>NC_000004.12:123921381-126421381 GCF_000001405.40 Homo sapiens | reverse complement strand
CTGTGCCCATGCATATTGCCTTGGAGCCTGGGGATTCACTCTGCTCCACCAACCACCACTGGCTGACATGCACACCACAATTCATGGGTCCGAGGAGAGGACTGTCCTACCCACCACTAGTGCCCATGCATATCATCTAGGGGCTCGGGATCAACCTGCCTCACTGTGAGTGTCCACATGTACCATCAGAGGCCTGAGGAAAGACCTGCATTGCCTTTCACTGCTGCCACATGTGCAAGTCATTGGGAGGCCTAGGGACTGACCTGCACTGCCTGCTACAGCCAATACCTGTGCACCAACTGGGGGCCTGAGGACAGGCCTGAAACACTATTCACCTCTACAGCAAGTGTCTGGGAGTAGGGTCCAAGTGTCTATAGATTGACCTGCCCTGACCACTGTAGGTGGTGCTTGTGCACATACCATTAGAAAGCCGAAGGACAGACCCATCCTGCATTTTGCTGCTGCTGCCACCACACGTGTGCATTATTTGAAGGCCTGGGGATCAACACGCTCCGCCCACTGCTGCCAGTGCCCACATCCACTATCCAAGGGCCTTAGGCCTTCCCTGCTTACTGCCACTGCTGCCAGCACATCAATACACCATCCAGGAGCATGGGATTAAATGGCCTTATCTTCCATTTCCGACACTTATGCACATCATCCAGGAAGCTTAGGTCTTCCCTACTTACTGCCACTACTGCCGGCACATGAATATACCACCCAGGAACCTGGGGATTACATGGCCCCACCCTCCTTTTCCGACACTTATGCACATCATCTAGGGGCCTAAGGACAGCCCTGCCCTGCCTACTACTGCCATCACTGGTGCCTGAATGCTGGCCTTCCTGGAGTCACTGTCTCCAGCAAAGCCTTACCACAGCCTCCACTAACAACCACTGTCTAAGTCACTGAGGAACTCACAGGAACCTCTGATGCTGACTGCAGCCAAAAAAAATCATTTGGAGACTACACTACTATGCCCATCCAGAATCAAAGCCATGTGACCTTACTCAACCAACACTGTAGATACACCTATAGGAAATAGTATTTTCCTACAAAAACCAATCCATAAAATAGATAGAAGAGACTTACAACAAATGCACAGATATAAACTTAAGAACACAAGAAACATGAAAAAAAGCAAGGAAGCATAACATCTCCAAAGGAACATAGTAATTTTCTAGAAACAGATTCCAATGAAAAGAAAATTTATAATATGACTAAAAAAATCAAAATAATAATATTAAAGCAACTCAGTGAGATACAAGAGGGCACAGATACAGTACAAATAAATCAGGAAAACAATGATCCAAATGACAAATTCAGCAAAGAGATGGATATCATAAAAAAGGACCAAACAGAAAACCTGCAACTGAAGAATTCAATAAATAAAATGAAAAATACAATTAAGAGTTTTAACAATATAATAGATCAAGCAGAAGAAAGAATTTCTGAACTTGAAGACAAGTCTTTTGAAATAACAGTTAGATTTTTAAAAAAAAGAATATAAAAGAATGAATAAATTCTATGTGACATTTAAGATAATATATAATGACTAAATATCTAAATTCAGGAAGTTCCAGAAGGAGAAAGAAGGGCAAAGACATAGAAAACGTATTTAATAAAATAATAGCTGAAAACTTTTCGAGAGTCGCAAGAGATGTAAATATCTAGACATAGGAATCTCAGAGATACCTGAATAGATTCAAACCAAAAATGTATTCTCCAACACATATTTTAGTAAAACTGCCAAGTCAAAGAAAAAGAGAATATTAAAAACAGCAGGAAAAAAGCATCAAGTCACATATAAGGTAATCCCCATCAGACTAATGGCACATTTCTCAACAGCAGCCTTATAGACCAGGAGAAAGTGGAATGATACATTCAAAGTACTGAAGAAAAACCCTATCAGATAAGAATATTATACCCAACAAAGCTATCCTTCAAAAAATGAGGAAGAAATAAACTATTTTCCAGACAAGCAAAAGCTAGGAATTCATCACCACTAGACAGGCCCTACAGAAATGAATAAAAGAGTCCCACATCTAGAAATCAAAGGATGATGTCTAACATCATGAAAACACAAAATTATATAACTTACTGTCAAATATATACTAAAATGAGAAAGAGAAAGAAGTTAAATATTACCACTACAGAAAACCACCAAACTGCAATGATAATAAGAGACTACAAAAGGAGCAAAGGATATACAAAACAACCAGAAAACAAGAAAATAACAGGAATAAGTTCTCATCTATTAATATAATATTGAATGTCAACAGATTAAACTCCACACTTAAAAGGTTTATTAATGGAAACAAAAAAAAACATAACTCAACTATATGCTACCTAAAAGCAACTCACTTGGCCTGTAAAGACACTTATAGACTGAAGGTAAAGGGATGGAAAAAGATATTCTACACAAATGGAAACCATACGTGAGCAAGAGTAGCTATATTTATGTCAGTTAAAACACACTTTAAGTCAAAAACTGTAAAAAGCTACAAAGAAGGTCATTATATAGGGATAACTGAATCAATCCAACAAAAGGATGTAACAATTTTAAATATATGTGTACTCATCACCAGAACACCCAGATATATAAAGTAATCATTAGAGATAGACTTCACTATAGTAAGTGCTGGGGACTTAAGAACCCCTCACTCAGCATTGGACAAAACATCTGGACAAAAAATCACAAAAAAAATTGAATTTAAGCTGCTCTTTAGACCAAATGAACCTAATGGACATTTACAGAACATTTCATTCAATAACTATGGAATAAACTTTCTTCTCATCAGCACATGGAACATTCTCCAGGACAGACCATTTGCTAGGCTACAAAACAAGTCTCAGCAATTTTTTTTAAATCAAGATTATATCAATAATTTCTTGAGACCAAAATAAAACTAGAAATCAATAACGGGGAAAATTAGAATCGTAAAAATGTATGAAAATTAAACAAGATGCTTCTGACAAGTATTGGGTCAATGAACAAATTAAGCAGAAAACCAAAAAGTTCCTTGAAACAAGTGAAGATGGAAACACAACACACTAAAACCTGTGGGATACAGCAAAAGCATTGCTAAGAGTGAAGTTTATAGCAACACCTACAATGAAAAAGTAGAAAGAAGACTTGAAATAAACAACTTAACAATGCAGCTTGAAGAACCAGTAACAAGAATGAACCAAGCCCCAAATGCATAGTAGGAAAGATATATGATCAGAACAGATATAGACAAAATGGGGACTAAGAAATTACAAAGGATTAAAAAAGTAAAGATTTGGTGTTTTAAATAGATAAAATCACCACGCTGGCTAAACTGACCAAGAAAAAAGAAAGAAGTGCCAAATATATCAAATCAGATATGAAAAAGGAGACATTATAACTGAAGCTAAAGAAATGTAAAGGATCAGTAGAGACTATCATGGAAAACTTATACACTAACAAATTGTAAAACCTAGAGGAAATTGATAAATTATTGAACACATATAATCTAAAAAAATTGAATGAAGAATAAATAGAAAACATAAACAGACCGAAAATGAGTAACAATTGAATCAGTAATAGAAAGTCTCCTCTCTCCTCCCCACAAAAGCCCAGAAATCATATTGCTTTACTGTGTATTCCATGTATCATACTTATAAGAATTAATACCAATTCTTCTCAAACGAAGCAAAAATTCTTCCTAATTCATTCTATGGGGCTAGTATTACCCTGATAGCAAATCCAGACAAGGACACAACAACAACCACAAAAAGAAAAACTACCGGCCAATTTTAGCGATTAACATAGATACAAAAATCCTAAACAAAATATTAGCAAACCAAATTCAACAACGCATTAAAAAGATCATTCACCATGATCAAGTGGTATTCATCCCAAGGATGCAAGGATGGTCTAGCATACACAAATCAGTAAACAAATTATTAAAATTGTAATAAGAAATTATAAATAATAAAACCAAATGCTGTTTTTTGGGAAAAAAAAACAAAACAATGAAATTGATATTTCTTAACCAAATACAAAATTAGTACTTGCAGCTAATATGGCAAAAAGTGAACTAGTATTTTAAATTTTCAAGAAGTTTTCATAAATCAATTAAAAAATACAAAACCATAATGTAAAAAAGGCCCTAAAATGTGAATATTTCACAAAAGTTAAAAAAAGAAACAAATGGCCAATGAATATAAAAATCAATTAATCACAAAATTATTATTGAAGCAAGAGAATCAAAATGAGGAAATATTAGCCCACCCTACCAACAAAGGTAAGGGTTATGGAAGACCGTTGCCCCTATTTCCTCCTTTTGCTGAGACTACAAAATAGCTGAGCACTTTTAGAGGATATTTGGTAAAATCATTTCTGTTGGGATAAAGGGGGCAGGAGAAAATGTCTTTCTCTTAGCATAAAGATTCAAAAATAAAAAATTAAAAAAATACAGAACAATTTATATTTTAATTTTCCTAAATGTGAATACATTTATACTTTGACATAGAAAATCCACTCATAAAAATGTATGTAATTATGATATATTTGCATAAGTACACAAACATGTATGGATAAGGCTCCTATTTCAGCATTGAGCATAGAAATAATCATAATGTTCATCAAAAATCACACTGCCAAATAACCAATAATATAATCATATAAAACCCTATACAGCATTTAAACGGGGAAATAGAATCTCACACTCGTCAAGATGACTAACATAAAAAAAAGTAGAAAATAATAATTGTTGATGAGGTTGTGGAAAAATTGGAGCCCTTTGACACTATTAATAAGAATATAAAACGGTGCAGCTGTAATGAAAAACAGTATTGCAGTTCCTCAAAAAATTAAAAATCATAATCATCATATGATCCAGCAAGTTTCTCTGGGTGTATGCCCAAATAATGAAAAGCAGGGTCTCAAAAAGATATTTATTCATTCATGTTCACAGAATCATTATTCACAATAGCCAAAAGGTAAAAACAACCCCAGGGTTCATTGATGGATAATTGAGAAAACAAAATGTGCTATATATCTATAATGGAATGTCATTTGGCCTCAAAAAGGAAGTAAATTCTGACACAAGTACAATATAGATGAACATCAAAAACATTATACTGTAGTGAAATAAATAAACCAGTCACAAAAGACAACTACTGTTTGATTCATCTGGGTATCTAGGGTGTTCAAATTCACAGAAACAGAAAGTAGAATTGTGGTTTCCACGAGCTGGAGGGGGTTTAAAATGGGGAGTAACTATTTAATGGATATTAACATTCAGTATTGCAATTTGAAAAAGTTCTGGGATCCGTTGCTCAATGTGAATATATTTAATAATACTAAATGTACACTTAAAAATAGTTAAGATGATAAATTTTATGTTATATGTGTTTTATACAGTTTAACAAAAAAAGGAGGTAAATTTATATGGAAAATAATTTTAAAATGTGTTTAAATAAATGTTAAGTAAAAAAGTAAGTATAATAACAGTGTTTCATTGTAATATAATTTGTGGATACAGAATGTGTTTGTGTGTGTATGTATGTATTAATTCAGTTAATTATGGGAATGAAAAGATTAGCTTTTGGTTGAGAGAATTTTATCCTTTTTGCTATTTTAAATCAAGATAATGCACTATATTTTAATTAAAATGAAATAAAACACTAAAAGGAATAAGTTTGACCATATTTAATGAATTATGACTGAGATAAATTAATAAAATTTATTTTAAAACTATATCATTTGAAAATTAATTTGTAACATTATAAATATTTTTTCATAGATTAATATCTTGCATTGATACTATGTTTATTATTAATTCACTAATTAATAGAGATAAAAATATACTTAAATATTTATTAGACTCCTGGCACTGTATGAAAAAGAAATACTTGGGGGAGGAGCTTTTGCTTTCATTCTGATCTGGCTTTTATTCTGCCAAGATCTGCTGGATGATTTCCAACCACATTATTTAAAATAAATACCTATAATTTTTATTGACAGTAGCTATCTTAAAAATGTCAAATCTACTAATATGTGTGTGCAAAATATCTTAACAGGTGCAATACTGACAGCTAAGGCCCAAATGAAATACCAAAAAAAAAAAAAAAATTGACAAGACTTTGTGCTTTGAGAATATTTATGAAATTCTTGTCATTCTCCCAGTTCAAATGAAGGTCAAGAAAAAGTATTTGTGTAAGGGTTAAGGTGACAGTATAAAATTGCTTGCTCTTTTTATAAGTATTTCAAAAAGATAAATTGAAAAATCATTATAGAATGATTGCCTACTGAATAATGTCTAAGAGAAAAGATACATTTAACTTTTTAAAATAAAAGTTTCCCAGGACAGGTGAAGCAGAGGGTCTGGACAGAAAAAAAAAAAAAAAATGCTCTTTTACTGCAAGGAATTTCATGCAAGTAGCATTCACCCTGGCACATTCACACGGAGCCCTCAGCTGTGACTGGCTGTCAGGTATGAAAGCGTAATATTGCCTACTCATTGAATCGGTTGCACTAAAACAGACTTACATTAACAAAGTAAATTTGTCAAGATTCACTCAGTTGTAAGTAACAGAAATCCTATATGCCTTAGAAATAAGTATCTGAGAAAATCTCCATTCCTCATTTGGGCCTAGGCTAAATAAACTAATGAAAACAACAACAAAATCCATCTTGGTATGAAACTTCTTTTCATTTTTTCTGAAGTGCCCGCAAGAGTTAAATCCACACACCATAGCTATAAAGGCGATGGGTACAATTTAAGGCTAATTCAGTTGTTTTAATTTAGGTAACACTGAATGTCAATGTATAACAGGTTTTATCCATACATTGGCAAAAGATTGGTGGGTCACATTTTGCCTAGGAGTCCCAAATCCTGTCAGCCTGGCAACTATGAAGATAGGATCTAAATCCTTTAATTTTTTTTAAATTTAGATTCAGAGGGAAGGTTTTTAAAATGTATATATTGTATATGGTGAGGTTTGAACATTGTACCCAATGGGTAATTTTTTAACCCTCACCACCCCCCTCCACCCTCCCTGCTTTTGGAGTTCCCAGTGTTCATTATTACCATTTTATGTCCATATGTACCCATTATTTAGATCCCACTTAAAGAGAGAACATTAAATATTCAATTTTCTGTTTCTGAGTTATTTTACTTAGGATAATGGCCTCCAGTTCAATCCATGTTGGGGCAAATGACATGATTTTCCCCCTTTTTTGGTTGCATAATATTCCATGGTGTACATATAGACATTTTCTTTATCCAATCCACCACTGATGGCACTTAGTTCGATTCTATGATTTTGCTGTTGTGAATAGTGCTGCAATAAACATATGTGTGCAGGTAACTTTTTTTTTTTTTTTTTTTTTGAGACAGAATCTCACTCTGTCACCTAGGCTGGAGTATAGTGGCATGATCTCAACTCACTGCAGCCTCTGCCTCCCAGGTTCAAGCGATTCTTCTGCCTCAGCCTCCCGAGTACCTGGGATTACAGGCATGCCCACGCTCGGCTAATTTTTGTATTTTTGTATTTTCACCATGTTGGCCAAGCTGGTCTCGAACTCCTGACCTCAGGTGATCCTCCCACCTCGGCCTCCCAAAGTGCTGGGATTACAAGCATGAGTCACTCCTCCCGGCCGTGTGTCTTTTTTATGTAACAGTTTTTCCTTTCCTTTGGATAGAAACCCATTAGTGGGATTGCTGGGTCAAATATAGTTCTATTTTCAGTTCTTTGAGAATTCTCTATACTATTTTCCATAGAGGTTGTACTAATTTACATTCTTACCAACTGTGTATAAGAGTTCTCCTTTCTCTGTATCCATGCCAACATCTGTTGTTTTTGACTTTTTTATAGTAGTCATATTGACTGGTAAAACATGGTATCTCAATGTGGTTTCAATTTGCATTTCTCTGGTGATTAGTGATGTGGAGCTTTTTTAAAATTTACCTGTTGGCCATTTATAAGTCTTCTTTTGAATAATGTGTTTTCATATCCTTTGCCCTATTTTTTCAAAAATTTTATTTTTAAGTTCAAGGGTACTTGAGCAGGATATGCAGGTTTATTTCATAGGTAAACGTGTGCCATGGTGGTTTGCTGCACATATCAACCTGCCACCTAGGTATTAAGCCCAGGATGCATTAACTATTTTTCCTAATGCTCTCCCTACCCCTCCCCTCCCCTGACAGGTCTAGTATGTATTGTTCCCCTCCCTGTGTCCATGTGTTCTCATTGTTCAGCTCCCACTTATAAGTGAAAACGTGTAGTGTTTTGTTTTCTGTTCCTGCATTAGATTGTTGAGGTTGATGGCTTCCAACTCTATCCATGTCCCTGCAAAGGACATGATCTTGTTCCTTTTTTTGCTTGCATAGTATTCTATGGTGTACATGTACCATATTTTCTTTATCCAGTCTATCATTGATGGGCATTTGCAGTGATTCCATGTCTTTTCAAGTGTGAGTAGTGTTGCAGGGAACATGCATGTGCATGTACCTTTATAACAGAATGATTTATATTCCTTTGGGTATATATCCAGTAATGAGATTGCTCGGTCAAATGGTATTTCTGGTTCTAGATTTTTAAGGAATCTCCACACTGTCTTCTATAATGGTTGAACTAGTTTATATTGCCACCAACAGTGTAAAAGCATTCCTATTTCTCTGTAACCTCTCTAGCACCTGTTGTTTCTTGACTTTTTAATAATTGCCATTCTGACTGGCATGAGATGGTATCTCATTGTGGTTTTGATTTGCATTTCTCTAATGGCCAGTGATGTTGAGCTTTTCTCATATGTTTGTTGGCCTTGTGAATGTCTCTTTTTGAGAAGAGTCTGTTCATGTCCTTTGCCCACTTCATTTTGTTTTATTTATTTATTTATTTATTTATTTATTTATTTATTTATTTATTTTTGAGATGGTGTCTCTCTCTGTTGCCAGGCTGGAGTACAGTGGCTTGATCTCTGCTCACTGCAACCTCCGCCTCCTGGGTTCAAGTGATTATCCTGCCTCAGCCTCCCTAGTAGCTGGGACTACAGGCATGCACCACCACACCCAGCTGATTTTTGTATTTTCAGTAGAAAATGGTTTCACCATGGTTTCACCATGTTGGCCGGGATGGTCTCGAGCTCTTGACCTCGTGATCCGCCTGCCTTGGCCTCCCAGAATGCTGAGATTACAGGCATGAGCCATCATCCCTGGCCTGCCCACTTTTTAGTCAAATTGTTTGTGCAGTTTTTTAATGTTAATAAATTTGTTTAAGTTCCTTGTAGATTCTGGATATTAGATCTTTGTCAGATGGATAGATACTTGTGTTTCTCTTGTTCAGTTGTTTTGGTTCCTTTATATTCTGGATATTAATATTCTGTCAGAGGCATAAACTGTAAATATTTTCTCCCATCCTGTATGTTCTCTGTTTTTTCTGTTATTTCTTTTGCTGTGAAGAAGCTTTTTAGTTTAATTAAATACCATTTGTCTAATTCTGGTTTTGTTGCATTTGCTTTTAGGGTCTCAGTAATAAATTATTTGCCTAGGCCAATGTCCAGAAGAGTTTTTCCTTAATTGTCTTCTGTGACTTTTATATTTTCAGGTTTACATTTTGGTCTTTAATCCATATTGAGTTAATTTTTATATATGGTGAGATATATATGTTGAGATATAATTGGCTAGCTATACGCAGTTTCGCAGTTTCATTCTTCTGCGTATGGCTAGTCAATTTTCCCAGCACCATTTATTGAATAGGGTTTCCTTTTCCTATTGTTTATTTTTGTTGATGTTGTCAATATCAGTTGGTTGTAGGTATGTGGCTTTATTTCTAGGTTTTCTATTATGGTCCATTGATCTATGATTCTATTTTTGTACCAGTACCATGTTATTAATACAGCCCCATAATATAATTTGAAGTCAGATAATGTGATTGATGCCTCTGGCTTTGATCCTTTTGTTTAGGATTGCTTTAGCTATTCAAAATTTTTGTTATTATTGTTGCTCTACATACATTTTAAGTTTTATTGTAATTCTTTGAAGACTGATGGTACTTTGATAGGAATTGCATGGAATCCATAGATTGTTTTGAAAAGTAAGGTTATTTTCAAAATATTGATTCTTCCAGTCAATGATCATGGGATGTTTTTCAATTTGTTTGTGTCAGCTATTTTTTTATTAGTGTTTTGCATTTCTCCTTCTACAGCTCTTTCATCTTATTGGTTAAATGTATTCTTAGGTATTTTATTTTTCTTTCTGGCTATTGTAAACATCACTGAGATTTTGATTTGGTTGTCATCTTGAACGTTATTGGTGTATAGAAACGCTACTGATTTTTGTATGCTGATTTTATATCCTGAAACTTTACTGAATTCACTTCTCAATTCTAGTCTTTTGGAGGAGGCTTTAGGGCTTTTAAGGTATAAGATCACATAATCAGTAAACAGAAATAATCAGATTTCCTCTTTTCCAATTTGGATGCCTTTTATTTCTTGTTCTTGCCTGATCGCTCTGACTAGGAATTAATTCCAGTACTATGGTGAATACGAGTGGTGAGAGTGGACATCCTTGTCTAGTTCCATTTTTTAGGGGGAATGCTCTCAACTTTTCCCCATTCATTATGATGTTGAATGTGGTTTGCCATATATAGCTCTTATTGTTTTGAGGTACACTCTTTCAATGCTTAGTTTGTTGAAGGTTTTCTTTTTATCAAGAAAGGATGTTGGATTGTATCAAATGTTTTTTCTGCCCCTAATGGGATGATCATGTGGTTTTTGTATTTAATTCTATTTATGTGGTGAATCACATTTGTTGACTTGTATATGTTGAAACAACCTTGCATCCCTGGAATGAAATCCACTTGATCATGATGAGTTATCTTTTTGATGTGCTATTGGATTCATTTTGCTAGTTTCTTTTTTCTTTTCGATTTTATTTTATTTTAAAAATTTTTATTTGAGACAGACTGGAGTGCAGTGGCACAATCTCGACTCACTGCAAACTCTGACTCCTAAGCTTAAGCGATCCTCCCACCTCAGCCTCTCTAGTAGCTGGGACTACAGACATGCACCACCATGCTCATCTAATTTTTGTATTTTTTGTAGAGATGGGGTTTCGCCATGTTGAACAGCTGGTCTCGAACTCCTGGGCTCAAGCGATCCTCCTGTCTTGGTTTCCAAAGTGCTGGGATTACAGGTGTGAGCCACCCTGCCCGGCCACACTTTGCTAGTTTCTTGCTGAAAAGTTTTGCATCTATGATCATTAGGAATATTGGGCTGTAGCTTCCTTTTTTTTTTTTTTTTTGTCATTGCCTGATTTTCATATCAGGGTGATACTCGTTTTGTAGAATGAACTAGGCACCAATCCCTCCTCCGTGATTATTTGGAATAGTTTCAGTAAGATTGAAACCAGCTCATCTTTTTACATCTGGAAAAATTTCGCTGTGAATCCATCTGGTCCTGGCGTGTGTGTGTGTGTGTGTGTGTTGGAAGTTATTTTTATTACTTATTCAAATTCATTATTCATTATTAATAGGTTCAGGATTTCTATTTCTTACTGGTTCAGTCTTGGAAGGTTGTATGTTTCCAGGAATTTATCCATTTCCTCTAGAGTTTCTAGTTTGTGTACATATAAATGTTCATATTAATCTCTGATGATCTTTTGTATTTCAATGGTATCAGTTGCAATGTCACCTTTGCCATTGTGCTTATTTGAATCTTCTCTCCTTTTTATTGGTTAATCTATGTAGCAGTCTATCAATTTTGTTTATCTTTTGAAAGACCCAACTTTTCCTTTTATTGGTCTATTGTAATTATGTCTCAATTTTATTGAGTTTTGCTCTGATCTTTGTTATTTCTTTTCTTCTGCTAGCTTTGGGTGTGTTTTATTCTTGTTTTTCTATTTCCTTGAGGTGTGAAGTTAGGTTGTTAATTGGAGATCCTTATTTCTTTTTGATATACGCCTTTAACACTATAAACACTATAAGCTTTCCTTTTCACATTTCTTTTGTGGTATAGCAGTGGTTTTGATATGTTGTGTCTCTGTTTTCATTCATTTCAAACAATTTTTTATTATGGCATATTTTTGTTCAGTATGAATTTTAGAGTAGTTTTTTCTAGTTCTGTAAAAAGTGGCATTGGTAGCTTGATAGAAATAGCACTGAATCTGTAGATTTTGTTGGGCAGTATGGCCATTTTAATGATACTCATTATTCCAATCCATGAGCATAAAATGTTTTTCCGTTTGTTTGTATCAACTGTGATTTCTTTTAGAAGTGTTTTGCAGTTCTTCTTATGGAGATCTTTTACCTCCTTGGTTAACTGAATTCCTAGGTATACTACATTATTTTATTTTTTGGCTGTTGTAAATGGGATTGCCTTCTTGATTTGGTTCTCAGCTTAAACATATTGATGTATAGAAATGTTACTGATTTTTGTATGTTTATTTGGTATTTTGAAACTTTACTGAAGTAGTTTATCAGTCCCAGAAATCTTTTGGGTTTTTTAGGTACAGGATTATATTGTCCATGAAGTGAAAGAATTTGCTTTTTTCTTTATGTATTTGGGTGTCTCTTATTTCTTTCTCTTCTCTTATTGGCTGGCTAGTACTTTCAATACTATGATAAATAGAAGTGGTAAGAGTGGGCAACCTCGTCTTGTTCCAATTCTTAAGGAGGATGGTTCCAGTTTTGCAAATTCAGTAAGTTGTTGGTTGTGTGTTTGTCATAGATGACTGCTATATTTTGAGGAGTTTTGTTTTTAACTCTTTATGTGGTGAATCACATTTATTGATTTGCATGTGTTGAACTAACCTTACATCCCAAGAATATAGCCTACTTGAGTTATGGGGAATTAATTTTTTTGTATGCTATTGAATTCAGTTTGCTAGTATTTTGTTGAGGATTTTTACATCTATGTGCCTGAGTGACATTTGTTTATAGTTTTCTTTTTTCATTGTGTTTTTGCTGGGCTTTGAAATCAGGAAATAATGCTGGCTTTGTAGAATAAGTTAAGAAGGAGTACCTCCTCCTTGATTTTTTGGAATAGTTTTAGTAGAAGTGGACGAGCTCCTTGCATGTCTGGTAGAATTTGGCTATGAATCTAGCTGCTGTATAATTTTTATTTTATTTTTGTCTTTGGTTCATAGGTTTTTAATTATTGATGCAATATCAAAACTCGACATTTGTTTGTTCAGTGTTTCAACTTATTCCTGATTCAATCTTGGGAACTTGTGTGTTTCCAGGAATTTATCCATTTTCTCTAGATTTTTCTCATTTGTGTGTAGAGGTGTTCATAATATTCTCTGAGTATCTTTTGTATTTCTGTTGGATTTGTTGTAATGTCATCTTTGTCATGTCTGGTGTGTTTATTTGGATCTTCTCTTTCTGTTTCTTTGTTAATCTAGCTATCAGTCTATCAATCTTTTTTATCATTTCAAAAAACTAACTTTTGGTTTTATTGATCTTTTGTATGGATTTGAGGATCTCAATTTTCTTCAGTTCCACTCTCATTTTAGTTATTTATTTTCTGCTAGCTTTTGGGTGGTGTTCTTGTTTTACTAGTTTCTCTAGGCATGAAGTTAGATAATTAAGTTGCGATATTTTTGTCTTCTTAACATAGGCATTTAGCGCTATAAAATTTCCTTTTGACACTGCTTTTGGTGCATCCCAAAGATTTTGGTAAGTTGTGTCTCTGTTTTCACTTATTTCAAAGAACTTTTTTTTAATTTCTGTCTTAATTTTGTTGTTTACCCAAAAGTCATTCAGGAGCAAGTTATGTGATTTCCAATGTAATTGTGTGAATTGAGAGATATTTTTGGTAATGATTTCTATTTTTATTCTACTGTCGTTCAAAAATATGGTTGGTATAATTTTGCTTTTTAATTTATTTAGACTTGCTTTATGGCTGAACATGTGATTGATCTTGCAGTATGTTCCATGAGCAGATGACAAGAATGTAAATTCTGAAGTTGATGGGGAGAGTATTCTGTAGATGTCTATTAGGTCCAGTGGGTCAAGTGTCAGGTTGAAAGTCCAGAATTTCTTTGTAGATTTCTCCCTCAATGATCTGTCTCATGCATCTATGAATGAGATGTTGAAGTTCCCCACTAGTATTTTGTGGCTGTCTAAGTCTTTTTGTAGGCCTAGAAATACTTTGTTTAATTAACTTGGGTGCTCTGACGTTGGCTATATATATACATTTAGGAGAGTTAAGTCTTCTTGTTGAATTTAACCCTTCATCATTATGCATTGCCTTTCTTTGCCCTTTTTCTTTACTATTGTTGCTTTAAAGTTGTTTTATCTGATATAAGAATAGTAACCCCTGCTCTTCTTTGTTTCATGCATGATAGATCCCTTTCCTTCACTTTGAGTCTATGGGTGTCATTATGTGTGAGATGGGTCTTTTGATGACAGCAGAAAGATGGGTTTTATTTTTTAATCCATCTTCTTATTCTTTACCTTTTAAGTGGAGTATTTAGACTACTTCCATTCAAGGTTAATATTTACATACGAGGTTTTGATTCTATCATGAAGTTATTTGCTCATTGCTTTGTGGTTTCTATTGTCTGGTTGCTTTATAGGATCTGCAGGATATGCACATTAAGTGTGTTTTTTGTTTTAGCAGGTGTTGTCCTTTTCCCCCCATGTTTAGAGCTCCCTTAAGGATCTCTTTTAAGGCCGGTCTAGTGGTAATAAATTCCCTTAGTGCTTGCATATCAGGAAAAGTTTATATGTCTCCTTTGCTTACAAAGCTTAGTTTGGTGGGGTAATAAATACTTGGCTGAAATTTATGTTCTTTAAGAATGCTAAAAATAGGCCCTCAGTCTCCTCTGGAGATTGTAAGGTTTCCGTTGAGAAGTCTTCTGTTAGCCTGATGGGGTTCCCTTTGAATGTTATCTAACCTTTTCCTTTAGCTGTCTTTAAGATTTTTTTCTTTAGCATTGAGCTTGCATAATCTGGTGACTACATGCTTTGGTGATGTTAGTTTTTTAAATAATACCTTGCAGTTGTTCTCTAGATTTCTTGTATCTTGATGTCTACATCTCTAGCAAAATTCAGTAAATTTTCTTGAATTATACCCTCAAATGTGTTTTCCAGGTTGTTTACTTTTCTTATTCTCTCTCAGTAATGCCAATAATTCATAAGTTTAATGGCTTTACATAATCCTATATTTCTTGAAGACTTGATTTTTCAAAAATTTCTTTTTCTTTATTTTTGTCTGAATGGTTTATTTGGAAAGGCTGGACTTCAAGCTCTGTAATTCTTTCTTCTGCTTGGTCCAGTCTATTGATAAAGCTTTAATTGTATTTGGAAATTTCTTGAGTAAGTTTTTTATTCCTGAAGCTCTGATTGATTAATTTTCATGTTTATCTCTTCCATCATTTCCTGGATTGCTTTAGAAGTTTATTTGTTTTGATTATTAACTTTGTCTTGGATATCATTGAGGTTCCTTGCAATCCATGCTTTGAGTTATCCATCTCTCATTTCTGAGTTACCAATTTGGTTAAAGATCACTGCTAAGGAGGTAGTGCAATTTTTTGGTAGTGTCACTATATTAAGATTTTTCATGGTGCCAGAATTCTTGTGCTGGTTCCTTCTTATCTGGAGATGCTGGCATTTCTAATTATTGTAATTATTTCCATGAGGTTATGATTTTTTCTTTTTCTTTCATACTTATTATTATTATTATTTCCCTTTCCCTTCCCCTACTCCTTGGGGAAGTGATTGTAGAGAACGCTGGTTAGGGTCTTTTGTCTTTGCTTCTATAGCCCTAGGCATTTCTTTTGGCAAGTTTTATATTGGGCTGTGCAGTTTGACCTACAAGCCAGTAGATGGCACTTATGGGTAAGAGCCCTCTGTTGCCAATATGCTGGGTATATACTTGATCCTTGCTTACTGGCAGAAGTTCTCTGTTGCCTAAAGCAATGGGCTGCTTAATGGGGTGCCCAGTGGTCTGAGTTCTCTGCTGAACCCCATGTGGGTGGGGGGACATCATAAAGGGTGGGGCCAGACTACGCAGGTCCACCTACATGGCCCCAATGGCTGAAACAATCAGCATTACTTGGAGAGAATCCAGTGGGCCACTGCTGAGTGCCCAGTAATGTGCCCATGTGTGGAGGTGTGAAGCCTCCTTTGCCCCATGTTCTCTGCACAGGGATGAGGAGCAGCCTAAACCCTTAATCCAAGGGAGTGGGTGGTCCATTTGCCTGCAGATCTCTCTGGGCATGGAGTGGGGATGGCCACCCTGCAGCAAGATCTCTGCACAGAAAGGGTCAGGCAATTCAGGCTACTGATCCGTGTGAGTTGGTGCTCCAAATGCCTGGAGATCTACTTGAGAATGGAGTGAAGGCCTCTCTGCACCATGATCTATGTCCAGGAATGATGAGGCAGCTCAGGCTTCTGAACCTGATGAGTGGATGATCCTAATGCCTGGTAATCTACCTGGGCAGCAAGCAAAGAGGGCCTCTCTGCAGCAGGATCTCTGCTTAGGAAGTATGGAGCAGGTCAGGCCGCTGCTCCATGTCTGTGGGTGTTTCTGATGCCTGGATATATGCCTAAGCATGGAGCTGAGATGGCCCCCTGAACTGAGATTTCTGTACAGAAGGAGTAGGGTGACTCAGGCTGCTGGACCAGGCAAACTGGTGCTCTGAATGCTTGGAGATCTGCCTGGGCATGTAGCAGAAAAGTCCCCCCCTGCATCAGGATCCCTGCACAGGAAGAGTGGGGTTACTCAGACTGCTGAACTAGATGAGTGGACACTCTAAATGCCTGGAGATCTGCTTGGACATGGAGTGGAAAGGGTCCCTCTGTACCACAATGTGTATTTATGAAGGATAGGGCATCACAGGATGCTGGTCCAGGCAAGAGCGTACTCCAAATGCCTGGATTTCAGCCTCGGGTAGAGCAGAGAAAGCCCTGCTGCACCATAATCTCAGGGATATAGGCTGGGGCACTCAGCAATGGCACAAGCAGATTAGCTTCATATCGCCAAGCTGGCCCTGGTTGCATTACTTGGCCTTTGTTGATGAAGGAAGTACTGGTGCATCCCTGATGATGTGCAGGGCATGGGGTTCTCAGGGTCCTATCCTGTGATCTCCTGCCAAGCCAGCTGGAGGAGGGAAAGCTGGTTCAGGCCGGACCAGGCAAGCTGGCAACCAGGCTCTCCATGGCGGGTCAAACATTGGCCTTTGTTGGGATCTAGGGGCAGCTCTCAGGCAACTGCAACTACCCACCAGGGTGGAGTGGAGGCACCTCTGCTGCACCACAGAGTTAACTCAGGTGAAGAAAGGTGGCTGGGGTTTTTAGCCCAGCAGTTTGCCATGGGGCCAAACCAGCTCCCACTATCCTGACCTAGCAGGTCTCCTTTCAGCATCTGGTCCCCAGCAGTGGGTCCAACCAGTTAGGCTAGTCCCAAGCCATCTATGCCCACATCATGAGGCCTTCCAGTTGTTCCAGACTGTGAGACTCTCTGTGGAAGAAACCACAGCTATCAGGCCACATCCCTCTCTGTCCAGCCTCACAAAAGACCTAAATTCTTGAATGCTATCTTTGGGACCAGATTCCACATCCCCAAATGCCCTCTTTCCCTGAAAAGAGCCAGGGGAGGTTGGGGGCTATTTTTTGAGCAATCCCAAACATCACAAGAGACACATTCTGATTCAGGTCATTACTGATGCACCTGCTAAGACCTGCAGGCAGAGCAGTTGTTCCTCTTCTGACAGCAATGAATAAGGGTTGTTTCAAAGATATCTGGGGTTGTGTAAGCTGTTGTTGGCTTGATTAATTCACACTTTCTTTCTCCACTGTTGACAAGATTCAAACCAGACAAGAATTTGCTTCTTTGTCTAGGGTTCCACACCATAATCTTTTGCAATAAATTTGGAAAGGAAGGAGGCAGCCTCATAGATGGCTTGTGTTTTACCAGACTCTAGTTCTGTGACTGTTAAAGACTCATTCATGTGTTAAGAAAAGAACTGCTCCAGTTCCCACTATAAAATCAAACTAATGAACTCACTGAAACTGACAATCCAACAACAAAAAAACAAAACAACAAAACAAAACCAAATACATGCACATTTCTATATAAAAACATATGCAGACACATGTTTATATGACCAAGAGATAAAATGATAAACATGAATTTAGATAATGTCATAAAAAATGACAAATTAACATTCTTTGTAAATATGAAAACAAATAGCCTTAATAAAATGTTAGTGTTTTCATCAAAACCAGTCTGAGTTTATCTCAAGAATGCAGGGCTGGATTTTTTTTTTGAAAATAAATTAATATAAATGTACACATAAATGAGAAAAAATAATATCATCTCAATAGATGAAGACAACACATTTGACAACATTCAACACACACTTTTTTCTAAACACTCTCAGGAAACTGGAAATAGTAGGTCATTTAATTAATGTCAAATTATATCTATGAAATATCAATAGCAACATTATAATAAGGGTGAAATATTGAATTCTTTCTCTGAAGAATGTCTGCTCTTGCCATTCTATTAAACATTGTATTCAAAGTTGTATCCTAGTTAATAAGAAGTAAAATAACGACATAAAGATTGAAAAGTTAGCATCTTTCTATATACAGACTATGCACTGTTGCAAAATTCTAGGGAATTTTTCACTCTCCCTTGTTCACCGAATATACTATAATTAATTAGTAAGTAAACTTAGCAAGCTCATAGGATAAAAGGTAAATAAACAATAATCAATTTTATTTTTGTATTCTAGAAAAAAATGCAAACAATTTTTGAAATGCCACTTTTAAAGTACATCAAAAACATAAAATTCTTAGGTATGATTTACAAGGTATGTGTAAAACTTGTACACTAAAAATGAATGAAACATTCATTATTCATTATTTTCATATTGATGGAAAGATTCAAATCAATCCAAATTAAATTTTTTTCTTTCATTTATTCATTTTATAAATGAAAACTAAATCATATAACAAAAAATTCTACATAACATAAAAACTCCCAATTCTAAAGTGTATAATTCAGTGTTTTTTCATATATTCACAAGGTGGTGCAACCATCACCACCATACAATTCCAAAACATTTTCAAAACCCCTCAAAAACATCCTGTACCTGTTAGTAGTCACTCCCAGATCCTTTCTTCTCCCAGTCTCTGGCAATCACAAATCTACTTTGTCTCTATAGAGTTGCCTATTCTGAACATTTTATATAAATGGAATTATGCACTATGTGCACTATGTGTCCTTTTGTGTCTGATTTCTTTCACTTAGCATAATTTTTGTGAAGGTTTATGAATGTTGTAGCATATATCAGCACTTCATTCCTTTTTATGGTGGAAAATATTCCATTGAATGGATGGCCTACATTTTGTTTAGCCATCATTCATTCGTTTAGCAATATTTCAAAGCGTGGTAAAATGCATAAAACTTAAAATGTGCCATTTTTCAAGTGTACTGTTCAATAGCATTAAATATATTTATATTTTTGTGCAACCATCACCATCATTCATCTACAGAACTCTTCTCATTTTGAAAACTAAAACTCTGAAGCTATTCAACAGGTTTTTCAGTATTCTCAAGCATATTCTACAATATATGTGCCAATGTATAGTACCAGTAATCATTCAAATATTCATAAAATACAGTATCAATGTTGGAGGAATTATATTGCCTGATTTCAGGAGTTATTATAAAGCTATAGTCATGAAGAGAGTATATTTTTGACATAATAGTAGACAAATACATCAATAAAATGAATAGGGATTTTATAAATGTAAACATTTTTGGCTTAGGCACCAGGTCAATTCAGAAGAGAAAGAAAAGTCTTTTTAACACATGGTCCTTTAAAAACAAACAAAAAATTCATGAGGAAAAATACTACTCTACTCCTACTTCATACTACACACAAATATTAATTTTAAAGGGATCAATTATAAATTCAAGAATCATGATGTTAGAAATCAATAGTGATAAAACTGAGTTGATTATAGATAAAAGAGGTTGAAAAAAAGGAAAGGGAATTTCCTGGTGTGATAGAAATGTTATCTATCTTAAACAGTTACTTGAGTATATATATTTGTCAAAGTTTACCAGAATATACATTTGCAATTTCTGCTTTTCTTTGTAGGTACATTTTATCTCAATAACTCAAAAACTAAAGTGCTAACTTTGCAAACTTTCATTTGCATAACACCCACGAGTAATCTTGACATATCTAAAATAAATGAAAAATAGTTTTTGCAATTAAAGTCAGCCTTAACATAATGAAAATATAAACTTCCCTTGAATTTAGCCAAAAAGGAAAAAAAAGAACTAAAAAATGATTTCTCAAGAATTGAATAATTGACCTCCAAAAATTCAATTATTTAAAATAAAAAATATTGCCATGTCCTTGGAATACAATTCTGTCTATATGACATTAAAACATCCAAGAAGAAAGTGAAAAATTCAAGCATGCAGATGTTTTCATTCAGGCCAACCAATATTCTGATGCTTTCAACTCTAAAGATGGGAGTCTTTGTATAAAGTTGAGTTTAGTTAGAATGACTATGTTAGACAAAGATGAAAGGTGATGCTAGAGATAAAATTAAAATTAAATATTGATGAAAGCTAGGAAAATATTGCGTATTTCTGAAGTACAAGCATTCAAAAATTTTTGTTAGAATTAAAACTGAAATGAATGATGTTTATGACTGAAGCTCTACTATTTATTTTTTCCCAATTTGTGTTTAGTAATTCACACATTTTCTGAAAGTGCATGGGATTCTATTTTTAAGCACTTTTATTTGAAAAAGAATCATGATAAAATATGTAAAATATATTACCAAGTAACTATCAGACCATTGACAAATAACACTTTCTATATTTATTTTCTTACCTATGTAAGAAAGCTTATCCTGATTCTCCCACAATATGCAACTATGAGGCTCAACTGACAGTATGTGAATGAAGTTAAAAAACTATAAAATGTCATGTTCACTACATGGACCATCTTAAATATTATCACTACTTAGTTTTCACATCTGAAAGATATTAATAGTGTCTCATAAACCTGTTTTAGGGGAATATTTATCTTTTTACCTATTATTTTTCTCTATTCCATATTTATCATTTTTTGTTTTGCCTAAAAATATATTTGCAAAAATCCTCTAGATTCAAATACTTAGCATGTTGTTCCAAACCTTTGGTTGGCCTAATCTTTTATATTTATTTTGAGACATAAAGCAGAACATTTTATTTTTCATAAAAATCTATGCCCACTCAGAATCCTTTTGATGTTTAGGGTAAATATAGATGGATCAAACAGCTTTACTTTGTAGACCACAGTTAGCATTATCTTCAGTTAGGGTTTTAAAAGGAAGAATGGACACTAAGCAGAGAGGAAGTATTAACATTTTGTTTATGAGGAGAGGCTCAGAGGCCAGTCTACTTGGGTTGAGGTTATTACTCTGCCAGTTTACCAGCCACATGATTTTGAAAAGGAACCTAAGCTCACTGTGAATCCATTTTCTCATCTTTAAATATATATCTTTAATTTCATTGATTTCATAGTTTAGCTCTGCAAATTAAACATTAGTATATTTAAAATGCTTTAAAAAGGGTAAAAATATAACATATAATCATTATTATTTTATTAAAAATAAACATCATTAGTATCAGACATCTTAAAAGTACATAGTTTAAAAATAAACTGCATGTAGGAAGAAATAGATCCATAAAAGGAAGTTAGATTCTGGAAGAAATGTTATTATTATTATAGTTGACTGGGATCTAGGAGCTTTAATGTGGCACTTAATTAAAAAGCAACAGGGTCTGGCTGCATATTTCTAGTCCAAATCATCTTTGAGGATTATTGGAAGCAATCTGGCATTAATAACTGACTTGATATTTTTCTTTTTAGTGGTTTGGCCTCAATTATATGTGAAATTAAGTAAATCTGTAAATCAGTCTTAACACTCAATAAAATTGTTAGAGGAGAAAGTGTTAATTTTTATGTTTTTATATTTCAGAGCTACTAATCAATTAACCTCTTTTTTTCTTGAAAGCCATTTTAAAGAGAGACTTCAAGAAAGCAAGCAACATATGGAAATATCAAATCTTCATTTTCATATTCTCAACTTAAAAGCTTAAAAAAATGATAGAACATGATACATTGAACCTTTAGATATCTTCTTTTCCTGAAGATGGGGGATGCTGGTTCAAAGGCTATATATGATTTGAAGACATCATTGATCACAGGGGTGGACATTGACTTAAGAGATGATTGTTGTATGAGAGTATTAGGTTCAATACTTATGTTGCTTTTTATTTCTTCTATCTCACTTTTTTCTATTGATAAATGACAGGTTTTGGTTATAAGGGAAGTGTGTGTGTGTCTGTGCTTCATATATATAATATAGATAGATATACATATAGATAGATATAGATATAAAATGTGATAATCTCAGCTAAATAATACCTAGAAAATTGTAGGATTTACTTGAGTGTACTGAGAAATTACTTTGGCAAGCAGAACATAATATTTTTTTATGACAGTGCTGACTTGTACTTATTTCTTTCTTATATTCAAACATGTTTAAGATGGCATGGGCATATTATCAGTTACGATTGGTAAAATACATCACCTCTTTATTTCCTGGGCCATGAGATTTTAATTATTTTATAATGTTACTATGTACTATTTCTTTCATGTGATTCTGAAACACAATTCTTCAAAATAAATTCCATTTACTGATATAGACACTATTGATGTACACATGTACACAGAAGTTATCCCATAGTGCTGCAATTAGATCAATTTAAGTAAACCGTCTTTTGGTGATACTTTAATAGTTGAGCAACTGTGCTCCTCCTGTGTGGTCTACAGTACATAGGTATAACTTTGTAAGAGCAGCTGTGAAAACAGTCTGCCTTCCTTATGTTTAGATACCTATCTGGGATCATCGAATAATGGAGGAAATAAAAACTCCAAAATGTAATAAGGCTAGCAAATACACACTAGGTATATTTCTCCTTAATCTTACTAGGAAAACCCAGCTTGTACACTTCTTTTTTCCAGTGCATATTTAATATATCGACCTCTCTTAGAAACCAGATACACTGCATATCATGTTTCAATATCCAAACCTACTCTTTTGTGGCTTTAAACACAAGTGATACAATGCTGTAACTTCAGAAAGTGAAAGGATAAAAGGATAATTCTACTATATAAGAACACTCATTTATGAGATATTTTTTAAAACTTGGATTGTCAGAAAGCATTATGGAGGTGGTCTGGTATTTTGTTTTAATCAAATATTTATTTTATTGAATCCCCTTAACTATGCTGAATGAATCCATTGGAATTATATTTAAAATATGGTAAAAATGAGTCAAGTTCACTCAGTAATGTGTTTAGGTAGACTTTAGAAGGGGTAGGAAAGAAAAATTAATACATACATATGTGATAAAAATCTTATTTCATTTCATTTAAATTAAAGAAGAAAATGACAATATCTGCTACATCATTTTGGATTTAGAATAAGAAATAGTTGGCAGAACTATTTTATGTTTTACTTTTTGGCCAAAACCCCTATATTTGAGGAACACAAGTTAATATTTTTTGAAACATTTAAATTTAAGTATGTTTACTAAGGAAATAAAAGACAACAGTAACTTTAAAGCAGAATATGTGTTGTACAAACCTAAATCTAAATTAATTCAAACTCCTCTCTTTTAAAAGTAACAGAAAAATGTGGCTTAGGGCTTTGAGTTTTCTTGCATTAATGAGTAGTATCTTGATAATTCACAAATTTCTTTCTAATTGACATGTTTTAGTTGGATACTAGATACATTTTTGGAAATTATAAGAGCTATGATATATTGAAAAAATAAAATACATTTTAAAATATGGTTATGAACTTGGGAATAAATAGATTATAATACTATAGAAAATGTTTAGGCAAGTTCTTGGGTACTGATACAAATTACAGCTTTGGTAGGAAATTAATTGTTGGCTAGCCAGTGTAGAAAAAATCAGGGAGAAAAGTCTAGTGTATAATACCTGGAAGATAGATTTGGCAGGAAGTTATGCTAAAAGCAAACAACAACAGCGTTTTGGTGATAGGAGAATTAAATTTAGGAAAAAAATGAAATGTCCATGGCTAATGGAAGCATAAAAAATCAAAAATAGGTAATCCAGATCTAAGGAGGCAGAGCAAGATGGCTGAATAAAACCCTCCAGTGATCGTTACCCAAACGGAACAGCAAATTGAACAACTATCCACACAAAAAGTCATCTTTATAAGAACCAAAAATCAAGTGAGTGATCACAGTACCTGGTTTTAATATCATTTTAAGGAAAGAGGTACTGAAGAGGATGTAAAACACAGTCTTGAATTGCCTACATCACCCCTCCTCTATCCCCTGGCAATACCATGTGTGTTTGGGGGAGGGATAGTGCAATGAATATGGGACTCCAGATTGGCACTCAGTGCTGCTCTGTCACAGTGGAAAGCAAACAGGGCAGAATTTTGCTGCCACCAACAGAGGGAGCACTTATATCAGCCCCAGCCAGAGGGGAATCATCTGTCCCGGCAGTCAGAACCTGAGTTCTGGTTAGCCCCACTGCTATAGGCTAGAGTTCTCTGGGGTCCTAAATAAATTTGAGTGGCAGTCTAGGCCACAAGGATGGCAATTCCAGGGCAAGTCTTGGTGCCATGCTGTGCTTGGAGCAAGTGGACTTGGGGTGCTTGCAACCTAGTGAGACACAAGCTGGGGTGGCCAAGGGAGTGCTTGTGTCACCTCTCCTCCAATACCAGTCAGCACAGCTTGCAGCTCTGGGAGAAACTCTTTCTACTTAAGGAAAGGAGAAGGAAGAATAAAGAGAACTTTGTCTTGCAACTTGGAGACCAGTTCAGCCGTAGTAAAATAAAGCATGAAATAGAGTCAAGAAGCCGTTATTCTAGGCCATAGCTCCTGGTTGACATTTCTAGACACATTCTAGGTGAGAAGGAAACCCAGTGCCCTGAAGGGAGGGACCCAGTCCTAGCAGAATTTATTACCTGCTAACTAGCCCTTGGGCATTGAATAAACATCAGTGGTAGCCAGACAGGCAGTAGTCACTATGGATTTCAGGAAAGACCCAGTGCTTTGCTGCCTTCAGGTGTGACCCAGAGCATTCCTAGCTGTAGTGGGCACAGGGAGAGACTCCTTCCACTTGAGGAAAGGAGAAGGAAGAGTAAAAATGACTTTATCATGCAACTTGCATACCAGCTCAGCCACGGTAAAATAAAGCACCAAGTAGGTTACTAAAGTTCCCAACTCCAGGCCCTAGCTTCTGGATGGCATTTCTAGACCCCACCTGGCCAGAAGGGAATCTACTGTCCTGAAGGAAAAAACATAAGCCTGGCAGAATTCACCATATGCTAACTTAAGAGCCCTTAACCTTTGAATAAATATCAGTGCTAGCTGGGCAACAGTTGCTACAGGCCTTGGGTGAGATCCTGTACTGTGTTGGCTGCGGGTGAGATCCAGTACTATGCTGGCTGCAGGTGTGACTCAACACAATTCCAATGGCGGTGGCCATGGGAACACTTGCATCATCCTGTCTCCAACTCCAAGCAGCTCAGCAGTGAGAGAGAGAGAGAGAGAAAGACTATTTGTTTGGAGGAAAGTAAAGGAAGGAAACAAGAGATCTTACCTGGTAATCCAGGGAAGTCTCTTGGATCTTACCAAAGATCACCAAGACATCTCTACAAGTCTGTAAGAGTAACACCATTACTGAGTTTATGCTGTTCCCAATGCAGATATGGCTGCAGTGACCAGACTTAGATTACAACATTCAATTCTCTTTGAATACTTAGAAAGCCTTCTCAAGAAGGACAGGTACAAGAAAGCCCAGACTGCAAAGAATAGAATAAATATTTAACTCTTAAATGCCCAGACATTGATGAACATCCACAAGCATCAGGACTTTCTAGGAAAACATGACCTCACCAAACAAACTAAATAAGGAACCAGTAACCAATCTCAGAATGACAGAGATATGCCAGCTTTCAGATAGAGAATTCAAAATAGCTGTTTTGAAGAAACTCAATTAAATTCAAGATAATATAGAGAAGGAATGTAGAACCTTATCAGATAAATTAAATAAAGAGATTGAAATATATTTTAAAAATCAAGCAGAAATTCTGGAGCTAAAACATTCAATTGAAAAAATAAAAATGCGTTAGAGTCTCTCATTAGCAGAATTAATCAAACAGAAGAAATAATCAGTGAGCTATTTGAAAATACACAGGGAACACAAAAGAAAAAACAATAAAAGAAGTAGAAAATAGCCTCAAAAAGACCAATCTAAGAATTATTGACCTTAAAGAGGAGGTAGAGAAAGAGATTTGGGTAGAAAGTTATTCAAAGAGATAATAACAAAGAACTTTACAAACCCAGAAAGATAGCAATATTCAAGTACAAGAGTAATGAACAAGTAGATTTAACCCAAATAAGACTACCTTAAGACATTAAATAATCAGACTCTCAAAGGTCAAAGATAAAGAAAGGATCCCAAAAGCAGAAAGAGAAAAGAATCAAGTAACATACAATAGAGCTCCAGTACATCTGGTGCAGACTTCTTAGTGGACACTTTACAGGGCAGGAGAAAGTGGCATGACATATTTAAAGTGCTGAAGGAAAAAAGAAAAGTTATATCCTAGATTAGTACATTTAAGTTGTCATTAATTTAAAATAATGGGTTATAAGATTTTATTTGCAAGCCTCATGGTAACCTCAAATCAAAAAAACCTACAGTAGAAACACAAAAGATAAAAAACAAGAAATTAAAACACACTACCAGAGAAAATCACTTTCACACAAAGGAAGAGAGAAAGGAATGAAGGAAAGAAGGAAGGAAAAGAAGGCCAAAAAACAACTGAAAAACAACAACAACAACAAAATGGTTATAGTAAATCCTTCCTTATCAATAATAAAATTCTCTAATCAAAAGATTTAGAGTGGCTGAACATATAAAAAAGCAAACTCCAACTATCTACTGCCTACAGGAAACACACTTCACCAATAAAGATACAAAAACACTAAAGTAAAGACATAGGGAAAGATATTAGATGCAAATGGAAACAAAAAAAGCAGGAGTAGATATAATATCAGATATAATAGATTTTAAGACAAAAAGCATAAAAAGAGACAAAAAGAAGGTTATTCTTTAATGATAAAGGGTCAATACAGCAAGATAATGTGATAATTTAAAAAATATATACACCTAACACTGGATCACCAAGATATATAAAGCAAATATTATTAAAGAGAGAGATGGATTCTAATAGAATAGTGGCTAGAAACATCAGCTCCCTACTTTCAGCATTGTACAGATTCACCAGACAGAAAATTAGCAAAGAAACATCAGACTTAATCTGTACTCTAGACCAAATGGACCTAATAGATACTCACAGAACATTTCATCCAAAGGCTACAGAATACACATTCTTCTCCTCAACACATGGATCATTCTCAAGTAGTGGATTTTATGTTATTTCACAAAACAAGTCTTAAAAGATTGAAAAATAATTGAAAATCATGGCAAGCATCTTTTCTAACCAGAAGGAGTAAAACTAAAAATCAATCAAGAGCAATTTTGGAAACTATACAAACAAGTGAAAATTAAATAATATGATCCTGAATTTAAGCAATATGCTGCTCTTCTCTAAGGAGAAAAGAAAAGCACTGTCATCTGAGGAATGCAAACCCTTTTTATTGTCAGGCCCAGAGAAGCATTAAAATGAGACTGCACTCATGTCCTACTCACCTGGCTTTGAGCTATGTATTCATCTCTTGAAACTGCTTGCTATTGCCACAAGTAGCTATGAATTAACGTATCAATGTGAAACATTATATGAGGAGAATGAAGAATGAAATCCAGCAGGTCCATAAATTGAGAAGGAAATTTAAAAAATGTATTGAAACAAATGAAAATGTAAATATACCAAAACTTTTGGAATACAGCAAAAGCAGTACTGAGAAGAAAGTTTATAGCAATAATAACCTGCATCAAAAAAAGTATAAAAACTTTAAACAAACAGCCTAATGATACATCTTAAATAACTAGTGAAGCAAGAGCAAACAAAACCCAAAATTAGTACAAGAAAAGAAATAAAGAAGATCAGAGCAGAAATAAGTGGAAGTGAAAATAAAAAAATGCAAAACATCAATTAGATGAAAAGCCATTTTTTCAAGAAGATAAACAACATTGACAAACTTTTAGCCAGACTATGAAAAAAAGAGAGGATCCATTCAGTATATGTGGCTGATTGGTTAAAATTTTAAAAATATACAAGAAAAGAGGATCCAAATGAATAAAATCAGAGATGAAAAAGGAGATATTACAGCTGACATTGAAGAAATTCAATGGATCATTAAAGACTACTAGCAACAATTGTATGCCAATAAATTGGAAAACCTAGAAGAAACTGATGAATTCCCAGACACATAAAACCTAATGAGACTCAACTATGGAGGAATCCAAAAGCAGAATAGACCAATAACAAGAGACAAGAACAAAGCTATGATTAAAATGTCTTGCAGCAGAGAAATGCCCAGACCTAATGGCTTCACTGCTGACTTTTATCAAACATTTAAAGAAGGACTAATACCAGACCTATTCAAATTATACCAAAAAACAGAGGAGGAGGGAACACTTTCAAACTCATTCTACAAGGCCAGTACTATCTTAATAGCAAAACCAGACAAAGACACATCAAAAAAAGGAAACTACAGGCCAATATCTCTGATGAAATTTGATGCAGAAATGCTCAACAAAATATTAGCAAACTGAATTCAACAGCACATGTAAAGTATCATCCATTATGACCAAGTGAAATTCATCAAAGGGATGCAAGAATGGTTAGGCATACACAAATCAATCAACATGGTACATCATAATCAACAGAATGGAGGACAAAAAACATGTGATCATTTCAATTGATGCTGAAAAAAAATTGATAAAATGCAACATCCCTTCATGATAAAAACCCTGAAAAAATGGGCTATAGAAGGGACATATCTCAACACAATAAAAGCTGTGCAGAGCAGAACCACAGCTAGTATCATACAGAACAGGGAAAAATGAAAAGTCTTTCCTTTAAGACGTGGAAGATGACAAGGATTCCCACTTTCACCACTATTATTCAACATCATATGGGAAGTCCTAGCAAGAGCGATCAGACAAGAGAAAGACATGCAGGACATCCAAATTGGAAAGGAAGAAGTCAAATTATTCATGTTTGCAGATGGTATGATCTTATATTTGGAAGAACCTAAGGACTCCACACACACAAAAAAACTATTAGAACTGATAAACAAATCCGATACAAATACTGATACAAAATCAATATGCAAAAATTAATAGCAGTTCTATATGCCAACAGTGAACAACCTGAAAAAGAAATCAAGAAAGTAATCTCATTTACAATAGCTACAAACAAAATAAAAAGTACCCAGAAATAATTTTGACCAAAGAAGTAAAAGATCTCTATCATGAAAACTAAAACATTGCTGAAAGAACTTGAAGATGACACAGACAAAAAAATGGAAAAATATTGCATGTTCTGTGATTGGAAGAATCCATACTGCTAAAATATCCACAGTACTCAAAGCAATCTACAGCTTCAATGCAATCCCTACGAAAATACCAAGGACATTCTTCACAGAAATAGAAAAAATAATTCTAAAATTTATATGGAACCACAGGAGACTCAGAATAACTAAAACCATTCTGAGGAAAATGAACAAGCCTGGAGGAAACACATTACCTAACTTCAAGGAATATTACAGACGTATAATAAGTAAAATAGCATGGTACTAGTATAAAAACAGACACATAGACCAATGGAACAGAAAAAACCCAGAAAAACGTTCTTACATCTACAATGAATTCATTTTTGACAAAGTTGCTAAGAACATACAATGGGGAAAGGACAATCTTTTCAACAAATAGTGCTGGGAAAACTGGATATCCATATGCAGAAGAATGAAACTAGACCACTATCTCTCACCATATAAAAAGATCAAATCAAAATGCATTGCAGACTTAAATCTAAGACCTCAAACTGTGAAATTACTAAAAGAAAACACTGGGGAAACTCTCCAGGACATTGGACTGGGCAAAGGTTTCTTGGGTAATACCGCATAAGCACAGGCAACCAAAAGAAAAATGGAAAAACAGGATCGTATTAAGTTAGAAACCTAATGCACAGCAAAGGAAACAATCAACAATATGAATTAACAACCCACAGAATGGGAGAAAATGTTTGCAAACTATTCATTTGACAGGAGATTAATATTCAAAACATATAAGGAGCTCAAACAACTCAATAGGAAAAATCAAATGATCTGATTTTAAAATGGGCAAAATATCTTCATAGACATCTCTCAAAAGAAGACAGACAAATGGCAAATGGGTATACAAAAAGGTGCTCAACATGATTGATCATCAGAGAAATGCAAATCGAAACTACGATGAGATATCATCTTACTCAGTTAAAATGGGTTTTATTCAAAAGATAGGTAATAACAAATGCTGAGGATGTGGAGAAAAGGGAACTCTCATACACTGTTGGTAGCAATGTGTATTAGTACAGCCACTGTGAAGAACGGTATAGAGATTCCTCAAAAAACTAAAAATAGAACTATCATATGATCCGGAAATCCCAGTTTTAGGTATATACCCAAAAGAAAGGAAATCAGTATGTTGAAGAGGTATCTGAACTTCCATGTTTATTGCAGCGCTATTCAAGACAGCCAAAATTTGGAAGCAAGGTAAGTGTTCAACAAAGGAATTGGTAAAGAAAATGTGGTAGACATACACAATAGAGTACTATTCTACCGTAAAAAGAATGAGATTCTGACATTTGCAAGAACATGAATTAAACTAGAGGTCATTATATTAAGTGAAATAAGCCAGGTACAGAAAGGCAAACTTTGCATGTTTTCACTCTTCTGTGGGTGCTGAAAATTAAAACAATGGAACTTGTGGAGATAGAGAGTAGAATACTAGCTAACCAGGTGCTGGGACAGGTAGTTTGGAGGGGAGGGAGAAATGGAAATGGTTAATGAGAACAAAATTATAGTTCGATAAAATGAGTAAGATCTAGCATTTGATCACACAACAAGGTGACTACAGTCAATGATAATTTATTGTACATTTAAAAATAACTAAAAGAGTACAATTGGAATGTTTTTAATGCAAAGAAATAATAAATACTTGAAGTGATGGACACCCCCCTTAACTCGATGTGATTATTATGCAGTCTGCCTGTGTGAGAATACTTCATGTGCCCCATAAATACATAAACTTACTATATACTCATAGAAATTACAAATAAAATTTTCAAATTAGGTAATTCATAAAAAAATGGAGACAATGTCCTTCATACTATGGGAGTCAAGATATAATGAATTACTGATGATTTTAAAACCTCTGCCTTATTTTTTCTTCTGTATCTTACATGTAATAAACAGCATGCCAGTCATTGAAAATAATTGGTAGACTAGAAAGAATAATAGATAGAGTGCCGAGGCTTTTAAGGTTGGGTAACTCTGAGTTTGCTTCCTGTTTCCACTATGGGAATATAAACTGAGGCCAATCATATTAAACTCTTTGATGATTACACCTAACGCGATTTTAACAGACACTTCATATATTTTATTTTCCTTCTACCTCCACACTCTCTAAGCAGATTTTTCAGGGTTTACAACCAACTCTGCTACCCTCATTAAACTATTTATGGTCAAGTTATTATGGGATTCTTAGCTTAAATATTTAGAATTTACAAATAAGTGTGTTAAATTTATTCTTTGCCAATTTGCTTGAATAAGGCTATTTTCACTTCTGTTTATTTTTCTGGAAAACAATTTCCTCTTTCCAGAAAGGAATATGTCACTTCATGTAGAACGAGGGAGGGAAACACTTCTTACATTTCTCAAGCAGGAGTAAAAGTGCAAATAACTAATTTGCCCAGTCAGGAGAGTGAAATGCGTGATGTGGACAAGGTGGGCAAATGGAAACATGTGACTTAGCCAAATGTTGCTAATAAAATTGAGGGCTTGGTTTGGCCACATGCTCACAATTTTATGGAAAGCTGGAAATGCAGTTTTTTCAGTATAATACTCTGATTTTTGTTTTATTAGATAAATCTAGCTATTTTCAAACAATATGTGAGAGAAACAAAATTTGAGTTGTGTCAGCTAGTTCTTGCTTCTATTAAAAAATAGTCACCAACTACATTCAAACCATGAGAGGGTAGCTGCAGATTTAAATTCTCTGAAGTAAAGTTGAATCATTATCTCTGTATTAAATAGGTTGACTTCTGAGTGATGAACCTTACTTCTTCCAAGGAGTTTTCCCAGGTCCCTGCTACTACATAACAAGGTTTAATATGTCTTTTCTTAATTTTCCCATAGCACATTTTAATATTTTTATCAGGGATATGTAATAATACCATTCCATAATTAAAGTAGAATATGAGATATAAAAGGTAAAACAATAATGATGGTGTAAGTATTATAGAAAACATAATACATGTACTATCTTTGAAAAATTTTAGAGCTGTAGTTTGCACGATAGAAAATATATATCAACATTTCATCACATTAGAAATATATGCAATGTTAGATCTATTACATTGTGACATTTTAGGGAAAAAAGAACTGGGATTTTACTTTTGTATTCCTATGATTGTGGCCAGATTTTGAATGATTAATATTTATAGAATTGAATTAAATGTATTTCTAAAAGTTTATTCTGATTTTCCAAGTCTTACCTGCTTAAAAGTCATGACTCCTGGCACTCATTACTTGGGGAATATTGGGGAAATTTTTATTTATTCTTTGGCTCCTGTAAAAATAGTATTATTAAAGTAGGGCTGATGCATAGTGCCACAAAAGTAACCTGGAAAGAATGAGATATAGCAAAGGGTGTTACATTATAACTTAGGAACTGGTTGCCTAGTGAGTGAAAATCAGTGAAGGATAACTATTATTTTACATTTTTTTCATCTGTGAGGAATCTATTCCAATCCAAACCTGAATCACAGAAACCTTTGGATCCAAATTTGATTGAGTAAAGTCTTTCTATGAGCTTTGCCAACGTATAGCTGTTACCATTTATACTTAAATTTCTAGTCACTTAAAAGAAGCTGTCCTTGTGTTTCAGTCTTGAATTTTGAGTCACATATTCTCTTGAATTATTTTGTTATGTCTATGATTTATTTCATTTGCTCTAGGTATATTTATACCTCTACACACCACACAGTCACACACACACACACACAACACAGACATTCTGCTAGTGTTCTGAAGAGTAATTAAATGAAATTTTTTAAAATGCTGTTTACTAAATTTGTTGGAAATTATGAAATAACTTTATGAAATAAGGATAATGATGGAAAATATCAAAATACACAAACATATTTCATTGTGTTTATCAAGTATTTAAGTCCTGATTCAGTTTCATAGATATTAAACTGAAAAAAGAACGTATTAGAAGTCTTATAAATAATTACAAAAAAGATACCACAACATGGCACCAAATCATTGTCTATACTTAAAATAGTCTTCTGACCCTAAAATAGACACAAATATATATCTTGGCACAATAGTGAAACACACATACATGGACACATACACGCATACACACATATAAATTTAAAAATTACATGCATACACACATATGACTTTAAAATTAGAATTTTAAAATTCAACCTATGTAGACAAATTTTTAAAATGCATGTTTTCACATATATCATTGGAACATTATGGCAGTGATAAACTGTGAACACCTGGTGCACCATCACTGATAATGACAGAAGGCTATATAAATTTGATATATATTACTTCTCAATAGGAAAAGTCATTAGACTTTATGGAAGCAATAAACCAGAGGGTGTACAGTTGTCTTCTTTAGGTCTCCTATGATGGTTTTATTCTTTTTGTCAAATAAAGTCTTGACTCATTTAAATAACACAATAATTTCCATATATTTTTAAATATTGTGAGGTTTGCAAAATATTTTCCATTTTCAAAGCAAAGTTTAGAAAAGATTCTATTTTAAAGTTATTCAAAATTACCTTAGCCAATAAAAACACACTTACCTCCTTGGTTAAGTGTATTCCTAATTTTTTTTATGCAATTGTATAAGTAATTAAGTAATTGTTTACTTAATTTTACAGAAAATTTATCATTGGTATATAGAAATGCAACTAGTTTTTTTTAGTGTTGATTTTGTATCTGCAACTTTATTGAATTCACTTATTAGTTCTAACAATATTTCGGTGGGGTCTTCAGGGTTTGCTATATATAAAATCATATTATCCTCAAATAGAGACAATTTTCCTTCTTTCTTTCTGATTTGGAAGAGTGTGCGTGTGTGTTTGTTTGTGTGTTCTGGAAATGTCTGTGTGTGTGTGTGTGTGTGTGTGTGTGTGTGTGTGTGTGTGTGTGTGTGACAGGGTCTCACTCTGTTGCCCAGGCTAGAGTGCAGTGGTGCCATCACGGCTTACTGCAACCTCCACTTCCTGGGCTCAAGCAATCCTCCCATCTCAGCCTCCCAAGTAGCTGGGACCACAAGTGTGCACCACCATGCCCAGCTAATTTTTGCATTTTTGTAGAGATAGGGTGTCACCACATTGCCCAGGCTGGTCTCCAAATCAAACAATCCACTCTCCTCAGCCTCCCAAAGTGTTGGGTTTACAGGCATGAGTCACCACACCTGGTCAGAAATGTCTTTTACTTCTTTTTATTTCTTTTGTTTGCCTAATTGCTGTCTAGGACTTCCAGTACTACGTTTAATAGAACTGATGAGAGTGGGCATCCTTGTCTTTTTCCTATTTAATACTTAGTTTTTAATAGATATGTCTTCCCTTCTTAAATACTGATATTATAATGAATTTATTAAATAAGGGAAACTTAGCTTTGTCTTAAGAATAAATTTCCAGTAATCAAAACCAATGACAAAGGGAACAGTGATTTTTTTTTCTCACATTGAAACATATTTGTATTGGCCTCACATAAATAGAGGTTTTCATTCACAAGATGTTAAACATAAGGATTTTATTTTATTTATGAAATATAATGTGTTAGGTAGATCAATGAATCTATCTAGCTAGCTAGCTAGCAGAAAGACATAGAGAGAGTGAAAAATAACATAGCACAGAACTTTATGGAAACCTGTACAAAATATACACAAATTTTTCTTTATAATGTCATAAACAGTTTTACTGCTGAATTTGCATATTTATTATCCAAGATGACATAAATTTTAACACCAGTGGACTTTTAGCCCATTCTAACACAGCATTCATTAAAATGTAGTGAAACAAAGCAATATATGGGAATATGTATATTAATCACTACAAAATATCTTTACTTTAAAATTTATAGTAAGACTACAATTCCTGGGTATGAAGAGTAAATTAATAAACAATTAGATGGATGTACTGAATACTGAATAAAATATCAGACTCTGCCACTTTCTGTTCATCCATCTTCTACTTTTTAATCCACTTGTGCATAATGGGCAATTCTTTAGGTATACTTCTTTCCCTTATATCTATTAGAATAACTACATTCAAAAGAATTTGAAGGTTAACATGTGTCCTTCTATAATATTTTAATTATAAGACAAGTAATAGCTATAATAAAAATAATCAATAAAATCTGACCAATAATAATGGCTATAACAATAGTAACATGATGAACAACATTAGCTGAAATTTATATGGTCTTCTGAATTCTACAAAGCAATTTATTTTTAATATATTAGCTCATTTCATTTTAAAAATGCTATAAGGTAATTATAGCAGATATTGTTATTCCTAGCATTAAAAATGAAGTCAAAGAGGCTTAAAAAGATTAAAATATATACACAAATTTACATATATAGACATAAAAGTTAAGCCTTTTGATTCTGAAGTAAACCCAGTTACTATAAGAGCATATACATTATTTTTTATTCAAATAAATTTATTATTTTGAACTAAAATTTGATGACAATATTTAACCTCATAGTAAATGATAATATAAATTATATAAGTATGTGCAGATTTCATACGTGTTGCATCATAGATGTAATGTGTTTTTGGTCAATATTTTTAAGTTATTAACAATGGTGATTAAGTCTTAGTTTTACCTGGGTTAACCAGTGGTTATTGTTTTCAAGAGAACAACAAATCGAATAAATCTGATGATTTTTTTTTCATTTTAATACTCTAAGGTTGAATATAAAATAATTTAGCTATGTCTATGCTAAAAAATAAAGCCTACATGGAATGGGTTAAGAAAAATATAAAAACCAAGGATGAAAACATAAAACTAAGATCAAGTAAAGGTATTAAATTCACTCATATAAATAGATTGTTTTGAAATTAGGCTTTCTTTTCTCTATATAATTCAAATTCTACCTAATTTTGTTTATGATGAAAGGAAACACTAGACAGAATAAGATAGACAAATTTATTCCAATAAATAAGAAGAAACATAAAAGATTTCCACCATTATAAAATATTCTTACATTTTAAAGTGTTAGTGTTAATTGCTCTCTCATTAATGTATTAGTGATTTCATTTAATGGAACTGAAAACTAATTTATTTTATTTTAACCAAACATTTTTAGCTATGAAAACAGATTATATGCAATTTGATCTTTTACTGGTCTGAGTTGATCTTTAATTATCTATCCTACTCTTCATTTTAGAATGCTAGTCACCAAGACTGTGTTTACCCTTATCATCAATTCTCTTTCTCATGGTAGAAATTGTGATTATGGGAGGTACTTAAGTTGGATTAATATTGTCACAAACAGGCAGTTTAGATTTTTCCTAACAGAGCTAGAGAATAGATCACAAATTTCTCCTTTGCCTTTCAAAGCTTACATGACTGTTTTTAGGATATTATTGGGTTTTCACCTTTAAAAAGCCTCCTCTTATTATAAAATAAAAATCCTAGTAATATATCCTACTCTTCAATTTTGAAATCTATTTGCTAGCTTTCTACAGATTTCAGTGTGGGGTCTAGGAAGATATGACCTTTGTGTCATTGAGGGTGGTCATTTGGATAAATAAACCAATTGAGTGGTCATTGCAAATGGCTGTGTTTTAAATTTGTACACAGCCATTTATCAGCTATAGAATTGTCTTTGAAGCATCTGTGATCAGAGCCTCATGGCCTCTGTGATGATCACTTAGTTTGGCTAAAATCGCAGAAGGGGCACTTGAGTATACATATACCTCACACTCCTTGTTTTTATTTTTTTAAGTTTTAAGAATTGAACCATTTCTGTTACTGCTTGTGGCAGAGATAACTAGTTTCTTACACAGGAATTAATTCTCTCCGTTGTATTTTTGTACTAGAAACTTGGTGTTTAGCTTTACCCACACAGAATAAAAAAATTTTTCTTCTCTGCCTCCCTTGCAGCTAGTTACAATCTTGTGATGAAGTTCTGGCCACTGAGGTGGAAGTGGAAATCTTTTATCAGATTTCTCAGGAAATTGCATAAAGGGATCTAACTCAGTGGGGAAAGGTAACTTTTTGAATCCTTCCTTTGTTTTGGCTTTCTTGAGATGTGATGGTTGAAGAAACAGTAAGAAATCAAGACCATGTGTTCATTTGAGAAAGGGAAGACAGATTTGAGCTTGGAATCTTGTAATTTAGTACATCTCTGCACTGCTCACCTCCAAATTTCTTTTACATAAGAGAGAAATAAATTTTTATTTCATTTAAGCCATTGTTATTTTTTTCTTCTATATGCAGCCAAACCTACCTCAAACTAACAAAGAGTTTAAATGAATAAAAATATATATTGTGTGGATTCTTTGGTAATATGATGTTATTTTTTTCTAACTTCTATCTCATTTAAGCAATGTTAAATTTTTTCTTCTATACACGGCCAAATCTACCTTTAATTAATTGATACACAGTTTAATGTAACAATAAATGTATATTGTGTGAATTTTTTTGTCATATGATGTTACCTCTTTCTCTTTTATATTATTCAATACTGCCCTTTTTCTTGGAATATCATTAAAATGAAGTAAAATATGAGGTCAAACTCTACTGCAGGAACTCAGACAGCATATACAATCTGTTTTCGATTTACACCTTCAATAATACTTTTTCAAACATTTTTCTTTTTACGGCACTTCTAAAATTTAAATACTGATGCTATTTTATGGAACTATGAATTTTACTTAAAAAAGATTACTTTTATAAGGGCCTTATTATAACACCATAAAAGTGAGAAATTCAGAACTTTGGCTGAAATTTATTCTCAGCACTCTGTCTTCTATACAAAGTTCATCAGACAGGAAATCACATATGTAATAGAAAATTTGGTCAGATATTTGGTTATATTACCTTGATCATGGGCCAACTTTGTTTGAAATTGGGAAAGCATGCTTAAATTATTCTTACATAAGATTGTTTAGTCACTTTGTGGATTAATATTTAGATAAACAGAAAGTGCTTTCCACTGGGAAGTGCTTGAAAGGCACTCTTCATTCTAGATAGTAAACTATCACTGGCTGTGTCTCCTTCACATTAAATTTAGCTTTGGATACGTTATGGGAAAAAAAGAGAACCATAGATTCCAGAAACTAATGTCTCAAGAGAAACACCTGGGAAGACTAAGGGCTGTCTTAAACTGATAATTTTCAGAGGCTGATGACTGCAGACTGGGACTGGGTAATTTGGAGGCAGCAGGAAGAGAATAAGCAGAAGAAGTAGAAGGAAAGCCTTCTATGTTCTGCTCCTGCCTAGCTCCTAGGTTGACCTGGGATAGTTATCAGCTGTCTCTTATGTGAAGAAATCAGGAGCCATTGCCAGGCTTTCAGGCCAGTGTAATCATGATAATATCAGGGAATCAGACCTTGTTGGGGACAGTTGATAAAAACAGGCAACATGATAAGCCATATGTGTTTCCTTTACTCCTATTCAAAATACCGTGTTGTTTCTCCCTGAGGGTGGGAAGTTAAAACCTGACCATTTCTGGGTTTTTGTGGCTACTAGTGGCAGCAAAGGCATGTAACCTATGGTGCTTAGGGGAAGCAAGGATTTTTGCCCATGGGTCATCATCTCTCTGCTCTTTAAACTCATTGTGCCCTGCACCTATTAGGGCCTTTCTCCTCTGCTCCATGACACTTCCTAAAGCAAGTACTTAGCCCTAGGAAAAGATGATTTCAGAGAGAAAATATTATTTTACATTGCCACATGAGAAGTCCTTATAGAAATACTATAAAAGACAAGAAAAAGAATAGGATTTACCCTCTGAAGCAGTAGTATCAAAATAGCTTGGTCATGTATTTAAACTAAACATGATAAACTATTTCACATTAAAAGTATTGAAAAGATTTGTTTGTTAATATGTCACCATATGTATAGTGGACTCCAAATTGATCACAACCATAATTATGAGAGGTAATAAAGTTCATAAAAAATAAAAATGATTACCTTTGTGATCTAGGAAGTTAAAGGACTTTTAAAACATAATTTCAGAATTATGAACCATGAGAAAATATAATTAATTGATGATTCTCCCAGCACGGAGTTTGAGATCTAAGAACAGACAGACTGCCTCCTCAAATGGGTCCCAGACCCCTGAGTAGCCTAACTGGGAGGCACCCCCCAGTAGGGGCAGACTGACATCTCACACGGCCAGGTACCCCTTTGAGATGAAGCTTCCAGAGGAACGATCAGGCAGCAACATTTGCTGTTCAGCAATATTCTGCAGACTCTGCTGCTGATACCCAGGAAAACAGGGTCTGGAGTGGACCTCCAGCAAACTCCAACAGACCTGCAGCTGAGGGTCCTGACTGTTAGAAGGAAAACTAACAAACAGAAAGGACATCCACACCAAAACCCCATCTGCACGTCACCATCATCAAAGAGCAAAGGTAGATGAAAGCACAAAGATGGGGAAAAAACAGAACAGAAAAGCTTAAAATTCTACAAATCAGAGCACCTCTCCCCCTCCAAAGGAACGCAGCTCCTTGCCAGCAATGGAACAAAGCTGGATGGAGAATGACTTTGACGAGTTGAGCGAAGAAGGCTTCAGATGATCAAACTTCTCTGAGCTAAAGGAGGAAGTTCAAACCCATCACAAAGAAGCTAAAAATCTTGAAAACAGATTAGACAAATGGCTAACTGGAATAAACAGTGTAGAGAAGTCCTTAAATGACCTGATGGAACTGAAAAACATGGCACGAGAACTATGTGACGAATGCACAAGCTTCAGTAGCCGATTTGATCAACTGGAAGAAAGGGTATCAGTGATTGAAGATCAAATGAATGAAATGAAGCAAGAAGTTTAGAGAATAAAGAGTAAAAAGAAATGAACAAAGCCTCCAAGAAATATGAGATTATGTGAAAAGAACAAATCTACATCTGATTGGTGTACCTGAAAGTGTCGGGGAGAATGGAACCAAGTTGGAAAACACTCTGCAGGATATTATCCAGGAGAACTTCCCCAACCTGGCAAGGCAGGCCAACATTCAAATTCAGGAAATACCGAGAATGCCAGAAAGATACTCCTCGAGAAGAGCAACTCCAAGACACACAATTGTCAGACTCACCAAAGTTGAAAGGAATGAAAAAATGTTAAGGGCAGCCAGAGAAAAAGGTCAGGTTACCCACAAAGGGAAGCCAATCAGACTAACAGCTGATCTCTCGGCAGAAACTCAACAAGCCAGAAGAGAATGCAGGCCAATATTCAACATTCTTAAAGAAAAGAATTTTCAACCCAGAATTTCATATCCAGCCAAACTAAGCTCCATAAGTGAAGGAGAAATAAAATCCTTTACAGACAAGCAAATGCTGAGAGATTTTGTCACCACCAGGCCTGCCCTACAAGAGCTCCTGAAGGAAGCACTAAACATGGAAAGGAACGACTGGTATCAGCCACTGCAAAAGCATGCCAAATTGTAAAGACCATCGAGGCTAGGAAGAAACTGCATCAACTAACGAGCAAAATAACCAGCTAACATCATAATGACAGGATCACATTCACACATAACAATATTAACCTTAAATATAAATGGGCTAAATGCTCCGATTAAAAGACACAGACTGGCAAATTGGATAAAGAGTCAAGACTCAGTGTGCTGTATTCAGGAGATGCATCTCACGTGCAGAGACACACATAGGCTCAAAATAAAGGGATGGAGGAAGATCTACCAAGCAAATGAAAACAAAAAAAAAGGCAGGGTTTGCAATCCTAGTCTCTGATAAAACAGACTTTAAACCAACAAAGATCAAAAGAGACAAAGAAGGCCATTACATAATGGTAAAGGGATCAATTCAATAAGAAGAGCTAACTATCCTAAATATATATGCACCCAATACAGGAGCACCCAGATTCATAAAGCAAGTCCTTAGAGACCTAGAAAGAGACTTAGACTCCCACACAATAATAATGGGAGACTTTAACACGCCACTGTCAACATCAGACACATCAACGAGACAGAAAGTTAACAAGGATATCCAGGAATTGAACTCAGCTCTGCACCAAGCGGACCTAATAGACATCTACAGAACTCTCCACCCCAAATCAACAGAATATACATTCTTCCCAGCATCACATCGCACTTATTTCAAAATTGACCACATGGTTGGAAGTAAAGCACTCCTCAGCAAATGAAAAAGAACAGAAATTATAACAAACTGTCTCTCAGACCACAGTGCAATCAAACTAGAACTCAGGATTAAGAAACTCGCTCAAAACCGCTCAACTACATGGAAATTGAACAACCTGCTCCTGAATGACTACTGGGTGCATAATAAAATGAAGGCAGAAATAAAGATGTTCTTTGAAACCAACGAGAACAAAGACACAACATACCATAATCTCTGGCACACATTCAAAGCAGTGTGTAGAGGGAAATTTATAGCACTAAATGCCCACAAGAGAAAGCAGGAAAGATCTAAAATTGACACCCTAACATCACAATTAAAAGAACTAGAGAAGCAAGAGCAAACACATTCAAAAGCTAGCAGAAGGCAAGAAATAACTAAGATCAGAGCAGAACTGAAGGAGATAGAGACACAAAAAACCCTTCAAAAAATCAATGAATCCAGGAGCTGGTTTTTTGAAACGATCAACAAAATTGATAGACCACTAGCAAGACTAATAAAGAAGAAAAGACAGAAGAATCAAATAGACACAATAAAAAATGATAAAGGGGATATCACCACCGATCCTACAGAAATACAAACTACCATCAGAAAATACTATAAACACCTCTATGCAAATAAACTAGAAAATCTAGAAGAAATGGATAAATTCCTCGACACATACACCCTCCCAAGACTAAACCAGGAAGAAGCTAAATGCCTGAATAGACCAATAACAGGCTCTGAAATTGAGGCAATAATTAACAGCCTACCAACCAAAAAAAAGTCCAGGACCAGAGGGATTCACAGCCGAATTCTACCAGAGGTACAAGGAGGAGCTGGTAGCATTCCTTCTGAAACTATTCCAATCAATAGAAAAAGAGGGAATCCTCCCTAACTCATTTTATGAGGCCAGCATCATCCTGATACCAATGCCTGGCAGAGATACAACAAAAAAAGAGAATTTTAGACCAATATCTCTGATGAACATCGATGCAAAAATCATCAATAAAATACTGGCCAACCGAATCCAGCAGCACATCAAAAAGCTTATCCACCATGATCAAGTGGGCTTCATCCCTGGGATGCAAGGCTGGTTCAACATATGCAAATCAAGAAACGTAATCCAGCATGTAAACAGAACCAAAGACAAAAACCACATGGTTATCTCAATAGATGCAGAAAAGGCCTTTGACAAAATTCAACAGCCCTTCATGCTAAAAACTTTCAATAAATTAGGCATTGATGGGAGGTATCTCAAAATAATAAGAGCTATTTATGACAAACCCACAGCCAATATCATACTGAATGGGCAAAAATTGGAAGAATTCCCTTTGAAAACTGGCACAAGACAGGGATGCCCTCTCTCACCACTCCTATTCAACATAGTGTTGGAAGTTCTGGCCAGGGCAATCAGGCAGGAGAAAGAAATAAAGGGTATTCAATTAGGAAAAGAGGAAGTCAAATTGTCCCTGTTTGCAGATGACATGATTGTATATTTAGAAAACCCCATTGTTTCAGCCCAACATCTCCTTAAGCTGATAAGCAACTTCAGCAAAGTCTCAGGATACAAAATCAATGTGCAAAAATCACAAGCATTCTTATACTCCAATAACAGACAAACAGAGAGCAAAATCATGAGTGAACTCCCATTCATAATTGCTTCAAAGAGAATAATTTTATTATATTATTATTAAATATTTATGTTCAATGAGGAAGAATCTTGGTCAAAGGTTATATGGCAGAAATAATGGAGGAACATTTGCAATTTCTAAAATCCACAGTGAATTAATATCTAGAATATTCAGAGAATTTTTCCAAAGCACCACTTCCCCTACCAAAAAAAATAGCAAAGGATATGACTTAATGGGTCACAAAAACATTGAAGCTAACATGAACATCCAATGATGTTAAAGCTCATTGGAAATGACAGAAAAAAAATTTAAACAAAATCTTTCACTTTATACTCTTAAACTGTCAAAAATTAAAAAGCTAGCTAATGCCAATGTTGGTGTATATGTAGGGTATAGAAACCCCTATGTACAGCTAGCAGGAGTATATCCTAGCTTTATCAGAAGGGAGAGCACCATGGCATTACCATGTGGAATTACTGACATGCTCTATGAGTGGCCCAGATAGTTTATTCCTAGATATTTATCTGAGAGAAATTCTCACACATGTTCATAAAGTATTCAAGGCTGTGTACTATGAAAATGCTTGTGAAGGTAGAGTCGGGTATTTCAGGTGCCCATCATCAGGAAATTAAGTAGCTATGATGTGTAAAATTCACCTTGTGAAGTACTGTGAATGCAGCAGTTAGAATAGAAAATCAGATACACACATAGAAACATGATTAGATCTGAAAAACAGAGTGCTGTATAACACCATTGATATAAAGTATCATATGCTCTCAAACAGCACACATTTTCCAGGAATGCATAAAACATAAAATTAAATAAACACAGTTAAGTTTAAATTAATAAACCTATATGTAGCCCAAAAAACATAAAATGAAAAGAAAAACGAAATGAAACAAATAAATCGATATTTGTTAATTGCTAAGATTAAGATAATGTTCAGGGGTAGAATAGGTGGAAGATGTTTTCTGGTCCAAAATTTTCCATTTTCTGTTGAAGAATTTTTTGTTCAGAAAACTTAACTGACTTTCTATGTAGAAGTAAAGCAGGAACATGAACCCAGATATGCTGACACTCAATCCTACATGGTCTCCTGACCACATAGCAATCATCCACTTCCCTCTCGCTTTCTGTAGGAAAATAACTATATTGTTTGATACACATTGATGTCCCTAAACTTTTAGATTTCTTCCTTTTGAAAAAAGCTTTACTAAATGAGAATAAGATCTGCATATACAGATAGTGGAAACTAAAATGATTGAAAAGATTTGTTTTAACCACTCACAATTTGCTCCCTATGTTTTCTTAGAGTATCTATCCAAACTTATATTAAGCAGTTTAGTTTGTTGAACCTAGATTAAATTTGGAAGTGACAGAACTTTTGACAAGATTTCAAGTGTGTATGTGTGTGCGCACACATATGCATACATTAGTAACAAGTTAGCTAAAATGCTACTTTTTTTCCCAATCAAAACTAGAAAATTCAAAGGTACATAAAATAATAATTACAGATCAAAATCAGTCAAATAAAATATCGTTATGACATATACGTTGAAGAATGTTTCCTAGATTACAACGAACTAAAATCATAATGTTGACTGTAGTAGAATTAATTTTCAAAATGTGCAACATTTTCTAACATAAAAAATGATTAAAACTGTTTCAGAGCACTCCACTGTTAGAAGGTGAAAGTCCAGGAAGGAATTTAATATGAAGCTGATTGTGGTTAGAAAACCAAGAGTTGACCTTATTTTTCTTGAAAAAGCAAAATCAAAAGGGGCCTCAATTATACCTCTTATCCAAAAGCCGACACCTAAAGCAACACTGTGACCTCTTCTCAGGTTGCTTGGGGACATAAACTCAGGACTTATTTGCAAAGTGGCTTTGCAACTGAAATTTCAACATCACTTTACAGACTTCGTCTCCTTGAGTGTCCAAAGGGTGCCATAGACACTTTCAGGTTATAAGTTCCTTGCTGATGGGGTCCCAGAACAAAGTGGGAGGGCTCCAGACCACAGAAAGTAAACTCAAATTTCTCCTTACTTTAAATAAGCAGGTCACAAATTGCAGTGAACAGAAGGCATTTCAGAATCCCCTGATGCTGGGAAGGAATGTATTCCTTCTTTCCCTTTTTATCTAAGTTGGGCACCCTGAGGAACTCTGTTAACTCTTCTGTATTACCTATACCTAAACATTAGTATGCAAATAGCAATCTCAAGAGGTCACAAATCTCCCATGGTTGAATCTAGTGCAAAGTTCCAGAGTTTTGGCAACCACAAATTCTGATGGGTTTGTGAGTCTGCTCTTGGGCAAACAATATTTTATTTGTTAATTTACAAATTGAGTAATACAGAACTATTTTGAGTATATGAACCCATTTAACACTTGTAAACTCTCTTCTGAGACAGAACATGCTTCGTTTTCTTAGTGTGAGCTTTCAGTGGGGAAATAAAACCATAAAACAAAAACAAAAACAAAAAGCCTCACTATATTTCTTCATCTCAGTTCATTTCCTGGCATTGACTGCTTCCAAAAAAGCAGAGCTGAGCTACCACAAGAAAGACTTTTGTACTGGAATTCCAAGTCAGGCACAAACTAAACAAAGGCTACTGGAAATTTCGTGGGAAAAAACATTCTGTAAGGTTTTCACTCTTAAGAACCTCAGTTGATGATTTGACTCAGCAGGTAATTCAAGATCATTCATCACTAATTATAGTTTTATTATTACTTTTGAAAGAAGTCCATCTCTGTATCTTTGAACATATCATTACATTTGCTTCTTAAAAGGTATTGTCCAAATCTAACCATTTCTGAACAAATAATTCTCTAATTTTAAAAGTATTCTACAACCAGTCTCTCAAAATACCTGAAGTAAGTTATCTTTACTACCTCTCAAAGTTTGGTGAGGCCTTTGTAATAATAAGAGAAAATGGATAATGTATTCTTTAGTTTGGTACACCTTTTTAAGTGTATGGGAACAGAAAATGATAGACATTATGGACGCTTGGAATAAAGAGAGAAAGACCACCAGGTTGTGAGGTGAAAAGAAGACAGACCCTGAATACTGACTGGTGATGTGGGGCTTGTTCCCTGGGCACATTCACGGCCCACCTCCTTTTGATCCCTGGAGTGTTTGATTTGAGCTGCATTGTGATACTCATCTCCTCTCTGGTATCTTTTCCCCTTAGGGCTTCTACAGAGCCAGATAGTATTTCCCAATTATTATCCATATCTGGTGTTTCTGCACAAAGCACATGACCACCTGTTCACATTTTAAAGATTTTAAGATTTCTAGTAAACAGATGGGATTAAGAAAATTGATGAACTTTGCAGCAGTTCATCTTTTGATATCTAGTAAAATCATGGCTGAGGTTGTTTATATTCTTGTCATGCAAACCATGTCAATCCCACTATCCGTCTTTTTCTTATCCCAAGCTGAAGAATCAATCTGTGTAAGATACTTCAGGTTTAGTCTGGCCCAATTAAGTGCCAAACTCACTTCCTGTAACCAAACTATATTGGCTATATATTTTTTTCTTCTGGATCTTCACCTGCATATTCCTTATTGGGTTATTTCCATCATCATTTTAAACAAATTTACTACCCTTCCTTCTTAAAACATCCCTTTCAACCATAATCTTCTCAAAGTCACTCCACATATTACAGTATCCTTAAAGCTCTGTCTATTCTCTTTGCCTTTGCTTCCTCACTTCCATTAACTTTGATTCATGCCATTTAGCCTCTCACTCCTCCAGTCTACTGAAAGGGCTCTGGTTACATTGGTGAATTCCATGCTGTTAAAACCAATGTAAACTTTTAAATCCTCTATGTCTATTTTAATGTTCTAGAAGCATTTGAAAAAATTTTCTCCGTACCTGTCTTTGTGAAATCTATTCTATTCCTTCTTATGATATCAAATTCTCTTAATTTCTTCTTAAATATTGTTAGCAATTTTTCATTTTTCTCTTGTAATTTCTCCCTTTTCCCAATCTTTAAATAATCTTTGGACATTTGAATATTTTTACTCATTATACACCCTCACTCAAAGCAATCTCATCAATTTTTATGTCTTAAAAAAAACCCATGTATTTGTGAAAGCTTCCCAATTACTATCTCTATTTTCGATTTCTCTTCTGAGCTCTGTACTCCTCTATCCAAATGGCAACTCAACATATCGATTTTGGTGACAAACATCTCAAAATTAAGGTGTTCAAAATGGCATTATTGATCTTTCTTTTCAAATGTACTATTCCTCCAGAGTTGACCCACTTCATTAATTGACTTCAATGATGTCAGCCAGACTTTGGGAAATTTCACTTTCCATTGCCTATCTTCTACTCACAATTCATCTCCAAATACTGTTGATACATTTTCCTGCTTTCATTCTAGTCCACATCATTGTTTTTTTTATTAGCCTCCAGTCTTTTCATATCCATCCTTACCTCCATCTAATGCATTCTTCACCCAGAAGATAGAGTGATTTTGTTAAAAGGTAAAGGAGGTCATATTAGTCTCAGTTTAAAATTATAAAACTATTATTTATTAAATTTAAAATAAAATTTTAAAACTTTATTATTAGCTAATCATTTGTACATGATTCATCCTTTATGTAATTTTCAGTGCTCATTTCTAGCTGTTCTCTATCAATATTTTCCCTGCTTCAGCCACACTGATCTTCTCAGTCCATGCAAAATTCAAGTTCTTTCTCAGGACCCTTGAACATGCTCTGCCTTTTGCATTCAATCATTCCCTTGACTTCACCAGTTAAATCCCATCATGATTCAGGATTTTCCTGACTTCACAGTCTAATCTAGGTGGCTTTTGTTATTCCTTTTTATATTACCTAGTTATTAGTCTTAGAGGAGATAATGCAGGCAGCATTAATATGTTTTTTCCCCTTGGATTGTTTATTGTCTGTCTTGTTATTGTTTATTGTTATTGCTGCATGCATTCAGCACTTGGCATGACCCCAGTGTGTTTTACAATTTTTGTCTCAATTTTTTTTTCTGTGGTATCATTTTTCTGCCACCTTAGTTAATTTCAATCTTGTCCTAGCCTTATTAATTCAAATATTAAGTGTTTTACTGCATATCCCTATCTCTATCTTTGCTATTCTTATCCCTCCTGTCCTTACGATATGATATACCCAATCTGGATAATGCTTTTGGTAATGGTAACTCCATGGCATGGGCAGTGATTGAGTCTGTAGAGCTAATTCTAACCAGATCCTCTTGTTGCAGACAGTTATGCCCAAAATGAAACCAGAGTTTCATGAAGCATTTCCAGTCAATGATACTCATCTGGAGAGCCCTAACGGAAGGGAAAACAAGAACCAGAGAGTTGGCATGTGCTAGGAATTGCTGCCTGACAACCAGAGCCCTATGCCAAAATTGCCCAGAGGTCAAGTGACCACATAATCAGTATGTCATGGAAGTATACTTTATTCTCTACAAGAATGCCCCTTCTCAAGTCCAAACCAAGTAAACAAAAAACAATCAATAAGCAAAAAACTAAACAACAACAAAACCACAGAAAACAAAAGAAGCAATCACTGCTAATCCCAGATAACAAATAAAAGAAAAAGGGTTCAAACTTAGCAATCACATATCAAATTAACCATTCTAGATAACTTTTTGGATGAAGATAATAAGATAGAGCTGTTTCTGATCGAATTAGTCTCCCCTGTAGGCCCCACATAGCTTCTGCCTGTGCTGGAGTATCTAATGTCTCTTATTAACACTACACGGATATGTTTTGCATATATACTTATTCTAAGTACAGTTTTAGTTCTGAGATTTTATCATGGAAAAATATGCCTTCCTCAATATATTCTGCACATTGCAACTACCTGATATATTTTAACAAACAACAAAAAATGTGAGGTGCTCTAATATTCTCTAAAATGAAACCTACATACCTGCATTCTTCCCGTCATGCAAGATGTCCTTCATCACGATGCTGTGGTGGCATAGGAAGCATATTTCTAGTCGTGTTAACGAGAAAAAGTCAATTTCCTGTAGTATAAAAATATGGATTCCTATCAAACAGAATGTGTACTATTATATTTCTATGTCATAAGATTAAAAAGCGTACATACAGCAGCAGTAACTTGGTAAAAGTCAGTCACCTCATTTACTATATAATGTAGATTATATGAACATTACAATAATTTGCTCTGTGCCATTTTAAAATGATTATTAAAATCACCTCCAAAACTCTAAATCTTATAAGTGACAAAATCTGAGTCATTGATACTAGGTCTTCTTTAAATAACAGTGTAGGCAGGAGAACAAAATGTGTTATTGCTTCTCTTAATTAAATAGTTGCATGTGATACTCCCTGCTTTAAGGGCAATATGATACTGAATACATATCCATCTATCCATCAGAAGTACAGGTGGGTTCCTCCCTCACTTTCTTCCAGACCTTCTGCAGTTTACTTATCAGTGAAAATTTCCTTGTTGACTTTGTTTAAATATCAAACCCACTCTCAGTCTGGTACTTCCTATGCCCATTGCACTGTTTTGCATTTCTCCATATGATATAACACCATTTGAAACAGCTAATTTTTTTTCTTCCTATTACTAGAATGTGAGCTCTTGAGTGTGGGAAACTTATTTTGTTCCATACTGTATCCTCTGATGTAAAACAGTTCCAGACATTTTAGTGGACATTTCACTATAGAAGATAAATGAATGGTTAACAAGCTCATGAAAAGATACTGACATAATGAGCCATTAGGGAAATGCATTTCAAAATCACAATGAGTTGCCACTTCACACCAACTAGGATGGCTATAATCAAAATGACACATGAAACAATGTGGGGATGTGGCAAAATTAAAATTATCATACATTTTTGGTCAGAATGTAACATGGTCCAACCATTTTGGAAAACAGATTGGCAATTTCTTAAAAAGACATAAATTTACCCAGTAATTTGACTCAGAGGTATATATACAAGTGAAATAAAAACATGCATCTATATAAAAATGCATGTATAAATGTTCATAGCATTGCTATTCATAAGAGTCCCAAACTGAAACCAACCCAAATGCCAACCAACCGGTAAATGGATAAACAAAATGTGACATATCCATACAGTGGAATACTATTCAGCAATATAGAAGAGTGTATTATTGATATATTCTACCACATGAATGAACCTCAAAAAACATGGCTAAAAATGCCAAATATAAAAGACCCCATATGTATTATTCCACTGATATACAATTTTCAAAAAAGTGAATGAAAGCAAGTTGATTAGAGATTGGCTCGGGCTGGGGATGGAAAAGAGAAATGACTACAAATGGACTGGAGATGTTTTGGGGAATTGAAAACTGAGTTGTGGCGATGTTTGCACCGTTCTATAAATTCACTAGGAATCATTGAATTTTACACTTAAAACAGTGGAATTTTAAGAAATGTAAATCAACTTCAAAAAAACTGCTAATAAAATAGAGCCTGATAAAAAGTAGGACTTAAATACTTGTTGAATGAAGGTATAATTAATTATGGTTCTTACACAATAATGATTACAACTTCAGAAGAAAAAAACACATGAATGTATTTCACCTGTGAAATATGTATGAAAAATATACATAAACTTATACAAAAATGTGCATTATACTGAACCTGTATATATATGTGTGTGTGTGTATGTATATGCATATAGATATATGCACACACAACACACATATACATATACATACACACACACATATGTATCCACAGTCTCAGGATACATACTACAATATAAGAAGCAAAAGAACCTAAAATATGTATGTGATGTGACATTTTAGACATGGTTATAAATCAGAAAGAAACAACAAAGCCAATATTCCATTACAACAGTGGATTCTAGAGAGGAGAGTTTTGCCCATCCACTGTCCCTAAATGCAGTCATGGTGGTTTGAAGAATAGAGGTTTAATGAAAAGGTGCTTCTGTAGTCTTAGTGAAATAGTTAAATGACCAAAAGGCTGCTCAGATTTGATGGTCTACTGAAGACACAAGCACGTGGGGCTTCTGCAAATTCTCACTACTCTATATTGCTTTGTCTGTTGCTGTCTTCCTTTTAAAGGTAACCAGAAACACTAAAAGTCATTATTTATGATAATAATAAAAACAACATGTATATCTAACATTCTGAAGCTATTCATGACAAAGAAAGGGGAAAATATAGCAAACTGAGACTGTGATAGATGCTTTCTATATAGTGGACATTTAAGAAAGAAGTTTTGTGTGACTGTTAAAATAGAGGCTTGTGTTTTAAAAGTTATTTTTAATAATAGACACTTACTTTGTAAATTAAGCTTTGGCTTTAAATCCTTTCATTTAAAATGTTAAGTCTAGGTTTTTCCATTTCAGGAATTATTCCAAGTCTCATCATTTCCTTTATGAAAGGAAGCAATTGGACTGAGTTACCTTGTTCCAGCTCATGAATATTAGACATGGCTTTTCTGAGTCCATCAGAGTCAGCTAACAGTTACTGCTCTTGAACGGATGAATGAAACTAAGGCGCAGGTTTATGGAGAGTAAATGTGCCCTGAGAACAAATGGTCAGGTTCCTGTTCTCCATTGCATCTCTGGTGTGAGATCATTGCAATTGAAACAAACTATCATCTTTTGTAGTAATATGCAACTTAAAAACATTACTCATATAAAAGTAAAGGGACCAAAGTTTATTTAATCTATTTTTAGAAAATAGCAAATTGAGAGGAAGAAAACCACTTTAGTGTTATCTGAACATTTAGGCTTTAGTAACAAATTTCCCTGATCACATTCCTCCCAAATAAAACCTGGAGTGTTTGCCATGTGTGAGCAGAGCTATGTCAGTAGTAATGAACTGGTCAAGGATATTAAAATATTCTTCTCTTCTCATGTGGATCCAAAAGACTATCTGCCAAAATTTACTAATTGGATATTTGCTCTCCAAATTATTTACATATCTGCCAAAAGTGCTTTTGAAATTTTTGGCATGAGTTACTCTTGATAAAAAGAAATATGAGCTGTAAAACAATAAAATAATGTTGAAAATAGCAGCTTAGTGTGTTTGATTTCTTTATGAACAGCCAATAACTCTATTATTCAAAGTAATCTGAATCTTGTAAAAATTATATGTATGGGGTATAGAGGATAAAACAACCACAGGAAATCCATTGTAACAATCTTCCTTACATTCAAAATTTGCTACAAGAAGGGGCCATTTGTTATTCATCGAAGAGGGTTTGGTTGTAGATGTATAAAATAGACCTCCTTATTAGGTGCTTTTATTATTTAGAGATCTCCTGGCATGAAACCAAAGGAAAGCATCTGAGAAATGTTCTAATATACATGAATAAATGAGCTCTTCAGAGGTGAGTATAAGCAGACATTTCTTAAAGTACTTCTTAAAATTACAGGGCACTTAGAGAAAATTCTTACAAAAACATCTGTAAGGACAACAGTTTTGGCTAATATTTAACATGGCAATGGTTTTTGGTGTGTATCTACCTGTATTTCTCCCACCTCATTTTTATACATTCCTATACAATAAAAACTTACAATATGATATAAGGTGTTTCTTATTCCAAATCTATTTAAATTCTTTTTCACCCGCTGACTTGAAGAATTTGGAAGAATTTGACTTAAATTTTTCCAACTGCTCAGTGCAAGAGTTCATGACCTTTATTCCATATCAGTGAGAAAGGTCCATCTTAAGTTTAAGCTATTGTAGTCCCTGAAATAGTCCCAAGTTGTGTAAGAGCCAATTTACGAAGTATCCATTTAGAGTAGGAATAGGCATGGCCAAGAGGTGAAATGCCGAAGGAGTTTATGTGTATTCCTAATTGAAGATAGAATTTAAGCTCCTATAATGATTCCTACATTTTTGCTTGAGGAGCAATGTTGATCTATAATGATTTTTTTTTAACCACCATATAAAAGATGTGGAGAGTGATAATGTAGTGACATTTTTAGGTAAATTTTAATGACTAATTTTGATAGTTGTTTCTTAGGGTACACATAAATGTACATATGTGGATATATGTGTGTGTATGTGTTTGTATGTGTGTGTATGTCCAAAACAGCAATATTTTTTAATAAAATGAGGATATTTAGTAAACAGTTGCTTAATTAAATTAATTAAATGATTGATTGAGTTTAACATCCTAATCTGACAAAATTAAAAGTCAGTAACTTTAAGATGAAAATTCCTTTAATTAATGATCTATGAAATCTCAAATTTTAAAAATTCTAGTGTTAGAGTGACCCTTCCTAACAATTAAAAGTAGAAATTTGTGCCTTCCCTATGGTCCCTCACATTTGCCACACTTCAGGTGCATACTATTTCAATATTTTTTCAATAGAACTTTTCCCCAACCTTTCATTTTAAGTCCGATGGATGTCAAAGAAGGTAATTTTAATTAACCATACTGTAGTATGAATTTGTCACTGTTCTTTCCTTCCTCAGTTTCCTTCAAGTTAATAATTAAAAGTAAAAAAAAATTATTCATTGAAAGACTTTTAGACCTAAACTACTTTGTTGCTTGTAGGCAAAACATTAGTGCTTATCATGGCCTCAAACTCCTGATCCCATATCTGTACAGGATGATGATATTTTCCCAGAGGAATCTGGGGAAGAAAAAAATGTGGCACAGGCTAGTTTTCCTTCTAATATTCAATCCCTTAATTCATTACAGACTATTCTTTCCTCTAATATTCAATTTCCTTATTCATCAAAATAATTTGCACTTGGCTCTACAGCTGCATCAGACATTAATCAAGGGTTTCACGTAATTAAAGGGAATAATTACATAGGAAGATAATTTCTTTTTAATGTGTTTCATATGAAAGTTCCTATACCACTAGTCTTGCTTCTTTGCCTTCAGATCTGCCTATCTCTAAAATAATTTTCTACTCTTTTAATCTCCCCCAACTATTGGGACACTTTTCATCTTACCCACATGGATATGAATCTCTGTAAGATCCCTTCTTAGTCAGCTCAGACTGTTGTAAACAATTAGCATAGACTTGGTGGCTTAAACAACAAACATTTATTCTCACAGTTCTGGAGTTGGGAAGTCTGAGGTATAGATTCTAGGACACTCAGGTTTTGCTGAGGGCCCCCTTCCTGATTTACAGATAGCAAATCCACCTGGTGGAGAGCAGAGAGTGATGAAGCTCCCTGTCTCTTCTTATAGGGGAATTAATCCCATCATGAGGCCTCTACCCTCATGATCTAATTACCTGCCAAAGATCCCATCTCCAAATACCACCATATTGGAGGTCAGAAATACAACATGTATATTTTGTGGCAATACATTCAGTCCATAGCAGATCCCTACTCTTATTAGTGCCACATTTCACCCAACTTGGGTTGCTCAGTCTGCAGTAATAGTCGATTGCAGCCTGTACAAGCTGAAACCTTGAATATCAAATATTCTCATGTCTTGGTGATTTTCAGAATTTCTTGTAATTGTTCCTGGTATTTAGCAAGTAACTATTGGTTGAAAACTTTGAATGAAAAGCTACACACACACACACACATAAATACATATATCCTCTCAAGGATTAGAGGATATTAAGAACAACATAAGCTAATCTGTAGTGAACAGAAGGATGAACATCTTCCTAGCTATATTTGATTTTTACAGTTTCATTTATGATGACACATCAAATGCTTTGTGGCTACTACAGAGCCCAATTATGTTTTGGAATGACTGCATCTTAACTATGAGAAAGTAACATTGGTCTTTATCCAGAACCAAGAGAAATTCTTAGAAAATTATTATATTCTTACTATGATCTGGCACCAGAAGATAGGTAATGTGATTATTTAGGATTCCTGGCTACAAGCAATCTTCAAGTTTGAGGAAGGGGATGTCATTTTTTATTAACCTTGGAAATTAAATTTCTCTATAGAGTGCCATCTTGATAGTACATAATTGTTTTTATGCAGATTACTTTATTCATTTCTCAACCTGCCAAAGAAATTTTTTAAAAAAGTTTTGACTCAGGGTGTTTGAGGTGCAGGGAAATATAATAATTCCAATTAACTCTTTACTACGCATTGATGTGCATTGCATTCCTGGGAACATGTTGTGTTAAACTCTCTTTGGGAATGATTCTGAAGCACATGCTTTGCCAATAGCTGAGAAATATGGAGGGTAGAGGGAAACAAAGAGAGATTATCTTTGTGGCCTTTTCTGTAGAGGACCACATGCTGCTACTCTTTTACCTGACTTTACCAAAACCTGCCACTTGACATTTTGCTCAAGGGTTTATCTACAGAACATAAAATGAAGCAGATAAAAATAAATGTATAAGGCTGGGTGCGGTGGCTCATGCCTGTAATCCCAGCACTTTGGGAGGCCGAGGCAGGCGGATCACAAGGTCAGGAGATCTAGACCATCCTGGCGAACATGGTGAAACCCCGTCTCTACTAAAAATACAAAAAAATTAGCCGGGCGTGGTGGCAGTCGCCTGTAGTCCCAGCTACTCGGGAGGCTGAGGCAGGAGAATGGCGTGAATCCAGGAGGCAGAGCTTGCAGTGAGCCGAGATCGTGCCACTGCACTCCAGCCTGGGTGACAGAGCAAGACTCCGTCTCAAAAAAAAAAAAAAAAAAAAAATGTATAAAATATTGTTAAAACAATTTTTAAAATTTGTGGCAGAGGTTATCAGTATGAATTTTATGGAACATGGGCTGTCCATATATGGATTTCCTTATAAATGGAAATGTGAATAACAGTCAACTGAGCTTATACAAGCCCAGACCTTGAACATCAAGTATTCTTGAGCCTGGGTTTGTGGGACTCATTTGTGGGCAATTGTGATGTGAAGTATAAGTAAATGTTTTTAAATTAGCAATGGAATGGGAAAAAAATCGGAATAAAATATTTGTAGTTTGCTGCATATCAGATCATTTTCTTTAAAATATTCTACAAACATCTAGGTGAAATTTTCTTCTGCCTAATTCAATTTGATTATTCTTTCCTTTCAAATGGGGTGATGTCAGAAAATCATAAAGTAGTGTTGATTCCAGGTAGACCCTTGGTTTAATATTAGTGAATTAAAACTATATAACTGGTTATTTCTTCTATGCTAAATGGGAGAGAATAGATTCTGTAGAAACATGTGGCATTATCCACATATCACACAGAGGCATACACACACTGTTCTTTAGGTCTTTCGTCAGGCAGACAAAATATGTGTACAAGATGTGGGAATTGTGTTTATCAGTATCTGTGCCTACTCTAACAGGAAGAAAGTCAGATTTTGTTTATCCATCTTGTCTGTATGTAACACCAATGCAGCTGCAGTCTTGGATTTGTTTATTCTGAAGCTTGGGAGGAAGACAGTGTCTAGACGAAAGAATGGTTTGTTAGGTTCCTGCTATTGTCAGTCATGAGCATGTTCTTCTTGCCATGGTGCTGTTATTAGGTGTGTACTCCAGATTATAATGAGGCTGTTAAAGTCACAGATACTCAATGAGAAAAATAGACATTCAGTTCAGCAACAAGGGAGCAAAGAACAAGAACACTTATAGCTTTAAATATTTGAGAGTGAGGATCAAATTTGTTTATTTCCCTTCTTGTGCTGGCACTTTTACAAATGTGTAGATAAGTCCAAGAAAAATACAAAACATCCAAATATTATGAACATAAGTCATGCTGGTCTCAAAATCCCTACAAGATACATCATCATAACAGTTGGCTCATATGTTCTTGAAATGAAAAAGAAAATGTTGAACAGCTTTGCATATTCTATCAAAAAGATTACTCAACAATGTTGACTGTTATTATTTTTAAGAAGTAATTTGGCCATTTTGTTATTGTAGAGTTGGGAGGTTCCCTGCAGCTTACGCTTACTTTCCAGCTCTTGGATGGATTGTTTTTTTCTTCTTTTTTTCCCATAAATTTAGAATCATGGTGTGATATTCAGATAGCGTTTTTAAGAATAATATCATAAACACAAAACTACTTTATAAATTCTGGGCAACAGTTCTTCTCAAAAATAACTTTGTTCCATATGACATTTACCATAGCAATTTCCGAAAATAGTCTCTTTTTATATTTTATCTACTTGTAAGTTACTCCATGTGATAGTGTTACTGGGGGTCCTTGCTCCCAGAGCTCCCAAGATAGTGGTGGGCCACTTCCAAGATGGTGGCAAGCCTCGTGTTCTCTGACCTGGGGTTCTTGGCCTCACAGATTCCAAGGAATGGAATCTTGGGCCATGCAGTGAGTGTTACAGCTCTATTAGAAGTCGTGGGTCACGGAAGAGAACCATGGAACCCAGTGACTAGTGTTCAGCTCGATTAGGACAAACCCAGGCACTTAGCCGTACCGGAACAATGGCAAGCCTTTAGCCCGATCGGGAGTGGCAATGGGCGCATGGCTGCATCAGGAGCACAGCGGACACCCTGCCAGATCTGGAGGGATGGAAGTCAGTGGTAGGTCTGCAATGGTGGCAAACAGCAGTGGTGGATGGCGAGCGAAAGCTCAGCTCGAGCTGTAACAAACACAGACCAGAAGAGCGCAGTTGCAAGATGTAATAGAGTGAAATAGAGTGAAAACAGAGCTCCCATACAAAGGGAGGGGACCCAAAGGGGGTTGCCATTGCCGGCTTGAATGCCTGGGTTTATATCCCGATCCTTGTCCCTCTCGCTGTCCTCTCAGGCCATAGATGATTGGCTATTTCTTTACCTACTGTTTTTGCCTAATTAGCATTTTAGTGAGCTCTCTGATTGGTCGGGTGTGAGCTAAGTTGCAAGCCCCGTGTTTAAAGGTGGATGCGGTCACCTTCCCAGCTAGGCTTAGGGATTCTTAGTTGGCCTAGGAAATCCAGCTAGCCCTCTCTCTGCAGTGAATATGGGCAATATAACCTCTTCCACTGTTCATGTTGCATCTATGAACCAGTTTTCTTAAATATTAGAAAAATATTTCCCTAAGCCATCTATAAGAAAATTTAGCTAATGCTACTTAAATGTATAGTAAGAAACTCATGTCTAAGAATCTCTTTGGAATAGTAGTGTGCCCAGGAATCAACGCATAATAGTATGCTAAATATGGAATTCCTTTTTATGTTAATATGGCTGAAAAGATATGAATGGCTTAAAAAGGGGGCGGGTGGTTAGAGTGTTTCTCCAAAGGAAGCTGTTGGTGCTAGAAATGTTGAAACAGACTGCTATAAAGTTTCTATATCTAGAAATCTTTTTACCACCACCTCCAAAACACTCATTGAATTTATCTACTTCCCTTCATCTAGCTCTGCCTTTTCTGTAGTTCCAACTACTGTGATCACTTCCATGTAATACTGGCAAGTGGGCTGGGGGAGGTCATCTAATGCCAGTGGAACCTCAACACCAGCTTGCTTCCAGGCTTTTGACATCATCGTGGGAAGGAGTTTAAGATTCAGTGAGAAAATAGTGAAAATACAGAGATTTATCGCAAAGCAAAAAGTAGACACTGAAGAAATGGGAATGCAGTCATACTCAAGAGAGAGTCATGAGCAAGGGGGTTTGGGACTGCTACATTATGGGTTTCTTTAACCAAGGGGTGGAATATTCATGGACATTCCTGGAAAAAGGTGGACATTCCTCAGAACTGAAGTGTCACCCATTTTTACACCAAATACGGGTATTCTGGGAAGTGTTATGACACTGGTGGATGTGTTATTTAGTATGTAAATGAGCATCTAATTAGGTCCTAGGAGCTCTCTATAGATAATGGTTTAAACCATTATTTGTTATTCTTAAAAATACCGCTTCATTTCCTTAAAATCTCCTAAAGTCACTTAGACTGCCACTTATCAGTGCAAATGACATTTTTTTCTTCCTCTTCAGCAGTCCTCATGAACTCTCAGAACAAATACTCGTTATAATCTTTGATTGCATAATTTAAGGTCTAGGCAAAAAAAAGAAAATGTATTTTTTCCATCTTATATCATTCTCCTACTTTGTTACGTGACTATTTTTAGATTAGTGTGGCTGCTTATTTAAAATTCAATAGTGGTATACAACCTTACATACACAACCACTGACTCTTGGAGGTTCAGTCACCTGAACTGCATTTGTATACTGATTTGCAGAGCAGGGTTTCTTTAGGCTTTGCTTTTAATGGGTTTATATAATGGCATTAATTTATATTTTCTAAAATCAGGTCTTTCTGTATGTAAATACAAGTTTTATAAATTTTAGAGTTAAAGAAATTATCTTTAAATAATTCGAATCATGTGATTATCTCGAGCTATGTATGTTTTTATATGTGTAAACCAAGAGTATCTGAGATAAGTTTCAATCAATTTAGAAAGTTTGTTTTGTCAGAGTTAAGGAGGTGCTTGTGACATAGCTTCAGGAGGTCCTGATGACATGTGCCCAAGGTGGTCAGGGTACAGCTTGCATGTATACATTTTAGGGAGACAGAATACATCAATCAAGGCATAGAAGATTTACATTGGTTCCATCTGGAAAGGTGGGACAACTAGAAGTTGGCGGTGCTTCCAGGTCATAGGTAGATTTAAACATATTCTGATTGGTAACTGGTTGAAAGAGCTATTACCAGTAGAAAGGAATGTCTGGTTTATGATAAGGGGTTATGGAGACCTAGGTTTTATCATGCAGATGAAGCCTTCAAGCAGCAGGCTTTAGCAGATGCAAATGTTTCTTATCAGACTTAAGCTTTGTGCTGATGTTAACGCTGGAGGGGTGTAATGAGGCAAGTCCAAATCCTACTTTCTGTCAAGGCCTACACCACACTTTCAAGTTAAATTTTAGAGTGCCCTGGCTGAGGAGAAAGTCCATTCAGATGGTTGTGGCGGGGGCTTCAAATTTTATTTTTGTTTATAGTTGCATCTAAAATAAATATGCGAATACATATGCAGGACCTATTTAAAGCACCACTGAAACTTACTTTGCTTTCCTTAAGTCTCACATTCTATCATATGATCTTTTTTAAAAAATCTGAATGTCTTACATAAAGCTTTTAGAGATAATTTATGCTTTTTTTCTATATCTTTGGCAATTACCTCCTGGGTGATCTCATTATTCTTGCCTTGTTCATGCCCTGTGTCTCTGCTACTTAGAATTAACCTATATGTGAAGCATTTATTATTCTCTATAGTAGGATATAGTATCTTCCTCTGGACTACCTTAGCATTTTGTGCCACCTTTCTTTTAACCTACTTTTTTTTAACCTTAAATTGTTCAGATGTGAGGGTAAGTGTATATGTGTGCAAATATTCAGACATTATCTTAAGACATTGGTATTTTTTCTATTTATGTGTCTTGATAACTCTATTATATCATAAATAACATGCAAAATCCTTCTGTTAATTTACTTTTTATCTAGTAGATGCCAAATACTTGCCTTCAAAAAAATTGTTAGCACTCATCTGAATATACATAAAACCTATTTTCTGTAAAGTTTCTCAGTGCCTGAAAAAGTATTATATAAATCACCATTTCAGTATGACCACACTAGCTAAATCAGTTTCTTCCTACCTTTCTCCTCCTTTTCTGTCATATTACTTTACTTTAGATTCTTTGAAGCAGGTGTCTGTATCTACTTTTTGAAAGTTAATATAGTGTAAATACATGTAAATAAAGTAAATAATTAAACACTTTATATTTTTAAATGCACTGTGTGTTGCATTTTTATAATTGAGAATGCCAAGAAGATCAGTCAATTGAAGGAGGATACAAGAAAGTCAGCATGGGACATGCCCACTGTTGGATTTAGGAGGCCACTGTAGGTCTAGAATATGATATCCAAAGGGTTGTAATCTAATAATAAAAAAACCCTGACATTAGGAGTCTAACTAATAATAGCAAGGTGTTCCAAGATCATTATAGAGATGGGGCATCCATAAAAATGCACTATTTAAAAATCCACAGACAGGGCAGTGATAGATATAAGAGAAGTTCCTCGGTTGGTAACGGGAGCCATCAGGACTGTTAGATCCCTAGAAGCATCATATTAATTGGGAAACCCAGATGTTAACTCATTTACCATGAGTTAAATAAGAAATCCTGTTACCACCCCAAGGCAAAAGCTAAGAAATAAGTTGGAGGAGCCAGTCAAACATTAATATGTTAGACTGGATTAGAGTGAATTATTAGGTTAATAGCGGAAAAGCAGCAAGAGACTAGGTATAGACATCCACAAACGAGTCTGGAATAGCTAATGGATCACCTGCCTTTGGGAGGCAGAGAAGGGCAGATCACCTGAGGTCGCAAGTTTGAGACCAGCCTGACTAACATGGAGAAACCCCGTCTCTACCAAAACTACAAAATTAGCTGGCCATGGTGGCACATGCCTGTAATCCCAGCTACTCAGGAGGCTAAGGGAGGAGAATCGCTTAAACCTGGGAGGCAGAGGTTGTGGTGAGCCGAGATTGTGCCATTGCACTCCAGCCTGGGCAACGAGAGCAAAACTCTATCTCAAAAAAAAAAAAAAAAAAAGAAGAATTGCTTCTTGGCCTACAAAATAAATTGGAAGGCTATTGACGAAGGGAGAAAAAGGCTGCAGATTTGGAAAACTGGCAGAAGCTGACATAATTATAAACATATTTACTAAAATACTTTATATATCATAATAATGATATTAAACATTGTTACCATCATGAAATAACACATTCATATTTTGTAATCTCTACTGACCCAATTAGCATATTAGCTACATAATCTTAAAACACTTATCTCCTTATTAACTTTTCCTGTATCTGAGCAGCACTTGGGCTATTACATATTACTTTACTTTAAATTGAATACCTATACAAATATAAATAGTTTTAATATTTAAAAGATTATATTACTACACCAAGTGAAAAATATGTAAGAGATATGATCAATTAAAACTAGCTGTGGAAATAAACGTAATAAAGAACAATAGTGTTATTAAATTTTAGCTTGATTTACATCATTATCGATGTCCACACCTCTCTGGCTTGTTTCTGTACTGTTAAAGGAGGAGATTAGCATGGGCTTAAATGGATACTGAGTTTCCCCTTTATGTAATCAAAATGATTACAGGAGAATAATTTCAAAGTTCTGTGGCTTAAAGTTATTTAAGTTCAATGACTTTGTAGCCCCTAAGCTCCTACAGAGTTAACAGAATCTCACTTTTGACAAGATATTCATAGAGTGAAGATTCTCTGTTGTATGCAAATCTTAATCACCCTGGGTTCAAAGAAAAATCAGTAACAGACAAAGAAATCCTCACCACAAATTGTCTACTCAACATTTCTTCAACATTAGCCAGATTCTTTCTTATAATTAATATTTAGGGTTTATTGTCTTTACCTATAGCATAAAAATTTATATGGTGGCAAGAATATTTAAACGCTTGGGTTGGGTTTTTCAAGTTTAAATCACAATGTTATGTTTATACAAAAATTTCTTCCAAATTAATCTTTTTGTCTCTCTCTCTCTGTCTTAAGTGTACATTATTCCCTTTTCTTAATCACATATAGAAAACTCAATTCCCTACATACATGCACATTTATAAACAAAATTTTAAAATTTTAAAAGAGCTTGTGTTATGCCAAATACATTATTAAGATACCTGATGTTTTCTAAATATAAATCCAATGCTTATACTTAATTACTTTGCAGACTTTTCCACAAAGTTAGAAGTTTGAAAGGTGAATAATAACATCTTATTTTGAGGACCTATTGACTCAATGTCATAGAAATATGTGGGAAAATAGATATCCTCTTTTAAAATATAAGGTTTAGAAACACTTTTATTAGTACCTTATTTTCTAATAATTTTAACCCGGAGATGTTTTAAACTGTAGTCAGGAAACTCAGCTTTTGCCATTCATCCCATGAGACATAAATGAATTATTTCCAATTGGAATGAGGCTCATCTCTTCTAGGGTAGGCACCTGTCTATGGTAACAAGACTAAGCCTACCATTCATTATTCACATGCCACATGGCAGATGGAGGATGACAATGACCTGTAGTCATTTTGTCCAGTGAGAAATTAAAGTTAGCTCATAAATTGCCAATCTGCTAAGCCATCTGGTCTTTCACGGTAGATTTTTTAAAGTCATTCACATGGTTTAGAAAAATAATTTATTGACCACCTATGTTCTATATATTTAAGACTGTCTTACAATGATAATCTGTAAACATTTCAGGGTGTCCAACAGTAGAATATTCTCAAAATGCTCTATGTGGAATATGTGTAGTATATCTCATAGATATATATGTTTAGAATATTTAAATTATTTTTACATGAGATGTTTTGACATCTCATATTTTCTCTGCTATGGGAGTGAGGTAGGGGTATAGTATAAATATGCTAAATGAGAAACCACAGAGTGAACAGCTTTTACTTGGAATTATCCATAAATTTCCCTGAAATAATTTTGCCACATTGATAAATAAGTTATTTATACTTTTCTAGCACACGTATTTTGGCATTACTGTTGTAGATTTAAAGTAGAATTAGAATAATTTACATCAAATTTAAGAACCAACAACATTGTAATGTGGCAAAACATTTCAATAAGTCCACATTCTGATCTTGATTTCCAGCAGGTAATTTTTAATTTTTTTTGCATTTGCAATATGAGAGGCTCTGAGAAGAGTGCCTCTCCTAGGCGTCGGTAGTGATTGTGAAAGCTTGGCATATTTTAAAGTTGTGAACACCCAAAATTGGTGTTCATTTTTGTAGAACTTAGAAATTATTTCAGTTAACCATTTTATAAAGAATGATAGAAAATGACCCTTTTTTCTGATAGTAAATATGCATTAAGACTTGTATAATATGACATCCTTAAAGATTATTTCTAATACTAATATATCAAACAATTGTTTTCGGAAAGCAAAAGTGTAAATAATGATCATACCAAGGGATAGCCAACGCTTTATTCAAACCAACTGCTGCCTTGGCAAGCAGTCAATATGACTTATTTGCCTCTTTTTTAAAAAAAATTGTTATCATTACCACTATTATTTTATAAAATGGAGATCATAGGCAGGTACAAGCTACATTCTTTTAATAAAATCTTTCTTCTCCTCTTTCTCCCCCTTTCTGTTTAAGTCTATGGCTTAAAAAAAAAAAAGTTCTTTAAAAAGCCAACTCCGTGGCTGCTAAATTGGTAATGGTCTCTGACTTTCAGAAGATTGCCAGATGAAGGAAGTGTCAAACATGGTACTTGACTTCTCTATTTCCTGGCATTCCATCTGGGGACCACTATTCACTATGATTGTTGCAGTGTGAGAAGAATCTCTCCATCTGTCCCCAGGCTGCAGTGGAAATGCTATATGTGCAATTGCCAAAGAGGGGAAACAATGGGAAACACTATATAAGCATACAAAATCAGATATAGAATATAGTGTTAAGTAAAACTATCAAATGATATTTGACAACATATGTGAAAGTTTGGAAGTGCTTTAATTTCAGACTCTTTTCTAAAAGTAATTTTCCTCCTTATTCTGTGTAAGGCAGTAGAGTACCTTAAATGTCAGTCAGGTGACTGCTTCATCTTAAATACATGCCTCACATATGCACATAAGTACCTTTAAGTATTATTTATTTACTATTTTACTTTAGGTTGATTTGTTTGAGACCTGAAAACTGTATGGTACATTTTATTCATAAGTGAAAGACTGGCACTTTGGGAGGCCGAGGCAGGCATCAGGAGTTCAAGACCAGCCTGGCCAACATGGTGAAACCTTGTCTCTACAAAAATACAAAAATTAGCCAGGCATGATGGTGGATGCCTGTAATCCCAGCTACTTGGGAGGCTGAGACATGAGAAATACTTGGACTTGGAAGGCGGAGTTTGCAGTGAGCCAAGATGGCGACACTGCACTCCAGCCTGGGTGACAGAGTGAGACTCCATCTCAAAAAAAAAAAAAAAAAAAGGTGAAAGATTAATATCAATACCTATTATGTAACTAAAAATAAATATAATGAGAAAAAAAGAATAAAAGTTTACATAGATATTGTTGCCTATGAAAGGCTCTGATCTGAGTCCTTCTTTGTTAACCGAAAAGTGGAATTGTCAAGTACCAGAGAGGTATTCCGTGTAGGGTATTCCCAAACTGCAGCTCACTCCTTGACTAATACAGAAAAGAAATAGAAGTAGAAAGCAAATCACTTTCAAATTCTCTGGATCAATGTCATTAGAGTCTGTGGGTATGAACCATCTAATGTCATTTCTCCATTTCACATTTTGGTAACCTGAAATAGGTGTTAGACTTTAGAATCAGGGGCATCTGAATTTAAAACCCAGTTTTGCAATTTTCTAATTTGTGTTTTTGGATAACTCACGATTGCCTGAGTTTAACTTTCTTATCTGTAAAACATTGCTTATCTTGGAATATAGCAATGAGGACTGAACAAGGGTGCATGTAAAATGTTGTTCTGCAGCTATAATGTACAATTTCTGCAACAATTTGTAGCTATCATAATTGTTGAGGATAGAACATGAAATGAAAATATGAAAATATTGGTCAAAGCATACTCATCTAGTACATGGCCAAGAAAATCTCCCTGTATTCTTTATTTTTATAAATATGAGGTGCACTCTGACATGTTTTTCATTCTTTGATATCACTTGTCTTTTTCTCACTTAAAATAATTTTAGATTTAAGTAAAATATTTCATAAATTGACAGTTTTAATAAACGCTTATTCAAAAACTGAATGATAATTTTCCAGTGAAGTTATATCTTCCAAAGACAATCTCAGTGATATCTACCAGCCTATGGGCTGCAAGGTAGGCTTTTGTGGCTATTTCCACCAACAATGTACGTTGGGAGTAATAGGAAGTGACTTCTGAGAGCAAGTTGAAAAAGCCATGCATCTGCCAGTTTTTTCACCAGAACACTTCTCCTGGAGCTCTGCACCTCCATGTAAGGAGTCTGACTGCCCTGTGCTGGCTTCAACACAAAGAATGTCCAAACTAGCGCCTACAGAGAGACCCATGCAGAAACTCTGAGAGGAGGTGCCAGGGAAAGCCCAGGCTGCTTCATCTCCCCCTCCACTGTCCCAGCTCCAACCCTCACCTGACATCTACGTGAAAGACCCTGAGCCAGAGAGTCCAGTCAAGCCCTTCTGACAGAAACCAGGAATGATACAAAAGGTTTTCATTGTTTTACACCTCTACATTTCAGAGTCATTTGTTCTATAGCAATAACTAACCAGATCAAGTTTCAACATGATGCAATTCTTGATATTTTTGTGTACGTAGCCATACGTGCATTACTAATGTGTTTTCTCTTTCTCAAATAGCAGAAGGCTATTGTTCTGTCTGGAAAACATCATGTTCCCAAATGTTACCTTCTGGTAATCCTACCACCCATTTTATTCTCCTACATTGTTTTGGGCATTGTTATTATTTTTGTGTATTTTTCCAGTAATAAAATACTTTGGAAGTATCAGGTAAATTTAAGTAAAAGGCTATGAAGAAAATGCACTGTTATCTTGAAGAAAATTTTCCCAATCTCTAATTAAAGAATATTTGGATTATTACTGGTTTATTCTCAATTTCCCTTTTCTATTACAGAAGCCCAGAGGTGTGGGAAAAAAAGAAAGTCTACCAAAAATAAATCACATATTTAAAAAATTATTTTAGAGAAAAATGATTAATTGAAAAAATAATTTTGATTATTTGTAATAATTGAGAATTTACCTCTATAATACAGAATGATCAATATTAAAATAAATAAAAAGAATGGCAGAGAATTTTTTTCTGTCATCATGTTGAGAAAAAAGGGCTTAGATTATTTTAAGAAAAGTATCCAGAGCTATAATAAAAATTTGACATTTCTTGAGGTCTAGTTTGTCTCTAGTTAGCCCCTGTTTTTCTCTTAACCACTACTCAGGGTTCTCTTGTTTTTCATAGTAACTAGAAACATTACAATCTAGTCACCTGAGCCTCTTTCTCTGAAACTTTTCATCTAAAATACCAATTTAAGAAGCACTTTCTTTAAAATAAGTTTTATGCGCTTCTATTTTTAAAGGCTGATAACAATAAACAACAGAGCATTTTGATTTTAGTTTGAAAGCAAATGTAAATTGTCTACAAAGACTCTGAAGATTCATTGTAAGAGATCAATAAAGCCTATAGTCCCAGCTACTCGGGAGGCTGAGGCAGGAGAATGGCGTGAACCTGAGAGGTGGAGCTTGCAGTGAGCCCAGATTGCACCACTGCACTCCAGCCTGGGCGACAGAGCGAGACTCCATCTCAAAAAAAAAAAAAACAACAAAATTCAAATCAAATATGAATTTATTTTTGATACCTTTTTGTCAAAAAACATTACACTTTACTTTCATTGTTTTTATTTGTTGTTTTTAGTTCTACAAATTATGTTTACACTAGGTTATCAATCATACTGAGTTCAGCATCCAGCCCTTTTACTGAACTTGAAATTTGTATTTTGCTTCACCATTCAGCTACATATGCATCTCACTCCTTGCCCTGTAGAACTTTGGGAGCCTTGCCCTTTAATAAACACCTTTAGAATGGGTACCTTCCTTCTTATGTTAAAAACTGCCCTTGATATGCAAGTTATTAGCTTGTATGTTTTTATCAAACACACACACACACACACACACACACACCAGAGAGAGAGAGAGAGAGAGACGTTATTTTTCCTATTTCTAATCAGTAATAAACATCACCATTCATCAGGATTGAGACACAAATATTTTAAAATATTATTTTTTTAGATGATTGCAATAATATTCTATCTGAAGCAAAGTTTAAAATGACAGATCTATGCACATAAAAAGTGATATGTAATAATATAATATGAAGGGTAATAAAGAATATTCTTTTTCTAATAGGGTGAGATATGTTAAACACAATGGCTTTTCTTCCCTGTAGGACTGAGCACAACACACACAATCACTCCCTTAATGATGCTGATTTTTGTCATTCTTATCTTTCACTATGATTTGCTTGTTTTTGACTCAGAAAAGAGAAACAATTTCCAGTTCTAAAAGAAAGACGGTTAAAACATGTTATACATTTCCTTTTTTTGCTCCCCTTTGAAACACCATAGCGTATATCAATTGGTGGTTCAGGAAAGTTTATCTAAGTATCTTTCATAAAAGTTATTAGAATAACATTATTATATGGATGTCTGAACCACACTGTAAGTATCCACTTAAAAAACTTTCCTCACCAAGTTCACTATGAGGACCCTCATGGCTACTTCCACTATTTGTTTTATTTTCCCCCCTCTAGTTCCCCTCAAATTCTCAGAAAAGTCTATTTTTAAGAGCCCAGTATTTTTATATTGTCATGAAGCTTTTAAATAATGAGTACGTATACATTTTCCCATATTAGTCCTTCTGAGTTGAAGGTTTTAAAAGTTCGGATAAACTGTGCCTCATGGTGTGGAAATTTTGTCTAAAGTTCTAGAAGCTTCATTGTTTAAGTGTCAACAGTGACATATAAAAATAACTTTTGTTGAAGACAGGTTTAGAATATTCATTATAGCTCTTAATAATGCCAACAAAAATAGAGAATTTATTTGCGGAGCATAGTGCTCGATAAACGCTAATAAAATCCTCTGCTTAGAACACAGGGATTAGTTTCACTAGAAAAGATTTTAAAATAGTTTGCCTTTTACATTATTCCATGATAGGACAGGGTATTGCCTGCTCTCAGAATTCAAATAAAACACATAATTTCAAGTTAACTTAAATTTGAGTCATATAAACATTTAATTAAGAATGAATGAAATACTGTACTTGGACAAAATATATATAAAAAGCATCTGTTGGGCAATTTCTGAAAGACGAGCTGTATTACATTCTGTTACAAGCCTTTTAAAAGAAATATATAACGTAATTTAAAGTGGCAGACATTTTTCCTTATAAACACTGCCAACCGGTTTTGTAGATAGTGTTATTCTAGAATGCTACCTATATCTTGCCAAAGTACATACTAAATAATCTTTATTTTTTCCTGTTTCTAATTTGCAGAATTTGACTTTTGTTAGAAAGTTGAAGTACATAAGACTTGATGTTACCTGCTCTGAGGAAACCAGCTCGAATCAATTTAACTTCATCCAGCAATCAGCTGTTTCTTGTATTTACTAATTCGCTTTTGATCATTTACTCGAAAGTGTTTTCACCTTTACGTACTACTTCAAAAAAAGATAAAACTCAGCTATAGATAAATGAAAAACATTTTTTAGTAAATTTATCACTGAAATTGATAAAGAATATATTTTTAAAAGTCCATAAGAGTTTAATTTTTTTAATCTTTTTTTTAACTGGCTAGTTTACACTGCAATCTTTCTTGTTCTTTTCTATGTGAAATTTGGAGACGACTTTTTAGAGATCAGTTTATTTGTTTTTATAATCACCTTCACTGAGGTAAAATTAACATAAAATAAAATTTACCATTTTTAAGTGTATGATTCAATTTTAAAAAATGTATTCAGTTATGTAACCACCATCACAATCATGATAGGGAGTATTCCATTATTCCACAAAAGTTCTGTGTACACTCCTGTAGTCAATCTACTCCCTTAACTCCCGCCCGTGACAGCCATTGACTTCGTTTCTAGCTGATAGTTTTGCCTTTTCCAGAATGTCATATACATGGCTTCCTACAATACATAAATTTTTGTGTCTGGCTTCTTTTACTTAGCACAATGCTTTGAGATTCATCAAGATTGTTGCATGTATTCACAGTTCACCGCTTTTAATTGTGGAGTAGCATCTGACTGTGTTGATATACCACAATTTGTTTATTCATTCACTAGTAGATTGCTTCCAGTGTTTTGAGAAATTAAATAATGTTGCTTTGAACACTGAAATACAAGTTTTATTGTGAACATATGTTTTCTTACTAAGTTGTATAAAAACTTAGGAGAAAGATTGCTGGGTTCTATTATAAGTGTATGTTTATATTTCTAAGAAATGGCCAAACTGCTTTCCAAAATGTCTGTACTCCATGTAGTACTCCAACCAGCAATGAATGACAGAGTGTTCAAATTGTTCACATACTTACTCATAAGTGGTATCGTGAGTTTATGTAATTTAGATCATTCTATTGGGGTGTGTAGTGGTATCTCTTTGACAACTTTTAAAAACAGTTTTGTTCAGTTATAATTGACAAATAATATACTGCATATATCAAACTATACAGTTTGATAAGCTTTGACACATGTATACCTATGTTACACCCATGAACTTGTTACTAAAATTATGGAAATATTCATTACCCCAAGTAATTTTCCCATGCTCCTTGGTATTTCTTTCTCCATTTAATGCAGCTCTACCCTCTGAACTCATTTTTGTTGGCATAATTATTTTGAAATTTACTCATGTTTTTGCATGTATCAATAGTCCTATCACCAAGCAGCATTTCATTGTAAACTATAACACAATTTGTGTATTAATTAACCTGGTGATGGACATTTGGGTTATTTCCACTTGTAGACAATTGCCAATACATCTACCATAAATTTTCATCTACAAACCTCTTTATAGGCACACACATTCTTTTCTCTTGAGTAAATACCTGGATGTTAAATAGCTGAATTATATGACGTCTGCATATTTAACATTTTAAGAAACTATCAAACTGCTTCTTAAAGTAGTAGTGACATTAATAGTTCCATCATCAGCATATGTGTGTGCCAGCTGGCCCATATCATTGTTCTGTTAAGTAATAGGTCTATTTTTACTGTTTTTTAAATAATATTTTCTCTTCATCATAGATTTTTAGTAGGTTGATTATGTTGTAACCATGTAATACTTTTTATTTTTTTTCTAACTAGAGTTACTTGAAATAGTTGGATCTATGGGATAATAATTTTCATTAAATTTAAAGAGGTTTTTGTCATTAATTTTTGAGTTAACTTGTCCTGCTTCTGTCTTTTCCTCTTCAGACATTTCAACTAAATGAGCATTGGAATGCTTTATATTGTTCTCAGAATTTCTTTTTCATTTTTTCAGTCTTTTGTCTATGTTTCTTTTTGGACATTTTAGTGTTCTCTCTTTTATATTCCTGATTTATGTTCTGTAGTTTCTAATATGGTATTAGTTTCATTCAGCATATCTTTTATTTCAGAAATTATGTTTTCATTTGGAATTTCTAATTAGCTCTTTTTTATATTTTTTTCTTTTCTCATCATATTAAAATTTCCTCTACCTCCATGAACATATGTAGTGTATGTATAGTAACTGCTTTAACGCCTCTTTCTGCCAATTTCATCATCTATTCATCTATGTTAATTTTATTTTTCTATGGGCCATTTTTCCTGCTTCCCTCATGTCTGGTAATTTGTATTAAATACCAGACATTGTGAATCACATTGTTGATTGTTGAATTTTGTTACATCATTTTAAATGTTTTTGTTGTTCTAAGATACACTTAAATTACTTCAAATCATTTCATTTGTTTACTTGTTTTTTATTTTTTATTTTTTGTTTGTTTGTTTGTTTGTTTGAGAAAGAGTTTCGCTCTTGTTGCCCAGGCTGGAATGCAATGGCATGATCTTGGCTCACCTCAATCTCCGACTCCTGGGTTCAAGTGATTCTCCTGCCTCAGCCTCCCGAGTAGCTGAGATTACAGGCATGTGCCACCATGCCCGGCTAATTTTGTATTTTTAGTAGAGACCGGGGTTTCTGCACATTGATCAGGCTGGTCTCGAACTCCTGACCTCCGGTGAGCCGCCTGCCTCGGCTTCCCAAAGTTCTGGGATAGAGGAGTGAGCCACTGCACCCAGACATTTTATTTGTTTTAAGACTTACCTTAAAACTTATTTAGGGCAGGTTCAGATGAGTTATTATTCTAGAACTAATTTGGCTCCACTACTAAATAGTGCCTTTTATATGACTCTATCCCAGGCATGCATTAAGATGCCATTCAACTCAGGTTTGTGGGAACACAAACAATTCTTATCCACAAGGGAGCTCCAGGAATTGTTTCACCTATTATTTTCTGATAGAAATTATAAACTTTATTATTTTATAAAAACTAATGATGTTTTGGAAACACTAAACAATGTTATTTTATTATTAATTACATTTTACTATAAATTAACTATAATCAACTTATATTGTGTAGACATAGGGACGTTTGTAGAGTATAACTTTAAATTTACATTATAAAATGTTATTCACAGTAAATCATATAGTATAGTTACTTGTCTATAAATATATCAGTGCACGTGTCTACATGTATGAGAGAGAGTTTGGCTCTATGTGTAGAGGATTAGAGAGGAACATGTTAAACAAAAGTAAAGAATGTGACCACCTCTTTCTCTTGGTAAAGAGGAATAGAATTTAGAGGAAAGAAAGTTTCTTAATTTATATACTTGTGTTTTTTCATGATTTGATTCAAGAATGGCATCTTTCATTACTTGGAAAATTAAAAATTACACTTGATATGTGATTGCATACTATATGTATTTACCTTTACATCTCAAAGCAAAATAAAAATAAAATTCAATGAAAACTCAGTTACCTTTGCATGGCTCAACTACTCAAAATGCATATTGGATATCTGCCTGGCCCTAGGACCTAAGCATAACTACTATAAAACAATAATAAAAACAGCAGCACAGGAAACCTTCCCCGTAAGGAAAGTTTCTTTGTCATTAATAATGTCAGTACACCTATTGAAAACATCTGTGCATGTCTAGGTCAAAGATTTATACTTTATTTTCATTGTCTAATTAAATATTCCAATGAATTTTAAAATTGAATATGGAAAATTCCATCTTTTTCCACAATTGAGAAAAAACATGAAAAAGGAAGCATGGAATATGTATTTTTAGGATTAATTAAATTTGTTACAGGTGTCATTATGAGTGAGCATTGATGCTATTCTGTTTTGCATTTGTTAATGATTCTTGTAACCTGTTTTTTAAAAAATACTATAAATAAGACATTGTATAAGATTGTTGCATTGAAAATGACAAAGTAAATTTTTAAGATTTAAACTTATGTTTCCGTAAAAGGAACTGAAAATTTTCAGAAATGAAACGTGCCTCTCCTAACTATACTTACCAGCTATCCATGATTCTTTATCATTTTATTTCTAGTGTATCACTTACTTTTAGGGAGAAAATGCTGGTTCTGAATAAGGAAAATTTTAGGGAAGAAATAGCTTTCAATCAAATTATGTGATTTATTTTATCGAAATGTCTATAGTTAAAATTCATCATATGTTGTGCACGGTCCAATCTCGTTAACCATATTTTCATTTATTAGAATTTCATTTTGCAGTAATTTGATTATTATCCCTTATAGAACTATTCTATTGTTATCAAATCAGATGAATCTTTCTTCAATTGCAAGAAAGAACACTAGACTTATTAGAAAATATTTGCTTAAACTGTTAATTACATAACTCCCATTAGAAACTGAGAGATGTGTAGCTGGGCGTGGTGGCGGGCACCTGTAGTCCCAGCCACTCGGGAGGCTGAGGCAGGAGAATGGCGTGAACCCGGGAGGTGGAGCTTGCAGTGAGCCGAGATCGCGCCACTGCACTCCAGCCTGGGCGACAGAGCAAGACTCCATCTCAAAAAAAAAAAAAAAAAAAAAAAAAAAAAAAAAAGTGATGTGATACTTTGGGGAATTCATATGAAGAATATGCACTTTTCTCCAATTCTATTTATTTTATATTCTACATTTATAAGCTAAGCATCCTATAAGTGAATAGTACTCCGACATTACATTAACCCAGTGATTCTGAAATTTATCGGAACAAAACCTTCCTTTTCTTTTTAAATAAAATATGTTGTAATAAACATTCAACTGAAATTAATACAAAACATAATTTTATTCGAATATAAAACTTTAAATCTAAAAACAGATGTAACCTACAAAATACCCTAATGCTAATGTAAAGATGTATAAGAAGAAAGTAATTCTTACTATAAACTAATAATTTTTAATATGGAAATGTGCAGGCATGAAACTACCTTCGAAGGTATAAGGAAGAAAATCTATTCCCTGAACCAGGAACTAGGGTATATATTTACAACAGCTATAGAACCAGAGTTATGCAAATTTGAGAATGGCAATCCAAATACTTTTGTATTGGTGATGTGACTTTCCCAAAATGAAAAAAAACTGATAAATTTCCAAATCAAACAAAATAAGATCTTCTCTATTAGTAATTACCATTTTTGCATAGTAAAATGCAAGAAATGTTTTGGGTTTTTTTGAATGTAAACTAGTTTCTAAGCTCAAATAGTCATAAATGTCCTTTCTACCAAGATGAATGTCCAGCAGGTTATTTGCAACTCAGATAAGTCTTAAATAACTGTATTGTGCAAGACCGTTGCATGCATTATCATATCTGCCATTCCTAGCCTCTTTTTGTTAGGTACCAGTAATGCCTCCCTCAATTACTTCCATGGGAAAAAATGACTTCATCACTCCATAACCTTCTAATAATCTTTTTCCTGGGCTAAGTGTTGATGTTATCAGTCTGTGTTTTATATTGAAGGTCTGTTTTCAAAACAAATTGTAGTGAAGTGCAATTCAGTTTTCCAGTTGCTGCACAATCGTGCTATTTATGCAGTGCTCTCCTATGTGGAGCCCACATAATAAATGGTATTTTGAATTCACTTTTTCTTTGAAATACTAGTATGCTTTAACTATTTTGACAATAAAATATGTCATTGATTTTGCACTGATTGCCAAGAAACTCAGAATTGAATGCAAAGCTCACTACAGCAATTATGTAAAGAATTTTCTCTATATTTTAAAACATAGCTGTGATTTTTTTTTCCAAACCAGTATGTTGCTTTTGGTATTTGCTTTTTTTCTAGTGTGTCATCATTTCATATGTGTGTGTTCTGTAAATTGTCTCAATTTCTCTGTTAAACAAGGTTAGAAATATGAAGTAGTGAGATAGAAAATATGATATATGCAACATATATCAAATTCTTAGTATCACAGGTTTTCCCTAGGTTGAAATATTCTGCAGAGATTTTGGAATCTATAAAAAGTGTTGAGTAATAATACTTGGAATTTAAAATTTCCTAAGTGACCAAAATGTATGTAACTTTTAATAATTAAATGGAATGTTACAGAACTGATATAAAATGTTTCATGTTTGTTACATTTTTATCATATCTGTGTCATACTTCATTTACTGTTTGTCTTAATAAGAAGGAAACATACAGCTATTCAAAGTCATGATTCCTTGGAATGGTAGAAGACTAAGGTGAAGAGAATGTATATGAAATAGATACATACAGAGAATGAATAACTTCCATTGGCTTACTCTGTCAATTTTTGGTAGAAGAATTTTATTAGGAGTGGAAAAAACTAGGTGGTTAGAATAATTTGACAATTCAGTATTTTACATAAGACCTTTCAAAACAATAACTTTTAAAAAACAGCACATTTTTACTTGTAGTACATTATGATAAAATATTGATTTGATTTAATATGATGTAATGTCCACAGAGATAAAATGTGCATTTCAATTATTAAATTTCCCTATGCATTATATAAAATGATTGTGCATTGTGAAAATTATAAATCCATGCACTGTGAAAATTGTAAATCAATATATGATCAATATATTTTATCAGAGCCAGCTTGTTGTCTTAGAAACTCCAAGAGCATGAGTAAGATGTGTCAGCCCCGCATGATGTACATGATAAGAATTGGATACTAAAATATAAGAACGATTAGTTATAAGAATAAAATTTAGTTTCTCCTATAAATCTAGTGAATACATTTGTTTAAATCACAAGTTATATGATAAAAAATCAAATGTATATATAACAATAAATAAAACTGGAATTGAAAACTATATATGAAATTCTTATTGTATTAACCCAGCTATAACACATCTTGGAAAGTTTCCAAAAAACTTCTTTTAGACTGCAGTCTTTCTACTATTTTTCCTGGACTTCATCACCTTCTACTGCGTTGTAGAATTCTGGCTTTTCTGTACATAAGCAAAACACAGGCACACGTGCCCACACACACAGAGTCAGATTGAAATGTCCATAGTTGGACAAAAACAGGAGACTACTTAGCTTATTGTTATCATGTTAGTTTAAATAAATTAACTTATTCTTAATTTTATTGTCAATAAGAATAAGTACAAAGTGAATGATATTTATTATTTGTATTTGATAGTAGCTCCCTAATGTATAAAAAGACAATATAAGTGGATAAGAGCATGGGCTCTGGGGCCAGATTGCATGTGTTCTACTCAAGTCCCTCAATTTGCCAGCTAGGTGAACTTGGCACCCCAGAAAGAAATAAAGAAGCACCTACCTCATATGTTGATACAAAGATTTAAATGAAATTATGTATTTAGAAAAATATCTGGCAGAAAGTGTGACGTAAAATTACACAGTATTCGTTTATTGTCTATTTAGTTTACCTTTCGATATAATAAAAGGCAAAAGAGTGACATGTCTTTTAAAGAAACAATATCTCCCGCGTATTCCTATAATAATTGGCATGCAAAGTAATTATTGTTATTTTTGATTACTAGTTAAATAAAAATTTAAATACCTCATTCATATATGGCATGAACAACATCGCTGATTATATATTGCCCCTCCCCTCTCTTCCCCTTTCCCTCCCCTCCCCTCCTTTCCCCTCCCCTCCCCTCCTTTCTCCTCCCCTCCCCTCCTTCCCTCTCTTTTTCCTTGCTTTCTTCCTTCTTTCCTTCCTTTATAAGTCTCTCAAAACATTTAGTCTATAGCACTCAAATCTGTGATATTTTTCAAAAACAATTTTAATTTGTATTTAGACTACAAGGTTTATATGTAGATAATTTTTAACTGCTCATCATCCTAAAATTTACATTTGTCACTGGGTGAGGTGGCTCATGCCTGTAATCCCAGCACTTTGGGAGGCTGAGGCCGGCAGATAACAAGGTCAGGAGGTTGAGACAAACCTGGCCAACATAGTGAAACCTCATCTCTAACAAAAACACAGAAATTAGCCAGGTGTGCGCCTGTAGTCCCAGCTACTCGGGAGGCTCAGGCAGGAGAATACCTTGAACCCAGGAGGCGGAGGTTGCAATGAGCTGAGATTACGCCACTGCACTCCAGCCTGGGGGACAGAGTGAGACTCCATCTAAAAAGAAAAAATAAAATCAAAGTAAAATTTGTCAAAAACTTTTATTAAATAAAACAAAAATTAGTAGCATCATTAGTATTTATAAAAATCCTTTTATTTATTGATTCATTCACATGTTTATTATTTTTTGATATGTATAAAACATTATATTAGGCCCTAAGAAGGTAATAGTGAAACCAGGCTTTTATATTATCATATAATTACATGGAACATATCTAAAATAAGTTAATAATATGACATTTTATATGGTTTAAGTATTATAGATAAAATGTAAAAGGAAAGGTTAATGAGGATGTTCAGAGGATATATGGGTATAGATTTAAATTTTAAATAGGTGAACAGGAAAATCCTCATTAAAAGCCAATATTTGAGCAAGTACTTATGAGAATTAAAGGTAGAATGATTTAGCTATTTGAAGGACTATAGACTCCAGGCAAAGGAGAGAGCAGTAGAAATGTTGTGAGACAGAAGCCTGCATAATATGTTTGATGAATAGCAAGGCAACCAGTGTGGCTGTGGCAAAGGGAGAAATGCAGAGAATAGTAAGAGATGAGGTCAGAGTTAAGGGAAGGAGGTATACTGTGTAGTAACTTTAAGACATTGAAAAAATTTCTGCTTTAATTCTGACAAGGGCTTTGGACTACAGGCACCCGCCACCATGCCTAGATAATTTTTTGTACTTTTAGTAGAGACGGGGTTTCACTGTGTTAGCCAGGATGGTCTCCATCTCCTGACCTCGTGATCTGCCCGCCTCAGCCTCCCAAAGTGCTGGGATTACAGGTGTGAGCCACTGCTCCTGGCCTGTATTTCATTCTTAATGACATGTGAAGAGCAGTTACATGACCAGATAAACGTTTCTAGAGAATTATTCACATGTTGTATTGAGGAAATACTGAAGATGACAAGATTTCAAATAAGGAAACCACATGGGAGGGTATTACTACACCAATAAATAATGGTGACCTTGACCAAGAAAGTGGCAGAAAAGGTAATTTTACATCTGTTAAAACTGATAATGATAATAATAATGATTTAATATTTTGTTTCCTTCATTTTGCTGGTAATTAATTTTTATTTTATTTTATGAAAGCTTTTGACAAATTTAAATTATAAAAAAAAACAAATAAAAAACAACTGCCACTTCTCTATATAATTTGAGATGAATTGCTTTTAAGTAAGGTGAGTACAGAATAGCTCATGCTTGTGTATGTTACTGAGCCTCTACTTTTTCTTGTGTAGTACATTTCCAATTTATTACACAAAGCTTTTGTTACCCTACTGCAAAGACTAGAAAACTTAGCACACATACAAAAATTTACAAATATATTTGATTAAAGTAGACGCAAAAATGTTAACAAAATATTAGCAAATAGAATTAAGCAATATATAAAACTCATGTACAATATAATCAATGGTGCTTATTTCAGGTATAAAAGCCTGGTTTAACAAATAAAAACTGATGAGTATAATCCATCATATCGATAGACCAATGAAGATAAGCATGTTTATTATTCTAATAATAAATTATTTTTATTATTTTAATAAATCAGTAATTTATATGCCTGCATACATATGCATATATTTGAATATATATATACGTGTGTGTGTGTGTGTGTGTGTGTGTGTGTGTGTGTGTAGTAATTGATCTATGCAATGATGGAAACTGTGAATCCCATGATCTGCTGTCTGTCTTAGAGAACCTGGACAGTTGGTGATACAATTCACTCTAAATCCAAAGGCCTGAAAATCAAGGCAGACAATGGTGCTTGTTCCAGTCTGAGTTTGAAGGCTCAAGAACCAAGAGAACTGATGTCTGAAGGCAGGAGAAGATGGATGCCCCAGCTCAAGTAGAGCAAATGCACCCTTCCTCCTAATTTCGGTTCTATTCAGGCTCTCAAAACATTGGAGGATGTCCCATGGCATTGGTGAGGGAACAGTTCTGTACTCAGTTTGTTAATTCCTATGCTAATCTCTTCCAGAAACACCCTGACACACACCCAGAGATAGTGTTTTATCAGCTATCTTGGCACTACTTAGCCCAGTCAAGTTGACACATATAATTAAATTATCAACAAGATGGAAGTTCTAGCCAATGCAATTAGAAAGAAAGAGAGATAAAAGACATTTCAGTTGGAAAGGAAGAAATAAAACTGTCCCTATTTGCAGATAATATGATTGTTTAAATAAAGAATTCCATTGTATATTCAAAGAAAACCTTCTAGAACTAATAAGTAAGTTGAGGAAGGTCACAAGACAGAAGAGAAGATTACAAACAAATTTCATTTCTCTGTATTAGCAATGAATACATGGATGTGAAAGTTAAAAACAGAAAAATACCATTTACATTCACTCCAAAAAAAAAAAAAAAAACAGAAAAAAAACCTAGGTACAAATCTAATGAAATGTTTATACGCTCCGTATGCCAAAAACGACATATTGAAGAAAGAAATAAAAAAAAAATCAGAATAAATGCAGGGAATTGCCATGTATTGGGTTGGAAGATTCAACATTATAAAGATGCCATTTGTCTTCAAACTGACATACAGATGCAGCATAATTCCTATCAAACTCCCAATAATATTTTTTGTAGATACATACAAGAATATTCTAAAATTTATATGGGAGGGGAAAGGAACCAGAATTGCTAAAACAGTTTTGAAAAAGAAGATAATAGGAGGAACCAGTGTAACCAATTTCAAGACATTATATAGCTACAATAATCCATACTTGGTGGTATTGACAGTGGCATCAATGGAACAGAACAGAGAACCCAGAGATAGAGCTGCACCAATATGACTACCTGATTTTTGACAAATCTGTAAAAGTAATTCAATGGAGGAAAGATTGCCTGTTAAAGAAATAACATCAAGCAATTAGAAATCCTCAGGCAAAATGCTAAGACAAAACAAACAGACTTCTGACTCACACCTTATACAAACATTAACTCAAAATATATCACAGATTCAAATGTAAATCATAAAACTATAACTTTTTCAGGAAAAAAACACTCATAACAAAATATTTGGGACCTTAGGCTGGGAGAAGATTTCCTAGAATTTACACCAAAAGCACAATTCATAAAAGGAAAAATTGATACATTATGCTTCATCAAAATTAATTTTTTAAAACTGTAAAAGACTCATTAAAAGTATGAACAATGAGCTTTAGACTGAAAGAAAATATTTACAAGTCATATATCTTAAAAAAAACTATTTAGAATATATGAGGAAATCTCAAAACTCAAACACATTAAGACAAACAATCCAATTAGAAAATGGCACAAAAACATGAAGAGGAGTTTCACTGAAGGGAACAGACAGATGAAAAATGAGCACATGAAAAGATTTTCAACATCATTAGCTATTAGATAATTGAAAATTAAAACCACAATGAGATATCACTACGCAGCTAAAAGAATGGTTCAATTTAAAAGTAGTGACAACTCTAAATTCTGCTGGGGAAAGAGAAAATATATTACTCATACATTGCTGGTGTGAATGTAGAATATTACAATCACTCTAGAAAATCACTTGGCTGTTTATTAAAAAAAATGCAAACATCATATGACCAATTTCTACATTCCTACACATTTATCCCAAAGAAATAAGAATTACACAAAAATCTGCACATGAATGTTTATAGCAGCTTTATTCATAATTGTCCAAACTGTAAACAACCAAGCTGTTTTCAAAAGATGAATGAAAATATCTGTTTAAATAAGAAATAAAATTGAATTTTAATGAAATCTAGAAAAAAGTTAATGGGTAAAACTATCCAAGATAATTTTTTAAGAGAAGAGTATTGAGCGGAAATTGCATCCCCAGATATTAAAATATATAACTATAAAAGCAAATGATGTGTTATCATCACAAATATTTAAGGGTATTAAAATAAAAAAGAAAAAATGTTTGGAAAATAAATGCTGTTTTGTGTAATATTTGTGTGTATTGTATTACATATTATATGATATGCACAGTGATAATATAAGGGCTTATTAATAACCACGAAAAGAAATTAAAAGAGCCAAGATTATCCAACCTCATTCATATTCATAGTAATGAAAGTCATAATATCAATGATTATTTATCTTATAATTTGGTGGACATTTATAATACAGTTAGACTTGGTGATTGATATGGTTTGGCTCTGTGTCCCCACCCAAATCTCACTTTACACTGTAATCCTCATAATCCCCATATGTCAAGGGGAGAACCAGGTAGAGGTAATTAAATCAAGGGGGTAGTTTCCTCTATGCTGTTCTCGTGATAATGAGTGAGTCACATGAGTTCTGATGGTTTTATGTGTCTGGTGTTTTCCCTGCTTGCACTCATTCTCTCTCCTGCCACCTCGTGAAGTGGTGCCTTCTGCCACGATTGTAAGTTTCCTGAGGCCTCCCCACCCATGTGGAACTGTGAATTAAACCTCTTTCCTTTATAAATTACACAGTCTCAGATATGTCTTTATTAGCAGCATGAAAACGAACCAATACAGTGATAATGAAGATGTAAATTAATAATAGCCCATATTGATATTGGAAACTTAATTTTATTTAAAAATTGACACCCAGTGCCAATTGTTTCAAAATTATATTTCTAGGAATCTAAAGCAATAATTGTTAAAGTACTTACATCATTTTTGTTATGCAATAGTTTATCTGATAAAATACTACTTACAATATTGAAAAACTGGAAAAGAAATAAATGGTTAAATAAAATACTGCATATGTGGATTTTGTAGGGATTACAGTTATATTTTTAAGTATTACAATGTTAGTATAGTAAATAGTATATAATATTAAGCCATTTCATATACAAAAGTTACCAATATTTGTTCAATATATATCTTGTACCTTGATATTTAAATCTACCTACAGAAAACAGTGCATATTATACATATGTATATATATAAAATATATAAGTATATAGATAACTAGAAGACATTTCACAAACATATTAATAGGGTTTATCTCTGTATTGCAACATAGTGATATTTTCCATATTTCGGGCTAAAAATGTTAAAGTAAAATGAAAGGAAACCAGAAATGAAGATGCATTCTGATCATCACTGTGTGTAGGAGCTGAATTAGGTAAAGGAATTTATTGATCAAAAGCAATGGACCTCTTGAGATGCTGCTGACCTGGATAATTCCTTCAATAATCTGGTCTAGCAGGCTCTATTTCTCCACATTTCCTCTAGTCCATCCCAATTAGTTCATTCTAAAGAGGTTAAATAACAGACATCCTGACCAAGATGCCAAAAAGCATTTGATGATGAGTTAAATCTGCCAAGCAATCATTGCTATTCATTGGTAAAATTAGATGTCCGTATGAGTGTGCATATAGAGGAAATTTCAGCATGTATTGTAACTGTGTGTGGCAATCTGTTGCCATGTAACACTCACTTCCCTGATATTTACTGTCAGACTTCATTCACAGATATTTCACAGACAGATGGTTCCTTTCACTGGCTCAGGAGCCACTTCAAAGTGTTCTGATTCCTGACCAAATCAAATATCATACTTCCTTTAGGAAGACTTTATTCCCAGCCGCAAACTTTAAAACAAAATCAAGAATAATCAGAAGGCTACACAACCCTTTCAGCTTAACTGTCTTCACAAGGGCAGACAGCAAAGGCTTCTTGACCATGGCAACATATTAGAAATTAAATCATATTTAATACTTCTTCAAAGACAAAATTAACATCATGGGAGAGACTCTTATTAAGACAACTGGCAGGAAATGTAACAAGAAATTCCACAGAGATTTGTGTTTGTCATTCACGTTACTTCCAAACTAAAACTGAAGGCATTGAATATACTATTTTCCTCTTAATTTGCATTCATATAGGCTATTCAGCCCTAAATTCTTTCAGCATTAGAACTTATTTTTCTGCTTGATCAGAATATACATTAACTTTTTAACAGTATGAGTTTAAGATTTGGAACAATTTTCTAGACAAAATTTTTACTATTATATTAAGTAGTTGCAAATTGCAGGAACATTAACATTTTAAAACAACCAAACTGAAACATAAGATGTTAATGGAAATTTTAATAATAATAAACACAATGCAATAATTTTGAGTTTTCAATTCTTATAGCATCTCTACCTTTCCTCTTTTAGAGTTCTTTTATCATTCAGACTTGATTGTAACTATTACACAGTTTAGGATCTGACTCTTACATCTGGACCTGGGAAGGCTGACTTACAAAGTATCCATTTTTCGCATGCAGTAGGCAATTCTCATGAATTTTGGATCTCAGAGGCCTCAGAAAGGCAATTTTCATTTTTGGTTAATACAATAGAAATGCAAAAAATGCTAATTTCAATAATTATAGGAGCAAAGTCAATAAGAGTAAAAATAGTCATTCAAATTGTGGCTTCTTGGAAAAATATTATTGAAATAGACCATTCTATTTGTATTTAATCTTCCAAAAATAAATAAAATATTAGCCTAAACTCTTTCTTCACTAAAGACATAAACAATTTAAGAATATTTTAAATTTATGCTTTTCCAAGTGGGCAATGAAATAAGACCAATGAAAGGAGCAACTTTTTTTAAAGCTTCATTTTATTTTTAATTTACAAATAATTGTGTATATTTATGGGTTATAATGTGATGTTTCAATAAGGGTCTAGTTTCAGAATAACCAAATCAGACTAATCAACATATTTTTTATATCAAATACTTATCTTTTTTGTAGAGAGAAGATTTAAAATTCATTCCTTTTGCTATTTTGAAATAGATAATACATTATTATTTACCATAGTCACCATGCTATTTAATAGATTACCAGAACCTTTTCCCCTTGTCTAACTGAAAGATTATACGCTTTGATCAACATATTGTTTTCCCATCTATCCCTCGGCTCCCAGCTTCTGGTAAACAACATTCTACTCTCTGTTTCTATACTGTCCACCCTGTTAGATTTCATATATAAGTGAGATCATGTGGTACTTTCTCTGTGCCTGGCATACTTCATTCAACATAATGTTCTCTAGGTCTATCCATGTTGTGGCAAATGACAGAATTTCCTGTTTTTTAGAGGATGAATAGTATTGTATTTTGTATATATACCACATTTTTTAACGCATTCATCAATTGATGTTCACTTAGGTTGTTTCCTCATCTTGGCTATTGTGATTAGTGCTGCAATAAACATGGTAGTGCACACATGTCCTCAACTTACTGATTTCTATTGCTTTAGCTATATACCCAGAAGTGGAAATGGTGGAAATGATGGATCATATGGTAATTCTATTTTTAGTTTTTTGAGGAACCTTTATACTATTTTCCAAAATGGCTCTATTAATTTACATTCCCACCAACAGTGTACAAGTGTTCCCTTTTCTCCACATCCTTGCCAATAATTGTTATCCCTCATCTCTTTGATAATAGCCAGTCTAATAGGTGCAATGTAGTATCTCACTGTGGCTTTTATTTTCATTTCTCTGGCGATTAAAGACATTGAACATTTTTTCATAGATCTGTTGGCCATTTGTGCATCTTCTTTTGAGAATTGTACATTTTATAATAGGTTCTTTGTTTTCTTGTCATTGAGTAGTTTGAGTTCCTTGTATATATTGGATATTAGCCCTTTATTCATATTAGCCTTTGTTTATTCTATTTTGTCTGCTTGGCATATATCATTTCTTTACTCACCATCAATATTTGAGTGAAATAACTTTTTACCCATTGTTTAATGGCTACGGATGCCTTCAATCATGTTAATGACTTTAATTTAGTCAACTCTGAAAATTAAATGGTTTCATTATTTAAGCACATTCTCTTCTCCTTTTACTAACCCATTCTTATATTCTGAGTATCTACAATTAAGTATCTTGAGACTCAAATATTTAGCATTCTCACTATCTCTCAGCTCAAACTTTACCTTTTTTGCTATCTAGCCCATATTTGATAGGGTCTTATATCAGAGTTTCTAAGCTCCACAGAGAAAAATCATACAAGCACAGGAAAGATTTTGTTCCTCACTCCTGTATAATAGTAGACCTGACTCTTCAGGCATTTCTCATTCCAATATAGTGCCATGCCATATTTTTTCTTTTATATTCTCCTCCCACCCTTAACAATTCTTCAAATTTTTAGTAAATAGAAATAACTATCATTTCTCTCAAAATCATAGACCATCAAGTAAGACACTCCCTCAAACTCCTCTCCTATCCTTGTTCCCCACTAGGTGCTTCCTAGTGGGGAACCTCTCTTTTCAGTAATAAGTATCTAAGGAACATTCCTGAAATGACACCTTGGATTCCCTGCTTTCTCCCCCATTACTTGCCATTTTTGGTACAATCAAAATTGCTTGAAATGAAAACAAAAATTTACAGGGTATCAAATCCCATAAATATCACAATATCTGTAAAAATAATAAAATAATTTTATTAACTGCCCTATGGAACTTGGTGATACTTTAAAAAAAATGAGCTTCAGTCTCTTTGGTTGCTTCTTCATAGGACAGTAATCTGATAATACAAGTTTCTCTAATAAGAATAGAAAAAGGAGTTAAGAATTTCTTTCAAATTATTATTGCTGATATTTTGAAAAGTTCCCTACTTCACAATTTGAAAGTTGTAGTGACATACAAAGTTTTGTGATTCATATGAAATTTGGAAAAGCATTTAAGTTTCTTTTAAATTTAACTTGATAGATTTCAGGACATATGTGATACAACCTCTGGTCCTGTCTTTCTTGTCGAGACGATGGGTGAGTTGGCACAGTGAAGGTGAGGAACATTCTTTGCAGTCATTGCTGTTGCATGCTGGCTTGCAAGAATATAACTGTACACTGAAATGACTGTGAACTACAAAAATACATCCCGCTAAACCAAAACTAAATGTATTTCCAACTCAACTTCCTTTTACCAGATCCCCAAAAACGTCTGTGGCCACTGCAATGCTACCTTAGATGAAAGGATGTGTGTCTGAGGGAGGTCTAAGTGGAAAATGACAGTGGTCTTTACAAGTGTGGTTAAAATACCTTACTTCTGCACATTCTGAATAAAACATATGACCATGCAAACGCATTCCTGGAGTCCTCTCTCAGGACCTTAAAATCCAGGCTCAAGCAAGTGAGAGTTCTGTGGCTTAATGGGAAATATCCTTATGACTATCTATATTATATTTTTATATATATTTTCACACTTTCTTCGGTTATTTTCATTGTCTTCCTTTGCTCTGATACTTGATCTTCTTGTCTGTTTCTCCACTACTCTCTGGACAAGGAAGATGCATAATTATTTATGTATCTTCAGTGCCTATCAAAGTATCTAGCACAGAGACTCTCATTGAAACATAAAGAAAACTGGTTTATAATTTTGACAATTATAAAAAGAGTTATGAAAATATAAAATTAGATAAATAAAATAAAATATGTTCATAAATAATCAAACAAATTGAAAGTATTATTGCGGACCTTTTGGGGAAGATCAGGTGAGAAATTATGGTAGTTTGGACAAGGTCAATGGTAGTGAAGAAGGATACAGAGGGTACTTCAAATTGTATCTTTTGTAAGTAGAATCAGCAGAACTTTCTGACAAATTGGAGTTAGTAAAGGGAGAGTGAGGTATAGGAAAGCATTGAGTGTTTAATTTGTGATTCCAGGTTTCTAGCTTGACCAACTGTATAGACTGGAACTAAAATGAGAGAGAATGAATAAACACCATGTTCTGGGTAGAAAATTGAGACTTTACTTTTTGGCATATGTTCATGTGCTTGAGACATATTGAAGATTAGAGGTTGAGTAGGTAATTCAAAGTGGCTGACAGCAGAAAAGACCAAGGAGCCTCAGAATATCACAGAATAAAAACAATGGCTTTGCCAAAAAGCCTTTCAATAATCCGATGTGGTTATGAGTGTCAGAGGTAAGTAGAAACAAGTGGTCAGTAGTGAAGAATGAAAAGTGGGTGAAACAGTGATGGAATGGAGAGAGGAGGCTACTTAGCTACTTCAGTACAGGGAGCTACTTAGCTTAGTACTATTCATCAGTAATAGTAGTCTGAGTTAGTGGGGAAGCATGAATGTGCTTTGGACAAAATCACAGGCAGAAGACTGTAGTCTAAAAAAAATCAGTTTAATGACTATGCAATGTAAAAAGCCACTCCAGGCAAACAGTGGAATGACACTCAACAAGAGGAAGGGGAAAAGTATTTTTGTAAGGTTTGGGTTTTCTCATTTTCCAACCGAGGGGTTTTGAGGAAGGAACTAAGAGAAGCACAGATTAGCTGTTTCTGTGATGAGATTAGGAGAAGAGGAATTAAGTAGGGTTTGGTTGCTGTCATGAGGCGAGAGTAGTTTAGCAACTGAGTATCCCCAGTAAGAGATGGGTGTGGCAAAGTGGATTTGGAACATCATTGGTAAGAAAACGGTAGTTACTAAAATAGGTAGTCATGTCGTTTTATAGCTGCTGCATGACTTTGGGAGAAAGTATGTCTCCTGTTAACTTTGAAGCTTGGCTTTATATGTCTGTTCTTATAGCCTGGTTAAGAGTGAGGTTACTTTTTTTTTTTCCAGTATGAGCCGATTTTCACTTTTAGTCCCAGATAAGTTTTACCTCTTTAAAAACAGGTGAAATGGCCAAGCTAGTAAACATGACTGGTTTGGGGATAAAACAGGTAAAGCTGGCCCACTGGCAAACAGGGGGATTAGTGACAAGGCCTACTTGCAGGCAAATATTTGACAGATATCTTCATCTCTTTAACAACAGGGAGATTTGTAATGATGATGCTACTTACCATTCTGTCCTGTATATTCTTTGAACCCCAAATTTTCCTTTTAGACTTCTATCCCAGGAAGTTATTCACAGATGTACACAAGGCTTTATACAAAGATGTTCATCACCACATTGTATATGTTACCCAGATTATCAGTTATGTTTTCTCTGTATTTTGAGGTTACAAAAATGATTACCTCTATTTCTCCTTTGTTTGGACCCATGTATTTCAATATCAGTGTTTTGCATGGATAAATTTTTTTTATTCTTCAAGATTTTTGACTATTTACCCGTTGGATTTGAGTTTCTTCTTCCAATAGAGTTTAAGTTGCAAGTGCATAAGTCTTTTCTCTTTACTCCGTAACAAACCAGATCTAATTTTCCTTTATTTATTTATTTTTTTTGAGACAGAGTCTCACTCCTTCCCCCAGGCTGGAGTGCAGTGGCGGGATCTCGGCTCACTGCAAGCTCTGCCTCCCGGGTTCACGCCATTCTCCTGCCTCAACCTCCCACGTAGCTGGGACTACAGGCACCCGCCACCACGCCTAGCTAATATTTTGTATTTTTTTTTTTAGTAGAGACAGGGTTCCACCTTGTTAGCCAGGATGGTCTTGATCTAGAACCTGACCTTGTGATCCGCCCGCCTCGGCCTCCCAAAGTGCTGGGATTACAGGCGTGAGCCACCGCGCACGGCCATTTTCCTTGATTTTTATTTCTTCTAAAATACATTTATGAGGCCGGGCGCAGTGGCTCACCCCTGTAATCCCAGCATGCTGGGAAGCCGAGATAGGTGGATCACCTGAGGTTAGGAGTTTGAGAGCAGCTGGCCAACATGTCAAAACCTCGTCTCTGCTAAAAATACAAAAATTAGCCAGGCATGGTGGCAGGCGCCTGTAGTCCCTGCTACTCGGGAGGCTGAGGCAGGAAAATCACTTGAACCCAGGAGGCGGAGGTTGCAGTGAGTCAAGATTGCACCATTGCACTCCAGCCTGCACGACAAGAGTGAAAACTTCGTCACAAAGGTAAAATAAAATAAAATAAAATAAAATAAAACAAAATGAAATAAAATACATTTATGTGTGAATAGTAATCTTCCTTGGGGTTTTGAGAAACTCAGTTCATTTACTTTGTTCAATTATTTGAAACAGACTTTCTTTTTCTTAAAAACTTTTTGCCTCTTAATATTAATTCCTCTTAGGTCTCTTATTCTGTAAGTTCCTTGATTCTTTTATTTGCCTCCAGATTAGAGTTCTAGGTCATAATCTAGGTCATAAGCATCCTCAAAGAGTTTGCAGATAAAAATTCTAGAATCCTGTTGAACTTTTACAGAAAAACATTTTATCTATATATTCACTAACCTCAAAACTATTAGTAGTACTTATGACTCTGTCACCAATAGATATTTCTTTGATCTTTCTTATTATCTTAAAAATGCTGTAGAAATCTTGAAATGCTATCTACCTTGTCACTCCTTTGAAATCATGGTTTTAGTTAGAGCCACCACTGTATTTGTTTATTTAAAGTATAAACTTGAAAGCCCATCTATTTCAATATAATTGGGTTTCCTTATAATTCTATGTATTTTATTTTATTCATTTCAAAGCAATATTGTGAAAAGAGGTCCATGTGTGAGAGCCATGTGATTCTTCTTTTAAGGGACTGAGCAGACCATATCCTTCTAAGTAGACTATATCCCTACAAATTTGGGATTTCCTCAGAAGAGAGTTAACCTTCCCAATGTCAATCATTATGGGAATAAATTTATCATGGGGCAGAAAATATGAATTGTAGAGATAGAATAATGTCTTCCTCTCAGTGCTTGCTGTGAAAAACTATAGATGATGAGAAATGTGGATACCAGAACATTTCTGGTAATGAGAAGTGATCTGATCCTTCCTTGTGGAAATAAGCAGTGACCCAGGTCAAGATGCAGCCATATAAGAGACCTTAATCAGACCTCAGTAGGCAGTCGCTGGGAGGTGTCCTGTCCATCAGATGACATGAGCCACATGCTGTGCTGTGTTTCTCTTAAGCAATATGCATTTCCTGAGTGAGAGACTACATGAAGCCCCCAAGTCTCCTCTCTCAAAGTTAGATAATTAAGAGATGAAAATATTTTGTGTTTTTTCTGATATACCATGTGGTACAAATAGCAATCAAAATCTAAAATTAAGCAAATAATCTAGGATTATTAGATATTAACTATTAAAATATAGTGTGACCTCTGAAATACTGTCAAACATAAATAAACACATAATTAATTCTGGCAGGAGTAGAGCATTTCTCTCCAGAGAGATTAGACAAGTTATCTACCCCAATCTCAAAAGATGTATTCACATTTGTAAAATCCTTTCAGGCATACTTACTTACCAAGTGTTACTCTTTGGGAAATTATTTAACCTCTCCAGTCCTCAGTTTACCTATATGTAAAATTTGTATAATAAGAGTACTTAATGTATAAAGTTCTTGTGATTAAAGATGAGTTAATAGAAAATAACCCAGAAATGTGATTGTAATATATATGGTAAACACTCAACATTTTAGTTGCTTTTTTAATTGTTGTCATTGTTACTGAGCCTTTTAAGAGCCTGCAGTGCATACTTAAGATTCCCATATTTTGGCTTCCTTTTCCCAGTACACTGTACATCTTAGAAGACACAAAGAGCATTGGCTTCCTGGCTTCTACTCTGAAATGTAATTATGCATTCCATACTAGATTTAGCTACATAATGAAATCCAAATTAAAACCAAAAATGCCCCATGTTTCTTGTTAAACACTATGGAAATCCTGATGCAGAATGGAATACATAGGATAGAAGTAGTTATGAAACATTTCAGTTCATTCCCAGTCTATTGCTTGCAGCCACGAGTTCTTAAATACATACTCAAGTTCTAATTTTCCTTACTAGTGCCTTGACTACCTAACCTGAATGACTTGTTCTGGATTAGATCTAGACAGTGATCTGAATCAAAAGTATGTAAGGCTGATAATTAGAATTGATAATTAAAACTTTCTAAGGAAGTGTCTCACTCTTTTCACTAATTAAAATTTTAAAACCCCTATTAAGGACTCTGCTGGCTTTCCACATTGTGGTTTTGTTTAGAGACTGTGGACTTGAAAAGCAAAATAAAATTTAAATGTTCAGCTTACCAGGACTTTAAACTCTTTCTTATGCGACTCAGAAGAGAGCTGGCATTTTACATGTTTCCTACTTCTATATGAGATCAAATTCTGTAACGTCCTTTTTTATTATCAATAACATAGATTCCATTTATTAATCTAATATGCACCAGGTATAGAATGAAGTGTTTTACATAAATTTAATTTAAATAATACAAAAACTAAAAAAATAAAGAGTCTAAAATTGATGCCACTTTGACCAAATCATACAGCTGACAGGTATCAGCACTGGATTCAGAATAACTATTTTCTGACTATAAAACTATATAGTCGACCCATCTGATTATTACAATTCTGTATATAAGCACTCCAAAAAATACTTATGGAGCAGCAAGCACTCATTTATGTGATAAGGGTACAGAAAATATTAAGAAATCATCTTTCTCATGTGAAAGCTAAAATCAATAGTTCGATCTAGAAAATTATATAGATTCAAGTATAGCCTCACAGGCCATTACACCAGAAAATGTGGTGTCTCTTGGGTGCATTGAGGAAGGCACTTAGCTATTTGCGGGGAGGCTAATCAAATGATCGCAAATATCTAATTTGTTGAATTGAAATGTATCTATTAAAAACATAAAATACATACATGTTTAAAGACTATCTGGGGACTTATAATACTTGTTTTTAGTATTGCACTTGCTTATTTCGTAATGTAATTTCTGATTGACATCATTTTTTATGCCACTACTTTTTTCCATAAAAGTTCATCTTTTTTCTCTCTCCATTTTTTTTCTATTTCCTCTAAAGAATTGGAACTTTGTTCTTTGCATATACTGCCATGTCCTGAAATTATAATTCTTAGTTCTTTCAACCTGCCCCTTCCAATAATGGCATGAGAGAAAAAAAACTACTAAGCATGCCAGTTGGCTCTATTTTGTATCATAAGGAAAAACTACATCTGCTTTTTGGATTAAACTGTGCTTATAAAACCATGCCTATTTAGTTGACAGGAGAAAAAAGTATAATTTACATGTTTTAGTAGACTTCAGAGCTTTAATTCACCCTAAGTTTACCCTTGGAGAAAAAAAACTGAAAATTTTAATCTGATGGTTGTTAGCCAGCTGTTTTCTTTTAGACTGGCAGCATGATGTTTGCCAGACTTATGACCACTTATGCCAATCCCTATTAGAGACTAAATGCTGTTTGCCCCACATACTTGTTCATGTGACATAAAATTAGTTTCAATAAACACTCATCAAAACCATAAGTTAATTCAGAAAGTATTTTTAAGTCACTTGTTTTGTGCATTATTCAGTGCTGGTGCTGTAACACATGTGAAGAAATTGACTACGTGGCCTATGGTTCTGAGGACTTCCAGTTGCTTAGTGGAAGGGAAGGAGGATGGCAAAACCTGTAAAAACCTCATAGATTCATTATTGCATAAGATCAGGGGATCTCTGATTCAAAAAACATGCAGATTATTAACATGAAATGAGTTAAGTGGTGGGAGAAAATGTGTATGGCTGAAGTGTTCAGATAAGTCTTCATTGAGGAGGTACAAAATGGGAATAAAGTATGAGGTGCAAAGGAAACTGCTCCCCCTTTTAAAATGATATGAAGAAAATGGTTTCTTTTTGTAAATTAGAAAAGAATACACTGGTGTGAAGCTCTGGACTATATGAGAGTAAGAAAAGCATTTTATCAGTTCTAATATTTTGAATTAATAAAGGCTTATTTAATTATTTAGCAAGTATTTAAAATTTTACAAAATCTGCTTCTCGAGTAGAAAACAATGGATGAGTTGCTACCTCAGTATAGAACTGGAATACTAGCTTGTGTTTGCATGGTTAATATTTAAAGTCATGTCACATAAAAATTTTATTCAGAGTGCTACTGTCTCAGTGTTCTGAAGGTATAAATCCTAATGATCTCTATATCTTAAATTTCTTTATAAATGTTGAGTTTCAGAAACAAGTTAGGGATAAAGGAACAGAAGTGTGTACTGAAAGAGACTTATCTCTAAGTCAGTAAGTCTCTTACACAGATCAAAGAAGGTATTTCAAAGGTCCAATAAATTTTCAGTGCCTACAATCAGCACTTAGGAAACCTATTTGGACATGCCTTCCAAAGACTTTTTCATGCCAGTTTCACTTGACTTTTCATTATATCAAAAAAAGACCGCAAATTCAGGAGAATAAAATGGGAAAAAAGCATTAGCAGTCTAAAAATAATGTGGAAACTCAATTGTTTAATTTTGAGATGGTATTCTTAAAGTCATTAAAGAATTTGAAATCTTATAAATAAAACTCGAGTATCTGGAGGCTAAATGCCCTTGAAACTTAGAGACTAATATTGCATATTTATGAAAATGCAAACTTTGGTTAAATCAGCTTAGTTTTTGTTGTTGTTATTTTGTTTATTCTAAGATACAGTTATATATTGAGTTTTTTAAAAACTCAAAATTTTTTGAGTTTATCAAATTGATTGAATTAGGTAGTTACTTTGGCGTTATGTACTCAGTCTCAGTGTGGAAAAAAATAAAATGATAATTTACATACTAAAAATAAATAATTTTAGGTGGAAATCTGTCATCAAAACATTTTCCAGCACTAATATTACTGAAAATAAAGTTTTCTTTTTTTAAAATTAACATTTGAAAGCATCTTATATGGGCAGAATTTTATGAAATTATTTCGCTAAAAATAGATAAAAATTGAAAGAATTTATTATGAAAAAGTGCCAACAAATAGCAAATTAGGGATTTTCATCAACAGATGGCTCTTAAAAGTCCAACTTTTCTCCCATCTGTAAATGCCATGATGCAACTGAAAAAAAAAACACCTAGGATCTCTAGCTTATTAATACAATTATTATTTATTTATATACATTTACAGATGGGAAGTTTTCTGCTTTAATAATTTGTTATTTTGCTCTGGAAATTGAGACATATATATATCTTAAAAGCTATTTTGTCATAGTAACTTAAAATTTGATCTGGAAAAAGTATTCTTTATAATTTCTATTTCATGTAGCACTATAAATGAGATATTAAAATATGAATTTTTGAATATGATTATATTATTTATAGTAATATGTGTAGCACTATACCATATTAATAATATTTGAAATAATTTTGTGTCTCACATTAAAAGAACAAAATGTTCTTTTTTTATGTATTATAGAAGTATAATGTAGCTACCTTTTACCTTATGGTTAATTATTTTTAATAAATTGTTGAAGAGAGTTTTATGACTGGGAATTTTATTACAAAGCATACGGATGTAGAAGCAAAATGGCTAGGTCTTGAACTTTTAAAATTTGAATTATCATCCAGTAATTTGCCAATCTGTTCTATCATTAAACACCAGACATATCAAGACAAACGTGATTGTCCTTGTACTCAAAGACCCAAGGTCTTATAAGAGACACAGTCAAATAGGTAGATAATTAATTTAAAATGCTGTCAGTAGAGAGAGGAATGTACAGTTTCCAAAAAATAATTCAGAGGCGAATACATGAGGATGGGGTAATTAATTTTACTGAAAAAGCTAGGAAGGGAATGTCATTGAAATACTTGAAAATTTAGTGGAAACAAGACACTGAAATCCTAAATAAAGTTAACAGTAAGGTTCCCAATAAAAATGTAAAAATGTTTAATACTTGCTATGTTGGTCTGACTGCATGGGCACCATTTTAGTCAATTTAAAGCACCACATTTATAGGAGACACTGGTAAACCGAACTACATAAGGATGATTGAGATCAACACTAAAGATATTAGGAACTGCTCAACATGAGAAAGTTTCGAGAAAATGAAGTAAACAAACTTGAGATGTGACACTCTTTAGATTTTCTGAAAAAGGGTTAATGTAAGGCGGATGTGTTTCTATAAAGAGGAGAATTAAAACCAATACTAGTTATTGGGAGGACAGATTTTAGTCAAATAATAACAAAGAAAAATGCAAAAAAAAAAAAAACTTAAACCATCTAACAACATAGATTTTGTATAGGCACACGTAATGTTATTGTATTTCAATTTATCATGCTTCGCAGATATTATATTTCTTATACATTGAAGGTTTATGGTAAACCTGCATGGAGCAAATTTGTCAGTGCCATTTTTCCAACAATATGTGCTCACTTCGCATCTTTGTGTCACATTTCAGTGATTCTACCAATATTTTAAACTTTATTATTAGTATATTTGTTAAGATGCTCTATTATCAGTGATGTTTGATGTTACTATTGTTTTGGTACCCAATAAAACACCCCCATATAAGATGGCCAAATCAGTTGATAAATATGTGTATTCTGACTGCTCCACAAAAACCTTCTGGAAAGGATTCACCATTCTAGATGTCATTAAGAACACTAATGATTCATGGGAGGTCAAAATATCAACATTAATAGGAGTTTTGAAGAAGTTCACTCCAACCCTCATGGATGATTTTGAGGGATTTAAGACTTCAATGGAGGAAATAATTGCAGATATGGTGAAAATAGCTAGAGAACCAGAAGTAAAACTGGAGATGGGATTGATTTGCTGCAACCTCATGATAAAATTGTAACAGATAAGGAGTTGCTTCTTATGGTTAAACAAAGAAAGTAGTTTCTTGAGGTGGATTTGAATTCTGATGAACATTGCTGACATGACAACAAAGGATTTAGAACATCAAATAAATGTTGATAAAGCAGTGGCAGGGTTTAAAAGGATTGACTCCAATTTTCGACAGAAGTTCTACTATGGATACAGTGTAATCAAACCACATTGAATGCTTGTATTTTCATGCTGCTAATAAAGACATACCTGAGACTGGGTAATTTATAAAGAAAAAGAGGTTTAATAGAGTCACAGTTTCATGTGGCTGGGGAGGCCTCACAATCATGGCAGAAGGCAAAAGGCACATCTTACATGGCAGCAGGCAACACAGAAATGAGAACCAAGGAAAAAGGGAATCCCCTTATAAAACAATCAGATCTTTTTAGACTTGTACCCTCCCATGAGAACAGTATGGGGCAACTGCCCCCATGATTCAGTTATCTCCCACTGGGTCCCTCCCAGGACATGTGGTAATTATGGGAGCTACAATTCACGATGCAATTTGGGTGGGGACACAGCCAAACAATATCAATGCTGCAGAAAATTTTTCATAGAAGGGCAAGTCGATCAAAGTGGCAAACTTCGTTGTCATCTTAGTTTAAGAAATTGCTGCAGCAATTCCAACATTCAGCAACCACCACAGTCACCAGCCACTAAGATTGAGGCAAGACCTTCCACTAACAAAAAGAGGACCCCTTGCGAAAGGCTCAGATAATTGTTAACATTTTTTTAGCAATGAAGTATTTTTTAATTAAGGTATGTACATAATTTTTGTCGACATTATGCTATTGCACATTTAGTAGACTACAGTGTGATGTAAACTGGAAAACCAAAAAATATATGTGACTTCCTTTATATCAGGGGTCTGGAACCGAAGCCACAATATCTCCAAGGTATGCCTTTAGGTATGTAGAATACTGCAGGTAAAAATTCTATTAAAATATACAAATTTCAATTTGTTTCATGTTGTTTTGTTTTAATCTTCACATAAATTACAGCACAAAACAGTATGCAATATGTAGCATGAGAAATTTTGTTGAATAGTAGGTTCTTGAGGTTTCAATATGGCTTTTTGTAATCTCTAATTCTCATGTGAACATTGACATATCTAATTTAGAAGCTGTACAACGGTTTAAAGACCTACAACTAGCAAGGATGAAAATAAAGGGGCTATCGGTTCTTGTGCTTTAGGGCATTAACTGCTTTCCAGATGGCTTACAGAAATACATACCCTGCAGTGTAGTTTATTAGGTGCATTAGCATGATTTTATGACATTTTCAAAAACACTTGACAATGGCAACTTTTAAAACAAAATACTGAAATAAATACCTTACAATTTCTAGTTCCGTGTCAATTTTAGACAATTTTTAATTTGTAAAATAATAGAATTAAATTAAATATGACCTTTTTACAAATTTTACAAAGCATACAAAGTGAATTCTTACTTATGAAGTATTGAACAGTATTTTCTTTTTCAATGTCATTTTAACAGATGATTATAATGATTATTTATAAAGTTTACATGTGAAAAATCAAGTTCACCTCCCTTGTTTTTATGCACTGTAGCATTTTTGAAGGACATTAAAAGAAGGTATGAATTTGATGTATTCTGTTTAAGTATGGTAGTGCAGAAATGCAAAAATGTAAAGTTGTGACTTGTGGTATTGATTGGAATTTCATGACTGTATTTTATTCAGATAAGTTAAAGTTAAAAAAATGTATAAACATATGATTCTCTCTTCTCAACTCCATAGTTTTGAAGATTTTAAGAGACACAGAGAATATATTTACACAAGAGGTATTTGAGAAGGCTTGAGGTTGTATACTGTATTCTAGGCTTATGGTAATAGAGTTTGGGAAAGAATGACCCCTTCCACCCTCACACACACTCACTCACACATGCATACCTGATAGAGTTGCAATTTATGCATCTTAATCTCTGACCAGTGGAGCCATTTTTATTAACCTGCTTTGGGTAGAAAAAAAATGGAGGTAATACTTAGAAAGAAAATTATTTTTATAGGGAATTTTTCTGATAATTAGTGAAGTGTTCTCAAGATGACAGTGAAAGAGTTAGTGAGGTCAAACAGGGGTGCTTGATTGTGAAAGAGTAGAAGATGGGAGATAGCCTGTTGAGTCTTAGCTTCTAATTGTAGCATAAGTGAAAAGGGATGCAGGTTATAACAAGATTAATTCTGCTTTAATCTTGTTTGGAGATGGTTTATCAGTTCTCATTGTAAATATGTTTTTAGAGATTTGTTTTCTAAACGGATGATACTAGTGAAACAGGAAAAGTTGAGGGAAAAGAAGGAGGCCTTGCCCGACCTTGTGGACTATCTACAAGAGCCTCCTTTTGTGTTCTGGCAGATGAATCTGTAGAGGCCAGGAGAGTGAGATTTTATTGAAACAATGGCTATGCATATTATTCTTGTCATCCAATCAATATAGCATTCGATATAATTTGTTTTAGATTTAGAGTTATTTTAATGAATAAATAGAATAGAAATTATCAATTTACTTATAAATTTAGTCTTTTAGCAATAATTTCTGAATTTATACAGAAGATTCTTCCAGGAATTAGATTTATTTTTAATATTTTAATTTGGAAATTATTGTAGATTTACATGCACTTGTAAGAAATAATAGCGATATCCTGTATATTCTTCACCCAGTTAATCACGATAGCATCATTCATGACTATACTATAATATCACATAAATAGAACGAATTGTTTCCAATAAATAAGTAAATGTTTCACAATTCTGGCAGTCATTGTTGCACTCACTTAGAAAAAAATTAACAAGATAAAGAGGTAGTAATATAAAAAAATTCTAGATGAAAGTATTAAATGTTGAGGCAGGCAGATCATTTGAGGTCAGGGGTTCGAGACAAGCCTTGCCAACATGGTGAAATCCAGCCGCTACTAATGATACAAAAATTAGCCGGGCATGGTGGCGCATGCCTGTAATCCCAGCTACACGAAAGGCTAAAGCAGGAGAATCGCTTCAGCCCGGGAGGCGGAGGTTGCAATGAGCCAAGATCATGCCACTGCACTCTAGCCTGGGTGACAGAGTGAAACTGTGTCTTAAAAAAAAAAACAAAAGTGGCAAATGTGAGCAATGTATGATAAATCTATAATGATTTTAAAATAGTATTGTTTCAAGAATATGATAATCAATTAAACACATATTTTTAAAGAGCAATGTATAATAAACAAATTTTACAGATCACCAAGAAATAGAGACCATTAATGATAGTGGTACAATTGTTCACTTTCAGAAGAAATACTCTTTTAAAAACCTCAAAAAGGAATATAACAAAACGTGAAGCAACCTTAATATATAAAACTTATCATGATCTTGGTTAATCTTGTATTTCTTACTTTTAATATAATTTTAACCATAAGAAAAATTTTCCATTTCCTGTGTGAGCAAAGCAGCAGAAACACTATACAAATAAATGACAACCTACACTTAGACACATGACATTCATTTAATAAAATTATTTAGACTCTTCTATTCAACAGGCTTTATTCTAGGTCCTGGAGAACCTGACAGCCAAAATTTGAGTGATCTAAACAAAGAAGAAATGTCCATTAGTGATAATTGCCATGAATACAGAAGAGAGAAACAGGACGGAGATGGAGCTGAGTAGGAAAATGGTGAGGGAGGCTCTCAGGCAGTTCCATATGAAGCCTAACCTTTATGACTCAGAGAAGAAGGGGTCTGAATTATGAAAAAGGAAAAAATGGGCACCCTGTTTAAGATGCAGCTGTCCATTCAAACTTAATAGGTTGTCACTGTGTGTTAATGAGATACCCATGCTATCAGATTCTCTTAATTATAATATAAGTTAGAAAATGGATTCTTACAGAAAAACTGTGGATTTTTAAACGTTGGTTACTAAATTAAGTTTAGAATTGATGCTGCCCACTGAATCAATTCAGGGCAAACTTATTACATTATTATACCAAATCCCTCAAGCCACTGGTGTCCAACCACTAACATAGATCATCCTTATATGTATATTTTGGCCACATAAAGAGTTCATTTTCTTCATTAAAGAAACAAGAATTTTCAAAGTCCCATGAGTGCAGTGAATATGTACTCCCATAATCCACCAGTTTGTCATTTTGTATTCTAGATCATTAAATATTTTCTCCTAGCATTCTTATAGAGTCCATATTGCTTCACTGTAGAAGGGGGAATTCTAAAATTCCAGAGGTTCAGTGAGTATTTACTGCCTGGTGATTTATATCATTTCACTCTATAGATTTTATAGGTTCACTTGTTATGATACATGATAAATATGCTTTGTCTGAGCTGCAGTTCTGGGATAACCATCAGATTGGGAGCCCCCCAAACAATTAAATCACCTCTCATATTTTTTAATGACTATAGGGAGCTAATTATGTCTAATTTTACTGAAGGAGTATAAATAGACATGAACTTCAAATATTATTTTCATCTTCTCTAATCATATTTTGTAGTTTAAAAAATGTGCATACTTAGTTATTACAGTTTTAAAGGTTATTTTTATAACATTTCTATACTCCAAAGTCTGAATTTTTTAACTTGTTCTACCAATTTGGCAGTGGCAATAAAGGCAGAGAAGTGAACAGCAGTTAATATAAACACTAAAGCTTTTTCAAATTAAAGCTTACCTGCGTAGATAGAGTTTTAGTACTTTGAAAATCTAAAGGAAAATACAAGTTGTGTATTCTCATTAAATAACGCAGTTAATAATTAATTTTATAGCATGAATATTTCAAAATATTTTACACACCTTAATCAGTGTTCATGAATCCCATTTGCATTTGATATTACTGCATGCCTACGTGTATATTATGATAAATTTAGTGTAGAAGACAACTTTACTATTTACTCACCAAATTTATTTTGTCATATTGAGCATATATTTTCTAAGAGAATAATTCTGCCATTATAATTCAAAATAGTATAGATTTTCCGCAGATAAGGAGGGTTTTTTTGTTTTGTTTTGTTTTGTTTTGTTTAATAACAGATGTACCGAGGGAAGCTCTGGGCTTTGTTAAAGAGCATATATGTCCTAACAGATAAATCGTTCAATTAATATTTATCTGGTATTCACCCCTTCACATTTTTCTTCTCTCCCCAATTCAACAATCTCCTCCAATATAAAAATCCATAAATAATAAGTAAATAATAAATTATACTACAGTGGAAGAAAATGTAATATACTTAATATTTTTCTGGGTCAAACCCATGCCTAAGGTAAATTTTAGAAAAAAAGTGTTTGCCTTATGTGAAAATGAAAGACATTGGAAAACTCTTTAAAAATGTAAAGTAATTATTAAGAGAAAGATCTCATTGAATTTCCAAATACTTTCATAAATTTGATAACCTATTAATATTAGTGATGTTTAGTACCTGTGTATATATTTTAAAAATTTCTTTGCATTCAGCCTTTTTACTATTTATGGAAAGCAAATAAGGATTGTTGCATGAAATTTAATAATTTTATAAACCAATTTAGTAAAGAAAATATTGGTTTTGGCTGTAGTTGAAAAATAATTTTTTAATATTAATTATATCTCAAACAGAAAGTTATATGTGAATGTGAGTACAGACAAAACATAAATTTATATTTGATTACTGGCATTATATTACTAAAAAATGTCTATTAGTTGAAAAGATATGCTATCATAATTAAAAATTCATTGATTCTAGTTATGACAGTAAATAGATTTTAAATTACTTATAAAATAGATATTCATTTTCTCTGTCTATAATGGTATTGAGATATGCATATATAAACTAAATTAACTTTGTAAGAGTGGTAATCTGATTCATTTTTTTGTTGAGGTTGGCAGGGCATAAATAATTAGTGATTGCTTTAAATTTAGTCAAAAAAAATCATCTATATTGTAATTCAGTTGACCTTTGTCAATGAATCATAATTTAGGATAACTGTAGAGATTCATTACAAAAATAAAAAATAAGCAAAGCTATATTTACAGTATAAAAAATCAGCTAGGGTTTAATGTAGTATATTAGCATGATCATAAACGTAATTGACTGCATATCACAAATCCATGATACAAAATATTAGACACATGAAAGTATTATAGTTCAGAGTTCATTCTAATTTATCAAAGATTTAGAAGTAAATGATTCAAATGTGACATTTGAAGCAATGTAACAGATAAAGATTGATTTTTTTAACCCCAGAATTTCACCCTTAAAAAATTAGAAAATGGGAAGATTAATGGCTTAATTTCCAATTCAGTCTTAGTCTCATTTTAAGTCTTTCCATCATTCTATGTGCACCTTTTTCAGCAGAATTGGGAGTCATTATACTCAATTATTTTTATAAAGGAAGAACTGTTCCTTTATAAAGGAAGAATATTATTAAACGAATACCTAATAAATGAGAATTTTACTCAAACTAGTACAAACAGCTTATAGGGATTATTTCTCAAATTATTCCTAGAACTATGGGGATATTATTAATCATGTATATTTGCCAATAGTCACAATAAACACACACAAATTATTAATAAACAAAACTATCTTTACATTAAGGACAACATAGAGAGATTATAATATTTTCCCCAAAGCAGTCAGCTACCAGATTAGAGACAACAATGGAGGACTGGATAATAACAAGACATGAATTAGAATTAGAGTCATGAAATGTTGTCCCAGATTGTCCCATTTATAATAAAACGATCATGAAAATATAAAAGGAAAACAAGTTTAAACGATATGATTTTTATACATAAGTGCTAGAGCAGTATTTAAATCATTCAATAAATTTTAATAGTTTTTGTGCATGTGGGTTTGACTATGTGTTGTGTGTGTGTTTTTGTTTGTGGATGTTTAACATAGGAAGACCAAAACTTTCAAAACATTCATTAATTTTATTATAAACTATAGTCTATTGTAAGCATAAACTTTTGTAATTTGAGTTAATAACTTTTTCTATTGACAAAGGAACTCCACAATAGCTGAGAGTTCCCCCTTACATAACAACCCAGAAAGAGCCATTGTTCAATGGGTTTATGCCCTTTGAGCATAGATAATTGATCATAAATCTTTAGTCGGCCCAGCTGGTGTTCCATATGACTGCAGAAAAGCACCATATGGCCTCACACACTCACAAGGATCCTCAGCACTCACAGGTTAGGGATTAAAAATCTGTCACACTATTAAGAATCGAACTGCTCTCAAACTGGTGGAAAATAAATGATATCCCATTTAAAGCGAAGAGAAACAGCTTTTTCAATAGGCTGATGGCTATTTCTGCAGTTCCTATACTGTTCTGATAATTTCCATATAATTTAGGGACCCGAAAAATTCAATGAGATCACATTTTAAAGTCCTTATGCCTTGGAGAAAAGCACTAAATTGTGGCTTTGCTCAGTCCTAACATGTGTGAGTCCTACTCTCTTCTGCATATTGGCATATTTTCTTAGATTTTGTCCATATGGTTGGAAATAATGGCTTCCAGATAGCTTCCCTCTTCACATTTCTCTACTACAATGGGACCTAATCTATTTACCTAGCTTTAGCTCAAATCATCCTATGGCAGGATGAGTTATGTGTCCATCCTTACACATGTGGTAAAAAGAGCAGTCCCCACTATAAAGTAATGGTTAAAAGGCAGAATAAAGAGTCCCCCAAAATACATAGGTTGATGTGTCTAGAAGAAGAATTAGTTACTAAAATATTATTATAATGAGTATGAACCATGTGTCCAAACGCTTACCCATACTAGCTAGGAAATTTGGGCCATGCCAGCAAATAGGATAAGAAAACACAATTATGCCTAATATGTAGTTTAAATTTTACCATCTTTAGATCAAGGAAAAAGGTGCCATGCCCCAGGAGGAGACAGTAGGGCCAAGAAGACATGACCACCCAAAACTCACAGGTTCCTCTTTTGGATCATGTTCCAGTTATCCAAGACCCTAGAAGGTCTTGCCCAAACGGCCCAAGACCATGTTACCAGTTCCTGTGTGGGCCTCTTTGAGTCTGCCTTCCTTAAGGCAGAACACACTGTTGTGTATATACTTCTGGGAACATTCCAAGGAATGATCAAGGGGATGCTCTTTACAAAGGCTGTTTAGATGGACCCTAAAATTAAAAGTTGGAATGTTTACACATGCAAGCCTTAAGTCCCTTCAGGTACAAGGCCGGAGATGGGAATATAATGGGGCAAGCTCTGACCCAAAGACATAGGGCTGGGTCTGAGCTCTTCCTCAGTCAGCATTTGCAAACACAGACATCCAAGGGACTGAGAACTTTAAATTCAAACCTAGCTTTCCAGGTTGCTGTGAAGGCATAATTTTTATGGCAAAGTACAGAACTAATTTTATTTGATAGTTTGTTAGTTTGGTTTAAAATCTTTAATTAATTTTTAAACATCCAATTTTACTTCTAATTTAGGGTATAAAAGGAAACTATCCTTAACATGGATGAACTATTAATTTATATTCTTGTAGATTGAAGTGATCACTTATCTGAGAAATGGATTAATACACCTTTAAATACTCTGTTTCTAGCATCTCCAGTTATAACTCCTAAGAATAAAAGAGTTTCAAACTGAAAATTCATAATTTGCATAGTTAGCTTGCATCATTCAAAAATGCTAACCTTTGAGAGAATGAAGGTTTTAAACTTTAATAAAACTTTTAGCAATTATATGATCAAAGAATAAGTTTAATTAATATCTAACCTTATGGCATATGCAAACATTTGTAAAATGAGGAGCTACGTATCTATGTATTTATCTATCTACATATCCATCAAAGGTATGGTTTAGGGATTTATTAAGCACTGGGCATATTATCATCTGTGGATATTATTCCTTGTTTTTGAACATCTAAATATTCTGTAAATGATGGTATCAACTTATTGAATAAATATTTTTATATACTTGGGAATAATAAGATAACTAATTGCATATTTCAAATGGTTAACTGTCTAGTAAGGCAAGATTCTAACATATGACAGTAATATCACATTATTATATAGGTTAAAATTTAAGAAATTTATATGAGGTAGAAACGTAGGGTTCTATTAATCAAAAGGATTTGACATTCACTAAAAGGCAACACTATTTTGATATTTCTAAAGTCAGCCTCTATATAAACCAGTTTGACTTAGTTCATTATAAAATAAGAGTGAAATGAAGAAACTATGTTTCTGATCTATGTTATACTATTCTAACTTAATTGAATATTTAATTTTTATATTATTTTAAAAGTTCATGGCCGAGTGCGGTGGCCCACGCCTGTAATCCCAGCACTTTGGGAGGCCGAGACGGGCAGATCACCTGAGGTCAGAAGTTTGAGACAAGCCTGGCCAACATGGCGAAACCCCGCCTCTACTAAAAATACAAATATTAGCCAGACATGGTGGTGTACGCCTGTAATCACACCTACTTGGCTGGCTGAGGCAGGAGCATCGCTTGAACCCAGGAGGCAGAGGATGCAGTGAGCTGAGATTGTGTCATTGCACTCCAGCCTGGGTGACAGAGCGAGACTAAAAAAAAAGTTCATAAGCATCATTGTAGATTTTTTTAAGTTCATAAGAAAGAAAACAGACATAGATAATAAATCTTTACTATTAGAGAGCAATCTATTTTTTCTGATGTTTCAATTTGTTAGTATTTTTATAAAAACTAACTTCAAGCAGACTAATTTGACATTAACTAAATTATATAATGCTGCACAAATGGATTGGTTTATCTTTTCTACATTATTATACTTCTAATTCCAAAAAGGTTTTTTAACTTTTTGAAACAGTGTAACTTAAGATCAAAAGAAAGAGAAATTACTAATATAAAAGCTTATATAAAAAGTCAACATATATCATAGTTTTCTGTCTTATAGATTTAGTAATACAATGTATCTGAACCAGGCCACTGCTTACTTATTTTCTGTACTAGAAAAATTGAAATGTTGACTGCTAGACAAACATCAAGTTGTAAAACTACTAAGATAAGAAATGCATGTTTGACAGTAGAAACCAAATAAAATCAGTTATATGCCTTTGAAATTCAGGCAAGTCCTAAATTGTGCCCAAAATGAGGTTATGTATGATTCATCACCCTATATATGATCGTACCTAAAATTTTCCATCTTCCGTGAAATGCTTAGGCGAAAGATCTTAGCCTTTGTCAAGATTAAGACTATATTTTACCTTTGAGTATGATCCAATGATATCTACTGATTGATGAGCTTGTATTCCTGCTTGAAACTAGGTGAAGTAGACAATTTAAACTAATATGTCCAGGGAATTGTCTTTTTGTATGTCTTTTTTACTTGTTGTAGATTGTAAACCCCACAGAAACATCCCGCCCAACATAGAATTCTGAGTTTTCTCCATAATCAACACATAGAACTTGAATAAAACAGCCAATGCACGAGCTTTTTCTCATCTAGCAGAATAATTGGGCCAAAATATTAAACACAGTGTTCAGAATATTTGGCAGCGCCTTTTTTTTCCCACTAGAGATAAGGCCTAAAGCACAGTTTTATACATGGTTTCTAATGGATATATTATTAACTTCTGTCAAAAGCAAGTAACCATTTGCAGTAAAAGAATTAGATAATTAACCAGGAGGCAAAGGAGCAGTGTGATTAACTAGGTTTTAGAGTAATTCTGTGGTACACTTATCACTTCTGACTCTTACTGTCTGTATGATTTTCACAAACCTATTTAAGGAGGCATAAAACTAATAGGTCCAGTGGGAAGAGCCATATGATTTAACTTTGAGCATAAATAGGACAAGACAAAATACATCTTAATTGTCTTCACTTAAAAAATACAGCAGATTTTAAAATGTCCAAAACTGAACACAGTTTAACTTCTGAATTGAGAAATTGAAGTGGATATCAGCATGAGTCCGCAATTTAGTAATTCTCTGCAGTTTCATTAGTGACATTAAGAAAGTATGAACACCAACAAAATCAATCATTACATAGTCAATAGGCAGTAATAAACATAAAAGAAAGGTTGTTTATAGATATATCCACAAATTCCCACACACCCCTACACAAAACATATATAGGCCCTTATCTCCTACTCTGCTCTGCCATTGAACATCGTTATTTATAGCAATCTTATAGTTGCAGATCTCCCTAACTCCAGTTATTCTGGACATTTACAATATTTAGCTCTGGGCTCATTTTAATGTCAAACTATGCTTCTACTTGTCAGGATGGATCATTCTACCCATAAATCTATCTCAATAATATTAAGTTTAATAATGACACACAGAAATGCACCCTTATATAATGTGTATGAAGACCAATAATAGAATATCCTTGAACACAAAGCTCAGGGATTGCTTCCAAAATAATCCATGAAAGCCTCACTTTGCTCAGCTGATTACATCTACTTCTTTGTATTTTTTTAAAATAAAGTGAATGATGATATGGAGAACAAGAACTGTGTTTGATACATCGGAAGGATTATAGATGTTGAAACTCACTTTTTGACATTTTTAAAGATTTCTATACATTTATGGTGTAAAAGTATAATTTTATTACATAGGTTGAATGTGTAGTGGTGAAGTTAGGGCTTTTAAGATGTCTATCACCAGAATAATCTACATTGTTTCCATTAAGTAATTTCTCATCATCCACTCAACTCCCACCTGCTCAATCTTCCTGGTCTTTATTGTCTATCATTACACACTCTATGTCCATATGTCCACATTATTTGGCTCCCACTTATAAGTGAAAACATGCGTTAGTTGGCTTTCTATGTCTGAGTTGTTTCACTTAAGATAGTGGCCTCCAGTTTCATCCATGTTGCTGCAAAAGATATCATTTCATTCGCTTTATGGCTGAATAGTATTTCATTGTTTATATATGACACATTATTTAGCCTTCCACTGGTGGACACACATTAATAGCGCTGTGATAAACAGTGCTGCAATTTTTTAAACATACCAATGCAGGTGTCTTTTAGATATAATGATTTATTTTCATTGGTATATAGCCAGTAGTGGATATATACTTTCAGTATGATCCGATGGTATCTACTAATTTAAGGATTACTTCCATATTTAGTTTTCTGAAAAAAAACTTTATACTGTTTTCCATAGAGGTTGTACTAATTTACATTCCCAACAACAGCGTTTAAGGGTTCTGATATGGTTTAGTTGTATCCCTACCCAAATCTCATCTTGAATTATAGCTCCCATAACTCCCATTTGTTTTGGGAGGGACCCAGTGGGAGACAATTGAATCATGGGGGCAGTTTCCCCTATACTGTTCTCATGGTAGTGGATAAGTCTCACAAGATCTGATGATGTTAACAAGGGGTCTCCCCTTTCACTTGGCTCTCATTCTCTCTTATCTGTTGCCATGTAAGATGTGCCTTTCATCTTCCACCATGGTTGTGAGGCCTCCCAAGCTATGTGGAACAGTGAGTCCATTAAACTTCTTTTCCTCTACAAATTACCCAGTCTTGGGTATGTCTTTACAGCATGAAAAGAGACTCTGCAGCATAAAAACAGAGTAATACAGACTAAAATAGACTAATTTTTCTCTGAATCTTCATCAACATCTGTTACTGTTCATCTTTTTAGTAGTACCTAGTCTGACTGGTGTAAGATGATATTGTGATTTTAATTTGCATTTCTCTGATGATTAGTAATGTTGAGCATTTTTTCATATGCTTGTTGACCATTCGTATGTTTTCTTTTTGAAAATGTCTACTCGTCCTTTGTCCACTTTTTAACGGAATTATTTATTTTTGTTGTTGCTGAGTTGTTTGAGTTCCTCATAAATTCTGGATATTAGTCTCCTGTCAGATGCATAGTTTGCAAATATTTACTTTCATTTTGCAGGTTGTCTGTTGACTCTGTTGATTATTTCTTCAGCTGTGCAGATGCTTTTTAGTTTAATCAAGCCACATTTGTCTATTTTTTGTTGGTGTTGCCTGTGTTTTTGAGGTCTTAGTCATGAATTTTTGCCAAGAATAATGTCTAAAAGAGTTTTCCCTAGGTTTTCTTGTTTGTTTGTTTTTGACACAGGGTCTTACTCTGTCACCCAGGCTGGAGTGCAGTTGTGTGATCTCAGCTCACTTCAACCCCTGCCTCTCAAGCTTAAGTGATAGTCCCACCTCAGCTTCCCGAGTAGCTGGGACTATAAGCTTGCACCACCACACCTGACTAATTTTTGTATTTTTGTAGAGATGCAGTTTTGCCATGTTGCCCAGTCTGGTCTCTAACTCCTAGGCTCAAGTGATCCACCCACTTTAGCCTCCCCAAGTGCTGGGATTACAGGTATGAGCCACCATGCTTGGCTATTCTAGCTCTTCTTTAAGTATAATTTTTATTGTCTTAGGGCTTACATTTAAGTCTTTAATCCATTGTGAGTTGATTTTTGTATACAATGAGAAATAGGGGTCCAGTTTCATTCTTCTGCTCATAGCAATCCAATTTATCCAGCTCTATTTATTTATAAGGATGTTCTTTCTCCATTGTGTGTTCTTGCCAACTATGGTAAAGATCAGTTGACAATAAATATGTGGATTTATTTCTGGGTTCTCCATTCTGTGCCATTAATCTTTATGTCTATTTTTATATCAATACCATACTGTTTTGGTTACTATGGCCTTGTGGTGTAATTTGAAGTCTGACAATGTGACACTTTCAACTTTGTTGTTGTCATTGTTTTTCCTTAGGATTGCTTTGGCTATTTGGGCTTTTTTGTTTCCATGTAAATTTTAGGATTCCTTTCCCTAATGCTGTGAAAAATGTCATTGGTACTGATGGAAGAAATTGTAGATGAAACAAAGAAATGGAAAAACATCCTATGCTCATGAATCAAAATAACTGGTAACTTAAAAATGATCATACTGCCCAAAGCAATCTACAGATCCAGTGTAATTCCTATCAAACTCACTCTTTAAAGTTCTACAAAACTAAAAAAAATTCTACAAAACATTTTCTCAGTGAAAACATTATAAAAAAAGAAAATTTGCTGACATTTTGCTGAATTATTATTCATTATATTTTCCCTAAATTATTTTAAAATATATTATACGGAGGCATTAAAAATAGAGCAGAGGGATTGAGTTTCAAGATGTCATCTCTAGTTCCTTTGCCTTTATAAAGCTTATTATGTTTACACATGTATATACTATATAGGAAATATTAATTTTTTTTGGTTTACGGTAATATCATAGATAATATCCTACATACTCTTAAAAATTATTTCTATATGGTTGTATTAGCCAGCACCCCAGCAGAAAATAGATAAGACTTACTCAAATTGTGTAATTCAAGGGCAGATTAATCTGAAGATATTTACAGAACTAGATAGAAGATGGGACAAGGATCTGCAAGGGAGAGATATTATTTATTTGATTGTGTACAGCTAGAGATAAATTATGTATTACACAACACAATCAGCTATTCATAAATTATTAACTCCTCAAAATGATTCTATTTTTAAAAATTGTTTGGGGTTCATGCCATTATAACTAAGTACTTTTAATGATAAAACTGCAGTTACTTTGGCATTACTTTTAATGGCAAAAACCTCAATTACTTTTGCACCAACCTAATACTTTGGAGGCTGAGGTGGGAGGATTGCTTGAGCTTAGCAATAGTTCAAGGATACAGTGAGCTATAATCTTGCCACTGTAGTCCATATTTTGATTTCCTTCTGATATTGTCAAAGTAGCAAATATGGTGAAAGTGTCTTGGGGATCATATATTAGCTATAAACAACTAAATCTCTTTCCAGTTTTATGGGCCTCATTTTGTTGACCATTCTTTCAACTTCATCAAATATCCATGAATATTAAGAGTTTTTTAGACCAATTTTTACTTTTTGTAGTATTACTATCTCATGCATCATATGAACAAACTTTAGTCATAATACTTTTTCAAATAAAAAGTTGTAGAATAATATAGAAATTATTTTAAAATTGATATGGTGTTAAAGTAACTTGTTCCTTTTTGGATATCTCTGATTTAAATTCTTCAATAGTCTATTGTTAAAAGGCCATAAAAGTTAAGAGAAATTTATAAATGTACATAATACCTGAAAACATTATTAAGAATTCAAATGCTTCCTCATCTATTTTTTAAAATATTGATTTTTAAATTATAATATACATGATAGCTTGATGGGAATAGCATTGAATCTATAAATTACTTTGGGCAGTATGGCCATTTTGACAATATTGATTCTTCCTATCCATGAGCATGGAATGTTTTTCCATTTGTTTGTGTCCTCTCTTATTTCCTTGAGCAGTGATTTGTAGTTCTCCTTGAAAAGGTCTTCACATCCTTGTAAGTTGTATTCCTAGAAATTTTATTCTCTTTGTAGCAATTGTGAATGGGAGTTCACTCATGATTTGGATCTCTGCTTGTCTATTGTTTGTGTATAGTGATGCTTGTGATATTTGCACGTGGATTTTGTATCCTGAGACTTTGCTGAAGTTGCTTGTCAGCTTAAGGGTTTTTGGGCTGAGACAATGGGGTTTTCTAAATATACAATCATGTCATCTGCAAACAGAGATAATGTGACTTCCTCTCTTCCTATTTGAATACGCTTTATTTCTTTCTCTTGCCTGATTGCCCTAGCCAGAACTTCCAATATTATGTTGAATAGGAGTGGTGAGAGAAGGCATCCTTGTCTTGTGCTGATTTTCAAAGGGAATGCTTCCAGCTTTTGCCCATTCAGTATCATAAAGTGACTCTGTATCCCTTCAACTCAGCAGGCTGAACTTAGATCTGTGTTACAAAACAGCAGACTCACTGAAAACAACTCATCTTTGGATCAAACCATGAGTTTTTTAGTCATAGTTTTGTTGCCTTCCAGTTAACCCCGGCTTACATAATGACCTTTGAAAAAGTCCTGCATAACAACCTGTGAAATGGAAACATTTCCAGTCAGTTCTGGGAATTTATTTATTTTCAATGTTGTGTTTTGTTTTAAGTACATGGAACTACTATACTGAACAAACTTTTGATTTCATTGATATTTTATATAGTTTTTTTGTCTCCATTTCATTCAATTCAGCTCTGATTATGGTGATTTCTTTTCTCCTGCTATCTTTGGGGTAATTTTGGTCTTGTTTTTCTAGTTCCTCTAGGTATGATACTGGATTATTAATTTGAGAATTTTCTAACTTTTTGATGTGGGCATTTAGTGCTATAATCTTTCCTCTTAACACTGCTTTAGCTATGTCCGACAAATTTTGATAAGTTGTATTTTTGTTCTTATTAGTTTCAAAATTTTTTTTGTTTTTTTGTCTTAATTTTGTTTACCCAAAAGCTCATTCAGGAGCAGATTTTTAAATTTTCATGAGATTTTATTATTTTGAAAGAACTTATTGCTATTGATTTCCATTTTTATTGCACTCTAGGCTAACGGAATTCCTTACCTCCCAACCTCTCTTACAGGTGTTCCTCAAGGGAGTTATAAACATAACCAAAAAAGGCTATTACCAGCCACCACAAAAACATCCTTATGTTGGGAGACCACTGACACTAAAGTAACTACACAATCAAGTCTGTATAACAACCATCTAACAACATAATGACAGGATCAAATCTGCACATATCAATATTAACCTTGAATGTAAATGGGCTAAATGACCCACTTGAAAGGCCTAGGTTGACATGTTTTATAAAGGAGCAGGACCCAACATTATGCTATTTTCAAGAGACCCATCTCACATGCAAGGACACCCATAGACTCAAAGTAAGGAATGGAGAAAGATCTATCAAGCAATCAAAAGACAAAAATGAGCAGGAGTTGCTGTTCTTATTTCAGACAAAATTGACTTTAAACCAGTGATGATCAAAAGGGACAAAGAAGGGCATTACATAATGATAAAGGGTTCAATTCAACAAGAAGATTTAACTATCCAAAATATATATGCACCCAACATTGGAGCACCCAGATTCATATAACAAGTTTTTAGAAATCTACAAAGAGACTGAAATAATCACACAAAAACAGTAGATGACTTCAGCATCCCACTGACATAATTAGACAGATTATTGAGGCAAAAATTTAAGAAGATATTCAAAACATAATCTCAGCACTTGACCCAGTGCACCAAACATCTACAGAATGCTCCACCCAACAACAGAATATACATTTCTCTCATCTGCACATGAACACTCTAAAATTAACCACATATTGTCGATAAAAAAATTCTTTTTTTAATAAACAAATTTTTAATAAACTGAAATCATTCGAGGTTTTAGAAACTATTTATTTTGCAACTTGCAAATGCCAATATCTGTATTTAATCAAGTTCAGAAGAAGATATCCAATGATGCCCAAAACATTGATGGTAATACTTTCTTCGAATTGAAATTAGAATGGTCTCAATTTATTTAATTCCCATCTTTGTATAGGATCGGATACAGAATTGTTTGCTTCAAAGATTCAGTTTAATGGAGACACAACATTTTTAATTTTTAAGCAGGAAAATATGACATACATAAATATCATGGCTGCAAAAATATGTGATTTATTGTTTTTCTGCCTTCCCTATCCACTATCATATTTGCATAGGATGGCATCTCATGAATTTTACCAAAATTGTTAACATAAATTTTTATGATTATATTGTTTCATGTAATTTCGAGAATTGGATTATAAATTTTAAATTTACTTATACAGTAGTAAATCATCCCAATAGTTTAAGGACAAATAATATGTGATAGATATTTCAAAACCAGGAATGCCTCATAATTTGGAGCCAAAGAATGATTGGTTTAAATAATTTCACATGAGATCTGGTCTTATATTTTGATGTGTATTAAGAAACCAATTCTTCCAGATTTCATTCAAATTTTTCCAATATTTCTAGATTGACTACACATTACAAAGAATGCTATAGTTATTATGACTTATGTTAGAAGAAATTAATGTAAATTATTGAAAAACAGCTACAATTGATAGTAATGGCAGATTATGAGCTGTCTAATATTATATTATGTGATGGAAGAACCCATATAGTAACATAAGCTAATTTGATGAACTTAAAAGTTCGGATTTTATTTATTTATTTATTTATTTATTTATTTATTTATTATTTTCTTTTTTAGATAGAGTCACACTCTAATGCCCAGACTGGAGTGCAGTGGCACGATCTCAGCTCACTGCAACCTCTGCCTTCCAGGTTCAAGCCATTCTTGTGCGTCAGCCTCCTAAGGTCTCCCAAGTACATGGGACCACCAAGCCTGGCTAATTGTTTTGTAGGTTTTTTTGTTTTTTAATTTTAATTTTAATTTTTTTTAGTATAGACAGGGTTTTGCCATGTTGATCAGTCTGGTCTTGAACTCCTGGCCTCAAGTTATCTGCTCACCTCGGCCTCTCCAACTGCTGGGGTAACAGGTGTGAGCCACGATGCCTGGCCTAGAATTTTCATTTAATTAGGATTACTAGTATGTGGATAAAGAGCTAAACAAATATTGTAAGGAATAATATAAAATGACATGGTTGGAAGGTATTATATTGATTGTTAAAAATTAAACATTTGGGACCATTGTTTACATAATTTTTTATATATTCTTTATAGTTATATGGTTATACTTTCAGATAAAGTTATACAAAATCTTAAGTATTATTTTATTCACAATAAATAATTGTGTCCAATTTGAATTATTCCATAAGAAAAATATATCAGCATACCGTCCATGTTAAAAAAAATTTTTTCTTTAGATTTGAAGTGTATATTCCATTTAACTCATCTTCCAAATAAGCCTGCATGAAAAGTAGGAAGCGGTACCTTGATGAAAACATGCTTCATCATTGGTAGCTGACCAAGGAATATTGAAGAAAAATGCAGTGTTTTATAATTTACAAAAGCGAATTTTTTTTGTAATTTTCAACTTTACTTTTGGCATTAGTCAAAAGAGTAGACTAATAGTTTGTGAATGTTAAAATAGGGACATAATTTCAATCATGTTCCAGGAATCTCAGAAAATGCTCAGGAGAATACGGCAGGGGCCTTTGAAAGGACATTATGTACCCTAATTGAAGAGTACTATGAGTTTCAAGGGAGTAAGTGGAGGGCTGATTGATAAGAATAATTAACTTGGGAAGGTTGATTCCTCCAAATTAATTCAAGGGAAGATTAGGCACAAGAGGAGTATGTCATATTTTAGTGGTTATGGCTGATTTTGCCACAATAGTGCAACAGACATTTTATAAAGGCTTCCTGAAATCATGCTTTTTTCAGAAACAACCATAAACTCTTCTTCCAGAGCCACCACTATTTGGTTTGGGTGGAGAGTTATTTTGCCAGACTTCTATTGTGAAATATCCAGAGTTTCCACGGAGTGTGCCAGACTCTGAGAAGGCCAGAGGAGTGGGACATGTGATTCTTAGCTACACCAAAGAGAAGCCATTTAGAGAATTAGTTTAAAGTGACTCGAATCAGCAGCTGATCATTTATTATACAGGATGTATTGGTCTGGAATTATGAGTGACTTGGGAAACTGCCACGTAATTCTCAGACAGCCTGAGCTCTGCTCCTAATTGAGGAGAGAGAGGGCCACTGGTGATGAAGAAAATGAAGATACTTGCAAGTATCTGCCATTTAGACGTACCAGATTCTATACTGTGTCTTTTGTCCCACAATTAAGTATTCTTTGGGAATAGGAATATGGGTATTGCCCCAAATTAACTGGGCAATGGGGTACCAAAATTGACCGAAAATGTTTTGAGATCTTTCATGTTGATAAGTGATGACATTGATTTTCTTTATTTTCTGGGACGAGTTAGGAGTTGAGGGAAAACAGAATAGGCTAGTGAAACATACAGGGAGACAGACTTGGTTGCAATAAATCCTTCTATAATCTGGCAGATTGTCTGTTTACCTTCTGAATTCATTAAATTTGCAGAATCATTGTTTCTTAAGGAAGCCAGTTGTATTGTCAAATTTTAGGTTTTTTTCTTTTCTTCCAGTTCATTAGGACTCTAAATATCTTTGTGATATCAACACAAAGATATTTACAAGCCCTTTAATGACCACATTGTGGGAGAAAGAAAAGAACTACTGTACAGTAATGACACTGCTTAGATAAATGCTTCTATTCCTTCTTTATCCGTCATGTTACTAGAGTGACATTTTAAAATCAGACAACCAAAATCCTCTTGACTCTGACATGGGCCTTGCCTTCTTGACTTTAATCATTTGTGACTGATATTCACCCAAAGAAGTGTATAGGCTTACTGAATGTTTCTTTGAACTAGGTATATAATAACCTTGGCTATAGTGCACTAGCTGAGATATCCTTCTAAAATTAGACTATCATCATGCCATTGACAATATTTTGAGTTATCTGTTTCATAAACCATATAGGTGGGAGAGCACAGAGCCAAATAATGCATTTTAGATTTTTTTGCATGAGGACTTATATCAGGAAATATATATCTTAGCCCCCAAACAATGATAAGTCATTTTTCATTATGTAAAGTTAACTCAGATTTTATAGGAAAATATCAAATGAAATTGTATTTTTTGCTCCAAATAATTTGGATCTTTTAAAGGTTATAATAACTATGGAGTTTCTAAATATTTCACTATGTTGCTCAAATACACTTCATTTATTTCCCTCTTTTCTAGTTACCTATAAAATATTATCTAAAATAAAATAATTTATATTAATAAAATAATGAAATAAGATTAATAGAAGTGTATTCATATTAATTCAGTAAGCCTATTATTGCTATTGCAATCTAATGCAACTTATATGATAATTATTAATCCTTATAGTTACAAGAAAAAGTAGTATTATACATTGAAATTATAAATTGACTCCCCGCTAGTTTAAAGTTCAAGATTAAAAAAAGTAAATTAGTTTTATTTACATTAAGAGAAAATAGTAAAAGATAAGCATTGATAAAAATTGTCCAAATAATCAGTATAATGGCATAGCACAAAATTTTATTTGTTGTGTGTGAGTGTGTGTGTGTGTGTGCATGTGTGTGTGTGTGTGCATAGTTTTCCATTTTTAAGGAAATGCCTGAAGGAAATAGGCCTTAAATTTTAACAATCATGGTGTAAACCGAAAGTCTGAAATTGTTGAGGTGACACTATGTCTTAGTATATTTTCTCTCATAGATTTTGGTTAGCATTGAGGTTGGCAGATTACTTATCATGGCTTACAGGCATAGTGTCAACTTTATAAGCACTCGCATTCTGAGCCAAAGGCCATCAGATTATTGCTCCATAGTTTTGAGGCTCAGGAAATATTTCTAAACCACGCCTTAAGCCCAGGCAGCCTGGCTGCAAAGCCCACACAATTAACGATAATACAGCATTGCTTCTCTGACTGCACTAGGATAAACAAAATCGGAGGAGTATTCTGACAAAGTCCCGTAGTCCTGAGAAGCGAAAGAATAGTAGGAAGAATAAAAGTTAGCGGGTACTTGAGGATAAAAAAATGGAGGAGTAAGTAATAAATGGACGAATAAAAAGTGTTCAAATGGAGCTCAATTGGGGGTTACATAATACATAGTTTAATGCTAGAGATAAACTTTACATGTTTTATAATTTCCCTTTAGACATGTCTGCTTTTTTAGTTTTAAAACGTCATGAACTACCAAGTTACAAAGTGAAATTAAGATTTTTAATAGGAGACTTAGCCCAGATTTTCCACATGTGATACTCAAAAATGTAAACATATATGTATAGTGAGTAACTTCTTGGTGAAAGGCGTGTGCATTTGCTAAGCATTAGGCTTGGTATGAGCATGAACACATTAATTCAGTTTATGTTCCATTATTATCCTTTCTTTGTTTTACTTCATATCATGAAAGTTTGTTTTCCATTTTACATATAGGCATTTATCATTCTTACAAATCTTTATATTCAAAAATGAATTTTATTTTGTTATTTCTCCAATTCGTAGGCATAGGTGTGAATTATTATATAATCCTGTTGTTGATAGTACTAAGCTGTCCTTTCCTTTTTCTCAATTTCAACAGCAGCACTTGTAATCTACCAATTTACTATATACGCTGCTTTTTAACAAAAAGTGTTATAGTAATTTATTTGAATGAGCAACCACCTGGGCACGTAAAAGATAATGAACTTCACTTTTCCACATTTTTATCTGTTCATTCCCAACCCTTGTAATATTTACATAAGTTAATTGTGTAAGGTTTTGTTAGTGAATAAAACTAAGATGTTGTCTCTTGCAATCTAAAATTAAAGATTTTCATCAACAGCTTGGGAATTTGTTCTATTTTTAAAACATCCTCAAATACACCAAAATAAACATTTTTTGATCAAAGAGTCAGAAGATTCAGTGGAAGTCATGGCTTCATAATAAAAAACTAAATGAGTCATAGTATTGATATTTCATTTGGGGTATAAGTCCATTTGTTCATAGCTTAAATTAAAATGAAAAGGGAGTTAGATTTGCCTTATTTGATACATGCCATTTGGATGCATCAAATAATAATGCAGAATATTTAAAATTGACTAAAATCATTTCTAAAATTGAAGCACTATATATAGCTCAAACATAGATTTCATGTTTTGCTTTGAATCCCAGCTACCTAATCCTGATTCATACATAGAAAGGTCATTTAGAAATCTCATACCCTGAAATGTGATTTTAAGTTGTTTAAATATGACAATTTATTATTTAATTCATTCATTATCAAAAATTTGTTAACTGTCTCATATATATAAAACAATATAACTACTAGGGATGTGTGGGTCTTACAATCTGGAACAGAGAGACACATATAAACAGTTAAATACACCATTAACTAATTTTCAGAAAGAAGAATTGAGTTCATTTAAAGTATAGGCTGAAAGACCTGAAGGAATCTTGGAGAAAGGCTTGTCATAGAAGCAGAAAGCCCTGAAGGACACATCGAATGTGTGGAGATAGCGGTGGTATATTCTGGGAGAGTGAGGCAAAGGGTACTCCATGAAGATGGAGAGACATGTGAAAATGCTCTACAAGAAAATGGAGTTTGGAATACTTGAGGAACTGAATAATTCTAGACACCATGTTATAGAATGACACTAAGTTGAGCAAATCATTTGGGAATCTGACACATATTTGGAAATATATCAGTTTTATATAAGAGCCACTAGAGGGTTTAAGCTGTTTAAATGACACAGCAAACATGAATCTTTAACAATCCCTCAAAAATAATACAGCAAAGAGAATAAGATGAGATAAGATTCTACAGAGAGAGATAATTAGGAATTTCTTAGTGAAAAATGATAGTGGTCTAGACTTGACAGGCTGAATAGAGGCGGTATGAAAACTGAGATATTCATAAGATATAGGAAAAGTATTCAGGGTCTGGTGTTAGACTGAGTGTGGAAAGTGGTAAAGAAGAATAATGTGTGATACACTGAGGTCTTCAGGTTGATGTGAAGTCAGAAGAGGTTGCTAGGAAACTGATATTACAGTTATTGTCACATAATGTGTACTCAATGATGTTAATTCTCCTCTGCTTCATCCATTTCTTTCCCACATTTGCCCAAGGTCTGGGTGAATTAAAAATAAGAAAATAAAATGAGAGAGATACAAAAAGACATTAAGAAATATGTGGGAGTCGAGGAAGAATCACTTGGGCATGAAGAGAGACTAAAGACAAATGTAATTTGTGGTAACCACATCATAAACCATTCTGAAGATAAAATAATAATAATTATGTCTGTGGCCTTTTCTACTACTTATTCCCTGATCTACTCATTTATTCCTTAAACCTTGCCATTTAGGATTTCATCTCCAGCTCTTTCCATTTATAGGAGCACAAATAATCTATAAAACATAGTATTAATTTTGCTGTAGTACAAATATGAATTTCATATGCCTGAAAGCATGGTGTGAAGGGATAAACTACTTAGCTGATATATGAACATAGCAGCTTACCTAGTGATACTGTCTAGTTCTGTGTCCCCATCCAAATCTTATCTTGACTCGTAATCTGAATTGTAATCCCCACATGTTGGAGACAAACCTCATGGTAGGTGATTAAATCATGGGACCACTTCCTCCATGCTGTTCTTGTGATCGTGAGTGAGTTCTTATGAGATCTGATGGTTTTATAAGGGGCTTTTCCCACTTCACTCTGTGCTTCTCTCTCCTGCTGTCTTGTGAAGAAGGCCGTGTTTGCTTTCCCTTCCACCATGGTTGTAAGTTTCCTAAGGTATACCCAGCCATACTGAACTGGGGTAAATTAAACCTCTTTCCTTCATAAATTACCCAGACTCAGGTATGTCTTTATTAGCAGTGTGAGAATGGAGTAATACAGTAAATTGGTACCGCAGAGAGTGCGGCACTTCTGTTAAGATACCTGAAAATGTGGAAGTGACTTTGGAACTGGATAACAGGCAGAGGTTAGAACAGTTTGGAGGGCTCAAAAGACAGGAAGATGTGAGAAAGTTTGAAACTTCCTAGAGATTTGTTGAATGGCTTTGACCAAAATTCTGACAGTGATACGGACAGTGAAGTCCAGTCTGAGGTAGTTTCAGATAAAGATGGGGAACTTGTTGGGAATTGAAACAAAGGTGATCCTTGCTATGCTTTAGCAAAGAAACTGGCAGCATTTTGCCCCTCCCTAGAGATCTGTGAAACTTTGAACTTGAGAGAGATAATTTAGCATATCTGGTGGAAGAAATTTCTAAGCAGCAAAGGTTCAAGATGAAGCAGAGCATAAAAGTTTGGAAAACTTGCAGCCTGATGATGAGATAGAAAAGAAAAACCCATTTTCTGGGGAGAAATTCAAGCCCACTGCATAAATTTGCATAAGTGATGAGGAGATGAATATAAATCACCAAGACAATGAGGAAAATGTCTCCAGGGCGTGTGAGAGAACTTCAAGGCAGACCCTCCCATCACTGGCCCAGGGGCTTAGGAGGGAAACATGGTTTCATGGGCTGGGCCCAGCACCTCCCTCCTACTCTGTGCAGTCTCAGGACTTGGTACTGTATTACTCAGCCATGGCTAAAAAGGCCCGATGTACAGCTCAGGTCCTTGCTTTAGAGGGTGCAAACCCCAAGCCTTGGCATGTGGATTGGTCCTGCAGGTGCATAGTAGACAAGAACTGAGGTTTGAGAACCTCCACCCAGATTTCAGAGGATGTATGGAAATGCCTGGATGTCCAGTCAAAAGTCTGCTGAAGGGGAGGAGCCCTCATGGAGAACCTCTTCTAGGGCAATGTGGAAGGGAAATGTGAAGTTGGAGCCCCCACACAGAGTCCCCACTGGGGCACTGTCTAGTGGAGCTGTGAGAAGAAGACCACCATTCTCCAAACCCCAGAATGGTAGATTTGAATGCCAGCCATGAAAGCAAGCAAAAGGAAGGCTGTACACTGCAAAGACACAGAGGCAGAGCTGACCAACGCAACGGGAGCCTAACTCTTACATAAGCATGACTTGGATGTGAGACATAGAGTCAAAGGAGATAATTTTGGAACTTTATGGTTTAATGACTGCCTTATTATATTTTCGACTTGCATGGACCCTATGGTCACTTTGTTTTGGCCAATTTCTCCCATTTTGAATGGGTGCATTTATCCAATGCTTGTATCCCATTATATCTTGGAAGCAACTAACTTGCTTTTGATTTTACAGGCTCAAAGGCAGAATGGATTTGCCTTATCTCAGATGAGACTATGAACTTGGACTTTTGGGTTAATGCTGAAAGGAGTTAAGACTTTGAAGAACTGTTGGAAAGGCATAGTCATGTTTTGAAATGTGAGGAAGACCAGATTTGGGAGGGGACAGGGGCAGAATAATATGGTCTGGCTTGTGTACCCACCCAAACCTCATCTTGAATTGTAATCCAAATTGTAATCCCCACTTGTTGGGGGAGAGACCTCGTGGGAGGTGATTAGATCGTGAGGACGGTTTCCCCATGCTGTTCTCATGATAGTGAATGAGTTCTCATAGGATCTGATGGTTTTGTAAGGGGCTTTTCCCCTTTTCTCTCTGTACTTTTGTCTCCCTCCACCATGTGAAGAAGGACATGTTTGCTCCCCTTCCAACATAAAATTTTCTTGAGGCCTGCCCAGCCATGTTGAACTGTAAGTCAATTAAACATCTTTCCTTTATAAATTACCCAGTCTCAGGCATGTCTTTATTAGGAGCATGAGAATAGATTGATACACCTAGCTATGTTGATATTTAACTAAAGTATATACGTAGTAAAAACTTGCACAGACTCGGCATGGTGGGTCATGCCTGTAATCCCAGCACTTTGTGAGGCTGAGGTGTGTGGATCACGAGTTCAAGAGATTGAGACCCTCCTGGCCAACATGGTGAAGTCCCGTCTCTACTAAAAATACAAAAATTAGCTGGATGTGGTGGTGTACAGCTGTAGTCTCAGCTACTCAGGAGGCTGAGTCAGGAAATTCGCTTGAACCTGAGAGGCGGAGGTTGCAGTGAACCAAGATTGCACCACTACACTCCAGCCTGGCGACAGAGCAAGACTCCATTTAAAAAAAAAATTCACAAAATTATGTATTTTACTTGGGCACAGAGTTCAAAAGAAATTGGTTTTAATGACAAATTTATTTAAATGATTCAATATATGGTAGAAATAAAAATATGGAACATACACTGGTTTGATTTTTCATCATATTTTTATTAAATTTTACTAGGAAAGTCCAGATTATGCTATATTTATAAATTTTGGAATTAAGTTATGAGAAAATATATGAATTTTGAGAAACTCATACATTAATATGGTTCCTTAGAAAATATTATCCTTCTCAAATTGAACTAAACCTGAATATGCTCATGGATATACATAGGATATTTGTTTTCCCAAGTTCCTTTCTGAAAACTTTTAGATAAAGCAAAATAAAACTGAAAGAAATTGTTCAGAACACTGAAGTATGTGTTAAAGCAAAGATTTATTTCACTTGATGTATTTTAAGATAATTTAAGTGTGATTATTTAAAATGAAATGCTTACAAATTTCTAGATTACTATTGGACTTTGATCACAGTAGTCATGGTTGGAAAAATACCTGTTAGGTTATCATGTTCACCCTTCTGCTTGGCCAGGGGTGAACCCAAGAGAGAGGAGTTAGCACTTCATATGCCAAGAAAGCATAATATCTTATAGGGTGCCTAAGAGAAAGCATGGTAGAGCCAAGTCAATATAGTGTTTGACTTCTATCCAATAATCCTCCCCGCCACCCCAGATAAATGTGCTTCTGTCATTCCAGCTACATGGTCTTGGCAACCATATTCTGTTCTAGTTGGAGCATTTGCAAAATTATATCAAGAAAACTATCCAAAAAGAATGCATTGCAGTGCTTTTTAAGGAAAGAAAAGTAGAAGAAAATATCTTACATGTAAAAGAATTAGGACAAATGTGTTCCTGCAATAATATAAAGGAAGTATAAAAAGTGCTAAATCACTAATGAAAAATATTCTGAAAAAGATCAACTATCTCTTCCATTTACTAGTAGAACATCTAACACTGAGACTTATGCATGTGGTAGGATAACAAATCCTGCTTGATGAAGAAGAGTGGTAGGAGATGGAGGACTTTAAGGCAATGTTGTAAATAATATCAATACAGGCTGTTTAATATTCAAAGCCTTTCCCAAGCACAAGGATTTATTAACCCATAGCTTATCACTACTTGATTGAGAACAAGGATGTCTATTAACTCTTTAGGATCCCTGCATTTGTACATCTCTGTTCATCCATTTCCACTTTCCTTTTTAAATTATTTTTCTCATTGTATTTCCTAAAGTGAGATGGAATGGCCCTATGTAGAATCTGGTCCACCATTGTGTTTTGTTTGTGATTCACATATGCTTTTGTTTTTTACAATTAATTAGTTGTCCTATTGAAACATCACACTAATGTCCAGAGTTTGACATTTTCTTGATAAATTTTATAATTGGAAAAACTGGTGACAACTAATTAAAGGCATTTGTTCTGGAGTCTACCATAGTCTCCATCACGTGCTTTGTATCCTGACTGAATCATGGTGTCAGTGGCCACATATAATCAGCATATGCTGTTGTTTATTTTTTAAAATCTACATTGTTTTATTAATTTATATCACCTTACTTGCCCCAGAAGAAACTTGAGTTTGAAAATTTTATCTCCAAGTTTGAATTCCTTCATGATTCTATTCAGAAAACTTTTCCCTTTTCATCCCGTGTCATCTCTCTAGGTGAGATCAAGGACTTCCAGGTCTTCATGAAATCTCATTATTTTTCTTCTTTTAATGTGCTGGTTCTTTCTTTCATGGGTGCCTAATGTTTGGTGCAGCCAAATACCTGGATGACCAACCCAGAATGTTAGGACAAATCCATGGATTTTACCTCTTTTCCAATCTGCGCATACACAATCCACCAAAGCTTTATAATTAAACATTCAAAATGTCTTCAAAATCATTTTACTTGTTTCTGTTTTCATTCTTTCCCATTTATTCCAAGCCACAATCGTATAATTATTATGCTAATATTTGGTGTTATTTGAATAACAAAACAGATTTCAAACAGGTATCCTCACCTCAAGCTGTGTTTTTCTTCAATCACAACTCAACACTAGTGGAAGTGATCTTTCAAATACACAAATCTGCTCATGTAAATACTCTGTGCAAAGCATTGCAAAATTTTTCCCGATTTTATTAGAATAAAAGAAAAACTATGATGTCTTATTCAGCCCCAGAGGTACTGGACCTGGCTGATTTCTCCTGGCATTTCTGTTTTTCACTTAGCATCCCATACTCAATAAATTACATCCCCATTTAACTTTATCCATGCACTAAACTTTTTAAGCTCTGAGCATTCATTCCTAATATGCCCACTGTTTGTGTTATCCTGCCTACTTCTCATTCTGGTATTTTTATTATTATTATTGTTATTATTATTGAGATGGGGTCTTGCTCTGCCACCCAGCCTGGAGTGCAGTGACACGATCTTGGCTCACCGAAGCCTCCACCTCCGGGTTCAAGCCATTCTCCAACCTCAGCCTCCCCAGTAGCTGGGATTACAGGGTTGCACCACTATGCCCATCTAATTTTTGCAGTTTTAGTAGAGACAGGGTTTCAGCATGTTGGCCAGTCTGGTCTCGAACTCCTGACCTCAGGTGATCTACCCACCTCGGGTTCCCAAAGTACTGGGATTACAGGCGTGAGTCACCATGCCAGTCCTAGTCTTATATATTGTTTATTTATGGAAGTCTTCATTAATTCTTCTAGACTAAGTTATAAGCCATTGTGGCCTCCAGACACTTTACTTCTTTGATATAGCACTCTCATGTTTGTATTCTATTATCTGTAATTCCTAACACACTACATGTATTTGGAAGGTAAGAATATGGTCTGTTTTATTATCATTTATTTCTAGCCACTACCTCAGTGCCTGACACCTATTAGTCCTTCAGTGAATATTTACTCTATTAAAGAGGGTATGTGTAAGGAAATGTTTATGTGTTGCAGCTGTTATAAGGTCTCCAATAAACCAATAGGTTTTATTCTTCTTAAGCTTTGGTGTTTGCAAAAATAATTTCTAATTGTTTTCTTTCTATAGCCATAGTTCTCATTAAAAAGCATATTAATGCTCCTTTAAGTGGTCAAGACACAATTACTACATTTTTATATTTACAGAAAGATCTATTGAATTTTTATGAAAGAATAATAAAAAATAATATAACCATGGCATGACACTGGAAATTATTTGATTTATTGCTTTCAATTTTTATTCAACTTCAGCAATTTACTGCCCATATTTTAATTTACTTCCTTTCCACAAGTCTGCTTAGTTGGGTTGTCTGCTGATACGTCCTAAAAAACAATATTCCGCTGAGAAATATGAATAAAACTTTTTAGCTGAATGAGAACATTTAAACAATAACATAAGAATGTACCTGTTTCCCCAAGATTATCTATCTTGAAATCACAGAACCTGGGAAGTATCATAAAAGAGATAAATATTTTAACCACTACTAAAATGTGTTGCAATTGCAGCCATATTGGTTGTTAAGAACACTGAAGAAGTATGAAGTAATCAACAGTTGGGACCAACAGTTGATATCAGGAGTCCATAAGCATTGAGAAACATTCAGAGTCTTATTTGGATTGCTAGTAGTCAATGGATGGTAAGGAAGCCAAAGAGTTTGAGAACCACTCCATGAGGTAAGGAAGGTGGAAAAACAGCCACATGTCTGAGAGACTACAAAATTTAAGCATTATGTTGGACATAGGTGAACAAAAATTAAGACATCTTTGAAGCGTGGTAAGGTGTAAAAGGCATGATAATATTCAGTGTTAAGAAAATTACACCGTTATGAAAATAATACCCTCATGCTGTATTATTGAGTGGTTAAAAACCTTCAGTTTCACAAAATCGTAAAAATATCCATACCCTAGATTCACAATTTAAAATTTAGAAATTATTTTCATGGATGTGTACCAAGTTTTTGCTCTAGGAATGTTTATTTCTGTCCTCTACAATAGCAGAACAGAGCAAAATAACTCAATAAGGGAACAAACAAAAGTGACAATTTAATTCCCAGTGGTAGGGATATATTAAGTTTACTAATAATGGACACATGGAAGAACAAATAAATAAATGAATAGATAGACAAAACTAGATATAAAAAACTGAAAGCTTATACTCCAAATATTAACAATGGTTATTTCTGAGTGGTAGATGTTTGTAATATTTTAATTCATTGTTATTTTCAAAAGACAGAAATACCATTCAACCTAGCAATCCATTACTCGGTATATACCCAAAGGAATATAATTCATTCTGCTATAAAGACACATGCACGCGTATGTTCATTGCATCTCTATTCACAATAGCAAAGATATGGACTCAACCTAAATGCCCCTTAACAATAGACTGGAGAAAGAAAATGTGGTGTATATACACCATGGAATACCCTGTAGCTATAAAAAAGAATGAGATCATGTCCTTTGCAGGCACAAGGATGGACCTGGAGGCAATTATCCTTAGCAAACTAATGCGGGAACAGAAAACCAAATACCACATATTCTCACTTATAAGTGGGAGCTAAACAATGAGAACACATAGCTACATAGAGAAGAACAACACATAGTGGGATCTATAGGAGGGTGTATGCTGGGAGGAAGGAGAGGATCAGGAAAAATAACTAATGAGTACTAGGCTTAAAACCTGTGTCATGCAACAACAACAAACCCCCATAACACAAGTTTACCTATATAACAAACCTGCACATGTACTTCCTGAACTTAAAATAGAAGTTAAAAGATATATATTCGAAATATTTCAATTTTTCACTCCAACTCATACTGATAGTTCCCAAAATGACAAAGCAATCTCAGTGTTTTATAAAGTAATCTTAACGTCTAGGAACTTAACGCAGTTACAACATAGTTGCATTCTATAAATGTTAATCCCTTTAATTTATTGTATACCTCCCTTTTTCTTGAAAAAGCAACAAAAATTTATTAATAGAATAATGAACTGTAAAAGGCAAGAATGAAATGGAAATGAGATTTTTGTATGACCACTGTTTCAATTGATAACTTTCAAGAGTATTGAACCATGTCACCATTCATCTTAGGATCTCTCTGTGAAGCTTGTCTTTAAGGGTGCTGATTGCCCTAACAATAAACTTGACATTACATTTCTATATACTATTTGCTTTAAAGTTTAGCTGCAGTTTCAAATCATGTAGAAAAAGAGAAGCCTAAGACTGCCAATGAGGTGATCTTCATAGGCTGAGGAATTCAATCACTGTTTCCATCTGTGACTTTGGTTTCTAGTTCATCCTGTAGATGTTGTGTGGCAAGCCGCAGAAAAGAAGAAACAAGATAATCTTTAAGTGTATTGAATTTTGTAGCTATACCTAAAAAAATTCTTCAGAGCCTACAAGAATATTTTAAACCTCAGTAAACATGGTTGGCTTTTCATATATACTGCCAAACAAACCATTAACACATACTTATACTTCAGAGAACACAAAATGGAATATCATAATTTGTAAATACTTCTGTTACGTTTGAGAATAAAAAATTAAATCAAAGACAATAAACTATAAATTATAGTTCCAAATAAGTACAATGATGATACATTACACTATACTTGACAGCCATTTAATAAATGTTTGTGGAATATTGATTGAAATTTGGCTTTTCTTGAAGAGTTTGATATCATGTAGTGAACAATAAAAATCTCTATTTTTTATCTATGTATTATTTTTGGCAAGATTATACTAGAGTCAGAAATGATTGAGAACACTTAAAGTCGTTTATACTTATCTAATTCACTGTTTAAGAATTCAGAAGAATACAAATTTCTGAGCTGAATTTTGTTCAGTGAGTCTACAGGAGTAACTAGTAACTTTTATCCCAGGTGTATGGGTACCAACTCACCTAAATATGCAAATGTATTAATATCATTTGTGTTTGATATGTTAATATTTTAAAACTGTCTTTTTAAAGTTATGCCAAAATTAAATTTGCAATGGTATTTGTGCGTGATTCATGAATCTTTCAGGGAGACAATATAACTTATAGATAGATGTTCTTATTTTTGAAATCTCTGTGACATCTCTTACTTCAATAATATTTTTCAATCAAGTCTATTTTGAATTAAATTGTATTACAAAATTGACATCATGGCTTCATATAGGATTATTATTGATATACTCCAGGATGGTATAGAATATTATATCTTTTAAGTTGTCACTTGAAAGCAAGAAAAAATATCTTTATCTCTGTAAATAGAAAAGGAATTTACTAGAGAATATTTAAGTAGTTTACAGAATTGTTGAACTTTCTAGAGAATGAGTTTAAGGCTAACCTTTCAGGAAACATGTCATAAACACCACTGTAGATATAGCGTAATGAAAATACCACTGCCCTCCTGCTAGTTAGCAGCCAAGCTCTAGAGAAAATAGCAATGATGCTTTTTTCAGGCCTTTTCATGAAAACATCTCTGCATAGGCCTGAGACATTGCTAACTCTGATACTAATTAATTACAGATGCTTCTGCTGCCACCATGACAAAGAAAATAGATTAGGCCCAGTGCTTAATGTCTTCAATTACACATTTAGGAACGTAAATGCCCTAACAGTTGACTGTTGCGTGTAAACTTACCTGCCTCTGTACTAGCTGTCAAGGAAGCTGGTGAATTTTCTGTTTCACCTTGATCAAGAAGGATCTTGAACCTAAAAATGTTCCCTTATAGTTACGGTAGCAATCTGCATTTTTATTATAGTTAGCAAAAGCTCGAGTCAAATACTTCCAAAATTTATCAATTCAAAATGTTTGATGCCTGATTTATCAAAGAAGACAATCACTGTACATATTTTATGACTTAAAATTTAGCACACAATTGACATATACATTTATAAAGATAGTAGATCCAGAAGCAAAATACATAAGAAATGAGACAAGAAAGCAAATGTTATTTATTAGATCCATTTGACAACATTAAGTATATTAACATAGAACAGAACAATAAAGTCCAATTGAAAAGTCATCATTTGAGATTATAAAAGAAAGTAAATGATATACAACAGTTGACTTTCAAGGGAAGTACACCAAGACAATTCAATTACACAGAACAAGTTCTAGGACAAATGGTTCTAGGACAACTGTATATCTGCATGCAAAAGAATGAAGTTAGATCTCTTGCTTATGTCAGACAGAAACAATAACGTCAAACAGAACACAGAACAAAACCTAAGAGCTAAAATTATTAAACAGTTGAAAGGAAACATACAAGTAAATCTTTATGACCTTGGGTTTGAGAAGCTCCTATTAGATTTAACACCAAAAACACAATAAAAGAAAAATAAATACACTGAAATTCATCAAAATTAAAAACTTTTATGCTTCAAGGGACACTGAAAGAAATATGAAAATACAACTCAGAATGAGGCAGAACATTTGAAAATAATTTATTTGATAAGGAATTTGTATACAGGATATTTAAATAATGCAACACAATAACAAAAAGACAATAAATCAAAATTTTAAAAGTACAATGGATTGGAATAGGCATTTCTCTAAAGAATACATACAAATGTCTAATAAGCACATGAAATAATTACCCATTTGAGTAATGCAAATAAAATCCACCATAAGATATTTTACACACACTAGGAAGGTTATAATCAAAAAGAAAGAAAACAAGTGTTTGTGACACTGTAAAAAAATTGGAAACATCATTCCTCGCAAATGAGAATATTAATTGGTAAAGCCATTTTAGAAAACAGTTTGGCAGTTCCTCAAAATGTTAAATATAGAGTTACCATATGACCCAGCAATTCTATTCCTAGGTATATACCCAAGAGAACTGAAAAGATATCCCCACACAGAAACTCGTACATGAATGTGCATAGCAGTATAATTCCTAAGAATGTCAAAGAAGTAAAGAAAACCCTAGTGTCAGTCAACTGAGTAGATAAATACAATTACACACACACACACACACACACACACACACACAGGAATATCATTTAGAAATTAAAAGAAATGAAGTCTTTAAATACCCTACAACATGAATGAAGCTTGAATACATTATGTTAAGTGAACGAAGCTGGTCACAAATGACTACATATCATATGATTAGATTTCTACTAAAATATCTAGAACAGAAAAATCTATAGAAAGAGAAAGCAGAATAGGGTTCTCCTAAGGATGACATTACTTGAGATAAATGAGAAGTAACTATGAATGAGCGTGGGCTTTATTTTGGAGATATAAAATGTTCTAATATTGTGATGAGGATTGCACAACTCTGTGACTACATTAAATACCATTAAATTATGTCCTTGCATGGATGTATTATATAGTATGCTAATTGCATTTCAATAAAGTTAAAAGTAGGTAGTTTACTTTTTTTTTTGTAAAAGTTTTAAAGCTTGGATATGATGCTGGGTATTTTTCTTAAATATTTTGTTAGTCAAAATATTTATGGAGGAATGCCCCAAAAATCATTTTATTTGTCAGTTATTCATCATTTCAAGTACATTAAATGTCATCAAATATAAATGTACAGCAACAGCATTATGAAGCCAAGCTTTAATTTCCAAGGAGTGGAAACCACCAATTACTATAAGTAATACCTGTGAACAGGGTAAATGACTTATATTAATGAATTTACCAGAAAAGTAATAAAATATAATAAAAGTTAAAGAAGTTATACAAATGCTTCTCTTGCTCAAAACCCCTATGACATCTAAACAAAATTGGAAAGTTTTACTGCAAATTAATGCTAGAAATTTGCTTTTACACATCCATCAAGAAAGAGGTAACACTCAAATTATTCCCTCAATATTTTAATCATCTTTTGTGTTTCAAGATAAATACATTATCAACTCTATTAAATGTATATATAAAACTGGAATAAACCATCTCAGAGTTTTTATATCTTATTATATCATAAACAAAATTCAAAAATGTTCTAATTAAGACCCAGTGTATGCATTAAAATGCCTGTCTCAATTAGTTTCAATAAATAGAAATAAAAATTTAAATATTTTTATGGATAAATTTGTTATAATTATTGACACCACCATATCACTAACATGCAATTATTCATTCTAGTTTGGTTAATCAAGTATTTATATAACTTTGTTACTTTTACAATTAAGTTTCATGAGCCTGGATGGCAGGCATCTATTACCTGAGTTGCCAATCGTAAATCAAGGGTATATAGCATTCTTTCAGAATATAGAGGAGGGAGGACTTCTAAACTCATTCTATAAGGTCATTATTGTCCATATACCAAAGCCACAAAAAGACATCACAAGGAAAGTAAGCTACAGGCTAATACGCTCCATGAATGTAAACGTAAAGATCATTACAAAGTACTTGGATCCAGAAACATTTTTAAAGGATCATATATCATAACCCAGTTATGTATTTAACTTACTAAAACCAATTAATATAATTGTCATACTAACAAAAAAGGGAGGAGACATACACAAATATCTCAACAGAGGCAGAGAAATAATTTGACAAAATTCAACACTGTATATAAAAACCTTCAATAATCTATAAATAGAAAGAGACTTCCTCAATCTGAAAGAAAAACAAATATCTGAAAAACTCACAGCTAAGCTACATTTAATGGTGAAACAAAAATGCTTTTAATCCCCTAAAAGTAAGAAGAAATCGAAGATGTCCATGCCACCAGTTTTATTTAAATAGTACTAGTTACAGGTACTGTAATAAGGTGTGTAAATGTGGGTACAAAAGAAGAAAGCAAGGGAGAAAAAGATTAATGTCATCAAGACTAGAAAGAAGTAAGACTATCTTTACTTGCAAATGACAGGATCTAATAGGCTGATTATCCAAAGAAGACACACACACATGCATGCACACACAAATCTCCTAAAATGTGTAAGTCAGTTTACCTAGTTTGGATCAATATAAAAATCATTTGTATTTCTAAAGCCTATTAAAGAGTGATCTAAAAATAAAATTAAGAAAAAGTTTCATTCATAATGGCATCAGAAAGGTAAAAGTATACAGGAATACATTTTTCAAAGTTTCAGGTTTATACCCAGAATTGTATAAAATGTTTGCAGTGAGAAAATAAAGAAGGTCCACATAAATTGAGAGATAATCTGTTATTATTAATTAAAGGAAAAATACATTCAGGATGACAATTCTCTTCAAATGAATTTGTAAATTCATTGCAAGCCCAATAAAAATTCTAGAAATTTACAATCTGGTTTTAATATTTACATGAGAATGTAAAGGACATAGAATAGCCAAGACAATATGTAAAAAATATAATAGGATTGAAGGACTGACACTACCCAATTTTAAAACTTATGATGAAGCCACAGTAATAAAAAAAAAAAAAGCGTGGTACCGGCATAATGATAGACAGAGAAAGCAATAAAACCGACTCAAGAGTTCAGAAGTAAATGCTTACTTTTAAAGTATATTGATTTTCAACAAACTCTTCAAGATAAGCCAATGCGGAAAACTTTAAATTCAACAAATGATTCTGGGAATATTGGACATAAAAAGGAACCTAGACCCTCACCCCATATAAACACAAACATTAACAAATAGTCTAACCTAAATGTATGAGAAAAAGTAGGAATTTAGAATAAAACACAGGAGAAAATATTCATGAAACTGGGCCAGTCAAGGGCTCTTAGATATGGTAACAAAAGCAAATTCATAGTACAAAGAAAAAATTGATTTTTTTCATAATTAAAAACTTTTGTATTTCAAAAGATCTTTAAAAAAGAAAGAACAATCAATAAAATGGAAAAATGTTTGCAAATTTTATATCATGATGAATTTGTATATAGTAACTGAAAAATTCTTTAAACACAGTAATGAGATAAATAACAATTTTCTTAAGTAGGCATGCTATTTAAAGACAGATTTTACTAAAGAGCATATATAAATAGCTAATAAGAGCACATATAAATAGCTAATAAGCACAGGTAAAATCGCTTAAAATCCTTAGTTATTAGAGAAATCTTAACACCACAATGAAGTACCACTTAATATGAGAATGCCTATATTAAAAACCATAAGCGACACCAAGTGTTGGCAGGGGTTTGGAGAAACTGGAATCTTTGTGTATTGCTGAGGGTAATATAAAACGGTACAGCCACTTTAGAAAATAATTCCTCAGTTTCTTAAAAAGTTAAGCATAAGCTTTCCATATGACCCAGTAATGCCACTCCTAAAAATCTAATTACCAGAATTGAAAATTTATGTCCACACAAGCTTTTGTCAGTAAATGTTCATAGCAGCATTATTCATAGAAGCTGAAGACTGGAAGGGTCTAATCCAAATGTCTATCAATAGTTGCATGCATAAACTAAGGTGCCTTAGCCACACAATAGAGTAACTAATCAGTAATAGGAAAGACACACTTTTTCCTTTTATCGATACATACCACAACATGCTTTCATCTAAAAAAACAAGCAAAAAGCCCGCAACGTTCTTCTTAATGAAATAAATCAGATGCAAACGGCCTCAAGTTGCTTGATTCTAATTACATAAGATGTCTAGAAAAGAAAAATTTATAGACAGACAGCAGATAAGTGGCTCTCTAAGGATGTAGTTAGAGGAGGAATTAACTGCACACAGGTATGAGGCGACTATTTGGGTTAGTAGAAATGTTCTAACAGTGAATTTTGAGTGAAAGTTGCACAAGGTGAATAGATATACTAAAAATTGTGGAATTGTATACTTCCAGACAGAATTTATGACCTATAAGTTATCACTCAATAAAACTGTGAAAAAATAATGGTGAGTGAAAAGCTCTGTTTGCCATTTAAAACCTACAAATTTCAGGATTGAATTTAATCTCATCAACTTTTATTACATGTCCACTCATGAAATAATTACTGTACCTATGGGGAAGGGGTTTACAATAGTCAGGTATAAATTGTGGGCCAAATGGATCTGGAGCCTATGGACAGTCTCTCCTGGTTAATAGGGAGAGGATGCAGGAGTTAGTTTACCAGTAAAAATACTAAAAAGGAAGAAAAAGAACAAGAATGCCACTACTTTTAAACGAATGTGAAATTCTATTTTAATTGAAGCAAAGTAGAATGAGCCCTCTGTATCCATGAGTTCCACATCTGTGGATTCAAGAAACTACAGATTGAAAATATTCAGACAAGAAAAATGAATTGTTTGTCTGCACTGAACAAGTACAGGCCTTTTTTCTTGCCATCATTCCCTAAACAACATAGTATTAGTACAACAACAATTTACACAGTATTTACATTGCATTAGGTACTTTAAGAACTCTAGAGATGATTTAAAGTACGTGAGAGGATGTAGGTAGGTTATATGCAAATACTACACCATCTTATATAATAGACTTGAATATCTCTGGATTTTGGTATGGGGAAGGGCTAGAAACAATCCTCGGTGAATACCTAGAGAACTGCATTTACTTTTATTAGGCTGAAATGGAAGGCAAAATACCAGTAGCTATTAGATCAATATCAGAAGTAAAGAGAAGTAGAGATGTTATCTGAGAATCAGAAATCTTTATATTGGGAGCATGGAGAAGATTAGGGCATTTGGACTTTTTGTCATTGGATGTTAGTCTTGTAGACAGGTCGGTTTAGTTCCTGACATGGAGATCCAAAGATGTACTGATCCACAGTCCTGATGCGAAAAATTTGTGGATCTTCTTCCTGACATGGAAAAGTTGCTTTATTTTGTATTAAAATAAAAATTAGCCTCTGACACTAAGGGAAAGTAGAAAGTGTACAAACATATTTAAGCTTCCTTGTCGTTGAACATTATTTAACACTGTACTCTTTAAAGGCAGCTGAAGTAAATTCCAGCACTCCAACATGCCCTTACCTTTCAAAAGACTGAAGAACCTCATTAGATGTTTTTTTCAAAGGAAAGTTGAAAAATACATTACTGAACTGGAAGAGATAATTTTTGCGTTTGACTTTCCCATGTGCTCTTTTACGGCACTAAACATGTTGTTTAACTTCTGAGCCTTAGTTTTTCATTATAAAGTTATAAATAGCAGCATATTTTCTAACCCATTTGTAAGAAATGAGAAACCTTATATGAAATCACTCAGTAAGTGGCAAAGCATTTTAAAACTTGAAGGCACATTTCTATTTTTATTTAACTTGAAAATAAATTACTTTTTCTCTGTCGAAAGCACACAATAACTTCTAAATGTATGTGACAATGCCCCTAAAACAATCTCTAAATATATATTATATATATCTTGCTTTTAGAAAGCCAAGTATTTTTTCTACAGAGAGAAAATCAATTTATTGTTCAACTCAGTGTGGAGATTTATTTGTAACCTGCCTGTCAACTCAGCGCAATGTCAATGTAGATTCCTCAAATAGTTTTTATTTTAGAAAACTAAGTTTTTATTTTAGCAATATTGCAAAAATAGTACAGCAATTTCCCTTGTACCACACAGTTTTCCCCATTATTGACATCTTACATTAAGTATGGTACTTTTGCCACGAAGAGCCAATATTGGTACATTATTGTTAAGTAATGTCCATAGTTTCTTTAGACTTCCTTATTTTCTACCTAATGCCCCTTTTTTGTTTTAACATCCTATCCACATTACCACATTACATTTAGTCATCCTATCTTCTTGGTTTTGATTAACTTGGTAGGTTTGAGGAATATTAAATAGGTATTTTATAGAATGTCTCTCATTTGGGATTTGCCCATTGATTTTCTCATGACTACACTGAAGTTATAATCTGGGGGAAAGAAGAACACAAAGTAACAATCTGTTTTTCATTAGACCATGTCAAGTGTACATACAGTTAACATGGTTCATCACTATTGATGCTAATTTTGATATCCTGGTTGAGATAGTGTTTTCCAGGTTCTCCATTCTAGAGTTACCCTTGTATAACCCTTTCCATACTGTGTTCTTTGTAAATAAGTCCACATATGAAGCCCACACTTAAGGAATGGGCAGTTACATTCCACTTCCTTGAGGGTACAGTAATGACATAAATTAATTGGAATTCTTTGGCATGGGAGATCTCTTATCCTTCATGTGTTTATTTATTCAACGATTTATATTAGTATGGAATCTGGATATTTATTTCATCTTTTGAGATATAATTCAATAATACTTTACATTTTGTTACTCAACTGTTCTAGCTTTGGCCATTTGGAAGCTTGAAAGGTTGGATCTTGTGTCCCTTTGACATACCTCCAACATTGTAGGTTGTTTTTAAAAATGTGTTTGTTTGTTTTGAAAATTTTCCTACTTTCTTGTACTACAAGATACTCCAGGCTCATAATCCATATTTTCTGTCCTAATCCAAGAGTCAGCTATTTCTATAAGGAGCCTTGGTTCTTTTAATTAGATAATGGTATTAACAGTCAAGAGCAGGATGCGAGGCGTGCTCTTTGCTGCTGCAACTCCTTGTTTTGGGCTCTCTCAGCTGACAAAGCAAGGAAATGTGTGTGTGCGCATAATCACCCATGCATATACACATATTTATATATATTTCTATAGATAAACATCTACATTTACATTAAGCTGAAGGTAAGTTCATACTGATGTCTATACCTCTAATCCAATACCATGTGAATTATTCAAGCTTACTCCCTTTACTTAAATCTAACTTCCCACTTCAACAGTTGAGTTTTTGGACTCCCAATATTTGCCATACATTTACTTAATTGTTCAATTCCAGTTTACATGTGTAGTGGTTTTAGAATTGTTGATCTGTGTGCTCCATGAGACACCACTTTGTCAACTAACATACATGCTTATGTAGATTATGTGTGGTTTCTTTGGACTTTATTCTTACAGACTCCACTCATTTCTAGTTATTTAGATCAACACAGTTTTTCTACACCCCTAAGACTGAGGTTGTTTTGTACATTTGTAATACATTTAGATAATTTTTTCACATTCTGCATTCTATCCCAGAATCCTCCAGTTAAGTGATTAAAAAAATTTGCACAGATTGTTTCACGCTTTGAGTCACATAATTCTCCAGATTTTAACAAATTATCTTTAAAAATTTCTGATTACTCTTAAAAAACTTACGAAAGTTATTGTGAAGGTGGTTCTGGATTATTGCAATCTTCTCTGATCTTCCAAATTTCTATTCATTGCTACTTTGCTCTTTATGGTTTCACTTATTCCTGCTATGTATGAATAATACATTTAGTAGAGAACATGGCAACTCCTGTGGCCAAGAAATATAATGACTGGGAGATTTCAGCTTTTCTCTTTGGCTATACAATTGATCTAAATTAAATACAATTAATTAATTTAATACAAGAATTGGGTAGCTGAGAATAACATAGAGTTAAGGAGGCATCTAGAAAAGAAGGAAAAGCAGCGCTGAGAATCAGAATACACTGAAAGAGGAATTGGGAACACATGTTTAGCTGTCAATTTGCTAGACTTGTACAGGATACACTTCAAGATTTTATTAAGGTTAAACTTATTAGGATTGAATGGAACAAGCCCAAAGCAAACTCAACTTACCAAGTGAGGTTCAAATTTGTTTTGGTTCCAGGGCTCTTTTATCAGGATTAAACACGAGTAAGACTAAATGTCTACTATACCACAGATCAACGTCACAGAAGAAGCTAAGGATGTATAAATTCTCAATGCAATTCTGCTTATCATGTGCTGGGTGACTTCTTGTGTCATCATTTATATGGAAGAACTATGGGATGCATGAACTTCATATACTTCTTCATAAAGTAAATAGGTTAATCTTTAGATAGCAATAGTTGGATTAACCTGAAAACAAATGAGAATCATGAATTTGAGGCTTATAAAAATCTTTAAACTATGAATTTAAATTTTTGTATCAACATGCATGTAATCTCCATGTAACATTTAAAAATGTAAACATCATGGGGAGGTAAGCATTATAAAATATGCACTAAATTAGACCAGCTAAGCAAGCAAACCATAGTTGAGAAACATATTTTTATCTGGAAAAAAAAGTGAGTAAACTCTTAAAGGAGCTAGTTGGCTTATCTACTGAAATAATTAAATTGATGGAAAAACTAAATGAATTATGAAAAAGCTAAAGAAAAACCCTAACTGTAATAGTGGAATGAGAAAGAAAAAAGTAGAGTGAAAAAAGAGTGAGTCACATTGAGAATGTTTTTTACTGATACAAACTTATGAAGCACAGTCTGTTCTCAAAAAGGTTATTATCTTTAAGTGTTAATGTAAATCTATTCTCAAATTATAATTTATTATTAATAATTTATGATGATAACACTACTGACAATTTATTGAATATTTACTATGTCAGGCATTGTGTTAATCTTTTTCTAGACATTACTTCATTGAATTCTCTCAAGGATTTTGTGAGACTAGTATATTTATCTCAAGACATGTCCTGACACAGGCACCAAGGCTTAAAAAGTTTCCATGTTTGCAGTTTATGTTGAGCTAAGAAATTAAGATTCAGTGTTCAATTCAACGTTTTACCACAAACTCACTGTTAAATAGTATATTTATAGATGTATACATTGTATGTATTAAAAATAATGTCTCAACCTTCTATACTTCCTAGATGTGTTTATCTACCAACACAACGAAGAAAAAATTTTCAAAGGATCAGAAAGCATAGGTGCTACCAGCATGTCTTCAGTTCTTCTGAAATTAGAAGCTTCCAAGTATTCTGCCTGGCATATGCCATGTAAAAAGAGTGCTGAGCTCACGGCTGCAGTAGACATTGGTTCATATGGATAATACAGTTACACATGATAGGGGAGTATGTGGGTGCCTGATGATGCTAATAATTTCTTCTCATTATCAATGTATTCTATCCTTGGGGATCAAAATTTTTCTGGCAAATTTTATGAACTAAAAGTTTTTAAGAATATTTCACAATCATGTTATACCCTACAGTATATGGTTAACAATGAACAAGGAAATCATGTGTGAAGGAGTGGAGATGGTTTTTAGAGCTCCTTCTTTCACATGGAAACTTTTGGTCTGCCTTAAAAATATAAAAAGAATAGTATGAGATTATATGCTTTAATTAGTTTTTTATGGGACATAGTTTGGAGCAATCTGCATTCCAAACAATCATCACCTGTAACATGTTTGTAAAAATGTTTTGCCTTATGAAGACCTATGATACACAACATGTTGATATAAGTATACTTTCTGAGTCTAAAAAAATTCAATGGAAAGGAAAAACACATATGTCTCATTTCTCTGTGACAAAATAACTATGCCTTGATTTATATTCTATTAAATATAGTAAATTAATAGCAGCTATTTGCAATGACCTTTTATAATCCATAGAAGCACAGAGTTTCAGTGGAATTTGAAATCACAGAGTTGGAATATTTCCTTGGCTTTGACTCCATTCAATTCTGTGAGACCTCCCAACACTCTAATATTACACACACATCTGAATTCTCCTATATTGTTATACAGATGATTACATGTAGTGTTAGCCATTCCCCTATCCCTTCCATGCTCCCTGATGTCTACTGTTCCAAAGTTGAAGATGGCAATGATGGTGTGTAGGCACTGCAAATAAATTACGGCTATTAACCCTGCAATGGCAGCAAATTGACATAGCCTGTTCAGGGCACTAATATTGGATATTCTAGCTCTTAGCTGGTATGGCAATTGTCATATAATTCTGTTTTTCAAAATTGCTTTAACACATCTCCACCAACACCTCAATACTTGAGCCTTGGGCTTCTAATGCATTGCAGATACCTTAATAAAATTGTTTGATTCTGCAACCCATTCTCCTAATTCAATGGAAAGGAAAAAACATGAGTCTATGAGGAAGTAGCTAAGGTCAATCTGAGTGATTAACACTCAACTTCCCTTCAAATCACCCACCTGTGGCCATACCTTGGATGGAGCTTGAACACCTCAACTGGCTTTTCCTTGGTGAAGGCCTCTTTCAATTGAGGCTCCTTTTTTTCCTTTTGCTCATTGTCACCTGGCAGTTTTGTTCTGCAGACTTTCCAGGCATGACTCTTCCTCTCACCACCATCACCAACATATCAAGGAAACACCACTGGTACCACAGATAAAATATCACCATACTACTGAAGCTGCAGAATAAAATCGTTATAAAATTACATTGGCATCAAAGATTTCTTGTCATTGGTCACTATTGAACATTGGAAAAGAATAGGTAACAGTGGGGTGAGTACCCTATTCGAACCACAATGGGACATCCCATTTTCTTCTGGATTAGCCAATTACAGGAAATGTTTCTATGCCACAAACACCCTTCTAGATACTGCATTGTCTGAGACCCCACATTTCATTTAGGAATATCTTCTTGGGATGTCTAAAGGAGGGTTATCCAGAGTAAGAGAATTAGCTGGATGCTGAGAGAAATGTCAGGGCACAGAAGCACATCATTCCTGCTTGATGGTCTTTGGGTGAAGTGCACCTCTCCCCAGAGAGCCACATGAATGGCATCTAGTATAGCATTAGGAGTGTGAGCACAGAGGATGTTCAGTGCCAACTCATTGCACAGGGGTGCACCTGGGTCTCTGGGTACTAGAGTAGGCTGAGCTTGCTCAGATAGAGCTCAACAAGATCTTTCTACTGATTCTACTGATTCTCACACTTTTCAATCAGCCCCATCTGTCTAATACCTGACTAATACTAATATGACTAATAATTTATCTGCCATACCTCCAGCACATAAAAACTTTACCTATTTCATGACCATGTGAGCAAACGAACAGCATTAAGTATCCTACCATATTTTTTTGCGCTTTTGCCTCACCTTTAATAATTTTCAAACTAAGATTTTCACCTCTTTGTCTTCCGGTTTGGCTCCAATAATCTTTCCCTAAAGTGATGAATGGCACATGTCTAAGGCTGCAGGAGCACATGGAAGGGTCCTTGAAGTAAAAGTAAATACATTATATGAAGCACAGTTGGCAATAAGTGACACAATTGAATTCCTCAAATTAATCCAACACATAAGCATCACTCACTTTGAACAGAAGAGGAATCTCCTTGGCGTTAAGTAATGATTCTCAAGAGGGATGTCCTCTTCACAGAGTCACAGAGGTGAATACAACATAATCACTTTGAGAACCTTTTCAAACCATACCTCCCCAGTAACATGCACTCCTTAAGGGAAATGGAGTTTTCCTCTCATCTCTCATCAAAATCACTAGTAGAATGCAAATTGGTCGTATAATTCAGGGTTTTTTTTTCTTCTAATGATATAAAAATACAATTATAAGAATCACATTAATATTAAAAGAAATGACAATAATAAAACAATGACAATAATGAAGTAAAATGGCATTTGCTAATGATTTCCAAAGAGTGGCTTAAGTTCAAATAAATGAGTAATTTACTCAGCATTCTGCATAAACATCTCTATTAACTTATAAGCTGTCTTTTAAGAAAATCGTATAAATTTAAGGGGTACAAGGGCAGTTTTGTGACATGGATGTATTGAGCAGTGGTGAAGTCTGGGCCTTAGTGTACATGGTACCCACTAAGTAATTTTTCATCATTCTCCCCTCTCTTACCATTGGATGTTTATCACAGTACTCTTCGTATTAGCAAATGTATGATTTTTTAAAATTTTCTCTTGTGATAGACACATCATAAAGATCTAGCAAACACACACACACACACACACACACACACACACACACACTATTGGTTCTGTTTCTCTGGGGAATTCTAATACTGACATGACTACTAATAAAAATATGTAATTTTTAAATATCATAAATAATAATTATTATAAATATATAACTATGAAAGGCCTAAATACTGCAAAGGTTAGTTCTATGACAATGAATACAAAAGGATATGTATCTAGATTGGTGGTAAGAAAAACTTCATTGAGCAAATAATACTTATGATCTGAGGATAAATTAAGAGGTAACTAGGTAAAGGAGGGTGAGGAAAAAAAATTTCAGACAGAGAATAATATGTGCAAATACTGTGTGATATGAAAAAGGTGTCGTGTTCCAGAAAGGGAAAGAATGTCAGCTGACGAAGAGCAAGGAGGGGAATGTAGCATGAAGATATTCTAAGGTTAGGCAGAAAGTAGTTTATATACATCCTGGTGTTCATTTTAAAAATATTCATCTCTAGAACAATGAATGATCCAGAGATATCTTAAGTGGAAAGTAATATGATGAGATTTTTGTTTTAAAAATATCAAAATTGTGGTTGTCATTTGGTCTTACTACTGTTATACAGCTCATTCAGGAATCATTTTAGTACTGAATCTATTTGTTAGGTAGACTGAATACAGTCATTTATTTAATCACATTAGTAGGTATATATTTTGATGGTGATCAGTACTAAAGTCTGCAGATCAAAAAGAACAAATTGTCTTTGTTCACAAATATCAAAAATGAAAGAAATGTATCTGAAGTATATAAGCTGCATAAAATATAATTTTAAAATGCATTTCAAATAAAACCTTTGATTTGATATAAGCATTCCAACAGTCCAATCTTACCAAGTTTTGAATTATTTTGTTTACCTTACACCAAGAAATCTTTGGTATCTCAATTTCATTTAATGTAGGTCATAGATTTCTTCCAGTTTTAGAAAATCAACATAGCAATCCATTGGAGCTATTTCCAGCTGTTCAAACTAGAAAACGATGAAAACATATTACATGGGATTTGTATCTGTATAAGATAACAAGCTTAGAAAGGTCATCTAGAAAAACAGAGAACCAATTTAATGGAAAAGTAGGTAAAAGATGTAAATAGCAAAGAACATTAATGCAAATGGGCAATTAACACGTGAAAAGAAACTCAGCTTCATGGTAATTAGCAAAATCCAAATATTAACAAAAAAGAGATATTGTTTTTTACTTATCATATTGGTAAATGTTAAAATATTTGGTAGCAGTCATATATTTTTTCCAAAAATAAATTGGTGCAATTTGGAAGGGAGGAGAAAAGTGTTATAATCCCATATACACTTTTATTTTTTATATGCATCTTACAGAAAATTTTGTTCATGTCCACATGGATAAGTGTCTGTGTGTACGTGCAAAACTACAAAAATAAGGAACCCATCTATGGAAATTCTTTACATAAATATAAGCATTACAAACACATACCCACACATACATTTTTTGTGTATCCATGTATGTGAACGAGTGCGTGTTTGTGTGTGTGTGTGTAGAAAGACTGACATAGAGATGGAGATAGAAAGCTAGAGGGAAAGAAAGGAATCCTTAAAATAAAACAGACGTTTTGCCCCATTTGTATGTCTTTCTTTCAGCCTGCAATGCAGACGTGAGAGTTGGAGCTCCAGCAGCTAGCTGTCTTGGACTAGGAGTTGATCTTGAGATAGAAATCTGATGTTAAGATATTTGAGCAGAAATATAGAAAACGTCTGTGTCCACAGTGACACTGTATCCATGATAACAATTCTGGACTAACCAAACCTTTAATGTTTATGTTGAAAAGGTTGAAAAGGTATGAAAAGGTATGTTGAAAAGGTATGTTTATGTTGAAAGGTATGCATTGAATCATTGCAGCTTCTGTGTGATTTTGAGCATCTGCTCTCTACAAAGGGAGTGAACGCAATTCTGCTTGCGCAGGACAGAAAGTTTGTTCTCTATGTGAAGTCCTCATTTTATAATATCTGGGGACAGCATGTGTCAGAAAATATCATAGTAGGGTGTGGAGTTGTATCTAAGAATGATTTTTTTCCATCCTAATTAAATCCACATTGAATTGTGCGGGCTAAACTTGATATTGTTGGTGGCAAAGTATAGACTGGAAAAAGAAGAACAGGTTTCAGTGGAAAGGCAGTACTTCTATAAAATGTTGGCTTGGGATCCTTGACTTTAAACTTAGAACATTGTCAATATCTTTATTCCCCCGTTAGTACTTACCAAGATATTTTTAACTATTTTAATATGCATCATTTCAATCTAAAACAGTGTCATATTTTGAGTTACATATATTTAAAGTCTATTTTATGCCATTCCAAAAATATACACTCTGCATATGTACTTCAAGTAATGTAGAAAATGCTGACTTTTTCCATGTCACTTTGTGCTTTCAATTTTATTTTATGAATGTTTACTTTTAATATTCTCCTTTTCCTCCCCTTAGGTCCGTGTTGCTGAGTTTATTGCTGAATATTATTTCCTCCATTCCTATAAATTCCCAATTCACCTATCTAAGTTACTGTTATTCTTCCTTTCTTCCTCTCCTGTGTCCTAAATGCTTCTATCCTTTCTTCCTGCCCACTGCTTTCACTTCCTCAGTAAAATTTCAAGCCAACACATGACTCAGTAATAAAATCATATACATTTACTATTTTCATTATTAGTAATGAACCTAAGAAGAAAAAATATTTTAGATGAAACAACATACTTTGTATAGAGCTCACAAATATACAGGACGATATGAAACTGCATGTGATTCTGCACAAGGCATGAGAACTTACTTTTAAAATACGTTGTTTTCCTGTGAAAATTTTCTCTTTCTGATAATACATGGTGAATAAAACCCCCAAAGGAAAATATCTACCTTATCTTTTTAGTTAAAAAGCATGATAAAATGTATAATGATATGAAATTTATAAAGAACCAGAAAGATCATTTTTCACTGGAAGTCAATCTAGGGAATTTTTCTTACTCCTATTTTTACAGGGTTTTTTTTTTTTTTCATGCAAAGGCCACTAGCGGGATATCTAAAGTATTATTTGAAAAAAACAAGTATGATACGTAAAATGAGAGGTTGATTATTCTTGATCCTCACCAACAACTCAATGTAATTCCAGATATCTCCACAATCTTTTATGGCTTAATTTAATTTCAGCTTTGATTATGATTTGATTGTGATTTAACTTCAAAATTAATGACTCTGTGCAGTCTATAGGACAGTTAGTTTTCTTCATGTGGGAATGAAGAACCTTCTACCTTGATGCTTATTTTCTGGACATACATGCTTTTATTTCTCCCTGACACAAACACACCCAAGCTATTTTCCAACAATACTTTGTCCCTTCCAATATCCATCCCTTTGATAATGTCATTTGCCTCGTTTATTTTTGGTCTGCTGGTTCTCATTTCTTCTTTATTCAGACTTCAGCCCATATCTGCCTCCTTAATAAAGTTTCTATTAATCACGTTGCATTTATTCTCTTTTGAACTGTAATAGCTTTGATTCAGTAATTGATAGATAACCATCATTTTTGGTGTTCCAACACAACATAGTACATTTTGTTGCACATGGTGCACTTAGGAATTTCTAATCATTTCTTAATTGTGTATCCTCAAAAAACCCTGTCGAATGAGATTTCATGGATCTAGGGCATTCACCTAAACATTGAAGGTATATACTAACATAAAGCATTAGTTCTCTATAAACATCTAGTTCTAAACGAATATTATACAACTGTAATTACCTTTGTGTTATGTTAAGGAAGTACTTAAATTTTAGTAGAGTTTGGTTTATATTCATATGAGATCCACAATGCCGTTGCAATATATGTAGAAAACTGATACATAGTTTTATGTTTTGATTTTAATATCATGAAAAACTTTGTAAGAACTGATCCTATAAAACTCCTAAGAATTTTTCATATATAATAGATAAAACAATTTTAAATGTGAAGTGGCTTTATATATAAAGACATTAGAAATTAATTTTAAAACCTACTCGGATAATTATAGAAATTATGTGGATCTGGGTGGGAAATATTGTGAATATATATGTACGTGTGTATATTCAGTGTGCTGCAACGGACAAACTATAGGAGGCACCAGTCATATGAATTACGATGTGAGTGGCACAATTAATGTTGGTACAGTGCATAGCCAGCACAACTATATGCAGCATTCCTGAACACATCTTAATATAGAAGGTATCAACAATCCACTTTTTAAGGGTTGATGTAATTTTGCCTAATTAATGCACTGAAATCTGATACAATATCAAGTGTTTTCTTTGATGAACAGCTTGCTCACATCAAAGAACATGAACTATTTGGAAGCAAGATATTATTTATCTAAAAATTTTTATATGCAAATGTTCATTGAAGTTGATTAAACAGAATATATTTTTTATGTTCTGTAAACAGAACATAGTTTATATGCAAATGTTCATAGAAGACATATTAAACAGAACATATTCTTCATTTTGTCTTGTTTTATTTTTTTTCTTTTTTGTGGAGAACTGGTCTTATTATGTTGCCCAAGCTAGTCTTGAACTCCTGGGCTCAAGTGATCCTCCTGCCTCTGCCTCTCTAAATGCTGTGATTTTTGAGTCACTGTGCCTGGCATGAGTCACTGTGCCTGGCAAAACAGAATATTCTTAATATTTCTTTTCTTAAAAAGTTTTGAATAGATTGAAATCACTTCTTTTTCTTATTAAGAAATGTTTAAATGTGTTTCCTCTCCATCAGGTATTCATTTCATATAAAATGAATCCTTCTAACATTATTAATATTAAGTTTTTACTATGTGGTAAGTACTTTTAAAAGATTTTCCATTGAGGATAATATACATTAAAGTGTACTAATCTTAGAAATACAGCATGAAGAAGATATAAAACATATCTAGCACCTAAGAATATTCCTCATATCCAATCCTAGTTAATACCTACCCAAAACCTGACTGCCCCCAACTCCCCAGCAGAAGTAACTCTTCTGCTCTTCTGACTTTATCACTCACTGTCACATTGTTTTGTCTAGGTTAATAAAATCATCAAGTATATATAGCAAATCTGCATTTGTACCTGAATTTTTCACAAAACATAATTTCCGTGAGATTCATCCTGTGGTCACTTACATAATTCATTATTTGTTATTGCTGCATAATATTTTATTATATGTATACCATAATTTATTCTAATATATTTTTCTCTGTTTTTGAAAGTGAGCATCAAATTGGAACTGCTAGAAAAAAGGTACAAACATCAATTAAAGGGATACACTCTTTCAGTTACATTAAGATTCAATATGGCTTTCTGTTTTACAAAGTAATGCAACTAAGAACTACTTTCATCCTTCATTTTGATGAGTAAAATTTTACATTTCTTTTATAACTCTAGATCTGAGAAGTTATTCTATTGTATATAGCTTAATGATGACAGAAAATTACTACACTCAATTTATGTGAAGTATAGAAGTTTATAGTGTGTATGTGTGTGTGTTTTGATGACCTAGGAAGTAGAAACCTAATTAAAATGCAATCAGCTATATAACAGATTTCACAGTCAGTAGGTATTAAGCATATGGAAGATATTATGCTTGGATTTAATAATCTGCACTGCCTCTGTTCTCCTCATAAGTGAATTCTTGCAATGACTCTTAAGCTAACTAAACTCTACAGCTCGTGTATACTAACACTTCACTAACACAACATTTTTCTTGTGTTAGTCTAATTATTTTATTCTGCTACATTGTTCACATGAAATTAATGTAGGAAGACATTCAATGTTGTAAGGAGAAACTTTGAACGCACCATTCTTTTACACAAAAAACCCTTGCAATATCATTAAGTTTTATCAAGAAAACCTTCCAAATTACTTTATTTCCTTAATAATTATGATGAAACAAATGATCTAAAGTTTGTGGATAGAAGTCAGAATGATTTTTTCAGGCAGAGATTACTTCAATTCATTGTGAAAATATACTTTCTTCATTTGCATTCACTACCATGGTTAGAATGTCATTTCACTACTCTACCACCGATAAATGAATATCAGAAACATATTTTTGAATAAATTTTAGGAAACAAATATTTTCTTTTTCTACATCTACTATTTGTTTAATCATGTGACTATTTGCTGAGGGCCTACTGTATATCAGGCATGTGTATAGAAAGCCAGTGATATAAACTTGAATACATTATAGGTCCTGCCTTCAAGGAGCTCAGTCTCTCACACCTTGGTATGATTTCACCATACGGATCACTGTTGACCAAATTGCATATGCAAATTTTAAGTGATGGACCATGAAATGTAGAAAAAATAATAATAAAATAACATTCGCATGTAAGCTGATCTTGTCAGTGTAGGCCATTTGTCAAAGTATTATTATACTAGGTAAGAAAATAAAATTAAAAATATAATAAAAATATAAAATCATATATTTTTTACTTATGTCTTTCCTATTTTCCATAATTTAAGTAGATTGAGTACCTTGCTATTAAAATCAGAAGAAAGCAGATAATACGTATTAACAAAGTTTATTTAATCCATATCATTCTTTTAATTTAATATCACGAAAGTTTATTTCATTCATTATTTAACTTAATTTTATTTAATTAATAATTTAAATAAATTATTTAAAGTTTATTTAATTAATATGTGTATTCATTTTTATATATTGGTAATGAAGAATATGAACTGTAAGAGTAAGGATGGTGTTGGCCAGAGTAGAAGTGCACACTAAGGATGAAAAGGAAAAGACGGTAAACATTTTATTGTTAAACAGGTGCATATTTTCTTTTCTCTTTTCTGCCCTCATCTTCCATTATGCAAAATGTAAATTATATATTAAAACTCACATGGATACTAAGATATTAACATTGACCACGTGTATGCAAATATTAACTTCTCTACTGCAACCATGCTTTATTCCATTGTACATATTTGTACTTCCTAAGGTACCAAATTGTCGTATACACTTCTAACATGGATGTTTAGCACCACATATCAAATGCTTACACAATCTTTGATAAGTGAATCAAAGCAAATAAATTAATACACTATATTATTTATTCTTTTTCTTTGTATATATAGTTGATCCTCGTGGATTCATGGATTTTGTATTTATGAATTTGCCTACTCACTAAAATTTATTTATAACTTCAAAATAAATACTCCTAGAGTTTTGTAGTTATCTGGAGCCATGTGCAGAGCAGTAAACATTTTGAGGCCTGGCACGGTGGCTCACGCCTGTAATCCCAGCACTTTGGGAAGCCGAGGCAGGCGGATCACGAGGTCAAGAGATCGAGACCATCCTGGCCAAAATGGTGAAATCCCATATCTACTAAAGATACAAAAATAAGCTGGGCGTGGTGGCACGTACCTGTAGTCCCAGCTACTCAGGAGCCTGAGGCAGGAGAATCGCTTGAACCCAGGAGGCAGAGGTTGCAGCGAGCCGAGATCGCGCCACTGCACTCCAGCCTGGCGGCAGAGTGAGACTCCGTCTCAAAAAAATAAAATAAATAAATAAATTTGAATCATCTGATGCACATGTCCCCAGCTGAGGTCAAGCAAGGTGATGCTCTGCTTTGTTTCAGCTCCTATACTGCAAGAAATGTCCCTCTCGTGGTGTATTTATTGCCACTTTTTTTTTTTAACCATTTGTGTACCTTTGTTGGTGATTTCACTATTTAAAGTGACCCCCAAGCGTAGTGTGGAAGCACTGTCCGGTGATCCTGAGCTCAAGAAGTCATCCATGTGCCTTACAGGAAAGATACAGATAAGCCCCATTCAGGCATGAGTTATCATGCATTTGGCTGCAAGTTCAATATTAATGAATCAATAAGAGGATAAACCAAGAAAATGGAAGAAAAAATTTGCCTGTTAGTATGTGAACCTTCTGCAGAATGCTACCATAACATCTATAATAATGATGAGGCTATAGAAAATATGAAAAAGCTGCTGAATTTGTGGATTCATGAGATGATGACTGATAAAAAAACAGTGGATAGCATTGTTGTGGGACTGAAAGCCAAAGAAATTTACAGCCACATTACCCAGGGTCATGAAAATGTTAAATCCTTCTTGGCTAATGCTGGCTGGCTCACACTTTTCAAAAGGCAATATGGCTTGAAAAATGTTAAACTTGCAGAAAAGCAGGTTCTGCAGATCAAGAGGTTGCAGAAGAATTTTAAAAATACCGACTAAGTGTTAAACAGGAAAAGGGTTATGTGTAAGAGCAGATTTTCAAAATTGATGAGGTTGACTTGTTTTACAAGAACATTGGCAAACAAACCTATATAACACACATGGCCTCCAAAGCCCCTGGTTTTAAATTATTCCAAGACCATGCAACTAATTATTTGTAAGAAATATGTATTAAAAAAGGTGCTTTAAACAGAGCTCACATAAAACAAGGCTATGTATTGATTGGTTGACAAAAATGTTGTTACCACAGGAAACCTAATTCTGTATTTTCCCCAGGGGCGATGGTTTCTTTTTGTTAATTCAGTGTGTGCAACAACTTTATAGACTATAACTACCTGTACTGTGAATAATAAAAAGTAATTGTGTTCTTTTTTTTTTGTTTTTTTTTTGAGGCGGAGTCTCGCTCTGTCGCCCAGGCTGGAGTGCAATGGCGCTGTCTCGGCTCACTGCAAGCTCCGCCTCCCGAGTTCACGCCATTCTCCTGCCTCAGCCTTCCGAGTAGCTGGGACTACAGGTGCCCGCCACCGCGCCCGGCTCATTTTTTTTTTTTTTTTTTTTTGTATTTTTAGTAGAGACGGGGTTTCATCATGTTAGCCAGGGTGGTCTCGATTTCCTGACCTTGTGATCCGCCCGCCTCGGCCTCCCAAAGTGCTGGGATTACAGGCGTGAGCCACCGTGCCCAACCAATTGCGTTCTTTTTAATGGTCACCTAATAGTCCACTTTTTGAATGCAGCATCAACAGCTGACATAAACTTCCCACTACATTTCCAGTAATTTGACCATACTTGATGTTTCTTGATAATCTTCTTTGACATGTTTTCAGACCCATCCTGCTTTATTCTTCCTTATTTTCCCTCTATGAAGTTTCAGTTCTGATCTTGTCTCTTCTAATTTGTGATCAGAAAGTATAACTCAATCCTATTTGTTAATTTTTGGTGCTGTCTCTACATGACCACATTTCCATTTCTGAACAGCATTGTATAAGGTTGGGGATTGCAATATGTTTGTTAAAGTAATCTATACACTGAAACATACCACAGAGATATCATTTATTTCCTGCATAGCAGATTCTTTATATTTGACAAGGGGTCAGCAAACTACTGCTCATAGACCAAATGCAGCCCACCATTTATTTTAATCAATAAAGTTTTATTAGAAAAAATTCACGGCTATTCATTTATATATTGTGCATGGCTCCTTTTGCACTACAGTGACAGAGTTGTGTAGTTAAAACTGATATCTTATGGTCAAAACCTAAAATATTTACTATTTGGCACTTTACTGATTTCTGACAAGACTATTAAGGCAACATTTTATCTTCAGTCTCTCATCTAGTATATATCTACTCACTAATTTCTTATTTTAATCTGTTTATTTAGTCAAAAATAATATTAGTACCATCATCAATTCTATAGTATTTATAAATATGTTATAAAATGATTTTTTTTCTAATTTTCATAGTTTTTCTGTAGGTAGGTAGGGCTAATACAAAATGTAATTAAAATTTCAACATCAAATCCCTCTATTATTTCCCTAATTTAATAAACTTGTATATTTCTGATTTAATCCTTAACATTCTATTATACATTGTTCACCTGGGAGGCATGGTGGCATGTTCCATAAGCCATCTGAACCTAAGTAAAATGTGAAAAGGGTTATCTACTAATTCGTGCCGTTGTAAGTTTTAGAAGAGTTCTTAGCACATGACAGAATCTCATAAATAATTAACTTTAATATTACTATCTTATATGCAAAGTGTCATCTATGAAGCCAGACTTTCTGGGCTTAATTTTCAAGTTACTCCCTTAGACATGTCAATTAACTCACCTTATTTATTGCTGTCTAACAAATTACCACCAAAATTAGTGGAGTAAAGCAATAAACGTTTTTATTTTCTGTGGTTTTGGAATTTGGAAGCATCTTATCTGGTTCATGATGTTCTGTAAGGTTGCATTCAAGGTGTCAGTCAACAATGTGATTATCTGAAGGCTTCACTGGGGCCAGAGGATTGATTTCCAAACTCACACTCATGGATGTTGGCAGGAGGTCTCACATTTTTGCTATGTGTTGCTGGCGGCCTCAGTTACCACGTGGGTCTTTTCACAGGGATGTTTGAGAATCCTAACACCGTGTTCTCTGACTTCACTCAGAGCAAGAGATCTGACAGAGAAATCAAGAGGGAAGCAACAGTATCTTAGATAAAAATAGTCTCGTATATCACACACTGCACTTCAATTATACTCGTTTCATAATAAGCAAGGCACTAAGTCCACCTCACACTCTAAAGAGTGGAAATAAACTCCAACCCTTGAAGAAAGGAGTATCAAAGAATATGGATATGTATATTAAACCTACTATACTCAAACTGCATCATCTGTAGAATGAAGAGAAATCAGAATAAAATAAAGATTAATTATTGTTTTGAGAGTAAAACGTAAATCACTTAGAATAGAGAGCAACACATGGTAACAAAAGTGAGCCAAACTTTGAGTTTTATATATAAATATAATACTTTCTGCTACAGTATTAGCAGAATGATGAAAATCCCTGAAATCCAACTCTCATTTTAAGATTATTTTGTTACATCATTTATCTGAAGTTTACATTTTATTTTCACACTTTAGGAACAAAATTTCTCTTAGGTTCAGTTATTTGTGTTCTGAAGAAAAATATTCCTTGCTTTTGTTTTCATGATGTAAGAACTGATATAACTTTTCATTTACCAAAATGCTGTTGGTTATGGTGCTCTCTCAGTGACTAGATGGGTTTCCTAGGTTACCACAGCAGAACCCCTTTATCTAGGGGTTATTATATTCACTTTTCTGTATTTATGGCCAAGATAAGCAGAAACATTTTTATAGAAGTACAGCGACGCCTATATATCTCTTTTATTTGACATAATTCAAGTTTCTTTCTGTGTTATTTTTGTTATTTATTTTTGATTTTCTGAAATTTTGCTATATATTTTCAGATTCAGATTATGATATTCAAAGTATATTGTCTGAAGTGCAGTCTCATTGTTATGAAAGATTGTGCAAGAAGTCACAGATTATGTCATCAGATGTAATGTGGAATCATCACAAAATTATGTACACACATGTATAAACACACAAGACAGACAAATCAATTGGCATAGGGACAGTTGACTATATATGGATTTAAAATGTACTTTTTGTAAGTTGCCACACCAATTCTCTTCATAACTTATTTAATTTCTTAATTATATTTGTTATACTTTTTTTGTCCAAAAGTGCAAATGTAAGGATTATAATCAGTGCCTATAATATTTACATCAACTATGGCTTGGTGAGTACAAAAGCTTCCCTCTAATCATGAGAAAAATGGAAACCAGGAATCACAGTTTATCATTTGTAGCAGTTCTCAGCTTTAACATCATTCTCTCTGGGGGAATTTCTCTGATTGAGCAAGGTTCTCTTGTGTTCGATTTCATAGCACTCTGTTATTTCCTTGTCAAAGCACTTATCACTCATTACTGTGCTTGCATCTAACATTGTGTGAATTCCAGTAAATTTTCTAAATTTCATAGCTACAAGGCATGGTGAACTTTTTTGCAAACTACTGTATCCTCAGTGTCTTGCACAATATTTGAATCACTGTAAGACTTGAAGATAAATTGCTTGAAGAAATGTTGAATAAAAGAGTTTGAGGTCAGAATTATGTTTACAATATGGCTAGGAATTATTTGACTGTCTGGGAGCTCCCCTACTTCCAACTGCACACTAGCTCCCCAACAAATATTTTGTAGGATTTGACAAAAATTCTAGAAGAATTTAAATGCATTAGATGTTTATGGAAATATAATTAATAAACAAAGGCACTTAGGATTATTACTATGAGTAAATTCATATTTGTTGAGATTGGCAGTAGGATATTGAGTACCAAACTTTATTGCAATTATTGTCACTATCAGAAGCAGAGTATTGGAATGGATGCAAAAGAGGTGTAGTTTAAGATGTTCTTTTCACTTTTTATATTATATTTGTAAGTGTATTTCTAACCCTAATCAGTTTAGATTGAATGGAAGTGGACATTAGGAGATGTGCAAAATCATTTCATTTTATACTGCCAAATAGTAAGCATTAATTGTTAATAAAACCTGTATAGCTACTATTCAATATCTACCATATGCCAAGCACTATATTTAGTATTTTACAAATATTATATAACCATACAACCATGCTGTGTGAAACTACAGATATTACCTTGAGATGATATTTGGGTAGCAATCATGGGTTTGCCATTTAAACACATCTGTGTGATCATAAGCCACTTAGATACAGGCTATTTGTATTTGTTTTGTCATTTGTTAAAATGGAGCAAATGTTACTTTCCTACATGAAGCATACATTAATAATTGATGATAGTCTGTATTATATTTGCACACATATTCAGCTAGTAAGCAGCAGAATTTGGTCTATACTTCTTTTTATCTTTTCTATGTGCCAGTTTTAAGCATCTTTTATCTCTTCTATTTTATTTTAAATCATCCATGGTAGTTTACTCGCCACAAGATAGGCCAGACATTCTTTGTTTAATTTCAGTTTCAATAGCATATCTCTACTACTTCCCAACCTTGGGAAACCTTCCCCATGTGTTTGCCTGTGTATGCCCCTGTGTGAGTGAGTGTGTGTGTGAGTGTGTGTGTGTATTCTTTGTGTTCATGAAAACATTTTAGCACAGTTGGATGCATTTTTCTGTGATGTCATAAGGAAAGATACAACAGAAGATTATAAATGGCCTGTAAACACTTGCCCCTTGTCAGTTTATAAATAACTGCTATAAAGAGTTTAATAGAGATGGCTGTAATCCTCTGGAGGAGTTCAAACTCTACGTCTCACATTAGAACTTATCTTTTTGGAATCACTTATATAATAATCATGAAGTACAGATCTTTACTGTTCTCACAGAAATTGATTTAAGTTTTACCATTGTAGCCAATTAGGGTTTTTTTTCTCTTTTTATATCTGACATATACTTATGTATAGTACAGGATATATGTTCTGAGAAAATTACAGATCAATGATGCTTAAATAATTTAAATGACTACAAATTTAAATCACTTAAGCACAGAGATGTAGGGTATGCATTTGCAAATTAGATACTATTCATGAAGAAACCCAGTTGCCAAAATGATTTCTTAGCATTTAAGTATCAGATATACCAATTATGTCCCATAATTTGGAATTCTGAAACTCTGCAAGAGTAGGATTGCAATTCATATTCTCACAGAACTGGCCTATAATTTAGTACCTTCTATGCAGAATGAGTAATACACTTATTGGCCATAGTATGTCTCATTGTTAATGAGGCATCTCTTGTAAATGAAAACATATGCCACATGGATTTAATGTACTTAATATAGTTTTCAAAATACCTTCTATAAATTATATTCTAAAATTAAACAGGGCATAAAAGAGTATTTTAAACAATTTAATTAAACTGGTCATAAAGTAATATAAAATTCAAAACTGATTCAAAAGATGCACCTTTGAACACATGATCTTCATAACTTATCTGTCTACATTAAACTACTTGGTAACCTTATTTTAAGAGCCCGTCATTATCTCTAATTTTACCTCTAATATTCCATCATAAAAAATTAACTAAGATAAATTGATTCAAGAAACAATGTGAGTTGGTTTTCTAATAAAGTTAAGTTATGCAACTCAGTAGATTTTCTGTGAATAGAATGAGCTCCAACATCTTATTAGACTTGTAAATGTAAAATTTAAATGGAAACATTCTTTTGAATATGAGAACGGTTTATTGGCTTATCCTGGCACAAAGTAACATAATAAACTGCTAGAATTTTAATTTAAAGCAAAATTTAAAAGCTGTTGTGGTTTGCCAAGATTATCTTCCATCAAAATTTCTTGAATATTTATTTGTCAACAACTTATGTAATTATCCCAATTTAATCTGAAACCAAAATTGAACCCAACACTTTCAGATAGTTTTGGAAAGCAAGAAACTTTTTTTTTTTTTGGCTATGTTTTAATGACCATGACAAAAAGTAAAGAAATTTGAATTAAATAAGGAGAAGGAGGGAGAGTAATGAGGAGAAAGCAAGGCAGCTTTTGCAGTAAGAACTACTACCCACAAATTTAAATAGACATTATTTTATCCTAGGTTTTCAAAAGACTTCATTGGAGTCAAATTAGTGATACTGTGCTTTCACTATTTTATCTTTGATAATACTTTGGTATTGGGGAAAATGTTACAAACTTTGGTGTGATTTTTATCCTCTAGAAAGATGAATTGTGTCAGAAGCCACATTTTTCAGGAGCACTGTGGTCATCTCTTTATTACACATTTGCAGAGAATGAGTCAAGTGAGGGTGAATAATTCAAATACCTCCTTCCTTTTCTAAGCACAAACTAAAGTGAGTAGCATGTGTCTTCCTTCCAAACTCAGCATTTCTCATATGTGTGTATGTGCATACACACATATTTATGTTTGATAGATATATGGATATGGCCTACAATGTTTTGGAAACTGTGTTATGTTTTGTGAGTCTTTCAAAGACATATTAAATACAATGCTTTATTTGTAACAAGCTATAATTTAAGCTAGAATGTGAAAAGTACCCTGTCGATAGTTTAGACTGGTAAAAGAATAAGCACCAGCGAAGTATTTCAAACCTATTGGGGACCCAGAGAACACAGTGGATAAAAATTTGTACATTACTCTTTTTCTGCATGTAGGTTAAAGGGCATTAGACAAACACCTAGTGGTTGTCATGTCATTTTATATAGCAATATAACCAAAATCTGTCTACAAAAACAACTTTTATTTATTGGAGAAAACTGAGTTGAGAAAGATTTGAGTTTTTATTGTCAGAAATCAATCACGCCGAATCAATTTCTCTTACCTCTCTCTCTTTCTCTCTCTTCTGTGAAAAACTGGGACCAAATACTATTGTACCTAACATAGCATTGTTACTTGTGTGGCTAAATTTCTTCAAGTTCCAAGGCAGGAGATATGTACTTAATAATAAGCATCACAGTCATTAATTGCCTGACTTTAAATAGATTTTATAAGGCCATTGGGTTTAATAATAGCTTTTGAGTATAAAAAGCATGCATCCAGACTTCAGACCATTTCACTTTTGCAAATGTCATGTATATTTTACTGTGATGATTGTAGAGTATTCTGTGCACGCTGTGGCTCTCAATACAGATTAAACCAAAAACAGAAACAGAAAGCCACAGCTCCAAAAACTAATAATGTTCTTCTCACTATTTAGAAATAACTGCTGTATTCTTATTAAGTTATTGTATTGAGTGACAAGACCAAATTTAAATCAACACAACGGAGTGGAGAAGACTGTATGAATAATCATTTTTTAGCTGCCAGTCGTTTTGAGTGACAAAGACCACGACAGCAAACTCCTTATGTGTACTCCAATAGTATAGCAGTAAAAACAATTAGGACACTTAAAATTTATTTTTCGTTTTACATATGTACATTTGAGGTCTGGATATTTTAACCTACACCAGATCAGCCTTTGTAGTGAAGTGGGAACTTAAGCTAGAGAAGTTTTCCAGAAAAGCAGCGGAAAGAAAACCTGTTCTGATTGAAGTACATCTGGGGAACGCAGAACGCAGCTTCCTTGGACCTCCAATCCCTCCCTTCATCACTAGGATAGGAGTTCTGGATCTCTAGAATCCGATAGCTTGCTGAGCATTGTTTCAAAAATACTACCTGAAAAAACAACATGCATTCCTTTCCCTTTTCACCTATCCAAATGATTTGGCATGTTCAATCAGATTTCACCTATCCAAATGATTTGGCATGGTAGGTCAGATTGCCAGAGGAATCTACTGGCACATGTGAACAAAATCTTCCAGTAATTTCAAAGGCATTTGATATGTATACAAGGCACCTGCAGCTGCAGAACCTTTGTTCTTATTTGGCACAGGCTCTAAAATTCTGGAATACTTAAAATTTTATGAAGTGCAGGGAAAGAAATAGGAATAACTATGTGATAGCGTCTAGGTATTTTCCTGAGTTATCATTCTTAGAAATATTTGCACAGATGTCTTTGAACCATTTTGTTAATTTTTCCCTCAAGAAGGATGAGAATTTGTATATTTTTTGTCCAATATCTGCTTTCATTAATTCTTCAAATATGAGAGATAATGCCTTGGTCAAGGAGTGTTTTGGTGCATTTTTAATTATAAATATTCACTGGTAAAAACATGTTTTCATTATTCTACACATGGTCATAATCATGATATTCAAATGCTGCCCACCTGAATACCACTCGTGAAGAATTTAAAGAGAGCCTATCTTATATAAATGCCTTGTATATGATGCTAGAATCTGCTCTAGCTCCCCTAGTGTATTGTTTACTATATTCCCTCCTGATGTATCAAACACTTGCAGAAAGCTTGTTTCTGAAACACTCGAATCTTGGCAAAACCCAGGAAAATTACAAGTTTTCCTCATTAATCGTGTGCAGGCCTCTGTCTTCTCCAGCTTGCCCCACTCCTGTCTTTATTTTACAATTTCCAGGATTCATGAGATCATGCATTTTTCCCTGAATTAATGATGAACTACAGAGTAACTTTTGAAATCAGACTGGAAGGGAGAATGAAAATTGGAATTTTGTATATTAAAAGGACAAAAGCTCTAGTCTTTATGCATCAAAAGATACAGTATGTGAAGGCCAGGGACACTCTTAACCCTGAAATTATACGTGGGTGAGTAAGAAAAGCCAAAAGAGAAATCAGTGAAGAATTCAGACTCTGTACTAAGTCCTTTTTGTTTTATTACTTAGAACTTTTTCTCTTGTTGTGGATGATTAGCTGACACAAACATTTCAATTAAATAATTTATACTTTGACAGCAACCCCTCCCTACCCCAGTCTACTCTGTGTGTCCCTTACAGGTTAACCCTGAAATCCAACAGGATCTCCTGCAAATTCCTTTTACACTTTGCCCTGAGAATATGGAATGTGCTTTTCCTTCACTTCTGTGCCATGGGAATTAATTACCTGCAGTTTTCAGCACAGTGTGAAAGTCTTATCTGCTTTCTTTGGCAGTAAAATATTACTGCAAAGCTTTAAACTAGTTTTGAAGTTTTATTGTCTTTTTCCCTCTTGGTTTTAATTATGGATGTTTAAAATGTTTCATGTCAGTAGGTAATCTCATACCTATTATGGTAAAAAACAATGAAAATAATCAGACTGAATTAAACTATGAAAATAAAACTTTATATATAATTCTGGGCAAGCTATTAAAGACCATTGTTTTACTAGGTGTTATAGTATTTAAGTGATTTGTGTAAAGAAGAATCAATATTACTTACTAATAGGCAGAAAGTAGGTTATTTTCCAAAACTGCATATCCATTACATTTAATTGGATCCAGATGATAATACTAATATTTATGATGGATCCCAAAGTCAAAACATAATACGAGAAGGGAAAGAAATAATTATTAAAACCCTACAGTTCCACGGGACAGCATAGGTTCCTGGCTTTAGGGGGACAGTAAAGTTGTAATAAACAGTTGGAAAGAGGGTGAGAAAAACAAGTAGTTATTTTCTATTTTGAGAGTATTCCTTACCTTTTTAGCATATGGTGATTTCAGTTATGTAAGAATTGTTTTTCTTAAACTTAAAGCAAATAAACAAATTTAATAAACCACAAGAAGTGATATTGTATGCTTCCAAATAAATTGGGTATTCAAATACATCAATCTTTATGAAAAACTCATTTTTAGTTTATAAAATGGCACCAAAAAAGAGTTCAGAATGTATAACTCTAATACTTGGTCTGCAAGGTTTTAAATATTTGCACTTACTCTTTTTGTTTTTTTGCTTCCATTTTTATGGTCTACTGTTTTCATATTCAACTGTGCATAAACTGATTGGAAGTTTCAAATTAAACATATTCTTATTAATTGTTATTTTTTTCGTAGTCAACCTATACAATATATACATTCAAATTCAACTTGGAAAATGAAATATAATGTTATGTGTGGTAACAAAATATATTTCCATTTAATGAATTAGAGAGTAATTATTCAACAAGGAGGGAAAATTGTAAAGATCGCCATGCCTTTTTAGATGACGAGATTCTACGTGGTTATAGTTTTCTTTGGAAGTCACTTTTTTCTTGTTTAGATAAGTACAGTAGATATTTTCCTTATTTGTAAATAATATCAATACATAAGAATAAATTTCTCCATTTTAAAATATTAATAATATCAAAAAAGTATTTACTTATTTTGATTACTCTCAAAATATTTAATTTAAAAATCAATGAAGAAGAGAAATAATTACTATATTTAGAAGTTAGTAGAAGAAGAACTTGCCAGAAATCAACAAAGAATCTTCTATTTTGTACCATTTGTTCAAAACTCAATACTTTTCCTGTCTTTCAAAGTCTGTTATTAGCAATACAGTCAAAAGTAGCTTTTGCTTCGTCTACTTTCATATTTAACTTTGCTTTTTGGTTGTTTGTTTTCAACTGTTAGAAAATATGTCTACTTAAATATTTTCCTTTAAAGATATTTTATAATGCTTCAATCATACCATTATTCTTATTAAAAAAAGAGAAGAAAAGAAAAAAAGAGTAAATATGTTTTGTATCTTTAAAGGAAGGCGTGAAATATAATTATTTCATTATAATTCATTCTGAATCCTTTGGATAATTTTTAAGTATTTTTTTCTTTTTCATGAGTTGTTCTTACTCTGACTTACGTGTGGAAAAGGTTTCTAGATTCTGGAATCCATAGTCTCATTGGTAGTACAAAGTCAGTTGTAGACCACATGAATTAGTTGTTCCATTATCTACATAATGTAGTATGTGAATTCGCTGTTATTTGGACTGTGTGATAAACTATAATAAGCAATATTTATTCTATTTGTTTTACAAAACTCAACCAGTAACCCAATTATACCAAAATATACAATGTAATTTAATTATAAATATCATGGGGCAAAAAAAAAAAATGTGGTTTGTTGTTGTTTTGCTTTCTCTTATTTCTTCTTAATAAATTTTGTCAGAAACACATCAAGGCATACAGATATACTTAAGAAGAGGTGGTGGTAAATTATTATATAAACATTTAGAGTTGCACTAGAAAAATATTGGCACAAACAGGATCATATCTCCTAATATAAAGAGAAAAGGATTCATAGGTCTTCATGTTTATGGGGCATTATTTGAATTAGAAATTTATCAATATATATTTTACACATTTTCTCATAACAGCTATGATACATCATCTGAAAAATAAATTTGAATACTAAGTTCTTATTTATTTTAGGCATATTGTTTAATATACAACATTTAAAGTGATTACAACGGGAAAACTTTGGAAAGAAATAAAAAAACTAGACTCTATCATCATAGCCCAGGGAGTATGATTAAAGCCAATTCATACCCAGACACCCTATTGTGAAACAGCAAAATGCCAAATACAAAATATATGCAAAATAAATCCAGGGAAAATCCACAGGTTCCCTAGCCCTTGCTGATCCCCTCCATTCACATCCAGCCAAAAACAGAAACGTTAGAATAAGAAAAAAAAAGTCTATATCTCAACTGCGAAAATGACATACAGACTATTGAAAAATAATTTCCTCATAATACTGACAAACAATAATGTTAAATGTAGAATTTCGAACTAAAAAAAAATGTATATTTCAAGGACAGGAGGGAGAAAGGGAAATACTTAAAAATAAGCATAAACTATGAAGGTTGACCACCTGGAAAGATATGCTAAAGGAACTTACAGAGAATATAGTTCAGGAGAAACGGGAATGGTTCTAGGGGATTACCTGAAATGAAAACGGAATATGGAGCAAAAAAAAATTATGAAAAGTACAAGAAAAGTTTCCTGGATAGAATTACAGTCATAGTGATAATAATGATGATGATGATGGTGGCAACAGTGGTGTGGTGATGGCATGAAAGTCCAGAAGGGTCCAATTAGAGGGACTGTAGCCCCCACCTTATCCATGGGAGATACATTCCAAGACACCCAGTGGATTCTTGAACCTGAAAATAGTACCATAGTACCGAACTCTATACATACTATATTTTTATCATATATATAATAAAATATATATAAATAAAATTTAATTTATGAATTAGGCCTAGTAAGAGATTGGTAACAATAATCAGTAATAAAATTTTAAAAATTATAAAAATATACTGTAATAAAAGTTATATGAATATGATCTCTGTCTCTCAAAATGTCTTATTTTACTGGACTCACCTATTTTCAGATCGTAGTTGACTCTGGGCCACAGAAATCTTAGAAAGAGAAACTGTGGGTAAGGGATGACTACTGTACTTGTATTGCTCAGGAGAAAAGTAAAATACATCTTTTCTTTTTAAAATTTAAATATTTTTGGCAAAATTTTAGAACTTATTACTTAAAGAATAGAAATAGAGTATGTAACTGTCAAACTGGTTCAGAAAAATAAGTGGAAGAAGTTTAGACAAGAAAGATAACACACACACATACAGATATATTGATAGATATAGACATCCACACACATACATTCATTATATATAATATATAATATATATACAATATAATTATATAATATTTTATATATTATATATTACATACATTATTATATATATTATATATAAAGCATTTTTACCACTATAAAAATACTGGGAAGATAAACAAAATTTTACAGTGGTTATCACTGGATGTAGAGCGTATAGATAATAAAAGACCTCCTATGTTTTGTTCTTTTTGAGACAGGATCTTGCTCTATTGTTAAGGCTGGAGTGCAGTGGTGCAATCATAGTTCACTGCAGGCTCAAACTCTCAGTGAGTAGCTGGGCTACAGGCACGCGCCACCACGCCTGGCTATTTTTTAAAAATTTTGTAGAGATAGGGTTCTGAATACGTTGCTTACACAGGTCTCAGACCCCTGGGCTCAAGTAATCCTCCTGCCTTAGCCTCCCGAGTAGGTGGGAATACAGGCATGCACCACCACCCCTGGAAAAATTTTAAATTTTTTTGTAGAGAAGGATTCTCACAATTCTCCTACGTTTAAACTAGCAAGTAAATATTGTTACAATCAGATGAATCCAGATAAAAGTTACATAAAACAAACTTTCTTAAAGCTATTACTACTATTTGATATTCAATATAAAGACAATATATCAATATGCTTAGAAAAAATAAACAGAATGATTTAACATTACCTTTAAAGTGTTAAACATGTTATAATTTATTTGGCAATGATACATCAGGGAAAATTCAATTAAAAGATGTAGAATTTAAAATGGAATGAGAATATAGCCATCCTTCAATTATTCTTTAACTCAGCTTAGGTGTTTAATACATAAAAATGAAAAAAATGCAATCTTTTCTTTGATAGTTTAGTAGGAGACATACAGAGTTTTGTTTTGTTTTTCTCAAATAAAGGCTAAAAGATATGAGAAAACTAAACATAGAAGTGTTATATAGCTGCCATCTAATATATAAGAGGGGTTGGAGAGAATGACATAATATCACACAGTCTGAGTAAAGAAACAGTATTTGTTGGGGAAATGTAAAAAAGAATTACCAAGAGGAGAAATGTGAACCCCAAATTTTCATCCTCCTACAAAAGACACAGGTGATTCAATGGAAAAATCAGAGGGTTGAAGTTACAGGATAGAGATTCGATTCCGCCACAAAAAACAACCCCTGATCTCCTTTTCTTAAATAGTGATGTTTAAAATTAACCTTGTCTATGAAGGAATACTGAGATGCCAGACAGCCTGTGTTTACATTCTACATTTTGACAGGTATAGTAAAAAGTCTAATTACTTGGGAACTTTGGTGGCCCATGGAGAAGCAAGTTTCCATGCAGACACTAGCTGGAAAAAGACACCAATAGTTTAAGATGATTTCAAATGGAATCCCTTCTATTAGGATAAGGAAAGGAGACCCTTTCCTAGCCTGTACATTTTTTTTAAGTAACCAAGAGCAAAGTCCCAGAATCCCAAGGGATAAATTTAGGAAGGTGTCACTAGCATTTAGCATCTTGAAAACTGTAATTTTTGTCACATGCTTTATCTCACTCTTTTACATTTTTCCGAAATCATTCCAATGAAAAGAGAAAACGGATGCTCTTGGTGCAGAGGAAGGAAAAGAGTGGCATGAGGATAGTTTCACTCTGTAGTTTTGTTTGAATAATTATGAAGGAGATAATAGAGGGTAACATGAATCATTTATGATTTATAGGGAATATTAGAAATGGCAAAAGAGTTATAAACAAAATAGTGCATAAACTCAAAGGAAGGGAACCTCTAATAAGCGTCTGGTTTGCTCTAATTAATTATGTAATAACAAACATTAATAATTCATATAATATGTACTATGTTAAAATTTATTTGTTACTGTAGTCTTACAGTTTTAAGTGGGACTACATTAGCAAACTCTAAATTAGAAAACTCTGCTTATTCTTCTTTAGCTGTATAAAAACAACATGGAAAGACTTGTGATTTATTTTAATAAAAACTAAGCTCTTCCAATCTATCATATTTGTGTCGTGAGAAATATGATAAATACATTTTTGTGTTTCTAACAAATGCAATGCATTCCATTCAGAATTCTCACAGCGTAAAATAACAGAAAGGAAAGCAACACTGTATATTTGCTATTTTTTAGAGGCTTTTATTTTAGGACCTTAAGGTTTCTAAAATATTAATTTGACCCTTTGAGAAGAAGGGTTCTATTACTGCCACTTTTTCCCTCAAATTAGGAAATTAGACTGTAGACAGTTTAATATTAGGCTTTAAAACAAACATCCTGGCTTAAAATAGTTCTGTATTTTCACAGTACTTTTCAAGTGGTTCGAAAGCTATTTTGATTTACCACATAATACCAATGGCAGGGGTGGAACAAAAGGCACAAGGAAAAATACTGGATAGAAAAGTTCTGAAATCGATATAACAACCTAGAGTCATTCATTCAAAAAGCATCTATTAGCTACATATTATTTTTTTGTCAGGAAGACGTGTATACAGAAATATCTCATATAAAATGTCGTATCAAAGGTTTGAATAAAAAGTTATAAAATCCTAGAAGTGGTAGTAGCTAATTTTCCTAGCTGATTGCAGTCTTCCCAGAGAAATTACTTTCTGAAAGATAGAACTTTGCTTTCAAAGTTTGGATCCCTTGTCTCATATCTGCGGGCCAAAGCAATTCAATCTAATTGCAGCAGTGCTACTGACAGACCCTACTCAGGAAAACTTATCTGTCACCACATGCCAATCAACAGTGGTCACCTGATCTACCTACAGAAACCAAGTGAGCTCAACTAAACCATCTCCACCTCACACCTGTTAGTGAGAGGTGAAGCTGTCTGGGCTCTGGGTCGGGTGGGGACTTGGGGAACTTTTCTGTCTAGCTAAAGGATTGTAAACGCACCAATCAGCACTCTGTGTCTGGCTAAAGGTTTGTAAAGGCACCAACGAGCACTCTGTGTCTAGCTAATCGGGTGGGGACTTGGAGAACTTCAGTGTCTAGCTAAAGGATTGTAAATGCACCAATCAGCCCTCTGTGTCTAGCTAAAGGTTTGTAAACGCACCAGTCAGCACTCTGTCAAAACGGACCAATCAGCTCTCTGTAAAACAGACCATTCAGCTCTCTGTAAAATGGACCAATCAGCAGGATGTGGGTGGGGCCAAATAAGGGAATAAAAGCAGGCCACCCAGCTAGCAACAGCAACAGCAACCTGCTCAGGTTTTCTTCCATGCTGTGTGAGCATTGTTCTTTCGCTCTTTGCAGTAAATCTTGCTGCTGCTCTCTCTTTGGGTCCGCAGTACCTTTATGAGCTGTAACACTCACTGCGAAGGTGTACGGTTTCACTCCAGTAGCCAGGGAGACCAACCACGAATGCAGTGCGAAGAACAAGAACCCACCGGGAGGAACAAGCAACTCCGGACACGCCACTTTTAAGAGCTGTAACACTCACTGCGAAAGTCTGGGGCTTCATTCTTGAAGTCAACGAGACCATGAACCCATGGGGGGGAATGAACAACTCCAGACGCGCCACCTTTAAGAGCTGTAACACTCACTGCGAAGGTCTGTGGCTTCACTCATGAAGTCATCAAGACCATGAACCCACCAGAGGGAAAAAACTCTGGACACCTCTAAACCTCTGGAGGAACAAAGTCCCGGCACACCATCTTTAAGAACTGTAACTCACTGCGAGGGTCTGCGGCTTCATTCTTGAAGTCAGTGAGACCAAGAACCTACCACAAGGAACCAATTCTGGACACACTAGTGTTGTTGGATCTGAATCTGTCCCCAGCAGTTACATGGTGGAGTGAGTGAAAGTGCTGGAACCCACATGATAAAACTAAACAAGGTGAGTGCCGGGTAAAATAGATTTATATAGAACTAAACGTCTCCTAACATAATATTTGAAATACACAAGATACAATTGAAAATCTGTTGTCATACCAAGATCCAAGTAAAGCACAACATAACAAAAGTAAATCAATTGGCACAAATACCTAGATGAATCAGATATTAGTGCTATCTGACAATGATTTTAAAGCAACAATCTTAAAATTAAATTAATTCAACAAATAATTAAGCATGTATTTGGGACAAGTAAAAAGTGGGAAATGTCGGCAAATACATTATTTATAAAACTAAACCAAATAGAAATTAAAAACAAAATATGATAACTTAAAAGCTCATTGGAAGAGATCAAAGGTAATAAGACAATGACAGAATCAGTGAAGTTGAGAATAGATCAATAAAATGTATTAAATCAAAAAAATTGAGAAAATATACTGAAAATAAAAATGAATGAACATCTAAAAACCAATAGGAAAATAGCAAAATTCAAATATCTCTATCCTTAGGGTTCAAGAAAGAAGAGGAGGAATGTGGGACTGAACGGTATTCAAAGAAATAATGGGTAAAAAAGTTCCTAAATTTTGCGAAAGACAAAACCATATATATTCCAGAAGCTAAATGAACCCCAAGTAGAATAAATCCAAAAAATTCCATACCAAAACATATCATACTTCTAAAAACTAAAGACAAAGGTGAAATCTTCAAAGCAGCCAGAGGGAAAAATGGATTACTAATAGAAGAACATCAAGGTAAAAGAAAATGGGTTTCTTATAAAAAAAAATATAGAGGCCAGAAGGAAGTGGAACAATGTTTTTCAAGTCCTGAAAAAAGTTAACTGTTAACTATAAATTCTACCTCCAGTTAATATATTCTTTAGGAATGAAGAGAAAATAAAGATACTCTCAAATTAAAGAAATGTTTTTAAAATTATCACTTGCAGACCTACTTTTTATTTTTTCAAGGCTGTTTTCTAGAGCAGTTTTAGGTTCACAGAAAAATTGGAACGAAGGTCCGGAGGTTTCCCATATACCACAACCCCAACACATGCATAATCTCATTCATTAAAACATTTCAAACAGAGTGGTGTACTTGTTATAATTAGTGAATCTACATTGACACCATGAGTACCCAAAGTCCACGGTTTACCTTAGGGTTCACTCTAGGGGTTGAATATTCTATGGTTTTGGACAAACGTATAATGGCATGTATCCATTATATGTTTGTCCAGATTTCCAGGGCAGTGAAAATACTGTAAATACAGAAGATTTTCTCTGTATATACTCTGCATATACAGTATTTTCACTGCCTGCTGTGCTCTGTCTACTCACCTATCCTTCATCCTCAAGCCCTGGCAATCACTGATCTTTTGTTTTACTGTCTGCATAGTTTTGCCTTTTCCAGAATATCATATATTGGGAATAATACAATATATAGTCTTTTACGATTGGTTTCTTTCCTGAACAATAAGCATTTAAGCATCTTCCATGTCATTCCGTGGTGCTTTATCTAATTTACTTTTAGCACTGAATAATAATACTTTGTCCAGATGAACCACAATTTATTCATTCACCTATTGAAGAATATCTTAGTTTTTTCCAAGTTTTAGCAATTATAAATAAAGCTGCTATAAACACTCACATGCAGGCATTTGTGTGAACAAAAGTCTTCACCTCCCTTGAGTAAATACCAAGGAGTATTACTTCTGGATTGTTTGGCAAGAATATGTTTAGCTTTGTAAAAGAGTAGCAAACTGTCCTCCAAAGTGGCTGTACCATCTTGCATTTCCACCAGCGATGAATGGGAGTTTCTATTGTGCCACATCCTAGCAAGCATTTGCTGAAAGTATTCTGGTTTTTGACCATTTTAATGGGAGTGTATTTCATTATTTTAATTTACATTTTCCTGATGATGTATGATGTGGAGTACCTTTTCATATGCTTATTTGCTACCTTTACATCTTCTTTGGTTAAGTGTCTGTTAAAGGTTTTTGGCTCATTTTTGAAATCAGCTTGTAGGTTTTCGTACGGTTGAGATTTAAGAGTTCTTTGTGTATTTTGTGTAAGAGTTCTTTATCAGATGTGTATTTTGCAAATATTTTCTCCAAGTCTGGGGCTTGTCGTCTCATTCCCTTGATGTTGTCTTTCAAAAAGCAGAGGTTTTAATTTTAATAAATACGGTGTATTCATTACTTCTTCCGTACATCATGCCTTCGGTGTTGTATCCACAAAGTCATCACCATATCCAAGGTCATCTAGGTATTCTCCTGTGTCATCCTCTAGGAGTTTTATATTTTCACATTTTACATTTAGGTCTATGATCTATTTTGAGTTATTTTTCATAAAGAGTGCAAGATCTGTGTCCAGATTCATTTTTTTTTCACATGTGGATGTCCAGTGGTTCCAACATCATTTGTTGAAAAGACAATCTTGTTCTATTGTATTTTCTTTGTTTCTCTGTCAATGATTAGTTTATCATACTTATGTGGGTCTATTTATGATTTCTCTATTCTGTGCCATTGGTATATTTGGTACATTTGTCTATTCTTTTGCCAATACCGCATTGTCTTCATTACCATCTTTATTAGTAAGTTTTGAAGTCGGATAGTATCAGTCCTCTGATAGTTTTCTCTCAATCTGTATTGACCATACTGGGTTTTGACTCTCCAGGTAAATTTTAAAAATAGTTTGTCAATATCCACAAAATAACTTGCTGGGGTTTTGACTGGGATAGCATTGAACCTATAGATCAAGTTGGGAAAAACTGACATCTTGACCATCCTAAGCCTCCTTCTCTATGAATAATGGAATATTTCTTCATTATTTTGTTCTTGATTTCATCAGAGTTTTATAGTTTTTTTCATATAGATTCTGTACATATTTTGTTAAATTTATACCTGAGCATTTCAGTTTGGGGAATGCTAATACAAATGGTATTGTGTTTTTTGTTTCAAATGCCACATGTTCATTGCTGGTATATAGAACCCCTAAAGTGATTAATTTCTGTATACTAACCTGGTATTTGCAACCATGTTATAATTGCTTACTAGTTACAGAAATTTCTGTTGATTCTTTTAGATTTTCTACATAGATGAGAATGTCCTCTGTGAACTCTCCATTTTTAATGTTTCCTGACAGCTTTTAATCTTCATCACTACCCATTGTTCTGCCCCACATCTTGGAGAGCTATTTGGTAAATGCAAATTAAAATAATAATGAGATAACTCTTTGCATCTATAGCAAAAACTAAAATAAAAAGTAATGACAACACTAAATTTTGGTGATACTGTGGGGAAACTGGATTGCTGCTACGTTTTGCTGCTATGTATGGAATGTAAAATGGTACAGCCACTCCAGAAAACAATTTCTTACAAAACTAAACATGCAGGTACCTAATGGCTCAGCAATTTAATTCTTTGTATTTCTCAAATTGAAAACTTATGTTCACACACATACCTAGACATTAATGTTCATAGGAGCTTATTTGTAGTAGTCAGAGTGTAAACAATTCAAATGCCATACAATAGGTAAGTGGTTGATTTAACTGTAGTCTATTCAAATCATGGACTATTACCCAGCATTTATTAAAACAAATAATAACAACAGCAACAATAAACAAAACTACATTTTGGATGAATCTCCAGGAAATTATGCTGAGTGGGTAAAAAGCCAATCCTGAAAGCCAATCTCAGGAAAGTATAATTCTAATAATGTAACAATTTTAAACTGAGAATATTTATAGAAATAGAGAACAGATTAAAGCTATGAGGGATGGACACAGGAAGGGGAACATCACACTCTGGGGACTGTTGTGGGATGGGGGAAGGAGGGAGGGATAGCATTGGGAGATATACCTAATGCTAGATGACGAGTTAGTGGGTGCAGCACACCAGCATGGCGCATGTATGCGTATGTAACTAACCTGCACAATGTGCACATGTACCCTAAAACTTAAAACATAATAAAAAAAATTAAAAAAAATAAATAAAAATAAAAAAAAGTAAAAAATAAAAAATAAATAAATAAATAAAATATATAAAGCTATGAGGGATGGTGAGCATAGACATGAGGGCAGTTATAAAATGGCAATACAATGAATCTTGTGATTACAGAATTTTCCTGGTTTTTGTCTGTGATAATGGTAATATGAATTTATTCATGTGATGAAATTGTATAGAACCAAATATACACACACACAAATAAGGGCACATAAAACTGATAGAGTCTCAGTAAAATCAATGGATTATATCAATACCTATTTTCTGGTTGTGACATTTTGCTGTTGCTGTGCAAAGTATTGTCATTGGAGTGAAGTGGGTGAAGGTCATGTTGGTTCTCTTTGTATTATTTCTTATAAATGTATGTGAATCCCAATTATCTCAAAATAAAATATTTTGTAATGTCACCCCAAATTCATGATGCAGAAATAACTCTTGGTAGTATTAGAATAATATATTAGTCTAGACATCCTTCAAACATATATATGGAATAATTTTATAAACATGAATCATACTTTTTTATTATTTATATTTAAAATACCACATTTAAACTTGAAGATAATAGAAGAAATAGAAAATGAAGATAAACTGAAGGAACTAGAGAACTAATTATTATTTTGTGCAAGTTTAACTGTCGTAACTAATAATACTAGTAATCTTGAATTCTGTACCAGTGGTTATATGTTATGTCATATCACAAGAAGTTAAATGTTAATCTATAGTGCTATGAAGTGGGTGACACTGTCAATCTTTATGGCGTAGGAAAAAGATGGTTCAGACAGTTTAGGTAAGTTTCTAGAGATTCTATACAATTAGCTGAGCCAGCAGTTAAATCCAGGTCTATTTAATTAATCAACCTGCCTCACTGAGTTATAAAATATCACACTGTTTTTAAATACTGGTAAGAATTTTAATATGAAGTGCCTAAAGATAGGACATCTACTGTGGATATAGTTAGTGATAGAACTGGAAAGGTAGTATGTGTTTGACACTGAAGTCAGATCCAGCCCAGAAAAGATATTTTGTGAGAGCCACAGTCCTTTCCAAGGTGTCCCACCACAAGACTGTACCTTTCATGTGACTCCTGCTGAGATTGATTTAGATTGCCCCCAACTGGCTAGGATGTGCTATCTTTGTTAGCTGACTCCATTTTGACCATGTATGTACTCAGCTCTGTTTTCTTTCTCCTTATCCAGGTAGGTAGTCACCCATTTCTCTTATTTCTAACCTTGGCCTGAACCCTATTTCATGGGTAATGGTGTTGACAAATTGGCAGTTATTAGAAGGAAACTCATATTGAGTTTGGCTTGGTTATATATATTTTAAATTAATGATCTCTGTGAGATATTTAGGTTTAGCGCTCAGGGGGAAAACAGCACCATACACACTTTCATCAGTTTGTTTATTTAATCAAAATATGTTTTAGCATTAAAGATGTAAATAAACAGGCACAAAATGATTTCTGACACTAAAAGGGAGGGGAGACATGGTAGTATTAAAAAAGTTTCCCAAAGAGGCACTGATAAGTATTAATTATCAAGAGAGAGGTAAGGGAAAATAATCTTTGAAGTCCACATTTTATACGCATGAACTACAAATGACCTGTATCAGAATGAACTAGATATTCATTAAAATAATTTTGGATCCACACTTGTGCCCACTCAATCAGAATCTCTAAGGATATGACTTATGATCTTCATTTCTGCAAATTTGAAGTTGCCCAGGAGTTTCTTATGCATGCTAAAGTTTGCAAACCTCTGTTCTTAACAGACTCTAACAGAACAAAATAGCCAGATGGGCACTACGAAGGATTCATATAGCCACAGAATTTAGCAAATAAAGAACTTTTTAAAATTTTATTTTAATTGACATATAATAATTATACATATTTATGGGGTACAGACTGACATTTCAATAGATACATTCAATGTGTAATGATCAAATTCAGAGTAATTAGCATATGCATCACCTCAAACATTTATCATTTCTCTGTATTGGACATATTCAAAATCCTTTCCTCTTGCCCTTTAAAGATAAATTATACATTAGTGTTAACTATGGTCACCCTACAGTACCATAGAAAACTAGAATTTATCGCTTCTGTTTAGCTATAATTTTGTATCTGCTAACCATCCTTTTTATACCTCTCCTCCTCCCTCTTCTTCCTAGCCTCTAGTAACCAGTATTCTACCCTCTAATATGGGGTAGAATACTTATTAGAGCAACTTTTTAGCTCTCACATATGAGTGAGAATAGACAGTATTTGTCTTTCTGTGCCTAACTTATTTCACTTAACATAATGTCCTCCAGGCTCATCTTTATTGCAGCAAATGGCAGGATTTCATTTTGTCTGGTAACAAAAGAGTTTTCATTGTGTATATATACCCCTTTTTAAATCCATTTATGTGTTGATTGACATTAATACCATAGAAGTACAAAGAATTAGCAGAGACTATTATGAATAGTTATATGCCACAAATTGGAAAATCAAGAGAAAATGGATAAACACTGGACACATATAGCCTACCAAAATTGAACCAAAAAGGAAACCTAAACAGTAGAATAGTAAATAACGACATTGAATCAGAAATAAAAAGTCTCCCAAGGAAAAAAAAGGCCCAGGACCACATGGCTTCACTGCCAAATTCTACCAAACCTGTAAAAAAACTACCATCAATTCTTCTCAAACTATAGCAAAAAAATTGAAGAGAAAGACGTTATTTCAAGCTCATTCTATAAGGCCAGCATTACCTTGATACCAAGATCAGACAAGGGTACAACAAAAAAGAAAACTACAAGCCAATACCCCTGATTAACATAGATGCAAAAATACTTAACAAAACACTAGCAAACCAAAGCCAACAGTACATCAAGAAGATTATCCACCAAGATCAAGTGGAATTTAACCCAGGGAAGCGAGAATGAAAATCCCAAATGATCATCTAAATAGACACAACAAAAAAGCATTTGTTAAAATTTGACATCCCTTCATAATTTAAAAAACACAGTAAATTAGGTATCAAAGGACTATGTCAACAAAATAAAGGCCATATATGACAAACGCAGAGCAAACTTCATACTGAATGGTGAAAAGTTGAAAGGCTTTCCTCTAAGAACTGGAACAAGACAAAGCTGCTCATTTTCACTACTATTATTCAACATACTATTAGAAGTCCTAGCCAGTGCAATTAGCCCAGAGAGAGAAATAAAGGGCATCCAAATTGGAAAAGAGGAAGCCAGATTGTTCCTGTTTGTAGATAACATGATCTTATAAATAGGAAAACCTAGACTTCACCAAAAATCTCCCAGAACTGATAGATGAGTACAGTAAAGTTGCAGGATACAAAATCAACATACAGAAATAAGTAGACTTTCGTATGCCGATAATGCAGTAGCTGAAAGTGAAACTCTGATACAGCAGCTTTGGTAGAGTGAAGAGAGTGTAAGGCAACAGTAAGTTGAGAAGTACATTTGAGTTTACATACTATTCCCCCAAACCTCAAAACATACTGGCACAGTTTTTCACTTAAGAAGAAGTATGGTAAGTTAACTACTAGGAAAATAGAAGGAAATGAGTCAAACCGAACTTTGCCTTTCTATATGGAAAGTTTCCCTTCTTAAACAGCTATGTTCATTATGAACGTGGCAAAGTCCTTAACTCTACCTTAAGTATGGTGTTAAAATACAGTTTCATGGTTTTTTTTTGTTTGTTTTGTTTTTTTTTTTGAGTTGAAGTCTTGCTCTGTCGCCCAGGCTGGAGTGCGGGAGTGCAGTGGCGCGATCTTGGCTCACTGCAACCTCCGCCTCCTGGGTTCACGCCATTCTCCTGCCTCAGCCTCCCGAGTAGCTGGGACTACAGGCGCCCGCCACCACGCCTGCCTAATTTTTTATATTTTTAGTTGAGACGGGGTTTCACTGTGTTAGCCAGGATTGTCTCGATCTCCTGACCTCATGATCCACCCGCCTTGGCCTCCCAAAGTGCTGGGATTACAGGCGTGAGCCACCATGCCTGTCCTGTTTCATGGTTTTTAGAAGTATACATATATGTAATTTAAAGATATATAGTGTGTACATATAAAAATGTGAATTTTTTGTAACTTATTTAAAATAAAAACATCATTAGATAATGTAAATATTAAGAAAATAAGTAGATTTTAAGTTCATTTATTTTATTTAAATAATTTTATTATTTAATTTTATTAACTTTTTAACTTTGTTTTTTATTTCAGTAGGTCTTTGGGGAACAGATGGTGTTTGATTACATGGGTAACTTCTTTAGTGGTGACGCCTGAGATTTTGGTTCACCCATCACCCAAGCAGTGTACACTGTACCCAATGTGTAGTCTTTTACCCTTCAGTCCCCTCCCACCCTTTCCTCGAGTCCCCATAGTCCATTGTATCATTTTTATGCCTTTGCATCCTTATAGCTTAGCTCCCACTTATGAGTGAGAACACACATTGTTTGGTTTTTACATTCTCGAGATACTTTCACTTAGAATAATACTCTCCAATTCCATCCAGTTTGCTGTGAATGCCATTATTTTGTTCAGTTTTATGGGTAAGTAGTATTCCATGGTGTGAGTATATATGTATACATGTACACCACATTTTACATCACTTGTTGATTGATGGGCATTTGGGCTGGTTCCATATTTTTGCAATTATGAATTGTACTGCTATAAACATGTGTGTGCAAGTAACTTTTTAGTATAATGACTTCTTTTCCTCTGGTTAGATACCTAATAGTGGGATTGCAGGATCAAATGGTATATGTACTTTTAGTTCTGTAAGGAATCTCCACACTGTTTTCCATAGTGGTTGGTGGGTTGTTTACATTCCCACCAACAGTGTAAAAATATTCCTTTTTCACCACATCCATGCCAATATCTATTATTGTTTATTTTTTATTATAGCCATTCTTACAGCAGTGAGATGGTATTGCATTGTGGTTTTGATGTGCATTTCCCTGGTAATTAGTGATGCTGAACATTTTTCCACATGCTTGTTGGCCATTTGTATATATTCTTTTGAGAATTGCCTATTCATGTCCTTAGCCCACTTTTTGATGGGATTTTTTTTTTCTTGCTGATTTGTCTGAGTTCTTTGTAGATTCTGGATATTAGTCTTTTGTCAGATGTATAGGTTATAAAGATTTTCTCCCACTCTGTGGGTTGTCTGTTTATTCTGCTGATTATTTCTATTGCTGTGCAGAAACTTTTTAGTTTATAAGTTGCATCTATTTATCTTTGTTTTTATTGCACTTGCTTTTGGCCTTGGTCATGAAGTCTTTGCCTAAGCCAATGTCTAGAAGGGTTTTTCCAATGCTATCTTCTAGAATCTTTATGGCTTCAGATTTTAGATTTAAGTCTTTGATCTCTCTTAAGTTGGTTTTTATATAAGGTGAGAGATGAGGATCCAGTTTTATTCTTCTACATGCGGCTTGCCAATTATCCCAGTGCCATTTGCTGAATAGGATGTCCTTTCCCCACTTTATGTTTTTGTTTGCTTTGTCGGAAGTCAGTTAATTGTAAGTATTTGGCTTTATTTCTGGGTTCTCTATTCTTTTTCACTGGCCTATGTGGCTATTTTTATACCAGTACCATACTGTTTTGGTGACTATGGCCTTATAGTATAGTTTGAAGTTGGATAATGTGATGCCTCCAGATTTGTTCTTTTTGCTTAGTTTTGCTTTGGCTATGTGTACTCATTTTCAGTTCATATGAATTTTAGGATTGTTTTTACTAGTTCTGTGAAGAATGATGGTAGTATTTTGATGGGAATTGCATTGAATTTGTAGATTGCTTTGGCAGTATGGTCATTTTCACAATATTGATTCCACACATCCATGCTTATACTCATAAACATGAATCCATTTGTTTGTGTCATCTATGATTTCTTTCAGCAGTGTTTGCAGTTTTCCTTGTACAGGTCTTTCACCTCCTTGGTTAAGTATATTCCTAAGTATCTTATATTTACTTTTTGCAGCATTGTAAAGGAATTGAGTTCTCGATTTGATTCTCAGCTGGCTCACTATTGGTGTATAGCAAAAATATTGATTTGTGTACATTAACTTTGTATCCAGAAACTTGGCTGAATGCATTTATCACTTCTAGATACTTTTTGCATGAGTGTTTAGGGTTTTCTAGGTATATGATCATGCCATCAGCAAATAGTGACAGTTTGAATTCCTCTTTACCAATTTGGATGTCCTTGATTTGTTTCTCTCGCCTGAATTCTCTGGTTAGAACTTACAGTACTATGTTGAATAGAAGAGGTGAAAGTGAGAATCCTTGTATTGTTACAGTTATCAGGGGGAATGCTTTCAACTTTTCCCAATTCAGTACCATGTTGGCTGTGGGTTTGTCATAGATGGCTTTTATTACCTTACAGTATGCTCCTTCTATGCCAATTTTGCTGAGGGATTTAATTATAAAAGAGATGCTGGATTTTGTCAAATGCTTTTTCTGCATCTATTGAGATGATCATGTGATTTTTTAAAAATTCTGTTTATGTGATGTATCATGTTTATTGACTTGTGGATATTAAACCATTCTGGAAAAGTGAATTCAAATGGAATTAAAATAGTTACTTTAATTTTGCCTTATCATGTGCTGAACATAGTTTCCTAAAGAAGTGTGTAGTCTTTGACTTGGTATATTGTCTTTGACTTGAACAAAATATGCTATAGTTTTTATATAGTGGTTTGAAAGAATTAGGAGCTCTCTGAGATTTTCAACTATATTTTCTGTGAATGAATCTTTTCTAAAATAAGTATAATAAACTTACAAATGTATTGAAGGAGGAATAACCACTCCTCTTAACTGAGAGATTCCAAACTTTAAAAATTTTACTGAGGAAAAAACTTATTATTAGCTACAAAAGGCAGGAGAATAAAGAAATGGTGAAAAATAAATTGCCCTTTTCATGAGATTCAAGGTTTGGAATCACTGAGTAATGTGATTTTCTTCTCATGAAATAAATAATGAAAAGAGAGTAAGCTAGATAACGTTTAACTTTCAATTATTTAATTGAGATCTGTGTATTTTTTAAAAGGTGCTCACTTTATTTTTAAGAATGTGTCAACAAGCCAAAAATTTTGATTTCCCCGCTGGAAAACTGTCAGTGAGATCATAGCAAACATGGATGCCCAGAATATAAATTTTCTTCTAAGTTTTTAGGGAATACCACAATGGCCCAGTTTCAGTGTTTAAAATGTCTGAGCACCACGTTTCCATTGTTGGTTGCAGCATTATTACCCCCAATTTACCATAGCAAGGGTTCAGTCGTATTCATTCATTTTTGCTTTTACATAGCACATATATAGTAAGTGCCTACTATGGATAAGACACACTTCCAGATGAATGAGATATAGAAGGAAGAAAAAGAAACAAAACCCTGAACTCATGGAGCTAATATTCCAGGCAAGGAGGCAGAAACTGTGTGAAATAGATAAGTATGTTATCTAGTATGATGGAAAGTTGTACGTGTTCTCGATAAAAATAAATAAATAAAGTCAGGGAAGGGGATTGAAGGCGTGATGAGGGGGAAAATTTGGCATTTTAAATATATGTTGAGGGAAGACCTCATCTACAAGGTGTCATTTGCAAATACCACTGCACTGCATTGAAGATAGGCCCAGTGAATTTGCAGGAAGTATTATATTTGACTTACAAAATGCTGTGACAGGAAATGGAGGCCTTCACTCATGTCTGCTAAGTATTGGAAACTGTCACAGAGCCAGCTGGGGCAGAACAGTGAAAGCCAAGATCAGGAGTCCAACTGGAAGGGCCTTGAAGACAGTGAATGTCTGGCAGGCACAGACCCAAGCACAGGAGGTTAGACGGCACAGATATTGTAAATCCGGAGAGAGATGACGTGCTCCAATCTAATGATATTGTGGCAACAGGAAAGGAGCAAACAGGGCATAAAATCCAAGTGCACAGCCTGAGGTCATCAACAAAGTTTCCAAACAGAGTGGGAAGAAATAGACAGGAAACAAAGACAGAATAGAAGGAGCAATTTAAGTGCCAGGATTCAAAACCAAGTTGAAAGTGAGTGGCAGAAGGTCAAGTCAAAAGTATTAGGCATATGTCAGTGCACAGTTACTAGGAGAGAGCAGGCTTCTGTAAAACCAGGGAAGCACAATAGGATTCTGATGAAGATCGGAGACAGAGATCAACTGCCATGGCCTTTATACACAATATGGTAATTGGGGTGTGTGTGTGTGTGTGTGTGTGTGTGTGCGTGTGTGTACGTGTGTGTCTGTAGGGGGTAGATTAGAGAAAAGCACAAACTCTAAGCTGCTCAGCTCCTTTAGATAACTATAGATGCTTCGTTTGACAGTGAAATTGTCCTGACACTATGAGTCAAGAAATAGGAGTACATTCTACGTTTGATTTGTTGCTGTTACTTTACATACATCAATTACTTATTTTTATGCTTGTTTTAAAAAGTAATTTATATCACTTTTTAATTTAAAAAGTTGTGAAATTCATGAAATACACACAGAGACATACACATACACATACACACACACACACACACACACAGAGAGAATAAAATATACATCAGGTTTCTGTAAACTTTCTTTATGACTATTATATTCAAATGTAGTGACTTTAAAAATACTGTATGGAATACTAGGCCCAGGGTATATAAATAAATGTTATATAAAAATGAATCCAGCAGTAACATACATGTAGGAAATATTGAGCTGAACAAGATATTTGTTGGTGGGCTTTAACTGTAGGAACAGTATTGCAAACATGTATAATATAAATATGTATTTTTATTATATAATCTCAATTTAAAATATACTTTATTTTTAGAGAAATTATAGGTTCATAGCGAAATTAAACAGAAAGAACAGAGAGTTCTCATGTATCCCACAACCCCACATTCCTGCAGGCTTCTTCTTGATTATCAATGTATCACACCAGAGTGCTACATTTATTATAATAAATGAATCTACACTGGCACATCATTATCACCCACAGTTCATAGTTTACATTTGTTCAGTCTTGGTATATTCTATGGGTTTTGAAAAATGTGTAATACCATGTATCCATTATCATGGTATCATACAGATAAGTTTTCACTGCTTAAAAATTCTGTCCTTCACTTTACTTCTTCCCCACCCCACATTATTGGCAATCGCTAATCTTTTTACTGTCTGCATAGTTTTGCCTTTTTCAGAATGTCATATGGTTCAAATCATGTGGTAACATAGCTTTGTCGGATTGCATTCTTTCACTGAACAATGTCCATTTAAGATTCTTCTATGTATTTTCATGGTTTTTAGCACTGAATAATAAGTCATTATCTGAATGTAACATAGTATATTTATCTATTCACCTGTTAAAGGACACCTTGTTTGCTTCCAAATTTTAGCAATTATAAATCGCTAAATTATAAATTATAAATATAGTTGTTATAAACATATCTGTGCAGTTTCTTTGTGTGTGGACGTAAGTTTCAACGCCTTTGTGTAAATACCAAGGAGTGCAATTACTGGATCATACAGTAAGTGTATGTTTAGTTTTGTAAAAAAGTATCAATCTGTATTCCAAAGTGGCTGTAGCATTTTGCATTCCCACCAGCAATGAATGAGAGTTCCTGTTGTTCCACACCCTCACCAGCATTCGGTGTCATCAGTGTTCCAGATTTTGGCCATTCTAAAATGTATGTGGTGGTAACTCATTATTTTAATTTGCAGTTTCCTAATTACATATGATGTAGAGCATTTTTTAAGTTTATTTGCCATCTTTATATCTTTTTTGGTGAGGTGTCTGTTCAGCTCTTTTGTCCATTTTTTAAAGTTAGTTGTTTTTTTTTTATTGTTGAGCTGTAAGAGTTTCATGTACATGTTGGATACTGTTCTTTATTAAATGTGTGTTTTGCAAATATTTTCTTCCAGTGGCGTGGTTTGTCATATTCTCTTGACAGCATCTTTCACAGAACACAAGTTTATAATTTTATTTATTTTATTTTATTTTATTTATTTATTTTGAGACAAAGTCTTCCTCTTGTCACCCAGGCTGGAATGCAGTGGCACGATCTCAGCTAACTGCAACCTCCACCTCCTGGGTTCAAGTGATTCTCCTGCCTCAGCCTCCTGAGTAGCAGAAACTACAGGGGCGTGCCACCACGCCCCACTAATTTTTTGTATTTTTAGTAGAGACGGGGTTTCATCCTGTTAGCCAGAATGGTCTGGATCTCCTGACCTCATACCCGCCTGCCTTGGCCTCCCAAAGTGTTGGGATTACAGGCATGAGCCACCGCGCCCGGCCCTAGTTTATAATTTTAATGAAGTGCAACCTACCAATTATTTCTTTCACAGAACATGCCTTTGGTATCATATGTAAAAATAATTGCCATATTGAAGATCACTATATTTTCTTCCACATGATGTCTATCTATATGTTAACATAGGTAGGTTACCATTTAGGACTTTTGTATTTTTGAATTCTGCGTGACGTCCTATAATCTATTTTGAGTTTGTTTTTATTATGGTACAAGGTCTGTGTCCAAATTTATTTATTTTGCATGCGCATGTTCAGGTGTTTCTGTACCCTTAGTTGAAAAGGCTATCTTTGTTCAACTGTATTACCTTTGGTCCTCTATCAAAAATCAGTTGATTACATTTATGCAGGCTTATTTCTGAGCTCTCTGTTCTGTTCCATTGGTTTATTTGCCTATCCTTTCATCAATACCATGCTGCCTTCATTACTGTCTCCTTATGGTAAGTCTTGACTTTGGGTTGTATCAGTTCTATTCCTTTGCTCTTCTTCAGTATTGTAGATTGGCTATTCTGGGTCTTTTGCCTCTTCATATAAACTTTAGAATCAGTTTGTCAATATTTCAAAAGAACTTGCTGAGATCTGACTGGAATTGCATCAGTTCTATGAGTCAAGTTGGGAAGAACTGACATAATGGCAATATTGAGTCTTCTTATCCATGGTCATAAACTATCCATTTATTTAGTTCTCCTCTGATTTTGTTCATCAGAGTTTCATAGTTTTCCTCACATAGAGCTTGTATATATTTTGATAGTATTTTACCTAAGTATGGTATTTTATTTGAGGGAAGGTGTTAGTGTAAATTATATTGTGTTTTTATTCTCAAATCCCATTTAGTAATTGCTGAAATAGAGGAAAACAATTGACTTCTCTATATTAACCTCTTATTCTGTAACCTTGCTATACTCACTTATGAGTTCTAGGTGTCTTATTTGTCAGTTGCTTTAAATTTTGTGCATAGATAATATGCCACTACGAATATAGACAGTTTTATTTCTTCCTTACCAATGTACCCTTTTTTCATTTCCTGTTTTATTGCATTTGCTAGGACTTCCAGTAAAACATTGAAAAAGAGTGGTGAAAGCCAATATCCTTGCCTTGCTCCTCATCTTGGAACATTCCTAGGTTCTCATCATTACACATGATGTTAATTATAGGGATTTTTAGATGTTCTTTATAGAATTCAGGAAGCTTTCCTCCATTCCTTTTGTGAGTTTTTATCATGTGAGTTTTTATCATGTGAGTTTTTATCACGGTTGACGGACTTTATCAAATGCTTTTTCTCTGTCTATTGATATGATTGTTTGGATTTTTTTCACCTGTGGATGTGAGATATTACATTAATTGATTTTCAAACTTTGAAAATCAGTTTTGCATAACTGGGAATAATATCACTTGATATTGGTGTATAATTATTTTTGCATATTTTAAGTTCTATTTGCTAATGTTTTGTTGAGGATTTTTGCATTATGTTCATGAAAGATGTTAGTTTGTTGTTTTATTTTCTTTTAATATCTTTGGCATTGATATTAGAGTAATGCTGGCAACAAAGGATAATTTAGGAAGTATTCCCTCTGTTTCTGTCTTCTTGGAAGGGTTGTAGAGAATTTGCATAATTTTTTCCTTAAATGTTTGATAGAGTTCACCAGTGAATTCATTTAGGCTGTGCTTTTCTTTTTTATGAGATTTTTAATTCAATTTCTTTGGTAGTATAGTACTATTGTGATTGTCTATTTTTTCTTGTGTTAGTTTTGAAAGATTATGTCTTTCAAGGAATTGGTCCTCTAAACAATAATAATAATAAAATAAAAGAATTTTGTCAAATATGTTTAATAGCAAATAATTTTCTTTCAGAGTGCCTTTCACAGCTAATGTTCCAATTGCAGTAATTTAGTAAATATGGGTCTACATTATATCCTAATACTTCATATGCCTTGTATAGTTCCTATAATTAGCTTAAGTTTATATGTTTTTTATCACTATTATAGAATACACAGCATGTGGGTTAGAAAATCTAGATTATAATTTTGGAAAGTCATTGGTTGAAATATTAGCACAGATCACCTTTCTATTTTACTAATCTGTGAAATGAAGAAAATGTTCTAAGTGGTTTTAAGTCCTTTTCTAGATCGAAAAATAAAAGACAGATATATTAAAAGGAGACATAGCATATGGTAAATCTAAAGAAGATGTATTTAATGTTTAAATTTAACCATCAAATATTCTCTCATTTACCAAAATAGTATCCTCTGGAATTAAAGTTTAGTCTTCAAAATGACTTAACTAGATAGAATCAGAGCTGAAACAGAATATTGTAGGTCAATGAATCTAACTATTCTGACTTCAAATAAGAGGTGCTTTGGTTCTATTATTAGTTATTTACTGGTGCACAACAAATTTAAACAAACTTAGTGGCTTAAAACAATACAGTGTTAATGGATTGGAAGTCCAGACACAAATCAGCTGTGTCCACTGATCAGGTTACCCTTCTCTTATCAGGTTACAGTCCTGATGTTGGTTGTGCTGCATTGTCATCTGGTGGCTCACTTGGGAGAGAAAAACTGTTCCCAGTCTCATGTAAGTTGTTGGCAAAATTTATTTCTTTCTGACTTCCAAACTGAGGTTTTAGTTTTTTGCTAGCTGGCTGTTCAAAGATCCTGGAGGTACAGTATCTTGCAATGTGGGATTTTCAAAAATGGTTACTTACTTTACAGAAGTTTGTTTCTTCGAAACTACCAAGGAAGAGTGAGAGTCACATAATGTAACATTATCACAGTAGCGATACCTATTATCTTTGCTGTCTATTGGCTGGAAAGAAGTCAAGGTATCCCTCACACCCAAAGGAAGAGAGTAAGCAAACTGGTGAAAACTAGAAGGTGGACATCATTGGGAGTCCATCTCACTGATGGTATTTCAGAAATAAAAATAGACAGAAAGGTAACAATTGGCAACCACAATGCAATAACTACTACAAAATGAATTTTCCCACCATTTTCAGAAACTAGATAAGAATGTGTGCAGGACTGTGAACCTTGAGCTAAAGAAAAACAAAAGAACACAAAAATAAGCTAAATTCCCACAAACGCAAAGGATTTCTGTTAGAAGATAATTTACAAAATTTGATAAGAGAAATGAAATTCAATCAACAAAAAGTGGTCTTGCTGAGTTATGTAGAGAGAGATAAGAGTTTTGGGGGACTGAAATTGAAATACTAGAGAACACAGATCTATGGAGAAAAAGAGTTCCAGAGGACTATGCAGTAGTCACTTCAATTTTTTAGCTGAATTCTAATCTGCCTATGCATAATATGAAACTACATGAGACCAGGAAACAAATTCCCAAAAAAGGTATCAGCTGAATAATACTTAGTGCAAGCCTGGAAGACAATAAAATTTTGATATTCCAGAGGAAGAAATCGCATTGTAAAGATGACTGAAGAAGTAACCTTTAGTATTAGAAATAAACTAACTCTCAAATAAAGGTTACTCTTTAATTACCACTAAAGGCTTTTAAATAAGTTTTGAATGAACTGAGTAGATCTGCAAGTAATATAACTGCCAACTAAAACAAAAGCTAATAATATTTAAAGAATAATATTAAAATGCAAATATGAACCAATGTGGCATTGTTGTCTGGCATTCACTAAAAATTTACTAGGTATGATAAAAAGCAGTAAAATATGCAAAATCAGGGGGAAAAAAAGTTAATAGAAGCATACCTGAAAGTGACAATGATAAGGAAATTAGTTTTAAAAAGATGGAAAACAGCTATTTGAAACATATATATCAATTCAGGTAAAATATAATCATAAGATGAAGATACACTGGAAATATAAAAATGATACAATCTAGTGATGAATTTTTTTGACATTTCATCCCATAAAAACATCAGTAAGGAGGCTCAAAAATTAGACCATTCCAAAAAAATATTAGCTTACTAGAAAACAAAGCAACTGATACTGTGCAAAATTAAACTTAGAGAGAAGTAAAATTGGGAAAAAAGAAAAGAACAATCTCAGTAACCCATGGTATAATGTGAATCTATTCTCACAAGGAAAGGTTCTAGGAGAAGGGGCAGCAGAAAAGTATATTAAAAGAAATAACTGCTAAAACATTTCAACATTTATGAAACTATAAATCCACAGATTCAAAGAAACTAAACACGTCCCAAGAGGGATAAACACACACACACACATATGCGTGCACACACACACACACAGTTTCATCAGTTTGAAAGTTTGAATATCAAGTACATTATATTCATACTGGTAAAACTCTGTATCAGTGAGGAAAAAAATTTTGAAAGGGTCAAAGAAAGAAACATCATTTGTGGGTAAGAAAAGTTCAGGCTCCTGAACCTTCTTCTAGGCCCATCTAGCTATTTTGCAAAATCCAATTTTAGCAAGGAATTCTGCTAAGTCAATTTAGTAAGAACCTTCCACCCTTGATAACTGATCACCCTGATATCTGATTGAATTCCTCATCCTTCACCATCCCCCAGGTTATGTCTGACTACCCTGTCCTGTCTTCAGCAAGACTCCTGTTAAGTCAGTTTAGCCAGAATCCCCCTTTACTCTTAATGTTTTATTTTAGTAACTTTCCATCCATTAACCCCTAGACCACTTCTTTTTATATTTATTTATTTATTTATTTATTTTGAGATGGAGTCTCCCTCTGTCGCCCAGGCTGGAGTGCAGTGGTGTGATCTCGGCTCACTGCAACCTCCGCCTCCCAGATTCATGCCATTCTCCTGCCTCAGCCTCCAGAGTAGCTGGGACTACAGGCGCCCGCCACCACGCCTGGCTAATTTTTTATATTTTTAGTAGAGATGGGGTTTCACCATGTTAGGCAGGATGGTCTCCATCTCCTGACCTCGTGATCCACCTGCCTTGGCCTCCCAAAGGGCTGGGATTACAGGCATGAGCCACCACGCCCAGCCCCCTAGACCACTTCTTGACTATAAATTGTCACTTGCCTGTGCTGTGTTCAGAATTAAACCCAATCTCTCTTCTCCATTACAAAATCTCATTGCTGAGCTCCCTAAACCTATTGTAATGGTCCTGAGTTAAGTCTTCCTTACCATGCTTTGACAAATGTCGTTGAATGATATCTTTTCTTTAGCAGGACATTATTCTAGTCACATTACATATAGTTGAGCAAAGATCAAATTGTTTGTACACTTTTAATCAGAAAGAATTAAAGCAAGAAGTCAATGAAACTACATAAAGGATTCACAGAAACAAAACAAAACCAAAACAAAATAAACAAAAAACCCTGTCAACTTTGAATTCTATATTCAATAAGAATATCTTTCAAAAATCAGGAAGCAAGAATAAAGCCTGATGTAAACTATAGACTTTGGGTGCCATTCTAAGTTCATTGATGGTAACAAATGTACCATTGTGGTGAGAGGTGTCAATAGTGGAGATTGCATGTTGTGAGGACAGAGAGTATATGGGAGTTTCATGTACTTTCTGATCAATTTTGCTGTGAACTTAAAGCTTCTGTAAAGATGAAGATTATTAGTTAAAAATTAAGGTAATATAAAATATTTTAAAGACAAACAAGAATTTACAGAATCTATCAGTAGCAAATATTTTTTTACAAGCAATAGTAAAGAAACTTCTACAGGCTGAAAGAAAATGTCAGATGGAAAATAAATTTGGAGAAAGCAATAGTGTCAAGGGTGGGGAATGTGTTAAAAAAATCTTTTTCTTAGTTAAAAGTTAAAAATATCATAAGACTTCAATTTTTGGACATGAATGAATACCTGGTTTATAACTGGCTTTCACATTGTAAACTATAAGAGAATTGGACAAAACTTACAACAATGCTACTTTCAGAGATTGAGACAATAAGAAGTATAAGACTAGTTTCCTCAGAAAAGGGAAACAAAAAAGTATGCTCTACAGTTTACACAGGTTACCACTTGGAAGCAATTTTCTGACCTGTAGTATGGGCAGAGAAAACAGAAGCACAGCCTAGTGACTTACTTATTTGGGGAACACATATATTTTACAAAGCCAACTCAGCTAGAATTTGCAGAACAGAGACCAAAGAGATAGGAGTTTGGTAAGACTATCTCCAGGAAAATGCATGAGGTGCCCTTGAGTCTTTAGTTGAATATTAATTTTCACATGCAATATGATTACGATTCATGAAGCCAAGCAAATTAAAAAAACCATGAAGTTAAAGGGTAATAAATTACCCAGTTTATCAGAATAAACCATTCAAATCCCATTCAGTCTGAATAGAGAAACCATGAGGAATACTCCAAGCATCAAGAAAGGCCATGCCTTGTATTAAGCTTAAACTAGGCTAAGATAAAGGCTATATTAGACCCATCAAAACAGAGTCTATAAACAGGCTATTAAATGTTTAAAATTATCCACAAGCAAGTTAGCTTCTTCCCAGGCCAATCTTCAGCAGTCTTACAGAAGAAAACAAAATTAAACAAACAACAGCATAGCCATCACAATGCTTAACACCAAATCAGGGGACAAAACAGTAGATATGACATGTAACTAGAAAAATTAGAAAAGAAAACCCAGAAGTGACAGAGATAATGGTAGTAGCAAAGGCCATTTTTTGACTTGTGAAGTATTATTAACTTTTATCATATATATTTATAAGCTACAACATGATGTTTTGATGTATACATCAAATATGATGTATACATTGTGGAATGATTATATCAAGTTAAATAACATATCCACCAACTCACATACTTTCTTTTTTTGTGTGTGGTAAGAATACTTAAAATCTTACTCTCAGCAATTTTTAAGTGCATAGCACGTTATTACTAACTGTAGTGGCCACATGGTAATTCCTCCTGTCTAATATAAACTGTTCCTTTTCTCCAGCAAACAAAGGCTTTTAAACATCTACTGTAAATGTTGCAAGTATGCTGAGGCATTTAAAGGGGAACATAAACACAATAAGAAATGAAATAGAAGATAGAAACTGAAAATTATAGAGCTGATCTACTTAATGCATACTGTGGAAAATTCACTCGAGATTAACAGCAGATTAGACATAGAAGAAGAAAAGATCAGTGTAATGAAAGACATCAATAGAAAAATATGTAATTAAGCACAATGAAGTTTTAAATATCAATACAGAGACAAAACTTAGAAAAATTCTCAAAGCAGACCTGGGTTTATTCAGCAAGATAAATTTAAAATGTATAATTTGCGGTTTACTCCTGGCTCATCATTTTAATTTTATTGCCAACATTTTGCTTGGTACCAAATTTTAAAATTTCTTTATGAAACATTTTTTTACATTTTGCTGTTGCCTGTAATATGTAGAATATTTTCTCTATGTAAACAAATCCAATTTTCAAAAGAGATAATTTTGGTAGAAACTAAAAAAAATGGAAAAGTATGTGGTATAAATGACTTGTAAAAGTGAATCTCTCTTTTAGAAAATATTTTTAAATAATGCAAGCTAAAGATCCTATTAATGGTGAAGCCGAGTAAAGAAAATGGTCTTTTAACAGAAATAAACGATTGGATTCTAATGTCAAGGTACCCCCACACCAACCAGAAAAATTTCTTGAACTTCCACGTTTCAAGAACTAATAGCGTGACCTAAGAATATAATGAACATCTTGTTTATGTAATGGTTATGCCATTTTGTTAACTCACCTCCCAAAACATATGCTTATTTAAAAATAATCTCCTTTCTATTAAAAATAACTATCCATAACAATTAAAGGTCAACATGTTCCAAATAATTCCCAAATAGTTAATATTAGCTATCTTTACTACATTTTCCATGTTGTAAGTTACTATGGCGAAGCAAATAAGTTTAAGTAAGACACGATCTCATATTCATTATTAATCTCATGTCATGTTATTATAATTTATACCACATAATTTGTAAGCTAGAAAAATCATAAAAGTAACTTCTTATCAAAGAGACTCTTAAATTGTTTAGATTTAGATAAATTTCAAAATCTTAGAGTAAATAGTTTTTCTTCTTTAGGATTAGGTTTGTTGAATAACATATGAGAATACCTTTCATGTCCTGACATAGCGATAATTTCAGAGGAGTGGTGAGGCTGCAGGGTACATTACATACTAAATGCAGGGGCTGGCTTAAAGTCAAATAAAACAGAATGGCAAACGAACCGAAAAACAAAACCAAACAACTCTCAGAGCTGTTACATTTATCTAGAATTCCGGTGATTACAATATATGTTTTTCTTTAGAGATAAACTTTACAGAAGAGGACAGAGCTAGAGGCCAGATTTTATTCCTTTCTCCCTTCTATGTTTTATCTTAAATCTCAAAAGTCACCTTTTCACAAGGGGACCTGCTTCACGGTCTAATTCACTGAGTTCCACTGCATGTCCTGATATAAATGTTAACGTTCCAAATCTTTTGCTTTTAATGTAACTCCAAGAATAGGAAATATAGCCTATTTATTATTTTAAGCCATTTTATTCAAAGCTGGAAAATATATTAATAACATATTAAGAGAGTACTAAAATTACTTATTTGAAGTTCACATTTAACAGCCCAAAGTTCAAGACTATAAATATTGACACATATTTGCCACCAATATCTGCCTCTAGTAATAGCCCCGTGGTTTATATCATCTTCTGTCATTTTCTAGATTATGGTATCTTTATTAGATGTTAATTTAGAGATAACTTATTTTCAGACTCCAGATTTCATTATACTTTTTCAGTGAAAAAGTAAAGCATCAAACAATTTAAGATTGGTTTATTAAAAGAGAAGTAGGGTCGTCAGTGACTTCCATATTTCTAAATGTAATGGCATTTTCAATTGTCACAGTACTTGACTGTTAGCAAACTTTTCTAATAGGGACTACTCTATGTTTGACATATGTTTTTTTCTCACTGGGTTTCAGGGCATAATGTTTTCCTGCTTTTATCTCTACATTTATGGGCCTTTTTTTATTCCTCTTTTGTTGGCTCAAACTTCTCTGGCCATTAATATTTGTGGTTTTATAAGACTCATTTTATTATTTATTTTTATCCAGTTGATTTTGCCCACATTTATAGTTTGTTATATAAAGTAATTACTGACAAATATATATATATCCCCTGGCTAGACTTTAATGCAAACTCCAACTATATATAAACAATTACTTCTTTGTCATTTCCACTTTCATGTTTCAAAAATCTCTCTAAATACAAAATGCACAAGACTAAACTTGGGATAATCACTCAAAACCCAATACTGACCTAGTATACTTATTCTCATGGAATGATACCACCATTCATGTAGTTCCACAAATTTCGAATGTCTTCTTTCCCTCATAGCCCATAATGATGGGAAATTCTACTTAATTTACCTCTTAAATATTTTCAAGTTTTTCTTCTACTTTCCATTCCTGTCGTCACTGCCCAAATTCATTGCCATCACCTTGATTACCACAATAACTTCTAAGTGGTTTTGCTTCATTAATGGTTACACCTGCCAATTATAGTCTCTACAGAGCTATAGAGTAGACAGAGTAAGTTTCTCAAAACTCAAATCTGATTATCACTTCTTTGCTCAAAACATATCAATGGCTTTACAATGTTTTCAGAATAAAGGCCAACATTTATTTAATGTGGCTGTCTTAGTTTTGTGTTGCTATAACAGAACACCTGAGGCTGGGCAATTTATAAACAAAAGAGATTTATATGGCTTATTAATCTTGTGGCTTGAAAGTTCAAGACTGGGCAGCTGCATCTAGCGAGGGCCCCATGCTAGTTCAACTCATGGCAGAAAGTGGAAAGGTGAAAGTCTTGTGCAGAGATCACATGGTGAAATAGGAAGCAAAAGAGAGAAACCAAGGGAACCAGACTCTCTTTTTGTAACCTGCTTTCACATAAACCAATTTATTCCATATGAGAAGGAGAACTCACTGACCCCTGAGGGACGGCATTAATCTATTGATGTGTAATCTGTTCCCATAACCCAAACACCTCCCACTAAGCCCCACTTCTCAATACTGCCACATTGGGAATCATATTTTAATATGAGTTTTGCGGGGGACAAATTGTATTCAAACCATAGCAATGGCCTACAAGACCTTGCATGGCCTGGCTTCTACCCACTTCCTTAGCATCATCTTATACTACACCTCCTTGATTCCTAGCTCTAAGAACAAGTTTCTTTGATTTGTCAAACAAGCTATAGTTGAACCTACAGCATAAACTTTGTGTATGTTGTCCTTTCGCCAACAATGCATTCCCCCATTGCCTAGGTAACCACTTACAGTTCCAGTTTCAACTCAAGTATTTCAATTCCTCAGGGAAATCATTTGTGAATGTCCTCCACTCCCAGTCTGTGTGTTTTAGGTCATTTCTTTGTTGTACAAAGAGCTAGGGTACTTTTCTCAGCTGACTTAAGAAATGAATAACCTTATCATGTTGACCAGAGATCTGAAAAATAAGAATTAGTCTTTCAAAAAAAGTCTTAAATTATTTATAGCACATTTTTTAATTTGATGCTTTTTTCCTTTCACTGTTCAACTAGTAAATCTCTTCAATAACTTCCAAGTATTTGTGATTGATTCATTTATTCAACAGAATATTGAAGTGAACACATATTTTATAGCAGACACAACTCTAGACTGTGGCTATTAAGCTGTAAGCAATACAATAGCATTTGTAGGGTCAGCATTTATTGAGTATATGTACAGAAAATAAAACAAAGAAAAAGGAATATACATTAAAATGGCTCTGGAATTTTACATATTAAGAACTGAAGCTAAACTAGCTTAAGCAATACTGGGACTAGACATCGTTTTATCATCCTAGATTTTTTAACAAAGCTGGCAGTGAGTGAATAATTTTTTTGCTTCCATCAGAAATGAATAAATGCGGAAACATCCATGAAAAAATACTGTTACTGAAAAGTGGGATAATGAACTAACTGAACAGCCGATTTTTAAGACTCTGAGCCTTCTTATCAAAACTCACTTCAAGATCTTTGCTTTACTCTTACCCCTCCCCCATTTGAAGCTATTTTATAAATTCTGTTCAATCCCAATTGATTTCCTGCCTAACTAGGCCTACTTAAAAAATTTCCCACACATGGTCCTAAAACCTTAACTCTCATAAATACTCTGCCTTAATTTCCCATTTTGAGATATAAAGATTCCATTAAGGTGGTATTCTCCTTTACTTCAGCAAGCCTAATACAGTTTTGCTTTAGCAACAGTTTTTTGTTTTTGTTTTTGTTGTTTTGTTTTTCTCGGGGAGCCAACAGTTAGCAATAGCACTGGAAAATATACTGGAAAACTGATGACAAAAGAAATGAATAACAAAACAGAGATGATGTTTCTGCAAATGTGCCTGAGAATTGATTAAAATGTTAACAATATAGACTCTGCATTCTACTTTGGTAGGAAGATGACAAGAAGAGGGTAAGGTTTGGACAGTGAGCATTTTGGGGATTATACAAGGTTTTAATGTGCATAGACACTCAGGGAAAAACTGGAGCTATGAAATTGTGTATGGGGCAGGGGACTATTGGGGAACACTTGTACTTACAAATATGGTTTCTTAATATCTCATAATTGCCCCAAGAATTGACTTGTAGTGACTAATATGTATGCCATAAACAAATGCATATTTGGCATCCAAATCAAGTGAATTCCTCAATATTCTCATGGACCTATGGAAATGGTGTAGAAGAGAAGAGAATTAAGAGAGATTGAATGTGTTCTCTAGTAAAAAAAAAATGTATATTCTATGAAGCAGTCAATAGAAAATTCTATGGCAAAAATCAACTTCCTTTGGAAAGCAGTTGTATCAGAGGCAAACTTGTAAACATTGTATGCTTATGAATAGATAATTAAAAGTACTATGATTTAATTTAAACTACTAGAAATCATCTAGAAGGAAACAGTTAAGAGTTTATCACTTTTAAATGAAAAATAGAAAATAATTTACTACTGTTTGAAAACAAAATCACAGAACCTGACATTGTGCTGTTCCTCCATTCTCTTCCTAGTAATCCTATATGAATAGAAATACAAGGAAAACATGATTTAACAGTAGGGAAACATAAAGAAGATACAACAATTTTATTTCTCCTGGTGATGTTTCTTTGCAAGTGGCTTTGGTCAAAGAGAAGGTAAGAGAGCAAAGACAATTCTATGTTAGGACACCAAACATAATTTTGTTTCCAACAGCAGATTTCTAGTTCTGTGAAAATATATTATAGTTTTTCCACTAATACAATAAGAATATTTTTCTTTTGAAGTTAAATAAGAAGAAATAAGTATTTACATAACAATGTAAAATATTTTACAAAGTAAATTACATTTATATATTTTCTGTAAATATAATTCTGTTGTGGACTCAAAATGATCATGTCATGTACTACTATGCTTGCCATTCAAAAATGTGTTTTACTTGAGAGGAAGAAATTGTAAGATAGTGTTTTTTCCAGAATTATTCCTGAATTATTAAGGTTTTATTTAAATGTTGAAGAAACTTCAAAATGAAAGGAGGGTAAAGGCCAAGATTTTCATAACTGTTAAGATAGTGCATTCCACATAACAAAATTCTTCATGCTTATCTTATGAATGAACTATTAATCATATTGTTATGATTATTTAATCTTAACATTAATATGTTAAGAAGTAAATATTAATATATTAATATGTTAATAAGTTGAAGAAGAAATGATGAGTAGCAGGATCCAGTCCTCAATATGGGTAGTATATTATAGTATACTATAGTATAGTAATACAGTTATAGTATATAAAATGTAGATCATATGGCATATCTGGACTCATTTAAGGCATTTTTTTAATGTATTTAATAATAACATTGTAGCTGGCCTGAAGGAAGAGTATGTATCTCACAATGTTTGATAGCCTAGAGTAACAGAACAAATGCTACAAGATAAAACTAAATTTAGTTTTAAAAATATCAAAATCTCCTTAAGGTAGGAGGAATTTTTACATATATTAGCAGATGTTGATTTAATAAAGACGTAAAGATTTCAGATTGCAATAAACATGAATGGGAAAGGTGATAGTCTTGCCCCACTCTTTGTTCGTCAGAGTACATTTGAATATTGAATTCTTTTCTGGGTGTTGCACATTAAGAGGGAGAGAAACGCACGAACATATTCAAGAATGGGAAACCCAGATGGTAAAGAGAACAGTTTGGACACAAATTGTACCACAGAAAACCATAGTTAGCAAGTATAAGATAGTAGATTTTGGCTAAGTGTAAGAAAGAACTTTCAAATAACAGAATCTTTTGAAGAAGGAATTGAGTTATTTTGGAAATATAGCCAAATATGTATGCTTGTGGGTGTATGTGTATGTATATGTGCACATATAATATGTTTCCCTTGTTTGAACTTACTTTTAAAATTAACATCTTAGTTGTCTTATTTTGTAAACCACAGCAGTGGTGCATTGTTTTAAGAGAGTTACTTTATTTAAAAAGTGGAATAATTACTTAAAATAGAGTGAAGCAACTGAACAGAGAATTCTATGTTTATGATTTATTAATCAAATCCCAAATATTTATCTTACCCATACCTATTTGATATAACTTGTCTCTGGCAACTTACTTTTATAGATGTTTTTCAAAACATTCAACTTCATTTTATAATTGGGTTGCATGCTATAAATTTAATGATCTTTTATTTAAAAAATGACTCTATTATACAAAGATTCAGAAGGGATGGTTCAAATTGTTGACTAGAGCACTGATCGCTATAATGCCAAGAATAATTGAAATGAACTTTTATTTTAATGTAAAATGATTATTATTATTTTTAGATGGAATCTCACTCTGTTGCCAGGCTGGAGTGCAGCAGCGCGATCTCGGCTCACTGCCACCTCTGCCTCCCGGGTTCAAGTAATTCTCCTGCCTCAGCCTCCTGAGTAGCTGGGACTACAGGCACACACCACCATGCCTAGCTAATTTTTGTATTTTTAGTAGAGACGAGGTTTCACTATGTTGGCCAGGATGGTCTCGATCTCTTGACCTTGTGATCCACCTGCCTTGGCCTCCCGAAGTGCTGGGATTACAGGCGTGAGCCACCACGCCTGGCCTATAATGTAAAATTCTAAGTTACAGTAATGGCATATTATTCTTTTAGTATTTTTAAATAAAGAGTATTTGGTGTATATTAAAAATTAAGCAAATTAACATAAAATATTAAATAATTTCTACTTTACACCCTTCGATCTATAGTTTTTCTCCTTCAGAATGATTTTTTTAAATTTTTTTGAAAACTCTTTTATATTTTTAATTCAGAAAAATTTCTCAGTAAAGCAACTGTTAATATTATCCATTTGTGTTCCACTAAGGAGGATAAAGGAATGGACTTATTTAAACTACCAGTCACTACCTCTTTCTCAATTTTCTTCTCCAACCTGAGTTTTGTAATAATCGTTTTTATTAATTGTAAGAATAAATTTTAGCAATACATTTATTCCTCAAATTCTGGATCCATTCACATCAGATACATCAGATACTGTCCTTTGGACTCTGCCATGGGAAATTAGGAATTTAGTGTATGTCTCTTACCTCCACATATCTACTCAGCCCCTGAGTTATTTGTGTGATGCCATAGCTTTTAAATTGTAAAGTCATGTAATATTTACCTCAATTCCAAGTTTTGTCAATGGCTTGATTCTAAAAAAATTGAAAACCAACTTTCATAATATACCTAAGTAGAATTGACTCTTGAAGCAAGTAATGTAAAATAACTCATTTTAAAAAGTCATATATACTGTCACTTAGAAGAGCATTTTCAAGTGTTAAGTTCAAATTGATCTCCTTTCCTACACTTCATTGATTGCTAAAGTGATAATTATCAGATAACATTTTGCTTCATTTTTGAACAATTAATTTCCTTTATAGCTTTATGTATCCATTCAAGTTGCTAATCATTTTTCTTTCTCTCGTTTACAGAAAAGATTTGTTAGTTTTTCACCAGGTTACTATAGTTTTCTAACTTCCTGATCATTATCTCTATTGACTGGAATATATTTTCTTTTTAGGAGAGATTCTATTCATTCTTTTGCCTTCATATTTTGACCAATATTTTTAAAATAGTTGGAGAACTACCATTGTAAAAGGATACATGATACTCCACTGTGCCAGGAAATACTATTAGAATTAACTGTTTTTCTAATTATATATAATTAAGATGTTTCTAACATTTGGTATTGTTAAGAATGTAGCTAAAGTAATATGTGTATATTATGTATATAAATGTACATTATATATAGTGTATATTTACAAAATACAATGTAGTATATACACAATTGTTATTTGGATTTTATTACATTCTTAACCCATGAAATACACAAATACACTGTTGTCAAAAAATAATATTGTGTTACTCTGTTCACATGCTGCTAATAAAAACCTACTTGAGACCGGGTAATTTACGAAGGAAAGAGGTTTAATTGACTTGGAGTTCTACATGGCTGGAGAGGACACACAATCATGGTGGAAGACAAATGTAGAGCAAAGTCACGTCTTACATGGTGGCAGGCAAGAGAGCTTGTGTAAGGGAACTACCCTTTATAAAACCATCAGATCTTTTGAGACTTATTCACTGTCATGATAACAGCATGGGAAAGACCTGCTCCCATGATTCAATTACCTCCCACCAGGTCCCTCCACAACATGTGGATATCATGGGAGCTACAATTCAAGATGGGTTAGGATACAGCCAAACCATATCCAACATAATATCGAAAAATTAGTATAGTACCAAAAATACAAAAGTACACAAATAAAGGATTCTAAAGGTAACCACTAAAAACAGAGTAAAATACATAATTCCAAATATATTTTTATGCATTTACAAACACAGATATACATATAGAAATGCATACTTTATGTACATATTTGGCATAATTTAGAATACAGCATGTAATACTCCACAGTTCCTTTTTTATTATAATAAATGTACACTGAAAAAATTTCAAAATTGGTACTTTTTGTCTTTAACCTCTGCATATTATTCCGTAGTATAGATGTACTAAGAATTATTCAAACATTTTTATTGATTTAGCTTAGTTTGTTTCTTTATTTTCAGTTTTACAGAGAAATCCAAAGTAATCTTATTTTCAATACTTCTTCATGATCGTGAATAAATATTTACATAAGTGTGAAACTGAGAATTAGACCTGACATTAGAAGGGCATCTACTTTAATAATGTAAATAGAAGTAGTCACATTAAACCATAAAATATTTGTAAAACTTTCATCTTCCATTAACAGCTAATGACCCATTCTCCTGCCCCCACCAAGTTGCAAATTCTTAACTTTACAAGGTTTTGATATTGCTTAAAACACAGATTAGAAAGAAAATGTATTTGATGTCTAGATTTATTTGTGCATCATAGTGACCTCCTCCACACTTTTTTTTTTAATTTAGCAAAGCTAAGGAAACCAGATAGCCCCCAGAGTGATTTGTTTTGCTTCGTTTTATTATACACAGAGGGTGAAACTGGGAAAAGCTTCTGATGGTGGAAATAGTCCAAATAAAAGTATAGCTTAATAAAAACTAGGATTTAGGAAAAAGGTGAAATCTATATTTCCCTGGTTTTAACATAATTATATTTTGATTAGATATTAATATCATCAGTGGGTATTATTAGTATGTTTTACATGAATTTTATTTGTGGACAGAGGCAATGCTAACTTACTTGTGAGGTGCAAATCACTAATCTTAGCTAATTAAGACTTGGAAATATTAATCACTAAACTACATTCCTCCCTCTATTGGCAGATAAGGGAATCACAGTCTTAGTGGCTTAGGAGGAAATGCTTGTAGAGAAGTGGTGTATTTTTTAAAAAGTAAATATTGCACAGAGAGTACTCAGGGGATGTTTAGGAAGAAGAAAAACATCATAAGAAATGATAACTGAAAAACTGTATATACATACCTACATTAGAAATGTTTATTCAGCACATCGGGAGTGTAATTCTGATATGGTATCTCCATCTTTATCTTCTATAACCATCCATGGTTTATGCACATTTAATTTCTTAAATGTTATCCTATTTCAAGGAGAATGCCTTAGGAGCTGCACAATTTCCCTAATGCATTTAGGAGTTGAGGCTTTAAAAAAAATTAACATTACCACTTTTCAGAATATGATTAAATTTTTATGTATTCTCAGGATGTTAGTAAAGTAACAATAATTAGATAACAAATGTGTTAACAATGGTATCAGTAATAAAAATAATATTAATATATTGTTGGTGTTTTTCCTATTATATTACTTTAGAAATTCATTTTTCATTATTTATGCTTTTTATATTTATTAATAGTATTTGAGTATCCCAAGATGCTAAAAAATTGGAATACATACTATGAAAAAAATTTTCTGCTTGCAGCCATATTCATCAAAGATGTTAAGCCTACATACAGTGTTTCAGCACAACCAGTTAATTATCTGAAGCTGATCAAGGACCATGAACTTCTAGTGACCTAGTTTGCTTGACTCTTCCAAGATCTGGTTGAGATAACACTTTGCTAATCAATGAAAAATAGAACTTTTAGCCTACCGTACATTGGCTGATACATACATTTCATATTATCCAGAGAGTGAATTTCCAATGCTGAATTAGCTTAACCATCGTGAAGCTACCTTTCCATTTCTAGCTCTAAAAAGCCCTTGACTGTTCCTCCTTACACAATTTCCTCATTGTTCAGGGTTTCCTTGACTGTCAGATTGAAAGACTCAAGATAAATGGGTTATTAATTAACTTATTTATTCATTCACTCCCATTCTTCATTTATGTTTTGTAATGCATTGCAACAGTTTTCATTTTTAAATAGTAAATGGCACATAAAATGCTATTAAATTTTCACTATTATATCATAATAATTTGTTTAGTCTTTTTGCCTCTTTGGTACTAAACTATACATCATTTTTCATACGCCCTTATTATCTGTTTTAGATTATGCAAAAAATGATTGAAGTGTATATGGATTTGGAAAAGTTTCAAGTACTTGAATTTTTGTGCAATCCTACACATTATTCCTTTGCATTTTTAAAAAAGGCCTTCCAAAAATTTTAAATTCAGTAAATTATAAAATCATTATTGAAAATGACATATTAATATAATTTCACTTTCCACAAATATTACAGTTTTAGAGTAAACTGAAAAACGCAAGTACTTTATCAATGGGGTACTTAGGTATAACTTGAAGCATACAAGTGATGAGTAATATATTTACTAAATGCATATCTGGGAAAACTAAAATATGTTTTCATAGATGAAGAAAACTGTAATAACTGGATAATTTGTTTTTCTATAATGGCAATATGACACAAAGACGTGATAAAGCAACAGAAGTCAAAATTATACTTCACCATCATATTTGTATATAAATGACATTTGGTAAATAAAAATGTGTAAACTATCTCAAGATCAGTTAACTTTATATAATGGTGACTGTTTAAAATGTCTCTGACGGCCTGTATGGAGATTACATTTGGTTAAATGTACATGCAGCCACAGGCACAGGGCCTCACACATTTTAAGACTTCAGTTATGTTTGTATTTCTTGGGGTGTGTCTTTTTCCTTCTCCAAATGGTTAGAGCAAGATTTTTGGCAGGCAGTATTGCTCTCTTTTTAAATTAATGTTTATATGCTTCTCCCTGTGTCTGTGAAGATTATAGATTCTATCCTAACAAAGCTGAGAAAAAGAAGCTACCATTGATCTGAAAACAGAGAGAGAAAGCCATAGAAAGAACAGAAGAGAGAAAATGCCCTAAGTTGTTATCTGAGACAGAAGCAGGCCCCATCTGTTGGCCAGATTCTGAGCCTCTGGATAGGTTCTGTTTATTAGGACTGATCCCAGAGATATCAGCCCAAGTGGCTGAGTATGAGAACATGGGGAAGGTGGTGAGGGCTCAGGGGCATTTATTTTATTTTATTTTATTTTTTTGAGGAGAGGTCTCTGTTCTTTGAATTCCAGGTCAATGAGAATGTCTGGAAAATGGATTCCATCTGTTCACAAGAGTACATGAAGAGGGGAAGGTTGTCATTGTGTACAGACTGGAGAATCAGACCTAAACAAAACCCAGAGTTAAGGAAGTAAGTTTTCTTTGGAGAGAAATTTCAGCTCCAGAGTAAATGCCAACTATTGGGGTAAGCTTCCAGAAGGAAGTAGGGAACAGCAAAAGGGGGAACCTGCCAGAAGTAAATTCCAGCTGGAATATCGTAAAGTGACATATGTGTGAGGTGCTGTAGCACAGCTGGTTTACTTCTCTAGGTATCATCAGGCAGCTGAACATGCTGGGTGAAACCATTCCTGGCACAGACTTCTTGAAGGTTCAGTGAAGGACCCGGACAAGCCTAGGTAATTCATTCATTTCCAGACACAGTCTCCTCTAATATTTTCAAATAAGTGAACGTTATGTTTTTTGGAACAATTACTAAATTACAGTTTCATAGTGTTTCTATTTGATGAGCATTTTTTTCCCATGGACCCAAAAATAGTTTTATTGTAGAAAATAATGGAGTTATGCTGCGGTCTGAAAGTCTGTGTCCTCCTAAAATTCATATGTCGAAATCCTAATTCCCAAGGTGTTGGTATTAGAAGGTAGGACCCTTGAGAGGTGATTAGGTGAAAAGGGTGGAGCCTTCAGGAATGAGATTAGTGCCTTGTGAAAGAGACTGCAAAGATGTGCTTTGCTTTTTCCACCATGTGAGGACAACAGTGAAAACAGAATTATAGCTAAATGTGATAGCGCCTTTCTTTGTGAATCAAGAAATGATCCCTCACCAGACACTGAATCTGTAGGTGCCTTGGTCTTGGGTTTCACAGACTCGAGAATTTTGAGAAATAAATTTTTTTTTCTTAAACTCATCGTTAATTCTTTATTATTATTATTATTATTACTATACTTTAAGTTTTAGGGTACATGTGCACAATGTGCTGGTTAGTTACATATGTATACATGTGCCATGCTGGTGTGCTGCACCCATTAACTCGTCATTTAGCATTAGGTATATCTCCTAATGCTATCCCTCCCCTGTCCCCCCACCCCACAATAGTCCCCAGAGTGTGATGTTCCCCTTCCTGTGTCCATGTGTTCTCATTGTTCAATTCCCATCTATGAGTGAGAACATGCGGTGTTTGGTTTTTTGTCCTTGTGATAGTTTACTGAGAATGATGATTTCCAGTTTCATCCATGTCCCTACAAAGGACATGAACTCATCCTTTTTTATGGCTGCATAGGATTCCATGGTGTATATGTGCCACATTTTCTTAATCTAATCTATCATTGTTGGACATTTGGGTTGGTTCCAAGTCTTTGCTATGGTGAATAGTGCCGCAATAAACATATGTGTGCATGTGTCTTTATAGCAGCATGATTTATATAGTCCTTTCAGTATATACCCAGTAATGGGATGGCTGGGTCAAATGGTATTTCTAGTTCTAGATCCCTGAGGAATCGCCACACTGACTTCCACAATGGTTGAACTAGTTTACAGTCCCACCAACAGTGTCAAAGTGTTGCTATTTCTCCACATCCTCTCCAGCACCTGTTGTTTCCTGACTTTTTAATGATTGCCATTGTAACTGGTGTGAGATGGTATCTCATTGTGGTTTTGATTTGCATTTCTCTGATGGCCAGTGATGATGAGCATTTTTTCATGTGTCTTTTGGCTGCATAAATGTCTTCTTTTGAGAAGTGTCTGTTCATATCCTTTGCCCACTTTTTGATGGGATGGTTTTTTTTTCTTGTAAATTTGAGTTCATTGTAGATTCTGGATATTAGCCCTTGGTCAGACGAGTAGGTTGCGAAAATTTTCTCCCATTTTGTAGGTTGCCTGTTCACTCTGATGGTAGTTTCTTTTGCTGTGCAGAATCTCTTTAGTTTAATTAGATCCCATTTGTCAATTTTGGCTTTTGTTGCCATTGCTTTTGGTGTTTTAGACATGAAGTCCTTGCCCATGCCTATGTCCTGAATGGTAATGCCTAGGTTTTCTTCTAGGGTTTTTATGGTTTTAGGTCTAACGTTTAAGTCTTTAATCCATCTTGAATTAATTTTTGTATAGGGTGTAAGGAAGGGATCCAGTTTCAGCTTTCTACATGTGGCTAGCCAGTTTCCCAGCACCATTTATTAAATAGGGAATCCTTTCCCCATTGCTTGTTTTTCTCAGGTTTGTCAAAGATCAGATAGTTGTAGATATGAGGCATTATTTCTGAGGGCTGTGTTCTGTTCCATTGATCTATATCTCTGTTTTGGTACCAGTACCATGCTGTTTTGGTTACTGTAGACTTGTAGTATAGTTTGAAGTCAGGTAGCGTGATGCCTCCAGCTTTGTTCTTTTGGCTTAAGATTGACTTGGTGATGCGGGCTCTTTTTTGGTTCCATATGAACTTTAAAGTAGTTTTTTCCAATTCTGTGAAGAAAGTCATTGGTAGCTTGATGGGGATGGCATTGAAACTATAAATTACCTTGGGCAGTATGGCCATTTTCATGATATTGATTCTTCCTACCCATGAGCATGGAATGTTCTTCCATTTGTTTGTATCCTCTTTTATTTCATTGAGCAGTGGTTTGTAGTTCTCCCGGAAGAGGTCTTTCACATCCCTTGTAAGTTGCATTCCTAAGTATTTTATTCTCTTTGAAGCAACTGTGAGTGGGAGTTCACTCATGATTTGGCTCTCTGTTTGTCTGTTATTGGAGAAATAAATTTCTATTGTGTATAAGCTATCTAGTCCATGGCATTTTATTATAACAGCCTGACCAGACTAAGACAGCTTATAATTGCAGTTTTTTAAAAAACTCAACTTATTGTGTAGACCTTTATGAAAAGTTTGCAGTATCTAAACACTTAAAAACAAAGCAGGACCGGTCTTGTCACAGATCAACTCTAACAAAGTAACAAAAAAATGCCCTTAAATGTTTTCTACAAAAATATGCTACTTACCTTTCATCATCAAAATCACAGAAAAAATATATTATTAATCAGTTCTACTCAAGTGAGCACATGAGAGACAAAGATTTCTGGATTAGGATTCAGAAGGACCGAATTTGAGACAATGTTTTAACACTTACGTAATTGATCACCACAAAATCCCTGGACTCTGATTCTTTATCTGCAAATTATTATCTCTTACCTACTTTCTACACTAAATTTTGATATAACATTGATCTCCATTTTAGGGTAATTTGTTCAAACTGAATTGTGGCTAAATATGAGAGCCTACAATCTAAATTTATAGTCTGAATGACAGTTTCAGTGGTGCAGAGACAAAAAAATAGCAGATTATCTCATTTCCTAAATTGTAAGAATTTGCCTATGTGCTAGACTAGTTATTGTAGTAGCCTTAAAATATCGAAATTGTTCTATCTGTCATTAACTATAATGAAGACAGACATCCTTACTTTCAAAATTAACATTAGGATCAGAAAGGCATGGAAGAGTAAATTACCATGCTGTTCAATCTGACACAATTCCGTTTTAATTTGTGGTGATTTATAAACACATAAGCATGTGGAAGATGTGCATCTACTGATGTAAACTCATGTTAAGTCATGGGCTGCAGCAGGATGGATGAGCAGGACACAAATCTGGAAACAAGATTTACCAGTCAGGGTGAAACAGGTGGGGCTAATCATAGGACAACAAATCCCAATTGTTGTTTTTGTGTAGACCAAGGAACTGTGATCATATTCATAGAGAAAATGAATCCAGCCAAGGCTGGACGTCTCAGATCAAATTAATCATAAAAAGAAAAACTATTTAAACATCAAGTTTTGAATTTAAATCCAAGATTAAATTTTGAATTTGGAATTTGGCAGGAAACCTGTTCAGAAGACAAACAGAATAACAACGATCAGAGAAAGAAGCATAGTAACCCCCGGTCCACTGATGATCTGCTGTGAAAACTTTGTATTGTTAGATATACCCCACTTCCCAGGGCAAAATAGGCCGCTTGGTAGTAATAACCAATGATTGCAACTTCAATTGAAGGTATTATATTGATGGAGAACTTCTTGACTAAGTTAGCAGTGTGTGTGTGCACATATCCTTACATTTATGTGAACACCTTCAATTCATTCTGTGACATGGTGTAAAATAATACATCACTGAAATTGTAAAATTTCTAAAAGCCAGTGGGGGTTTATTTCATAACACTCTAAGGACTTTCTTTGTATATAGTACTTGATGAGATTCCCAAATGATGACATTGTTAGAAAATGTTACTCTCACTGTCCCTATGAAGAAGCAGAAGTTTGGAGAAGAAACACAATGTGCCCAAATTCGCATGTCAGGAAGATGTAGAATTAGGATTCAGATTCAAGTCAGCGATTCCAGAGTTCTTTGTTTCTATCTTAACACATATCTCTACATTAGATTTGTTAACATTATTTTACCCAAATGTTCCCAAATATTTTGTTATATCGTTTAGTACATCTGCCTAACAAACATGGATTTTGGTGGTATTAATTTTGCTTCACTTTGCCAGTACTCTGATGTTAAACAAAAATTATGGGAGGCTATTGTTTGGGGCTAAGCTCCTGCACGAGGCCCCAACAAAACAAAACAAACCAAAATGGAGCTGCTTATGCTATATGCCACATAATCAAACTGAAACTTTAAGGAAGCAAATCATTCCAAAACAGACCAGCTTTTTCTGAGTCAGATCAACTTCTACCTTAGTCAGCATAGTTAGAAAGTTCCTCCTGCATTAACCCTTACAAAAAGTCACTGGAAGTATCCTGATGTTAGACAGCTTTTTTCCTATTGTTCTGTTTTCTTGTTTCTTACAAAATCCACCATTCTGCCATTGTTCAATGGAGCTCTCATTCTGTTTTGTAGAATGAAAGCTGCCCTGATTTATGAATTGCAAATAAAAGCCAGTTAAGTCTATAATTAAATTTGTTGTAATTTTGACTTTTGACACTGATAAAAGTGCAATAGTCAGCAAAAAGGGAGAAAAATCAATAATTCAAAAAATAGGACCAAAAAACAGTGTATCATTAATGCTGAGAGTAAGATAAAATATGCTGAAGCAAGGGGGATGTAAAAAGGAGAAATTTCCCCATTTGCCATATTTTGTTTTGTAACTCTTGTTTTTCAGTCAGAAACTTTGACTTATTTCTTATTATGAAATTAAATTCAGCATTTATACAGTTAAATTTTGAAAGGAAACAAAATTCTGCATGATAGATAAAAGCTTATGACTTAGATTCAGTTCACTCTGTCTGTGTACAATTGAGTTGCCTTGTGACTAGAACAGTGATTTTTTTTCTAATTTTAGGTGAAATGTCTGATATATGTAAGTCTAGAAGCCATGCAAAACTATATATTTTATGACATTTTAATTAAAATTGTATAACTTATCTGTAATTTTCTATCACTCTTACAACTTGACAACCAGCTTTACAAGCAATAAATGTTTTCAGTTCATAAAATGTAACTTCAGGCTACAGACAGAGATTATAATAAAACTAGGAAAATCAGACTTAAAAGTTATTTATAAATTTCTTCTCTTCATTTACCCTCAATTCTGATCAAATTTTGGAGATATAAATAAGGCTCCTGGTAAAAAAAGTTCAGTTTAATTTTGAACTGCACACATTTGTCAATTTCACACTTTGACTGCCTAATCTTCCTATTTGGGGGCCACAAAAAGCTTCTACATATACTGTGGACTAAGCAAGAAAGAGTTACCAAAAATAATACCTGATTTGACCTTCGTCATCCTTCCTTTCATTCATTTAGTTAATTGTGCCAGGTAAGAATGTCTCTAGTTGGCTGAGTACCCAAGGTCACCATCATGACTAATAATCATTGTCTGGGTAAGGATACTATTGTTGTTTTAAAAGGAATGTTAGTGTTTCTGAGTAAATAAGGAAACATGTGACTGTGCTTTTAATTAAAGTTAGTTCTCATACAAATTCCAAAGATGTATAAAAAACAATTTTTTACTTACTCTCAATTCACTAGATTATAGGCTTACTGAACACAAGTATAGTACCAATTGGTTCCTCAGTGCCTAGCAGAAGTAAGTACTCAATAAATGCTTTTGGCAAGAAATGTCTCTATAGTTTTTGTCTGTATCTCTCTCTCTCTCTTTTTTTTTTTTTTTCTGAGACGGAGTTTCACTCTTGTAGCCCAGGCTGGAGTGCAATGGCACAATCTCAGCTCACTGCAACCTCCGCCTTCTAGGTTCAAGGGATTCTCCTGCCTCAGCCTCCCCAGTAGCTGGGATTACAGGCGCCCACCACCATGCCTAGCTAATTTTTTGTATTTTTAGTAGAGACATGGTTTCACCATGTTGGCCAGGCTGGTCTCAAACTCCTGACCTCAGGTAATCCACCAGCCTTGGCCTCCCAAACTGCTGGGATTACAGGCGTGAGCCATTGCACCTGGCCTATTTTTCTCTTTTTTTTTTTTAAATGAAAACTTGAAGTAACTTTCATATATATGGGATCATGCCACTTGATAATAAACTGGTCAATCTTGCAGTTGCACAAATTTATTTGTGTGAATATTAGAGGTTTCTCTGGTTTACAAATCATTTAAAAATACAGGAATATCACTTTGGTTAGTGAGGTTTCTTTGAGTGGTTTTCCTATAATTTTTTTCTTTCTTTTTTCCTTTTTTTTTTTTATGTATCATCTATTCTTTATCCTGCATTTATAGAGAGACTCATGTCTGCAAAGCAATGTGCCGATCCTGAGAATAAAATGAAAATATGCTCATAAGGCTACAGGCAGCATCGAAAACAAGGGGGTGTCAGGAATGGCAGCAGCTTCTAAGGCCCTACACTGGAGCCCCAAGTGAATCATTGATTTGAGATTAAAATTAAGGGACTATATAATAATTTTCTAATTTTAATCTGTTAAAAATTAATCATATAACAAATTGGTAAAGAGACTTAACCTCTATTTAAGGTCATATTAGAATTAACCATACTCAAAATAATATCTTCCCTTACTAGGTAAAATGTTGTGAAAAATACTATATGAATATATAAGAATAAATAGTTATAGCTGCTTAAATCTTGCTAATTCCTCTTAACTATTTGCTAGATATAAAATGAATTTTGAAAGAGTTAGAAGTAACGATTAAGACTATATAAAACCAAGGGCAAATAAAGAATAGAACTTTAAAACTCTAGTCCTATAGAGAACCTTGAGTAACCTCTATGACCTTAATTTTTGCTTTAAGATGACCTTGAGATAAGGAACCGAATATTGGTGTATCAACATCAACTTTGTTTTCTACTTAAAAGCATAGTATATACTATCAAAGACAATTGTAGAATGAGTAACTCCATTGATAGCAAGAATAATTCTTGAGGGAGAAAAAGAAACAGAGAGAATGAATCAGATTTGTAGTCAATAAAAGTAACAGCCAGTCACAAAGAATGGTGAAAAGTGCTGCGCAGATAAGAGTGATTCTTGGGAACTCTAATTTCATCATGAGTACACACAAGAAAAGGAGCCTCAGGAACTCTTTAAATGGTGGCTTGGGAGTGGCACTTAGGTCAGCCAGGGCACTCTGCCGATGGAGAATTGGCTAAACAGGTTTGTAAGCTGAAACTGAAAGTAGTGTGAGTTCTAGTTTGAAAGCTGGAGAAGCAGAACAGTGTCCTAAGTAGCTACCTAGCCCCAGGTACAGAGAGACACTTGAAACCACCGTGGCAAAATATGTCTCCCTCCCTATGTAGTTTATCAGAAGGGTTATTAAAAAGCATGACAGAGAGATGAGCTGGGATTTGTGAACAAAAACGTGTCATGAAACACATAATAGAATTGTGCCTAGCCCATAGTGAGATATCAATAAATTTTGGTCATTATCTGTCTTTTTACCTTTTGATTAATCCAATAATGAGCATGACTCTTAAAAGGCAAAAAAAAAGTCCTCAATGTTCTCAGTGAAATTGACTTTAAATTCCTATTTCACAAAAAGCCAGATTAACATTTAAATGAGTGAAGAACTGTTTTCAAATATTAAAATGTGTTCTATGTGTAAGGAAATACTCTGAATTGTCCTAAAAGGGACAAGAATAGAGAAGAAAAGATTTGTTAACAAATTATGGGAAAGAAGATTTTATTTTACACTCAAAAAGAGAACTACTACTACAAGAACTCCTCAACAAGTAAAATACTCCTATATTTTGCATGAGACCATGGCCACTGGACTTTAAAATGCTTAAGTATTGAGGCTAGGTAATAACAACAGTATTAACTTCTTTTGGTAATATAGTAATAGTAACAGCAATTGTATATTAGTACATAATTAGCACATAATGATATTAGTACATAATATTAGTACATAAATTAGTACAAAAATGAATAGCATAATATTAGTACATGGAAGACAATGCATTATATATTTTAAATAAATTATCTTTGATTAATCACAATTTTAATACCTTGTCCCTGGCACCTATTTGTGCAATAAATTGATGAGTAAATACATGATAAAAGATAACATTTAATATGAACCAGGATCAGCATTTTCTTTAATTCAGAAACTAGAAGACTCTAAGTAAACTAGTCAGCCAAATGGCCAGAAATGAAATTAACAGTCTCATTTCTTTGTGACATTTGTATTCAGACATTTCAATACTATTAAAATACAAGATATTTTAAAACTATTTAGTTTAAATTAACTAGAATAAAATAAATGGCAATCTGCAGTTTTTGTTTTTTTCTTTTGTTTAAAGTTAAAGAATGACACTAATGCAGCTAACATCCTATAATATAATTCCATGTTTACACATTTATTCTCCTAAACTTACATTTATGTTCATCTAGACAAGGCAAGGAAAAGAAACTCAAATTGAGATTCCTTGTTTTTTGCAAAATATAAAACAAATCCATTTTATATATAATATATCCCATACTTCAGGCAAAAATATTAATATAGAAACTTAAGTAAATATCATAGAAAATAAAAATTTAAGGGACAGTTACATTAAATAAGAAAATTAACTATATTTTCACCTGTTTTTATGTTTAATCTTTTCTGTTAGTTGGTTTATTTTTTGCTTTTCTTATAATAGAACATGATGATTATGACTAACCACAGCTATGGTGATTCCCCAATTCCAACAACAATTCTTAATTTTTTCACTTTCAACTCCATTATATAAACAAAGTTTATTTTTCTTCTTTTTAGGTAAGCCTATGCTAATGTTTAAAACATACACATACATAGAACTGCTAATATATGTGTTTACCACAATAAACATGCCTATGCATGAGAAAAACATATTTCCTTCAGAAACACTTGATTATAATCCCATTTGTGTACATACATTTGTCAGTTCTTCTAAATATTTAGGCTATTAACTTTCTTAAAATAAAATAAAAGACAAAATATGAATGCCTACACAGATTTATATTCTTAAAAGAAGGCAGAAATGCTGTGAATATTGTAAAACGGACAAATTCTACCTTTAATATTATTCCAAAAAACTCTGTACCTCTTACTTCTCTACTTTTTAAAATTTTACTTAAGTTCTAAATGTTCTTTTCACCTGTTTGTCAAACTACTCACTACCAGTACACCCGGACCTCAGCTGGCTCTTCCAAAGGGGCGATTTCTAACATAGTAACTTACATTGGTGTGTATCTCAACAGTCAAAGACTATTTTTATAGGATAAAAGTTTATACCATAGTAAAGGAAAGGACAAAACTTAAACACCGAAATTTCAGTAAGCAAGAGATAGAAAAGGGCCTCTGAAAGGGAAGGAGCCCTCAAAATCCACCATAACATGTTATCAATGAATGATGCCTTAAATAATTTAAGACTTCATAGTGAAACCCCTAATTCTAATATTCTCTCCCCTTCAAAAAAAGTCGAAATTATAGCCACGAATTTCCAAAACTAGTCATCCTTTAAAGGTCAATTAAAGAAAATTTTAACTATATAAGAGAATTAATGTTTCCATACCTAGCGACATAGTGACAAACTGAGTGATTTTTATGACCTTTTCAAAACAAGTTGATTGATAAATAGGCAAGATTGGTCATGTTGTCAAATCAATCTATACTGATGCCAATGACAGCTGTAGTGACTGGAACAACGAACTATAGAAATGTCTAGTCTTCCTATATCAAATATCTTACTTTATAACTTGTCATTCTCAAGAGGTAAATAATGTATGCTGTTTCTTTCATATTTTTCTTACAGACAGAAGTCCAAGCCGGAAATTAAATTTAGATTCTTTAAGTGATGAATTGTGTAAATAGTTATTACATTTTCATCTGAGTAAGACAGCTAAGCTGACCTATTTTTACAAGGATCATATAAAAGAATATAAGGCAATAGTTGTGCATGGATCCAAGGACTCCATCTGTCTTTATGCTCTCTTTTTCCACTGGCTTCATGTGGAACTTACTGGTGGCTAGGGTCAGTAGTGCATATTGAAACTTGATTAAAGTTGTAGATGAAATATCAAGAACTTTTTAATCCTCACAAAATTTATCCATGAAAGACATCACAAACTCTTTCACAGACGATTAGTGCTGCTCACTCTGCTTCGATGGCTGTGTGCTTCTAGAGCTCCTCCTTGTACTTCTACAGCCCCTCTGTCTACTATAAAGATAGCAGATTTAATTATTTTTTCCTAGCTATGTGATCTTGGGCACTTAGCTCCCTTTACTGAGGTACCATTTTTTGGCTTATTAAACAATGATACTGTATACCTCCACGGTGCTTTTGTGAGAATAAAAGAGATAATACACATGAAGTGTGACCATAGGCACATACTAGGAACTCAACAAATGTTACTATTTGCCCTCTTCACTCACATATTTACTGTAAAAGTAAACATTGAGTCTACTTATTAACTTTTCAGAAGTGAATTAATTTGTATTTTGACTGATTCATAGAGCACAAATATTAACATTAGCTTAATGGCAAAATAAAGCCAATTTACAAACATACACTTGTATCTATATTTCATATTTGGCAATCCACTTTTAGCTGAGAAAATAAATACATCTATGAAGAATTATCCTAAGGAAAAATAAATTAATCCTGCAAGCTAACTCATTATTCACCAACTGATGATTTATTTCTTTAGAGAACAATTTTGATCACTCAGTTTAAGGTAGGATTTAAAGCATATTTCAGGAGAGAGAATTTCATAATCAATACATTAATATACTTACTCTCCTAAACTTACATTTATTTTAAAATATATTCTGTTATTTTAAATTCTCACAATTTTATTTCCTTTGCAATGTAAGCTAACTCACTGTCATTTCATTTCATATCCATACATGCCTAATTGATTTAAATCCTTCCCGTTTTTCCCTTAATCTATTTTCAATAACTCTTGAGAGTTATCTTTAACCTTATTGATCATAGCCTTTCTTTAAAGGATCAGGAGAGGACACTACTGCAGAGCCTCTCCACCTTGTTTAGTATTGTTATTTATTGCATTTTAATGATCATTTCTTTATGACCAAAATAACATCTGAAATGTTTAGCTTATTATATTCACTTCTATTCCTAGGCAGATATTTTACCTTTTCCAAATATTCCAATTTCCAAATTCCCCTACTTTCTATACTAAGGTCAATTAGTAACCTATTGTAGTGGGTGTATAGAAAACATTGCTTATATAAATCAGAATAAATACACCTGCATAAATATGACCAGACTTGCCCTTGTTGTTGAATATCACGTCTATATATCATTTCACTTAGTCTGAAAATTCTATTTATTTTTCCTTTTCTTGTGCTATCACATTGATCTTAATAATTCTCAGCTTTAATGCAACTGACCTACATAATTTCCTAGATTTCTTTGTTTGTAAGCAATTATTCCTAAGGCATGTTGTTGCATCACTAGATTAAAAACTATTCCATTCTGCTTCGCATGTGTTATTAGGTGTTCTCCTGCCTGTCTCCACACTAGACAATTTTTTTTAACACTAAGGGCAATACCTTAGGTGTCACTCTATTTTTGTAATGACTTTTCCTATGTTTTGAATATATTCAAATAGTACAGAAACTATCTGTCTCTGAAAAAAAAAAGGAGCCAATACAAATGTACTGAAATTAGAGAATATACATTCAAGCAAATCTCTTTGTCTAGGGCCATTTAGATTTTGTAAATCAAGAAATAAACAAATGACCAACAGATCAGTGAGTCACATGAGACTCATCATGAATATGGTCACTTATTTCTGTGACCATTTTTCTGTTAAATAATATCTTTTTGTGTCCTTAGGGTAGTGTCTGTAATGAAAAATGCATGACAGTGAAATCTGCTCCTTTTAAAATTCCTTTTCTCCAATTCCAAGCTTGTATGAGTTAGGATTAGGTGGGGCTGTGAATAACAGAACCTTCCCTAAATGGCTAGTTAAGCATGATGGAAGTTTATTTTTCATTCTGAGAAATCTGGATGTGAACAGCTCATGGCTGGCTTATAATTCTTGGCAGTCATACGGGACCCAGCGTATTTCCAGCTTTCCTTTCTGCCGTTTTTAAGGTCTGGCCCTCAGTCTCATGAACTAAGGATGAGTTCTAGTCATCCCTTCCATGCAGGGCCAGCACTTTACTTTTCAGAGTGCAGTGTAAAATGAAAATACTGCACTCCTCTTTAAAAAATCAAGAAAAGGATGGATTTAAACGTACTAAGATATAAAGCTACTTCTCTTTCTGAAGATTTTTTCCTTATCTTTTCTATTCTTTTATTTTTTCTTTTTACAAAGGATCTTGCTTTGTCACCCAGGTTGGAGTGCAGTGCTGCAGTCACGTCTCACTGCAGCCTCAACCACCCATGCTCAAGCGATCCTCCCACCTCAGCCTCACAAGTAGGTAGGAGTACAGGTATGCCCCGGCTAATTTTTGTATTTTTCATAGAGAGGGGATTTCACTGTGTTGCCCAGGCTGGTCTCAAACTGCTAAACTCAAGTGATCCACGCACTCCACCTCACAAAATGCTAAGATTACAGGTGTGAGCCACCATCCTCAGCCAGATTTTTTCTTAGCTTGTTAGAATGTTTTTTTGTTTGCTTGTTTGTCTTTGCTCTTAATGTTCTTCTATGTAAAGAAAAGTTAAAATGTTAAGTTATTAGCATAAATTTTGCCATTCCCTGTTTACACTTATGATGGTAGTTTTAAGTGCAAATATAAAAAACATTTAATTCATATGTTTAACTCACCAAAATTACATGATTCATATTTCATAGTTCAGATATGCAGAGCAGTGGAAACACTACATGAAACTGACTCAAATGTTTTTATTTCATTTTTATATGCACACGATCTAATAATATTCTCTACATTTAGCTTACTAATGAATCAGGAAAGACTGAAAGGAGGAAGAACGATGATTTTCAGCAAAGTGGTTGACTAATGATACAGAGAAGTAACACAAGTAGAAAAGGACATGATAGGACTCTTTAGTCCTTTTTGTCTCTTAGAATGCTATTTACTTCTCCCTGGATTTGAGCTAATTTTTTCCTTAGATACTGTGGCCTTCTGAAACTAACAGTATTTCCTGCTTATTCAATTGAACATAATATAACATGTTTACTCTGTACTCACTTTGTCTCTTGAGAAACTCTCACACATTATCCACTGTAATTCTGACCTCATGAGGCACCCAGAATGCTATATATGAGGAAGTGAGGGATGTCTGAAACACATGTTGCATGTATCTCTTCTGCTCGAGCACATGCTCCGTTGTCCCAGAGGACTTCACTTACAAAACACAAGTTGAAAGAAAATTATTAAAAGTTTCAAGAAGCCTACAGTGGAGCAATAAATCAAGTATGGATCCCTTCTAAGCATAGGGTTCGGTGTGATCATACTGCTTAACTGTCATGAAGCTGACTGTGGCTCCAGGTTTCACTTTCAGGGAGGTTGGAAAGAGAGGAGAGGAGGTAGAAGATCTGCATCAACTATTTAAGATTTCCCAGAAGATGTCTTATAATATTTCTATTGAATCCCATGACCAGAACTTTTATTTGATGTTGCAACTAGCTGCAAGAGAGGCTGTGTAGTGTAGTCTCTGTTTGCAGGCAGCCACGTACTCAGCTAAAGATTATGGAAGTGGAGGTGGGTAAGTAAGAGTCTCCACCATAACATTTCTTATTTTAACCACCATAATAGAAGAAAATTGGTCAAAAGTGAATTTCAGCTTTTCACTAGAGGATTCTTAAAATAGCTTTTTAGAAGTAGAAAAACTGGTTACTGGTGCAAATAAACTAGAAAATCTAGAAGAAATTGATAAATTCCTGGATACATACAGTCTCCCAAGACTAAACCAGGAAGAAGTCGAATCCCTGAATAAAACAATTACAAGTTCTGAAATTGAGGCAGTAATTAATAGGCTACCAACCAAAAAATGCCTAGGACCAGATGGACTCACAGCCGAATTCTACCAGAGGAACAAAGAGGACTTGGTACCATTCCTTCTGAAACTATTCCAAACAATAGAGAAAGATGGACTCCTCCCTAACTCATTTTATGAGGCCAGCATCATTCTGATACCAAAACCTGGCAGAGACACAACAAAAAAAAGAAAATTTCAGGCCATTATCTCTGATGAACATTGATGTAAAAAAAATACTGGCAAACCAAATCCAGCAACACATTAAAAAGCTTATTCACCATGATGAAGTCAGCTTCATCCCTAGGATGCAAGGCTGGTTCAACACACACAAATCAATAAATGTAATCCATCACATAAACAGAACCAGTGACAAAAACCATGTGATTATCTCATGGATGCAGAAAAGGCCTTCGATAAAATTCAATACCCCTTCATACTAAAAACTCTCAATAAACTAGGTATTGATGGAACATATCTCAAAATAATAAGAGCTATTTATGACAAACCCACACCCAATATCATACTGAATTGGCAAAAGCTGAAAGCATTCCCTTTGAACACTGGCACAAGACAAGTATGCCTTCCCTTACCACTCCTATTCAACATAGTATTGGAAGTTCTGGCCAGGGCAGTCAGGCAAGAGAAAGAAATAAAGGTATCCAAATAGGAAGAGAGGAAGTCAAATTGTCTCTGTTTGTGGATGTCATGATTGTATTTTTCGAAAACCCCATCATCTCAGTGCAAAATCTCCTTAAGCTGATAAGCAACTTCAGCAGTCTCAGGATACAAAATCAATGTGCAAAAATCACAAGCATTTCTATACACCAATAATAAAAAAACAGAAAGCCAAATCATGAGTGAACTCGCATTCACAATTGCTACAAAGAGAATAAAATACCTAGGAATCCAACTTACAAGGGATGTAAAGAACCTCTTCAAGGATAACTACAAGCCACTGCTCAATGAAATAAGAGAGGACACAAACAAATGGAAAAACATTCCATGCTCATGGATAGGAAGAATCAATATCGTGAAAATGGCCATACTGCCCAAAGTAATTTATAGATTCAATGCTATCCCCATCAAGCTACCATTGACTTTCTTCACAGAATTAGAAAAAAATACTCTAAATTTCATATGGAACCAAAAAAGAGCCTGTATAGCCATGACAATCCAAAGAAAAGAGAATAAAGCTGGAGGCATTATGCTACCTGACTTCAAACTATACTACAAGTCTACAGTAACCAAAACAGCATGGTACTGGTACCAAAACAGAGATATAGACCAAAGAAACAGAACAGAGGCCTCAGAAATAATGTCACACATCTACAACAATCTGTTGTTTGACAAACCTGACAAAAACAAGCAATGGGGAAAGGATTCCCTATTTAATAAATTGTGATGGGAAAACTGGCTAGCCATATGAAGAAAACTGAAACTGGACCCCTTCCTTACACCTTATACAAAAATTAACTCAAGATGGATTAAAGACTTAAATGTAAGATCTAAAATCATAAAAACCCTAGAAGAAAACCTAGGCAAAACCATTCGGGACGTAGGCATGGGCAAAGACTTCATGACTAAAACACCAAAAGCAATGGCAACAAAAGCCAAAATTGACAAATGAGATCTAATTAAACTAAAGAGCTTCTGTGCAGCAAAAGAAACTATCATCAGAGGGAATAGGCAACCTACAGAACGGGAAAAAATTTTTGCAATCTACCCTTCTGACAAAGGGCTAATGTCCAGAATCTACAAAGAACTTAAACAAATTTACAAGTAAAAAAATAAACAACCCCATCAAAAAGTGGGTGAAGGATATGAACAGACACTTCTCAAAAGAACACATTTATGCAGCCAACAAATATATGAAAAAAACTCATCATCACTGGTCATTAAAGAAATGCAAATCAAAACCACAAAGAGATACCATCTCATGCCAGTTAGAATGGCGATCATTAAAAAATCAGGAAACAACAGATGCTGGGGAGGATGTGGAGAAATAGCAAACTTTCATACTATTGGTGGGAGTGTAAGTTAGTTCAACCTTTGTGGAAGACAATGTGGCAATTCCTCAAGGATCTAGAACCAGAAATACCATTTGACCCAGCAATTCCATTACTGGGTATATACCCAAAGGATTATAAATCTTTCTACTATAAAGACACATGCACACATATGTTTATTGCGGCACTGTTCACAATAGCAACGACTTGGAACTAACTCAAATGCCCATCAATGATAGACTGGATAAAGAAAATGTGGCATATATACACCACGGAATAATATGCAGCCATAACAAAGGATGAGTTCATGTTGTTTGTATGGACATGGATGAAGCTGGAAACCATCATTCTCAGCAAACTAACACAGGAACAGAAAACCAAACACCACATGTTCTCACTCATAAGTGGGAGTTGAACAATGAGAACACATGGGCACAGGGAGGGGAACATCACACACTGAGGCCTGTCATGGGGTGGGGGGCTAGGGGAGGGATAGCATTAGGAGAAATACCTAATGTAGGTGACAGGTTGACAGGTGTAGCAAACCACCATGGCATGTGTATACCTATGTAACAAACCTGCACGTTCTGTACATGTATCCCAGTAGTTAAAATTTAATAAAAAAAATAAACTAGTTAGTAAATATTTACTTTTCAATTAAAGACAGCATGTTAAAAGCAAAACAAAATAACTAGGCAATAAATTTTAAATTTTGACTTGTAACATCAATTTCTTTCTTAGAAAACTTTGTCAGGTCTGATAATTTTGCAACATTAGTTACTGGATTTTAAATTCTATTCAACTCAAAAATTGTTCCTGCTTATATTTTGAAAGTAAGTCATGTACAGGAGATTAATTTACCTCTGACTTTCTCCAGTACCATTTGAAAATTTGGATTAAATTGCAAATCATTCCTATTTGAAACTCACAACAAAAACCTTTCAGGGTAGATGCTATTATCTTCACTTTGTACAAAAGCAAACAGGACTTTGAGAGAATAAGAAACCAAAGATCCCACCATTATAGACAACTTTACCTCATATACTGGTTTCTATACTCTAATTTCCTTTCTCTCTTTATTCATTTCTTATTTTGGATATCACTTTCTTGAAGAGAGAGATAGAGACAGAATGACTGGAGACACAGAGAGAAACTGAAACACACACACACACACGAGTCTGTGTAATATGGTAAAAATTTAGCATTCTGAAAGAATCAGAATATCTGAGTTATAGATATATTATCTGGATGTGTAGCTGTGTGACTTCAGAAAATTATTTTAATTTCCCTGGATACAAATTAATTTAAATTTTAAAGTCTTTGTTAAAATCATCATTTTCCAACCTATGGCCAATAGACTATATGTTTCAGAGACCAATGAATTTTAATTTATATTTATTTTCAGCATAAAGTCATTTCATTATTCATGTTAGTTTTATTCTAGGATGCACTAGAAACACTGAATTACTTAATACTTAACCATTGATCCCAAGAGAAACAGATGTGTGTGTATGTGTATTGATCCTGCATTGGAGATACACACACACACACACATATTCTTTGTGTGTGTAATAATGTGATATTGCATTTATACAACACACACACATATGTATGTGTGTGTATATATATATTCTTTATTTTTCAAAAGAGAAAAGCAAGTTGACAGTATTAAATCACTTGCCTGAGGCCATTCCACTACAGGTACCAGAGTTGGATTTTACACCTGCTCCAACTGGTCCCAGAGCAAGAGCTTCTTGCACTACATTGCCCTGCCCTCGACCATTTTTATTCTCTGGTCATCTCTGTATGAGATCTAAAACAAGAAGGTGGAGTGATATGGTTTTGATGTATCCCCACCCAAATCTCGTCTTGAATTGTAACTCCCACAATTCCTATGTGTTGTGGGAGGAACTCAGTAGGAGGTGATTGAATTATGGGGATGGATCTTTCCTGCGCTGTTCTTGTGATAGTGAATCAGTCTCATAAGATTTGATGGTTTTAAAAATGGGAGTGGCCCTGCACAAGCTCTCTTATGTCTGCCGCCATCCACGTAAGATGTGATTTGCTCCTCCTTGCCTTCCACCATGATTGTGAGGCCTCCCCAGCCATGTGGAACTGTAAATCCAATTAAACCTTTCTTTTCTAAATTGCTTAGTCTTGGGTATGTTTTTATCAGCAGCATGAAAGCAGACTAATACGCAGAGGGTCTTCTTGTTCAATCTTAGCTTGGAATATATATGTTGAGGGACTCAATTTTTTGCAGCTCTGCATATGTCTGGAATGACATAAAAATACAGGAATTAATAATTTGGGGACTACAAATAAATTGTAGGGAGAAGACAAATTGCAAATACAGAATCTGAATAATGCAGATCAACTGTATTAATTTTTACAGCAAATGTGAAAGGAGATACATAATCATGGTATTGTATCACATACCAACACAATAAAGCACATCTGCATTTCAGTATGAACACTAACATATATTTTGACTTATTGAAAAAGTATCATTGATTAGGGAGGTGTCAGTTCTACATTACTCTTTCAATCTTTCTCTCTCTGTCTTAATGTATGCCTGTGCATCTCCATTCATGTAAAATGTACCTGGAATATATTTGTCACCACATGCATGCCTTCTTCAATTAAATGTCAAATAAGATTCAAATGCATCTGTTCAGTGAATGTTATTGTCATGGCATGATAGTCACTAGTGGTGAGTTCTACAGAGAAAAGGTATGGGCAACTGACAATGTTTCATGGAAGATCTTGATAGGGGGCAGGAGGCAGACAAATTCCTGGGCAGATGGGGCAGGTCCCCACTGAAACCCGACCTTCAAGCCAAAGACAGCCTGAAGCCTGAAAACTGGGCTGTCAATTCTAGGTAGAATCCACAACTGGGAGTGCAAACTTCCTTGATGGCTTTCAGCCAATCAAATGGTAATTTTTTCAGACAGGTCTATGTTCCAATTAGCATGCACTTCCTCTTGCCCATGGACCAATCAACATGCACTTCCTCTATTCTGAGACCATAAAAGCACCAGGAGCTATCCACTTCAGGTATCCTGTCTGCAGAGAACTGTTCTGTTGCTAAGTAAAACTCTTCACCTTGCTCATTCTTCAGGTGTCTGCATAACCCCATTCTTCCTGGACGTGGTACAAGAACTCGGGACCTGCCAAACAGTGGGCGTGAAAAGAGCTGTAACACTTTCATGGCTGGCTCACCTAGCTGTGAGTGGGAGCAAAAAGGGCTATAATGCATTCGTGGATGGCTCACAAAGCTGTGGGCAGTAATACATTCCCGTTCATTGGCCTGTGGGAGTGTAGAGTGGCGACACTTCCAGGGGTCCAGACCTTGGGATTTCCTGAGCCAGAGCTGTAACCCTATAGCCCGCTCATCCTCTGCCGGCGTGGCATGGCTACCCCACATGAGGGGAAGCAGCAGCAGAGCTGGATCAGCCTGGCAGACACAGGCCGGAACAAGGCAGTGGGACTGCACAAGCGGAGAACATGCCCCACTCTGTCAGCCAAGCTGTGGGGGGTAGAAACAAGAAAGCTGTGAGAGGTGACAGCGTGTTGGCAGTCCTCACAGCCCTTGCTTGCTCTCGGCGCCTCCTCTGCCTGGGCTCCCACTTTGGCGGCACTTGAGGAGCCCTTCAGCCCACCGCTGCACCCTGGGAGCCCCTTTCAGGGCTGGCCAAGGCCGGAGCCGGCTCCCTCGGCTTGCAGGGAGGTGTGGAGGGAGAGGCGCTAGCGGGAACCGGGGCTGCGCGCGGCCCTTGCGGGCCAGCTGGAGTTCCGGGTGGGCGTGGGCTTGGCGGGCCCCGCACTCGGAGCAGCCGGCCGGCCCTGCTGCCCCGGGCAGTGAGGGACTTACCACCCAGGCCAGCAGCTGCGGAGGGTGTACTGGGTCCCCCAGCACTTCCAGCCCACCGGCGGGGCGCTCGATTTCTCGCTGGGCCTTAACTGCCGTCCCGCCGGGCAGGGCTCGGGACAGGCAGCCCGCCATTCCTGAGCCTCCCACTCCCTCCGTGGGCTCCTGTGCGGCCTGAGCCTCCCCGATGAGCGCCGCCGCCTGCTCCAGGGCGCCCAGTCCCATCGACCACCCAAGGGCTGAGGAGTGCAGGCGCACGGCGAGGGACTGGCCGGCAGCTCCACCTGCAGCCCCGGTGCGGGATCCACTGGGTGAAGCCAGCTGGGCTCCTGAGTCTGGTGGGCACGTGGAAAACCTTTATGTCTAGCTCAGGGATTGTAAATACACCAATCAGCACCCTGTGTCTAGCTCAGGGTTTGTGAATGCACCAATGGACACTTGTATCTAGCTACTCTGGTGGGGCCTTGGAGAAACTTTGTGTGGACACTGTATCTAGCTAATCTGGTGGGGATGTAGAGAACCTTTGTGTCTAGCTCACAGATTGTAAACGCACCAATCAGCGCCCTGTCAAAACAGACCACTCAGCTCTACCAATCAGCAGTATGTGGGTAGGGCAAGATAAGAGAATAAAAGCAAGCTGCCCGAGCCAGCAGTGGCAAGCTGCTGGGGTCCCCTTCCACACTGTGGAAGCTTTGTTCTTTCGCTCTTTGCAATAAATCTTGCTACTGCTCACTCTTTGGGTCCACGCTGCTTTTATGAGCTGTAACACTCCCCGGGAAGGTCTGCAGCTTCACTCCTGAAGCCAGCGAGACCACGAGCCCACCGGGAGGAACCAACAACTCCAGACGCGCTGCCTTAAGAGCTGTGACACTCACCGCGAAGGTCTGCAGCTTCACTCCTGAGCCAGCGAGACCACGAACCCACCAGAAGGAAGAAACTCCGAACACATCCGAACATCAGAAGGAACAAACTCCAGACGCGCCACCTTAAGAGCTGTAACACTCACCGCGAGGGTCCGCGGCTTCATTCGTGAAGTCAGTGAGACCAGAAACCCACCAATTCCGGACACAGCTGTAGTACACGTACCCCAATTCCTTGACGCTCCATGGTTGCTGGTGTCTTTAAGTTTTCGAGTGAGTGCCACCATATTCCCCTCGTCCAGATGTTGGTGCCCACCGCAGAAGCTGCTTGTGGTGTGGCCTAGCGGAGGCCTCCTACAGAGCCAGTTCCTGAGCCAGCACCTGGAGCTGCCCTCCCCACCTGCAGCACCTGGTGCGCCTTGCTGATGCAACCTGACCTGATGCTGAAGGAGAAGAGGTGTAACAATAAATGCTATTTTGGGGGGTGAGTGGGAGTTAACTAAGGACAATCGGGAAGAAACAGGGGTCAAACAGCGGAATCAACATGCCGGAGACCACCTAGTGGTATAAGCCAAATGTGTAGGAAGAGAGGAAAGACGTGAGTGATAGTGAGCACAGAGAACCAGAGAGCTGAGAGATGGCTAGGGGCCAGGGCATGCAGAGCTCTGTAGGTCTTTATAAGAGGAGTGATAGAAAGTCAGTGTGTTCTAAACAGTGGGTATGAACATCAAATATGATTTTTGAAAAGGTCCACCCATTTAGTGTGTGAATGAGTGATCTAAGAGGGACAGAATAGATTTGGAGAGATTCATTAGGAGATTATTTCAATGTATCAAAGAAGGAATAGTGGTAGCTTCAACTAAGGACAGGGTAAGACAGATAGAGATAAAATTAAGTACATATAATAGATTCGTATATAATTTTAATATATTACCATTTGAATGAAACGTAATCATCAGTATTTTTGTATTAAAAATTATTATCTTAGCTGATAGCAAGTATATTGTTTTTAATTGTTAAAAGAGCTACTATAAAATGAAAACAGTTTTCTAGTTAGGCCTTTCTCTAGTGTATTTATGATTACTTTCCTTCAAATATCACTAAGCCTGCTTGGCATAAGACCACCATAGAACCCTGACAGTTCCTGTCAAATTATTAATATTTCTTGTGTTTTCCCAGTAGGAGATTTAACAACCTAAAGAAGACCATGGCAGTCATGATCTCAGCTCATTTTGTTTTCCCTAAACTCTTTGTGCAGTGATAATACATTCCATTCAAGACCCTAAAATAAAATGTAATTCTGCCAGGGTGTGTTAACAAATTGTTACTTACAGGTTGGATTTTTTAAAAGCACCATAGCAACATTTTCTCTTTAGAATGGAAATACAAGAAGACATCTGATTCATTGTGAAGACAAAAGCATACTCCATTCCAGCATATCTAGCAGATGTTCTCTTCATAGGCAGAGAAAATACATGGCAAGTTAATGTATCCAGCTGGTTCCTAAATCATTCTGAAATTATCTGTGTCTACTCCCAAAAGGTGTAAATTGGCCCACAAAGGGAACAGCAAATAACCTATTTAAAAAAAGATAGAGAATAATTCATATTACAGGAAGAAACTAATGACAAGTAGGAAAAAATTACTATTATTTGAATAGGTAAATTAAGACCTCTATGAATTTACTATTATATTCAGAAGGTTTAATATTCAGTCAGCCAGGAAGTAGTTATCTTTTGCTTCTTTTATTCTTGATCCTATGCTGCATTATTTTCCATTTAGCCAGAGCCTAGTTTTGATTTGCCAAAGGTCCTGCAACAATGAAGTACAGTGAATAATTGCTGTGAGCAGTTACTTTTAAGTAACACCTGAAGTTATTTCTGGTCCAATATGTAAAAAACTTAGAAGTAGTCATCTTCTGAACATGAAAAGATTGTACAAACTACAAAGTAAAAAACTCTTTTTAGATTCATTATAGAATTGCGAATGACTACCACCAAAACTGGAGAGACAGATGGTTGAATGTACAGAATTACAGCTTATTAGCAAAAAAAGCAGAGGAACAAAAGCCCACAGCTGAAATCAGGATTGGTAGGATCATATTAAACTGTCATTGACAAGTTGCTAAAGGCTTAGTTAGTGTGCACTAGATTAAAGGGAAGCCAGACTTGGGGAGATCCTCAACACTTTCTTTAGTTTTATTTCCAGGAGCCCTACCAGGTTCTAACTATGAAGATCTGAGAAAAATCCCCTTTGCTTCCAGCAGGAAAGAGAAAAACTAACCATTTGAAATAAGACAAGAACACTCTGTTCTTCTTAATAAGGCATGCACTCAAGGAAACCTATTTTATCAAAGCCTTACCAACTGGGGTTTTGCCAAAGCCTAACCAATCTGGAGAAGGGAGAGAACTGTAGCTTCCTCTAATCTTTAATACGAGGAAAGGGAAATGTCCAACTCAGGCTCAATAAAAGACCAAGAACCAATCATAAGTCTATAAGTGCTTCCCCTCTCTCCACAACTACCACCACATGCTAGGGCTTGTGGTGGTAAAACACAGGATTATAGGTAAAGTATTGTAATCCTCAGATGCTATTGTAGCAGTCTCTAGTAAAACTCAAAGACAGTAAAGGGGACAAAGATGGACACCAGAGAAAAATTTAGCCACTGACACTACAATTACAACAAACAGTAAACACAGCCTAACTTCTAGCCAGATACACCTAAGATCTCACACTAAAGACCCATCAAACTCAGTTCCTTTTACCCTCAACAGAGTAGTCATCAAAGGAAAATGCCTCAAAATAATAAGAGCCATATATGACAAACCCACAGCCAACATCATAATGAATGGGCAAAATGTTGAAAAATTCCCCTTGAGAACTGGAACAAGAAAAGGATGCCCATTCTCACCATCCCTATTTGATATAGTTCTGGAAGTCCAAAACAGAGCAATCAGGCCAAAGAGAGAAATAAAAACAATCCAAGTAGAATAAAAACAAGGCAAACTAACTCTCTTTGCTAATGATATGATTCTATACCTCAAAAACCCTAAAGATTCTGCAAAAAAACTACAAGAACTGATACATGACTGTAGCAAGGTTACAGGATACAAAATCAGTGTACAAAATATGTAACATTTCTATTTCAAGAGCATGCAGGCTGAGAGTAAAATCAAGAACACAATCCCATTTTCAATAGCCACAAAGAAAATAAAATACTTAAGAATATATCTAACCATGGAGGTGAAAGATGTCTACAAAAAACGCAAACCACTGCTGAAAGAAATCAGAGATGACACAAATAAATAAATAATTCATTCTCATGAATAGGAAGAACTAAGATCATTAAAATGCCCATACTGCCCAAAGCAATTTACTCAGTCAATGCTATTTCTATCAAATTATCAATGACAATTGTCATAGAATTAGAAAAAATAATTCTAAAATTCATATGGAACCAAATAAGATTTTGAATAGCCAAAGGAATTCTAAGCAAAAAGACCAAAGCCAGACACATCACAATATCCAACTTCAAATTATACCATAAGGCTACAGAAACCAAAACAGCGTGGTACTGGGGGGAAAAAAAAAGACACACAGATCAATGGAACAGAATAGAAAACTCAGAAATAAAGCCACATACCTACAACCATCTGATCTTCAACAAGTCACACAAAAACAAACAATGGGGAAAAGACTTTCTATTCAATAAACAGTCATGAAATAACTGGCTAGCCATATGCAGAAGACTGAAACTGAACTTCTACTTTTCACCATATACAAAAAATCAAATCAAGATAGATTAAAGGTTTAAATGTAAGACTTCAAGTTATAAAAATCCTAAAAGAAAATCTAGGAAAAACTCTTCTGAATATCAGCCCTGGAAAAGAATTTTTTGCTAGTTCCTCAAAAGCAATTGCAACAATAACAAAAATTGAAAAGTGGGCCCTAGATAAACTAAAGAGCTTGGACATATATGAAGATCATGAATTGATGAATGACTTCAAATTAATTATTCACATTTACTATAAGGACAATAGAAATAGGGGGACATATAAAATTTTTAGGATTTATAGGATAAATTGTCACAAGTTACAGATTATAAATAAGAGAAAGATGCATAATAAATGTCAATGCTGACAACAGTCAACTCTACTATTTTATCAACTTTTTAAAAGCTCTTTCAGAAAAATCTAGAGAAAGTGGATTGCTTCAGTCAGTTTTGTTGAAATAGAAAAATCATCTGGACTTAACATCTAAATACATGAGTTTTATTTCCAGGGCTATTGTTTGCTGATTATTTGTGATATGGTTTGGTTCTGTGTCCCCACCCAAAACTCATGCTGAATTGTAATCCTCAGTGTTGGGGAATGGGCCTGGTGGGAGGTGACTGGAACATGGGAGCAGATTATCTCTCTTGCTGTTCTCGTGGTAGTGAGTTCTCATGAGATCTGATTGCTTAAAAATGGGTAGAACTTTCCCCTTTACTTTCGGTGTGTTGCTGCCATGGAAGACGTGCTTGCTTCCACATCACCTTCTGCCATGATTATATGTTTCCCAAGGCCTCCCCAACCATGCCTCCTCTACAGCCTGTGGAACTGTGAGCCAATTAAACTTCTTTTCTCTGTAAATTATCAAGTCTCAGGTAGTTTTTTATAGCAATATGAGAATGAGCTAGTACAATTTGATTCTGAGTAATCCCCTAATCTTTCTTAGTTCAATATTCACTTCTGTAATGTAATGGAAAGTATAGTACCTTCCTCTTATTTGTGTAATGCTTAAATGTGGTATTGCATGGAAGAACTGTAAAATATTATGCATGCTCTATGTTCTATTTGCATTTGCACAGTATGGGTTTTGGGTACCCTGTATTGATTTCATGCTTTTCTCCAGAGTTACTGATTTTGTCCAAACCTTGAAGCCATGAAACTAATGATTTCTAGTTTGTCAGTATTGTTTAGTAATAATAATAATTATGATTACCACTTGGTTTTCATGGAGACTTGGAGTTGGAGAAGTTCAACAGTTAGGACTGGGAACATAGATACAATGTGTCTGCATGACCAGTTCACCATAAATATTCTCACCAAAAGTTGTCTTAGCTGTCCTGGCACCAAGGTCTTTTGCTGATGGTTCAAGAGCAGATGGCAATATGCTTCCTGTTTTATCTGGCCCAGTGTGGGAGGACCAGCTGCACCTGAGATGTCAGGAAATATTTCAGTGTATAACTTTCCTTTGTTTTGCTATTTTCTGCCCTTTGCCTGTAATAAAAAAGATCTAGGAGTAAAAACTGTTTGAGACTTGTGTGTTCTTTCAGCACTCCAATACTTATAGTGATTAGTATGTCATTAATGCAGACATGATAGATGTCATGCTTAAAAAAAAAATTTGGTAACACTTACAGTGTAATTTCCCCTATCTTCTTAAGTGCACATGGAGATTAAACATTAAGGAAGAAAACAAAACCAAAACGTTTCTGCTAATCAGCAAGGGAAAATACAAATAACTAAATGAAAGCAATGTGTTTTGCAACAACTTTTAAACAATATTCTGTAATCTATAATCTTGGTTGCAGTGTTTCCTGAAGTGATTAAGGAAATTTATAGCCTTTAGACATATAAAAACACATAAAATTAGATCATTATTCTTCAAACGATTATGGCTCTCTTTTAATGTTAAGACATTGGGCAAAGTTCTGGGATACCAACAAAACAGAACAACAGAAGAGTTCCTACTATTATGGATCCTACAGTTAAGCAAAAGAGATTGACATTAAATAAATAACGATACAATAAACATATAAAAAGAATTTCTATGAAGTAAAACAAATGAGTGTTCTGAGGGGAAATAATGGTAGAGGGTGGCATTAATTTTCTATGATCTCTTTCCAAAACCTGTTTGAGAGGGAACAGGGTTTTAATGGTAACTTAAAGAATATGGAAAAATTAGCAAATAAGCAAACTATTGCAAGGACAAAAAACCAAACACTGCATGTTCTCACTCATAGGTGGGAATTGAACAATGAGAACACTTGGACATAGGAAGGGGAACATCACACACCAGGGCCTGTTGTTGGATGGAGGGAGCAGGGAGGGATAGCATTAGGAGATATACCTAACATAAATGACAAGTTAATGGGTGCAGCACACCAGTATGGCACATGTATACATAGGTAACAAACCTGCATGTTGTACACATGTACCCTAGAATTTAAAGTATAATTAAAAAAAAAAAAAGGCCATATGCTTTGACACAGCAATTGGATTTGTGGGAATTCATTCTATGAAAAATACATTCAAATGTTAACTGCAGTAAAATTACTGCAATGGTAAGAAATAAGGAACAACAATGTACATCAACATTAGACTGGTTAAATAAATTATGTCATGTCCAAACAGCAAATGCAATATATTCATTAAAATGTTTTATATGTAAATGATGTTTACAGTATATCATGGAAAAATAAAGAAGTTTTTGGAATTCTATATTCAAAACAAACAAAAAAAAGAGTAGGAAGAGCACATTCTAGGCAAGAAAAATAACATGTGCAAAAAGCATTTACAAAATTTATGAGCTGAAAAGAGTGTGGAGTGTCCTATGAGCTGATATAAGCCCAGTGTGGTGGGTACTCAATGACCAAGTAGAATGAACTGGGGGTATTTGATTCAAAATAATTTTAAATGTAAAGAGATATAAAGAAACTAAAGAATTATAAACAGAATAGTGACAACATATGATTTATCATTTTCAATTTTCATTTTTACTGTTATAAGGAAAATAAAGAGATGTGGATATAGCCAGGTAAAAGGGAAATGTGATGGTTAATATTGAGTGTCAAGCTGATTGGATTGAAGGGTTCAAAGTATTGTTCCTGGGTGTGTCTGTGAGGGTGTTGCCAAAGGAGATTAACATTTGAGTGAGTGGACTGGGAAAGGCAGACCCACCCTCAGTCTTGGTGGGCATCATCTAATCAACTGCCAGCACAGCTAGAAAAAAGCAGGCAGAAGGTGGAAAGAGCAAACTTGCTGAGGCTTCCAAGCCTTCATCTTTCTCCTGTGCTGGATGCTTCCTGCCTTTGAACACTGAACTCCAAGTTCTTCAGCTTTTGCACTCTTGGACTTAAATACCAGTGGTTTGCCATGGGCTTTTGGGCTTTTGGCCACGGACTGAAGACTGTACTGTCAGCTTCCCTACTTTTGAGGTTTTGAGACTTGGACTGGTTTCCTTGCTCCTCAGCTTGCAGATGTCCTACTGTGGGACTTCACCATGTGATCGCATGGGTCAATACTCCTTAGTAAACTCCCCTAATCTATACATCTCTCCTATTAGTTCTGTCCCTCTAGAGAACGCTGACTAATGCCAATTTTGGTACTAGGAGTGATTCTAGTGGTTACAGAATTTTAAGGATGGATTTCTTTAGTTGGTTTTGGGGTTTATGGAGTTGGCTGCTTAATTTGATGAGACCCCCAAATGCTAAGAACTCTACTTCTAATAGTATAAAGAACACTGATACTCTTTGGGGTGAACTGTATAGTATGCAAAATAAATACATTGCTACTCCTGATTCACCGCTCTTGAGAAGCAAGGAATTAGTGACTCTGCACATAGTACCTTTGACCATATGTGGAGAACCAAGGAATGTAATGAAGTTGGTTGGTTGCTCCTAAGTTTGCTGGATAAAGTTGTAACCGCCCAATGGGTTCACCTTTCCCGCTGCCTAGAAAGAACTGACTTATCAAGACAGAGGAATTGCAATGGAGAAAGAGTAATTCACACAGAGCTGGCTGTGTGGGAGACCAGAGTTTTATTATCACTCAAATCAGTCTCCCTGAGCATTCAGGGATCAGAGTGTTGAAGGATCATTTGGCGGGTATGGGCTCAGAAAGTAGGGCTTATTGATTGGTTGGGGTCGAAGTGAGTTCTTTTTGCTTGCTTCTGTTCCTGGGTGGGATCGCAGAACTGGTTGAGCTGGATTATCGGTCTGGGTGGTGTCATCTGCAGCATCGGAATGCAGGGTCTGCAAAATATCTCAAACACTGATCTTAAATAGTGATGTTACTCCCGGGAATTTTGGGGAGGTTCAGACTCTTGCAGCCAGAGGCTGCATGGCCCCTAAACTTTAATTTCTAATCTTGTAGCTAGTTTGTTAGTCCTACAAAGCAGACTGGTCCCCAGGCAAGAAGGGATTTTTCAGGAAAGGGCTATTATCCATTTTGTTTCAGAGTTTGAACTAAATGAAATTCCTCCCCAAGGCTAGTTCGGCCTACACTATGGAGTGAACAAAGACAGTTTAGAGGTTAGAAGGAAGATGGCCTCAGTTAGGTCTGATTTCTTTCACTGACAAAATGTTTTCAGTTATAATTTTTGCAAAGGCAGTTTCAAAGTGATGAAGGAAAATAATGAGCTCGGGGACTCTTAATTCCTGGCCTCAGAAGCACATACTAAGCCTCAAATCTTCTAAGATTGTCCTGAGTGAGAGAGTCTTATCTCCTGTAGATAAAGGACTAAAATTGTGGAAAATCAGACACAAGCTCTTTTTATATGAGTGACTGACCTGCAACAAAAGGTGCATGCTCAGCCTTGTCAGGTGTCTACTATTAAAGTGAAGGCATTGATTGGAAAAAAAATGGGACTCTGCAACTTGGAATGGGGACATGTGGTAAAACCCTAATGAGGCTGGGGACAATAAGCTCCTAAATTCTGATAAGGTTTTTTTTTTTTTTTGGCCAGAGGAAACAGTCTCCTCACTTCCAGTGGTGGCAACATCCCCTCTCCTACCCACACTGCCATCAGCCTTTCCACCTTTGTCTGAGGAGATTAACCATGTACTGCCTGAGGCAACAGGGTTGACCTCCCCTGAGGCAGTTGCCAGGCCAGACAATGCTGATCCTTCTCAAAACCCACACCCAACACCTCTGTTTTCATCTAGACCTATAACTAGACTCAAGTCATGACAGGCCCCTAAAGGTGAGATTCAGAGTGTGACACATGAGGAAGTGCACTGCACTCCAAATGAACTGCTAGGGTTTTCTAATTTATATAAGTAGAAATCTGGAGAACAGGCATAGGAACGGATATTACGGGTGAGGGATAATGGTGGAAGGAGCATAAAGTTGGAGAAGGCTGAATTTATTAATATTGGCCCACTAAGCAGGGATTCTACATTTAATGTTGCAGTTTAGGGAGTAAAAAAAAAAAGATTTTGGCCAGACGCGGTGGCTGACACCTGTAATCCCAGCACTTGGGAGGCCGGGGCAGGTGGATCACCTGAGGTCAGGAGTTCGAGACCAGCCTGACCCACATGGAGAAACCCCATCTCTACTAAAAATACAAAAATTAGGCAGGCGTGGTAGCACATGCCTGTAATCCCAGCTACTCAGGAGGCTGAGGCAGGAGAATCGCTTGAACCTGGAAGGTGGAGGTTGTGGTAAGCCGAGATGGCACCATTGCACTCCAGTTGGGCAACAAGAGTGAAACTCCATCTCAAAAAACAAGGTTCTAATAATTTCTTTTCTTGGTTAGCTGAAACATGGATCAAAAGATGGCCCACTATGAGTGAGCTGAAAATGCCTGATCTTCCTTGGTTTAATGTAGAGGAAGGGATCCAAAGGCTTAGGGAGATAGGAATGCTAAAGTAGATGACAGCTGGGAGGGCCCAGAAGACATACCCTTCACCAATACCTTGCAAAACATATTTGTGAGGGGAGCACCTACATCCTTGAAAAGCTCTGTAATTGCTCTTCTCTATATGCCAGATCTTACAGTGGGAACTGCAGTCACACAATTGAAGAACTTAAATGCAATGGGACTAACTGGATCCCGAAGTGGTGGGGAACAAGTGGCAGCACTCAACCATCAAAGGCCAGGTGGGTATAGTTATCCTAATGTACAGCAGAGACAAAGCAGCAATCAGAATAGTTTGACTCATGTAGAGCTCTGTCATTGGCTAATGAATCACAGTATTCATAGAAGTAAAATTGGTAGGAAGACTACTGCATTCTTACTTAATTTGTATAAGCAGAAAATCTCCTGGGTAAAGTGGACAAAAAAACTAATTTGAATTACAGAGAATCACGGCCACTCAGTTTCTAGACTTGGACCAGTTCACAGACCCAGAACCCCTTAAATCAAGGGGACACTGGGTCCCCTTGAGGAAAGACCCCACTACAGTACCAGCAATTTATACTGTTACCCTTTCTCCCATCCTTCCCCAAAGAGACCTCCTGCCTTTTACCAGGATAACTGTGCACTGCGGAAAAAGGAATGATCAGAACTTTTGGGGACTAGTGGACACTGTCCCTGAGCTGATGTTAATTCCAGGGGGCCCAAAACATCATTGTGGTCCTCCAGTTAAAGCAGGGACTTATGGAAGTCAGGTTATTAATGGAGTTTTAGCTCAGGACTTACAGTGGGTCCGCTGGGTCTCCAGACTCATCCTGTAGTAATTTCCCCAGTACCAGAATGAATAATTGGCATAGACATACTTAGCAGCTGGAAGAACCCCCACATTGGCTCCCTGACTGGCGGGGTAAGGGCTATTATGGTGGGAAAGGCCAAATAGAAGCCATTAGAACTGTCTCTACCTAGAAAAATAGTAAGTCAGAAACAATATTGCATCCCTGGCGGGATTGCAGAGATTAATGCCACCATCAAGGACTTGAAAGATGCAAGGGTCATGATTCCCACCACATTCCTGTTCAATTCTCCTATTTGGCCTGTGCAGAAGACAGATGGAATTTGGAGAATGATGCTGAATTATTGTAAGCTTAACCAAGTTGTGATTCCAATCGCAGCTGCTGTATCAGATGTGATTTCATTGCTTAAGCAAATTAACACACCTCCTGGTACCTGGTATGCAGCCATTGATTTGGCAAGTGCCTTTTTCTCCATTCATGTCCATAAGGCCCACCAGAAGCAATTTTCCTTCACCTGGCAAGGCCAGCAATATCCCTTCACTGTCCTACCTCAGGGGTACATCAACTCTCTGGTTTTGTGTCATAATCTTGTTCACAGAGATCTTGCTCACTTTTCCCTTCCACAAGATATAACACCGTTTCATTACATTGATGACATTATGCTGATTGGATCCAGTAAGTGAGAAGTAGCAAACACATTGGACTTATTGGTGAGATGTTTACATGCCAGGGATTCAAGGAACTTCTACCTCAGTAACATTTTTAGGGGTCCAGTGGTGTGGGGACTATTGAAATATTCCTTCTAAGGTGAAGGATAAGTTGCTGCATTTGGCCCCTTCTACAACCAAGAAAGAGGCACAACACTTAGTGGGCTATTTGATTTTGGAGGCAACACAGTCCTTATTTGGGTGTGTTACTCTGGCCCATTTATCGAGTGACTCAAAAGGCTGCCAATTTTGAGTGGGGTCCAGAACAAGAGAAGGCTCTGCAACAGGTCCAGGCTGCTGTGCAAGCTGCTCTGCCACTTGGGCCATATGACCCAGCAAATCCACTGGTGCTTGAGGTGTCAGTGGCAGATAAAGATGCTGGTTGAGGTCTTTGGCAGAGCCCCATAGGTGAATCACAGTGGAGGCCTCTAGGATTTTGGAGCAAGGCACTGACATCTTCTGCAGATAACTACTCTCCTTTTGAGAGAAAGCTCTTGGCCTTTTACTGGGCTTTGGTAGAAACAGAATGTTTGACTATGGGTCATGAAGTCACCACGTGACCTGAGCTGACTATCATGAACTGGGTGCTTTCTGGCCCATCTAGCCATAAACTGGGGTGTGCACAGCAGCATTCCATCATCAAATGGAAGTGATATATTCATGATTGTTCGAGCAGGTTCTAACGCACAAGTAAGTTACGAAAAGAAGTGGCTCAAATGCTTATGGTCTTCACTCCTGACATCCTGCCTTCTCTCACCCAGCCTGCACCGATTCCCTGTGGTCAATTGACAGAGGAAGAGAAGACTAGGGACTGGTTTACAGATGGTTCTGCATGATATGCAGGCACCTTCCAAAAGTGGACAGTGGACAGCTACAGCACTAAAGCCCCTTTCTAGGACATCTCTGAAGGACAACGGCGAAGGGAAATCCTCCCAGTGGACAGAACTTTGAGCAGCACAATTGGTTGTACACTTTGCTTGGAAGATGAGAAGGCCAGATATGCAATTATGTACTGACTTATGGGCTATAGCCAATGATTTGGCTGTATGGTCAGGGACTTGGAAGAAGCATAACTGGAAAATTATTGACAAAGAAATTTGGGGAAGAGGTATGTGGATGGGCCTCTCTGAGTTGTCAAAAACTGTGAAGGTATTTGTATCCTATGTGAGTGCTCACCAACGGGTGACCTCAGCAGAGGAGGGTTTTAATAATTAAGTGGATAGTATGACCTGTTCTGTGGATACCACTCGGCCTCATTCCCCAGCCACCCCTGTCACCGCCCAATGGGCCCATGAACAAACTGGCTATGATGGAAGAGATGGAAGTCGTGCATGGGCTCAGCAACGTGGACTTCCACTCAAGAAGACTGGTATGACTACAGCCACTGCTGAGTGCCCAGTTTGCCAGCAGCAGGGACCAACAGTGAGCCCTAGATATGACACCATTCTTCAGGGTGATCAGCCAGCTACTTGGTGGCAGGTGATTATATTGGACTTCCCACATCATGGAATGGGCAGCAGTTTGTCCTCACCAGAATTAGACACTTACTCCAGATACGGGTTTGCTTATCCTGCATGCAGAGCTTCTCCCAAGACTACCATCTGTGGACTCACAGAATGCCTTACCCATCGTCATGGTATTCCACACTGCATTGCCTCTGACCAAGGCATTCACTTTACAGCTAAAGAAGTGTGGCAGTGGACTCATGCTCATGGAATTCATTGACCTTACCATGTTCTCCATCATCCTGAAGCAGCTGGATTAATAGAATGCTGGCATGGCCTTTTGAATTCACAATTACAACACCAAGTAGGTGACAATGCTTCTCAGGGCTGGGGCAAAGTTCTCCAGAAGACCATGTATGCTCTGAATCACTGTCCAATATATAGTACTGTTTCTCCCATAGCCAAGATTTGCGGGTCCAGGAATCAAGGGATGGAAGTGGAAGTGGTACCACTCACCATCACCCCTAGTGATCCACTAACAAAATTTTTGCCTCCTGTTCTCACAACATTACATTCAGCTGGCCTAGAAGTCTTTGTTCCAGAGGGAGGAATGCTGCCACCAGGAGACAACGATTTCATTACACTGGAGGTTAAGATTGCCACCTAGACACTTTGCAATCCTCCTCTTAAGTCAACAGGCTGAGAAGGGAGTCACAGTGTTGCCTGGGGTGGTTGACCCAGAGTATCATGATGAAATCTGCCTAATACTTTACAATTGAGGTAAGTAAGACTATGCATGCAATACAGGAGATCCATTAGGGCATCACTTCATATTATCATGCCCCTGTGATTAAAGTCAATGGGAAACTACAACAGCCCAATCCAGGCAGGACTCCAAATGGCCCAGACCCTTCAGGAATGAAGGTTTGGGTCACTCCACCAGGAAACAACAACAACAAAAAAAACCCACGACCTGCTGAGGTGCTTGCTTTGGGCAAAGGAAACACCAAATGGGTAGTAGAAGTAGGTAATCATCAATACCAGGTACAACCTGATGTTTCTACAACATGTGACCAGTTGCAGAAACCAGGACTGTAATTGTTAGGAGTATTTCTTCCTTATTTTATTAAAAACATGTTTGTGCATGTATACACTTGTAATAAGAAAATATCCTCATTTTATTTCCTTTCTTTTTTCTATATCATGTGACATAAGATTTACTGACTTCATATCAGCATTTAAGTGTTGCTAACTTTACATAATATCATTTAGATTAAGGATTAGTGCACTTTTGGTTGTACAAAGGATAGCTGTACCATGTTAGGCATAATTGACCTCATTATTGTCTTTATTTGAAGGTTATATATGATTTCAGGAGATGTGTATGGGTTCAAGTTGACAAGAGGTGGACTTGTGATGGTTAATATTGAGTGTCAACTTGACTGGATTGAAGAATGCAAAGTACTAAACTTGGGTGTGTCTGTGACGGTGTTGCTAAAGGAGATTCACATTTGAGTCAGTGGACTGGGAAAGGCAGACCCACCTTCAATCTTGGTGAGCACCATCTAATCAGCAGCCAGTGCGGCTAGAAAAAACCAGTCTTCCAGCCTTCATCTTTTTCCCATGCTGGATGCTTCCTGATGTTGAACATCTGATTCCAAGTTTTTCACCTTTGGACTCTTGGACTTACACCAGTGGTTTGTCAGGGCCTCTCAGGCCTTTGACAACAGACTGAAGGCTACACTGTAGGCTTCCCTACTTTTGAGGTTTTGGGACTTGGACTGGCTTCCTTGCTCCTCAGCTTGCAGATGGCCTACTGTGGGACTTCACCTAGTTGTTCTGTGAGTCAACACTCCTTAATAAACTCCCCTTCATATATACATCTATCCTAGAGAACCCTCTAGAGAACCCTGACTAATACAGGAAAGCTAGAGGAAATTTGCAGGCTCTTTCAAATAGTCCAGGTGAGAAATGGTGGCAGTTTGAATTTGAGTGGTATTAATGCAGATATAAATGTATGTAAGGATACAAGGTGTATTTTGGACTATTAAAAATTTACAATTTGTTTAAATGGGGAAGATAAAAAAACTTTAGTTGTGCCTGGATGTGCAAGGAAAACATTTAAAAATCAAGTTATACAAAACTTAAATTTGACATTCTCGTTCAATTTTTCAAGTTAAGAGATCAAATGTTTTGTTCATCTTACACAAATTTAAATCTCAAAGATGGATATTGGTAGGATGGATATGGGTAAAATTCTATAGCCAAATACCGTAGGATGAGAAAAGGGTCTAAGATATCGCAAAGGCAAATTTTAGAAATTTTCAACAATAAGAAAAGAATCTTTTAGGAAAAAGAGGGCTTAGTTATGTTAGGTGCTGTTTTATGGAAAGCTCTTCATTGCCAGGTTAAAATTATTTGCAAAAGTTTAAATCAATCCCAGATCACACAACAGAAACCTATCATTTCACTTCTTACTAAAATAAAGAACAAGTAAGTTGTTCCCAAGTGAGCATCACCAGCCAGGTGTGAGTAGGGAGATGAAGTGGTAGAAGATTCAGTCTACATTTTTCATGGTACATTTAACTCTCCAAGATATCTCCACCACCATCTCCTGCCTGCCAGTAAAAGAAAGAATCAACAGTAAACTGAAGACAATTGGTCATTCTCCAGCTCCAAAGCCATTTCATGCTTGTTTTCTTGTTCAACTCTTCTGCACTCGACTTTCTCATAGTTTGAACATGATACTTTTTAGACAATTCTGTGTTTATCAACCACTCTAACAACTGGAACAATGAACACTTATACCATAGGTTATGGCAAGAGCTGCACCATTCCTGTTTCCTCGACTTTAGTACAGGTTGCTGCCTGCTTCACACATTGCCTGCCTTCCCTTCCTCCAGTCACTCCAATCTAGAGAGCAATATTGGACACCCACAGTGCTATGATACAGGTCAACCAAATGAAGGAGGATAAGAGGTTACTGCACAGTGAAACACATAATGCTTTCACTTATGTTTCCCACATGTGAAATATTTCCTTTAAAGACCTGACTTAATGCTCATGCTTGTATTATTTAAGTCATAACATTCTCTACTTTTTATTTTTTATTTTCTCAGTTTTTGAAACTAGCATAAGGATGTTATAATGCACCATATGCATATTATTACTCTCACTGTAGGTGTCTATTGATACTGTGCATTCTTCTATGATTCTAGAATGGAGCAGAAAATATTATGGTTCACATATATTCTACTTGTAACTGAAGAAAATATGGTAAAAATATTTTATACCATTCATCTGCAGATTAATGCTTCCTGTGTTTTAAAAGACATGGTACACAGCAGCAGATGGATGGTATAAAATATTTAATTAAAGTCAGTCATAGCCTGCTGGCAAGAAATGACCTTCCCTTCAACTGAACTGTGGGACCAAAAGCATCTATTGTTTTCATTTTAAAGGAATTCGATGAAGAATATTATTTCTTGGTTCAATTCAGAAAACGGTTATTGAGTGCTTATGATACGTAAGGTTTGTTTTTTTGCTAGGCATTGTGGAGTCTCAAACATGAATTTTTAAGTATTATGTCTATAAGAAGCTCACAATCCAGTTGTCCAAACAAGCATATGGTACAAGCTGGGATGCATGTCATATCAGGGTAAATGCTATGATAAAGACAAGAGAGTCGTGTTGAGAATGTGGTGGGAAGATTTCAGGCATGCTTTCAATAATGTGCTATACTTCAGTTGGGATTTGAAGAAAGAATTGTATTTCAAATACTAGAAAATAGAGAGAGTACTGGCAGTCAAGCAAGTAATCTGCCCACTACATCATTTTAGTGCTGAGTGCATGACTGATCTTTGATTACTTACCAAACCTCTTGTATATCCTGATGTCATGAATAACAACACCATTGAGGAATGTTCTCATCACAAAATTGACAAGCCTCTTTGATTCTCATTTTTGAATTGTTTCCTCACAAAATTTTCTGTCACTTTCTTGTTGATTTTATCTTTAAATATTTCTCAAATTGTCTCTTCTTGTTTAATTTCACTGTCTGCCATTGCCTGGCTTCAGACAGTTTTAATTCCTTATCCATGTTACTTACGACAGCCTCTTTGACCATCTTCTGTAATCTATCTGAAGCCACAAATTATCTTCTACATTTATGCCACAATGAGCCCTAAATTGCAAACATGACTATGTCATAAGCCTGTCCCCAAATCCTTGAATTTGCCTTTATGACTCTATTTCAAACTCTACACTGCTAAGAAAGGTTCTTTGTGATTTGACCCCACTTCCTCACTTTGTGTCTTTCACTCACTACTTTTTCCTATTTAGAGTCCAGTGCTCTTCAGTCTTCCAGTCAGGTTCTTTCAGTTTCTCTCTTTCTCTTATGAAACACATACATAAACACACACACCCTTGTATTAGTGATTCTTTACTAAGAACACCATTCTTCTTGCCATTTTACTTAACAGACTCTTCTAACATTTTAAGACTTGCTTATTCTTCATGACAGTAATTTTCTGGCTGGTGTAAGCTAATTTGACCTCCAAAACTCATGTCTAAATTATACGTTCCTCCTACATGTCTCCACAGTACACTTTGTATGTCTCTGCCATAGCACATATCACAATATATGATAATTATCCATTTGTTTTTCACTTGGCTGCCATTTTTGTGCCATGATTTCAAGATTATTGTTTTTAAAAGTTGTTCATGAATCATAATTAAAAGGAATTTAATTCTAGAAGTAATCCTGGAAAATTTCCCAGAAATTCCAATTTGGAGGCCTGATACGTAGTAGACACTCAATGAATATTACTAAATGGATAGAATTTAATATGCTAGAATAAACAAAAGAATAAAAGAATGAACACAATGAAATAATGTCTACCTATGTATATATCCCCTAATGGATGGTAGTTTCAATAAAAGATATATATATATATATATATATTTAAAGTTTACTTTTCACATTTATTTTAGCTTTTAATTCAATAAGTAAGAAATCAAAGTTGTTTTTCCTTCTTTGATGACTATTATTAGTTGAACCAGAGAGTCATCCAATATGACCGAGTGTTGAAATCACTAACCTTGTTTACATCCAGAGATATCATTGCAGCTTGTAGCCTGGAAGTATCAGCTGTGCAATGGGAAAAATTTTGTGAGGCAAGATCCAGCTCTATTAATTTTTTTCAGTCACCATAATTGAGTTCATACATAAATTCCCCTTTATTTTTTCTTCTGAAATTATCTTGTGAACCATAAAAGCAAGAGAAAATATGAAAGCGTAAAGCCTTTTTATAAGTTATAAAGATTCTGAACTGATTTGTACACCCTTTTGGTAAACTCTTTGTTCAGTATTCTTTTTAGTAGCACATCTGACACTGGATGTCTGACCTCTGCTACTCTAATAGTTGTTAATGGAAACTTCACCTCATGCAAAGATAAAATGGATTTTTGGCAGCTGTGAGAGATTATGAAGAGTAAAACCAATCTTAGTTGGAATAAGAAGAAAAGAAGTCATCTGTACCTTAAACTACTCAGCTGGTTTTCATTATACGTCAAGCCTACATTTATTACAAAAAGGGTAGCCAAGAGACAGACATTGATAGGTCTCTGTACTTAGAATCAGAAGGCCAGTACTTGATAAATTCTACTTTTCATCTTGACTTGAGTTCAAATGACTCTTAAATCTGCTTGAATTAAATGGTATATATCTGGAGACAAACTCAGGAAGACCTCTACTTTTGCCCTTATCAGATTGGTTGGCCCTTATTTCTATCTTGAGTCTAGTGAAATCTTAGTTCTTCCAACTCATTAAAAGAAACAAGTGGTTCTATAAATCCCTAAAGTTACATAAGTAAAACTCATTTAAATTGGTTTTATGATATGCTTTATATATTTATATTTAATATGGCTTTTTGTGGTGTCCTGAGAATTTACAATATGTCCAAACAAAGAAAGAGGCTATACACACAGTCCTAACGTAGAAGCAGCTTGGTAGGAGTCTGGTTTCCACAAGTGGGAAACAATCGCATCAGAATTTCTAGAGTCATTTATTATGTTTTGTTTTGTATTGTTTATACATTTAAATGCTAGTGAGAGAAACAAAAGTTTGGCTCTTCTAATATAAGCACTTTTAAAAGTCATTAATTTTAACTGTAGATCTAAAATAAATAATATTTTAGAGAATTGGAGGAGGACAGAATGTCTGTACTCATTGGAGGAGGACAGAATGTCTGTACTCATATATGTAAATCAAGGCAATTAAAATAATGACAGATAATAGCCCTAATACATATCTATACTTTAATAACTATCATAATAACTATCATACTGCTAAAATTATGTATCCATATACCCTTTGCTTCAGAAATTTTACATAAAAATTTATTATATAACTATGTCAGCAAGTGTGGTATATTTAAGTTTAGAGCATAAAACAATAAAGGCATATTGAATATTTGGGTTCAGAGAAAGAATGATAGTTTCAGACATGACATATTTGGAGACATTTTTGGTTTACTTTGAGAGAGTGCTAAGAGAAAATGAAGACACACAGCATTAAGGGAAGCCTGTTTATGAAGACAACCGATTAGTTCAACTTAATTCAATAAAATGTAAATATATTTTTCTTCTGTCATCTTTTATTTTAGATTCATGGGGTACATGTGCAGGTTTGTTACATGGGTAAATTGGATGTCACTTGAGTTTGGTGACTTCATCACCCAGGTAGTGAGTATAGTACCTGACAGGTAGTTTTTAGACCCTCATGTTCCTCCAAGCCTTCCCTCTAAAGTAGGTCACAGTGTCTTACATATGCATTTTAAATATGCAAGACGTTTGTGCCAGGCATTTAAATGTATAAGATGTTTGTGCCATGCAATGCATTAATAAGTATTCATATGGATAATAGCACATTATTCTTATCTTAAAGGAGATCATAAATTAATGAAAACATAGAAATGTACAAATGATTTTGCTCCACTGAGAATGAGGAAGATGAGACTGGCCAAGCTTTTAGAATAAACAGTATATTTTTTCAAACTTATTGGCAGATACTAACATGACCCAAATATAAAAGACATAAGGAGGTGTGTAGTTAAAAGTCTTATTTTTTTTTTAATATCTCTGGCCCTTTTTTTCTCTCTGAAATCAAAACAAAGGGTTTTCAAGCATCACCCAATTGTCTCAGTTTTCACCCATTTGCATCTCAGAGTGTGACCCACAACTTAGTAATTGTGTTTGAAGTTGGCAATGACTCCCATTAAACTCTTGCTTTACTCAACTCATGTTTCTTCAAGGATGGCATTTGCATGAAAATACTGAGTTTCAACAGCTCTTAAAAATGTTATAGACATAGTTTCTTGTTTTGTTAAAATTGAAGTTTGAATTTCTGTCTTGCATTCTTCTATTTGAATTATATGTAGAAAGAGAAATGAAAAATGCCTTCATTTACACAGCTCTGTTTATAGTAGGTGTCTCAAGTTGGCATTTAGTTAATAACCAATGCTTATATGGAAATGGAGAAATGACTTTCCAGTTTTTATATTTTTTCTTTCCTTTCATAAACAAATATTGGATTTTTTTTTTTTTTGGAAACAATAGTAGGGAACTAATAAAATTGCCAGCATTTAAGAGCCAGAGAATTACAAGTTTTCTTTTTTGAGATGGAGTTTCGCTCTTTCACCCATGCTGGAGTGAAGTGGTGCAATTTCAGCTCACTGCAGCCTCCGCCTCCCAGGTTCAAGCGATTCTCCTGCCTCAGCCTCCGATTAGCTGGGATTACAGGCACATGCTACCACGCCTGGCTAATTTTGTATTTTTAGTGGAGACGGGGTTTCGCCATGTCGGCCAGGCTGCCATCCAACTCTTGACCTCAGGTGATCCACCCACCTTGGCCTCCCAAAGTGCTGGGATTACAGGTGTGAGACACTGCTCCCGGCCATGGCATATGGTTTTAGATTGTATTATGACAAATCAGCCTAAAAACACGAACCTAAATTACTAAACATGGGTGCTTCAGCATAAGTTAACAGTGAATTTGAAATTGTAATTTGATTAAGATATTAATGAGTTTATTTTAAAAATTATCTCTAAACATGTAAAATCAGACTAAATGGAGATCTGGGCTGGACGCGGTGGCTCATGCCTGTAATGGGAGGCCAAGGCGGGCAGATCATGAGGTCAGGAGATCGAGACCATCCTGGCTAACACGGTGAAACCCCGTCTCTACTAAAAATACAAAAAAATTAGCCGAGCATGGTGGTGGGCACCTGTAGTCCCAGTTACTCAGGAGGCTGAGGCAGGAGAATGGCGTGAACCCGGGAGGTGGAGGTTGCAGTGAGCCAAGATCGCTGCCACTGCACTCCAGCCTGGGCAATAGGGCAAGACTCCGTCTCAAAAAAAAAATGGAGATCTGACAAATTGATTTGAACCTACTTTATGGCCACCTCATGCTCCCCTTTGCATAACCACATCCTGCAATTGGCAATTAAATTTATCAAATAGATATAAGCTACCAAATGAGCAAATAAATATTGTGCACTTGTTAATTCATTTATTCACTTATTAGTCATTCAATAAATATTTATTCAACACACAATTATATATTGTGTAACTGTTGCATATTGCTGGTTAAGATACTTGTGACCTTGTCCTTGAAGAGTTTAAAATCTATTGGAAAGAAAAATACTTAGAAAATAATTAAAAGTGTAAAGTTTTTAAAAAAGGAAAAATAAAGAGCTTTATAAGAGTGTATAAAATCAAACCTTTCTTATGTTAAACTTTGTTCTTACATTTTGTAATGCAAAGGATAAAATAGTTTTTGTTAATGTCCTATCCATTTTTCATACTGAAAAATTAACAATAAAATTAAAACCATATAATATTCAAATATAAATTAACCCAAACAAGCTGTAAATTGTATCAACAGAATTTGAACCAAGATTTTATATGAGATATTTTTCTATTATATTTTTTAATTATTCAATATTTTCTATTCTAAATATTTGTAAGTTCAATAACATGAATAATTTTTCTACACACTATTTTAGAAAGCTATTTTATATGGAAGGGTAAAATTTATAGGCAAAATATTTAAACTCCTGCCAATTTAATGTTATATTTAATAGTGTCTTATTTTTATTTTATTCTGCAAAATCCATTTTTTCCAATAGACAAATACTCATCAAAATATTAGAAGAGTGCTATTTACAGTTAGGTTTCTTCAGCTGTTGCAAAATTATTTGTAGATTAACCTAATTATATTAGTGTATAATTTACAACAATAATAGTAATTACAATTTACTGAATATATACCTTGTGACAAACATTATGCTAAGCACTCAGCATGCATTTTTTTCATTTAAATTCCCTCTGAAGTGGGAAATGCTGTTTTACGCATTTTTAAAAGAAAAAACTGGGAATTATTAAGGATGCTTCAGTTGCCTCACATAACGTACTCTAGAAACCAGGTTTCAACCCCCGGTTGTCTGACTGACTCCAGACCCTACACACTTATAATCAATCTCCTTAGCTGCCCACATGAATTAGACAAATTGTGTACCCTATTAAAAAAATTAAACCTATTTATTGAATATGGTGAACAGAGGATAGGTTATCATCAATTATCAATCCTCAGTTTTCCAACCTAGTTTTCCGTATCAGAATATATTCATGGCCTAAGTACCCTCTTCCTTTGGTGTGACAGATGATAATATTAATGACTTCTTTATTAATGGCTTTTCTTTTTTTGAGCCATGGCTTGGCTGTGTGGTGGTTAGATTTTTTTCTCCACAATGAGTTGTGAGTCTCAGAGTACAATTTAAACAGTATCTGAGTAGCTCAAGTTTGACCTGAGTAGCTCAAGTTCAAGTAAGATTCTGATTTCTTTTTAGTGCATAGTTATTTCAAGGTAAAATCAGTTAGAATAGGTTCAAATTCTCTTTGAAGGTGGTTGTCTTCCAATATTATAACCTTAGAAACCAGACATAATTTTTCATTAGTGTATTAATTACCAATATTTAATAAGAGTTATGAGCTTAAAACATAAAATAAGTTCTTACTTTCCTTATGTGGAAAAAGACATAACCATTGTTAATCTTTTTGGTAAGATCCAGGCCACAAATGTCTTATTTATTTTTCAGTTTGAAACAAAGTATATTTAATATATAAATTATATTTAAAATGAGGTTTATTTTCCATATACCAAGGATAGTAAACCTTAACAATATTCTGTAGGACTTCTGCTATAATGTGTAACTACTTGTTTTGCTTTTTACTTACTTCACACCACTCCACACTCCAGCTCCAGAAAAAAATGAAGAAATTACAACTGTAACTGCAAATAATCACCCAAATATCTACCATACTTTATAAATTTGTGACCATTATCTTTAATAAATATTTACTCACCACCCACAAAATGCTAGACACTGTATTTCATAGCAGCAAAACCAAACAAAACAACAAAAACCTAACAGAGCCCTGCTTTCATGGAAATTGCTTTCTGTCTGAAGACATCAACCAGTATATTAAAAATAATTTTTAAAATAAATGCTGATATATTCTGTAAAAGAGTAATTACAATATGAAGAATTGAATATTGAAAAAAGGTCAGGGAAGATTTTCTGAGCAAGCGTTGATTGAACTGAGATTTGAAGGAGTAGGATAGGTGACAAGGAAAGTGGCTTTTAAGTACACAGGTCAACAGGTGAAAGAGCCCACAGTATGAGTGTTATGGGGTAAAGGGACTGGAGGACATTTTGGAAGGCACGGGTATCAAGATCCAAGGAAAGAGTGCATAATAACAATGTTGCTGAATGCAGATATCAATATTCAGCAACATGAATGTTTGGTGCAAAATGTAGTTGGAGTGTGAGAGATGGGTCAAACCCTCCAGGATACTATAGATCACAGTGTTGGATTTTATTCTCAGAGAAATGAGAAGCCATGGAAAGAGCTGAAACAATGAATGTGTTGGAAGGTGGGCCTGTGGTCATAATTTGATTGATATTTTATAATTATCTCCCTTTCAGAAAAAGGAATTTGAGCAGAACAAGAGTAGACACACGTAGATGCCTTGCAGTAGTCCTGGGGAAAGATAAGACATTTTGATGCAGGATAGTTAACTGAGAAAATCAGAGGAGTAGATAGATTCAAGAAGATTTAGCAGCCACCTGACAGGACACGGTGTTGTATGATTGGTGAACGAAGAAGGGTTAAAGAATAAAACCTGACCTGTAATCCTAGCACTTTGGGAGTCCGAGGGGGTGCGGATCACGGGGTCAGGAGATCGAGATCATCCTGGCTAACACGGTGAAACCCCATCTCTACTAAAAATAAAAAAATAAAAAAAAAAATTAGTGGGGCGTGGTAGCCGGGGCCTGTAGTCCCAGCTGCTTGGGAGGCTGAGACAGGAGAATGGCGTGAACCCGGGAGGCAGAGCTTGCGGTGAGCCAAGGCCACTGCACTCCAGCCTGGGCGACAGCTCACCGTCTCAAAAAAAAAATAAATTAATTAAAAATAAATAATAAAAAAAGAGTAAAACCTGAGCTACTCTACTCAGAGGATATATTTTTTAATAGTGCAACAGGATAATATACAAGAATACTTGTCTTTCGCCCAGCTTTCCATGTTTGGACTCTGTTTTCTAAGGGATGATTAGCAAGCGGCTGTATTTTTCAAAAGCTAGCCTCACGAAAGCAGGTAGTTTGTCCAAAAATGAAAAAAGTGTCTGAAAGAAAAGGGAAGAACTAGATAGTTATGTTTCCTGAGACCCAAGGGACAAAGACAGAGTGAGGGGTGGACATCTGCTCTGCTCCCAAGAATGGTCATAGGAACATGTTTGCTCCCCAAGATGGAGCGGTGCCTCAAAGTGGGAGACTATACTACGTAAAAAAATATTTGAGAGCTTTCGGGGAGATACTGGCAGAGACGGAATATATAATATAGACAGCACAATCTGCTTCTAATCAACGATGTATTTTGGAAAGTAAGCAATTCCAAGTCTACAATGGACTGGAGTCCTGAGGACTTTCCCCAAGATCCTTAGGTTTCTTTGTTTGAAAGAGAGGAAAAGGGGTTCTCTTCCCCACAATGACTCAGCATTGATTTTCTACAATCCTGGTATGTGTAGGCTCCACTAAATTTAATGTGATATAGAGAAACAATTCCTTCAACTTAAATGTAATACAACAGATATTTATTAGCCACTGTAGAGTGACGTGAAACTTATCTGCTTCTACTTAGTAACAGATTCTTTTGTAATTGGTCTTCTAAGAAATCAGTTCTTCTATTAACACGTTGCATATATATCCCCCAATCCTTTACACCATGAGCAGGGGTCTGAAGAAACTGACATATGGCAAAATGCGTAGCTTCAATTGGCATTTTCTGATAAACCAAAATAACAAACAAAATTCTCTTTGAGCAGAATGTAATTCTCAACTTTTGGAGAGGCAAGGCATTTAACAAGCAGAAAGAGTTGCTGTTAACACGTAATGAATTCCTGAGACAAGATACACTGTAAAGCATATTGGAGAAAGATTCATTAGAAACAGTGTTATGTTAATGGGTGCAAAAATATAGTTAGAATGAATAAGATCTAGTATTTGATAGCACAATAGGGTAACTAAAGTCAACAGTAATTTACTGTACATTTAAAAATAATTAAAAGAGTGTAACTGGATTGTTTGCAGCACAAAGAAGGGATAAATATTGGAGGTGATGGATACCTCGTTTACCCTGATGTGATTATTACACATTGTATGCCTGTATCAAAATATCTCATGTACTGCATAAATATATACACCTCCTATGTACCCACAAGAATATAAAATAAAAAAATACAAAAAATAAAAATAACAGCAAAAAATATGTTTAGGAAAACACTGTCATTTAAATTAAGGTTTGAGCAAATGCAGATTAAGAGCCTGTGAAATCACTCTCAGTAAAATGAAACGCCCATCACTTGGGTTTATATGTTGTCAGTAATTTAAAGAAACTTGGCTTGAGGCCCTCACTTCACAGACTCAACTATTACAACACTCTTCCCCTCAATATCTGTAACATCTACCTTATTTTTCTCTGTCTCTCCCCTGTAGCTATGTGTGTTATTTAGAGATCAACTACATTCCCAACTAGAAGCCAAATTTCAGCTCTCCCTTAAGTCTACTGTCACCACATATGTCATGTATTTATAATTTCTATGAAAACTAGCAGAGGAAGTCTCACTTAGAACTCATGCCTGTCAATCATTTTCAATGATTACACTTGAATTTCAAAATCCCACCTTGTGACTTTTCCCGGTAAGATCAGCCAGGTAAGTGGAGTGCATTCTCTCCGGACTGTCATCATTGACAAAGGAAATGGAATCTGTTGGACTGGATTAGTTTTTCATCTCCCACTGGAATTCCAATAAGTAAAAATATCTTCATCTTGTATCAGTAATAACTGTATTGATGCAAGCAAGTATTAGGGTCAATAGACAAGTATGAGACAGCCAGCAGTTAGGCAATTAAGGCATAAAGAAATAATACAAGAAAAGAAAAGTTAAGGTCAATTCAGAAGAGACTTTTAGCTCTGCTAGGCCATTGGTTTCAGTACCTAGTAGAGAAGAAGAACTAGAATTTCATATATCAAAATATGCTATATAATGGTTAAAGTTTATTGCCTCAATTACAGCTATCTCCTTAGCCTTTTAAATTTCTGTATGTTCGATATACTTCATAATATTACATAACAATATTTAATGAAATAGAAGACACACAAATTATTTTAATTTAAAAGAGCATTTTCTTGCCTATAAAAGTAAGCAATTTTTTGCAGAAAATTATTTGAAAGAAAAATAAATCACATAGAATCTTATAAAAATGGAAAAATATGGTTTTAAATTTCATATTATTTTATTATCTATTGACTTTTTAAAATATTTTTCTTCTTCCACATGTTAATTTGATAAAATATAATTTTCTAAAATTAAATTGTTATACTCCTGGGATACATGATTCTTGTTTGTAGTGTTGAGTTAATACCCTTTTAGGTTTTAAGTAAAAAATTTAACATATTTCAATTTTCATTAATAAGTAAAGAAAAACTTTATCTTTCTTATACTACCGCTTCAAAGTTTTGTATCAGAAGTATAGTAACAGTAAAAGAATTAACAAGATTAAAACTGTGTTATAGAACTTTCCAGTAGCAAAATAATTCTGTTCTAATCCTTTGAAAGAACTTCCTTAGCATACTGTTTAGAAAGAAAAATTTTTAATAAAATTATTTTATATCACTTGTTCTTTTAAAATTTTGTCTAAATTGATATATCCTTTTATTCAAGAAATGTCTGAGTGCAGTTCGGTAAGTCTTAACTTTTAAATAGTGAAGCTTCCATCTGGTATTTTTCCATTTATTATCACATTGCCTCTTTAATTTATTTACCTTAAAAATTCTTATACTAATTATGTCTTGAAAATAGTACATCCTGTTACGGTGCAACACATCTCTTAAACATAACACACATGATTTTTAGCAGTGTTCCAAGTCACCCTGTGCCATATTCTTGTGCTTCTTCCCATGGTTAAGAGGTGAGTAAGTAAAGATAATTTATCTTCTATTTATCAGCACCATACTTTTCTATTCATCCTTACCCCATTTTTTCTTTAATTCTTAAAATAATTTAATGACATTAGATGGCATCATTGCTAACTATTCGGGATGGAAAACAATGTTTGTGTGTGGTTTTGGAGGGGATACTCCTTAACTCAGAGGTACACAGGCTTTTTTTTTTTTAATTTTGGAAAGATACAGGGAGTTAAATAAAATGTGAATGTCATCATATAAGTATAAAATTTCATGAAATAAAATTTGATTTTTGCTGTTAAGTCTTCCCATAAATTTTTTGAAGTGGTTATAAAAGTCCAATTAGGTAAAAACAATGAAGCATACTATACTGGGGAAAAAGGACTAGAGTTCTGGCTAAGGTGATGGTAAGTGCCTTACTTTTACTCCTACACCATCTCTTCTCAAATTTTTTTTCCTAAAATTTCTTTCCCTTTGCATTCAGAGAAACTTACATAAATAATAGGCATACTAAGTATACTATTGAGAATATCCTTATTTTCTTCAATGGTAGTTCAAAATTTCTGAAAAATTAATAGCGGAGATTGCTTTCTTTGAATTTAAAATTAACCACCTGCAAGCCCCTTGATTTTCTTCACTTAGCTCTTGTAATCACTTTAATTTTAAATATGTCAGGGTGTTAATTAATATCAAAGCATATCATTTATTATCAGCCTCCTACTTATAAGCCTAAAAATAAATATAATTTTGAAAATAACATTTTAAATGTGGGAAATTCCTTCAAGAAGAAAAACTAAAAGTTCTAAACATTATTATTTGTTCCTTGAAATAGGAATCCCTGATTTTTCCCTAAAATATTTTTCCTTGGATTGTAGTATTTGGCATCATGAAATAAGTGTAAAAATTAATAGATTCGTCCAGATTTCATCTTAAATGGAGATAAGTTACTCAGAGAGGAGGCATGTAGGTGCTGGTGGTTAGGCAGATAGAGAGGGAGGGTCTTGGAAGACGGCAATGCCTGTGGGACTGCATCTGCACTACCCCAATAGCCAGCAGGAGGAAAATGTGGTTAAGAACTTCCTCTTATCACAGGATTTTTGCCCAGAAGGGATTTTCCAGCCACTTATACAGGCACAGACAAATATTGGGGCATCCCCAAATGACCCTGAACTCACTATAATGCCATTAGCATTGCAGTTTTAGTCCCACATGGGTTTTGCTTTAGGCATTCATGGTTAATAACCAACATGGAGTCACTGTGGCCAAGCCCAGGCATGTGCAGATGCAACACCCACATGGGGAACTTTACCCCACCCATTAAGGCAGAACCACAGAAGACTTCCTTTTTTCTGCCACATAAAAGATCCAGAACTCAGCCCCATTTCTGGCTACCCTCTTTAGATCCCCTCTCACTGATGAGAGCTTTTCTGTTGCTTAATAAATTCTGCTCTGCCTTACTCACTGTCCAGCATCCACATGCCTTAATCTTCTTGGTTGTAAGACAAGAACTCAGACCTCGCTAAACTAAGGGAGTAAGGAGACTGCAACATTACTATCTTCTTATATCTCTGGGAATATTTAAAATTCAATTAAAACATAAAAATAAATCAATAAGAACTTTTCTCTATAATAAAATTAATTTGCCTCAGAAGCAAAATAGAACTGTGTCATAATTACTTGGGATTGAGGGGTCAATGTTCTTATTTGTCAGGACATAAAACTTTTGCCTTTTTATATGGCTATTTTTCATACACATTTTTTGTTTTTTTAACTTCATGTTGTGAACTTTTGGTAAAACTTAATTCTGTAAACTTATAAAACCACAATATGCAACCTGGTTTGTAGGCTTTTAAATAAATGTTTCTTAAAAATTATTTAAAGATTTCGTGGCCAAGGGCAGTCATTCATGCCTGTAATCCCAGCACTTTGGGAAGCTGGGGTGTGTGGATCACTTGAGGTCAGGAATTTGAGACCAGCCTGTCCAACATGGTGAAACCCCATCTCTACTAAAGATACAAAAATTAGCCAGGTGTGGTGGTGCACACCTGTAGTCCCCAGCTACTTGGGAGGCTGAGGCAGGGGGATCGCTTGAGCCTGGAAGGCAGAGGTTGCAGTGAGCTGAGACTGCACCACTGCACTCCAGCCTGGGCAACAGAGAGAACAGTGAGACTCTGTCTTAAAAAAAAAAAAAAAAAAAAAAAATAGGTATTTTCAAGAATTCGCATTACATTACATTTAGACAAGTGTAGAATTCAATAGTATTATATTTTCTATGTTATAGTAACACTTATGTTGAGTTCACTTCTCAGGGATCTTTCTTAGATTTTTTTTTTTGATAGGGTAAAGAAAATAAACAGGACAAACAACTGAACTGTATGTGTCTGATTGCAGATCCCCAGATCACAAATGAGGATAAACATTTCAAATGCATTACTGTTCTTATGCCTTACCTCTCAAATATTTTCTTGCAGAGAGATGCAATTAATTTCATGCATACATACTATAATAATATCACAAGATAGCAGCTTATTGTGAGAAAATTGGTATAATTTGATGTAAACATTTGTAAAGGCATTTTAGTTGTGAAAATTACACTGACCCTGCTTACTTTAGATCAATTCTAGGGTAGTAGGAACATGTGGCTGTAAAGAGTTTTCCAGAAAAACACAAAGAACATGTTTTGCCATCAGGTGTTCCTGAGCAGACAAGGATTACGAATGGAGTGGAAGGATAAATTTCAACATGTACTTTAATGCTGAGGCATCTACGTTAGGAAAAATGAACATGATATACTTAAACAACTAAAAAAATTTCATAAATGCAGTTTGTAAAATCTCTTTTTATTGCCATAACACCATGCCTAAAACAGTGTCTGGTGTAATATAATTTTTAAAATATTTGCTGAATATTAAATTACCAAATGGAAAAATCAAAGAAGGGATCCCAATCAAATTGGGATCCTACTATATTGATTTGTTGTTAAGATGTCATAGGTTCCAAGGTGCACCTTTATTTTATGAAGAAAAATACATTTAAAAACTGTGCCTATTAAATTAAGACATCATATTCTCATCATACAGAACTTTTATGTTATATATGTATATATGTACAAAAGTTCTTTTAGATTTACTTAAACATATGTTTTCAACTATCACTCATGTTTACATACAAAGGAAATTATAGATACAATGTCTTGCTGAAAGTATAAAAGACTTCACACTCAGAAGTGCCTATGGTGAATGACTTGCTCTGAATCACTGACATCTCTGTTTATCCACACATTTTCATCCTCCGGACAAGTAGTTCTCTAAAGAGTGCTCCAGGATTTGGTTATTTTCTTCCAGGTCTCTGACAGCCATTCTGCACTTTAAAAATAATTTGATCCTGCAACTGATTCCGACTGGTAGGTGTCGACTGAAAGTTTTCAAGCAAAAACTTGAATTTGTGTTTATTTTTCTCATCAAGTGTTTCTTAAATTATTTTTTTAATTTAATTTTTATGGACTTAGGCGCACAAGTGCAGTTGTGTTACCTTGATATATTGCATAGTGGTAACATCTGGGATTTTAGTCTACCGACCATCTGAACGGTATATATTGTACCCAATAAGTAGTATTTTATTCCTTACTCCCCCTCCAGCCCTCCCGCAATTTGGAGTCTCTAAAATCTATGATTCCATTCTGTTGTCTATATATACCCGTTGTTTAGCTCCCACTCAAGTAAAGAACATGCGGTTTTTTACTTTCTGTTTCTGAGTGATTTCACTGAGAATAACGGTCTCCTGTTTCATCCATATAAGCGTTTTATATATATATATATATATATATATATACAAATGTTGTATATATAAATGTTTTGTTTTAGATATATACATACTATTTTAATCCAATCATACATTTATAGACATTTATGTTGATTTCATAACTTTATTACTGAGAATAGTGCCGAGATAAACATACAAATGTAGGGGTCTTTTGGATAAAACGATTTCTTTTCTGTTGGGTAGATACCCAGTAGAGGGATTGCTAGATTGAAGGGTAGTTTTATTTTTAGTTCTTTGAGAAATCTCCATGTTTTCTAAAGTGATTATACAAATTTACATTTCTACCAACAGCATATAAGCATCCCCTTTTCTCTGTATACTCACCAACTGTTGTTTTTTGACTCCTTAATAATAGGCATAATAAATGGTGTGAAATGGTTTCTTGTGGTTTCAATTTACATTTCTCAGATGATGAATGATGATGAGCTTTTTTTTCATATATTTGTTGGCTGCTTGTATATATTCTTTTGAAAAATGTCTGTTAATGTCCTTTGCCCACTTTTTGAAGGGGTTAGTTGTTATTTTCTGGATGAATTGTTTGAGTTCCTTATAGATTATGCATATTAGCCCTTCATCAGATGCATTGTTTGCAAATATTTTCTCACATTATGTAGATTGCCTGTTTACTCTGTTATTATTTCCTTTTCTGTTCAGAAGCTTTTTAGTTTAAGTCTCACTTGTTTATTTTTGGTTTTGTTGTGTTCCCTTTTGAGGACTTAGTCATAAATTCTTTGCATAGGCCAATGTCCAGAATAGTTTTTCCTAGGTTTTTGTTCAGGGTTATTAAATTTTCAAGTCTTACATTTAAGTCTTTAATCTATCTTGAGTTAATTTTTATATATCATGAGAAATAGGAATCCATTTTCAATCTTCTGCGTATGGCCAGCCAATTTTTCCAGCACTATTTATGTTTCAGTGTACATTTTTGTTGACTTTGTCAAAAATCAGTTGGCTGTAGGTATGTGGCTTTATTTCTGTGCTCTATTCTTTTCCCTTGACTTATGTGTCTATTTTTATGCCAGTGCCATGTGGTTCTGGTTACTATATGCTCATAGTATAATTTGAAATCAGATAATGGGATATCTCAACCTTTATTCCTTTTGCTTATTATTGCTTTGGCTATTCAGGCTCTTTTTAGGTTCCATTTGAATTTTATGATTTTTTTTTACCTAAATCTGTAAAGAATGGCATTGGTAATTTGATAGGAATTGCATTGAATCTGTAGATTGCTTTGGACAGTATGATCATTTTAATAATATTGATTCTTCCAGTCCATGTTTTTTCATTTGTTTGTGTCATCTATGATTTCTTTCATCATTTTTTTGCAGCTCTCTGTGCAGAGGTCTTTCAATTCTGTGGTTAAATGTATTCCTTTCTTTTTTTCTGGAGCTATTGTAAATGAGATTGAGTTCTTGAATTAGTTCTCAACTTGATTATTATTAGTATATAAAAATGATACTTATTTTTCTACATTTATTTTGTATCCTGAAACTTTACCATCATATCTAAGAGTCTTTTGGGTAAGTTAGGCTATTCTAGGTATAAGATCATATTATCAGTGAACAGAGATAATTTGACTTCGTCTTTTCTAATTTGGATGCCTCTTATTTCTTTCTCTTGACCGATTACCAGGGCTAGGACTTCTAGTACTATGTGGAGTAGGAGCGATGAAAGTGGGCATCCTTGTCTTGCTTCAGATCTTAGGGGGAATGCTTTCAACTTTTCTCCATTCAGCATGATGTTGGCTGAGTTTTTCATACACGGCTTTTATTATTTTGACATGTTTCTTCTATGCCTAGTTTTGTGAGGGCTTTTAACATAAAGGGATGTTTAATTTTATGAAAGACTTTTCTGTGTCTATTGAAATTATCACGTGGTTTTCTTTTTAGGTCTGTTTATCTGAAGAATTGCATTTATTCGTTTGCATATGCTGAGCCAACATTGCATCCCTGGAATAAAGCCAGTTTGATTGTTCTGTATTATCTTTTCGATAGCCTGCTATATTTCGTTTGCTAGTATCTTATTGAGGATTTTTACATTGACATTTATCAGGAATATTGGTTTGTAGTTTTCTTTTTTAGTTGTGCCTTCCCCTGACTTTGGTATCAGGGTGATACTGGCTTTATAGAATGAGTTAGGGAGAACTTCCTCCTCCTCAATTTTTTTAAACAGTTTCAGTACAATTGGTTTCAATTTTTCCATGTACATCTGATAGAATTTGGCTCTGAATCCATCAGGTCCTGGGCTCTTTTCTATTGGGAAATTTTTTATTACTGATTGAATTTCACTTCTTGTTAAAGGTCTCTTCTGGATTTCTATTTCTTCCTGGTTCAATCTTGGGAGGTTGTATGTTTCCAGGATTTTATTATTTTCTCTAGGTTTTCCAGTTTGTGCACATAGAGGTGCTCACTGTAGTCTGATAATCTTTTATATTTCTGTTGTATAAGTTATAATGTCATCTTTATCATTCCTGATTGTGCATATTTGAGATTTTCTCTATTTTTCTTGGTTAATCTAGTTAGCAGTCTATTCATTTTGTTTATTTTTTCCAAGAACTGACTTTCATTTTATTGATCCTTTGTATTATTTTATTCTCAATTTCATTTAGTTCTGCTCTGATCTTTGCTATTTATTTTTTTCTGCTAGCTTTGGGTGTGGTTTGTTCTTGTTTTTTTAGTTCCTTCAGGTGCAAGTCAGGTTGTTAGTTTGCGATCTTTCCGTCTTTTTCATGTAGGAATTTAACACTATAACTTCCCTCTTAGCACTACTTTTGCTGTATCGCAGAGGTCTAAACATAGTTTGATCTATCTAGTACAGCCTACATGGAAATGTCCAAATTATTCTGTAAGGCTATTTTTTAACTGATAAAGTCATAAATCCCAAGGTAATGCCAATTACTAATGATTCTGCCTAGTTTACAGCAATTTTCAGATTCAGTCCAATTTTGGATAAAATATTAAACTGTGCATGTCTGAGATGCAGTGATAAATAGAAGTAATCTTTTAGCAATAGCAGTTTCATGTAGGAAGCAGTTGTAATCATGGTAACCAGTAGCCAGTGACATTACCAGATATACAACCCATTGTTTGTAGCAGCAGTAGAAGAGAACTGCCCTTTATTAGCAGTTTTGAGACACTTCAGGGACCCATATGGAAAAAAGGAGTGTTCTGAAATGAACTGGGAGTCTGTGATTTGGTTGATGGATATAAATCAGAGATTTTTATGCTTATTTCAAATTACAGCTACACTATTGAGTCATTTGGGGTGGGGCACTTTGGAGGAACATTATAACAATTTATTAAAGCTCAACTAAATTTTATTACAGTTTCACATTTGTATATCATAGGAAGTGTGACATTTTAGTTGTGCTAAATTATACAACTTTTTAGAATAATTTACAATAAGATTTTCTACTACACTTAAATCCTTTGTCTGTTAGTTTATTGTGCCAGACAAAGACCTGGATGTGTATTTTAAAATCATGCTATTTCAGTATTTCACCTAGTCTTTTAAAAAATGTATTTGGGGACATGATTATCTCAATAGTTGCAGAAAAGGCCTTTGACAAAATTCAATATCCCTTCTTGCTAAAAACTCTCAATAAATTCGGTATTGATGGGACGTATCTCAAAATAATAAGAGCTATCTATGACAAACCCACAGCCAATTTCATACTGAATGGGCAAAAACTGGAAGGATCCCCTTTGAAAACTGGCACAAAACAGGGATGCCCTCTCTCACCACTCCTATTCAACATAGTGTTGGAAGTTCTGACCAGGGCAATCAGGCAGGAGAAAGAAATAAAGCGTATTCAATTAGGAAAAGAGGAAGTCAAATTGTCCCTGTTTGCAGATTACATGATTGTATATTTAGAAAACCCCATCGTCTCAGCCCAAAATCTCCATAAGCTGATAGGCAACTTCAGCAAAGTCTCAGGATACAAAATCAATGTGCAAAAATCACAAGCATTCTTATACACCAATAACAGACAAAGAGAGAGCCAAATCATGAGTGAACTCCCATTCACAGTTGCTTCAAAGAGAATAAAATACCCAGGAATACAACTTACGAGGAATGTGAAGGACCTCTTCAAGGACAACTACAAACCACTGCTCAAGGAAATAAAAGAGGACACAAAAAATGGGAGAACATTCCATGCTCATGGATAGGAAGAATCAATATCGTGAAAATGGCCATACTGCCCAAGGTAATTTATAGATTCAATGCCATCCCCACCAAGCTACCAATGACTTTCTTCACAGAATTGGAAAAAAAACATTTTAAAGTTCATATGGAACCAGAAAAGAGCCAGCATTGCCAAGACAATCCTAGCCAAAAGAACAAATCTGGAGGCATCACGCTACCTGACTTCAAACTATACTACAAGGCTACAGTAACCAAAATAGCATGGTACTGGTACCAAAACAGAGATATAGACCAATGGAACAGAACACAGCCCTCAGAAATAATACCACACATCTACAACCATCTGATCTTTGACAAACCTGAGAAAAACAAGAAATGGGGAAAGGATTCCCTATTTAATAAATGGTGCTGGGAAAACAGGCTAGCTATATGTAGAAAGCTGAAACTGGATCCCTTCCTTACACCTTATACAAAAATTAATTCAAGATGGATTAAAGACTTAAATCTTAGACCTAAAATCATAAAAACCCTAGAAGAAAACCTAGGCAGTACCATTCAGGACATAGGCATGGGCAAGGACTTCATGTCTAAAACACCAAAAGCAATGTCAACAAAAGCCAAAATTGACAAATGGGATCTCATTAAACTAAAGAGCTTCTGCACAGCAAAAGAAACTACCATCAGAGTGAACAGGTAATCTACAGAATGGGAGAAAATTTTTGCAATCTACTCATCTGACAAAGGGCTAATATCCAGAATCTACAAAGAACTCAAACAAATTTACAAGAAAAAAACAAACAACCTCATCAAAAAGTGGGTGAAGGATATGAACAGATACTTCTCAAAAGAAGACATTTATGCAGCCAAAAGACACATGAAAAAATGCTCATCATCACTGGCCATCAGAGAAATGCAAATCAAAACCACAGTGAGATACCATCTCACACCAGTTAGAATGGCGATCATTAAAAAGTCAGGAAACAAAAGGTGCTGGAGAGGACGTGGAGAAATAGGAGCAGTTTTACACTGTTGGTGGGACTGTAAACTAGTTCAACCATTGTGGAAGACAGTGTGGTGATTTCTCAAGGATCTTGAACTAGAAATATCATTTGACCCAGCCAGCCCGTTACTGGGTGTATATCCATAGGATTATAATTCATGCTGCTATAAAGACACATGCACACATATGTTTATTGTGGCACTATTCACAGTAGAAAAGACTTGGAACCAACACAAATGTCCATCAATGATAGACCGGATTAAGAAAATGTGGCACATATACACCATGGAATACTATGCAGCCATAAAAATGATGAGTTCATGTCCTTTGTAGGGACATGGATGAAGCTGGAAACCATCATTCTCAGCAAATTATCACAAGGACAGAAAACCAAACACCGTATGTTCTCACTTATTGGTGGGAATTGAACAATGAGAACACCTGGACACAGGAAGGGGAACATCACACACCAGGGCCTATCGTGGGGTGGGGGGAGGGGGAAGGGATAGCATTAGGAGATATACCTAATGTAAATGACGAGTTAATGGATGCAGCACAGCCACATGGCATACGTTTACATATGTAACAAACCCGCACATTGTGGACATGTACCGTAGAACTTAAACTATAATAAAAAAAAGTATTTGGAGAAATTTGTTTTGTTGAATCTTGAAACAATATAGCTCTTACTAGATTACACAGTACATTATAGAAAAAGTATGAAAAGGTAGGAATAGTCCTGTAAAGAAACATTTTATTATGCAATTATTTTCAAGGCAGGTGATAGGCGCCTAGTGAGTGCTGAGTATGAGACAGAAAATAAAAGTGGTTTAATGTGCTTTATAAAATACCTCCTTCCCATCACAAAAGATTTAGAATTAGTTTGTCTAGAGGGCAAGCTTTTATATTTTTTTTAAATCTAATTAAGAGGATCTGATTTATATTCTACCTCTTTTCCTGTGGTAAGATCTATGTTACTTTTTTCTTTTCTTCTCTCTTTTTGCTTTGTTTTGTCTACTGGTGGCACAAGAATCTTCGTAACCAATTGCCAGAGCCTACACATGAAACTAAATCAGTAACTTTCTAAGTTGGGTACATTGGACTCATTCAGGGTGTTTTGGTCAAGTGATATCAACCCCAATTAAGTGAGTTTAAGCATAAGAAGATAATTTGTTGTGAGACTACTGATGGTTTCCCAGGCAGAGAAAAAAACTACTGGCTCTGGAACTTATAAGGAGAGAGAAAATGTGTTGCCTGAATCTTTCTTAGTCTCTCCCTGTCTTTCTTTCCTTCCCCACTTCTCCTCCTCTTATTCCTCCTTTTTCTTCTCTGCCTCTTCTTCTTTCTTCAATTTCTTCTTTCTGTCTCCTCATCTCTGTTTGACTGTTTAGATTAATTTTTTCCTTATGTACTCAGGTTCTTTGCACGTAGTGGAGGCTATCACTGAAGGGGTAGCTTCATATTCACATCCTAGCTCTGCAACTTAAAAAGCAAGAATATTTTCTCTGCTACAGTGTATAAGAACAATTCTGGAAAACAATAGTAACCAGCCAAGATTATTTTACATAGCCGTCCTATGTAAAACTCTGGGCAGGGATAATACGTGGCCAGAACTGAATCATACATCCTCCTCTGTATTCAGGGGTGTATTATCTGTTCCTGGGGAGATGAATAAAAAAAGCATGCTAAGCAGCCCAAAACAGTAGACATCCCAGGACTTTAGGAAGGCATTTAAAAGATTTGTTAAGAATAAAGGTGTCCACAACCAAGAATACAATATGTATCCATTTTGTTAGAGTTAACATAGTCATATAGCACTTATATATCTAAAACATAGTGAGATTCTGATAGCATGCTTCAGCTTCTTCCCCCTCTCTTTTCTGACCTTAACTGTATTCTTTCACTTCTTTTTCTGTTTTTTTATTAATTGCTTTTTTTTAAATATTATGGGTACATAATAGTTGTATATATTTATGGGGTACAGATGATGTTTTGATACAGGCCTACAAAGTGTGATGATCAAATTAGGGTCTTGGGGTATCCATCACCTCAAGCATTTATCTTTTTTGTGTGTTAGAAACTTCCCAATTCCACTCTTTTAGTTATTTGAAAGTATACAATGAATTATTGTTAACTAGAGTCACTCTATCATGCTACCAAACACTAACTTTATTCATTCTATATACCTGTACCTACTAACCATTCCCACTTGATCTCCTGCCTTCCTGCTACCCTTTCAACCTCTGATAATCATCATTCTACTCTCTATCTCCATGAGTTTATTTTTAGTTTTTAATTATTATCCTTTTAGCTTCCATGTGTGAATGAGAACATGTGGTAATTGCCTTTCTGTGTCTGGCTTACATGAGGGTACAGATATTTTCTCAATATATTAATTTCCTCTTTTTTTGGACATATACCAGTTTTTTTAGGACTCCATACCATTGTTCATAGTGGCTCTACTAATTTACCAAGTACAAGGGTATACAAGGGTTTTCTCAAAACTCCAATTAAAATGGACTAAAGACTTGAATCTAAGACTTCAAACTATAAAACCACTAAAAGAAAACATTGGAGAAGCACTTCCAAACACTGGTCTGGGCAAAGATTTATTGTGGACACCTTTATGCTTAACAAAAGCATAGGCAACCAAAGCAAAAATGAACAAATGGAAAGACATCAAGGTAAAAAGCTTCTCATGGCAAAAGAAACAATTAACAAAGTGAAGAGACAACCCACAGAATGAAAGAATTTACAAACTATCCATTTGAAAAAGGATTAATAAACAGAATATGTATGCAGCTCAAACACCTCAATAGGAAAACATTAAATAATCCAATCTAAAAAATAGGCAAAAGATCTGAATAGACATTTCTCAGAAGAAGACATATAAATGGCTAACAGGTATATGAAAAAATGCTCAGAGAATACAAATCAAAACTGCAATGAAATATCACGTCATCCAAGTTAAATGATTTTTATCCAAAAGACAAGCAATTATGAACGCTGGCAAGGATGTTGATTCAGTAGCTTCTTTTTATAGCGCTCCTGAGGATTCATTTCCTTTTCCTTGCTGATGAATTATCTTATTATTTTATTTGGCCCCATCAGCTCTGCTTTCTCTACGTTGAGCACTATATACCAACAAGGGTCTATTGATTTTTCTTCCCTATACCCTTTACCATATTCCTATGAATGAAGAGTTTTATCCAATTCTCTCTCTCTCTCTCTTTTTTTTTTTCTTTTTTTTTTCTTTTGTGAGGCTGAGTCTTGCTCTGTTGCCCAGGCTGGAGTGCAGTGGTGCAATCTCGGCTCACTGCAACCTCCGCCTCCCGGGTTCATGCCATTCTCCTGCCTCAGCCTCCCGCATAGCTGGGACTACAGGTGCCCGCCACCACGCCAAGCTAATTTTTTTTGTGTATTTTTTTTAGTAGAGACGGGGTTTCACCGTGTTAGCCAGGATGGTCTCGGTCTCCTGACCTTGTGATCCGCCCACCTCGGCCTCCCAAAATGCTGGGATTACAGGCCTGAGCCACCACGCCCAGCCCCAATTCTCTCTTTAGTGAGATACCTCACCTGGCATTCTAGCTTAAAGTCAACTCTTATCACCATGAAAAATGTACATAGATATGGGTACAATGAGACTGCCTGCATGTTGATATGAACAGGACCATTTTTGTTGCTTGGCATGATCTGTACCTTCAGCAACAGAAGCTAAATGCAAAATGTGTTTATTTATACAACTTAAAGCATCAGCTATACTTAGATTCAGTTTGAACACATCCTCTATATTGAATAAACCATTACTCCATTTTCTCTTATCTTTTAATAATCTGTTTTCTAATTAATAAAACAAATTCAATCTTTCCTATGTCTCCTTACCTCAAACTCCTTTCACCTACTTAAAATTATAATTTACTGTATTATATATTTATTTGTGTAATTTTTTAAGTCAGAGCTCAGGTCACATAGTTGCAGACATTTTTAGTGGCTTGTTCATATTCTGTCTTTTCTGAATGCCTTGTTACTGTCATGCACAATTTTATATAATATAAAATGTATGAGAATGTATTATATTAATGCAGAAATGTATATATACATCCAAATTATAGAAATATTATTTAATAATATCTTATCAAATTAAGTAAATGTAACATTGTGTTAATCATGGTAGAAAAAAACAATATAAATAAGAAAAAAACAAATGCACAAAATTAAGAAAAAATATGATTTGTTTTCCAGAAAAAGAGAGATGATTGGCATGATAGTGGTAAGAACCTGCTTGTGCAGATGTAAGAAACAGCATTAAATACATTCAGTGGAGTAATATTAGAAATCATGGAGAAAATCTGAAGTATTTTGATAAAAGGAAATAGTTACCTGGAAGTCTTAAATACTAAATTTAAGTTCATTCACATGATTCTTGTGAGTCATTTAACTTTATTTAGAGAGCAGGATTTTGTGTGTGTGTGTGTGTGTGTGTGTGTTGATATTGTCATTGTTTTGAGACGGAGTCTCACTGTATTGGGAGTAACTGGGATTGCAGGCATGCACTACCACACCCAGCTAATTTTGGAGAGCAGGTATTAATAGTTTCTTCTATTCAACACATTTGCCATAAGCCAGGAACAGTGTTGCCAGCTTAGAATATAAAGATGAACAAGAAACATAACATCTACTCTAACAATGAATCTCTTCAGTTATCAGAGAGGATATCTATTAATCAGACCAATAAAGATAAACTTTTAATCGTGAGAACGGGCTTGGAGATGCAGGAGGAGCAGATATGAGTTGAAAAATTAAAAAGCTATTGATGTCATTCAAGATACAAGGAATTATACGGCAAATGGTTTTCTTCCATAATATACCTTATTTGCACATATTAATTTTTGAGATTGTGCCTTCTATTTCTGTCACTAATCAATAATTGCTTTTCACTTATTTTTGTTAGATTTTTTGAACATCCTCATACACAGCAATATATAAGTATAGAATATTGTGACATTCACTATCTTAGCCTTCCTCTGTTACAGTTATTTTATTTTATTCTTGTTATTTTGCATTTGCATCCTACTTTTGGTTTATTAAGTATTATATATCCCTGAAAGTCTCTTTCAATCACTTTGCATCTTTTAAAACAAAGCAGGGTATGTAGAAACTTTTTTTGAAAAAATTTTAAATCAAAAAGTGTGTGGTTACCTTACACAAACTTACATGTCTCTTTGCAGTTTTTCAGCACATTTCTACATGTTGTTTTTAGTAAAGCCTTAGAATAAATCAAGAGCGAATGAGCCAGAAAAACTGTTACAAAGACAGTCTGCTAGATAGATATCTTAGATTTCTTGCACATATTTCAATCTAAATTGCCATTAAGACAATTGCCATACCCTTCTGACTGGTGTTCCCTTGGTCACCTTTAAGGAATATATCTTGTTGCCTAACATTTGAAGTGTCTCATGTGCAATACTGATGGAGCTTCTCAAGATGCCAGATGTGTTATCTGTGTTAGTTCAGGTTGTGAAATCAATTTATTTAATTTTTGATGTGATCACTGATTTGAAGACTTTTATGTGGGCTTTAATTTAGTGCAAGTTTGACATGAGTCTCTGTCTGCCAGTTTCTGAAAATACATAATGACTTTTCTGTGTTTGTGTAGTTTATCACTTAGGATGGAATGCTTTTTACAAATCAAAATATTTTAGAACTTTTATCTCTATACTACATCTTCTCATATATAGACTTATTTTAAATCCCCATACTTCTAGTAATTGACCAAATTGTTTCATCTGCAATTTTTTAAACCTATGCTTCAAGATGTTAGTAACAAATGAAAACTCACAGGTGAAACTCTTCTAGGGTCATTTGTTTCATAAGAATATGCCCAGACAAAAATACTGTCTCTGTCTCTTTCTCTGTTTTTCTCTCTCTTTTTCTTTTCTTCCCTAAACAGAAGTTAGACCTTTCCCCTTTGAATTAGGCACAGAGAAAATTTAGTGGCATGGCTTAAAATTGCTCTCAATTTTCATGTGGAAAAAAAGATGAACAGATGTATTTCTATTCCATTACTTTTTAAAACTAAGCAAAAATAAAAAAAATAACATTTTCTACAAATCAAGCTAAAAAGTACAAAGGAGAGTTGTCTGATACATGAAAAGTACATCCAATGAAGGGATAACTCACAGAGAACAGATGTATCTCAATACAACTTGGGTAGCACAAGGTGTTTTCCAAAAGTATGTCTCATGGCCCCAGTGTTCTCAAATGAATGTGTTACTTGACACCATAACCTAAACATAAGTATCAGCTATAGCAGTGTCCCTGGTATAAAACCACAATGCACAGTAGCAGAGGTGAAGAGAATACAAATGTAGAGGAAACAAAATCAATGGAAACCAGAGATGTGTTCAGGTAATAGTAGATAGTAACTAGCTTTTGAGCTACTGATCACACCAACAGAAGGAGAACAAAAATATAATTGCTAAGTCATTACACACACACACACACACACACACACACACACAGAGAGAGAGAGAGAGAAACCTGTGACTCGCTGACTTTGGTTGTGAGTTAATTCTCTGTTCACTTGAAAAGGATGGCAATTACAGGGACTTAGTTCATTGGAAAGACAGTGTAGAAGAGATGATTAAAAGATGTGGTGGGATTCCATACAGGATTTTGAGATTCCTGTATTCCCCCTCATATGGTTTGGCTATGTCCCCACCCAAATTTCACCTTGACTTGTGATAATTCTCCTGTGTCAAGAGCAGGGCCGGGTGGAGATAATTGAATAATGAGGGTAGTTTTCCTTATACTGTTCTTGTGGTAGGGAATAAGTCTCAAGAGAGCTGATAGTTTTACAAATGGGAGTTCCGTGCACATGCTCTCTTACCTGTCACCATGTAAGATATAACTGCTTCTCCTTTGCCTCCCACCATGATTGTGAGGCCTCCCCAGCCATGTAGAACTGTGAGTCCATTAACCTTCTTTCCTTTATAAATTACCCAGTCATTGGTGTGTTTTTATTAGCAGCATGAGAATGGACTAATATGGTAAATTGGTACCAGGTAGTGGGTGCTGCTTTAAAGATACCTGAAAATATAGAAACGACTTTGGAACTAGGTAACAGGCAGAGGTTGGAATCATTTGAGAGGCCTCAGAAGAAGATAGAAGAATGTGGGAAAGTCTGGAACTTCTTAGAGACTTGGAGGGCTCAAAAGACAGGAAGAGGTAGGAACGTTTGGAACTTCCTAGATACTTATTGAATGGCTTTTATCAAAATGCTGATAGTGATATGAACTGTAAAGTCCAGGCTGAGGTGGTCTCAGATAAAGGTGAGGAACTTGTTGGGAACGGGATTAAAGATCACTCTTGTTATGCAAAGAGACTGGTGGCACTTAGGTCCTGTTATGCAAAGAGACTGGTGGCACTTATCTCCTGCCCTAGAGATCTGTGGAACTTTGAACTCAGTGAGATTAGTTAGGGTATTTGGTGGAAGAAATTTCTAACCAGCAAAGCGTTCAATAGGAAACAGAGCATAAAAGTTTGGAAAAAGTACAGCCTGATGATGCCGTGGAAAAGAAAACCTCATTTTCTGAGGAGAAATTCAAACTGGCTGCAGAAATTTACATCAATATTGAGGAGCCAAATGTTAATCACCAAGACAATGGGGAAAATGTCTCCAGGGCATGTCAGAGACATTCATGGCAGCCCCTCCCATCACAGGCCTGGAGGCCTAGGAGGAAATAAATGGTAAGACAATGGGGAAAACGTCTCCAGGGCATGTTGGAGACATTCATGGCAGTCCCTCCCATCACAGGCCTGGAGGCCTAGGAGGAAATAAATGGTTTTGTGGGCTGAGTCCAGGGCCCCCCTGGTGCAGCCTAGGGACTTGATGCCCTGCATCCCAGCTGCTCCAGCCATGGCTAAAAGGGTCCAAGGTACAGCTCAGGCTGTGGCTTCAGAGGGTGCGAGTCCCAAGCCTTGGGAGCTTCCACATGGTGTTAAGCCTGTGGATGCATAGAAGTCAAGAACTGAGGTTTGGGAACCTCCACCTAGATTTCAGAGGATGTATGGAAATGCCTGGATGTCCAGGCAGAGATGTGCTGCAGGGGTGGAACCCTCATGGAGAACCTCTGCTAGGACAGTCTGGAAGGGAAATGTGGGGTGCAATCCCACATGTAGAGTCCCCACTGGGGCACTGCCTAGGGGAGCTGTGAGAAGAGGCCCACCATCCTCCAGACCCCAGAATGATAGATCCACTTATAGCTTGCACTGTGCAAGAAAGTTGACTGAAGGACAGATTGTCATTTTAAAAAACAAGTGATAAATAATTATAGCTACTGAATGCTGCTTTCATGAGTTCTTCATTAAATATTAGGTCAATAAAGGATTTAAGTTAAAGGGAGGTTAAAGATTTTCTGTGCATGCATTACGATCTAAAACACAAAGATGACAAATTTGATCCAACTGATATATTAAAACACTTCATCCAGAAATGACAGAATTCACATGATTTTCAAATACACATGAAAACTTTGACAAGATTGATTATATGCTTTGGCTTGAGGTAACTCAATAAATTTCAAAGCAATGAAACTACTATTTTTTTCTGACTACTTTGTAACTAAGGTGGAAATTTAGAAATATACATGTAAACAAAAGCAAAAGTGTAACTGCATTTTGCTTCAGTGTTTAGACATTTGTAAATTTTAAATAAATGGTAGGAAGAGAGATAAATTCAAAGGAAACAAGAAGATATTGTAAAGTGGATGATGACAAATACAAGACATATAAAATTTTTGGTCTGAATTAAAGTTTTGCTTACAAGCATATATAGATCCTAAACTGCATATAAACTGTGATCTATTGTGTAAAATAAAGGAAAGAATAACAAATTAAAAACCTAAAGAAGTTATATGATAATAATAAAGATAAGTTTATAAAGCAAAAGCAATGATAAAGACAAAGGATAAGAAGAAAATTAGCTAAATCAAAAGTTGACAGTTTATAAAGACAAAATTGATAGACATCTTGCAAGACTGATTGACATATTGAGAGTGAGAAATACTAAAAACGTTGTATTACTACAGATCTTATGAAGGGATTTTATGAATATTAACAATATTAAGCCATAAAATATTAAACACTTTGATTAAAATGACAAATTCTTATGAGTTCTCATCTTTAAAATCCAAATGTAAAAGAAATAGAAAATATGAATATTCTTATAATTTATTCAGAAATTGGATTAGTTGGCCTAAGGTTTTAATGGGAAGCATATGCTGAAAAAAAGTTAAGTTTTTAAGTGTTTATTGGAGACTAATAACTGGAAAACATAAGGAAGGAAGCACAAGTAAACTTATATTCTTTTACCAGTGACTTCAACCAAGTATTTAAGGGAAAGTGATAAGAACCTTACACAACACTTTCACAAAATAGGAGAGAAGAAAATATTTCCTGAATCTTTTATAAGCAAACCTGTGATATCAAAATCTGACAAAACATTAAAAAAAGACAACTACAGACTGGTATTCTTCATAGACACATGTGTTAAATTTCTTAATTAAATATTAATAGAGATAATGTGAAGAATAGCCAACACATCATGGCCAAGTAGGTTTAATTTCAGGATTATTAGGTTAGTTTACTATTCAGAAAACAATCTATGTAATTTTTCATATTAATTTAATAAAGAGAAAAGTAAAATAATTATTTCAATTGATAAAAAAGTCACTTTTCAAAATTAATTACCTATTTATGTTAACAATTCTCACAAGTAACAAAATGAAAGTTTCTCAGTATTATAAAGGACATTTATAAAAATTTCTTGGACCTTCTACAAAAAAAGAAAATCTCAATTCCTATTTCACACCATACTCCTCCAAAATAATTTGATTTGGATCATAGAATGTGAATGTGTGTGTCTGTGTGTGTGTGTCTGTGTGTATACACACAGACACACACACACACAGTTGTATTTTAGAGTCACTGCATGTTTGGTTCCACACTACTGCAATAAAATAAATATTGCAATAATGCAAGTCTCACAGTTGTTGTTTTCTCCTTTCCCATTGTATATATAAGTTATGTCTACACCATACTCTAGTCAATTCAGTGTGCAATAACATTACATTCTGAACTGAAGTCTTGAATCCTTCAAAGTCATCCATGAGAGTTGGAATCAATTTCTTCCACACACCTGTTAGTGTTGCTATTTTAACCTCCTTCCATGAAATACAAATATCCTTAATGACATCTAGATTAGTGATTCCTCTCCAGAAGGTTTTCAATTTACTTTGCCCAGATTCATCAGAAAAATTACTAGCTATAGCAGCTATAATCTTACAAAATGAATTTCTTAAACAATAAGACCTCAATATTTAAATCACTCCTTGATCCATGAGCTGCAGAATACATGGGTTAGTAGGCAGGAAAATAAGACTAATCTCTTCAGTGCTCTAGAGTGACAAGGTGCATTGTTATTGAGCAGTAATATGTTGAAAGGAATCTTTTTATCTGAGCAGTAGGTCTCAACAGTGGGCATAAAATATTCAGTAAACCATACTGTAAACAAATGTGCTCTAGACCAGGCTTTGTTGTTTCATTAATAGAGCACAGGGAGAGTATATTTAGCATAATTCTTCAGGGTCCTAAGAGGTTTGAAATGCCAAATGATAATTGGCTTTAACTTAAAGTCACCTGCGTTAGCCCCTAACAAGAAAGTTAGCCTGTTGTTTGAAGCTTTGAAGCCAGGCATTGACTTTTCCTCTCTAGCTTTGAAAGTCCTAGATGGCATCTTCTTTCTAAAGAAAGCTATTTTATCTACACTAAAAGTCTGTTGTTCAGTATGGCCACCTTCATCTATTATCTTACCTAGATCTTCTGGATAACTATGTTAGGACTTGCTGCTTCACATAGACTTTCATGTAACGGAAATGGCTTCTTTTTTAAACCTCGTGAATCAACTTCTGTTAGCTTTCAATTTTTCTTCTGCAGTTACTTGACCTCTCTCAGGTTTCTAAGAATTGAAGAGAGTTAGAGTCTTATCTAGATTGGACTTTGGTTTAAGCAAATGTTGTGACTGATTTGATCTTCTATCCAGGCTATTAAACAAACTCCGTATCAGCAGTTTTGCTTTCTAATCATTTGTGTGTTTACTGGGATAGAATTTTTAATGTCTTTCAAAAAATTTTCCTTTGTATCCTCAACTTGGGTAACTAGTTAGCTTAAGTGACCTAACTTTCAATCTATCTTGGCTTTCAACATGCCTTCCTTACAAGCTTAATTATTTTTAGTGTTTGCTCTAAAGTGAGAGACATATGGCTCTTCATTTGAACACTTAGAGGCCATTTAGGGTTATGAATTGGCCTAATCTCAATATTATTGTGTCACAGGGAATAGGGAGGCACAGAGAGAAAGAGAGAAAGAGAGAAAGAGAGGTAGGGGAATTGCCAGTCTGGGAGCAATCAGAATATATGCAACATTTATTGATTAAGTTTGCCATCGAATGTGGATGTGATTTGTGGTGCCCCAAAACAATTACAATAATAACATCAAAGATCACTGATCATACATCACCACAACAGATATAATAATAATGAAAAAGTTTGAAATATTGCACAACTTAATAAAATGTGACATAGACACAAAGTAAGCACATGCAATTGGGAAAACGGTCCTGATAGACTCATTTGACCAAGAATTGCCACAAACCTTCAATATATAAAAGGTGCAATATCTGCAAAGTACAATTAAGTGAAACACAATGCAGTGATGTATGCTTATATATATAATGAGATTTATTATAAGGAATTGGCTTACATGATTATGGAAACTGTAAAGTCCAGTGATCTACCCCTGCAGGTAGGAAACCCAGAAAACCTGGTGTAAATTCCAGCACAAGTCCAAAGGCCTGAGAAGCAGAAACACAGACGGTATAAATCCCAGTTCTAGGCAGGAGAAGACTGATATCTTATCTCAAGCATTTACTTAGAGAGATAGATTTACACTTTCCTTTGCCTTTTAGTTCTATTCAGACCTTCAAGAAAGGTTGGATGATGCTCACTCACATTAAGGAAGGCATTCTGCTTTACTTAGCCCAGCAATTCAAATGCTAATCTCTTCTAGAAACACTGCCACAGAGGCATGAAAAATAATGTTTAACCAAGTATCTGGGAACATTGTCACCTAGTCAAGTTGACATAAAATTAAGTATCACACTTGGCAGTAGGTCAAGGTTTCTAATACAATATATGTTAAGCAATTACCATAAAAAATGATAAGGTAGGTATCATCAAAAACAAGCAAATAAAATTAACCTCCTCATCAAAAACATTTTTCAAAATGAAATGAACAGGCAACACTCTGGTGAAAAATTCCCCAAATAATATGTATTATCTAATAAGGAACTGTTATCTATGATATATAAGGAACTCTGATAATTTAACAATAAAAACACAAACTGCCCAATAATAAAATGAGTAAAGATTTAAAAGGACACTTTACATAGGCTAATACATACATGGAAATGGGTTTAATTTCTCATTAGTCATTAGAGAAATACAACTTGAAATCACAGTGAAATACCACTGCACATTCCTCAGAATGACTGTAATTAAGACTGACAGTACCATATTTTGTCAACAATGTGGAGCAATGAAAATAAACATTTTTCATGGCACTGTAAATTTATACAATTATTTTATAAAAGGTTCTGTATACACAAACATATATCTATCCAATAATCCAATAATTTCAATCCTACTTATTTACCAAAGAAAAAAATGTGCTCATGAAATTGTATAAGTATACATATAGAAAAGGTTTACTCATAATTGGCAAACTTACAATCAGACCAGGTGTCTACCAACAGCAAAATCAATAAATTTGGGTGTATTCATCCAATGAAATACTATTCATCAATGAAAAGTGAAATGCTCAATATGCAACACCACATGTTAATATCAAATAATATGGTAAGTGAAAGAAGACACACAAAAGAGTATACATTATTGATTTTATTTATATAAATTTGTAGGAAAGGCAAAACTAACATATGGTGAGAAAAAGCAGAAGAGTGGTTTCTGGAGGGATGAGGGTGAAGCTGTTAATTGACTAAGAAGGGTGTGAGAAAGCTTTCCGGGATGTTGAGAATGCTTTATAAGTTAATGAGAATTTGTTTTATACAGGTATATGAAATTGCCAACATATATTTAATGGTAAACTTAGATGTACATGGAAAGTAAATTTTACTTCACAAGTAAATTTTACTTCAAATAAGTAAAATATTTCATTCTACTTTAATTATAGCACTGATGATATGTTTCAGAGAGAAATTTACTGATGCCTGCAACTTACTTTGAAATACAATAAAATAAGATGAATTGATGGGTGAATAAAGAGATTCAGATTTGGTTAATTCGTTACCAGCAAATATAATAAAACTTTAATTGTATAATTATAAATTTTCATATACAATTCTTTCAACTTTTTGTAAACTTGAAAATTTTCATAAAAGGATATCAATGACTTTTTCTCTCAATTAACATTATGAAACTAATTCCTACAACTTGAGGGGAGGAAGGAAGAAAGAGAAACATTTTTAAAGGGCAGAAAGAGGAAGAGAAAGAAAATCACAACCACAAAAACAAAGAAAACTAAATATTTCTTACTAATAAATTTGAAAGCTTGGCAGAAATGAATTGTTTTCTAGAAAGCACAAAATACAGTATTCTCTTATAATAAGATAAAAATTTAGATTTTTAAAAAATCTCAGCACATTCTCAAATAGATTTTCACTTTATAAATTGGGAAAATTAATGGCAGGAACCGTAGATTGTTTATTGTACCTTCTTGAACCCCTAACTATGTCCTTCATAGATAGTTATCTTATTCAAAAATGTTTCTTCAGCAGTTATTATAAAGAAGACACTCTATGAAAACTAGGAACAAAGTGATGAACTGATTTTATATCATCCTTTGTTTTGTGAAGTTTATAGGATAGCTGGTAAAGGGATTGTCAGGCCTCTGAGCCCAAGCCAAGCCATCGCTTCCCCTGTGACTTGCATGTATAGGCCCAGATGGCCTGAAGTAACTGAAGAATCACAAAAGAAGTGAAAAGGCCCTGCCCCGCCTCAACTGATGACATTCCACCATTGTGATTTGTTCCTGCCCCACCTTAACTGAGTGATTAACCCTGTGAATTTCCTTCTCCTGGCTCAGAAGCTCCCCAACTAAGCACCTTGTGACCCCCACCCCTGCCCACCAGAGAACCCCCTTTGACTGTAATTTTCCATTACCTCCCCAAATCCTATAAAACGGCCCCACCCCTATCTCCCTTCACTGACTCTCTTTTCAGACTCAGCCCGCCTGCACCCAATGAAATAAACAGCCATGTTGCTCACACAAAGCCTGTTTGGTGGTCTCTTCACACAGACGCGCATGAAATTTGGTGCCGTGACTCCGATCGGGGGACCTCCCTTGGGAGATCAATCCCCTGTCCTCCTGCTCTTTGCTCCATGAGAAAGATCCACCTACGACCTCAGGTCCTCAGACCGACCAGCCCAAGAAACATCTCACCAATTTCAAATCCGGTAAGCGGCCTCTTTTTACTCTCTTCTCCAATCTCCCTCACTACCCCTCAACCCCTTCTCCTTCACCCTTAGCGGCAAGTCCCGCTTTTCTGGGGGAGGGGCAAGTATCCCTGAACCCCTTCTCCTTCACCCTTAGTGGCAAGTCCTGCTTTTCTAGGGGGCAAGAACCCCCAATCCCTTATTTCTGCACCCCGACCTCTTATCTCTGTGCCCCAATCCCTTATTTCTGCACCCCAACCTCTTATCTCTGTGCCCCAATCCCTTATTTCCATGCCCCAACACTTTCTCTGCTTTTCTGGAGGGCAAGAAGCCCCCACCCCTTCTCCGTGTCTCTACTCTTTTTTCTGGGCTTGCCTCCTTCACTATGGGCAAGCTTCCACCATCCATTCCTCCTCCTTCTCCCTTAGCCTGTATTCTTAAGAACTTAAAACCTCTTCAACTCTCACCTGACCTAAAATCTAAGCATCTTATTTTCTTCTGCATTGCCGCTTGACCCCAATACAAACTCGACAGTAGTTCCAAATAGCCGGAAAACGGCACTTTCAATTTTTCCATCCTACAAGATCTAAATAATTCTTGTCGTAAAATGGGCAAATGGTCTGAGGTGCCTGACATCCAGGCATTCTTTTACACATCAGTCCCTTCCTAGTCTCTCTGCCCAGTGCAACTCATCCCAAATCTTCCTTCTTTCCCTCCCGCCTGTCCCCTCAGTCCTAACCCCAAGCGTCACTGAGTCTTTCTAATCTTCCTTTTCTACAGACCCATCTGACCTCTCCCCTCCTCACCAGGCCGAGCTAGGTCCCAATTCTTCCTCAGCATCCGCTCCTCCACCCTATAATCTTTTTATCGCCTCCCCTCCTCACACCTGGTCTGGCTTACAGTTTCCTTCCATGACTAGCCCTCCCCCACCTGCCCAGCAATTTACTCTTAAAAAGGTGGCTGGAGCTATAGGCATAGTCAAGGTTAATGCTCCTTTTTCTTTATCCAAATCCGAAGCGTTTAGGCTCTTTTTCATCAAATATAAAAACCCAGCCCAGTTCATGGCTCATTCGGCAGCAACCCTGAGAAGCTTTACAGCCCTACACCCCAAAAGGTCAAAAGGCCATCTTATTCTCAACATACATTCTATTACCCAATCTGCTCCCGACATTAAATAAAACTCCAAAAATTGGAATCTGGCCCTCAAACCCCACAACAGGACTTAATTAACCTCACCTTCAAGGTGTACAATAATAAAAAAAAAAGTTGCAATTCCTTGCCTCCACTGTGAGACAAATCCCAGCCACATCTCCAGCACACAAGAACTTCCAAACGCCTGAACCGCAGCGGCCAGGGGCTCCTCCAGAACCTCCTGCCCCAGGAGCTTGCTACAAGTGCCAGAAATCTGACCACCAGGCCAAGGAATGCCTGCAGCCCAGGATTCCTCCTAAGCTGTGTCCCATCTGTGCAGGACCCCACTGGAAATTGGACTGTTCAACTCACATGGCAGCCACTCCCAGAGCCCCTGGAACTCTGGCCCAAGACTCTCTGACTGACTCCTTCTTGGCTTAGCGGCTAAAGACTGACGCTGCCCGATCACCTCGGAAACCCCGTAGACCATCACGGATGCCGAGCTTTAGGTAACTCTCACAGTGGAGGGTAAGTCCGTCCCCTTCTTAATCAATACGGAGGCTACCCACTCCACATTACCTTCTTTTCAAAGGTCTGTTTCCTTTGCCTCCATAACTGTTGTGGGTATTCACAGCCAGGCTTCTAAACCTCTTAAAACTCCCCAACTCTGGTGCCAACTTAGACAATACTCTTTTATGCACCCTTTTTTAGTTATCCCCACCTGCCCAATTCCCTTATTAGGCCGAGATATTTTAGCCAAATTATCTGCTTCCCTGACTATTCCTGGACTACAGCTATATCTCATTGTCGCCCTTCTTCCCAATCCAAAGCCTCCTTTGTGTCCTCCTCTTGTATCCCCCCCACCTTAACCCACAAGTATAAGATACCTCTACTCCCTCCTTGGCTACTGATCATGCACCTCTTACCATCTCATTAAAACCTAATCACCCTTACCCCGCTCAATGCCAATATCCCATCCCACAGCATGCTTTGAAAGGATTAAAGCCTGTTATCACTCGCCTGCTACAGCATGGCCTTTTAAAGCCTATAAACTCTCCTCACAATTCCCCCATTTTACCTGTCCTAAAACCAGACAAGCCTTACAAGTTAGTTCAGGATCTATGCCTTATCAACCAAATTGTTTTGCCTATCCACCCCATGGTGCCAAACCCATATACTCTCCTATCCTCAATACCTCCCTCCACAATCCATTATTCTGTTCTGGATCTCAAACATGTTTTCTTTACTATTCCTTTGCACCCGTCATCTCAGCCTCTCTTTGCTTTCACTTGGACTGACCCTGACACCCATCAAGCTCAGCAAATTACCTGGGCTGTACTGCTGCAATTCTTCACAGACAGCCCCCATTACTTCAGTCAAGCCCAAATTTCATCCTCATCTGTTACCTATCTCGGCATAATTCTCATAAAAACACACGTGCTCTCCCTGCTGAACGTGTCCAATTAATCTCCCAAACCTCAATCCCTTACAAAACAACTCCTTTCCTTCCTAGGCGTGGTTAGTGCAGTCAGAATTCTTACACAAGAGCCAGGACCGCACCCTGTAGCCTTTCTGTCCTAACAACTTGACCTTACTGTTTTAGCCTAGCCCTCATGTCTGCATGCATCGGCTGCCACTGCTTTAATACTTTTAGAGGCCCTCAAAATTACAAACTATGCTCAACTCTCTCTCTACATTTCTCATAACTTCCAAAATCTATTTTCTTCTTCATACCTGACGCATATACTTTCTGCTCCCTGGCTCCTTCAGCTGTACTCACTCTTTGTTGAGTCCCACAATTACCATTGTTCCTGGCCTGGACTTGAATCCAGCCTCCCACATTATTCCAGATACCACACCTGACCCTCATGACTGCATCTCTCTGATCCACCTGATGTTCACCCCATTTCCCCACATTTCCTTCTTCCCTGTTTCTCACCCTGATCACGCTTGATTTATTGATGGCAGTTCCACCAGGCCTAATCACCACACACTAGCCAAGGCAGGCTATGCGATAGTACAAGCCACTAGCCCACCTCTTAGAACCTTTCATTTCCTTTCCATCGTAGAAATCTATCCTCAAGGAAATAACTTCTCAGTGTTCCATCTGCTATTCAATCTGCTATTCTACTACTCCTCAAGGATTATTCAGGCCCCCTCCCTTCCCTACACATCAAGCTCGAGGATTTGCCCCTGCCCAGGACTGGCAAATTAGCTTTACTCAACATGCCCCGAGTCACAAAAACTAAAATACCTCTTAGTTTAAGAAGACACTTTCACTAGATAGGTAGAGGCCTTTCCTACAGGGTCTGAGAAGGCCACCGCAGTCATTTCTTCCCTTCTGTCAGACATAATTCCTCCGTTTAGCCTTCCCACCTCTACACAGTCTGATAACAGACCAGCCTTTATCAGTCAAATCAGCCAAGCATTTTTTCAGGCTCTTAGTGTTCAGTGACAGACTAATGGTCTATTAAAAACACACCTCACCAAGCTCAGCCACCAACTTAAAAAGGACTGGACAATACTTTTACCACTTTCCCTTCTCAGAAGTGAAACCCATCCTCAGAATGCTACAAGGTACAGCCCATTTAAGCTCCTGTATAGACGCTACTTTTTATTAGGCCCCAGTCTCATTCCAGACACCAGACCAACTTCCCCCAAATAACTTGTCATCCCTACTATCTTCTGTCTACTCATACTCCTATTCACTGTTCTCAACCACTCATACATGCCCTGCTCTTGTTTACACTGCCGGTTTACACTGTTTCTCCAAGCCATCACAGCTGATATCTCCTCGTACTATCCCCAAACTGCCACTCTTAACTCTTGAAGTAAATAAATCATCTTTGCTGGCAGGAATATGCTGAACCTCCTTAGGCACTCTCTAATTAGATGTCCTAGGTCCTCCCAATTCTTAGTCCTTTTTTACCTGTTTTTCTCCTTCTCTTATTCCATTTAGTTTTTCAATTCATACAAAACCGTATCCAGGCCATCACCAATCATTCTATATGACAAATGTTTCTTCTAACAACCCCACAATATTACCCCTTACCACAAGATCTCCCTTCAGCTTAATCTCTCCCACTCTAGGTTCCCACACCGCCCCTAATCCCGCTTGAAGCAGCTGTGAGAAACATCGCCCATTCTCTCTCCATACCACCCCCCCCCCAAAAATTTTCGCCGCCCCAACACTTCAACACTATTTTGTTTTATTTTTCTTATTAATATAAGAAGGCAGGAATGTCAGGCCTCTGAGCCCAAGCCAAGCCATCGCTTCCCCTGTGACTTGCATGTATAGGCCCAGATGGCCTGAAGTAACTGGAGAATCACAAAAGAAGTGAAAAGGCCCTGCCCCGCCTTAACTGATGACATTCCACCATTGTGATTTGTTCCTGCCCCACCTTAACTGAGTGATTAACCCTGTGAATTTCCTTCTCCTGGCTCAGAAGCTCTCCCATTGAGCACCTTGTGACCCCCGCCCCTGCCCACCAGAGAACAACCCCCTTTGACTGTAATTTTCCATTACCTCCCCAAATCCTATAAAACGGCCCCACCCCATCTCCCTTCACTGACTTTCTTTTCGGACTCAGCCCACCTGCACCCAGGTGAAATAAACAGCCATGTTGCTCACACAAAGCCTGTTTGGTGGTCTCTTCACACGGATGCACATGAAAGGGATAATAATCAAATTATCACCAAAATACCCACACTTAAATACTTAGGAGGAAAGCATCAGAGTACTAGCTCTGGCTTTAGTGTGAAGAAACAGGGAAAACATTTTATTGAGGATATGTGTCAGCATTAACAATGTAAGAAGGGAGGAGATAGATTTCCAAGGATGAAGCAATATATACAATTTCCTTCAGTTAAGAGGGAGGCAGGCAACATGGAAAGTGAAAAGGCCTTAGTGGCTAGAAGGTAGAGAGTGGGAGCAGGTGTGAGGACTCTATGAGATGAGATGGAACAGGGAGTCATGAAAGGAAGTGCTTTATGGGCCACATGAAGGGGGTCAGCCTTTCACCTAGGAGCTAAGGAAATTTTATATTAGATGATTACACAGAAATAACATCAATAAGTAGTTTCACATTCTGAAATGATGACTCTGGTTGCAACAGGAATGTAATCAGAGAGAAGCATGAAAGAATGCTAATAAACAAAATAAGAAGCCATGGCAATTGTCTCTGTGATGGCTTTATCTTGTGTAGAGATATTTGGATAAGAAATAATTGTAGGAGAAAAGATGAATTGTACCTGATGATGGATTGACTGTGCAACAGTGATTGAGAGAGTAGGTTAAGATGTTTCCTAGGCTTCTAATTTCTCATTTGGACATTGACTAAGTAGTGAAAATGTTTTACATGGTACAGAACTTTGAAAAGAAACAGGTTTTAAGAGACAGTCAGTAGGGTGGTAAATGGTTACAATAACCTGCCTTTGAAATATCCAGTTTAGAGATGTTTAATGAGCAGCAGGACAATATTAACTTAAATTTGGCATATCTGCAATATTTTAATTATTTCAATTAATATGAAGAATAGTTTGAAATGTGCAAGAATTTGTTATGGGGGTATTATTGGTAGTTGCTTAATAATTCTAAGTCAAATTAATATGCACATCTAATCAAAATTAAATAGTACAGATGAGACTGCAATGAAAAATACTGTCTCTGGCCTTCATCTGTCCTCATGTCCAGTAACATTCCCAGTGGGAATCGCTTTTAGCTCTTAATGACTTTTGTTCGTGTATATATAGAGAAGCAAGGAAATAAATACTATGTCTCCTCAAACGTCCATGAAGTTATCAATTTTCATTATTTTAAAGATGTTTTTAAATGTATTTCTGTTTTCTGAATTCTGTTTCCTTAGAAGTAATATTTTGGTCACTGCTGCTTCACATGGTCTTTAAACTTTTCTCAAAGACTGGTAATCATTGTTTGGCCTTCATGTTTGTTAATAATACAACATAAAAACTTACTTTGAACTATTTCTGTTGGTTAGGTTTCTTGACGGGTAGGTAGTCTTCATTTTAGAGTAAGTGAAAAGGGAGCTGCAACTTGCATCTTTGGCTCAAAAATAGCTAATTTTTGTAGCTAATTTGTAAATAAATATAGAGGTTTTGGTATAGCACATCAAGTACACAGTAGGGAAACCCTTAGTTATTTTCAGTAAATCTGTGACTTTTTTATTTTCTGTCTGGGAGTTGACAGATGCTGCTGGTCAAGATTGAGGGTTAAGTTTGGGGTAAATAGTGGGCAGGGTCAACTGTTAATTGCAACCCTTCAACTAATTCCTAAGCTTTCAGACCCATTAGCTCACTTCAGCAATCCATCACATTTACCATTTAAGTCAAGATTTATTCAGGGGGAAAAAACATTTAGAGCTTTTTCTAGACAGATTCTTTCCTTCCAAGTCATAGTCCCTTCTTTCTCTTTGTAATTGTGGTTTCTTCCACACTTTCCTTCAGTTACCACTCCTCCTCTTTCTATACCCCTCCAATTTTTTCTGTATTAATGAAAAACAAAAAAAAAATCTCACAGCAGATGACTCCTATTCAGTTGTCTTCCTAGTTGTGTATTTAATTTCTATAATTACCATTTTTGTTCATTTCTGTCATTTTTTGTGTGTTTCATATGAGAGAAGGGATAGTATGTTTGCTGTTTGGGATCAGAAACATAAATGCTATATTTACTGACATTGCTTTTTTGATTTTTTATTATTTTGAAATGACTTAATTATAATACAAGTACTATATAGCTCAGAAGACAAAGTAATTTCTTCATACAAAACTTTTCAAAGCATGTAACACAGAATAGTTCATGCCGATGCAATCTTAGGAATCTGGTATTCAAAATGTGTATAAAAATGGTGTACAAAATGTGTAATCCCAATTTCTGGTTCTTTGCCTAACAGACAATAGGCATTCAGTAAATATCTACTGAATAAATAAAAATATGTGGTAGTATCATTTTCAAAGATATATTTTTAAATTCTTTTACATCATAATGCTCTTTCTTATTTTAATTAATTCTTATACAGTCTGAGAAGATCTGGAGCTGTTTAGAGGCAATTCCAGTAATGTACCTAAATAATGTGCAAGCCTTAAGGTCGAACTGTGCATTTTCATTTATTTTTAATTCCTCAATCAAATCTAAGTACAGAGAAACTCGAATAACCAGGTTTTACAGAAGATATTTCCAATAAAGAATAGCTGTGGGATTATGCAAACGAGATTTTTCCACTAAATGGAATCAGGAGAAGCTTAAAATTAAACTTTCCATTTAACAAGACCAATGTAACTGAAGACATGGTTTTAAAAATCCATTAAGTCACTTTGGAAAAGGTAGTAAACACAGCTTCTGGAGACTAGAGAACTCCATTTGGCAATCTATACCATTAATGATACCATTTCCATTAAATTGCATGCATTCATTCCCTGTTTTACATCCTTACTTATAAAACACAATTTACACAAGGTTGTTTTGCTTTACTGCTTGAAAGAATCTGTTATAATAAAAAAGAATACTCTTACCTATACCATTTTACACTGAAAGAAGTAGCCATCTATATCACCATCACTTCGAATGCAATTTCTTTTTCTATTCTTTCATTAAAGTGAGATTCATTACAGCAATATTTGCATGTTCAAATCTTCAAATAATTAGAAATACACTGGTGAGGGAGAGGTTTCTCAACAAACACTAGAGTATTCTTAAATAGAAATGGTAATATTTGCTATTAATGTAATATTCTTTCTTTCCTTTTTATGGTGAGAAGAATTGTGATTCACATGTTCATATGTTAGCATGGTTTATGTGACATTTTAAATCGGGTCACCTGGATTATGGGCATTCTTTAACAGAACTGGAAGGCCCAGCAATAAATTCTTCCTATAAATTTTGTATAAATAATTTGTTAATTAAAATGACTATGTAATAACACTACCCATATTTGAAATAATCTTAATTTGATCATAATATATTGTAAGGTGGTAAATGTTTTAAATTCTTGCCAACAACATTTGCCTGTCGTCTGAATGCAAGATCTTCCAACATACCGTTTTATGTGTGTCGCTTACTGTAACACTTACTTTACCATGTAGGAGTCCTAAAGCTTTATTTAAAGATTTTCTACAAGTGAAAATTTATTTTCTACAATTCCATTTGGCACTAAAATTCCAATGGCAGTCAGGTGTCATTTCTGTGTGATCGAAAAAATTGGCCACTGTTATTTACTTGGCAAAAGATTAGCATGTTCACGATTGAGACTTCGCAATAGAGCTTTGCAATTTTATTAGGGCCAGCCTATGATGAATGTTTTTATTCATGACCTTAGCAATGTACAGATATTAAATGTAAAAAGATTTAGTTACTTCATTTAGTTCCAGGTCATCCTTTTCCACCTCACCTCAAGAGGCCCATAGATAAAGAAAATATAGTATATTGTAGATGGTAAATGTTAGATCCTGCTAACAAATAAGAACTCGATGTAATATGAAAGTATGTTTGATTGTGGTAAAACAAATGTATTTTAAAAATAACTGCCAGGGCATTCAAAAGCTTAAAAAGAGCCTTAATAAGAGTATTTCTTCCAATTTTCATTACACATATATTCCATAGTATTACTAAATGATGTACATTTAATTTAAGAACAAAAAAAGTCAATGTCTGGATTTCTGGTGCCCTTTGAAATAATGTAAACAAGTCATTTTAGTAATGTAACAATACTTAATTTTGTAAAATAATGTTCCAATGAGTGAGAACTTCTGTGTTACAGGATATTAAACCCACATGGAAATAAGAAGTGTTTGTACATATTACAAAGTTATTTTTTATTTGATGAAATGTAATGTTATCTATGCTCTTTCATAATTTTTCTTAGTTGTCACTAAATCTACATTTTTTATTATTTTATTTGTAGCTCTTTTTATATTTTGCATTCACCCAAATATAAATGTTAAGTACAAAGAATTGGCTCACTGATTAATAATGATTGATACTTTATTTCTCATTCTGTATTAATTAATTTAAATCAGACTATACGTATAAATATAATAAATAAAAAATAGAAAAATTTAAAGTTTTGGCTTTCCCATAAATGTCACTACACTAGGCAGGCAAAATATAGAAAAACTCATCATCATTTTATTTTATAGTCTAACTTTCTTGTGGGGAGTCAGTGATTTTTTTTCATTTTAAATTTAGCCTTCATGGAGTTTTAGTTATTTGGTTTTATCCAAGAAAAGCAACTAAATGCCAAAACATTTTACATAGTGGGCTAAAGATAGGAAGTGCACATATGTATGGCATGTGTTCTATACATTATTAGATCTCTGCCTTCATTTCTAATGCTAATACAATCATGTGAAGAGTTAAGCAAAAATGTCAGGTACTATATATTTAATATAAATACATATTATTGTTAATAAAAGGGAAATCGATGTGTGCGGAAGTAATCTAGGAATGTTTCTCAGAATAGACAAGCCATGAAAAAGAATAAAAAGAACTAATATTTAGAAATACTAATCTTATTTTCTTCACAACAACTGTATGAATTGACACTATTACTGTCCCTATTGTTAAAATGAGCAAAATGAGACATAAAGTGATTAAATAAGTTCTCCAAAAATCACAAATCTAGTAAGTGTTGGACTAAAATATTAAACCTAGATACTATAGTTCTAACCTATGTTGCTGCTCAAACAGGTAGGGTTTGAGTCAGAAAGGCTCCTAGCTCACCATTATCTCAATTCTGTATGGCATACTCCATGAGTATGGGAGGCATTCATGGTTCTTATCAAAACTATTTTTCCTAATGAATGTCTAGGCTATCTGTGTGTGTGTGTGTGTGCGTGTGTGTGTGTGTGTGTGTGTCTACACTTAGTTAAAACTTATTCTCAAGACTTCTGCATTGAGTGTTATTTTATATTTAAATTTTAATACAATATTTTGTTGATTTTTGCATCAGTTTATATAAAACAGTTACATAGAATGTCTGTCATTACAGAAATAAATTATGACTGCATTTATGAAATTGTGAGTTTATTTATTATATTTTACTCAGAGTGAATGAATCTTTTTTTAAAATAATATATCTATGATAATAAAATTTGCAACAAAAATTATTTTGATACCAAAACATAGCATTAATACATACAAACTGTACTTCTGATTCTTTCTAATACAAAATAATTATCTTTTAAAATTACTCTTAAAAAAGCAGTACTCGGCCGGGAGCGGTGGCTCATGCCTGTAATCCCAGCACTTCACGAGGCTGAGGCTGGTGGATCATGAGGTCAGGAGATCGAGACCAGCCTGGCTTACACGGCGAAACCCCGTCACTACTAAAAATACAGAAAATTAGCCGGGCGTGGTGGCAGGCGCCTGTAGTCCCAGCTACTCGGGAGGCTTAGGCAGGAGAATGGCGTGAACCTGGGAGGCAGAGCTTGCAGTGAGTGGAGATCACACCACTGCACTCCAGCCTGGGCGACAGAGCGAGACTCTGCCTCAAAAAAAAAAAAAAAAAAGCAGTACTGTTGTTAGTACAAAACTTCAAAAATATCTATACCAATGACTATAATTTTTAATATATAATATCAAACTCTGTATTGGCAATATGGAAACATTTATTTACTGGTCAGGTAATAAATGTCTGCAGGCAAAATGAAATTTATTTCTCATCTATATTTATTATTCTTATTAATCCATTTATCTAAGTATCTTTATGGTTAACAAAAACCCCAGAGAAAAGTAGAATAAATAATGCATCTATATATAATTTAAATGTAAAAATGATGTATGTGATGGAATTGCATTTACTGTTCCTGATCATCTCTGGTTCTCTGCTTCCGTTTATGCTTAATTATTTTGGTAGTTAAAAGTCTTATTTTTTGCTACTTATTGTTCTTCTTCTGAATCCACCACCGTAAAAAAAGCAAATAAATATCCTAATCTTTTATTTCACCCCTAAACCATTATACTCACCAGGCAATTGGTGTTGTAGAATAAAGTAATGAATAATCAGATTTGGCAAGAAGTTACCTTTTGCTGAGTTACCCCACCTCTTCTCTCACAAGTAAGACAAATCACTTAAATTCTCAGAAGCACCTGCTTTCTCATATTTAAAATAGGGTAATAAAATCTGTGTTGCAATATTTTTGAGGTATTAGACATACTATTTGCAAAGTTTATATCAATTATCTTTTAATATAGAATAATTTGTGATAGCTATTGAAATGATTATGATTATAATATAAGATTTATAGACAAATGTATGGATTAAAAATGAAGGAAGAGTGCTGGGAGATTTCTCAGACAAAAGAAGCTGACGAAATCTTATATCTAAAATATAATCTAATTTATGGCACTATTTTCATTTAAAATTTATTGTGGCCACTGGTAACAATAGAAATAAATCGGCCTCGTCAATGTAATAGTCAGTATTCTCATTCAATCAACCTCACCTTACCACTACTGAATCATATTAGCATACATTTGTCCAGTAGTGTGAGGCCTGCCCTTCATTGAGAACATTTTCATAATCACATACAGGGCCTTAGAACTTGCCATAATTTTGAGTTTATAACAGCTTAGCTTCAGAGAAGCTAATGCAGAAATAGACACTAGTATCTGAAAGAAGTCAGCAGCATTGTTTAAAACTTACTATGTGTCTGTAATGGTTAATTAACTTTAGAAAATTACCATTGCCACTGGAAAGTATGAATTTATAAACAAACAATCCAAAAAGGACTTTCTAGAAGAAGTGTAAAAAATAGTTTATGGTCCTCACTTTTTTGTTTTTTTTTTCAATCTCAGGCCCTGTATAAAATTTCTCAAGGCTAGGAACTCTAGATGCTCAAGACTGGCTGACTAATGAGTGTGGTTGTTGTTAATCCAATAATTCTTGGATTATTCAGTGACATCATATCTTTCACTAGACTATAACTATTTAAGTGGCAGGGCCTGCATATTTTTCTTTCTTCATATTTTTATAGTATTTCTATAGAACTAATTAACTTATTTTGGCTGGAATGCCTACAGGCATAAACTATGAATATTTTCTGAGTACTTTTTAACCAGAATAGAAATTCAAATACACAATATGAATTAATTGAGAAATTATCAACTAAATAAAAGGGCTAAAATTATTAAAAAATTGGTTACTTCATAATTTAAGAGGAATGAGTAAAAAGGAAGGATGACTTCACATACTATCTAGTGTACTAATCATGAAATTTATTTCACCTTAAATTAAGAAAGACATCATGATAGAGAGCAGAGGGACTGAGTTCGTAAGTAAGGAAATTTTCACCAGTGATTCATCCCTGTCAATTAGCCTGCGTTCTGAAAATCATGGTGTATTATTCTTGGTCTACTTTACTATTTGGTATGTGGCTTTAGAAACTTTTCTTTTTCCATTCTGTACAATCAGGAAATAAGACTTAACTCTAAATTATATTCTATACTTTGATTCCTAACTGATTTATAAAAAAAAAAAATCCTTGGCTCAATATTTCATTAATTTTCCTTATGCCAATGTAACTTAGTCTTAACCATCATATCTCATCTTCATTTATTTTTCTTAGCAAAGAGCTTTGCATATAATGACATCATCATAAAACATATTCTTATGTCACTCAGGCCACCTAAAATATCTTTAATAAAAATGGATAATGAACAACACTTAAAATTGTTCCCAAAATAAAACTTGCTTTCGTAGTCACACATGCTTATGTGCAATAAATCACTGCTGAATCACAAGCCAGATGTATAGGGTTTAAAGGAAAATGGAAAACTAAATCATTGGATATAAATATCTATTTATAGTGTCATTTCCTTAATAAGGGAGAGAATGAATTTTTAAAGGACATTTTTGTTGTTAAAGGCGGGATGTGATGATTGGCCATGCATACTTTCTAATGACGTAGCAGACACTGCCACTTGCCAGCCCACATCCATTTTTCCCCTTTTTAGAGATTTTTAAGTAGGATTGTTAGCTGAATATCAAGTTTTCCAGAATAAAGATGTGATTTTTTGCAGCCTAGTTTTAAGATATATATGGCAATGGAATAATATGCAGGCAAGCACTTGTGAAGAAAAACAACGTGTGCAACTTGTGGGCTATACCTTTGGAGACAGAGACTTGCCATCTACTTCTCCTTTCTCTACAGTGTCATATATTCAAGGTTACCCTGCATATGACTTGTTTACATGATTTTCTACAGTAATTATTAACAGAACCATTTTCCATTCTCAGTTTGAACAAAAGTTCTGTGATATCTCTACCTTCGTCCTTTTCATTTTGTAGAATGTTGAAAAGGAGGCAGATAATCTGAGGCCATATGGCGAGGGCAATCTCTTAGGCATGCTGACACTACAATATAGAAGAACCTCAGGCCTATGATGATTTTGTGAAGCAGAAGCCCCTTCCCACTTGGACGTTTATGTTGAAGAACAATAAACTTAAATCCTGTTTCATCCACTATTTATTTTTGGTCTCTGGTCCACACATCTGAACTTACAGCCTAACTAATGCAAAAGTCAACATATTAGTTGTAAATTTTTTATTGTTTTCTAATACATCTTAGCTACATTGAATTAAAGTCAGTATTAAGACTAAAATAAGAACTCAGATTTTCTTTTTTTTTTTTTTTTGAGATGGAGTCTTGCTCTGTCACCCAGGCTGGAGTGCAGTGGCACAATCTTGGCTCACTGCAAGCTCTGCCTCCTGGGTTCATGCCATTCTCCTGCCTCAGCCTCCCGAGTAGCTGGGACTACAGGCACCCACCAACATGCCCGGCTAACTTTTTGTATTTTTAGTAGAGACAGGGTTTCACTGTGTTAGCCAGGATGGTCTCAATCTCCTGACCTCGTGATCCGCCAGCCTCGGCCTCCCAAATTTCTGGGATTACAGGTGTGAGCCACCACGCCTGGCCAGAACTTAGATTTTCAAATGAATTTCATAAGCCAAATTCTAACATCAAATATTCTTAAACTTCTGTCAAGCTAACTTTTAAAATACATTCTAATGATTTTTCTTTATTGAGGGAAAACAATATTAATCCACTAAAATGTTTATTTTTCTATTGTAGGCAAATAAAAAAGGAATGCTAATCAAGTGATCACACTAAGTTTTTCTAGCAATTATTTTTGCTATGAATTTTAGATTTAGCTTTCTCTCTAAAAACATTTCAGCCAATACTAAGAAACCACTGTTGGTGATTGTATTAGACCATTTTCACACTGTTGTGAAGAACTGCTTGAGACTGGGTAATTTATAAAGAAAGAGGTTTAATTGACTCACAGTTCAGCATGGCTGGGGAGGCCTCAGAAAATACAGTTATAATGGAAGGCAAAGGGGAAGCAAGGCACCTTCTTCACAAGGTGGAAGGAAACAGTGCAGAGTGAAGGGGGAAGAGCCCTTTATAAAACCATCATATCTAATGAAAACTCACTAACAGGAGAACAGCATGGGGGTAAATGCCCCCATAATCCAAATACCTACACCTGGTCACTCCCTTGACACATGGGGATTCTGAGGATTACAATTCAAGATGAGATTTGGGTGGGGGCACAAAGCCTAACCGTATCAGTGATCTTATAACAGAGAAGGAGTGTGTGATTCAGAACTAATTGTTTTGTTATTTACTTGGAACTGGTACCCTAAGATCAAAAATGATTTCATAATTATTTTTACTGTATATGAATAAGAGACTATCTTTGAATAATTGCTGAGACCAGCTCAGTCGGGGAGACCCTAACCCAGCAGCACTTAGAGAAATTAAAGACACACACACAGAAATATAGAGGTGTGGAGTGGGAAGTCAGAGGTCTCACAGCCTTCAGAGCTGAGAGCCTCGAACAGAGATTTATCCATGTATTTATTGACAGCAAGCCAGTGCTCAGCATTGTTTCTATAGATTATAGATTAACTAAAAGTATTCCTTATAGGAAATAAAGAGATGGGCTGAAATAAAGGGATGGGTTTGGCTAGTTATCTGCAGCAGGAGCATGTCCTTAAGGCACAGATCGCTCATGCTATTGTTTGTGGTTTAAGAATGCCTTTAGTGGTTTTCCGCCCTGGATGGGGCAGGTGTTCCTTGCCCTCATTCCGGTAAACCCACAACCTTCCAGTGTGGGTGTCATGGCCATCACGAACATGTCACAGTGCTGCAGAGATTTTGTATATGGCCAGTTTTGGGGCCAGTTTATGGCCAGATTTTGGGAGGGGGGGGCTGTTCCCAACACATCCCCCTTCTTTGATTTGCAAAACGATAAAAGCAAAGGCAGCTTTGTCATGGTGAGCTACTTCTTGCAGGAGTCAGGATCTGCATCTGCAGACTATGCAAAGACAAAAAACACAGATTAAAAGCACAATCATAATTGAAATCACAGAGCTTCCAAGTGTTTTTATCCATTTTAATGGGTTGCTAGCTGCTAACATATCTGCAGCTCTCAGTGCTCCGGTTCCTGGCATTAAGGTCAGGTGTGCCTGGGAAGCTTTAAATATATATATTTTTTAATTTTGCAATATTCAAAGACAAGTTTGTAGAGTGTCCTTCTAGATGCTTCTTTATTCTTTCCTAAATTTTGATCTTGTTAAGAGCTATTAATAGTTTCCACAAATCCTTATGTTTAGCTCCTACAATGGGCCATATCATTTGGGGTTGAGGTGCCACTGTGCTGCCATGGTTCCAGATAATAGGAACTCTTGCCGTTCTTCTTATCATTTCTACCATCTGACCATTTTGTTCAGACCAGATGAACATAGTGTGTCCATGGCACATAGACTGAGGGGTGCAATTCAAGCTAAACATCCCCTTAGGGGACCAATTTCATAATGATTCCATAGAATCATTGCGCAGCACCTCTGCCTGTTCTGCAATGCAATCTTCCTAAACAAGTACCTTCATTTTTTCTGGCCAGGTCCACTTCTGTTTACAAATAGGTTTTTGAGGACGGTATGCCTCAATTATAGGAGCAGATTTATTATGGTAAATGCTGAGATCAGAAAGCATGTGTAACTGTGTCATAGAGTGATTACACCCAGGCATTATTGCCAGCCAAGATTGATAAATATGCCCAATAAGTATAATTGTTCTCTGTGTCAGTCCTTGTTGAAGGAATATTCATGGCAATGGTGATCACCGCTATCATAGCTACCATTAAATTACTCATTGTGACTGGCTGTCCTGCTTTCCTCAGGTTTTCTTCCATCATCTGTGACAACTTCTTGATCTGTGCCCAGGTGGGTGGCTGTGTTTGACAGGTGTTGCTCGTGAAAGTTGGGGTCCTCCTCAGCATCAGCCTCGACATGGCTGCAACCGAAGGGTCCTCGGGATCCTCCCAGAATCTCTTCCTTGGCATCTGGCTCATGATAAGGTTTCAGATGTGTTGATGGTATCCAAATTGGCTGTTGATTTTGGCCTGGAGAAACACAAGCATAACCTCTACCCCAAGTTATTATCTTACCTATTTTCTAACTTTTGTTATCAGATTGCATTAGCAACCAGGCAATCAGCCATTTGATTCCCTTTAGTTAAATGTCCTGGAAGAGGTGTATGAGCCCTAATGTGAGTGATGTAAAAAGGGTGCATTCTACTCCTAACTGCTGTTTGAAATTGGGTAAATAAAATCATCGGTTGTTTATCTGTATGAAATCATAACTGAGCATTTTCAATTAACCGTGTGGAATGAACCACATATGAAGAATCAGAAATCACATTAATAGGCATCAAAAGCAGTCAATACCTCAATTGCAGCTACAAGCTCCACTTTTTGAGCTGAAGCATAGGGCATCTGGAAAACTTTACCTTTTGATCCAGAATAAGAAGCTTTACCATTACTAGACCCATCTGTAAAACAATGAAAACGCTTAGTAGGCTGCAGGTTGTTTACTGCAGGAATTGTAAATGCAAATTGTTCAGTCTTGCTCAGCTAAGGGGATAGTAAAGAAACAATCTTTTAAATCTATGACTATTAAAGGCCAATTTTAAGTCCTCTAAAGCCTCCAGTTTCTTTTTACTCAGTGGCCATTGTTCTATCCAAATTGGCTTGTCTGTTAACCATTTTGAAGGTATAGGTTCTGGAGGCTTAACAATGGCTGCCATCAAAAATGATACCCTAAACCTTGGTGAGAACTTTGTCTTTCCCCTTGAAGCAGTTCCTTTAAACCTTGCAAATTTTTTCCTAGTCCCATACCGGGGACATACCCCATTTCATGCATCATATATTGACTTTGAGGGCTATATAATTGTTCAGGAATTAGAACTTGTGCTCCTCATTGTTGTAATAAATCTCTTCCCCATAAATTTATAGGTACAGAAGTTATAATTGGTTGAATAGTCCCAGGTTGTCCATCGGGCCCTTCACAGTGCAAAATATAACCACTTTGATATACTTCAGGGGCTTTACCAACTCCAGCTATGTTAAATTGAGCGGGTTGAATTGGCCACGCAGATGGCCAGTGCTGTAGAGAAATGATTGAAATGTCCACTCCTGTATCTCCCAAACCTTTACATTTCTTTCCCTGAATAATTATTTCACAGTTAGGATGTTTATCAGTAATTTGATTTACCCAATAAGCTGCTTTGTCTTGTTTATTTGTGCTTCCAAATCCTCCTGTTCTTTTCATTTCACTTTTCCCCATTCCCACATATGGCACAATCAGGAGCTGTGCTATGTGCTCTCCTGGCTCTGCTTTCCGGGAAACAGAAGTAGATATAACCATTTGAATTTCTCCATTGTAATCTGAATCAGTGAGTCCTGTATGTATTTGTACCCCTTTTAAATTTAAACTAGACCTTCCTAGAAGTAATCCTATCATCCCCGCTGGCAAGGGTCCACAGACTCCTGTTGGGACTTTTTGCAGGGGTTCCCCAGACAGAAGGCTCACAGCATTTGTGTAGCATAAATCTACTGCAGCACTACCAGCTGTGGTGGGGGACAGACATTGTACAGGGGTGAGGGAATGGCCTGAGCCGGAAATGCCCCAGTTTGGAACGGGGCCGGGCCGGGCCCCTCATGATGTTTCCCAAATTTAAAAGGAAAATGCTCAAATGTGGCTATAATATGGCCCTGTTGATCTGGGGGGTGTATTCTAACAGGGAGCTGCCAAGCCTCTAAATCACCCTCTCATCTAGCTTGCTGAATTCCTGCCTGAATAGTACTGAGAGCGGTTCCTCCAGGTGCTGCTCGAACAGTCACTGGGGTACCTACTTTTCACTCAGTGTCCTCTGGAAAAGAAAGATCTGGAGGGTCAGGCCACTCTTTTTCTTCAAAATAATAATGAGGGGGTGCAGAAGGGTAGGGATGAACCTCTTCCTCCTTTGCTGCTTTAGCTTTAGCTGGTAAACAACCCTGCTCTGTAAACTCTTCTGTTACTTTGTTATACTCTCCTTCCTCCTCATCATCAGTGTGAAAAGGTTCCAAGGTGGAACGAACCAGAGCCCAGATTGTCCCACTGTTACCCTGATACTTCTGAGCTCCCCTTCTTACTCACCGTGGGGATTCCTTTAAGAGTACTCGGGTGTCCTGCATCTTAGTTACACTTTCTCCAACCATCACTTCAGCGACCCTTCGACCTGGATTCAAGTCCCCATGTATGGGTGCTGCTTGCCGAGACCAGCTCGGTCAGGGAGATCCTAACCTAGCAGCGCTAGAGGAATTAAAGACACACACACAGAAATATAGAGGTGTGGAGTGGGAAATCAGGGGCCTCACAGCCTTCAGAGCTGAGAGCCTCAAACAGAGATTTACCCATGTGTTTATTGACAGCAAGCCAGTGCTAAGCATTGTTTCTATAGATTATAGATTAACTAAAAATATTCCTTATGGGAAATAAAGGGATGGGCTGAAATAAAGGGATGGGTTTGGCTAGTTATCTGCAGCAGGAGCGTGTCCTTAAAGCACAGATCGCTCATGCTATTGTTTGTGGTTTAAGAATGCCTTTAAGTGGTTTTCAGCCCTGGGTGGGCCAGGTGCTCTGGTAAACCCACAACCTTCCAGCATGGGCATTATGGCCATCATGAACATGTCACAGTGCTGCAGAGATTTTGTTTATGGCCAGTTTTGGGGCCAGTTTGTGGCCAGATTTTGGGGGGCCTGTTCCCAACAAATAATAATTATAGTTTTTGATATAAATACTTGGATATAGTATTAGATATTATATAAAACTGTTTTTAGTAACACAAGGGAAGTCTGTGGTCCCAGGTAAACAACCCTTTGTTCAAATTTTATCAATTATGTAGAACTGTCTAGTTAAAATCTGTCATGTTTGAATTTTATTTCCATTGAATGCTTCCTTTTTGCTTAATCTCCAAGACTGACTTTTTGTCAGAGTCCATGTGATGAAGTTCCTTTCCTGAACTACCCAAAAATGTGTGCATTACAACCAACAGGAAGTCAGTCACAGGCTCTGAGCCTCTGCATACTCTGACATATTCTGATTCCCCTGTATATTTTCATTTTTGCAGGATATTGACTCACTGTGATGGAACTAATCTTAAGTATCAAGGAATAGTAACAAAGTTTTTTCAAACAGAAATGATCAGCTTAATCTACAAGACATCAAAATGCATCATAGGCATTTGCTGGATAAACTACTGTGCTAGATGTCTACTGGTTGCAACAATTTACATATAAAGACCTGAACTCCCTTCCTTATCATTTTATAAACTCCCTGAAAATCACTCCAATATTCTTTGGTGTGTTAATTCTTTCTCAGCCACTGAATATTTAATCATACTTTGTAATCTCTCTGCCCACCTATTTGGCAGGGTATTTGAAACCTTCCCATTCATTACTTATTTTCTACCCTCATAATGTGTTCTCAATACAATAATTTAAACAAGTATTTCACCTATTAAAAAATCAGTTACTTTGGATGGGAAAACTAAATCACTTCCCATTTTTGTGGCATACTACCCTTATTCTGATTTCAATAATGTCATTTAAGCTTTCCTCTATGTCAAAAAATAGTGTTCTTTTTTCCTGTTATCTAGGTCTTATCCATACTTTGGGGTCTTGCTTCAGTATACTATTTTTTATTTTATTCAACTAATGTAGAATCCATTATTTATGACATTCATTTATTTGTTCTCAGTCTGAGCCCTCTTTTGGTTCCCAGGGAGCAAAAATACAGGTTTTTTTCCTTCATAGAACTTACCTTCTAGTAGGGAGACAAAGGTGCTTACTTAAAAGAGTTCTTAATTATATTACATAAATTACCCACAAATATATAGATGTGTTCACAACTATGATAATAGAAGGCAGTAACTTTTATGTGACATACAGTTGCTTCAAATAAGGCTAAGGAATTCTAGTTAGACAAAGAAGATAACTCTTCTAGTTTTGAGGATCAGGGGAGACTTCATATAGATAATAGAAAAGAAAACCAGGGCTAAGTAGACAACTAAGAGGATTGTCTTTTGAGAAGGCAAGATCTGGAAAATAGCTCTAAATATGAATAACCAATGGCACTCTAGACAGGTAGTCAGGGGCAAGAGTGCTTACCAAAGAGAAGTAGCTAAGATGCCGAGAGTGTTTGAAGAACATGACAATAAAGACTGTCAGTTAATAGGTTGATCTAAGAAGACAGATTGCCAACATATATGAGGTTAGCAGTTAGCAGAGTATGCAGAGCAGTTCTGGAATTGCTTCAGTAAAATTGTGTTATAACCAAAGATCAAATCTTTAAGACCAGGAGTTGAAAATAAGACTACCAGAGCAATCTTATGTGGTAACGCAGCTTATGTACTTTCTTGAATCTAAAGGGTATTATTTGTATCATGACTATGTGACGGGACCTCCAAGCCCATCCCTAGACTGAGAAGAGTACAATATTAATATCTATAAACAGGAGACTTACCTCACAAAGGACTTCTAAAAATGACTTATTTCTATAAAGTCACTTAAAAATTTATTCCATATTTCAGACAGCACCTTTTATTTTGATATTGCATTTTTTTTTGCTACAAAACACACTATCTCACTGTGATAGTCCAGTAATATAATTTGAGGAAAAAAATCGAACTTATCAATTCATTCAACAAAATAGTTTCTAGTCAGAGAATTTCATAAATAATAAATTTGTCATGCCATGTTTTAATAATCCCATAACAGTTCATATGGATGATGTGACATTTGATGGGATATTCTGCTGCTTGATTTATAGCCAGGAGAAACTAGAGACTGAATAATCAGTTGGGCATGTATTAACTCTAAATTTACTTTCAAAGATTAACCCAGATACCTCTGTTCTGACACAAAAGTAGGACATTCATGAGAATAGAAAGTTTGATGTTGTAAAAACAAATGCAAAAAGTTATTCCTGAGAAGTGCAAGTTAATTCTGTAGGATGAAGAGAGTAAAGATGCCTGAAGATGAGAATTTCTGGAAAAGGAAACTATATATTGGGAAGGAGTGAAATCCAGAGGAATAAAGAACTAGAGCCAAGAGACACAGTTTAGCAAACAAAGAATTGCATAAAGAAGGATACAGGGTCATTTGATTGAAAAAGAAATAATAACTGACAAAATGAATAAAATTATAAAGAAGCCAAAGTTATTTAACATATGTTAATGACACAAACTTACAGCAGTTTCTATATTGTGATTGTAAAGGAGGTTATTTTACAGACAATTGTGGAGCAAGAGAAAATGAAGAATATAGACTAATCAGAGGAGTTGCAAGTAAAAGAAAGAAATGAATCTAAAACATCAGATTACCTAAATTCTTTAACATTTTCTTAGCTAATTCAAACTCTTCCCCTTTACTCTACCATTGCAACTTATTTCCATAGTCTAATCCTAGTCTTTGACATTGCCAAAGACAAGAACCCTTGCATTGTGTTGATTTCATGCATACTACTCTGTGGTCATCTTTTTCTATTTTGCTAGCTTGCTTTTTAATAATTCACCTTGGAACTCTCTGACTCCTGAAGGCTCTACATCCTATTGAACTAATATTAACACTGAAAAGAACACTGAATAAAACCCCAGGAATACAGAAGCTCTGAGTGGACTGTACACTTGAATTTTAAAGCGAATTATAAAAGTTCTAGATATTAATGTAATAGAATATATTCAGGATTTTATGACAGGAAAAAATTCTTAGAGAGGACACAGAAAAAAAACAAGCTTAAGGAAAATGGTTGATCAAATTTACTACATCAAAACATTGTTAAGAATAAGAAAAGGGAACCTTAATATGGGAGAAGATATTTGAAAAACTTGTACAACATTTCACTGAAAGCATATCTGATTGATCACTAAATGTGAAAATTTGCACAATACCATTACTAATCATGAAAAGGCTCATTGAAACACAATAACATGTTTACACCCCCACAGAAATAAAATAATTATGAAGACTAACAATACCAGTGGTGGTAGGAATATAGAGCAACAGGCATTTTCATACACTGCTTGTGAGTGAATAAATTAGCATAATTACCTCCCGAAAAATGTTTGACATTTTCTATTAAGCTGAACATAGTCATAGCATAAAACAAGAAATTCCACCAAAAAAGAATGTGTTAACAGAAATGCATATACATGTAAAAGCAAACACAGGCAGAAAAATATTCACAGTAGTATTACTTTAATAGCTGAAATTAGTAACTGCCCAGATAATCACATTAGCTGAATGGGAATTTAAATAAAGAAAAAAAATCATAAAATATTAATACCATACAGCAATGAAAATGAATTTATTATAGCTATATGTAACAGCATAGGGGAATACCATAGTCATAATAAAGAGAAACAAGCCAGACACAAGAGAATACATACTGAATGATTCCAATTATATTAATTCCAAAAAGTAGCAAATTGTCATACCAGAAGTCAAGATTGCAATTAACTTTGAGGACTAATGAGGGTATTGACTGGGAGGTGGCACAGATGAAACTAATAGAATGTGGTCAATATTCTGCTTCTTGACCTGGTTTTGGTTGTAGAGGTATTTGTTTTGTGATAATTTATTGAGCTGTACTTTTATAATGTGTGTAATTTTATCTATATGATTAACACTACACAAAAATGGTAAAAGAAAAAACAACATGCAAATAGAATCATGTTGGCTGACTTCACTCTAAAATCATTAATTAGGTCTTTGAGTAGGACATAAATTCTGCCAGGCAGTTATATTTGTTTCCCTTATGATTAAGAGGTTCTCCTTTTTTTTTTTTTTTTTTTTTTTGAGACGGAGTCTTGCTCTGTTGTCCAGGCTGGAGTGCAGTGGCGTGATCTCGGCTCACTGCAAGCTCCACCTCCGGGGTTCACACCGTTCTCCTGCCTCAGCCTCTTGAGTAGCTGGGACTACAGGCGCTTGCCACCACGGCCGGCTAACTTTTTGTATTTTTAGTAGAGATGGGGTTTCACCGTGTTAGCCAGGATGGTCTCGATCTCCTGACCTCATGATCCACCCATCTCAGCCTCCCAAAGTGCTGGGATTACAGGCGTGAGACACCGAGGTTTCCCTTTTGATTAAGTGCCTTTCTTTCTTGGTTTTGCATCTTGAATTATCTTAATTCAGTAGAAAACAATATGTTCTGTTGGAAATATAGAATTTGTTGTGAAAGATAGACTTGGAAGAAAAGATTAAGTATCCGTGATGTGGGGTTTGCAATAGGATTTTACTTATAGACAAATTGAATTAATGTGAATTCATATTATAATGCCATTGCTGTAGTTTAACACAGCTCCCAGCTTCATCTCTAAGTGTTTTGGGGTATAATTCTGACAATATAGACAAACTAATCTTCTTAACAGAAAAAGTGTATTTCCCTATTATTTTTTTCCTCCTCATTCTGTTCATCTCAGGGTAAGTACAAGATTGTTCTTTCATCTTCAGGTAAATTTCCAGGAACCCAATAGTGTGTTATATTTCTGGAGCTCTCCAAGCAATCCCTTGGGGCTGACCAATTTGTGTGTGTCCTCTTTGATTTGACTGAAGCATATTCATTTTTTAATGTTAAACGTAGTTTTTTCATTTAACGGAGGTCAGCTTTTTTGCTATAATTTTTTTAAAGGTCTATGACTGGAGTTGTCGCACGGAGAAGACTTTCTTGGCTATATAACAAGCACCCTACCCTCTGAGAGGACATATGTAGCTTTACTTTTAGAGGCCACAAACAAAAGAAAACACAATATAATGTTAGCTTTTTTAAAAAAGAAAAATATGGGCTAAATTTAATGCAGTATCTTCTGTTGGATCCCGAACAGAAAGAGGACATTAGTGGAAGAAAATACGGATGTTGACTAAATAGGTAGTTCAGTTAATTGGACGGCACCAGTGTTAATGGTGACATACAATTAGACACATGTAGCATGGTTTGGTAAGAGGCTAATATTAGAGAAAGTTAGAAAAAAGGATGTATGGGATAGATACTCTATATTATCTTTGGAACTGTTATATAAATCTAAATTAATTCTAAAATAATGAATTTTAAAATGCTAGAAATGAACCTTATAAGGACAGTTTTTGTGAAGGATTTTTAAAAATAAAAATAAGATTGGAAAGAAATCTTTATCACCAGATGAAGTAGAATAATTTTTGTGTGTTTACTTTTTTTCCATATTTTCCTCATGTTCTTCAATGTCTATGCAACATTTGTTAAATGAAAACACAAACATTAACATGTGCAAATGTATAAACATACAGACATCCAAAAATCCACATAGATTTCTAGATTTTTTTCTGAATTAATATTTCTGAGTTGAGGTATTTTTAAAGCAGAGATAGTTGGCACAATGTTCCTCAACTTAATCCTGGCACATGTCACTAAATCAGTTTACTTCCTGAAGACTCTTGCTCAATCTTTCTCTATTGTTTTTATGAATGCTAAATATTCAGTTTTAACAATTTTCAAATACCTGAAATGTTAATAACAGTGGCACACACGTAGGAAAGATAGGATCATTTTTATTAGAACCAGCCTTGATTCTTCAGTTTAAAATATGGCCATAAACTTTATGTAGTAAATCTCTTATTAATGTGTTAACACCAGCTGTCCTCTAGATTCTTTCTTGAAATTAGAATGTTAGTTACATGTTACATTCTTTATCAGAAATGTAAGTGCCCCAAGGTACCCACAGTATTAGGATGAAAACCTTGTCTTGCTCATCAGTCTAGTCAAGGGAGGAAACATATTATTATTTAAATTTAAATCATTAAATATTTAGTTGTTGAAGATGATGATGGTGATTATAGAGTCTCTAGAAAAATATTCAGCTATTGGCAATTAGTTATTACTAAGGCTGTGCAAGAATTTGTCCACAGTTACAAATAAGTATATATCTTTGATGAATAGATTTTTTAAGCTAACTTTTCAATGATAAGTCAGAAATTCTACTGAGGAAAGTGTGCATTTATCATTCTTCAGGAAAATATTATTATAAAAAAGCTAAGAAAACTGTTCTTATGTCTCTGACTCTGAAGTCTGATAAGGAGAACTGTGGCAAAGTTTTTTTTAATATCTTTTTTAATGGAAAATAATCTAAGGAAACCAAATAATTTTCTGTTAAAAGAGATCATTTTTTTTTCCTGAAGAAAATGTTCTCTGGCCCAGGCCACTTACTTGGACAAAGCAGCTTAAATGTTACTTCACTTTACACTTTCTAAATAGTTTGTTTTTCTTTCTAAAGGATGACATTGAGGATTCAGTTATATTTACTTTCTGTTTCCAGACACATTAGCAGTATGTTCATCACTCAAAGACATTTTACAGAAAACAGTCATCAGAGTGGCACTCATTTTTTTTTTCACTTTATTTTGTTTCATATCCACCAGATCTACAGGCTTTTGTTTCAGACATTTCTAGCTCTAGTTCTCTAAAGATAAGTTTATGTTAAGCCATGGAAATGAAGAAATTCAAACTTTGTTTTGGAAATTAGATAAAGAAAGAAGAAACAACTAGAACTGAATTTACTATCTGTTGTAATAACTAGCATATAACATGAGTATATATTCCTTTGAAGCAGACTGTATAGAGTGACATTAAATATTTTATCATGAAAACACTGTAACCACATATTGACCTCATTTTTGGCTGTGCTTATAGCTATGTCTACATAACTCAAAAATGCTTCGTTTGATTTGTTTCACTGATTAATGGTCTTAAACAACTCCATTGTTTCAGAGCAGTATACCTAACCTATATTGCAGTAACTATAAACATTCTTTGTCAAAGACTAAATTGTTGCATATGGTTGTAGGTGGTAATGTCTAATGTAAGAATTGATCTTTCTAGCAAAACTTTCAATCAAATTTTTTATTCGGAATGATCTATTACATTCTACTAAAAGAAAGGTTTTGTTCAAATACCCTTTTTTTCCAATGTATATAGAAGGCTAAGAAGGTCATTGTAGTACCTGGCATTTAAATCTAGAGTTTTCTATATAGGGTTTATCAAATTCTTCACATATGTATGCATGTCCCTAATTTTAACACAAAATATTCATGGATTACATAAAATAATAAGTGTAAGTACACATTGTTAAACAGAAGATTTCTATTGGTAGTAATATGCCATTATTTTAAATCATTTTTGGATCAAGTATGAGCAAATTAAACCAGAAACCTACTGGCATGATCAAGTTGGCCTTAGAGGAGATTGGTGTAAATCCCAAGTATATGGCTTCCATTTTTGCAATTGATGATATCCATACAATGATGAAGATGGAGTTTACAGGATATTGTGAAAGGTAGCCAAACGGTCGGGTGCAGTGGCTCGCGCCTGTAATCCCAGCACTTTGGGAAGCTGAGGCGGGCAGATCATGAGGTCAAGAGATTGAGACAATCCTGGCCAACAAGGTGAAACCCCCTCTCTGCTAAAAATACAAAAATTAGCTGGGCCTGGTGGCACTTGCTTGTAGCCCCAGCTACTCAGGAGGCTGAGGCAGGAGAATCGCTTGAGCCTGCGAGGCAGAGGTTGCAGTAAACCCAGATCGTGCCACTGCACTCTAGCCTGGCGACAGAGCGAGACTCCATCTCAAAAAAAAAAAAAAAAAAAAAAGAAAGAAAGAAAGAAAGAGACCTAGCCAAACAATGAAGGTATTTTAAAACTATTCTCAGATCAGTGGCAGCATACCTTTTCGCAGTTTATGTTGCCAAAGGCACACTTAACTACATATATAAAGAAATGGTACATAGACCTCACCTAATTGAAATATCAGATATTATGCGTTTGGCAAACACCAGTTTGGGCAATGATGCTGTTAGTGTTGGATATTATGTAAGGCATCTCTAATGTGGCACTTCAAATCCTTAGGGCCTACTTGTCTCCATTGCCCTTCCTTGTTTACCTATTATTTTTTCTTGCCTTCAATATAATTATATTCCAATAACCTTTCTTCCAATTTACTAACCATTCTAATTATTTGTTTAGTTAGTAATTTCAGATCTTGGATGTTTCAGTACTAGAATGCCTTTTTTGGTTCTCCTTCAGTGGTTTCCCATTCTTTGTTGAAAGACTTCATCTTTTCATTTATTTTGCCCATTTCTTCTTCTATTTTCTTAAACCTAATTGTCATAATGTATTTCTAAAAACCAATATTTGGGTCAGTTGTGTATCTAAGGTTAAAGAAGGCTAGACTGTTAACGTATTTTATATGAATAAAGAATGTTAGTTGTGAATAAAGAAACTTTTGCTCAGATAATCATTAAATTGATGTTTGTCCCCAGTCCTGTAGTCATTGAGAGTGGGATTCTCTATCAGACAGTCAAAAAAAATTCCAATGTGTATGGAACTTGCAGCCTACACAAGTGTCCCTACGTTGGTCAGAGAAAACTCAAAAATCAGCTTTTACCGGTAAGATAGAACTCATTTTCAACATCTGAAATCTGCACATCAGATTACCAATATCCATATTGTATCAGTGCATTCTCATGCTGCTAATAAAGACATACCTGAGACTGGGTAATTTATAAAGGAAAGAGATTTAATTGACTCACAGTTCAGCATGGCTTGGGAGGCCTCTGGAAACTTACAATCATGGTAGAAGGGGAAGCACACATGCCTTTTTTTTGGAGACAAAGTTTCACTCTTGTTGCCCAGGCTGGAGTGCAATGGTGCAGTCTCAGCTCACTGCAACCTCCGCCTCCTGGGTTCAAGCAATTCTCATGCCTCAGCCTCCCAAGTAGCTGGGATTACAGGTGCCTGCCATCACGCCCGGCTAATTTTTGTATTTTTAGTAGAGACGGGGTTTCACCATGTTGGCCAGGATGGTCTCAAACTCCTGACCTCAGGTGATCCACCCGCCTCGGCCTCCCAAAGTGTTGGGATTACAGGCGTGAGCCACCATGCCCAGCCAAAACCATCAGATCTTGTGAGAACTCACTCACTATCATGAGAACAGCATGGAGGTAACCCCCTCCCCCACCATGATTCAATTACCTCCCACCATGTTCCTCCCATGATGTGTGGGATTATGGGAACTAAAATTCAAGATGAGATTTGGGTGGAAACCCAGCCAAACCACATTACATACTCTTAGATATATACTAATGAAACATTTTATTTTTTCTCCAAATTTATCCCTTTACCCTCAAGGTAAATGTTTCACATGATGATTTTCTTATTTCTGCCAACATTCCCTGTTAAGACATACTGACCAATTAAATATATTCATGAATTTTCTTTCTAAACCTAAGTATTTTACTGATTTTCTTATTTATTCAATAATCTAGCAACTTTTAAAAATCTTATGTGCAATATCTTTAAGTGAATTCTAACTTTTCCTTTGGAGCAAAGTCTACAACCATTAAGTGTCATTGCTTTTGCAACATCAATATCTAATTCTTCTTTGTACTTTACCACTAACTACATTTAGATCTTCTTTTACTTATAGTTGAAAAATTGACTTAGTCACCTTACTCTTTCCTCTACCTCATTTGTTACATGATTTTAGTTATAAACCACATACTTGTAACAAATAAATCTCACTAAAATATACCTTTGATCATGTTAGCTCATGGTTCAGAAAATTATGTTTTATGGTTTTTTTTCTTTTTGCTCAGTCTAAATTTCTAAAATAGCTATGATTTCTGGGATATCAGCTTGTTCCTTGATTGAATTACATCCTCCTGACACCCCTCAGAGAGTATAGTTATTGCTATTTTATTGATAAATACATTGAAGCTTGGTAATATTGATTTGCCAAAGGTCACAGCTTACGATTTAAGAAACTCTAATTTATAACTGTTCTGTAAGACTCCAAGGTTTTTTGTTTTTGTTGTCACCCTTACTCTCACTCTGAAACATTCACCTTCTAATGCATCCTCATAAGGAGCTCAGTGAATTACTTGTTATGGTTTGCATTCTGCAGGAGAAACACAGGACTCAGAAAATCTTAACCAGGTTATTACAACATAATACAAATATCAGTGATAAAACTTGCATTTAAAGCTAGCTCTTTGTGCCTCAAAAAGCTGTGCATCGTTCTGTACACTATGCACCCTGATATCTACATGAATTATATCATTTAAGAATTTCTAGCTATGAATACTTTCTTTCCTTAATGTAGCCAGGACTTCCACAAAATCAAATATCTTGTTTATATCTAGATACCACTCACTTTTTTCTGCCTGTTTAACGGGTTCTGTCATCATATTCCAGATGCCCAAATTCTATCTATTCTTTAAAATCTACTCTACATACCACATAGTTCAAAAAGTCATCACTAATTCTGAAATTAGAGAAAAACTCATCTTTTCTCTAAACATTCATAACATCTCTGTGTTTTTTAGAGTCCTTAAGTCTCACTTTTTTTTGTCTCCATGTTCTGCCACCTGTAGAGAATTATAAGTTCTGTGAAGATAGGATCTACTTGCCTGTGTATCCGTATTATTATTCTGGCCTATAGTTGGTACCTAAAAACCATTTAATGAGTGGATGATCACTAGTTTTCAGAAATATGTGCTATAATATCACAAATATAACATAATAAAAATTACTGCATATAGTAGAATCGAACATCAGGTCGATTTCTGAGGTTTTTACTTCAGTTCCTGGCTCCCCAGTGGCATTCCTGGACTCACCCAGGGCCTGGGGGAACTTGCTGCCCTGAAGGGAAGGACACAAATCTGGCTAAGTTTGCCACTGGTTGATTGCAGAGCTCTAGGGCCTTGACCGAACATAGGCAGTAACCAGGTAGTAGTTATAGTGAGACTTGGACAAGACTCTGTACCGTGCTTGCTTCGGGTCTGATCTAGCACAATCCCAGTAGTAGTGAACACAGGGGTGCTTCTGTCACCCCACTCCCAGCTCCAAGTGGCTCAGCACAGAGAGAGACTCCATCTGTTTGGGAGAAAGTAAAGGAAGAGAACAAGAATCTCCACCTGGTAATCCAGAGAATCCTTCTGGATCTTATTCAAGACTACAAAGGCGATACTTCTATGAGCCTTCAAGAACCACAGTGTTACTGGGCTTGGGGTGCCTCCTAATAGACATGATTTAAATCACAAAACCCAGGTACTTTTGTATACCTGAAAAGCCTTCCCAAGAAGGGCGGGTACAGGCAAGTCCAGACTGCAAAGAACTACAATAAATATCTAACTATTCAATGATGAGACACCAAGGAACATCCACAAGCATCAAGGACATCCAGGAAAACATGGCCTCATTAAATGAACTAAATAAGACACTAGGGACCAATCCTGGAGACACAGATATGTGACCTTTCAGACAGACAATTCAAAATAGCTGCTTTGTGGAAACAAAAATATTCAAAATAACACAGAGGAGGAATTCAGAATTCTATCAGATAAATGTAACAAAGAGATTAAAATAAATAAAAAGAATCAAGGAGAAATTTTGGAGTTGAAAAATGCAATTGACATACTGGAGAATGCATCAGAATCCTTTGGTAGCAGAATTGACCAAGCAGAAGAAAGATTTAGTGACCTTGAAGACAGGCTATTTGAAAATACACAGTCAGAAGAGACAAAAGAAAAATGAATAAAAAGCAGTGAAGCATGCCTACAAGACCTAGAAAATAGCCTCGAAAGAGAAAATTTAATAATTATTGGCCTTAAAGATGAGGTAGAGAAAGAGATAGGGGTAGAAGTTTTATTCAAAGTGTTAATAACAAAGAATTTCCCAAACCTAGAGAAAGATATCAACATCCAAGTACAAGAAAGTTATACAACACTAAGCAGATTTAACCCAAAAAAGACTACTGGAAGGCATTAAATAATCAAATTCCCAAAGGCCAATGATAAAGAAAAGATGCTAAAAGCAGCAAGAAAAAAATAAACAAATAACATACAATGGAGCTCCAATACATCTGGCAGTGGACTTTTCAATGGAAACCTTACAGACCAAGAGAGAGTAGCATGACATATGTAAAGTGCTGAAGGAAAAAAAAAGAAAAACACCTTTTACTATTGAATAGTATATTCAGTGAAAGTCACCTTTAAACATTAGAGAGAAATAAGGACTTCCTCAGACAAACAAAAGCTGAGGGATTTCAATACCAGACCCGTCCTATAAGAAGTACTAAAGGAAGTACTTCAATCAGAAAGAAAAGGACATTAATGAGCAATAAGAAATTACCTGATGTTATAAAACTCATTGGTAATAGTAAGTACATAGAAAAACACAGAATATTATAACACTTTAACTGTGGTGTGTAAACTACTCTTATCTTGAGTAGAAAGACTAAATGATGAACCAATAAAAAATAACTACAACAACATTTCAAAACATAGTACAATAAGATGAAAAGAGAAACAATAAAAAGTTAAAATGCAAGGATATGAAGTTAAAGCATATAGATTTTATTTGTTTTCTTTTTGTGTGTTTGTTTGTGTATGCAATCAGTGTTGTCATCTTTTTAAAATAATGAGTTATAAGATAGTATTTTCAAGCCTCATGGTAATCTCAAATTGAAAAACCAACAACAGATACATAAATAAATAAAAAGCAAAAAATTAAAGTATACCACCAGAGAAAATCCTTTTCACTAAAAGGAAGACAGGAAGGAAGGAAAGAAAAAAGATAATGTTACAAAACAACCAGAAAACAAATAGCAAAATGGCAGGAGTAAGTCCCTACTTATCAATAATAACATTGAATGCCAATGGACTAAAACTCTCCAATCAAAAGACATAGACTGGCTGAATGGATTATAAACAAGATCCAATGATCTGTTGTCTACAAGAAATATACCTATAAAGAAACACACAAACTGAAAACAAAGGGATGGAAAAAGATATTCCATGCCAATGGAAACAAAAGAGCAGGAGTAGCTATACTTATATTAGACAAAATATATTTCAAGATAAAAACTAAAAGAAGAGGAAAGAATGTCATTATATACTGATAAAGGGGTCAATCCAGCAAGAGGATATAACAATTGTAAATATATATGCACCCAACACTGGAGCACCCAGATATATAAAGCAAATATTATTAGCGCCAAAACGAGAGATATGCCCCAATACAATAATAGCTGTAGACTTCAACGCCCCACTTTCGCATTGAACAGATCTTTCAGACAGCAAATTAATGAAGAAACTTTGAACTTAACAACTCTAACAACTACAAAATACACATTCTTCTCCTCAGTATATAAATGACTGTCAAGGATAGGCCATATGTTAAGTCAAAGAGCAAGTCTTAAAACATTCCGTGAAAAAAACTAAAATAATATCAAGCATCTTCTCTGACCACAATGAAAGATACTATAAATCAATACCAAGAGGAATTTTGGAGACTATATAAACACATGGGAATTAAACAGTATGCTCTGAATGCTCAGTGGATCAATCAAGAAATTAAGAAGGAAATTGAAAAATTTATTGAAACAAATGACAATGGAAACAGAATATACCAAAATGTATGGGATACAGTGAAATGGCATTAAGAGGGAAGTTTATAGCTGTTTCTGTATCAAAAAAGAAGAAAAATTTGTAATAAACAACCAAATGGGGAATCTTACAAAAACTAGTAAGGCAAGAGAACACCATACTTGAAATTAGTAGAAGAAAAAAAATATAAACATGAGAACAGAAATAAATGAAACTGAAATTTAAAAAACAATACAAAAGATTAATGGAACAAAAAGTTGCTCTTTTGAAAAGATAAACAAAATTGACAAACGTGTACCCAGACTAAGAAAAAACAAGAGAAAGTACTCAAATAAAAAATAAAGTCACAGATGAAAAATGATGTGTTACAACTGATATCACAGAAATTTAAAGGATCATTAGAGGCTACTATGAGCAACTATATGCCAATAAACTGGAATATCTAGAAGAAACGGATAAATTAATGTACCTAGATTGAACCATGAAGTAATACAAACCCTGAACCAACTAATACAATGTAATTAGATCAAAGCCATAATTAAAAGTCTTCCAGTGAAGAAAAGCCCAGGACTTGATGGCTTCACTGCTGAATTCTACAAAACATATAAAGAAGAACTAATACCAGTCATACTCAAACTATTTCAAAAAATAGAAGAGGAGGGAATATTTCCAATCTCATTCTATAAAGCCAGTATTACCCTGATACCAAAACCAGACAAAGACTCATCCATAAAAGAAAACTACAGGCCAAATCCCTGATGAATAATGACACATAAACCTTCAACAAAATACTAGCAAACTGATATCAACAATATATTAAAAAGATAATTCACCATGACCAAGTGGAATTTTTCCCAGGGATGCAAGGATGGTTCAACATACACAAATCAATCAATGTGATATATCAGATTAATAGAATCAAGGATCTAAACCATATTATTGTTTCAATTAATGCTGAAAAAATCTGATCAAATTCAACACCTCTTCAAGATAAACACCCTAAAAAAACAGGGTATTGAAGTAACATACCTCAACATAATAAAAACCACATAAGACAAATCCATACCCAGTATTATACTGAATGGGGAAAAACTGAAGGGCTTACCACTAAGATTTGGAATGCAACAAAGATGACCACTTCCACTACTGTTATTGAAAATAGTACTGGAAATCTTAGCTGGAGCAAATTGGACAGGAGAAAGAAATAAAGGGCACCCAAATTAGAAGGGAAGAAAAATTATCCTTGTTTGCAGACAATATGATCTTACATTTGAAAAAAACTCAAGACATCACAAGAAAACTACCAGAACTGATAAACAAATTCAGTAAAATTGCAGGATACAAAATTAACATACAAAAATGCCAGCAGTAAACAATTTGGCATTTCTGCCAAATATTTCCCATTTCTATATGCCAACAGTGAACAACCTGAACAAGAAATTGAGAAAGTAATTCTATTTACAGTACCTACAAATAAAATAAAATACCTAAGAATTAACCAAAGTAAACTATCTCTACAATGAGAACTATAAAACATTGATGCAAGAAATTGAAGAGGACACTAATACACAAAAGGAAAGATATTTCATGTTTATGGATTTTAAGAACCAATATTGTTAAAATCTTCATACTACCTAAAGCAATCTACAGATTCAATGCACTCCCTATCAAAATACCAATGACATTTTTCACAGAAATAGAAAAAAAAGAACTAAAATTTATACAGAACAATGAAAGACCCAGAACAGCCAAAGCTATCCTAAGCAAAAGGAGTAAAACTGGAATATTCACATTACTGGACTTTAAATTGTACTCAGATCTATAGAAACCAAAATGGCATTGTACTAACAGAAAGTAGACATATAGACCAATGGAACAGAAAGAGAACCCAGAAATAAATTCATATATCTCTACTGAACTCATTTTTGATCAAGGTATGAAGAACATACACTGGGAAAAGGGCAGTCTCTTCAGTAAATTGTGCTGAGAAAACTGAATATCCGTATGCAGAAGGATGAAACTAGACCAATATCTCTCAAAATATACAAAAATAAAATCAAAATACATTAAAGAATTAAACCTAAAACTTCAAACTATGAAGCTACTACAAGAAAAATTGGGGGAAACTCTCCAAGACATTGCATTGGCCAAATATTTCTTGGGTAATACCCCATAAGCACAGGCAACCAAGGCAAAAGTGAACAAATGGATCACATCTAGTTAAAAAAGCATCTGTACAGAAAAGAAAATAACAAAGTGAAGAGGCAACCTATACTATGGGAGAAAATATTTGCAAACCAACCATCTGAAAAGGGATTAGTAACCAGAATATACAAGGAAAAGGAGCTTAAACAACTCTACAGGAAGAAATCTAATAATCTGATTTAAAATGGACAAAAGATCTGAATAGAAATTAAGAAGACAGGCAAAGTGCAAATAGGTATATGAAAAGGTGCACAACATCATTGGTCATCAGATAAATGAAAATCAAAACCATAATAAGATATAATCTCACCCCAGTTAAAATAGCTTTTATCCAAAAGACAGGACATAACAAATGCTGGTGAGGATGAGGAGAAAGGGGAACCGTCCTGCATTGTTGGTAGGAATGTAAATTAGTACAACCACAATGGAGAATAGTTTGGAGGTTCCTCAAAAAACTAAAAGTAGAGCTACCATGTGATCCACCAATCCTGATGCTAAGTATATACCCCCCAAACAGAAACGCACTATATGAAAGAGATCTGCACTCCTTTGTTTATTGCAACACTACTCACAATAGCCAAGATTTGGAAGCAACAGAAGTGTCCATCAACAGATGAAAGGATAAAGAAAATGTGGTATGTATACAATGGAGTACTTACTATTCAACCACCAAAAACAATCGGATTCTATCATTTGCAACAACATGGATGAAACTGGAGGTCATTATGTTAAGTGAAATAAGCCAGGCACAGAAAGACAAATATTACATGTTCTCACTTATTTGTTGATGTAAAAATTAAAACAATTGAACTCATGGAGATAGCATAAGGATGGTTACCAGAGGCTGGAAAGGCTAGTAGAGGGAGTGGAAGGGAGGTGGGAATGGTTAACACGTACAAAAAGTGGTTAGAATGAATAACATCTAGTATTTGATAGCACACAGGGTGACAATAGTCAATAATAAATTAATTGTATGTTTTAAAATAATTAAAATTCGATTGTTTGTAACACAAGATAAATGCTTGAGGTGATGAGTATCTCAATTACCCTGATGTGACTATTGCACATTGTACCCATGTATTGAAATGTCTCATGTACTCCATAAATATATACCCACTACTATGTACCCAAACAAATTTAAAAATAAAAACTTTTAATAACAACAAAAAAGTCAGTTACTGTTCTACATACTGGCAATAAAAACTTATATTTAGAATTTAAAAATACCATTTATACTAGCACCAAAAATGAAATATTTAGGTATAAATCAAACAATATAAGAAAATTTTCTCTATGGGAAATATGATAAACCTCAATGAAAGATTTCAAAAATGTTTTAAATAATTGGAAAAATATTCCGTATCATTCATTAGAATACTTAATATTTTAAGACGTCAATTCCTCACAACTAGATCTATAGATTTAATGAAACTCAACTAAAACCATACAATCTATTCTGGAGATATAAAAATACTGATTTAAAACATTACATGAAAAGGCAAAAGACCTCAAATAACCAACACAATGATGAAAAAGAAACACATTTAGAGGATTCATACTGACATTTAGACTTATTATAAAGCTACAATAATTGAGAAAGTGTGGTTTTTCCAAAAGAATAGGAACAGAGGTTAGTAGAACAAAATATAGTGCCAAGAAATAGATCCATGAAAAATATGGTCAACTGATCTTAGACAAAGTAGCAATGGCAATTCCAGGTAGAAAGAATGATCTTTTTAGAAGATAATAACAGGAAAATAGACATACACACAAAAAATGAACATAGACACAGAACCTTGTAATTTTCAGAAATTTTAGCTCAAAATATACATTACATCTAATGTAAAACACAAAACTAAAAAATTTCTAAAAGAAAAATAGAAGAAAATCTAAGTGACTTCTGCATTATCATTGAGTTTTTAGTCACAACACTAACTAAAAGTACTACCCATGAAAGAAAAAATTAATAAATTGGATTTTGTCAAAATTGAAAACCTCTGCTCTGTGAAAGACACTGCTAGGAGGACAAAAAGACAAACCAAAGTCTGGGAGAAAATATTTGGAAAACACATATATGGTAAACAGCTTGCATCTAAAATATACAAAAACCACTTAACACTCAATGATAAGAAAATAATCGAATTTAAAAATAATCGAATGCAAAAGAGGGCTGGGCACAGTGGCTCATGCCTGTAATCCCAGCATTTTGGGAGGCAGAGGCGGGTGGATCACCTGAGGTCAGGAGTTCGAGACCAGCCTAACCAACAGGGTGAAACCCCATCTTTACTAAAAATACAGAAATTAGCTGGATGTGGTAGCAAGTGCCTATAACCTCAGGCACTCAGGAGGCTGAGGCAGGAGAATCCCTTGAACCCAGGAAGTGGAGGTTGCAGTGAGCCAAGATTGCACCACTGTACTCCAGGCTGGGCGACAGAGTGAGATTCCGTCTGAAAAAAAAAAAAAAAAAAAGTGCAAAAGATCTGGACAGACACTTCAACAAATAAGATATACAAATGGAAACTAAGCATAGGAAAAGATGCTCGACATTATTTGTTTTTAAGTTATTGTAAATTAAAACAAGTTGTCACTACATGCCTATTAGGATGGCTAAAATTTCAAATATTTAAAGTACCAATTGATGACTGAGATGCAGAACCTCAGGAACTCTCCATTGTTAGGGAGAATGGAAATGGCATAACCACTTTCGAAGACATTTTTGAAATTTTGTACAAAGCTAAACTAGTCTTACCCAGAAATTGTATTACTGGGTATTTACCCAACAGATTTAAAAACAAGTCTACACAACAACCGATATACAAACTTTTATAATAACTTTATACATAATCACCAAAAAAGTTGAAGTGACCAAGATATCACAGATAGTGGCATATCTATACAATGAAATATTATTTAACAATAAAAAGAAGGAAATTATCAAGCCACAAAAGGATGTGGGTAAATCTTAAATATGTTTTCAACTGAAATATTACAACCTAAAATACTATGTATTGTATGGTTCCAATTACATGACCTATTTGAAAAGGCAATGCTTTGGAGATAATAAAAAAAATCAGCGCTTCCAAGTGGTTTGAGAAATGGGGAAAAAACATTCAAATAGGTAAAGTAAATGGAATTTTTAAGAAAATGAAACTATTGTATATGATACTATAATTGGGCCTACTTGACATTATACATATGTCAAAATCCATTTAACTTTATAGCAAAATAGTAACATTTAATGTATGACATTTTCAAAAAATTAGGAGGTCTTAGGAATCCCAAGTTGAAATGCAGAATATGACAAAACAATTTCATTGTATTCTAAATATATGAGACAACCTCACTAAAGGGGGTAGAGGAAAAGGTGCTGAGCTAAGTGACATTGGAAATGTGTGTAATCTATAAAACTAATGGCAAAAGAAACCGGTTTATAAAGCTGTTGCCCAATAGGGACTAGGTTAACAACGCTTGAACTGGTATACATGTAGATTGGACTTGAACAATTAAGTAAATTGATAAAACCAGATTTCTAAATATTGGAGTGGGTGTTTACAAATAAGTGAGGGAGGACAACTAGAATAATTCATGTGGTGATGTATTAGACCTAGAAACTAAGTATGAACTCATGTTTAACTTAATGTAGGTACAAATGGTTACACATAGAAATATTTGTATGTATGTGCATATACAAGGTCTGGTATGCACACATATATTTCTTTTCTGTGTCAGTGGCAAGGGTCTAGAAGGAATGACGTCCTGGTAGCAGAAAGCATACCCAGTACTTTGATGTTGGTTTCTAATACTGTTCTTCAGTGAAAGAAATCAGAGCTCTTTGTAGAAATGGCCAAATCTAAGATAGGACAGAGAATGTATAAGACTGAAGTGTCATGCAATATAACAAAATAAGATAGTTTTTTTAAAAATAATGAAATTGTATTAATGGGGCTTTATTTAAGAGAGACACAAAAGATGACTGAAAAATTACCAGTGGTAAAAGCCAGACATTTTGAACAAGACAATAAATTAAGAATTGTTATAATCCACAGTATAAAATACATATTTTTTATTCTACACTGCTATAAATAAATGCTTGATAAATAAACAAATAGAGGAGAGAGACAAATTTCCTATGCAGAATTTCAAATACTTTATGTAGAAATTTCACCCTCAAAGAGGTTAAACATAACTCTCCACTATTTAAACGTGGACTGCATATAGTGCCTTCTTCTCAAATAGTATGGTATAGAATGATGAGAAAAAAAAAAAGATAATTTTAAGCCGGGCGTGGTGGCTCACGCATGTAATCCCAGCACTTTGGGAGGCCGAGGCTGGTGGATCACGAGGTCAGGAGATTGAGACCATCCTGGCTAACACAGTGAAACCCTGTCTCTACTAAACAAAATACAAAAAATTTGCTGGGCGTTGTGGCGGGCGCCTGTAGTCCCAGCTACTCTGGGAGGCTGAGGCAGGAGAATGGTGTGAAGCCAGGACGCGGAGCTTGCAGTGAGCCGAGATCATGCCATTGCACTCCAGCCTGGGCAAGAGAGCCAGAATCCATCTCAAAAAAAAAAAAAAAGATAATTTTACTTGGACAAACACTTCCTCAGCTAAGTAATCAAAACAACATCGACAGTCATAAGTCATGCTGAAAGTATATAAACTTGCTATAGTGTAATGGAAATGGCACTTTACCTCTGTTCATCCTCTTAAAACCCACATCTCTACTCTAATTATGAGAAAAACACCAGGCAAATTGCAATAAAGGAACATCGTTTAAAATTACTTAGTAGTAGTCCATAAAACTGTCAAGGTCATCAAAAACAGGGAACATGTGAGAAACTATAACCTTAAGTGAAGCCTAAGGAAATATGATAATTACATGCAATAGTTTCCAGGATGGGATCTTGGAAAACAAAAATAATCTTAGGTAAAAAATGAGAAAATCAGAAAAAAGAATGGACTTTGATATGGGTTGGCTCTGTGTCCCCACCCAAATCTCATCTTGAATTCTACTCCCATAATTCCCGCATGCTGTGTGAGAGACCCAGTAGGAGATAATTTGAATCACGGTGTCAGTTTCTCCCATACTGTTCCTGTGGTAGTGAATAAGTCTCACGAGATCTAATGATTTTATCAGGAGTTTCTGCTTTTGCATCTTCTCTCATTTTCTCTTGCTGCCATGTAAGAAGTGCGTTTTGCCTCCTGCCATGATTCTGAAGCCTCCCCAGCCATGTGGAACTGTAAGTCCAATTAAACCTCTTTTTCTTCGCAGTCTCAGGTATGTCTTTATCAGCAGCATGAAAACAGACATACAGACTTTTAAGTAATAATTATTTATCATATTTGTTCATTAATTATAACAAATATACCATATAATAAAATATGTCAACAATAGAAAACACTGGGCGTAAGGTACATGGGAATTCTCATTACAATCTGTAATTTTGTAAGTTCTGTAATTTTTCTGTAAATATAAAATGGTTCTAAAATTTAATTTAATTTTATGTATATACTAAATATATATACTATATGTAGACTATATACATTACTTAAATTCTATATAGTCTATAAAACTCTGAATATATATACATATACACAAATATGTACAGTTTTATTGCATAGTTAATATTTGAAAAATAGTAACTTCTATAGACAAAAATTGATAAAGGCTGTATATTTAGAGACTACACTTGAATACATGTTTGAGCAAAAGAAACTACTTAATAATGAGGATCTTGAAGCCACACGTGAGCATCCCAATATAGACTATATCTCATTAACTCATATCAATAGAATATAGTTGAAGCTAAAATTATTATGCTGTTATCCTGAATCATGGTTCATGAATCCAAAATAACTGTATCAACTACCACTGTTTTTAACTTGGAGATTTAATACAGTGTACAGTAACCTAATCGTTAAGAGGAAATACTACCCATAAATCATGCAAACACACATGCAACACTGAAAATTTGTAAACTATCTGTTGGTATCAGAAAGTCATGGCAGTTAAGTTTCCCTAAATCCATGTAATTGTTTCCTTTACTCTTTTTAAATTCCAAAATATTGAAGGTTCTACAAGCCAGGTTAATTTCCTAATATAAGAAGTTATTGTACTGATAAAATCCCTTCTATATTCAACTAAACAGAATACTAAGCCACTCACCCAAACAGGATATCTTGAAATACTTTTCTGAAAATGTCACTGAGATTTCTAAAATATTTCTGAGATTTTTGTGTTACTACTAAGATATTATTAGTTAGAATTCTGCTTCTTCACAATAGAAAGTGAAAATGTCTTTAAATTATTTCTCTTGAGCAGAAGATGACTAAAATATGTCAATTAAAGTTACCAACTATGATTCTACTTCTAAAGACTTCCCAATACTACAAATTTTCATTCCACAGAACTCATATATATGTAAGAATAAGAAACAGAATTCTAGCAGACCATTTTCATATACTCAGACATTTCTTGATAGGGTTGCTACATATAAATAAGTGAGTATTATCCTGGGAAGACTTAACTACTATAGCGTTACCAAATACCAAATGGGGCATTTATTTAAACCTTTTGAAATAGATAATTTAAGGAATAAATTGAATGTTAGTATGTACTTTCACAATTAGTAAAGCATCAAACTACGTCGAGATGCAGAAGAGAGGTACACCTGTTATACAAGAAGTTGTAGTTCTTATCAAATGTCATAACTGGTTTAATGTTAATCATAAAGAATATAAAATATAGGGCCAATTTATGTGATAAAATAAAGAATTTTTTTGTAAAGAGTCTAGTAGTCAATATAGTCCACAAGCTTATTTCTTCTTAATTATTGAGCTGCGTCAAAGATAGTTAAAAGGATCTAATCAAAAGCACAGGCTCTTACTTTAGCTGCTAGTGGAACAATCAGATACCTACTATGTACAAAACATATTCAACTGGAGCCAGTATTTTTGCATGCCTCCAAATTGTTCAAATTTTATATTTGTAATGGCCTATATTATTAAAAATGTGCTGGGTGCATTTTGTTATGATATTTTCTTAAAGAATTTTATGTTCTCACACTCATAAAACTGCTGAATTTCTTACAAATGGAAAATTATTTCTATGTCTCGTTTCAAGTCTGGTCATAATAATCTGGAGTGCCTATGGGAGAATTTAAAAATAATAAAAATGCAATTATTTAGCACAAAAAGTCATAGACTCACAAAACTATTTCATTTTTTAGAATGGAGTGAAAATAAAACACGTGTCTACAAAAAAATGCCAGATTTCAAAATGAACAGTAGTTAAAATGAAAAGAATAGCAAGCAAAAACCTTCATAATCTATTAACTGACTAAGTAATTGGTAGTATTTTAATTTCTGTTTCCAAAAACTTCCAAATAATGTCCATTTATAGTCGAAGAGGAGAGCTGTAATAATATTTGCTGAAATTCCAAAATGTACAGCACATTTCAATAAAACATCACAAACAGATTCTAAACAGAAAAATTAAAAGTCCTAAACAGTTAACAAATGTATTTTAAGAGGGCATATAACATGTGTCGGGCGTGGTGGCTCACGCCTGTAATCCCAGCACTTTGGGAGGCCGAGGCAGGCAGATCACCTGAGGTCCTGAGTTGGAGACTAGCCTGATCAACATGGCGAAACTCCGCCTCTACTAAAAATACAAAATTAGCTAGGTGTAGTGGTGGGCGCCTGTAATCCCAGCTACTTGCGAGGCTGAGACAGGAGAATTGCTTGAACCCAGGAGGCGGAGGTTGCAGTGAGCCAAGATTGGGCTATTGCCCTCCAGCCTAAACAAAACAAAAACAAAAACAAACTAACAACAACAACAAAAATGCAATTTTAATTGGGCTTGCAGTCGTCGCTGGTACCAGCGCTGCCTCTAGCTCACCAAGCTCCAGCCAAAGGAGACCATGGCTCCTACAAAGTAGACTGCTCACAAATCGAAAGATGGTAAGGCACCCAGGAAGCAAGGAGCTACCAAAGTTGCTCACAAGAGTTCGCCCTCTACTGGAGGAATGAAAAGACCTCATCGTTTCAGGCCTGGTATTCTCCTTGAAATTATACTTTATCCAAGTCCACTGAATTTCTGATTCGCAGACTTCCCTTCCAGTGTGTGGTGTATATTAGTCCATTTTCACGCTGCTGATAAAGACATATCCAAGACTGGGCAATTTACAAAAAAAAGAGGTTTACTGGACTCACAGCTGCACATGGCTGGAGAGGTCTCACAATCATGGTGGAAGATGAAAGGCACATCTCACATGGCAGAAGACAAGAGAAGGAATCAGAGAGTCAAGTGAAAGGGGTTTCCCCACGTAAAACCATCAGATCTCCTAAAACTCATTCACTGCAGGAGAACAGTATGGTGGAAACCGCCCCCAGGATTCCATTATCTCCCACTGGGTCCCTCCCACAACATGAGGGAATTATGGGAGCTACAATTCAAGATGAGATTTGGGTGGGGACACAGCTAAACCATATCGTGCTGGAAGAAATAGCTCAGGAGCTCAGGACTTTAAAACAGATCTACGCTTCCAGAGCCCAGCTATTGGTGTTTTGCAGGAGGCAATTAAAGTCTATCTGGTTAGCCTTTTTGAAGCTACCAACCTGTGTGCTATTTATCCATGCCACATGTGTAACAATTACACCAAAAGACAATCAACTAGTACACTACACATGTGGAGAACGTGCTTAAGAAACTGCTATGAAGGGAACATTGCATTCGCAAAAAAAAAAAAAAAAAAAAAAAAAAAAAAAAATTATCTTCTTTCTCTTTTTGGCAGTTCTGAATGTTAGATATTTTTTCCCATGGGGTCAAAAGGTACCCAAGTATATGACTGTGAGTGGAAAAATAGGGGACAGAAATCACATATTGGCAATTTTTCCATTTTCATTTGTGTGTGAATTTTTAATATAAACGCGGAGACAAAAAACATTAATGCAAGTCAAAATGTTTCAGTGAACAAGTTTCAGTGTTTCAACTTTATAATAATTATAAATAAACATGTTAAATTTTTCTGAACAATCCAGGATTTGAATTTTTTTTAAAAAGCAAGTAAATTTCTTATTGGCAGCAACAAAATGGTGTTTGTAGCATTTTTATCATATAGTGAATTCCATCTATTCACTGTACTTTTCTAACTTAGCTGTCCTAAATGCAAGTACATCTTTTTAATATTGTCTGTCTTCTGTGCTGTTCTTGTAAGTTTGCTATTAAAATACATCAGATGATAAGAAAACAGAATTTCAATATTTTCCAAGAACTTCTTGAAACAAAAAATAGCTTATACTAACATTTTAAAAATTTCAATAGTGTTAGTGATACAATTGGCTTTTAGTAACATGGATGAATTGTACAGTGGTGAAGTTTGGGCTTTTAGTGTACCTGTCATATTTTAACATCATTAATTAAATTAGATGCAGAAAGTTTATTTTATTTTTTCAACCATTCATTTTATTTATCTTTTTATTCTTTATTTGAAATTGTAGGAGCGATGACAATTGTTTATTCTCATCAGACGCAGCAGTGATTTTAAAATTCAGTTTTTCTCAGATAATGTCAATTAATTTTTCCAAACGATATGTGTGTATTTTAAATTATCTTTATAAACAATTTGAGTAAACTTGCGCTTGCAGTACACATGACATCCTATCAGACCCAACCTCTAGTAGATAAGAACAAGAAGCTGGACCAACTACAAAAACAAAACAAAACAAAATAGTTAAATGGAGGCACACAAAGTTTTTTTAGAGGTATCAACATTGTGGCTATCTTTTATGGCTTTTATTTAAACATTTTTTATGGGTACCTAGCATGACAGCTTTAATGCCAACAGGACACCAGGTGGATTTCAGGCCCAAAGAACAACAGGACAGAGTTCAGGCTGTCAATTTGATTGATTATAATATATCTTACAGCAGAGTGAAATGAAACAGCTGCAATCATATTAGGTGATTCATGACTCTAAAAGAAAGTGAATTCAAAAACAAGTTATAAAGATACATGTAATAATTATTATAACATTTCTTACTTTTTTAGCTATGTTAATGTATAGTGGATTACTAAGATAGAAAAAAAAAAAACTAGGGTTACTCTGACTGTGTCTAGTATTTGCAGGGCTTTGGGCCATGTTTTATACTAGATATATGTGATGCTCACAAGATCTCAGCAAGAGAGCAAATATTATTTTCAGATGGGAAAAGCCCGAGGAGGTTAATTAATCAGCTAGTAATAAGCAGAGCTAATATTTAAATCTAAGCCTATATGAATCTAAAGTATTTTCTGATCTGTGGTTTTAAGGTATTTGCTCCAGAGGAAGATTGACTTTTCCGGATCAATCTTGACAAGGTCAGACCAAAGATATTTTAGATATGTAATTACCACCTAAACTCTAGGCCTTAGCTCCAGAAATATATCAACATGTGTTTTCTGGGTCATGCCTATGCCTTCAACATAAGATGTGTGTACTCTTAGTTTATGGACAAAGTATTACTAAAAATTCTCTTTTAAATTGAAATGTTGTGACTAATATTATGTTAGAAGACCTGTTTGTGATAATGTTTGACAGCATATCAAACACATAATTTAAAATATATCCAGCTAATTCAGTCAACTATAAAAATTGCTCACTAAAGGAAATAAAAGTTTAGCAAATGTATTTCTATAACATTGAATTTATTACAATTAAGATTTTTAAAAGTTAATTTACTACCATGAACTAAGGTTTGACTACATGCAGTGTACTTATCATCAAGTCCTTCTTAAGCCAAATATGTACTCTGTTTGTTGGGCTGAGTATAATAGCATTATTACAGAAATAAAAAAGCCAAATAATCTGTTTCTTTTGTTTTTTAATAGACTTTATTTTTAGAGCAGTTTTAGGTTAACAGCAAAATTGAGTGGAAGGTACAGAGATTTCCTATACATCCCTGGCCCCTACAAATGCATAAACTCTCCATTGTCAACATCCTCCACCAGAGCGTTATCTTTACTATCGTTGACGAACCTACATTGACGAAGCATGCTCACCCAAAGTTCGTAGTTTACATTAGGGTTCACTCTTATTGCTAAATATTTTATGGGTTTAGATGAATTTATAATGACATGGATTCACCATTATGGTACATGGAGTAAGTTATCTGTCCTAAAAATCCTCTGTGTTCTACCTGTTCATTGATTTACTTTTGTATCGGGGTTTAACAAGACTTCGTGCTCAGACAGGGTTAATTAAGTTAATCTTCTGTATATGTATCATTTCCCTCTTGAATTTGAACTTTACCAACTTCTGAGAAATAAAATTTAAATTTTAGCTAGTTCCATATGTCTTCACCAAAAATATATTTTGCTGTTTAGATATGTTAAATAGATACACATACAAGTCAAAAAAACTTATCTTTCCCAAGAAAACGATTAATTGATTAATGAAATATCTTGGTGTTATGTGAGAAAAGATACATTTACTCAAGTTATCAATGTCAATACCCTCACTTTGGGATTTTTCTAAAGTACTTTTTTGATATGTCTATGTGCTTAGATTTTTATAAATGTAATAAAACAATTGGAACTCATATAATGAACCACTTTTAATACCAGAAACATATTCTACAGTGTAAGATGTAATTTACCCTGGTAAATTTACATAGCATGATTTCCAATTAAAAATGGTTCTGTTTCTTATTCTGTGTTATAATGAGGCCCAGTTTGATGGTTAAAAGAAGAGTTCAGTTGCATGATCTATTTTATCATTCTCTTTTTAATACTGTAAAGAATAACCTTCAGAACAAGTACTTTACAGTACTTGTAGAAAGTATCTATTCTTGAATTCCAACCCACACCTACTAAACCAGCATGTAAAAAATTGAAACCTCAGAAGCTGAATTTTAGAAAAGTATCCTTGGGGACACTTATACACACTCGGTTTACTTCAATAAGCAGAATAAATGCCATCTCAGTCTCAAGTTCAGGCTATCATGCCGAAGATGAATAAGACATGGAGAGATACTAGAATTAACTGGCATTCTAACTGATGCAGCCAGCATATATGCATATATGTACATATAGGTACAGTTTCCTATGGGAATACATACACATTTTGTGAGGTATGTAGCCCAACTTAAAATAGGGAAGGTCATGAGAATTTTCCTAGAGAAGTGGACACTGAACTGAGTTTTGGAGGATGAGTAGGAATTAGTTTTAAAAAGGTTAAAAAAATGGGCATTTTAATTTAGAAAAACTGTGGTATAAAATAGCATGATGTATTTTGGAAACTGCGACCTGTAAAATGTTCAGGCAAAAGTGGCTGAAAATAAGGTGAAATATTGGAAAGTCTATAAACCACAGAATATAACTTTATCTGACAATTTTAATGCAGCATTGAATATTTCAATAGGAAATCAGATAGACAACCTTAACAACATTTAGGGTGTGAGATTTATGCAAATTCAAGGCAATATTGAAGAGAATATAAATTTGAATCATTTTAGTTGCAAGTTATACAAACCAAATTTGAATTGAAGGTGGTTCTGTTCCCTTATTTTCTATTATGAAAAACTATTTAAAATTTGAGATAGTTTAAGCAAATGATGGAAATATTTAGACCCTTATAACCAAACTTTGAGAAAAGAATAAATAAGGCAGGGCTGATGTGGGAGGGAACTTAGACAATTAAATGCATTACTTCTGCTAGTCTCTACATGCAAGCTTCAGGTGGTCTTATTGCAGACCTTTTTTACAAAGGCAGGAATCAGTGTTGACAACAGTGTCTTGTCCAGTGTCTCCCTAACTTTGCCAATTGGGAATAACCCAAGTCAGGTCAGAAAGTTAAAAAGAAAGAATTTAAAGTTGTTCCATGACCACCCTTCAAGCTCCTCTGGTGAGTAAGGATTTAGCACACTGTGATAGGTTCAGATTGGGTGACTTTCTCATTTCTCATGCAATTACTGAGGCCAGGAAGACAAGGTTATATTGGAAGATAGCAGCTCTCAAATGAACTTCAAAGTGTGAAGATAAGAGGAGAGAGAAAGAGAACTTCCCCCAAAAGGGGAGTGGTTTCTGTACCCATAATATGGATGGGGGAATAAGACTAGATCAAACACCACCACCACCATCAACAAATGCTATGGAAATCCATAAGGCTTCCCTAGCGTCTGAGCAATGGCAGTAGTTGAAGTGGGGAAAAAAAAGCTTTAAAAGATAAAATCAATTAGACATGAGAGATAATATGGTATGAGAGGTGTTTGGGAAATGCAGTTAAAATTATAACCTGTATTTCTGGCTTTGGGAAACAGGTTAATGTTAATGCCCTGTAGAGTACGAAATAAGGATACAAAACCATATCTAGGCAAGAATTGGAGCATTGCAAGTCTAGATATATACGTATATATACATGTATATACGTATATATACGTATATATGTACGTATATACGTATATATGTACGTATATACGTATATATGTACGTATATACGTATATATATACATACATGTGTATATGTATAGATACATACATATGTATACATATATACGTATATACACGTATATATGTGTATATATACGTATATACACATATATACACGTATATATACGTATATACACGTATATATACGTATATGTACGTATATACACGTATATATACGTATATGTACGTATATATACGTATATGTACGTATATACGTATATATACGTGTATATACGTATATGTACGTGTATATACGTATATACGTATATATATGTACATATATACATATATATGTCTGCTATTTTATATGTGCAAGCATTACATATACGTATATATACGTATACACGTATATATACATATATATACGTATATATACGTATACACGTATATATACGTATATATACGTATATATATACGTATACACGTATATATATACGTATATATACGTATACACATATATACACGTATATATATACGTATACACATATATACGTATATATACGTATATATATACGTATACACGTATATACGTATATATATACGTATATATGTAATGCTTGCACATATAAAATAGAAGACATATATAAATACGTTCTTATAGACTTCCATAAAGAGAAAAAAATTATTTTTCTAGGTGGGCCTATATTATTTTTTACTACTTTACCACATGAAAGTAGATTTTGTTTTCTGCTTATCTCCTTCTCGTTTGAGGATAAAAAAGAATATATGTAATGCACCTATGATGGGCTCTAACATAGAAGGGGTGCTTAGAAAATGAACTGTTGAATCATTAGTCATGTGTATAGTAGAAAACAACACAAAGGAAAAAGTACCATGCTTTGCTTTCTATTTCAGGAGGTTTGTTTATGTATTTGTTTTTCTTGAAGGATGAAAATATTTTAAATACGATGAAAAACTTGAACGAAGGTTAGAAATGGTAAATAGCAGTGAAAACATAAGATTTAGGCTGGGAACCTTTTCTGTAAATGGTCAAATAGCAAAAAGTTCAGGCTTTGCATTCCATGTAGTCTCTATCACCACTATTCTATTCTGCTTTGTAGAGGGACAGCAGCTATAAATGATACATAAATGAATGAATGTTTACTGTGCTCCCAAAAGCCTTTATTTATAAGTACAGGAAGTGGAGAGCAGTATTTCCTCAGTGTGCAGTATTTTCTCCACACCTGATATAAGATAAAGATGGCATGTGATCTTATATTTCATGTAGATTTACAAAGACACCTGGAATCAAGCAAATGTCTAGAGCTTTAGTACATGGTGTTATTTAAAAATTGTTGTAGACATCACATAGCATCCTGGTCTGATGAACTGAGTATATGATAAATATTTTTTAAACCCTACCATATCACTTTTCAAAAGTACGGGTGTTTGCATTATAGTATCTAGTTTAAAAATAGGAGAACTTAAGTATTTGTATGTTAATAATGGAAGGTAATATATAAGATCTCTTGTCAAAGATAGAGGCCAACATTCTGTCTACTTTCTCTATATTCATTCTAAAGGGAATGAAAACCATGAGGTTTTAACATTCATAAGCCATTAATCTGATAGTTATTCTAAACCTAGCTTTTTATTACTTAGGTTGTGCCAACTGAGGTTTATTTTAGTGAGAGTATCACACAAGACTCTTTTAACTGATGTTTCATCTGAATTCCTATTATGCATCCAAGAATTGTCAAGAATTTTGGGTGGAAATCACCCTCAGTGATTTGCTTCAGGGAAATACTAAATCGCATCTATAACATTAACATAATATACTGTGTTAAATGCTTTGCCTCACTGATAATTTTTAAAGCATGTATAGAAAAATTAGTTATTAGAAGTCATATTTATCTAAAGCCTATATGAAATACCTATACTTGCAAAGCTTCAGTAGGTAACCAGAAACAGAGTGAGCCTATTCTGCTGAACTAAAATGAAAATGAACACCACAACAGCAGTTTTTAGTTGTGCTATTGGCCTCAGAATCCTTTCAGCAGCTGGAACATTCAATAATGTTCAGCATTTGGAACATTTAATTTGCTCATTTTTTCTCTTTATCTCTTTCTTTGTTTCCCTATTTTCTTTCCTCCCTTCCTTCCTTTCTTCTTTCCTTCTTTTTGTTTCCTTTTCCTTTTCTACATGCAGAGGCTGCACAATCCATCACAGAGTGATAGACATACATATGGCCTTCTGTGCAGGTCTTTGATTTGGATTGCTAATTTGAAGACCTTGAGTAAATTCCTTGGCAACCTGTACTTCAGTTGCTCATCTCCATATAAGACTAGTAATTTATGTCCAGTCTTCATTAAAGAATGCTTAGAGGAAACAATGAGAATAATATACGGAAAATATTGTACATTGTAAACAAGAAAATTTCAAAGACTATCACCATCACTATTTCCAGGTTCCTCATGACTTTTTCTATAAGATAATCTCCTAATGGAATGCCACTCTCTGATCCCTGCTCTCTATCTTTTCACAGAGTTCATTTGCATACAATATCATTATATTAAAGCAGATAAAAGTATATACTATGAAGCAAGACATCATAATTGACTTCATCAGATGATATCATTAGCTGTGGAACGCCAGTATTGGTTTGTTTGCTAAGGAGACTCTGTAACTGAGGAAATGTCTGTCTCTTGCTCTGGGAAGCTGTGTGTCTCTAATAAACCATGTTCTTTGCTTGTATTAAAGAAATTTATATTGTCTGTCTGTGTCTGCTGGTATCATTCCTAAAATTCTCATTACAATAGTTGATACAAATGTGGTGTTATAAATACCTCTCAGAAAGCCCGTTCATTATACTATTATCAAGCATTAGCTTTCATACTATTTTTTAGATCATGTGCTTATCATCCATTTTAGAAATAATAGAATATGGCTTTTTGATCATGGGAGAGTATGCAGCCAAGTTGTGATAGATAAAGAGAGTCATTAAATTTAGATTGCAGGAAAATTTCTGGAGGGAACAAAATGTGTTTGAGGACAGATGTGGTGGCTCACACGTGTAATCCCAAGACTTTGAGAGGCCAAAGCAGGATTAGTAAGCCCAGGAATTTGAGACCAGCCTAAGCAACATAGTGAGACTCCATCTCCACAAAAAATTTAAAACTAGCCGGGCATGGTGGCATGTTCTGTAGTTCCAGCTGCTTAGGAGGTTGACAGGGGAGGATTGCTTGAGCTGAGGATGTCCAGGCTGCAGTGAGCCACCATGACCATGCCACTGCACTCCAGCCTGGGCAACAGAGTGAGACCCTATCTCCCAAAAAAACAAAAAACAAAACCAAAAAAACACAAGTATTTCCACACTTACATTTTCACTCCAAAAAGTAAAGAGTTTGAAGTCCCCACTTCCATTCTCACAAAAAGAGAATAAGTTAAATAAACTAAGAAACAAAATTACTCTTAGAATCATCATGAAATTGAAGTCATCGTGCAAACTGCTTCCCAGAAAACTGAAGAAAGAGGCAGAGATGCAGAGAATCATAACTTACTGAGAGCAGAAGCAGCTCCTGAAGCCAGGGCCAGAAAGAACACCAAACTGAATAATTGCCGGCAGTTCAGACTTAGTTTGAGAGCTAAAATCTACAGGGGAGAGGCAAATCTTAGGTGCCTCCCCAACCCCATGCTTTCAAGAGTTTTACCTCTAGGAGCCCCACCAGGTCTTTACTGTGAAAGTCTAAGGTAAATTTACTTATATTTCTGACAGTAAGAGGTGAAAAGCAACCCTTTTAAAATAAGCCCCAAGCTCTCTATGCTATGTTCGCCATTCCATTCTTCTGTTCTCTGTAAAGGTCAGCCCTCAAGAGGAACTGTTTACCAAAGTCTTATATGAGATGGGAAAGGGCAAATAGCCAGCTGTAGTCCCTCTACACTTAACACAAGGAGATAAAAAAGAGAGGGCCAGGAACGCTTTTGAAGGTCATGGCTCAAAGACCCTGGTCCTCCAAAATAACAAGCAAACAGGAAAACAAATAGAGCTTTAATCATAAGAGCACTTTCTGTACTTATCTTGCTACCACAAGATGTCTCCAGGCTTACAACAGGGTATTACCACTGAGAGTGCTGTGTAACACAGACTCCATTTAAGAAAAGATTCCCAGGGAAACCCAGAGACTACAGCGGTGAAAAATACAAGGAACCAGGGAAACTGAAGTCTCTAACGCCTACAGATACAGGAAATATTTAACAGAGCCTAACCCCTAGCTGCCAGTTCTGGACTGAATTGTGTCACTCCCAATGTGACTGTGTTTGGTGAAAGGGCCTATGTAGGTTATTAACGTTAAATGAGGACACAAAGCTGGACCCCTATTTGAATATGACTTGTATGAAGAGGAGGAGACTCCCGGGATGTGCACTCAGAGAGGAAGGGCCACATAAGGACTCAGTGAGAAGGTAGCTGTCTGCAAGACAAAAAGGGAGGTCTCTGAAGAAACCAAACTTGCCAACACCTTGATCTTGGATGTCTAGCCTCTATTACTTTGATAAAAATAGTTGTTTTCTGCTGCTTAAGCCACTCGGTCTATGGCCTATTGTTATGGGGTCCTTAGAAGATTAATATACAAGATAAACATAAATATTGCACACCAAACGCCTATTTATGTCAGTTTGTACTACCTGATACATCATGTTAAGCTGTGGACAAAACATAACTAGTCATGGTTAAAAAAAAATAGGAAAAAAGAAATAATTTAAAGAGACAAAGAAAGCATTATAAACATACTCAAATACAGTAGATAATTTGGCATTATCATACAGGGTATTTAAGATAACAATAATTAATATGCTCAGGGATCTTATGGGGAAAAAGTGCATAAACACCAAGAACAGATGGGTAATCCATGAATGGAGATTGAAACTCTAAGATAGAATCAAAAAGAATTGCTAAAAATGAAAAACACTTGTAACAGAAGTGAAGAATGCCTTTGATGGCCTCACTGGTGAACTGGACTTAGTCTAGAAAATAATAAGTGAGCTTAAAAGTATGTTAATAAAAACCTTCCAAGCCAAAATTCAAAGAGAAAAAATATAAAAAAGCAAAGAGTCAAAACCTGTGGAGTGATTACAAAAGGTGCATCATACACATAATGAGAGTATCAGATAAAAAAAGAAAAAAATGCAGAAAAAATACTGAAGTAATAATGACTGAGCATTTTCCAAAATTAATGACAGCCAGATCAAGGAAACTCAGAAAGAAACAAGCATGATAAATTCCAAAAATCAACTCCTGGGCATATCATATCCCAACTGCAATATAAATAAATAAATAAATAACACAGGAAAAGGTAAAGTATTACCTATAGAGAAAGAAGATAAGAATCACATGGGATTTCTGCTTACAAACTCTGCAAACAAAAAGGAGGTAGAATGAAATATTTAAAGTATTAAAAGAAAAAAGTCAACCCAAAAGTCTGTATCCAGAAAATTTATCCTTCAGAATTGAAGAAACACAGAATTGAAGACTTTCTCACACAGAAACTGAAGGAATATGTTGCTAGTAGACTTGACTTGTAAAAAATGTTAAAATAAGTTTTGCAGAGAGAAGATTATATAGTTCGGATATTTGTCCCCACCCAAATTTCACATTGAATTATAATGCTGAATGCTTGAGGTGGGGAATATAATGACCCAAACACCTCCCTGGTATAAGAAGAGGAAGAGATCCTGGTTGGAGGTGTTTGGGTGTTGGTGGCAGATCCCTCAGGGCTTGGTGCTGTCTTCATGATAGTGAGTAAGTTTTTGTGAAATCTGGTCATGTACAAGGTGTGGCACCTCTGCCTCCTCTCTCTCTCATTCTTGCTTCTGTTCTTGCTATGTGATATGCCTGCTCCCGCTTTGCCTTCCACCATGACTGGAAGCTTCCTGAGGCCTCCCCAGAAGCAAATGGCATTATGCTTCCTGTAGAGTCTGCAGGGCCGTAAGCCAATTAAACCTCTTTTCTTACACATTACCCAGTCTCAGGTATTTTTCTGTAACAATGCAAGAATGGACTAATACAGGAGGAAAATAATAGAGGTCAGAAACTTGGTTCTACATAAAGAAAGAAACAGCATTTGAAAGTAAATAAATAAAGGTGAAATAAAACCTTTTATTTTTCTTATTTTTTATTGAGTTAATAGATCACAGTCCAAAATAATAATAGTTACAGTGTATTTAGTAAAATGAGTAAGTAAAATGAATACCAACAATATTATAAGGTATAAGAGAGAAGAAATGAGACTACCTTGCTATATGGTTCCTGCACTATTTGTGAAGTTGTATAGTATTGTTTGAAATTAGTTTTAAAAGTATACTACAAATTCTAGAGCAAACACTTAAAATTTTTAGAAGTATAATTGATGCAAAAAGAGGAGATACAATGTAATGATATAAAGCCAGAGAAGATAAAGAGGGAAGACTCTTTTTTAAGAATGCAAGCAATAAAGTGAAAACAATAAAAAATACGTTAGGTATCAATCCACCTGCATCAATAAATACTTTAAATGTCATTATCCATTTAAAGTGATTATTTATATACACCAGTAAAAAGGCCAATCTAAATATACCAACAAAATACAGAGACTGACAGGATAATTATTTTTAAAAACAACCATAGGATGTCTATAAGAAATCCACTTTAAATATAAAGACACAGATTTAAAATAAATGAATGGAAAAATATTTGATATGCTATTACAAATCAAAAGAAAGCTAGAGAAACTATATTAATTTCAGACAAAGGTGACTTCAGAGCAAGAACATTTACAAGGCATTAGAAGGGCATTACATAATGATAAGTGGGTTAGTTCTCAAAAAACCCTTAAAATTCTTTATGTGTATACACGTAACAACAGAGCATCAAAATATGAGGCAAAAATGATCTAACTACTAAGAGAATGAGAGAAATCCATTATTACAGTTGGAGACTTCAACATAACTCCATCAGTAATTGACAAGAATCAGTAAGGACATAGTTTAACTGAACAACATTATACATCGACTGGATCTGATTAACATCTACAGAGTACTTCTTTGAACAGCAGCTAAATACATATTGCTCTCATGTGGAATATTCACTAAGATAGACCACATTCTGGGCTAACTAATTAATAAGAACAGAAATCATGCAAAGTATGTCCTCAGACCACAATAAAATCAAACTGGAAATAGATAACAGACAGATTGCTGGAAAACTTCAAAATACTTAGTAATTAAATACCACATTTCTAAATAATATGTGGGTCAAGAATGAAGTCTCAAAATAAATTGAAAATATTTTAACTGAATGAAAGAACACAAAATGCAACTTATAATAACTTATGAGATGCAGCAAATGCAATGCTAGTTAAAAATTAAAATAACTAACTACATATCTTGGAAAAGAAGAAAGATCTAACATCAACAGTCTAAATGTTCCTTTTAGGAAACTAAGGAAATAAAAGCAATGTTAAGTTAAGCAGAATAAAATAAATAAAAATTAGAGTAGACGTTAATGAGAATGAAAATAGGAAACTAATAGAGAAGATCAATAAAACCAAGAGTTTGTTCTTTGAGATTATCAATGAGATTAGTAAATTTCTAGTAAGGTTAACCAGGATAAAAAGAGAAAGAGAAACGATATAAATAACTAATATCAGGAATAGAGAAGGAACTTCATTACTGATCTCATAAACATTAAAAGAATAATAAAGAAACAAAGTAACATGTCCACAAATCATTTAACTTACATAAAGATGGCCAATTTTTACAAGAACGATCTTTTAAAATTTAAACAAGGAGAAATAGATTCTCTGAATATTACAATATCTATTTTTTTAAAAAATCAAATAATAATCTTCCAAAGCAGAAAGCATCAGAGCCAGATGGTTTCACTGGCAAATTCTGACAAACATTTAAGAAAGAAATTATACAAATTCTATACACTCAGTTCCAGAAAATAGAAACAAAGAGAATACTTCCTAACTCATTTTATGACACTAGCATTAAATTAATACACAAATTATAAAAAGACATTACAAGAAAAAAACTACAAGTAAATATCTCTTATGAACATACATGCATAAATCTTTGACAAAATATTAGCAAATTGATTGAATTATAAGCATAGTCAAGTGTGATTTATCCCAGAAATTTTCAAAAAAACCTGGTTCAACATTTGAAAATCAGTTCATGTAATCTATCATGTCAACAGGATAAAGAATCAATCATACAATATCAATACATGCAGAAAAATCATTTGACAAATCCAACACCCATTTATGATCAAAGCTCCCAGCAACTTTGGGAGGCCAAGGCAGGCAGATCACGAGGTCAGGAGATCGAGACCCTCCTGGTCAACATGGTGAAACCCCGTCTCTACTAAAAGTGCAAAAATTAGCCTGGTGTGGTGGCTTGCGCCTGCAGTCCCAGCTACTCAGGAGGGTGAGGCAGGAGATCGCTTGAATCCAGGAGGCGGAGACTACAGCAGTGAGCCGAGATGGCACCACCGCACTCCAGCCTGGGCAACAGAACAAGACTCTGTCTCAAAAAAAAAAAAAAAAAAAAACCTCTCAGCAAACAAGGAATGGAATAGAACTTGCTCAAACTGATAGAGACCATCTACAAAAAACCCTGCAACTAGCATTATAGCTAATGGTGAGAAAAAAAAGATGCTTTACCTCTAAGACTGAGAACAACTCAAAGGCATTTACTCTCATACTCTTATTGAACATTGTACTGGAGTTGCTAGTTAAAGCAATAAGACATCAAAAGGAATACAAATATATGCAGATTGGAAAAGAAGAACTAAACTATCTTTATTCACAAGTGACATGATTGTTTATACAAAAATTTCCCAATAATTGACCATAAAACTCCTATAACTAGTCAATTGTTATAACAAAGTGCCAGGATACAAGACGAATATACATGGATGTTTATTGCCTTCTTATATACTACCAAATAAACAATTGATATTTGAGGTTAATAACACAATGCAGTTAATATTAACACCCAAAACAATAAAAATGGGTATCAATTTAATAAAGACGTACAAGATCTATATGAGAAAAAATACAAAAGTCTGTTGAAAGAAATCAAAGAGTCTAAATAAATGGAGAGATATTCCATGTTCATGGACGTTAAGACTCATTTTTAAGATGTTACTTCCTCCAACTTGATCTGTAGAGTCAACACTATCCCAATAAAATTTAAGCAAGTAATTTTGTGGATATGGAAAAATGGATTCTAAAGTTTATGTTAAAAAACAAAAGACCCAGAAGAGCCAATATAATCCTGAAGAACAAATCTCAATGTTTAATTAGTTTACAAATGTCATTTAATGAATTATAATTATTACTCCTAACAGTCACAGGAGAAGAGCAGCAGGGTATGGAATGGAAAAGATGTTGCTGAATGCCCTGTGCTGCATGATATGGCTCCTCAAATAAATCTCTGGACCTTCCATTAAATAAGATAAAATAAATTGTGATGGGTGAATAAATAGACAAAGAAAAAACACAAAAATGTAAAATATAAGACAAAATCTAAGTGATCTTGAAACTGGCAATGAGTTTTAGGTGTATAACACCAAAAGCATGATATGTGAGAGAAAATAATAAATTGGATTTTATTAAAATTTAAAACATCTGATCTTAAAAGACTCCATTAAGAAAATGAAAAGACAAGGCTCAAGCTGGGAGAAAATATTTGCAAAACATATATCTAATAGAGGACTTACATCCAAATATATAAATAATTCATAAGACTTAATAAGAAAACAAAGAACCTAATTTTAAAATGGTCAAAAGATCTGTACAGAAATCTCACCAGAGAAGATACAGAGACATAAAATAATCACATAAAAAGGTGTCCAATATTAGGGAACTGAAAAATTAAAACAATAATGTGATACCACTAGACACATTTTGAAATGAAAAAACCCATTGCAACTCTAACTTATTCCTGGTGGAAATAAAATTGCTGTAGTAACCTTGTGAGGCATTTTGGCAAGCTTTTACAAGGCTAAAATCTAGTTTTGCCATATGATCCAACATTCTTGTTTTGGGTATTCACCCAAAAGAGTTGAAAACTTATGTCCACTCGAAACTCTGCATATTTGTATTTATAGAAACTTTATTCATAATTGCCAAAAACTGGAATCTACCAAGTGTTCTCAGATAGTCAAGTGGAAAAACAAACTCTGATACGTACATACAATAAAATATTTTTCAGTGCTAAAAAGAAATAAGCTACCAATCCACAAAAAGACATGGGCAAAACTTAAGTGTATTTATTAGTGAAAGAAGTCAGTAATGAGTGTGCACTCTGTTACTCCAACTAGATGATGTTCTGGGAAAAGAAAAACTACAGAGAAAATAAAAAGATGAGCAGTTTCCAGGGTTCAAGGGGAGTGAAGAAAAGGATGAACAGGTCAAACTATTCTGTCCGATACCATATGGTAGATACATGACATTATGCATTGGTCAAAATTCATAGAACTGTACAACACTAAGAGAGAATCTTGATGTATACTATGGACTCTAGCTAATGATAATTTACCAATATTAGTTCATCAATTGCAACATATATACTACACTAATGGAAAGTGTTAATAATAGGGGAAACTGTCAGGGAGTGAGGGGAGAGTGAAAAGTGGGAAAGTATACACAAATTTTCTGTACTATCTGCTCTGTAAACCTAAAATTGCACTAACTAAATTTATTAAATTTAAAACAAAGAAAGCATTGAAGGCAGGAGGGCTAAAAGGACCTAGTGCATCCAAAATTTAGAGTGAAGAATCAGGTTCCCAGAAGAGCAGGACCAAAGATAGGGTAGAAGGAAGTAAGAATTCAGAGATCCTCAAAGACAAATTTACCTTCCTCAAGAGAAGAGCGATTACAAATAAATACAACATCTACATTTCATATATATCAGCTCATTTAATTCTCCCAACAATCCTCTGACATAGTATATTTCTGATTTCTTAGTTGATTAATCTAAGGTTAATATCACTTCACTTAATCAACTGAAAAATAGTAGTGAAGAAAGAACTTATAGCTACGTCCTGGGACCTAGCAACTGTATACAAATGAAGATAATAGTCTAAGTAGATGAAAATGGTTAATTTTCTACTAAGAAGTATATGCATATGTCTATGTATGTGTCTGTATATGTGGATGTATATGTACATGTGTATGTGAATCTGTATGTGTGGATATATTACACATCATTTTTTTTCTAGAGGAGGACAAGCAATAATCCTGGCTCTTTCTGGAAGCAGGTTCCTTGATTGGCTCTTATTTATTTATTTATTTATTTATTTTCATATTTCTGAAGATTGATGTCCCTGAGTGGGCCTGGAGGTTCCTAAATAAAAAGGGTTTGGATAAAGTTAAAATAGTTTGTGTGAAAAAGTGTCAGGAATGTTGTCTTTTAAGTCAGGAATCCTGGGGGTAAATGCAAAGCAGAATTGAGTAAGGCAGGTATGTGTGAATGAAAGATTCTGGGTGTGGTCCAGAGTAGAGTAAATTGACAGTGAGTAGAAGATCAGGATCAATAATTCAGTAGTTTCAGAGACCTTTATCAAGTGTGACCCCTTCCCCTACAACACACACTAGAATGCCAGTAGAATTTAGAGACAGACTGGAGGCACAGAGCAGACTGCAGAACATGGTGTGGAAGCTGAGGATACTTTATTCTGACATTAAAGTAATGGCTATTCACCAAAGATAAAGGGACTAAGAATCATCCATGTGGCGTACTCCACACTTCCAAATTTACTGAAAGCATTTTAGTTTTATCTGCTTTAAGAGATCAACAGAAATATTTCCTTCAGTGATCTTTAAATAAACCCAGTGGTTTCATTCACCTTTTACAAACAGCATTTAGTAAACATCCCTGAGAAAACTCATACACAGAGAGTGAGTTTAAAGATTTCAGTCATGTCCATATATAACCATGACAATATGTTTTTCTGTCTTTTCTCTACCTTGCATAATACATTGAGAATGTAAACCTAATAGGGAAACCAATTGTTGTTTTGTTCACTGCTTTATTCACAATATCTAGAAGAGTATGTGGTACAGAGATGATGTTAAATAAATATCCATTAAATGATGCTATGTTTATGTTGCTTCTCTACTCTTGAGTGCATATTCCAAACAAACGCAATCTATTAGCAAGGTTGCTTTTTCCCTCATTGAAGCCCTAATTTCTCATGCAGGGACTAGAAATCCAAAGCATATCTTTTTAGCTCGTATAAATTGAAAAGGTCCAAATCAAAATGGAGTTGACATATTTGCTAACAAATCACAAGGCAGGGTGGAATTAATCACAATCCCTCCAAAGCTGTATTATTTTACACTTTAGCACATGTTCAAACATACTTTTGCTGAAAAAAGTCAAAAGAAAAATTACTTAAAAAATCAGAGATCAGGATTTTATAACCCAACATACAATGAAACACATGTGCTGGCTAAAAGTTTCCATTTTGTCTCCTCACTTTGACTGCTATGATCACATTGAACATGATAGAGTAAATTAGATACATCAGTATTTTGCTTGGTGATTAACTAATGGTGACTCTAATTTTGATAACATCACTTTGAGAGGAAAATGTTTGCAAACACAAAGTGCCAAGTGTGAAAGTCATTTTCTTTTGCCTATTTTTGAAATTGTTGTTAGGTCACAATTCAGTTGAAGATTGGCGAGGTAATACCAGATAGTGGAGAAGCCAGAGGAGCTTCATAATGAGATTAGACTTCACCAGCAATTATTCCCTAAGGACTAAAAATACTTTACACATGTGCCATGCTTTCTAGTTTCCAATGTCCTTTAGTATTTGATCCTTGTAACTCAGTAAGTGCAGCAGAGCACATTTTACCAAACAACATTACAAATGCAGAAATGTAGACTCAATGAAGTTAACTGATGGGCCCAATATCACAGTGAAAAGTGGCAAAGCCAGAGTTAGAACCCACCTCTTTGACTTCCATGAATAAGAATATTTATAGCTGAATTTTATTTATCTAGAATTCTATATTAATATTATTTTTTGTAAAATATTATTATTTAATATATATACCCTGATTACAATCTCAAGCGGATGCACTGAAATAGCCATGAACATTTGGAATGATAATAAAACCAACAGTAAAAATAAGATTAACATTTGTTAATGCTAGGCACAATACTAGGCATTTTATGTGATTACGTTATGTAATTTTCTCAGCATTATCATCAGGCAGATGCTATTTGATAGATAAAGACACTTAGGTCCAAAGACCATAAATGTCTTTAAGCAAGGTCATAAAGCTTCTTTCAAGGTCAACCTTGGACTTGAATTTAGACCAGAGCCTAGGTCTTAGCCACAAGGTAATTCTATCTCCTGAATTTGACTTTTAACTACATCACTCCTCTTTGTGATCATTTCATATCTATGAGTATGATTATAAACCCTCCTTGCTGAGAAGAACATTAAGTTTTGAATAAGAAAATGAATATAAAATTTATTTACGAACTACAAATACAGAAAAATCAGTGATTATTAGTTAAAATTCATTTCTTGTGATCTTTTCCATTAATGCTTTTTTTCTTTTCTCTTCTCTTTTTCTCCCTCCTTTTTAGTCTCTAGTTGGTTTCTTTACCATACTAGTAACTGTAAAGTGATGTAATTGGGTTTCATGAATTCCCGTGCATTTTCCTCTTCCATGACCACAGTTCCCATCAGGCATCTTGTGTGTGGCTGATCACTGAGGAATAAGTGAGTTGTGAATTTATGAATGTAAATCCATCATCACCAATTGAAAGAAATTTAGTGGTGTATGCTGTATTGACAGTGGGCTGTTAACATTATATTTATGTATAAAGGATAGATATTATTCAATGTTTTATATTTTTTCTATCAAGTTTTTCTTTAATAACTCTGAAACTTTAGTACTTGGGCATTGGACTCTGTGAAATGTGAAAATCTCCATCAGTGCTTTTTTCCCACAAATTTGTTAAAATAACCTACACATTCAAGTTAAATATGGTTAGCTGTCATCAGCTTCTAATTGTGGAACTGGAGTCTTCAGTAAAATTGGACAGTGGAACAAATCACATAAGGCATTTTACTCTTTTTTTCCATTTTGGCTCTGAATCTATGTTGACAGGGTGACTTACATTAGTTTTCTGCTCTCAGAAAAATGTAGCCCTATTTGCATTTGTTGCTATTTTCTTTTTTTCTTGCTAAAATGCAGAAGCTTACCTAGCAATAAAATGAAGACATATCATAAAATGGCTCTTTTTCATAAAAATGTTAACAACTGTCACTGAGGGCTAAAACAAGTGACCTGGCAAAACCCAATTAACATATAACTAAACATCTTATCTTTTTATCATCATGCATTAATTTATTTCCTTTTTTCTTTTTTTCCTGCAAGTTTAGTATTTGTTACCTTGTGGCAACACACATGTTGGTGATCAGCTAATTTACGCCTCATGTTGCATATAGAATTTAGTGGCTGCCAATAATTATTATGGTAGCCAAACTAGAGATTTTTCACTTCTCTTCTGAAAACTAATCATGCATTCTTTAAAGCAATCTGGTTTTGTTTTATGAGTTTTCTGCAAGAAAAATAAAAAAGAAACTCAGAACTGTGATATTTGTCATTATTCATGAAAAGTTATATGAAGGAAAGAAAGTAGGATTTTTAAAAATTTGGCTTTAGCATTAGAAAATGTACATGGAGAAGAGGATGATGGAGTCTAAAGGTCTCATCTTTATGTCACATTTTAAATAGGCAATGGTTCAATACTTGGCCAATGGGAATCTTACTGCCTGAAACTCCTCTGGATTTCTTATTCGAACTATTTACTGATAGATGAAATTAATAATTTCAAGTTTATTTAAAATTTGAAAAACTATGAAGAGCTCATGGAAGCTTGTCAGTTTAATTGAACACATCACTATTTCAAACATGCAGTAAAAAAATAAAATAGTATTCAGATATTCAATTAAATAAAAAGACATTTTCAAAGTAATACGCATTTATTTCTGAAAATCAGCTTGACTTCTGCCTGCTTTCATGCACATTCAGCATATGTTTCTTCAGTAGCTATAAATTTGCTCATTTGTTGAAGTACAGTGGGTTTTTTCCCCCTCTGAATTACACGGGAGTAATTTTCTGCTTATATTGCAGAAAAGATGATAAAGGATCTTAGGTGTATATGAAAGACTTTTTATTAAAATAAGTTTTATTTGAACTATTTCTGGTCATATAACAATTTTATATTATCTTCTCTTATTGCTGAAATTTCAAAATTATATATCTTTTAGCTCTTTTTTTCTTTCTAATTAGATTCTTTATTTCCCCCTTATTTTCATTTTTCTTTCCTTTTCATTTCTGGCCTTCTTTTACATACCTGCAACGTAGACAAAGCTTTAGCATTATGCAAATAGGGAGTTCAGCAACTTTCAAGATATTTGTATGATTTTATGCCATGTACACTAAATATTTGTAAAGTTTTTTCTGTTTTGTTTTGTTTTGTTTTTTTGAGGCAGTCCTGCTCTGTTACCCAGGCTAGAGTGCAGTGGCACGATCTTGGCTCCTTACAACCTCCGCCTCCCAGGTTCAAGTGATTCTCCTGTCTCAGTCTCTAGAATAGCTGGGATTATAGGCATGCACCACCACACCCAGCTAATTTTTGTATTTTTTAATAGAGATGGGGTTTTGCTATGTTGGCCAGGCTGGTCTTGAACTCCTGGCCTCAAGTGATCCTCCTGCATCGGCCTCCCAAAGTGCTGGGATTACAGGCGTGAGCCACCATGCTTGGCCAATATTTGTAAAGATTTTTGTCCACTATTAATAACATTTGAATACTCTATTAGGTTGAAAATAAGTTAAGCTGCTATAACAAGGAGATTCCAGAATACTGTACTCACATATGAGAGAAAGATATTTCACTCTAATATAATAGTCTAAATTGAGCAGGCCCTTCTGAGTGAACAATTGTGCCATCTTCATACCAGATTTCCAGTGTTGCTTTGGGCCTTGCCATTCCTCAAGCAGTGGGAAAGGAAAAGAGCAATCCAGTGAGAACAGCTTTGTTTTTAAACTGATAACACATTGAAGTTGCTCACAACATTTTTTCCTGATATTATCAGCCTAAACATACACACAAAGGCCACATCTGCCTACAAGTCAGATGAGAAAATATAGCCCCTCATTGGATCAACATAGGCCCAGCAAAAATTCAAGGGTTTCACTACAAAGAGGAAAATGAAGAGAATGGGTAAAAAGAAATAGCAGTCTTCATCCACTGATAACTGTTAGGTTTCTTCACAGTTTAATAAAATGACCACTTATTTGTTTATAACACTCCATTACTCAAAGTACTATCATCTAATGTATATAAAGAATATTTGTAAATCAAAGACATGATTCTTTAAAATTGTTTTCAAAGGGAGAAAGAGGAATGAAAGCTCATTTTTGTTTCTTTCTTTCTCTGTCTTTTATTTCTGTTATGCTCTACACTCTTAAAATATAAGCAGTCTGGTATTCTCAAAAGTGCTAATGGTATTGCCACATAAATTTTAATCTATTTCCCATTGAACCAGCATTAAATTCACAGGCAGCCTGGAAAGAATTAAGGCCTACCAGTTTTGAGTTTATTTCTGAACACAGATCTACTAGAGAAGTCATAAGAACTCTTATCAAAATGTCATTTGGAGAAATGTAGTATTTTATATGGTTTTATTAATATTATAAAATTATATTACATTATTTATAATCATGTTTGAGCAGAGATAAATGACAAATTTAAAACTGATCTATAGGCAAAACAAAAATTGTCACAGACAAACTATAACTACTGGCTAATTTTTCAACAAAAGAAGATAAAATTCATATTTACAAAACCATAAAAAACTTCACTTCTTTTTAGAGTGTAATCATCTCTTCAATGTTTGTTCATAATTGTATTCCAATTACATGCTATAAGTTTTCCAAATGTACTCATTTCAAATGTGAATATTTGCAATATTTTATGATATATATCCATTACTATACTCACTTGCCATTTTTGTTCACCTCGTTTCTTTTATTATTATTTTTTTATTTATTTTGGGGTGGGGGACGGAGTTTTGCTCTTGTTGCCCAGGCTGGAGTGCAATGGCGTGGTCTCGGCTCACTGCAACCTCCACCTCCTGCGTTCAAGAGATTCTCCTGTCTCAGCCTCCCAAGTAGCTGGGATTACAGGCAACCCCCTCCATGCCTGGCTAATTTTTGTAATTTTAGTAGAGACAGGGTTTCACCATGTTGGCCAGACTGGTTTCGAACGCCTGACCTCAGGTGATCCACCACCTCAGCCTCCCAAAGTGCTGGGATTACAGGCATGAGCCACCGCGCCCGGCCCACCTCATTGTTTTTTAAACTATAACTCATGCTAGAATTCACTAAAGAAAGCAGCTGCATAAAATTGTTAATGATATTTATACTCCTTCACTCAAAACAATGTTTAGCAGTTGCAAAATTTATACTTTTTTCTATTATTGATAACTAGCGAAGTAAGACACTTCATTAATATTTTTTCCAAACAGCTGTGTCTGAAATTCTGATATATCAGGTATGTCTCAGATTTACATACAATTATCGAGAAAAAGAAATAGAATCTTGAGATTTTCAGTGACTATCTTTTTTAAAAAATGAGAGTTGTCTTTCATGTGTAAATTACTTAAAATAATAAATTAATAAACCACCTATTTTATTACTCAAAATAATAAACCCCTGAACAGGGGATGATTTTATTCACACTTGCACCCACAAAGCACAATTCTTGGCACGTAGTAGGCAATTAATGACTATTGGTTAAATCAATATTATTCAAAATAATAAAATAATATTATTCAAAACAATACACCCCTATATAATTAATAGAGGGGTTTATCATTTTTAAAAATTATAATTATAATTATAGGGGTTTATCACTAATAACAATTATATCTAAATGTTGATTATTATTATTATTATTATTATTATTTTAGATGGAGTCTCACTCTGTCGGCCAGGCTGGAGTGCAGTGGTGCAATCTCAGCTCACTGCAACCTCTGCCTTCTGGGTTCAAGTGATCCTCCTGACTCAGCCTCCCAAGTAGCTGGAATTGTAAGCAAACACCACCATGCCTGGCTAATTTTTGTATTTTTAGTAGAGACAAGGTTTCACCATGTTGGTCAGGATGGTCTTGATCTCCAGACCTCATGAACTGCCTGCCTCGGCCCCTCAAAGTGCTGGGATTACAGGCATGAGCTACCGCGCCTGGCCCAAATATTGATTTTTTATAAGGAAAACATTTGAAAATAAATATTAAAATATACGATATTTCTTATTGAACTCATGTCAATAGTAGAATAAAAAATAAAGCATTTTTTCCAATTATTACTTTTTTTGGAAATGAAAAATGAAAAGAAAATGTAGATAGTCTTGCTGTTGGAAGTATTCAAAGGTTTTTTTTTTTTTTTCTAATACAAACATGGCATCTCTTGCAAAGAACAGAGAAGGAATTCGCCATAATTTCTCAAGATTATCACTGTGCCTCCATTGAGTCTGATGCTCCAGTGATATCAATCATCTTGCAGGTACTAGGGCATGCTTCATCCCTACTGACATGTACTGAGGCATCCCGAATTTAACATGTCCAGGAGAAACATAGTTTCTCAGTAGCAATCCTGTTATCCTAGTAAATGGGAATACCATATTTCCATTGCTCAGGCCCTAAAATTTGGAATCGGTTTTGAATTCTGTCTTTCTTCTTTAGGTTAATTACCCCATCATGTTGATACTACCTTCAAAATGCATTCAGAATCCGATGGACTCTCACTTTTTTTTTTTTTTTTTTTTGAAACGGATTCTCGCTCTGTCGCCCAAGCTGGAGTGCAGTGGCACGATCTCGGCTCACTGCAAGCTCCTCCTCCCGGGTTTACGCCATTCTCCTGCCTCAGCCTCCCCGGCAGCCTGGACTACAGGCGCCCACCACCACGCCCGGCTAATTTTTTTGTGTTTTTAGTAGAAACGGGGGTTTCACCGTGTTAGCCAGGATGGTCTTGATCTCCTGACCTCGTGATCCGCCCGTCTCGGTCTCCCAAAGTGCTGGGATTACAGGCGTGAGCCACTGCGCCCGGCCGGACTCTCACTTTTAAATGCTACTACCCTGGTTCTATGCATCAATATCTGTCATGTAGATCACTGTGAAAACTCCACGTCTTGTTTCCCTGTTTCCATTCTTGCCTTCCACAATCATATCATACATCATCTAGATTTCTTTAAAACTTAAAAGTTTATCTTTATTCAAAATTATCTAGTCAACATAAAATCTGAAGTTCTTACCATGCCCTGAAAGGCCATATGTTGTTTTTTTTCACCTCCCTTCATTCTGATTTCGGGCCTTAACTCCCTCCCTCTAAATCACCGCATGTCAGCCATACTGGCCTCTTTGCTGTTTCTCAAACGAATTAGTTCCTGCCTCAGAGTGTTTGCCCCTGATATTTCTTCTACTTGAAAAGTTATTCCACCCTACTCGGTTTCTCACTTCTCCCAGGTCTTTACTCAAATGTTATTAATGGACTGGCTTTCTAAAAAGGTTCTCCTTCCCCAGGCCCTCTCTATCCTCATACTCCGCTTTGTTTTTTTTAAACAGAATTAATCACTACTTGAGATATTATATTTATTAGTTTATTTATTTTCTTTTTCTAATATATAAATTTTACAAAAACAGTTATGTTTTCTGTTTTGTTCAGTACAACATCTGCAAGGTCTGGCATTCAAAAACCATTCGCTGAATGAACGAAGAAATAAAGGAATGCATCATGCCCGGAGGCTGTTTCAGATCTTTGTGTCTCTCTGCCAGATTTCCCTGCTGCCTGGAAGTCTTGTACTCTCCTGGGTACTGGCTATCTAGTGAACAAATCTTCAATTACCCTACTGGAGAGTTTAGAATATTGTCCTCTTTCCTTGAGCTTTTCTGTCACACTCCTCAGATCAAACCACCCACCCTTTCCTCTGCTCTTCTACTGTAACCTCTGCATGCTTCTTTCATACCTCCTGGGACACTTAGGTGTCTACAGTACTTTCTATGTCCAAAAGCATCTTGTGGACAGGAGACAATTTTATTCTCACAATCCTTAGCACACAGTGGGCACTTAATGACTATTTTTTAAATCAATGCATAAATAGAAATAAGCAACATATGTCTAATATTCTCCTCTTGATATATGAATGAAAACCTAAAGCTAAAGATTTCTATGAGTTAACTTCATTTTTATGACTCTAATAACTTATTTAATAATAATAATGCCAATGACCTATTGCACATTTGCTTTTTGCTGGCATTATTGTAATTTAATAAGTAGTAGTAACTCATTTATTCAATCTGCTGAGTTTATGAACTATTATCATTTGAATTTTAGACAGGAGTGACCAAGGCACTAAGATGTTAAGCAGCTTGTCTCACTCACTAATAAGAACAGACTCAGGTCATCTGCCTCCAGAGCCTCTGCTCTGTATCATTAGTTCACTATACAGTCTTCCTCACTATAAGACTAATTTCTTTTTCTTCCCCTACATTTATTAGGAGAAAAGTTTTTGACAGAGGTCAGTGTTGATTGATTACCAAAGTAAATCTCAGAGAAACTTCCGTGAGCATCATATGATACAAATCTATTTCTGAGGCTACAGCTTTTCATCAAAATTATTGGTCTTTATTGGTTTTGTTATGTGTTTGTGTTTTATCAAGGCACATTCTGTACAGGTGGTTTTCGAACTGATTTTAAATACATTATTTTGTGTAATTATATATATATATAAATTATACACATATATATAATTTCATAGTTAATTTTTACCTATATCCTAAAACAAGAATTAGCAGATGTGATTGACATTGACAGTGCCTCTCACAGGGAAGACGTAGGTTTTATTTTCCATGAAATATTTAAGGAGCACGTGTACTAACCTAAAGGAAAACTCAACATATTCATGAATAAGCATAACCTGGCTTATTATGTTAAATTGCACTAAATTGGATAAAACTGGGGAGTGACTATCAAAATAATTTTCTTAAATTTAGAAATAGGAACCCTATTGTGTTAAATCTCTTATTATTACCATCTTAAGCAAGCATTTAATGATAATCTTAATGATTAGCACCACTATTTTAGAGGACAGTTGCAAACAGAGATCATGACAGGTGTTATTAAGGGAAAACCTAAAATGAATTTATAGAGAAATTATTAGATTTAGAGGGTAAGTTTAGTAAGCTGGTTATATATACACACACATATATATATAAACATATATACATATATAAATACATATAGTTAATCTGAAAATGATTAATTATGCTTTTATACTGAGCAATAAATATTTAGTAAATATAATTTCTGGGACTGCTATATTTTCAATTGCTTTATATGGAAAATTTTAAATATATACAAATGTAGAAACTATGATAATAAACCCATGTACCATCTGTCCTTATCAACGCATGACTAATTTGCCTACAGCTCTTGCTAATTCCTGCTACTTCTGGTTTGCTTTGAAAATTATTTTATTTTTAAAATTTCAGTGTGTCTCTCTAAATAATTAGCATTCATCTTGAAACATAACCATATTTCTATGATAATATTTAACTTAAGAATAATGCTTAATATTATGATGTAATCAATTAGTGTTCAAATTCCCTGAGGGTCTCAAATATTTTTATAGAATGTTTACTAGAACCAAGATACAAATAAGATCCATATGCTACAGTTGGTTAAAATGAAACTTTTCCTATAATTTCTAAACCTCCCTCCTCTAAACGTTTTTTTCTTAATGTTTATTTGCTGAGGAACCGGGCCATTTGTCCTATATAATTTCCCAGAATATGAAATTTTCTAATTGTATCCCTTTGGTAACACTTAACTTGTATTCTGTTTTATATATTTCTGATAAATTGGTAGTTAGATCTGGAGGTTTGATCATATTCTGATTTGGAATTTGGCAATAATAATTTATAGGTGGAATTGTATACTTCCATTCTATACATAATATGGTGAGTTTCAGAAAGTAGAATGACTTCTTTACATATGTTTCCTCACTTTCTAGATTATTCTGAGATTGCATTGAATCCATTGATTGTTGCCTTAGTTCAAATATGAAATTTGTATTTTTGTTTTCTTGAAAATTGATTGACATATAGTAAATTATGTAAATTTACTAGAATATTATCAAATATAAATGATTAGGAGGACTTTTTTCCCAATTCACCTATTATATTTGATTTTTAATTGACTTTTTCTTATTTCATTAATAGTCAACAAATCTTTACAACAGCAGAAACATATTAAAAATGGTTTTGATTTTTAATTTAATGCCTTCAATTATCATAAGAAAACTGTTGACACACCTGAGACCTACAGAATACACTGACTGTGATTGTTTACCATTTAGTTTTCTTTACAGTTTCTGTTCAAAGTAACCATGAATATTGAGATGCATGTGTCTTGAGTTTTCAACATGTTCAGGATGTAGTTCATCTCTATTCCTGAACTTGGATTTACTCTCCTTTCAGATTAATCATGAAAGGCTTAATTTATTATGAAATTCAAAGAAAAATGCTTTATATACTCTTATCAATAATTCTACTCTGATAAATCCAAAACCGTATATGATTGCCAAACTCTATTAAAGAATTATGTATCGTCACTTTAGAGTTTTTCATAAGTGCTATTAATTGCCATTTCAAAATAGACTTTGGTGATTTTCGTGGTTTATTCAGGGTGGCCCTTGGAATCAAGCTAAATACTCTTTTTGTCTTTTAGTTCATATTTACCAATATGAAATTCTACTTAGAATACACTCTCTCTAACAGTGCAAAGTGCTACATCAGATATTGGGCAAAGATAAACAGAACTGCTATTTGAAAGCCTAAAAATCGAAGACAGAAACAGAAAGACAGACAACATATACTAGGATAGAATGTAGACACACCTACACAGGATTAAAAGATAGGGACAGCAAAACATCCCATTTACATGTGAACAGAGCTTAAGAAATGCAGCCTATAGGCCATAAAATTAAAGAGTGGTTTGAAGCACAGAAATACATTAATATCAAAAAAAAAAATAAGAAACTGAGATGAAATCAGAAGAAAATGAAAATTAAGTCGATCTGCTTTATAGATGGCATGACACAGTCAGTCCTTCCCTGGATTGTTTAGCTAGCTGGCTTGAGCATCTTCAGACCTTTGTTTTCTCAAACTTGAAATGTGCTCCCAAGAACAGATTTAGTCTCTGAAGTCTCTGGCACCCACCTTGATCTTGTATATTAAATAAAGGAGCTCTAATTTTTTAGGAAAAATAAAACTTATCTGACTCTAATTTTTTGACCCAGTTCTGCAAAGAGATTTCTACCATATTCCTAGTCCTTGTATTTTCCCCAAGGTGTGGTAGGCACACTCTATTTCTTTGTCTAATGTCAATTATTTATATATCTGGGACACCAGGGCTTTGCCTGCCCCTGTGATTGACACCTGCTAATCAGCAAATCGAATATAAGAACGCTGTCTGTTTCTTCTCTCCCTCTTCTCTTCTCTGTATAATTTTAATATCACATAGTCCTAAATCTCTAGTCAACACTGTGAAAATCCCTTGTTCATCCCTCTCTGATGCCACATTCTGTTGCCAGTTGTTTTAAATGCTCTATCCTGACTGCCAGATCAATTTCTACCTGCAGTTACATCTGTCTTCAAAGACTTGCTCCATTGGAGTATTCATCTGGGTCCAGTATGAGAATGTCATTCCTTCTGAAGATGTACAATATTATGCCACTTAGACAGTATGCATACCTGAGGTCATTTTCCCATTGCCCCCCAAGGAGCAGCCATGTTCCGCTGGCATCACTGTGATTATGAATTGGAAATACTGCAGCTAAAGGAGCTGCCCTCCCACAACACCACAGGAAGAAGCTCTGTGTAGTCACTGTGGAGAGCTACAGCTCCTGCCCCTCTTCCACAGCTTTCCCAATCCACTCTGTCTCCCAAGACACTGCCATCACAGATAACCCTCCATCAGGTTGCTTCTCCCATATTATCTGCAGGCCTCTGTAGGGACTGAGGAGCTGGAAATCTCTATACCTTATATCTTCTTCCACTGATGTCTAGAAAGGGATAGAATATTGATCCAGCTGCTGGGATTGGAGCTATAGATGAAAGGATGTATAGAGGATACAAGTGTTTGAAGGTAACTATGACCTGAATCAGAATTTTAAACATGTTTCCACAGAAGCAATGTTGTAGGCACATTTGTTAATTTATCTACCCATTCTTGTGTACCAAACATGAGCCAGGCACCATAATGAAATAAATGATGATTTGTTTCTTAATTAAAATCATTATTATTTTTCTACTTAGGTTAAATTATAGATTATAGATTTATTGGCCTTGGTGAATAGGAATTCTGATCACCATTATAGTACAGTTTTTAAGAGAAAATTCATTTCAAGTTCCAACAATCAGGCCATAGACTTGCTAGAAAGCATTTGCAAGAACACTCCAACTCACAACTGTGAATTGTGGTAGAGTTATGACCTGCAGTTACCTTCTCGTGCCCATTTGTTGATATCACCAACTGTCATGAGTAGCAAATTTGTTACTTGGGGTTTTGAAGGGCACCACCTGCACAACCGTCTTGCTGCCTACCTGACTCTTATCTTTACTTGAATGATGAAAGTAATGGGTCTAGAGTGTAGATAGTGGTAAAAGTTCCAGGATTTGTTGTTTGTTATTTGTTTGCTTTATTAGCACATCAGCTAATAAAGCTTTTCTACATAGGTTCCTCTTTTTTATTTTTATTTTTTTATTTATTTTGAGACAGAGTCTCTCTCTGTCATCCAGGCTGGAGTGCAGTGGTGCAATCTCCGCTCACTGCAACCTGCGCCTCCGGGTTCAAGCAATTCTCCTACCTCAGCCTTCCAAGTAGCTGGGACTACAGGTGCACACCACTGCACCCAGCTCATTTTTTTGTATTTTTAGTAGAGACGGGGTTTCACCATGTTGGCCAGGCTGGTCTCGAACTCCTGACCTCAGATGATCCACCCACCTTGGGCTCCTCCCAAAGTGCTAGGATTACAGACATGAGCCACCATGCCTGGCCCATAGGTTCCTTTTCTGAGTAACCTGATTTCAGATATAAGACAGAAAAATACAGACACCAGGTCAGTTAGGTAGAACTTAAAGATTACTGTTTTTGCTAGTGTAGACTCAGCTTTAAAACATGACAAGGCAACATTTCCAGCATTTAGGATATTTCGTGATTTAGCCTTAAAGGGAGCACCTGGGAAGGGAACCATCATATTCCCTGCAGAATTAAAATTGACCAAGAGAAAGGGAATAAATATAGTGAGGGCAATCAAAAAAGGGAGCACATCTCAAATGTGTGGTCATGGGCTTCAGATTCTTATTTACACTGGTGCTGGAAAGAGAAGGACAGAGACAGACAGAGAGGCATGACTAGATGTCAACATGGGTTGAATGCATGAATCTCAGAAAAGGGAGTGATCAGCATAAAGTCAGGATGTTCGATAACCGCAGATAGTTTTCCAAATATCTGAACATCATTTGTATCTGTGGATCAGAATGAGCAGCTAAAATTAGGAAAGTATGCCAGAATGAGATTATTTAGTGGCTTTTTTAGGATATCTCTGATGATAAGCTATGCAATGTCATTAAAGAAAAAAATTAGAATTTAAGAATAGAGACAGATAAGAAATTCTTCAGGCCTCAGATCTACTCCAGGATGTACAGTTAAGTGGACAACACAATTTGATGATGAGAGTAGACCACTGTCTGAGTGGTCTCAGAGAGGCAGGCTGGGATGAACTACACTGCTGACTACTCCTCAGCCCATAGTACTTGGTGGAGTCAGCAGCCAGGCTCGAAGCAGTGGTATCATCACCCATTTCCAAAGAGAGCAGCTGAGTTCTTCATCTTCCCTCTAACCAATTTCCCCTGAGATAATTCTACCTAAACAAGCCTCAACAAAGATGATAACATCTGATGTTAGTATGACCAACAATACCATGCAGACCAAACGAAAGAGCAGTAAGAGACCCATGACTTCCAAAGAAAGCATTCCTTTTTTTATTATTTCCTAGAGATGAAAGTACAAAGGTTTAACCTCTTGGGTTGAGTAACCTCCAGCAATATTTAGAGTTTTCCCAGGAGGCAAAATTGCCAGGTAAAAAAGAAAGATATTTATATTATGAGAACAATGTGAATGAAGTAACCTCATTGAAGATTAAAAGGAATATGACTTAATTCTTTACCTCATGCTAGTAAATTGGTTTTGTATGAAGATTTTAGCTTTCATGTCTCTGCTTGGATACATTTCTTTTTCTTTTTTTCACTGCAGGGAGCTGAAACAACAAAGAGGGGGAAGCTGTCTAGAGAGGGAGAAAGAAGACTAATTGAGAATCCAATGTAAGTTCTTGGCTAAGGGCTGGACTATACGTGTATGAAAAGAAACTATATAGTGATTAACTTGAGAGAAGCTGCTGTGGGTTTAAGAAGAGATCTAAGACACTACAGGTAGAACCACACTGGGAGACTTTGGAATTCCAGTCCACACACTTCTAAATACCATAAGCATCCATAAGCACACTCCAGAAAAGTCATGTCTTTGGAGTTAGGACTCTGCGCTAGAGTAAAATCCACTGAAAATGCAACCTTCTAAAGCCTAAAACCAAGCCTCAATGATATCTTTAGATGAATGTCAGGGTTTGGAGATTGAATTCCAACAAATAAAGGAGTCTTGGAAAACAGTCTATCCACAGAGACATGTTAACAAAGTGAAAACAAAAACTTTAAGGTTATCAGTTAGTAATTGCACTCCCTACTAGAATTAAAAGAAAAACTCTTCAGAAGTATGCACCAGAATCAGGAGTGTATATAAGATAATATCCACAAAGTTCAGTGTTAAACCAAATTTACTAGACATTTTTAAAAAAGGAAATATGACCCACAGTTAAGAAAAAAAAATACAATGAATAGAAACTGACCTCAAGATGGCCCAGATATTGGATTTAGCAGATCAGGACTTTTTAAAGCTAATATAAATATTTTCATGGATTTGAAGGAAAATGGGGTTTATCTAAAGCTATAGAGAAGCTTGGTTAGAGAAATGAAAACTATGGGGAAAAAAGAAGCAGAACTGTATGGAAATTCTGAAACTAAAAATTACAATGTCTAAAATGAAAAAAAATTCTGATGGGATTAATAGCAGATTGAGGATGATAGGAAAAAGGGGTCAGCAAACTGAATAATAGAAATTAATCAATATGAAAAAAGGGAAAAAATATAAGATAAATTACCAGAGCCTCAGAGAACTAACAGTCACTGTCAAACAATCTTATGTGTGTAATTAGGATCCCAGAAAAAGAAGACAATAAGAATATGACCAGTAAACATTTGAAGATATAATGGCAATAATTTTTCCAGATTTAATAATAAAAATTTACTATCCACTGATAGATTCAAGAGAACTTAGCTTCAGGCTAAAAATGATCAAGAGAAAATAACGACATTAGCTCAAGAAAAAAATAGATGTAGTACTTACACAGAAAACATGATATGGATTATGGCTAATTTCTCATCTGAAACCATAGAGGCCTAGAGCTATAGAAAGATTTATTTAAAATGCTTAAAAACCAATCTTCCTAGAATTCTATTTCCAATGAAAATATTCTTTAGAAACAAGAATGAAATGAAAACATTCTCAGATAAGTAGTAACTGAAAATATTGCAAGGAGACTTGTGCTAAAAGAAATGCTAAAGAATGTTCATTACACCGACAAGAAATGACATCAGATGGAAACTTGGCTGTATTATTAGGAATGAAGATACTAGAAATGGTTAAAAACAAGGGGCAGGAGAGGGGACAGTAAGCATAAAAGGGTTTTGTTAAATGTCCCAATTTCCCTTAAAAAAATAAAACAGACTGTTTAAAACAAATAAGAAAAATAAAACAAAAATTGTTAAATGTAGTTATATAGTTATAATAAAACTTAAAATATTACAACAGTAGCACAAGAGATGAAAAATAGCATTTCAGTTAGCTCAAGCTGCCATAACAAAACACCATAGATTGGTATAACAGAAATTCATTTTCTCCCAGTTCTGGAGGCTGAGAAGTTTAAGTCAAGGCACCAAATGCTGGCCCATTTTGGTTCTAATGTGGGCTCTCTTCCTGGCTTTTAGACAGATGTCTTCCCTCTGTGTCCTCACACGGCAGAGAGAGAGAATAAAAAGAGACAGCAAGAGTAAGGGTGAGAGAGCCCACATTCCTCTGTTCTCTCCTCTTATAAGGACACTAATCTATGGGATCAGGGCCCTATCTTTATTACCTTATTTAATCTTAACTACCTTTGTGTAGGCCCAATCTCTAAATAGTCACATTTAGGGTAAGGCTTCAGTATATGAATATTTGGGTGGATGCAATTTAGTCCATAGCAGATGGTGAGGGTATCAGTGAAATTGTATTGTTGTAAGGCTTTTACAATTGTGAAGTGTGAAGTGTCAGATACCAAGTTGCAAGTTTACAGCAGAAAATGGTGTAATATTGACTCTACATAATAAAGGAAGAAAATATTTTTTAAAAATTGATAATACAAATATGATACTTTGTCACAATATTAAGGACTACACAAAATCTCTTCATTACACTGATAATCAAAATAGTATGAACAACCAAGAGAAAAGAAATTCATTATGGACCAAAGAACATATTGGTACCCTAATCATTTTTTATCTTTCTAATATTAATGAATTTCTGAATATTGTAGTTGTTACTTTATGTTCTGCAAGATTACCTTTTTATATATACACAATTTAAAACTAAAATAGGATGGGCTTAAATTATCTTTTTCCAGCTAAAGTCAGTATTTGATGAAATTTTAACTAGAGCAGTAAAGCAGCGTAGTCATTATTCAAATCTATACAGACCCACCTTTACAAAACAGCCTCCAGTTTAACGCTAAGCATTCTTTAAAAAGCCTATTTGTTGTTAGACAGAAGGAAGGCTAAAATTCATGTATGACAGGATTGTAAATATTTCTACTCAGAAAATGAAATCAAGATTCAACTCTCTATTTGAGGAAAACATGCCAACTTTAAGAGAAGCTGAAATTTTGCAAGGCCTACTTATTGCTTGTTTCCTAAATGACCTAGAGTAAATAGAAACAGCCTTTTCATGTGGCTGCTGATTAAAGCAAGGTCTGTAAGTTGGCAGTACATCATCTGAAATTTCAAAGTATAAGTGGAAGCCGGGGTTTCTTTTCCTTTCAAAAAATCCCCCTAGTCTTTATACGTGGTCTGAGTAGCTGGCATACAGATATAAAATCGCTGGGCAGTAATCAGGAGTGTACTGGTCCTTATGGCAGGCATCAAGTGGGTTACTGCCAGGTCTTTGAACTACAAAAATAAATAGAGAATAGAAGTGCATTGTATTGGCCAAGCCTGGGGCTCAGTCATCTGTCTTGGAGCATGCTCTGGTGAGAGTGTTTAACTTGGATTCTTTCCATCACATGTGGTAGCTGCAAGAGTGAAAAGAGAGAGGAAAAGAACAATGTTAGGTGGTATATTTAATAGTGTGTTGGCTTAACAATTCTCAGGAAACTGTTACTTCTATTTTCCTCTTAGCAGCCAGAATTTATTCTCTTTGTTGAAGTTCTGAATGAGTGCATGTGTACTTTAGAAAATGTGATTCTACCATCTCCACTACTTTCTATTGTTTTACAAAAGGCTTAAATAGCAAGCATAGAGATTCCCTCCAAACGCTATCTATTAAAGGAAACTCAAAGGACAGTATATTTTTGTATTTAATTTCACCAGCAGCCTTGATATCCCTGAGTCAACTGGTCTCCTTTACCCTGAACCTGAGAAGCTGGAATTTGTGGTAACTGGATGTTTGTTGTTTTTGGCTAAATTATCCTCTTTTCTTTCTTTTCAAGGACAATATAACATAAACTAAAACAATTTTAGGCTCTGGCTGCCTTTTCATTTTTCTAATTTTTCTTCTATAAGAAAAGAGAACCTTCACTAAACCACATTGTACCCATAATAGAAACTTGATTTAAAAAAATACCTGTGACTAGAAAAGGAATGGATTCTTTGTAAAGACAGTGATGCACTCAGCTGTTGTATATTAGAAGAAATTTTGCTTGTTTTCGCAGCAGAATTATTTTGCTTTCTATACTATCAGAAAGAGTACTAGCAAATCACATGAGATTTTTAAGAGATTTTAAAGAAAAAGGCAACACTTTTCACAGTTAAGTTTTTAGTTGCTAGCGTATTTTTTTCTAGATCATGCAGCACACAGTTGTAGCTCTGTGAAACATCAGTAATAATAAAGTAATGAAAATCTGAATTATTTATGAAAATACAACTAAAGAAAATTGTTATAAAATTTTGTTATATGACTTTGGACTACACATTTTTTCATGATTTCTACAATTTTTAAATTTGAGATCTTGTTCAGAAACTAAATATGTCAACGTAATAGTCCATTTAAAAAATTATTGACGTACACACCTGGTAATACGAGCTTTATTCAAAGCAGCTTTATTCAATCTAATTCTTCATAGGAACAATATAATGTATGAGGAGCTACATTTCTGTAAAATCTAAATGGCTTCTTCTGTTAAATAATGAAAAGATTAAAATAAATCTTGAAGATTAATAAATATTCCTTATGAAAATTATTCAATAGCTTATGAGGTTGATATTTTAAAACTAAGCTCAATATTGATCATCTTTTTTCTTGGATAACAGTCTTATTAGAACTGCAAATTTAATTAACTTTTTAAAATATAAAAAGTCAAAGACTGCACACAAAAAAATTTCAGTACAATTTAACATTAAGAGGTTATCAAACAAAGGAAAAACATATATAGCTACAGTTCTTATGCTTTTTGAAACATTTTCATATACTGTTTTCAAATCATATGATATTATAGCAGACTGTATCATTTGCTATCATGTTGCATAATTTTAGTAGTATTTTAATAATGAATTAATTTCTATCACATATTACTTCAAAAATTTCAGTTTTTCTTCTATACTCTGCGTTTGAAACCCATTTTTTTATTTCCCCCAACTAGGTTTGCAGACATTCTTTTCCCTTATTGTCACAAAAGCAGTGATAGAAACAGAGAATGAAAATTAGTGTAATAATAGCAACAATACCTCTATATTTATGTCTTATAAAAACAAGGAAATTATTAGATGCTCCTGAGGCAAAACTCTAATGTAAAAACATTTCCAAAAGCATTGCTTTTGAGGGCTTAACAGACTTATTAAATTTTTTAGGGACACTCGAGATCAACTGACTCAGAAATCGCATATTTTCTGCTTTTTCAGTGTGTTTAAACAGCCAGATTTAATGCTTCCATGTACCCATTGAAAATGTGTGAATACTTTAAATGTTCTTGACCTCAAACAGGCATTTAAACAAACTGTAGGTTGAACCTATTCTAGATAGTAGAAACTTCAGAAGGTTTTGTTCTCCAGGTAAATAAAGCTTCCCACTCAGACATTTTCTTTTTTATTTTCTCTGCCATAGAAGTTGAGCAACTGGCTCATGGACTTACTTTAAAAAATATAATAAGACTAACTCAGGCCAAATAGATTCTGCAAGTGAGTGATGTAGAACGTAGAGAAGAGAAATTATTTGAGAGTGTCTTAATAATCAAGGCATACTGGTGTGAATAAAAGATGTCTCAAACTTCCAACTAAGGCCAAAGAGATTAATTACTAGGTCTTTTTCCAGTGCAGCCATGGGCTTGCCCCTTTGATTGACATTTGATTGACTGGGCTATTCTACAGATCTGTAGGGGCAGAGGCCAACTTGAATATTCTTCTTCTGACAGGTGTGCAATAGTTTCTGTCCTGTGGAAAAGATAATCTCAAACATTATGGTGTATTGCCCTGTTGGACATTAACTGATTTTGTATTTAACCCAACAATCTTGCCTAGACGCTCCTTTATGTTGCTTAAAAATACTTGCACTTGCACTAGTATTCTTCTTTGAACTAGTTTTATTTTACTTCTCAATTAATGAGCTAAGTAAAGATCATTGAAAGATATTCACTTTATGTTTACCTAAGTCATGACTTAACCTTTTGGAAAAGTATAATAAAACATTGGTAAGAGGACAAAAAAATGATTCAGATGTTACAAACTTTAAAGAGCTCAGTGAGGAAAACAGTACTTTTAATCTGTTGTATTAGTTACGAATTCTCCCAAGATTTATGACAATAAAAATTAATTTCATTGTTAAAATATGCAAAGTATTAAATTTAAAACTCCATTTTATTTAGCTAATAAAAATAATCCAACTGTCAAATACTTATTGAACATTTTCTTTCTTGTGATGGTCCTCCTTTAATAACCTGTGCATTGTAGAGACAACATACTGTCATACGAGAGTGCACTATTCTCTAGACCAAACCTTTGACTTTTTTGTTTTTCTATTCCCAGTGTTTTCCATAATGCTTGACTTAGTAGGTGTCTGGTAAATGATACATTTTAGATTTTTAATGTGTATGAGGCATGTTTTTCTGTCTTTGTTAAATAAAATCAAGTCTCTCAAAAGTATTCCATTTATGAGACCTCCCTGGGACCCAAATATGCCCATTTTTTTTCAAGTTCAATGTATTTAAAATGTAAAAATTTTATTCAGTGTACCTATATACATCTTATTTGTAATAATTATTGTGTTTATTTTTTCAAAAATTAAAAAAAGCAAAATGGCATTAGACTACATTAGGAACTAGAGGTGCTACTTGCATGCTGTATGGACAGTTCACTTCTCTTTGTCTCTGTTTATTGAACTCTAAAATGAGGTACGGGAGAGAAAGTATCCTAACGTATCTTCACTGCCTAAGAGTCTATTATCATATGTCAACATCTATAGCAATTTGATCCTACCTAGTGACAGTACCACTGTGGTTGTCAACTCTACAATATTACAGATAAAGTTTAGGAAGAACTTTAAGAACATTAAGTTGGCCAAGTTAAAGATCTGCTGAGTGTATGTGATTAACAGGATGCCTTTTGAAATAAAAAGATACTTCAAAAAATCTTTTTACTTGCAGCATGCTCTATATAATTGAGAAATTGATGTGGAGGGTAGATGGAGCACAGTTTCATAATCTTTTAGCCTACAGATACTAAAGACCACCTTTGGTGTTCTTGGAGAAAGCACGGGGAAATAGAGCAAGGCAGGCACCTTGTTTTTTGTTTTGCTTTGTTTTATGGCTGTGTGTGTGTGAGTATGTGTGTGTGTGCATGTCTGTGAACATGCTCCCCCTGCCAATGATTTTATGAGGCTTCATTCAACATGAAAAGTTTGTGACATGAAGGAAAAATTGTCAAACCTAATATGAAACCTGAGTTGTAGGCTACCTAAATCATAACCAGTGCTAACTCATAAATAGGCCTATCAAAAATATTTCACAGACTGACCAAGTGTAAATATAAGCCTTTGATTGCTGGCATATATGAGCCATGTAGCTGTAAGTCCTACAAAATAACTATTCTATGGCGAGGTTAGGATTCAATATAGCAATATTCTAAGACTTATTTAGCTCTTAGTATGTAAGTTATGCTGCCAGAACTTTTTTTCTAGCTTTATAATGCTGAAAAAATAAATATACATTATTTTACACATTAACAGTAATATGTAGTAATATAAGGTGTGTTATTTACTTATGTTTTTCTTTTTAACTTTTTTCTCCCCTCTGATAAGCTTATTTTTACTGAGTTCCTTGGAAATTCTCCTGATTTAATTTTCAACATTTTTTAGCATTACCTTTTAAAATTAATTCTATTTAATTATTTCACAAAGAATGGGGGCTCATTCACCTCTCTTTATTTTCCTTCCAAACTTAATTCCAGTAGTCCTGTAAGAAACGCCATACTCACTCTTCCCTATCAGGGCTTTATTCCTCTAGGTAAAGATTATCTGCCTTTCATTGTTCTTGAACCATTAAATATAACCGATTTGCCTAAAGGGACGATATACCTCTCCTTCTGTACAGTGAATAAGAGAATTGTTTATGTAAATGGTATACATATGGACAAGTCATACATACACTTCACACCCCAAAGCTATCTAAAATTCAGAAATTTGGATTCAACAAACCTGTAAGCTGAAGGGGAACACCTAACCAAGCTCAAACAACTAGGCTTTCATTGTTTTAGCTCCAATATATACATGGAATTTGTTTTCCCCAAATGTGGCCCAAGTTTTCTATAAACTTATTGAAGAAATTCTTGTTGAACCAGTATATAGAGAGCTATCTGAGCTCCCTAACCCCCAACATGTAATTTGATTCTCATTTATAAATCCCTAGGTATGTATTATGTAGGGAACAATAAGAGATGAGCCGTTTCATATTACCCCTCCCATAAATATTCCCTTTAATCATTTTTATACCTCATACACATTTCTCCTGCATAATAAATTTTAATTGATTTTCACAGTCTTAGAACACATTTATATTTTGCATCTAGAGAACAATAAAAAGATAAATTATTAACAATATCCATGGAGTTGTACAGATAATTATTTTAAACTTGAGACCACGTTGCTGTTATTCTCAGACACCTGGGAAAAATGCATTTCTACCAGCCAATTTGCTTAACCCAAAACAAGATAAAACACTGCTTTGAGGCTAATTCCTATAACTTTCTTTTAAAAATAAACTTAGTTATGGAATTTGTAGAATATTTATAGTATAGTTTGGTCATTTTCTTAAATGAGCCTTGATATCTGTGATAGTTAATATAAGATGTGAACGTGACTGGATTTGAGGAATGCCTAAACGGCTGGTGAACCATTTTTTCTGGGTGTGTCTGTGAGAGTGTTGCTAGAGGAGTCAGTGGACTGGGAGAGGAAGACCCACCCTCAATGTGGGCAGTCTCCATCCAACGGTTGCCAGTGGGGCTAGAACAAAGCCGGCAAAAGAAGGGAGATAAACAGTTGGCTCAGTTTTCTGATTCTCTCTTCTTCCTGTGCCAGACACTTGCTTCCTCTGTTCCTGCCCTTGGACATCAGACTCTAGGTTCTTTGGACTTTGGACTCCAGGGCTTGTACCTGCAACCGCCTGGAGGAGGCTCTCAGGCTTTTGGGCTCAGACTGAGGGCTGCACTGTTGGCTTCCCTGGTTTTGAGGCTTTTGGACTTTGACTGAACCACACTACAGGCTATTCCCAGCTTGCTGACAGCCTATCAGGAGATTTCACCTAGTAATCATGTGAGCCACTTAGCCCTAATAAAATCCCTTGTATATATGCATATAACCTATTGGTTCTGCCCCTCTGGAGAACCCTCATACAGGTTTTGGTACCAGGAGTGATTTTAAACGAACGGAATTTTAAGGATGAATTTCCTTAGTTGGTTTTGGGTTTCTGAAGTTGCTTCTCTAATGTGATTAGTCTTAAAAATGCTAAAAACTCTACTTCTAATAGTAGGGAGAGCACCAATAGTAAAAATAAATGCATTTGATATGCTGATTCACTATTCCCGAGAGACAAGGAGTTTAGTTATTCTATAAAGGATACCTTTGAACATTTGTGGAGAACCAAAGAATATAATGAAGTTGGTTGATTGCTCCTACGTTTACTGGACAAAGTGGTGAAAAAAAGGGATGAGTTCAGGGATTCTAGCTCCTGGCTCCAGAAGCACATACATAACCTAAAAGTTTCCAAGTGTGCCCTGGGTGAAAATCTTCTCTTCAGTAGACAAAGGGCTGAAATTGCTGAAAATCAAACACAGGCTTTTATTATGCCAGTGGCTAACCTACAAGAAAAGGTGCACTCTTAGCCTCACGAGGTGTCTACTGTTAAAGTGAGGGCATTGATTAGGAAAGAATAAAACCCTGTAAGTTAGAATCAGAACATGTGGGAGGACGCTGATGAAGTGGGGGACACTGAGTTCCTAAATTCTGATGAGCCTGTTTTGCCAGAGGAAGTGGTCTCCCCACCTCCCCTCCTTGGTAGCAAAATCTCCCCTACCCACAGTAGTATGAGCCTTTCAGCCTTTGTCTGAGGAGATTAACCCTGCATTGCCTGAGGAAACAATGATGGCCTTCCTTAAGGCAGTTGCCAGGCAAAACAACACTGATTCTCCTCAGGACCCATCCCCAGGACCCCACTGTGCTTCTAGACCTGTAACTAGATTCAAGTCCTGGCATGCCCCTAGAGGTGAGGTACAGAGTGTGACCCACTAGAAGGTGTAACTACACTCCCAAAGAACTACTTAAGTTTTCTAATGTATATAAGCAGAAATCCAGGAGACAGCTATGGGAAAGGATAGTAAGGGTATGGGATAGTGGAGGTAGGAACATAAAGTTGGGTCAGGCTGAATTTAGTGATAAAGGACCACTAAGAAGAGATTCTGCATTTAATGTTGCAACATGAGGAATCGAAAAAGACCCAGTAGTTCATTTACTTGGTTAATTGAAGCATGGATCAAAATATAGCCCACTGTGAGCAAGCTGGAAAGGACTGATCTCCCTTGATTTAATGTAGAGGAAGGCCTCCAAAGGCTTAGAGAGATTGGAATGCTAGAATGGATTTGTCACTTAAAAGACCTACTCAACTCAACTGGGAGGGTTCAGAATACACACCGTTCACCAATACTTTGTGAAATACATTTGTGAGGGGAGCACCAGTATCCTTGAAGAGTTGTGTGCTCTCTTGTATGCCTGATTTTAGAGTGGGAACTGCAGTCACTCAATTGGAAAACCTAAATGCAATGAGAATAATTGGATCCTAAGGTGACAGAGGCCAAGTGGAGGCACTCAAACATCAAAGGTAAGGTGGGCACAATTACTGTAATGGACAGCCGAGGCAAAGCAACAATCAGAATACTCTTGTAAAAAGCAAAGTAGAGGTTCCTCTTCAAAGACTTTCCCCTCCATTTAATTAGGAATAAGTAGTAACTTCTCTTAGGAGCAAAATTTATTCAAAGAACTATGCTAACATTTTTCAATATCTGCTAGCCGTGATAAAGAAATCAATGTACTTTCGTTCTTAGCTCCTGCAATTTAGCCTGAATATTTGCCCTGGCATGCTTATACTGGTCCAAGCAAGCATTAGGCCATAGCCTGTTCCTCTTCCTTATTTAAAGGTGTTTTTACCTTTCTCAGCATTCCACAAGTTACTTCCTCCTTCCTTTTTTCTCCTCTGCCTTTGCCTCTTTTAAAAAGTTCTAAGTTGCTAGGCAATCGGGACTAAATACAGAATGTGAGGTCCCATTCCAGCCAATGGAAACTGGACACAGCAGTAGGGTGGACGCATCAGGTTATAAATGACTCCGTCCCCTTTGCTTGGTGTACTCTCATGGCAAAACTGCTGGCGAGTGTACTCTTTCTGCAGGAAGTAAAAATGGCCTTGCTGAGTAAATTAAATTTATGTTCAAGTGCTGTTTCTTTACGGCACCGGGAAACAAGCATTTCAAACACTCTGACTAGTGTAGAGCTCTGGAATGGCTAATTCATCATGGTGTTCCTAGAAGTGAAATAGGCAGGAAGCCTCATACATTCTTATTTGATCCCTATAAGCAGAAAACTTCCAGTAAGTGAACAGAAGTCTAACTGGAATTACAAAAACAGAGAATCATGACCCCTCAATCAATTTCCAGACTTGAGGTAGTTTACAGACCCAGAACCCCTTGAATGAAGGGGAGGCTGAGTCCTCTTGAGGAAGGGCTTCACTATATTACCAAAAGTTTTTGCTGTTAATCTGTCTTCAGTCCTTCCTCAAGGGACCTCCAGCCTTTTACTAGTGTAACTGTGCATTGGTGAAAGGGAAATAATTAGACCTTTCAGGGACTACTGGACACTGTCTGTGAACTGACATTCATTCCGTGGGACCTAAAATGTCATTGTGGTGGTTAGAGTAGAGGGCTTATGGAGGTCAGGTAATTAATGGAGTTTTAGCTCAGGTCTGACTTACAGTGGATCCATTAGGTTCCTGAACCCATCCGCCATTTCTTCTGTGCCAGAATGCATAATTGGAATAGACGTACTTAGCAACTGGGAGAATCCCCACATTAGTTCCCTGACCTATGGGGTGAGGGCTATTATAATGGGATATGCCAAATTGAAGCTGTTATAACTTCCTCTACCTAGGAAAATAGTAAATAAAAAACAATATTGCATCCCTGAAGGGGTTGCAAAGATTAGTGCCAGCATCAAGGACTTGAAAGATGCAGGGGTGGTGATCCTCACCACATCCCTGTTCAACTCTCCTATTTGGCCTATTCAGAAGACAGAAGGATCTTAACAAATGACAGTGTTAATCAAATGGTGACACCAATTGCAGCCACTGTACCAGATGTGGTTTCATTGCTTGAGCAAATGAACACATCTCCTGGTACCTGGTATGCATCTATTGATCTGGCAAGTGCCTTTTTCTCCATTCCTGTCCATAAGGCCCACCAGAAGCAATTTGCCTTCAGCTGGCAATGCCAGCAATATACCTTCACTGTCTTACCTCAGACATATATCAACTCTTTTGTTATACTCTTGTTCACAGAGATCTTTGTCACTTTTCCTTTTCATAATATATCACACTGTTCCATTACATTGATGACATTCTGATTGGGCCTAGTAAGAGAGAAGTGGCAACTACTCTTGATTTACTGGTGCAAGATTTGAATGTCAGGGGTAGGAAATAAATCGGAACTAAATTCAGAGGCCTTATACCTCAGTGAAATTTCTAGGTGTCCAGTGGTACGGGGCCTGTCTAGATATTTCTTCTAAGATGAAGTATAAGTTCTTGCTTCTGGCACTCCTACAACCAAGAAAGAGGCACAATGCCTAGTGGGCCTATTTGGATTTTAAAGGCAACACATCTTCATTTGAAGGTATTACACCAGACCATTTATCCAGTGATCCATAAAGCTGCTTGTTTTGAATGGGGCCCAAAACAAGAGAAGGCTCTGCAACAGGTCTAGGCTGCTGTACAAGCTGCCCTGCCACTTGGTTCATATGATCCAGCAGATCCAATAGTGTTTAAGGTGTCAGTGCCAGATGGGAATGCTGATTGGAGCCTTTGCCAGGCCCCCATAGGTTAATCACAGTGAAGACCTTTAGGATTTTGAATCAAGGCCTGACAATCTTCTGCAGGTAGCTACTCTTCTTTTGAGAGATAGCTCTTGGCCTGCTATTGGGCCTTGGTGAAAACTGAATGTTTGGCTATGGGTCACCAAGTTACCATGTGACCTGAGCTGCCTATCAAAACTGGGTGTTTTCTGACCCATCTAGCCATAAAGTTGGGCATGCACAGCAGCCTTTCATCATCAAATTAAAAGTGGTATATACCTTATCAATCTTGAGCGTGTCCTAAAGGCAAGAGTAAGTTATATGAGGAAGTGGCCCAAATACCCGTAGTCCCAAATCCTTCTGCCCTGCCTTCTCTATTCTAACCTGTACCTCTGGCCTCTTGGGGAGTTCCTTATCATCATTTGACAGGAAAAGAGAAGACTAGGGCCTGGTTTACAGATGGTTCTGCATGATAGGCAGGCACCTCCCCAAAGTGGACAGCTGCAGCACTACAGACCATTTCTGGGACACCCCTGAAGGACAGAAGTAAACGGAAATCTTTCCAGTGTGCAGAACTGCAAGCAGTGTACCTGGTTGTGCACTTTGCTTGGAAGGAGATATAGCCAGACGTGCAATTATATACTGACTCATGGGTGGTAGCCAGTGGTCTGGCTGGATGGTCAGGGACTTGGAAGGAGCATGATTGGAAAATCAGTGACAAATTTAGGGAAGAGCTATGTGGATGAACCTGTCTAAGTGTTTAAAGAATGTAAGTATATTTGTCTTCCTTGTGAATGTTCACCAAAGGTGACCTCAGTAGTGGAGATTTTTAATAATCAAGTGGATAGGATGACCCATTCTGTGGACACCACTCAGCCCCTTTCCCCAGCCACCCTTGTCATCACTCAATGGACTCATGAAAAAGTGGCCATGGTGTCAGGGATGGAGCTTATGCATGGGGTCGGTAAAGTGGACTTCCACTCACCAAGGCTGACTTGGCTACAGCAATTGCTGAGTTTCCAATCTGTCAGCAGCAAACAACACTGAGCCTCAATATGGCACCATTCCTCATGGTGATCAGCCAACTACCTGGTGGAAGATTTATTACTTTGGGCCTCTTCCATCATGGAAAGGGCAGTGGTTTGTTCTTACTGGAATAGACATTTTCTCCAGATGTGCATTTGTCTTTCCTGCCCACATTACATTTTCCAAGACTGCCATCTGTGAACTCACAGAATGCCTTATCTACTGTCATGGTATCCCACACAGTGTTGCTTCTGACCAAAGAACTCACTTCACAACCAAGGAAGTGCGGCAGTGGGCTCATGCCCATGGCATTCACTTGTCTTACCATGTCCCCTGTCAACCTGAAGCAGCTGGTTTGATAAAACAATTGAATGGCCTTTCGAAGTCACAATTACAACACCAACTAGGTGATAACAGTTTTCAGGTCTGGGGCCAAGTTCTCCAGATGACTGTATATGCTCCAAATCAGCACCCAATATATGGCACTATTTTCTCTCATTGCCAGGATTCACAGATCCGGGAATCAAAAGGGTGGAAGTAGAAGTGGTATCACTTATCACTCACCATCACCTCTAGTGACCCATTAGCAAAATTTTTGCTTTCTGTTCCCTCAACGTTATGTTCTGCTGGCCTAGAGGTCTGAGTTCCAGAAGGAAGAATGCAGCCACCAGGAGACACAACAGTGACTCCATTGAACTGGAAATTAAAATTGCCATGTGGCCACTTTGGACTCATGTCTCTAAGTCAACAGGCTAAGAATGGAGTTAGTGTTGGCTGGACTGATTGACCTGATTTCAAAATGAAATCAGACTACTGCTCCACAATGGAGGTAAGGAATCATATGTTTGGAATTCAGGAGATACCTTAGGGCTTCCCTTAATATTACCCGGCCCTGTAATTAAAGTCAATGGGAAACTACAACAACCCAATTCAGGCTCAGAATATAAATGGCCCAGACCCTTCAGGAATTGAGGGTTGGGTCACTCCGTCAGGTAAAACAAACCAAAACAAAAACAAAAATAACAAAACAACCAAGATGCTTGCTGAAGGCAAATGAGTAGTAGAAGGTAGTTATCAATACCAGCTATGACCACGTGACCAGTTACTGACATGAGGACTGTACTTGTCATGAGTATTTCCTCCTTATTTTGTTAAGAATATATTTGTGCATATATACCACTGTATTAAGCAAAGTCTTTGTTTTTTTTAAATTTCTTATTTCTTTATCATGTAACCTAAGATTTATTGACTTTATATCAGCACTTAAGTGTTCTTAATTTTATATATACTATTTAGGTTAAGGATTACTGCATTTTCAGTTGTACAAAGGATAGTTGTATTATGTTAGATGGAATTATGACTTCGTTATTGTCTTTACTTGGAGATTAAGTATGATTTGAGGGCATGTGTATGGGTGCTCAGTGGACAAGAGGTCAACTTATCATGGTTAATGTTAGGTGTCAGCTGGACTGGATTAAAGGATGCCTAGATGCCTGGGGAAATACTGTTTCTGGGTGTGTCTGTAAGGGTGTTGCCAGAGGAGATTGATATTTGAGTCAGTGGACTTGGAGAGGAAGACCCAACCTTGATGTAGGTGGGCACCATCCAATGACTGCCAGCATGGCTAGAACAAAGCAGGCAGAAGGAGGGGGATTAGCAGCTTGCTCAGTCTTCTGGTTCTCTCTCTTCCCATATCAGATGCTTGCTTCCTCTGCTCCTGCTCTTGGACATCAGACTGCAGGTTCTTTGGCCTTTGGACTCTGAGACTTGCACCAGTAGCCTCCCAGAGGCTCTCAGACCTTTGGCCTCAGACTGAGGGCTGCACTGTTGGCTTCCCTGGTTTTGAGGCTTTTGAACTTGGACTGAGCCACTATCAGTTTCTCTCTTCCCCCAGCTTGCAGATGGCCTATCACAAGACTTCACCTAGTAATCATGTAAGCCAATTATCACTAATAAACTCCCTTTTATATAAACATATACTCTATTGGTTGTGTCCCTCTGAAGAACCCTAATATACTAGCATATATATTACAATTATATGCTTTCAATTAATTATGTATGTATAAATAGGATAAAATTTTTATCCAATTATTTTGTACTGCATTGCAGATACAGCAAAAGGAAAAGCAGAATTTATATATTTATTGTTGTTTAGAATGAGTAGGATCCCCTTTTGATTTATGATTTTGTTATTTTTTTCCTTTTTCGTGGATTAATCAACTTAAATGTGCTACTTCATACAGTAGACATTTTAGAGTATTATAAAGGCAGTGTTCATGTAACTATAAGTATCCAGAGAGGAATGACCTTGAGAGGGTCATTGAGTGCTTGAGCGCTGTTCTTCATCTCCCCTACTGCAAATTCACTCAACCAAACTAGATAACCTCAGAATTATGTTCATTTGAGCTCATCCCACAAACATTCAGGGCTGGGCATTACAACAGCTCTGGTGCTCTTGCAGTAACGGACTGAACATAAAATCCTGAGCTCTTTCCAGTCCCACCCCAGTAGACTGCTGCACTCTGCTACAGCAGCCCTAACTGGAGTCTTCCTTCTCCCTTATCACAAAAAACATGGGCAGTATTGCATCTAGAATTGTGTTTTGTTGTTGTTATTTTATTAAATCAGGTTCAGAGCTAGCTCAGTTTGCCAAGGCCTTAAATGCTTTGGTTGCTAATCTTAATCTACACACTAACCCTGAAGGTTCAGTCAGTGGCTCTTCAATTTTAGGGTATGTAAAATCTGCTGGGCTGATAATGCAGATCCTATACTCATCACCAGGATCAGAGGTAAGGCCCAAGAATATGTGTTTTATCTAAATCTCAGGTGATTCTGATACAGATGGGCTTTTAGGAGGCCACACTTTGATAAAAACTTTCACAAATGTTATCCATCCCATTTCACAGATTAGAGAGCTACAGAGCAAATATTTTTTTCTAGACCGATAAAGAACACAGATTACCTGGCTTTGAAGTTTATACCTTAAAAAATATGTAAAAGGCACTCCTAAATTTCTGGACTTTTTTTCCCCATGCTTTTCTCTTCTATTTTCAAATATGCTTCATTCATAAGGGATCAGTCATCTGATTATTCACATAGAACGACTTTAATCAAATAAATTTGCTTAGACTTTTGACTGAATAAAAAATTTGATTGACTAAATTGGTCAATTGTTGAATATAAAAGTTTGTTGAAATAGTTGTGAAGCTGGCAATAGGGAAGGTGTGACTGAGGTTTTTGACTGAACTCAATACTACAATTTTAATCCATTTGATTTAAACAGAACACATATACAAACATAAACACACAAGCACACACAGAGGGAAACAAAGCATAATGTTGCCACAGGTAAAGCAATGTCAAAGAACAATAACAATGCAGGTCAGGAAAGTTTAATAAACCCCATTTTTTCTATCCCCCCAAGTTTTACTTAACAGTGGACATTTTTACCACTCTGGGATTATGAAATTTAGAGTTTATGCTCTGGGAATACCATTTCAAACAATTTCTATCCTTCCAGTTCTTTGAGAGGATAATATCAAGAGTACTTTAGCCACAAACCAAAAAGGGGAATAGTTTTGGTAAAAGCTTGTCTTAGAATATAAAAGCAATCATGATCTTATAAATACAAAATGCATTTATTCAGGTCCAGGCTTGTCTTCATGCTCTAGGTTTCTTGGGTAAACATATTGACTGAATCAGGCCTCCATTCCTGGTTATGGATTGCAGTGCCTGAGCTTTATGAAGCTCCTAAGTATTTGATAATCTCTCCTAAGCTAAAATAAATTCCTTTATTTGGTTATAGTCAGTTACATATAGTATACCATTGTATTTTTTAAATATCTAAACTTAAGATAAATTCCATTTTATAATAGAATTCTATTTGAACAAAAGAAGTTATAGAAACATTAAAATGCTACTCCCTACACCTTAAAACACACACACACACACACACACACACACACACACACACACACCCCTAAACATGCAAAAATGAATCACTGTTCTACTTTATAAAGCAAGTTGTTTGGCAGTTTGGGTTTCATTATTATTTTTGGACTAATAAACTAAGTACCTTTAAAAAACTATTTCCATTTTATTAATAAAATTTTCCTTGGGAAACACAATAGTTCATTTTTGAAAATAATTTTATTTATAATCAACCATGTTGACTATTAACATTCATAATATTTACTTCTATCAATTTGACACAAATTTAGTCTGAGTCTAACCTGATTCTTGTTCCTTTTAACCCGGGGCTGTACATGATCTGAGATCATGGGTTGGGTTTAACAAGAATGTTTTGGAGAAATTTTAAATGCATACTCCTTTTCCCTTACTTGCTTGTGCTGCCAAAATATGTCGTTGTTTCACCAACGGCAAGATGGATGTACTTTCACCATCCATGCAAGATGGATGTACTCATTTGTGATGTCATTCTTTAGGCCACTGTAATACACTTCTTATCTGATGCTTTCTGCAGGAAAGTTCCAAAATGAATATATTAATTTATTTATCATTTAGTACTCTGACTTTTAATAAATTGAATAGTACTTAATTTCAAATTATAACTTTCTTAAAACATTATATTAAATTCATCTTGATAATTTTTAGGTTTGTTCTGTTTATTCTTTGTGTTCACTCTTTCCGGTTTTGGTTTCCTGGGCAATTTTTCCTTTTTTTTTTTTTTTTTCCTCTGGCTCTCTTCCATTTTAATCTAAAACATTTGATCATTGGCCCTGGTCTCAGAGTGTGTACATTGCCTTTCAGATGATAATCTGGTTAAAAGTTAAAGTGGTTTTATGTATGGTGTGATTGTACCAGTGTTTATAATCATACATTTTATCGTACTGTAAATGTTCTTTTAGCATTTTGTAATTTTCTTTAACATTAGATGTTTTCTGCATAAAATTGGATTAGATTTAAGTGTAAACTGTATTCTAGCAGATCAAAGAAAAGAATGGAATACATGATAAGTATTCCATCTGGTGAGCACTGAGAAAGAATTACAAGCAATTTGCAAGCAGTCTCAGTGGAATTAAGGAACAAACAAGACTGAAGACATGCACTTGTATAGGTCATATAGAAACTACCACTCAGTGACTCCCAATTACTTTTGCTGTCAGTATGGTTGTTCTCTACATGTTTTACGCATGCAAGAATATTGTTTCTTCTCTTAAGACAGTATTATACTTTATTCTCTCATTTCATACAATCTCTTTTTTAAATGATGATTTTTTTGTCCAAATTATATTTAATTTTCTCAAACTCAAATGTCACTTAAAGTGTCAAGCCTTTCTTCAGGAAAAATGTTAGTCTCTTAGCCCCTCTTCAAAAATAGTCTTATCATTCAGTGCTTCCCAGAGGCAATTACTTTTAGTTATGTAACTTGTTGCATTTGTTATTTATCTCTGTATCTTAGGAATTTAACTTCCTTTCTCACCACATCCAAAAAATACACTTCCTTTCTATCCATTACTAAATGTACTTGCAGTTCTGGTTAGGTCAATAGTCTGCATTTACCTTATCATGACAAGATATTATTCACATCTGAGCCTTATAGAATATTGTTATTTTTTTCTTGAACAACTTCTTATTTCCCTTGGAGTTACTAATTGTCTTTTTTCTTTGCTTAGTTTTTTTTAAATATATTAATCTCTAGTTTTTCTCTAAGTTTTTCTCCAGAAATAAAGTTTTTCTCTAAATGTTAGTATATTCATATGCATAAAATGCCCAACAAATGTCATCTTCTTAGGGAAACATCTCCCCATGATTTCTCACTTGTTCTGATCTGGTTTGTTTGCTTTCTAGATCTTAGGAGATCTGAAACTCCTCTAGCTTTAATTAGTTAATTACATAATTTTCTTTTAAGCCTATCCACAGTATCTTTTTGAGAATGACTGCATAAAGGTAAATAGTTTTTCAACACTTTGCACGTCAAAGCATCTATAATCATATTTAGTTGGTAGTTTTTTTAGGAATAGACTATTAGGTTCAAACAGATTTTCTTGATATTTTAAGGCTCCATTATCTTCTAGTTCCAAATGTAATTTGTGATTCTTTGCTTAAAGAAAAATTATTTTATTTTTTTCTCCCTGAAAATCATGCTGTTCTTGATACAATATGTAGAAATTTTAGTATAATATGTACATGTAGCTCTATCTTCATCAATTGTTCTAGGCATTTCATGAATCTATTCACGGAAGAAACTAATTTCCTTATTCCAGGAATAATTTACTGATTTTTTTTTTAATTTTCTCACCGCTTTTTCCTCTGTTCTGTCTTACAGGAACTCCTTTTATTCAGATGTTGAGACTCCAGACCTGATCCTCTGATTTTCTGATCTTTTCTCCCATGTTTCCATAAATTTGTATTTTTCTTGATTTGGGGGAAGAATTATTTAAATTTCTAATTAATATATCAAATTTTCATTTCTGCTATATAGTTTACATTTCAAGTTATTTTTTGTTTCCTGAATATCTCTTTTTCATTACATTGGTCTTCTAACAGAGAGATATTTCTTTCTTTTGTCTCTCTGAGAATATTAATGATAGTTATTATTTCTTCCTGTCTAATGTCTTTTCTTCAAGTTTCTTTCTTTTTCTTGCTTATTTGTTATGATCAGTTTATTTCGTATTGGAGGGCTCCCTAGATATATCTTTATTATGGCTGTCTTCTTATCTTTAAAATTAGGGCATGTAAATCTGATTTGAAACTTTGTCTACATAAGAAATGTGAACTGTGGCCCTTGCTGTTTGATAAGTTTTGGTTACATTTTTACAGTACTCTGGCTTGACTGGCTTGATTGCTATCATGTCAGCTTCTGTAAGTCTCTTCAATTGGCTGGCTAAACGAGCGTTCCATAGATTTTTTTCAATCTCCTGATTACAGAGTATAATATTGGATACCTTGATTTTGGGAACTGGTATGGAAGAGGTTGTGGGGAGGGGGGGTGATTTGAGTATCAGCAGGGTAAACTTTCACTTAATCCCACATTTTCTGTATTGCATTCTCAATTTGCCTGTTATACTCAAGTCCAGAGACACCTTGTTCTGTTCTTTCCCTGGTGTAAATCTCCAACTTCTGCTGAGATATGAGCGGTTCAGTCCCAGCTTTAGGGGGTAGGAGAAAAACATGAGTAGATCTAAATATTTCTAAATTCAAATTTCAAATTTTTCTCTTTTTAGCCACATAGTCGCCATGACCTTAGAACTCTGTGGATCAACTCTAAACTAAAGTAGTAGTTGGTTCCATTTCTATATGTTTCTTCCCTATTAGACGTATATACTGAAAAACCAATATATGCACAAGTTTTCATGTTTAAAAAATGTTAATGTATATTATCAACATTACATTTTTAAGAGTTACTCATATTGAAACATGAACCTCTGTTTTATAAAATTTTTAAATTTTTATTTTGAAATTATTTAATTTATAGAATACTGAAAAGATGTAGGTTTAGTATTCAATAGTACAGCTATTGAACTTATACTGATTTAAATTAAAAGCAATTTTTTAAAGCATGGGTTAATAAATGATTATGCAAGGAAATGAGTAGTATTCTTTACATATACAGCTTTTCTCTTAGTCAGTAGTATACACTATGTTAAGTTTTTATGCCTGCCTTTTCCCGACTAGCTTATATTTTATATAAAACAAGAAAATCTAAAAAAAGGGTTACCAAATTTTAAGCCGCTTTAATAAGAAATAATAAAGCACAAAAGAAGGACTGATGAAGTCTTCACAGAAAGGGATCAAAGCTTCTTTATACATGAAGGATTTGGTCTGAATCTCAAAAAATAAGTATTAAGTATTCAAAAAAGCAATTTTTTCTACAAATACTAGTTGTTAAACAGTGTGCAGTATTAACAGTTTTCAAGACCCCACTGAATAAATGTCTACAGAGTTGTACATGACTAATAAGACTTTTACACAAACTACAAGTATTATATTTCTACCTATTCACCAAAGCTCTTTGATAAAAAAAAATTTAAATATATATTTTATTGTATTAGAGAAGTATTCAATCGACAATACAAACATACTTGCTGTAATACAAATAAAGGTGACAATGTTATTACTGATCTGGATAATGCAATGGAACACACATCTAGAAAGTTTTTCATTTCTTTTTGATATTTTCACTTGTGGGGCTGCTTGCTTTGATCAAAATATAGAATATGTATATGTAATATATATGCATTTTTTAGCAATTTATTGCATCACTTTACCTCATTCTGCAAACGTAAACTGTATTCACAGCCTTTGCTGAGTACTTCATAAATATTTGTTATTTATCAAAATGAGACTAGACCAAGAATGTGTGATATGTTATTGTTATCCTTTTCCATCCTGTGTAGCCTACATTTTTTTTGGTTTTAATTACTTCTTTAGAATGTCATTTGGATACCTTCCAATTTAAACCACCAAAAAATGGGTTTTGGCTACATTAATGATCTATTATAACCAAAGATGTTATTCAAAATATTGAACAATTAATATGACCTGGGAACAGATAATGCAGAGTGAAAAGTGATCCAATTAGGAATGAAACCATTTCTACAAGCACTGTGGCCTTTCCAGTATGAACTTGCTGACAATCTGCCCTGATTTTAATAACCTCATGAGATTATATGTTATCAAGAGACATAAAAAGGGACGTTACATTGAGAAGAAAACAGAAAAAAAACTGTCGTCTTTTGTTTTATTTTTAGATACAAGATTTTAGAAATAAAGTGGTTAAGAAACAACCAACTCAATTTTTATGGTTAATAGATACCCTATTTTCTATTGGAATTCCTGTTTTAATTATATATTTATTTACTTTTTACAAAGTGGATCATTATCATAAAAATACCATCTACTAGAATGCAGTTAAAAGTACATTTAAAGCTTCATTAAAATCTTTCTGATATGACTTAAGCAGTTAACAATAGGCAACCTACAGAAACAAGAGCTATTAATGCTGTCATGAAAACAAAGTTCCAACAACTATCCACTAGAGAGCATGAGCCTGGACTGTAGATTGTTTATTGTCAAAGACTTGACTGGCTAATAAATGCTGGCAATGTCTTGAGTGTGCTGGAATGCAGTGCAGCTGCTGCATTAGTCAGACTTTCCCTTTTCTGAATGCTATAATCCCTCCAATATTGCATTAAATATGTTTTCAATATTTATCTGGATAAAAATGTGCTGAATGTTGCAACAGTTTAATTCCGATGTTACACAGGAAATCTGGAAAAAAGAGAAGGTAACTTTATCTTTATTGTTAAAACCTAATGCTATTTATTCTCTTATAATACATGAGAGTACTCAATAAGACTTGTGATCACTCTAAGGCAGGCAAACACCAGCAGCATTGCAAGCATATATGAGGGATTAGTACTTGGCTGCAGACACTTAACTGACCTCTTGCCATCCATGAAGATCTAAGTTCAGGCAGGCCTCCATGAATGAATGTCATGTAGTAGGTAATAAATGGCTTTAAGACTTGTTATACTCTACAATCCAAATCTTGACAAGCCAGAAATAGAAATCATGTATTACCATGTCACATATTTTTATTAGATTTCTTGTATGATTATCTAAACTATTGTGAGCCAATCTATTGGGTGGTAACTAAAGAAATTAAATTTCCTCAATAGACTCTGAGCCACTTGAGGTCTATGATTATCCTTTTAAAAAATGTAACATCTCTATTGAGATATGATTCACATATTCATGTACCATACATTTCACACATTTAAAGCGTAAAATTCAATGCTTCTGTTATATCCTCAGAGTTGTGCAACCATCACTGCAATCGATTTTAGAATTTAGTCATTATCCCCCTAGAAATCCTTATAGCCATTAACATTCATTCTTATTTCTCTCCCAACACTCCCAGTCCTAGGCAAACACTAATCTACTCTCTATCTTTTTAGATTTGCATATTCTGGTCATTTTAAATAAATGAAATCATACAGTATATGACCTCTTGTGAGTGGCTTCTTTCAGCACAATTTTTTCAAGGTTCATTCACGTTGTAGTATGTATCAATAACTTATTTCTTTCTATTGTCAAAATACATTCCATTTTATGGATATATATCATTTTATTTTTCTATTTATCAGTTGATGGACATTTTGGCCATTTCCACTTTTGGACTATTATAAGTAATGCTGCTGTGAACTTTTTTTGTACAAGCCTTTTTGTAGAGATGTAGTTTTAATTCTTTTTATTCTATACGTAAGAGTGGAATTGTTGGGTCATAATGTAACTACAAATTTAAACCTTTGAGGAATGGCTAGACCATGTCCAAAGTGGCTATACCAAATTACATTCCCAACATTCATGTGTAAGGGCTCCAAACTTTCCACATCTCCCTAACATGTCTGTCATTTTAATAACAATCATACTGGTGGGTGTAAGTGGTATCACATTATGGTTCAGATTTAGATTTCTCTGATGGCTAACAATATTGAGCATTTTTATGTGCCTAATGACTATTTGTATACCTTCTTTTAAGAAATGCCTATTCAAAATTTTGCCTATCACTGAGTTATATTTTTGAGTTTTAAAAGTTTTCCTATATTCTAGAGAGAAGTCCCATGTCAAGATATATAATTTATAAATCTTTTCTCTCATTCTGTGAGTTTTCTTTTCATTGTCTTGATGGTAACCTTTGTAGCATAAAAGCTTTTAATTTATCCTTTCTTTTTCATTGATTTATTTATTTGCTTTATTTTGTCCCTGTGTTGTTAGTGTCACATCTAAGAAGGCTTTGTCTAACCCAAAGCCATAATTTGTTCTTATATTTTCTTCTAAGAGTTTTATAGCTTTAGCTCTCATATTTAGGTGATTTGATTTATTTTGAGTTCATTTTTGTATAATGAATAAGAAAGGAGTTCATATTTACTCTTTTGCCTGCATTTATGCAGTCGTCCAAGCTACTGTAATCAACACAGTGGGGTACTGGCCTAGAGACAGACATACAGATCAATGGAATAAAATAAAAAGTTCAAAAATAAGCCCTCTCATTAAAGTCAATTAGTTTTCGACAAGAGTGCTGAGATAATTCAATGGGGGAAAGATTGAATAGTGTTTTCAACAACTGGGGCTAGGATGACTGGATGGCCACATTTAAACTTTTGGTTTTGCTAATATTATCTATCATCTATTCCCCATTTTCTTAATTTCACTTTATATAGTTATCCTTTTTTCCTTTCTGCTTGTTAATAATTATCCTTTCTTCCTTTCTGCTTGTTTCAGGTTTAATTTGTTCTTTTTTCTAATGTCTTAAGTGGAAAGTAATATTATTATTTAAGATTATATATATTTAATATAGGCAGTAACAGCCATGAAATCCTCCATGAACTGCTTTAACAGCATCCATAAGCTTGAGTATATTGTGTGTTTATTTTCATTAATCTAAAAATTTCTAATTTCTTGTGATTTCTCCTTCACTAATTGGTTATTAGTAGGTTATTTAATTTAAACCCATCTGGAAATACCCTAAATTTGTTTCTGTTATTTTCATTTCAATGAGGTTAGAGAACATATTTTGTACTATTTCAATCCATTTAAATGTATTGAAACTTGTTTTATGGTCTAGCATAAAATCTATCCTGGAGAATGCTCCATGTTCTAATTTACATTCCCACCAACAGTGTATGAGGGTTCCCCTTCCTTCACAACCTCACCAGCATTTATTATTGCCTGTTTTTAAATAAAAGACGTTTTAACTGGAGTGAGCTCATATCTTGTAGTTTGGATTTGCATTTCTCTGATGATTAGTGATGTTGAGAATTTTTTACATACTTGTTGGGCATTTGTATGTCTTCTTTTGAGAAATGTATATTCAGATCTTTTGCCCATTTTTAATCAGATTATTTGTTTTTTGTTTTTTCTATTCAGTTGTTTAAGCTTTTTATATATTCAGATTATTAATCACTTGTCAGAGTGATAGTTTTTCTCCCATTCTGTGTATTGTCTCTTCACTTGGTTGATTGCTGTGCAGAAGAAGTTTTACCTTTATGTAATCCCATTTGTCCATTTTTGCTTTGATTGTCTGTGCTTTTGAGGTCTTACTTGAGAAATCTGTGTCCAAATCAATGTCCTGGAATGTTTCCTCAATATTTTCTTCTAGTAATTTTATAGTTTCAGATCTTATATGTAAGTTTTCAATCTATTTTGATTTTTTATTTTTTGTATATGGTGAGAGATAGGTGCCTAGTTTCATTCATCTGCATACGGATATATAGTTTTCCCTGTCAACTCATTTTCAACAAAGTTGCCAGGAATGTATACTGGGAAAGGACAGTCTCTTCAATAAATGGCCTTCATTATTTTTAATGCAGTATCAGTTACTTTTATTGTAATTTTATTTTCTGTTATGAGTATCTTTTTTTGGTACTTTAAAAATTTTCTCTTCATTCTTTCTTTCACTGTTTTTAACAAGATGTGTCTGGGTTTGAGTCTTTCTTGCCTAAATACTAGTTGGAGTTCCTTGAGTTTCTTGGATGTGTAGGTTAGTGTTTTTCATCAAATATGGTATGTTTTCAGGCATTATTTCTTCAAATATATTTCTGTCCTTTTCTCACTCTCCCCTCCACTTCTGGTACTCTAAGGTGCATGTTGATGTTCCACATTTATCTGAAGCTTTGTATATTTTTCCTAATGATTTTTCTCTTGTTATTTGTGTTGCATAATCGCTATGAACTTACTTTCAAGTTTACTAGCTTTCTTCCGCCTGTTCAAGTCTACTGTTGTGCTCCTGTAGTGAAAGTTTTCTTTCAGTTATTGTACCTTTCAATTTCAGAATTTCCTTCTAGTTCTTTTATTAAATTAAATTTATTTATTTATTATTATTTCAAAGTAGTTTTGGGGAGCGGGTGGCGTTTGGTTACATGGATAAGTTCTTTAGTGGTGATTTCTGAGACTTTGGTGCAGCCATCACCCGAGCAGTGTACACTGTACCCAGTGTGTACTCTTTTATCCCTCACCCACCTCCCACCCAATCCCCCAAGTCCCCAGAGTCCATTATATCATTTTTATGAATTTGCATCCTACTAGCTTAGCTCCCACTTATAAGTGAGAACATATGATGTTTGGTTTTCCATTCCTGAGTTACTTCGCTTAGAAAAATGCTCTTCAACTCCATCCAGGTTGCTGCAAATGCCATTATTCCATTCCTTTCATGGCTGAGCAGTATTCCGTGGTGTGTGTGTGTGTGTGTATGTATATATATACATATATATATGTATGTGAATATATATTTTTTCACATACATATATATATATATTTTTTTCTTTATCCACTCGTTGGTTGATGGGTATTTAGGCTGGTTCCATATTTTTGCAATTGTGCTGCTATAAACATGTGTGCAAGTATCTTATTCATATAATGACTTTATTCTACATGGTGCTGGTATAAAAATAGGCACATAGACCAATGGAACAGAATAGAGAACCCAGAAATAAAGCCAAATACTTACAGCCAGCTGATTTTCAACAAAGCAAACAAAAACATAAAGTGGGGCAACGACACCCTATTCAACAAATGGTGCTGGGATAATTGGCTAACCACATGTAGGAGAATGAAACTGGAACTTCATCTTTCACCTTAAACAAAAATTAACTCAAGATAGATTAAAGACTTAAATTTAAGACCTGAAACCATACAAATTCTAGAAGGTAACATCGGAAAAACTATTTTAGATATTGCCTTAAGCAAGAGTTCATGACCAAGAACGCAAATGCAAATGCAACCAAAACAAAGATAAATAGATGGGACTTAATTAAACTAAAAAGCTTCTGAACAGCAAAAGAAATAATCAGCAGAGTAAACAGGCAACCCACAGAATAGGAGAAAATATTCACAAGCTATTCATCTGACAAAGGACTAATATCCAGAATCTACAAGGAATTCAAATAAATCAGCAAGGTAAAAACAAATAATCCCACCAAAAAGTGGGAAAGACATGAATACACAAGTCTCAAAAGAAGATACACAAATGGCAAACAAACATGAAAAACGCTCAACACCATCTAGTTCTTCTTTGTCATTTCTATTCATTTATAAACATTATTTATTTTATGAGACATTGCCATGATATCATTCTTTACTTCTTTCAGCATGGTCTCCTTTATTTCTTTGAACATATTTGTAAAGGTTGTTTTAAGTTTTTGTCTGTTAATTTTAACATCTGAGCCCTCTCATAGGAAGTTTCTGTTGACTGATTTTTTTTCTGTGTATGGGTCACACCTTCCTGTTTCTTTTCATGCATTATAAACTTTTGTTGAAAACTGGACTTTCAATAATATGTTTTATCAAGTTTAGATATTAATTAAGCTTCTCCGGGGGTTGTTACTATCATTGTTATTTTGTTTGTTTGCTTGCATGCTTATTTGTTTAGAGACTTTGCTGGACTGTGTTAATAATCTTTCCCCTGTACTGTGAGACTTCTGATGTCAACCGTCAGAGGGCATATCCAGGCCTGGGCATGTTTACAGGTATCCTGAGATGGCAGTGATGTTAGCAGGGCCATCTTTAACTGTCTCACTCATCTCTCTGTTAGGCTCTCTGCCTATGTTTGTATCACACAGAGCACTTAAGCTCCACTAGTTGCCAGTTGATTGTGCTGTTATTTTTTACTGCACTATGGGATGTAAATTGATTCCTCGTCTGATCCAACTAAACCTTGGGCCCTTTGCAGGGGTAGTTTTTTAGGTCAATCTTCAAGACTTGCTCTGACTACAGGAAGGCTCTTCTCTTCTTAGCTGCCTTTTGCCCTGGTTCTCTCTGATAGACTGGTTGGGCGGTGATTTAGTTTCTTGCTATTTTGGTTTTATGCACCTCTATTTAATTGCTTACCATGCAAATCTCCATGGATTTTCCAGATTAACCTTAGGCTTTAGTTTTTCTACAAACTGTTCTAAATATAGTCATTTTCTTTTGGGGAGCTTTGGAGCTTTTTGTTCTTATAATCTCTCTTTATGCTCCAAAGGGAATTCCTCTGGGAGGAATCTCTGAGTCACTGTTCTGAGTTGGGACAGCAGCCCACTTCTCATGGAGACAACCCTGCTTTGTGAGCAAGGTGCTTTGTGAGCAAGGTACTTTGTGAGCCAGTTGCCTCTGGTCTTCTCAATTTGCCTTTCTCTGCAGAAAATCTCTGCCCAACAAACCATTTTGGGCAAGGATGGTCAGGGCCCGGTACTGTGTTTTCTTCTCCTCAAATAACACCACCACTGGTGGAACTGGTAGTTTTATCCTTTCTATCTGTATTGCAGAAGCCAGAACTCAGATGCATGCCCCACCTAAATATAAGGTGGTCTGGAAAATGTATTTAAATGTAGACTACATTTAGTTAACTAAATGTGTGTGTGTGTATATATGTGTGTGTGTGTGTGTATGTGTGTGTACATACATGCCTGTATATATATGCACATACTACATTTCCATTTTACATATATAATATATATACACACACACACTTTAGAGAGAGAGAGATTTATTTAAATTAAAAGAAACTTTGATATTCTTACGTTTTGATGTTTTCCCATACTTAGTTATTCCCAATTTTTTAGAATAATTTTTGAGTTAAATATTCTCCCAATGCCTATTAAGTTATCACAACCTCATTTATTTAAAAATCCATGCCTTCCTCTGTATACAGGGAGAAGGAATTAAAAGAGAGAGAGAGAGATTTATTAGGAGAGATTGGCTTATGTGATTATTGAGGCTGAGAAGTCCCATGATCTGTTGTCTGCAAGCTGGAGGCCCAGGAGCTCTCCTGGGGTAGTTCCAGTCTAAGCCTGAAGGCCTGAGAACCAATTAAGCCAAAGGTGTAAGTCCCAGTCTGAGTCTGAAAGGCCTAAGAACTAGGAGCACTGCCGTCCACAGCAGGAGAAGATGAATGTCCTAGCTCAAGGAGAGGGAGCAAATTCACCCTTCCTCCATCTTTTTGCTCTATTCAGATTCTCAGGGGCTGGATGATACCCATTTAAAATGATGAAGACATGTTCTTTACTCAGTGTACCAATTCAGGCAGTATCCTCTTCTGGAAACACCCTCACAGAGACACCCAGAAATAATGTCCTACCAGCTACCTGGGCATCTCTTAATCTAGTCCAGTTGGCATATGAAGTAAATGATCACAGTATTCAACTAACAGTCTCCGCTTTTCTGACCACCACATATCCATTTCACTCTTTCCCCAAATGCATTACTTTGTTAAGGCTACTACGACAAAGTACCATGAACTTGGTGGCTTAAACGACTGAAATATATTCTCTCAGCTCTGAGAATCTGAGATCGAGCATTAGCACAATTGCTGCCTTCTGATGCTGAGAGGAAGAATCCGTTCTGTGCCTTCCTCCTAGATTCTGGTAGTTTTCTAACAATCTTTGGTGTTTCTTGGCTTGTAGCAGTATCAGCCCAATGCCTGCCTTTGTATTCACATCACCTCTGTGTATATAGTGGAAAGTCTGGATTTTTAAACAAATGACGTTGTAATAACTTAGGATATCTCACTCAAAAATTATTCTAAAAAATTGGGAATAATTAAGTATGGGGAAAATCAAGCTATAAGAATATAAAAGTTTCTTTAAATTTAAATATTTCTGTATTAGAGCTAGGAAGTTCTTAGACCATATTATAAAAACCCCTAGAACTCCTACTCAAGGAAAGACTGATACTATTTTATGGTAAAAAAAAATTGCAAAGGTTAGATATGCCATAAGCAAAATCAAAATATAAACCAAGACACAGAAGCATAACTGCAACTCATATCATGCTGTCTAATATAGCAAGAGCTACTATTAATTTAGAGGAAAAAAAGAACTAAGAAACAAATAGAAAATGGGCTAAATGAATGAACAGAAAGTTCACAGTAAAATAAATTAAACATCTTTTAAATATATGGAAAAAGGTACTCCATATTACCATTAATAAGATTAATACAAATTAAATCTACATGAAATTGTAATTTCTCCACTATCAGATTGGCAAAAAGTTCAAAAGCCTTCTAATATGTTCTTTTAAAGAGTTGTTGGAAAATAGACTTCTAAATACATTGCAGATGTTAAAGCAGAATTACACAACCTCTATGGAGACAGTTTAACATTATCTAACAAAATTATAAATATATGTATACTTATCCCATATAATACTGTCACTGTAATTTATTCTATAGATATGCAATTATTTGTTTGAAATGATGTTTGCAATGCTAATTATTATGCAACTATTTATAATAGTAAAAGATTACAAATAACCCACATTCCCCTCAATGGTGAACTGGTTAAATAAATATGCTGCATCTACATGATAAAATACAATACAGAAAATATACTGTAAAAAATGAATAAAGAAGTTTCTAAGTTCTAACATGAAAAGACATGCAGGATAGAGTGTTAAATGATAAAGAGTAAGGTGAATAATTGTGTATTTATAAATGTAGTTTATCAGATAGAATTATATAAAAATTTTCTTGGATAAACTTAAAAATTACTGGGAAGGCAAACAAAAACTCAGTTAATCTATAAGAAACAAAAATATAGGTCATGAATAAAAGCAAAACTTCTTAGTAAATACGTTATATTTTATTAATATATTAATGTTTTGATTATTATGTAAATTTATTATCTATTTACAAACCTGTAATTGCATTTTATTTTTTGATCAAAAATTCTGAAACAACAATAAAATTATTAAAACTTTTGAAAAAATAGAGGTTGTTATACACTGTTGCGATATAATAAATTAAAACCTCTATGAAAGACAATTGCATACCGTATCAAAAGTATATACACCCTTGGACCCAACAGTTTTACTTCTAGGAGTTTACCCTGCTTATGTTCTTGCACATGTGAAAAAACTATAGGTATACAAGGATGTTTTTATTGCAGCTGTGATTATAATATTGAAATATAGAAAACAATGTAAATATTGTTTAATTGAAGGCAGTATAATTGGTACATTCATAAATAGAATTCCATGTAGTCATTAAAATAAAAGATTGTTCTCTGTGTGATTTCCAAGATACATATTTAGGAAAAAACAAGCAGATTACTGTGTGTAGTTTATTGAAATTTTTGAAGAAGTATAGTTAGAATAGATGTATACGTGTGTAAACATCATCTGTAGAAGAATACGTAAGAAACTAGCTGTGGTTATCTACGCAAAGGGAATTCTATGGTTCAAGAACACCGGTTTTGATTAAGAAGTAATTTTATGCATATCCTTTTTCTTTCTTTAGGAATACTTACACTACACATATATACATTTCCAAAGTAATAAATAAAATGTACTTGTTAAAATCAGATAATAATGGACAGTGTAAATTCCTTATAGGAGAGCCAATAATGTAAAGACAGATAACTGACCATTAGCTTTTGCTATTAAAAGTCACCAGAGACAGGGCATGGTGGCTCACACTTGTAACTCCAGCACTTTTTGAGGCTGAGGCAGGAAGATCATTTGAGCCCAGGAGTTCAAGACCAGCTTGAGCAACATAGTGAGACTCTGTCTGTATGATAAATAAATAAATAAATAAACTGTTGGTTTTTTTTTTTAAATAGAAGTCACTGGAGACATTGAGAAGAGGAACTTTAATTGAAGGTGGGATAAACTCTTGTTTCAAAGAGATACAAGAAAAATATGAGGGAAGAAAGTAAAGAAAAACATGTAAATAACTCATTTAAGTCAATTTGCCCTTTATACTTCATAACTAATAGCAGAGACATAGAGTAGTAACTGGAAAGGGTAATAAGAGTCTAGAGAGAGTTTTTGTTTCTTTGTTTGCTGTAAGATGGGACATGTTTCAGAATGTGTGACATCAACAAAAATAATTCAGTACATAATGAATTCTGGCCTAGGAGAGAAAGGATATAATTGCAGGAGCATCATTCTCTGTGAGTGGGGGATTTGGAATCTAGTGCACAGTAGGGGTTTAGCCTCTGGAGCACCACTCATCAGTTTTATGAGGAGGGAAGTCATAGTGTGTGGAATATTATTCCATCAATCTGAAGTCATTCAAAAAAATATAGTTTTTATTCTTAATGTTAAAAAAGCACAACTATTTTAAGCTTCACAGTGATTAGGCAGGCATGCAAATAATAAACAAATGTGCTAAAGTAGCTATAGATGTGAGGAGCATAAGCAGATGAATAAAATGATGTTTGAAAATGTTTTATATTGCATTTAGTTATTATATACATCATTTAAAAATATCATATTACTGAACATGTGTATATCCAAATTTATTTGCATATATTTTGAGTAACAAAATAATCACTGCTTTGTGACATACCTAAATAAAAGGAGCTCAGCCTAAGAATCTATGAGTAGAAAATGTGTAATTGTATCTTTGTTGTATAAATAATTTCAATGTTGCTTATTACATCTAAAATTTTCTGAACAACTTACATTTTAGTTTATATAGCAGAATTTGACTATCCAAATAGAAACCCAGCACAATCATAAACTGATTTCCTTATAACAGACAAATTGTATGTGTAAATTTAACTTTTGATCACTCTTGCTGTGCAACAAATTACCCTCATAACTTGGCATTTTAAAACAATAAAAATGACTCTGAGAATATATTGCATCTGTCACAGAGTAACCACATAAAGAATTATATTTTTTCTTCTAAATGTATCTGAAAAGAAGGAAAGGTATTTTTTCTTGATTCTCCAAAAGAGAACAAGGAAGTCATTTTGATTGTTTGTTTCTGAAGATCTCAGATACCCTGCACTGAGGGTCACATTTTCAAAGAAAAGTTCTAGCTTTTCAAATTCTGGAGTCTTTTAAAGAGTTGGGCGTAGCCATACACTAAGAAAATATAGGATAATTCTATACTAAATGTATTAGTCAGGGTTCCACAGAACTAGTGGAATAGCTAGATCTATATAAAGGGGAGTTTATTAAGTATTAACTCACATGGTCACAACGTCCCACAATAGGCCGTCTGCAGGCGGAGGAGCAAGGAGAGCCAGTCTGAGTTCCAAAACTAAAGAACTTAGAGCGCGATGTTCAAGAGCAGGAAGCATCCAGCAAGGGAGAAAGATGTAGGCTGGGAGGCTAGGCCAGTCTCTCTTTTCACATTTTCCACCTGCTTATATTCTAGTCATGCTGGCAGCTGATTTGATTGTGCCCACCCAGATTAAGTGTGGGTCTGCCTTTCCCAGCCCACTGACTCAAATGTTTATCTCCTTTGGCAACACCCTCAAAGACACACCCAGGATCAATATCCTTCAATCCAATCAAGTTGACACTCAATATTAACATCACACTGAAAAACTCAAGTGCAACAAATACAGTGAGTAACTTTGCAGTACAGGATTAACTCAGGATGGGTGGGTTGTCCATACTTTGCACATTTTTAATAAAAGGTTTGCCCCTTGAAGGGCTCCTGGAAGGTAACCTCTAAGCCTTTAAGACTGTGCTGCCTGATAAGAGTGTCTTTGTTTTACTGAGGTCTTTGGCTGCATTTTATCAGTTTGTCCTTTTTAGGTTCCGGAGGCTGAGTGACTAAGGTCAGCCAAGCAGATATTTAGTCGTGCCTACCTAACAACCCCCAGTAAAATCCCTGAACACTGACCAGGCACAGTGGCTCACGCCTGTAATCCCAGCATTTTGGGAGGCGGATCACCTGAGGTCCGGAGTTCGAGACCAGCCTGACCACCATGGAGAAACCCCTTCTCTACCAAAAATACAAAAAATTAGCCAAGCATGGTGGTGCATGCCTGTAATTCCAGCTACTTGGGAGACTGAGGTAGGAGAATCTCTTGAACCACGGGGATTAGGTTGCGGTGAACTGAGATCGAGACATTGCACTCCAGCCTGGTCAACAAGAGAGAAACTCCATCTCAAAAAAAAAAATCCCTGGACACCAAGGTTCAAGTGAGCTTCCTGGAACGACAATACTTTGTAAGCATTATTACACATCATTTTTGGTAGAATTAAGCACTGTCTTTAAGATTCTACCAGGAGAAGACACGTGGAAACTTGTGCCTGGTCCCACTAGGGACTCTGCCCTTAGCCCACTTACTTCTGCTAATTTTAATTTGCATCCTTTTCTGCTGTAATAAATTATGACTGTAAGTATAATGGTTTTCTGATTCCTGTGAGTCCTTCTAGTGAATCATTAAATCTAAAGGAGGTCTTGAGGATCCTTGATACAGTTATGTAGTTAAATCCAACATTTCAGAAGATGGCGAGGCTCGACTTAATTCAACATCTAGTTGAATTTAGCAAATCTGAAAGAGTCAAGTTGATGTAGATAATGAGCAATTCAGTGGAGACCATAATAGACTAAAGACCAGAGATACTTACCCTGAATTACTGGACTGTATAAAGTTATAGAAAGCTAGAGAGAGGAAATGTCCTTAAAATAAAACTAAACTGAATTTTTCATCAGCCAGGTAAATAGGAACTCAAAGCTATTATGAAAAAAAAAAACACATATGGCTTACTGAAAACATAAAACAAATTCAAATTGATTAAGACTGGCTACTCAATATTACTATTTGACCTATTGTTCATGTAAATATTCAAGACCTGATTGAGCATATCATTAATATTTTGCTAAATATGCAAGGCTAAATTTAAGACAATTTAGCTGTATATCTCAAGTCATATGGTTCAACATAGTAATTTTATTTTCAGGAATGACTTCAAAGATAATAATTTAAAATTGGGAAAATCCAGGTATAAAAACATATTCTCACAGCATTGTAGAAAATATTCAAAATTAAAGTACATTAAATGTTAGATTGGTTGTGATTAAGTATATAATAACACATTTTTTTATTCAATATTATTCAGCCATGTTTGTATATAAACATGTTAATTTAAAAAGCAGAATATGCAATTATATGTCTATTTCATAATTTTTAATATTTTAAATTTTTAGAGTACTTTAAAATGTTGAAGCTATGCAAGAAATAGACTTGATAGAATTGTTTGCAGCAATTAAATTATTTAAATTAATTTGAGATAGGACAATAATAGGGGAAGCAAAAATCACATATTTCTTAGACATCTATCTAAGCCTTGCAATTCCTTGTAAATAGTAGTATTAACACACACACACACACACACACACACACATTCAAAACACTAAAAAAAACCACTCAACAACAGAGTGTCACAGATATTCCTGCAAGAGAGGGAGAAAGTCACTTGTCAGTGAGAAAGATGATTCACTCCCACTTAGTGCAGTAGGAGAATGGGTAGGACTGGAGCCCAGGAGCAAAGAGCATTGCCATTTTTTCCTTCCTTGGCATGACTCTATCTTAATGTGTTCTGTATGTAGTGATTGAATAACAATAGTTGCTTTTCTCAAACTATCCTGTCTTAATCATTAAATAGCATTCAGGCTTAATGAAAACATTTGTCCAGAAGACAGAGTAACATAAACAATTTATCATCATTCCCACTGGTCAAACATAAACGTTTTCTGAATTAGATATGGAGTTCTGCCGTGGCTTAGTGAAAAGCACTATATGGCAAAGGCTCTGTAGTTTTAAGGCTGAATAATTTGTTTTGTGGCACAGTAGAAATATTTACTTTGGATGGAGAGTAGTGTTCAGGAAAAGAAAAAAATGCTGACCAAGGGGAATAAGTGCTGGTTTCAGAAACTGGATGTTAGCAGCATTTTCTAGCCCTATATCTTTATTAGGAAGTATTATCTTACACTGTTTTCTTTGTTTCAGGGTTTTATTTATTCTTTTGGGAAAATAACTCTGAAAATATGGAAGCATAAATATAAAAAGCATGAAATCAAACCCTCCCAATGTCCACTTTCCAACCATCTGTCTTAGTTTGGTGATTATTCTTCCAGGTGTATTTCTTACTGATATGCAGAAATATATTTAGCTGTTATTATTTATAGGAAAATAGAACAGTCTTGTAAAAATTATTCATCTTTTTTGCCTTACAAATTAAACATATAACGCACATCTTTCTTTAGCATTCAATATATTTCTCCTCTTTCTTTTTCATGGCTGCACTGTATTCACTTTTACAGGTCTATCATTTTATAGCTGTTCTTTTATTGATAGAAAAGTAAGTCATGTTCATTGCTGTACTCTTACTAGCTGCTGCTGCAAACATCTGTATCATCAAATAACTTCTGTAAAACAGCTTCCTGTGCAAAATTAAAACTTAATGTACACTGATAATTTTTTCCCAGGAAAGATTGTTAGCAAATATTACATTCACCAAGAGCATGCGAGTGCCGTTCCCTTCATCTCTGCACAGAATGTTAAAAAATGTTAAATCGCTTGCCATTCTGATGGATGAAAATAATATCAATGTAACATATTAATTGGAAATTCTGTATTGCTGGAACAGAAGTGTGTCAAAGATGCAGTGGTATCTAGATGATATTTCATTTTAACCACTCGGATGTATAATAGATAGATATTGTCTATATATGTATCGATACTTACATTTTACCAATAAGTGTGTGTGTGAAATTAGCTGTGTTTTAAAATATGATAACACAAAATATTGGTATGTGGATCGTGTCAGTCTGATGATATGAAGTTATAATAAGCTGATATAACAATGAAAAGTGTTTTTAATTTGAGCTGCTTCAATTTAAACTATAATTTGAACTATTTAGCAGATTCACTTGGTCATAGTGCTTATCTATGACTGAAGATGGTTTAAGGAACAGACATAAGGCTGAAATACTGCAGTTCAGCTTAGCATCATTACATCATGTGGTCCAGACATGCAAAAAGACAATGGGACTTAAGTAGCAATGGGACTTAAGTGGAGTCTGCAATAACTTGTTTTTCAACTAAGTTCAGTTATTGTTTTCCTAAATCTTGAATTGTTTGGCTTCAGCTTAACCAATAACCCGTCTTTCAAGCCAATATTATGTTCTGGCAGACATCAAAATCTGTGAATGGAATGGTAAACAAAGTTTAAATATGTATTTATTTACCAAGCATTTTATTTTTTTGCCCTAATCCATATTTTATTCCAAACCAGGATAATAACGTGAGCAATATTTCAACATTCCCATCTGCAGAAGTTTCTAACAAAAATCAAATCTTTTGTTCAAATTTATTTGTACTTGGAAAATAGGCCTGTGTTTAAGAAAAAAAATGCAGTTAAAATGATTATTGAAATTGTGGGAAATGATTTTGCATAACAAATAGAGACTAAGAAAGCAAGATTTTAATGATTTAAGTGCAAAATAATCAGAAACAGATGCATTATATAGTCCATTAAACTCTTTATTTTGTTTTTTAAAATCAAGAGAGCAGTATTCAGCAAAATATATTTTAGATTCTAGTGAATGTTAAAAAATATAGGACCCTTTTTAAAATTTATCTTAAAGCAACTTACAAGCAGAAGTAATCTTCATGAAGTTTTATTTTTCTTGCTCCTTCCTTCCTTCCTTCCCTCCCTCCCTCCCTTCGTTCCTTCCTTCCTTCCTTGCTTCCTCCCTTCCTTTCTTCCTTTTTTACTCCCTTCCTTTCTTCACAGATATTACCACCTACCCTATTATTTGGTGAACTGGAGCTTCCCCACACACACATTTACAAAATAATTTTGGAGTGTACACTTTCTGGGAAGCTAGCCCCAAGCAGTTTTATTTAAGAAATGTATCAGTAATGATTAGCCTAAATAGCCTGGATCATCAAAAATAAGTAATATGAAAATATTATATTTTTTATAAATGTCTTAAAACTACAGTTTCTAGTTTATATTTCCTGTCTTGCTAAAAACATAGTTTTAACCCATATTACAATTATTTTTAAATATTCACCAAGACTTTCTTTTTTCTGAACTCTTGTTCTGTTCATTTTATTCTTTGAGTTTTTGCGTTGATTGTGAAAAACTCCATATTGATCTTCTCATTTTTAAATAATGTTTTTCATAGCTCTGGGTTTCATGAAGCAGTAGAAAAAGGACATATTAGGGAGCAATACATAAATTGTTCCTTTGCTTATATCCTCACTCCTCAAACTATTTAAGAGAATAGTAAGTCTAGGGTATTCATTAAGCTATAAATATTACAGGTTGCTGATAGGGAATGAAGCCACCTAAAAGCAAATCTTTCAAACTATGCTTTATTTTATTAAGCATTTTCTCTGAAAATAATATAAAAATTACATATAGGGAGCTAGAAGTATGTGATCATTTATATATATATATATTTTTTTTTGCTTTTTTTATTATACTTTAAGTTTTAGGGTACAGGTGCACAACGTGCAGGTTAGTTAAATATGTATACATGTGCCATGTTGTGCTACACCCATTAACTCATCATTTAACATTAGGTATATCTCCTAGTGCTATCCCTCCCCCTTCCCCCGACCCCACAACAGGCCCTGGTGTGTGATGTTCCCCTTCCTGTGTCCATGTGTTCTCATTGTTCAATTCCCACCTATGAGTGAGAACATGCAGTGTTTGGTTTTTTTGTCCTTGCGATAGTTTGCTGAGAATGATGGTTTCCAGCTTCATCCATGTCCCTACAAAGGACATGAGCTCATCATTTTTTATGGCTGCATAGTATTCCATGGTGTATATGTGCCACGTTTTCTTGATCCAGCCTATCATTGTTGGACATTTGGGTTGGTTCCAAGTCTTTGCTATTGTGAATAGTGCTGCAATAAACATACATGTGCATTTGTCTTTATAATAGAATTATTTATAATCCTTTGGGTATATACCCAGTAATGGGATTGCTGGGTCAAATGGTATTTCTAGTTCTAGATCCCTGAGGAATCACCACACTGACTTCCACAATGGTGGAACTAGTTTACAGTCCCACCAACAGTGTAAAACTGTTCCTATTTCTCCACATCTTCTCCAGCATCTGTTGTTTCCTGACTTTTTAATGATTGCCATTTTAACTGGTGTGAGATGGTATCTCATTGTGGTTTTGATTTGCATTTCCCTGATGGCCAGTGATGATGAGCATTTTTTCATGTATCTTTTGGCTGCATAAATGTCTTCTTTTGAGAAGTGTCTGTTCATATCCTTCACCCACTTTTTGATGGGGTTGTTTTTTTCTTGTAAATTTGTTTGAGTTCATTGTAGATTCTGGATATTAGCCCTTTGTCAGATGAATAGATTGCAAAAATTTTCTCCCATTCTGTAGGTTGCCTGTTCACTCTGATGGTAGTTTCTTTTGCTGTGCAAAAGCTCTTTAGTTTTATTAGATCCCATTTGTCAATTTTGGCTTTTGTTGCCATTGCTTTTGGTGTTTTAGACATGAAGTCCTTGCCCATGCCTATGTCCTGAATGGTATTGCCTAAGTTTTCTTCTAGGGTTTTTATGGTTTCAGGTCTAACATTTAAGTCTTTAATCCAACTTGAATTAATTTTTGTATAAAATGTAAGGAAGGGATCCAATTTCAGCTTTCTACATATAGCTAGCCAGTTTTCCCAGCACCATTTATTAAATAGGGAATCATTTCCCCATTTCTTGTTTTTGTCAGGTTTGTCAAAGATCAGATGGTTGTAGATATGTGGCATTATTTCTGAGGGCTCTGTTCTGTTCCATTGGTCTGTATCTCTCTTTTGGTACCATGCTGTTTTGGTTACTGTAGCCTTGTAGCATAGTTTGAAGTCAGGTAGTGTGATGCCTCCAGTTTGTTCTTTTGGCTTAGGATTGACTTGGTAATGTGGGGTCTTTTTTGGTTCCATATGAACTTTAAGAAGTTTTTTCCAATTCTGTGAAGAAAGTCATTGGTAGCTTGATTGGGATGGCATTGAATCTATAAATTACCTTGGGCAGTATGGCCATTTTCACGATATTGATTCTTCCTACCCATGAGCATGGAATGTTCTTCCATTTGTTGTATCCTCTTTTATTTCATTGAGCAGTGGTTTGTAGTTCTCCTTGAAGACGTCCTTCACATCCCTTGTAAGTTGGATTCCTAGGTATTTTATTCTCTTTGAAGCAATTGTGAATGGGAGTTCACTCATGATTTGGCTCTCTGTTTGTCTGTTACTGGTGTATAAGAATGCTTGTGATTTTTGTACATTGATTTTGTATCCTGAGACTTTGCTGAAGTTGCCTATCAGCTTAAGGAGATTTTGGGCTGAGATGATGGGGTTTTCTAGATATACAATCATGGCATCTGCAAATAGGGACAATTTAACTTCCTCTTTTCCTAATTGAATACCCTTTATTTCCTTCTCCTGCCTGATTGCCCTGACCAGAACTTCCAACACTATGTTGAATAGGAGTGGTGAGAGAGGGCATCCCTGTCTTGTGCCAGTTTCCAAAGGGAATGCTTCCAGTTTTTGCCCATTCAGTATGATATTGGCTGTGGGTTTGTCATAAATAGCTCCTATTATTTTGAGATACGTCCCATCAATACCTAATTTATTGAGAGTTTTTAGCATGAAGGGTTGTTGAATTTTGTCAAAGGCCTTTTCTTCATCTATTGAGATAATCATGTGGTTTTTTGTCATTGGTTCTATTTATATGCTGGATTACATTTATTGATTTGCATATGTTGAACCAGCCTTGCATCCCAGCGATGAAGCCCACTTGATCATGGTGGATAAGCTTTTTGATGTGCTGCTGGATTCAGTTTGCCAGTATTTTATTGAGGATTTTTGCATTGATGTTCATCAGGGATATTGGTCTAAAATTCTCTTTTTTTGTTGTGTCTCTGCCAGGCTTTGGTATCAGGATGATGCTGGCCTCATAAAATGAGTTAGGGAGGATTCCCTCTTTTTCTATTGATTGGAATAGTTTCAGAAGGAATAGTACCAGCTCTTCCTTGTACCTTTGGTAGAATTCGGCCATGAATCCATCTGGTCCTGGACTTTTTTTGGTTGGTATGCTATTAATTATTGCCTCAATTTCAGATCCTGTTATTGTTCTATTCAGAGATTCAAATTCTTCCTGGTTTAGTCTTGGGAGGGTGTATGTGTCAAGGAATTTACCCATTTCTTCTAGATTTTCTAGTTTATTTGCGTAGAGGTGTTTATAGTATTCTCTGATGGTGGTTTGTATTTCTGTGGGATCGGTGGTGATATCCCCTTTATCATTTTTTATTGCATCTATTTGATTCTTGTCTCTTTTCTTCCCTACTAGTCTTGCTAGTGGGCCATCAATTTTGTTGGTATTTTCAAAAAAGCAGCTCCTGGATTCATTGATTTTTTGAAGGGTTTTTCTGTCTCTATTTCCTTCGGTTCTGCTCTGATCTTAGTTATTTCTTGCCTTCTGCTAGCTTTTGAAAGTGTTTGCTCTTGCTTCTCTAGTTCTTTTAATTGTGATGTTAGGGCTTCAATTTTGGATCTTTCCTGCTTTCTCTTGTGGGCATTTAGTGCTATAAATTTCCCTCTACACACTGCTTTGAATGTGTGCCAGAGATTCTGGTATGTTGTGTCTTTGTTCTCATTGGTTTCAAAGAACACCTTTATTTCTGCCTTCATTTTGTTCTGTACCCAGTAGTCATTCAGGAGCAGGTTGTTCGGTTTCCATGTATTTGAACAGTTTTGAGTGAGTTTCTTAATCCTGAGTTCTAGTTTGATTGCACTGTGGTCTGAGAGACAGTTTGTTATAATTTCTGTTCTTTTACATTTGCTGAGGAGTGCTTTACTTCCAACTATGTGGTCAATTTTGGAATAGGTGTGGTGTGGTGCTGAGAAGAATGTATATTCTGTTGATTTGGGGTGGAGAGTTCTGTAGATGTCTATTAGGTCCACTTGTTGCAGAGCTAAGTTCAATTCTTGGATATCCTTGTTAACTTTCTGTCTCATTGATCTGTCTAATGTTGACAGTGGTGTGTTAAAGTCTCCCATTATTATTGTGTGGGAGTCTAAGTTTCTTTGTAGGTCTTTAAGGACTTGCTTTATGAATCTTGGTGCTCCTGTATTGGGTGCATATATATTTAGGATAGTTAGCTCTTCTTGTTGAATTTATCCCTTTACCATTATGTAATGGCCTTCTTTGTCTCTTTTGATCTTTATTGGTTTAAAGTCTGTTTTATCAGAGACTAGGGTTGCAACCCCTGACTTTTTTTGTTTTCCATTTGCTTGGTGGATCTTCCTCCATCCCTTTATTTTGAGCCTATGTGTGTCTCTGAACGTGAGATGGGTTTCCTGAATACAGCACACTGATGGGTCTTGACTCTTTATCCAATTTGCCAGTCTGTGTCTTTTAATTGGAGCATTTAGCCCATTTATATTTAAGGTTAATATTGTTATGTGTGAATTTGATCCTGTCATTAAGATTAAGATGTTAGCTGGTTATTTTGCTCGTTAGTTGATGAAGTTTTTTCCTAGCCTTGATGGTCTTTACTATTTGGCATGTTTTTGCAGTGGCTGGTACCTGTTGTTCCTTTCCATGTTTAGTGCTTCCTTCAGGAGCTCCTTTAGGCCAGGTCTGGCGGTGACAAAATCTCTCAGCATTTGCTTGTCTGTAAAGGATTTTATTTCTCCTTCATAAGCTTAGTTTGGCTGGATATGAAATTCTGGGCTGAAAATTCTTTTCTTTAAGAGTGTTGAATATTGACCCCCACTCTCTTCTGGCTTGTAGAGTTTCTGCTGAGAGATCAGCTGTTAGTCTGATGGGCTTCCCTTTGTTGGTAACCCGACCTTTCTCTCTGGCTGCCCTTAACATTTTTTCCTTCATTTCGACTTTGGTGAATCTGACAATTATGTGTCTTGGAATTGCTCTTCTCGAGGAGTATCTTTGTGGTGTTCTCTGTATTTCCTGAATTTGAATGTTGGCCTGCCTTGTCAGGTTGGGGAAGTTCTCCTGGATAATATCCTGCAGAGTGTTTTCCAAGTTGGTTCCATTCTCCCTGTCACTTTCAGGTACACCAATCAGACGTAGATTTGTTCTTTTCACATAGTCCCATATTTCTTTTTTTTTTTTTTTTTTTTGAGACAGAGTCTTGCTCTGTCGCTCACCCAGGCTGGAGTGCAGTGGTGTGATCTCAGCTCACGGCAAGCTCCACCTCCCAGGTTCATGCCATTCTCCTGCCTCAGCCTCCCGAGTTGCTGGGACTACAGGCGCCCGCCACCACACCCAGCTACTTTTTTGTATTTTTAGTAGAGACGGGGAGTCCCATATTTCTTGGAGGCTTTGGTTCATTTCTTTTTATTCTTTTTTCTCTAAACTTCTCTTCTTGCTTCATTTCATTCATTTGATCTTCCATCACTGATACCCTTTCTTCCAGTTGATGGAATCGGCTACTGAGGCTTGTGCATTCATCACATAGTTCTCATGCCTTGGTTTTCAGCTGCATCAGGTCCTTTAAGGACTTCTTTGCATTGGGTATTCTAGTTAGCCATTTGTCTATTTTTTTTTTCAAGGTTTTTAGCTTCTTTGCCATGGGTTCGAACTTCCTCCTTTAGCTCGGAGTAGTTTGATCATCTGAAGGCTTCTTCTCTCAACTTGTCAAAGTCATTCTCCATCCAGCTTTATTCCGTTGCTGGTGAGGAGCTGCATTCCTTTGAAGGAGGAGAGGCGCTCTGATTTTTAGAGTTTCCAGTTTTTCTGCTCTGTTTTTTCCCCATCTTCATGGTTTTATCTACCTTTGGTCTTTGATGATGGTGACATACAGATGGGGTTTTGGTGTGGATGTCCTTTCTGTTTGTTAGTTTTCCTTCCAACAGTCAGGACCCTCAGCTGCAGGTGTGTTGGAGTTTGCTGGAGGTCCACTCCAGACCCTGTTTGCCTGGGTATCAGCAGTGGAGGCTGTAGAACAGCGGATATTGGTGAGCAGCAATTGTTGCTGCCTGATCATTCCTCTGGAAGTTTTGTCTCAGAGGAGTACCCGGCTGTGTGAGGTGTCAGTCTGCCCCTACAGGGCGGTGCCTCCCAGTTAGGCTACTCGGGGGTCAGGGACCCACTTGAGGAGGCAGTCTGTCAGTTCTCAGATCTCCAGCTGCATGCTGGGAGAACCACTACTCTCTTCAAAGCTGTCAGACAGAGACATTTAAGTCTGCAGAGGATTTTGCTGCCTTTTGTTTGGCTATTCCCTGCCCATAGAGGTGGAGTCTACAGAGGCAGGCAGGCCTCCTTGAGCTGCGGTGGGCTCCACCCAGTTCGAGCTTCCTGGCCTCTTTGTTTACCTACTCAAGCCTCGGCAATGGCAGGCACCCCTCCCCCAGCCTCGCTGCCACCTTGCAGTTTGATCTCAGACTGCTGTGTTAGCAATGAGCAAGGCTCCTTGGGCATAGGACCCTCCGAGCCAGGCACAGGATATAATCTCCTGGTGTGCCGTTTGCTAAGATTGTTGAAAAGTGCAGTATTAAGGTGGGAGTGATCCGATTTTCCAGGTGCCGTCTGTCACCCCTTTCTTTGACTAGGAAAGGGAATTCCCTGACCCCTTGAGCTTCCTGGGTGAGGCGATGCCTCGCCCTGCTTCAGCTCATGCTGGGTGCACTGCACCCACTGTTCTGCACCCACTTTCCAACATTCCCCAGTGAGATGAGCCCGGTACCTCAGTTGGAAATGCAGAAATCACCCGTCTTCAGCGTCGCTCACGCTGGGAACTCTAGACTGGAGCTGTTCCTATTCGGCCATCTTGCCTCCACTGAGATCATTTATATTTAACACAAAATAGTAATGGCCTCAAGGTTTAAGCTTTTCACTAACATATCTCATTGAAAAAATAAGTGTTTATTTAATATTTCTATTTTTAAAATATGAGCCTAATTTTAAAAATCACAATTTTGCATAAAACAAAATAACATTTTCTGAAATTAAAGAAGTATAATTTATATGTGGCCCCCAAATTATCTTTTTCCATTTGTTTTTTTTTTCTGTTTTGTTTTACATTAATAAATGGGAAAGATAAAAAGAAAAAAATAGAGAAAGTATTTTGCCTTCAAATCAATTGATGAGGTTAACAACTAGGACTTGGATCCCTGCGGCAATATAATAGCTTGTTTAAGCATAGGTACACTTTAATTTTGATTATTCTCTTCAATTATTTCATTTCATAGATGCCAATGTGCTCTTAAGATAGCCAGTGCTGGTCCATCATTGTACATTTGGAAATATCAGCTATGCATTTTAATCTAAGCACAACAATTGACTGTGAACTGTGGGTCTTCCAAAATAAGCACAGCTGTGATCTTCATATCTTTAACAGTTCCCTTCCAGTAATGCACAGCTGTCAGAGATGCTCAGTTATTCCAAATATAAAGTTTGAAAGATCAGCCTTCTGAGAAGCCACAGGAATTGCTTCCTAAGTCTAAGAGTTATAACAAACCATGACTTTTTGTGTGAAGAAACAGCTTCAGAGCTGAACAACTTATCTAAAGCATTTCACTAAAGCATACAAACCAAGTTGGGCTGATTCCAAGGGTTTCACCTTAGATTGGCCAACTAAAGTAGACAGCATACATCTTCCCCTAAAGTGTTTAACACTAATGCTTACAGTCAAGGAACTCAGGGCTCCTCTCTGTTACAGTGTAAAGTCTGTCATGCTAAATGACCTTATATGCAATCGTCAGGGTTGTAATGTAAACCATCAGTGCTAAGAAATTAGTTAGAACATTATGCTCTAACACAAAATTGTATTTTATGAAGATGGTGTAAACCATGCATTGTTCTAACTAGAAATTATTTCTGACTAGTCAGAAACATAGAATAACCTAAAATTATATACAAGCCTATGCTTCTATTTTTCTACTTTGAAGTTGGTCAGCATGTATTTTAATACTGAATTATCTATTGTGGAATTCTGAGAATCACGAAGTCAGATAAATAAGATACTTTCAAAAACACTTCCCTAATCTTTTAGTGCACAAAGAAAGATAAGTATTATAACAAATATCTTTTTTATTCTACTTTTACCTCTAGAATTTCTCTAATTCTCCTATGGTCAGCATTCCAAGAACAAAAAATATATACACCCATTTGGAAAAAAATTGATCTATATCTCTTTATAACTATATCTATGTATTCACAAAGTATTAACATCCATGCATATATAAAATCTATCTATCTGCATTTTTTAAATGTTGCTTATCTATAGCCCCACTGCCTCTAACTCCTGCATGCAACTGATATACAGATAACTAGGAAACATTATTCCTTGAAGAGCTTTGATTTTACTAGTCAGTAAATTAAAAACTCATTCCATATCCTCTCCTTTTTTAATTCTACTAGCTCTCTACCCCCTCATACTATTTCAGGAAGAAGTAGGTAGAATATAAGGAATAAATGATTTACTTCCCTTTACTCTCCTATACAGCAAATCTCACTCTAATGACAAAATTATAATGGAAAATGATAGTATCGGTTTTGCTAATTGTGAGGTATTCTTTCACAGCCCTTAATATTATTATGTGGCTACAACTGGCTTTTATTTTTTTCAAATTAACTTTTAGATTGTAGAAATACATTAATCTTTTTATCTATTTATTTTTAATGGCAGATGCTGTCCTCAACAAGCTGAGCTGGGGAAATGCCTTGGCTTGTAGCCGAATCAGTTGAGCAAAGTTCTTTACGGCATTTAAAATCTACATTTGCTAGAGAAAATAGCATCATGTGACACAACCATAGCAATCATAACACCTTAGGTGCCAGAAAACACTCAATCTGGGTGGCTCAGATGACTCCAAATTCTTGAGAACACTTTTTTTTTTTTTGCAATAGAAATTCCCTACAGTGCATTAATTTCTATATAGAGCTAATAGCAACTCTGTTTCTAAAGCAAATGGTTTTCTGTTGATTAGTCTGCAAAGCAGAAGAATAACAGATACATATCACTGACATTTAACAAAGCTATCTTTCTTTTCTTTTTTGCCCTTTTACCAGAGTCTTTTTGTAGAAAACACTTCTACAAATGATGAATTAATTTATTTCTGAAGAAGCATTTTCTCCTTCAAATTATCTCAAGTTTTAAAAAGGCCATGATATTATTTTAGCAATTGTTAAATACTTCTTTTCTCCTCTTCTGTGTATGTATATCAAATGACGTCTAGAATAGTCATTCTTGCATCTGATATCTGAGACATTGAATCATAGTTAATTCTGTAACCTTGGCAATATTTGTTATGGAGAATAGACAGATTTTATTGTTTGTAATATTTTACAAGGATCTATATGGTAATGTTACTATCTGACATACTGTGAACCTGCCTCTGAAAAATAAGATGTTTAGTGATTTTTCTAGATTATTTTCACTATAAGTTGCCATATGGAGAAGAAAAGTTATTATAGATGGCCATAATTGTCCAGGTTCCTAAGATTTATCAGAATGAAACACCACAGCTTTACCAAATCTCCTTTCCTCTTGGCAGATGAATTTTATGGCTGGTACCACAGTTAGTTTCTAAAGGAACTTCCCTGCCTCAGATGTCTTGGCTTAGAGTGGACCAACATTCCAAAGCAAGTTTACTAAGAAAAGGAAAATGAAGAAAAACTAAAATATAAAATCTAGACACAGATGTGTTTACATGCAGATTCCCTTCTCTGAAGGTAGCTGAAGTCTAAACCACAGATTAATTCATCTCACCAGCTTTTATAGACTTAGAATTTGATTTTTTCCTGTCATTTCTGTCTGGTATTGTTTCACACAAGGAAGGCCAACTTCAGATGGGTACTCTGAGTGGGGGTAGTAAAGTTCCCAAGCAATACTATAATATTGTTCTTTCCTGCCTCCTTTGCTGTCTGTTGTGTTGAAACTTAGTTCAGACCAAGTCTTGATCTCTAGTTCAGAAATGAAAAATAGAATCCTACTCTCATCCAAAACAACTTTTCTCTCTTCAGACTAACCAACAACTTCTCAGATACTGTCCTTGTTTGCATTGGAGGTCTTTCTCCTAAAATGATTATTACAAATCCTATGTATTTTTCTCTATAATGTTTATATATATAATGAAAAGATAATTCAAATGCATTAGTGATCAAAAAGTTAACATGAATATGTAAGGCAGTGCTGGGGACAGAGGCAAAATAATTATTCTATCTCAATGAATGTCAAAATGTGATCTCCAGACCAGTCATCACCATTATTATCTAGAGACTTATTAGAAATACAAATTCTCAGCCCTTCCCCAGAACCATTCAGAAACTCTGGAAGTGATACCCAATAACTTGTTTTCTAACAAGCTCTCCAATGTCAGATACATGCTAAAATTGATGAAGATCTGTTCAACCCTAAAGCATTCATTTTTGATTTATTACAAACATAGCAATGGATTATTTTATTTATTTTTATTTTTGCTAGATTTGCCTCTGGGTCATTGCTATGGTTTGAATGTTGGTACCAGTACTAGTTCGTTTTCACACTGCTATAAAGAAATAACTGAGACTGGGTAATTTATAAATAAAGGAGGTTTAATTGGCTCATGGTTCCACAAAGTGTATAGGAAGCGTGGCTGGGAAAGCCTCAGGAAACTTACCATCATGGCAAAAGGTGATGGGGAAGCCGTCTCATCTCACATGGCCAGAGCAGGATAAAGAGAAAAGGTGGGGGGTACTACACATTGTTAAAAACCAGAACTCATTCGAACTCACTCACTATCATGGGAACAGCAAGGAGGAAAGTCATCCCCATGATCCAATCACCTCCCACCAGGACCTTCCTCAAAAATTGGAGATTACAATTCAACATGAAATTTGGGTGGGGACACAAATCCAAACTATATTATTCTGCCCCCTGGCCCATCCCAAATCTTATAACCTATTCACATTGCAAAACACAATCATCCCTTTTCAGCAGTCCCCCAAGTCTTAACTCATTTCAGTATTAACTCAAAATTCCACAGTCCAAAGTCTCAACTGAGACAAGGCAAGTCCTTTCGGCCTATGAGCCTGTAAAATCAAAATCAAGTTAGCAACTTCCAAGATACATTGGGGGTATAATTATTGGGTAAATATTCCCTTTCCACAAGACAGAAATCAGACAAAAGACAAAAGACAGGGGCTACAGACCCCATACAATTCCCAAACCCAGCAGGTTTGGAATTATAATACTTTAAATCTTAAAACAACAAAATAATCTCATTTGACTCCATGTCTCACATCTGGGGTGTGCTAATGCAAGAGGTGGGCTTCCAAGACCTTAGGTAGCTCCACCCCTCTGGCTCTTTAGGGTGCAGCCCCCGTGACTGCTTTCACAGGCTGGCATTGAGTGCTTATGGCTTGTCCAGGTGCATGATGCAAGCTACTTGGTGGATCTACCATTCTGGGGTCTAGAGAATGGTGGCCCTCTTCTCATAGCTCCACTAGGCAGTGCTCCAGTGGGGCCTCTCTGTGGGGGCTCCAACCCTACATTTCCCCTCCAAATTGTCCTAGCAAAAGTTCTCCATGAGGGCTGTGTCACTGCAGCAGACTTCTGAATGTATACATTCAGAGGATACATAGAAACATCCAGGCATTTCCACACATCCTCTGGACCACACTCTACTCTGGACCACACCCAGAATCTTTCATTCACACATACCTGCCTTACTCAATTCTGCTTTGCATTTACCCCCAGGATTCCTGACTTAAAAGACAACATTCCTGACACTTTTTCACACAAACTATTTTAACTTTATCCAAACCCTTTTTATTTAGGAACCTCCAGGACCACTCAGGGACATCATTCTCTTCAGAAATATGAAAATAAATAAATAAATAAATAAACAAGTAAATAAGAGCCAATCAAGGAAGCTGCTTCCAGAAAGAGCCAGGATTATTGCTTGTCCTCCTCTAGAAAAAAAATGATATGCAATATACCCACACATACAGATTCACATACACATGTACATATACATCCACATATACAGACACATACATAAACGTATGCATATACTTGTCCTGGATTATTGCTTGTCCTCCTCTAGAGGCACCCAAGCCTCAACTCTTGTCCTCTCCACAACCATAGGCCCAATGCCATGTGGAACCCACCAACACTTGTGTTTGCATCCTCTGAAGCAAGGGCCGGATCTGTGCCTTGGAACCATAGGCATGACTGGAGCTGGAGTGGCTGGGACACAGGGTACCATGTCCTGAGGCTGCACAGAGCAGTGGGGCCCTGGGCCTGGCCCATGAAACCATTTTTCTTTGCTAGGCTTTTAGGCCTGTAATAGGAGGGGCAGCTTCAAAGGTCTCTGACATGTCCTGCAGACATTTTCCCCATTGTTTTGTCTATTAACAACGTTTGGCTCTTCTTTACTTATGCATATTTTGGCAGCTTTGAATTCCTCCCAAGAAAATGTTTTGTTTTGTTTTTTTCTACCACATGGTCGGGCTGAAAATTTTCCAGACTTATTGGGAACTGGAGTAAAGGTCACACTTGTTATAATACATTTGAACTAAATGATATATGATGATTACATAAACAGATGTTTTATGTAATCATCATACGTGGTTTAATATAACTGAAAAAATGTTTCTTGGACTGATACTGCAAATCAATCTTTAAATAGAAGTGGAACAACTATCAATAAACCAGTTGTTAAACTGAGTTGACAATGGTTGAAACTAAACATGTATAATAACAGGCAAAATCAACCAGGATTTTACCCAAATTTAAATAAACCAAAAGCAGAATTGAAATATGGAATGATTCATTTGGGTAAATTGAACTATTAAAGTAACCTGAAAAGGTTCATTACTCTGTGAAAACAGATGAGAGCAAGCAGGAATATGGGCACAAAGATGACATTATCTTCATGTTTATAACTTCCTAAAAGGAAAGTTCATTGGTTGCATAAGTGAAGGAAATCTTAAAGAAAGATGTGTCTAAGAAAATGGCTTGGTCCTCGAATTACAGATCTCAGCTAGTGAATACATTTTTTAGGATTATTTAGGTATTGACTAATTCTAACACAACATTCTAAATATTTACTTTTTCATTCAAGAAATATTTATTGAAACCCTACAAAGTATGTAGTACTCCTTTAGCTGATACATTGAAAGGAAACAAACTTAAGCTATATTTGGATATTTGCATTCAAAAATGTCAAAGTTGAATTGGGGTGTGTGTGTGTGTGTGTGTGTGTGTGTGTGCATGTTTGCATCTTTGGTCATGTTTACTTGCATATTTATAAGTATATAAGGTGGATTCTAGTGTAACAAGAAAAGTATAATTTAAGTAAGCCTGAGTATATGTACAGTCTCCCAGAATTAAGTCCATAAACTATACTGCCAACGATATCTCAACTTCATCACAGGGAATCATTAGCAGAAATGTCAATTTTTCGGCCTTTGTAACATGGACAGTGCAACACATATCAGTGTACTAGTGTTATGGATTGGGTTGTGTCCCAACTTCATGTATTGAAGTCCTAACCCCCAATAACACAGAAAGTGCCTTTATTTGGAAAAGCACACAAGGAGATCGCCATATGTAGACAAAGGCGAAGATAATGATGATGCGTCTATAAGCCAAGGAAACCTGAAGACTGCTATTAAACCACCAGGAACTAGAGGAGAGGCATGGAACAGATTCTTCCTCACAATGCTCAGAAGGAACAAACCCTGCCAACACTGTAATCTTGAACTTCTCCTTGGTATGAATTATAAAAATTGAACAAATGCATTATCCAAACATAGGAAGAGTGTTCAAAAGGTGTCTAGCATCCAAAACATTAACAATTTTCATACAATAAATATACATCTATCTATGAATATAAATTTGTGTTTTTATGGCTCTATTTCTCCCTTACCCTATTTTTTTTTTCTGAAAGCCAGAAAGGTTGTCTCAGTAGTTTGTAGTTTGTCACCTCTTTGAGATTGCTGTAAGTTCTAAGGACTAATGTAATATATTGGCATTTTGGGAAGCAACAGAAGGCTATGGAACCTTAATCTGCATTCTGATCCAGTCTCCTCACTACTGTCCTTACCTCATTATTCCCAAACATAAACTCCACTGGGTCCCTGTGATATATTATTGCAGTTTAAAGAAAAAAAGATATATACCACTTTAAGTCCTATATTATGCATAACATAGACTTATCATGCATTATTTTTATTTTAAATACTGGGCACAGGGATTCACCATCCCTCATTTGAGAAGTAAGACACAGTCTTATCTGCCCTCATGTACATAAGCCTATCTGGGGTTTAACATTCTTCTCTCCTAGTCTAATCTCTCACTCTCACACCAGGATCACACTCTATACATGTTTCTTGAGTTTCTCATGTTCGTAGATCAACATCTAACCATCTTGTTACGTTAGTATTCCACCTTTCTAATTTGTGGCCACTGGGCTATACAAAGAGTCTCTAACTGGCTATGTATTTAAAAATAATTATGGCGTAAACTTTATACTGTTTCTTTCTAGGTTAGTCTTTGAAAACACAAGAGCTAAGAACTTATACTAACTTTGCTTTTCTGCTAAAACATACATTATCTGAATAACTGAATGTCCATGTCCCAATTGTAAGACTGTGCTTAGAAACTGGTGCAAGCTTTGAGCGGTAGCGAATAAACATCTCTGACTCTGATGTATTTTTTCCATATAAAGAGATGTCCAGTGGTATGAAACCCTTGACCTTTTGCTGTCCCTCACCGTCAGCTTCTTCCAACATTAAAGGCTTGGCGTTAAATTTGGGGAGAACAAACTAATCACTTGAGCTTGGCTCAATTCTTCCCTTTACTTCTTGGTAGCAAATCTGCCTACTGAAATACGTGTTCTTCTCTACTTTCCAGTTTGAATTCAAAATGGTTTGCTTCCAAAGGAGAAGCCTGGGATCATTCAGCACAGGCTGGTACAGGGAAGAGAGGTTGATCAAACCTGTGGTTTATTACAAATAGTGGAAATAAATGCCCCTGTTTGTTAGGACAGTCCTGGTTTACACTTATTTTCACAATGAAATTATTAACATTGCTGCTTTTTTTTCTCTTAAAAGTGTTCTGGTTTAGATGCTAAATAATGTAGTTATTCTAATTATAAGAAAGCTCACTCTTCCACAAAGACACATCTAACACCATATTTCATCTCAAATAAAGATGATGTTTTAACTTCCATCTACCTCATTATTTTATATGTCAACAATTTATATAGAACTAAAAAAAAAGCTGTGTTCTTTGGACCCTTTAAACTCAAAAGAATTAATATGTAGTGATTTAGAAAATAATAATTATAAAAACATAATTACAGGTATTTGGATATTCAAGAGAAAAAAACAATTATTTTAAGTTCAAGAAGGTCTTAATTTATTATATGGGTTTTAGTTTCACTTACTTTTTCTTTACTTAACGCTGAATCTCCACTGATTATTTTGTGAAGCTCAAAACTGACTCTGCAAATATTCTAGGAGAGAAGTTCCATTTATAAAATTTATAAAGCTTATTGAATTAAGATTACATTCTTTAGACAACAAAAGTTAAGAGTTTTATTGTATACATATCATAATAATATTCCTCACTAATAACTCTAATACCTCTGAAATTAAGAGGGAATCAATATTGGTTTTTAAATGTCAATTTCTTTCAGCAGAACTCTGATATCTCAAAATAGTAACCATCCTACCTTGTCAATATTTACTTCACCTATATTAGGAATGAATTGCAATGGGAAAAACAATTATAATTCTGATTAATACTTTGGGAACTCCGAAGTATAGGTGCTTGTATACGTGTATATCTACTACACTGTATGTGAAATTCTAGGAAATTTGGAAATTCAGTTAAATTAGTAGAGAAAAGTCAGCCCTCAGGCAGCTTGCATTCCAGTGTGTGAAGGGCATAAAAAACAGAGTCCAAATAATCAAGTTTTGACAGTCCAGTGTTTCCAAACTTTTCTATTACTTCCCTAAGGAACACAGCATATTCAGTCATATTTAAACTACACATCTACAAATATTAACTTATTTAAGGTGTGATGGCCATTTGGTTAACAGTAGGTAGAGTAGGTCATGAACTTGGTATAATAACTGGGAATTTTGTAAGGTTTCCTGAAAATGACTTTGTGTCAGTAAGGCCTTTAAATTCTCCCATGTGAAAAAAGTTTCTATTAAATGAATGAGAAACAAAGAGATAATTTTGCCATTTCACATGGTATATTGGATATACACAGAAAACAAAATAGTATATACTTCAGAGAGCTATGCACTGAATCACTACTTTGCTACTCTCTCATACAAAGTTGAAATAGAGTTGTAGTATATCAGACATGTCCTTTTTCTAGAAGGAATTTTATTATGTTGTCCAAATTTATATGGTGGTTGCTAAAATGCAGTAACAAGGCACCAAAATAATGGCAAAAACAATTTTCAATTAGCAATGCTAGAACCACTCAATGTGAGAACATACTTTTCTATGTAACCAGCTCCTGGGAGAGTAAAGAGGCCAAAATAGAAAATGATTTCCAAACATTTAACAAAAAAGTCAAAGGATAGTTTTTTCTCATAAAACTCTGTTAGGTAAGACTTTACTGGCAACGGTTTGTCTGACATTGAATCTCGGAATGGATGGTTGTGTTGGGTGGTTCATATCCTCTGCTAGGAAAAAAACAGTATTTGTGTCTGTAAAACCCTTATTCTCTTATCCGTGACTGTATTTACTGATTAAAAAAAAAAAAAAAACTCTACCAAATGTGCAGGGAATGTTTATCTTCCCATTTTTAATGATGAGGGGATTTTTCAGTTGGTACTGTATATGTAGGAGCCAATCCAAAAGAACTAACTTTGAAATTTATATCTGCTTTCTGTGGCAATGAAAACCAGCCCACAGTTATCATTTGTTCTGGTGGAATGTAATGCATTAGCTTGCATGGCAATAGATCTAATAAACCTAGTTCCTCATGGAAAAAGAAATACAACTGTGGGGAAAATGCTTCATGTTCTTGATAATAATTTAAATATTTGCTTTTCAAATCCTACCATTCATTCTTGGAATTCAATATTTTATTTTCACTAATTTACTTACAGTATTTTGGGTGAGTTTCTTTCATTAAAAAATGAATTTAGTGCATAATAAAACTAATAAATTGATCATTTCTACAAATACATGTCTGAAAAGTAAAAGATAGCAATAACATAGTGTTCTCTATATTATAATAACACAACTTTTAACCTATCCCTATTTGTTGCTGATATAAATATTGAGTAGTTGAAATATTTTGGTTTTAAAATAATTATAATTTTAAAGATGCAGCATTTGTTCCTGTAGGAGTTTTACTTGGAAAAATACTCAGGTTAACACTTCAATTGCCATTGTCTCTACAAAGCATATCTGGAAAACCATTCTTCAAAATCGTCTAAAACCTCCCATTTTCATACACACGATGAAATTTTATAAATATATTTTATTAACTGAGAAATGGAGATATTCATATGCACATGAACATTCATATACACACATTCCACAATTCAAATATTACATATGAAAAGTATTATACCTCCTAAATCCCAAGTTTTAAAATGTTTAACTATAAGCATCAAGAATTGTGAAGGGTCTGAAATTTTACACAAATTACAAGTGAACAAGTTAGTCTGCTAAAGTTCCATGGATCTTGGTAGAAGACAAAAGACTCTGAGGTCAAAAGCAAAAGAAATATATGGAGTCCTTCACACTGTAAACAGATGTAATCCAGAATATGTTGCATATTCACTATAATGATGGTTTCTGACAGTAATGGTAATAATCTGGGCAGTATATCCTTGAGCAACATCTTATTTTCTGTTTGACTTATCATAGAACTGGCTCTTACTCTGAGTATCTTCTCAAGTTACCTAGATGTTTTGATAAGCAGCCAATATTTGTTTCCATAGTTAAATAATTCCAAAAAGAGTGTCTAACCTGCCAGTCCAAAGTTTTTAAAGTGGCAGATGAAACACCTAGGGCACTGGCAACAGACCAAGAGTCAGTAAAATATGTAAAGGACCATCAAGGGATTGGCCAGAGCTGTGAGAATGGCTTTTAGTTCTGCTCAGTAAGCATAGTGACCATGTTTGCTTTTGATTATACTTAGTTCAGTTCTGAACACCTCACTAGTCCAATGACAATAATGGCTTTTAGTTTAGCTGAATCATCACTGAATCAAGCCCAGGCATTATGGGTGCCTTGGTGGATCGAGGGTCCTAATGAGCCAGAAGCTTTGCTCCAGGTGGCAGAGTGGAAGATTACTGCAACTTTTTCATGTAATGCCAAAATGCTATTAGGGCTAAGATGATTTTATTATTTATTTGAATATATCATTTCCAATAGGCAAATAAGGCTTATTGGGTTCTTTCTACCTTGTTATTTAGTACAATTGTGCATACTGCGACATGGGAATATCTGGCAAGACGGTCGCCAGATCCCTTGGTTAGGCATTCAGTTTTGATGAGAGCCTCATAGCAATCTGATGGTTGTCTTCAAAAGGAGTATATGTGAGAGCCATGTCAGCAAAGCATTAAGTCCAAATATCCTAGGGAGTACCTTTGGGTAGGGAAGCTGCCTCTCTTTGCTCAGACTCTAGTCAGCAAGATTATCAATCACAGAGACTTATAGCCCAAAATGGTCATTTTTGTTAGGGCACCACAAAGATAAAGAACGTGCCACAACTGGATGGACAATTTCCAAAAGAGTATATTAGTTTAGGCACCCCTGAAAGAATGCTTCTTTGTAGGACAGCCAATATAAAAGATCAAAAAGAATGCATAAATTTGCCATGTACTATCTTCAATATCTAAAGACTCCAATAAGGTGCTAACCCTTTTTTTTTGGCCAGGCAGCCATCCAAATAAATTGTAAATTTCATTGAATGCCAGAGGAGTTCAGCATTGTGAATCTGTCGACATAGTTCCTAGAAACTTTACTCGGTGAACTGAATTTTAAGTATTGAAACATTGTCCCTGATAACAGAGGTGTGATAACATCATGGTTATAACATGATGACTTTCAACAGAGCTGAGGTTGGCATAATAGCTCCAGGAGAGTTAAGCTCTAAGACAATCCAAGTTTTGCCATTTTCTTTTAACAAGCAATACGTGCCATATTCCCTCAACTTCCAAGAGAAAGAAAGTACTCAAAGTGGCCCATCATACTGGTGAATTTTTTTTTTGTTCTCATTCAGCTTAGGCACATGCTTTTCTAACTATTGTCTGAAAGAGGACATATCTTAGCACTAGTTGTTGCAATCAAATGGAACAAGGCTGACCACCAGTTCTTTAAGAAATTCTCCGCCTAAAGGATAGTAAACAATAAGGATATTGTTCAGGAACTTGTCTCTGAAACTATTTCAAGTACTCATCTTCTAACTACTGTCCTGTTTTCTTCTCATCAACAGGCAATAAAGAAGAGGACTATTTTGCCCAATTTACCATACAGTTTGTTCAACACATTTGCTATTTATTCTGATGGTGTTCCTTCAAATTAGGTTAATTGGCCTACCACGCCCTTATGTTTTCTTTTCAGAAAGCTGTATTTCTGTCAGCATCCCATCTTCATTCCCAAAACTGTGCAGAAGTATGAAAGGTTTGAGATGTTACCTAAGTTGACATCTAACAAGCTCTGTGGATACTACTATAAGGTAGACGATTTCTGTGTCAGTGTACAGCAAGCAACATGAACATGCACAAATTTGCATCAGTTTCCTTTACCCCTCCATCCCATGGGATGGTGCAGAATAGACTAGATGGATGCTAGCACATGCAGTGTGGTTGAAATTAAACAAAAGGAACCTTGAGTTAAAAGAATCTGCATTTTTATAATGGGAAGAAAGCATGCCTATCTTTTGCTCTAGAAGGAGACGTTGTTCAAACTTGTTCCTTTTATAAATATCTTTGGAAAGATAATCTACAACAAAGTGCCCTTAGTACCTCTTATCACAAGATATGCAGAAATGACAGGGCCCTGTGAAAAAATGTTTTCCAATTTTGGTGCTTGGGTCTCTGATGCTTCTGGTCTCCTAATTATGAGATTCATTCTTGCCATTTCATCATATCAATGCAATTTTGATGTATCCTTATTTTTTTGTTCCGCTCCTTTAATTACACAAATTAAGTCTTCACAATCAGCACATTCATATAAACAGTACGGTATGACTTGACAGTGAATTATTCTTCTCAGGAGACTACATTCAAACAAGTTGACCTAGAAAGAAAATGCTTAAGTGAATATAACCGAATGTGTTATAGTATCTCTTTAAGCTCTGTTATTATAAAGTCCCCTATTGTGTTTCTTCATCTATTTTTAAGTTTTCCTTGATATCCAAATCTTTTGTAAATCTGTCTACTTCATTGGCATGTCAGTTATGCTAATCTCCAAATGTATTATATTATTTTACCATTTGGACTCATATAAATATATTTAATTCAGTTTCTTATTTATCTATCTCCTCTAGTTTAGAAACAAGAAAGGGAATTTACCCATTTTATTCTCTATTTCTATCCCATACTACCTTCCAGTGAGAGGCCTGTGTAGATGCTTAATAAATGTTATTTAATTTCAATTCACTTAAGTTTAGTCTATAGCCTGTGGAGATAGAAAAAAAAGTAAATGGCTTGTTTTAAAATTATTTATTTTTTCATTTTCCCTCATAACTCTGTGTGTGAGAGAATGTGTATGTATGCTCAATCGATCATTTCCCCTGTGACATAAAACTAAAATTAATTTGAGGAAAAAATATGAAAAAATACATTAATTTAAAATATTAGTTTTATGTTTAATAATCCCATCATCTATGATTATAATGAATAAAGCATTTTCTTATTGTTCACAGATGTTAAAACTCAAATTTCTATATTTAAGTTTGGTTACATAATATCTTCTGAGAAAATACTGTAAAATAAAAAGTGAAAAAGTTTTGCTGTTTTGAAAATTTTTTTCTCATGTATTAAAGTGCTTTGAATAATCCTAATTGCCATGAATCACTTTGGTTAACATATTTCATAAATTATAATGCCTAATTCCGAAATTTTAGATTTTTTAAAAAGGGTCATATTGTTTAAATATTTAAATTATGTGATACTGAGTCTCTGGCATGCTTGTTGGGAAAATATTCTGTATATTATTTTTTGTAGCAAATAAAATCAGATACATTGTTTAGGTAGGGAGTTGTTTTCCATTGATCTCTCCATCCAAATATTTGGGTATCTAATATGTGACTGATGCTGTAGTAGAAAATGAGAGTCTAAGAGTGAGCCAGAGCAATATAGAACCTTACCTCTTTTTTTTGGGGTGGGGGGCGGAGACGGAGTCTCGCTCTGTTGCCCAGGCTGCTGGAGTGCAGTGGTGCGCGATCTCAGCTCACTGCAAGCTCCGCCTCCCAGGTTCAAGCCATTCTCCTGTCTCAGCCTCCCCAATAGCTGGGACTACAGGCACCCGCCACCACGCCCCGCTAATTTTTGTATTTTTAGTAGAAGCGGGGTTTTACTGTGTTAGCCAGGATGGTCTCAATCTCCTGACCTCGTGATCTGCCTGCCTCGGCCTCCCAAACTGCTGGGAACCTTACCTCTTAAAATTTAGTCTGGTGGAGGAGGTGCCTCTTCATCAAATAATCAAGCAACAAAATACAATTACAACTGTAACAAGTGCTACAAATAAGAAATTGATGGAACTATGAAAGCACAGCATAAGGTGATTTCGCCTAGGCAGAGGTGTCAGGAAAGACTTCTAGGAAGTCATGACAGCGCTGTGAAAAAGAAATAGGAGTAAACTACGTTAAGAGCATTCCATGTGGAGGAAAATGCATATTCGAAAACTTTGCTGAAAGAAGGACCAAAGTATATTTAAATCCCTGTTACAAGTCCCTGATACAAGGGACTATGGCTAGAGGAGACAGAGAAGAGTTAGTATAAGCCTCAAGCTGAAGAATGAGAACTGAGACCTTCCTCATCCAGGTAGTTTAATTATTAAGGACTAAGAATTGAAGCCACCAGAGACAACTATATGAATCAGTGACTCAACAGATTTTTCTAGTGGTTTAAAGGAATTCTTGCCTTGGAAATTAGTCTGTAAACCAATAGATACCATCTCTGGTTCTTTTGTGAAGTTCCTACATGTCGATCTATCTGAATAATCAGTTGCTCCTCTGGGAAAATAGTTCATTGATCAGAAGAATCCATTGATATCTTGGACAACCAGTGCATTTATCAAACAACAATTTACTTAACAAAATTCACTTCTAACCTGGGTCTCTAAATGCTAAGCTTTTATTATGATACAAAATGTGCCCAATGCTAGTAATTTTCCTAACTTGAAATACTGTCCTTACACCATTTGAGTTTAGATTTAAAAACTCGATAAATATTGTCCCCTAGCTTTTTTCTTCTGAAATACTACTAAGACTGTCAAGGTGGTATCTCCCCTTGGATCTCTTGTTCAGGAGGTACCTTTCCAATATATCTAAGAAACTTAAATTTGATCAACATGTTGTGTTAGTGACCATTTTAGGAGGAGGCAGTAAATGCAGGGACTTGTAGGCCAGATGAAGCTTTTTTATTGATTTTTAGTCCAACCTCCTGACTTGTACACAACATAAAACTTGTGAAATGTTTTCAGTTAGAAGATGGAGGGTAGCACTGGGATAGCAATATGACTAGAATTGTATTTTTAAATAACCACCCTAGCTTCAGTGTAATAAACTGATTGGAGTCAGGATGAATTATGGAAGTCTAGAGACAATTACATAGATGAGGTTTAGAGATGATGCCAGCTTAGTTTAAGATGATGAAAGTTGATATTATTAGAAATGGACAGTTTCAAAACAATAAATAATCCATAAGATAAATAGGGTATTGTGATCAAATAAGCTAAGTAAAAGAAAGTAGGGTGCCCAAGATGTATCCTTGATTTCTAACTTACATAATCCTAAATTTCTGGAAGTTTTCATTTCCTTTTTTTCTATAAATTACTAAAAAGTATCTATCACTTTTGAAACACAATGGCAAAACAGAAATGATATCCCACGGTAGCCCCCCTGTTCGGTAGTCTGTTTTAAATTGTGAGTGTATCTTTTTAGAAACTTGACAACTAGACAACTTGATGTTATACTTATCGTCTTTCGAGGAAATTGTCACAATGAAGGCTCTTCCAACAAAAGAAGGATCAGAATAATGTTTAAGGCACTTTGATCCATATGATCACGCATTGCACAATTCTGGACTTCACATGAACAAATGTGTGGCTCAGCCCCAATCTTCATGCAGCGTGTCGATTTGAGAAATGCATAGTCATTTCTCCAAGATACCCTGGCAAATTCAGACTGACTGGTCCAAAGTTGTCCCTGGGTCTCCACTCTATCTCTGCCTCTGGATCTAATCTGCCATGTAAAAAATAAATCCTATAGATTTTGTGGTATAGATACTTCAGCTCTTTCGAGCTCAACAAGTGATTATTTTGGGATTTTCATTAGGCACATGGCTTATGGGGTGGAAATGTCTCATCACATGGTGGGGTGAATCATGAAAGAGTTACTACAGCCTGTATTAGGCAGAGGATCTGTTTTTGTTTTTTTTTTTTTTAATATTTTAGGAACTGTGAATTGAGGGATAAGTTGTTGCCAGGGTGATGATTGGAGGTAGTCCAGCTGGTTCAGTCACTTCTTAATATTTAATAAGCCCTGAGAGAGATAACTGGCCTCAGTTACTGGCAGGTCTCTTTAGAATACCAGGTAATTAAGACCTTTTTGTTTTTGGAGTTTGACTCTGCTCATTATTATTAGGGTAGGAGGAAAAAACCAGAAAAAATGCCCTAGTATATCATATAAAATTTTAATATTTTAATAATATTATTTTATTATTTATTTACTTTAACCCCTCTCCACACATTGGCAAGCTTTCAATATGTTATATATATATATATCCTTATAATTACATGTGTCCTTGTAAATACATAGCACTGATTAGGTCATGTATATTTGTAGAAATACGTTCTGTAAAAATTCAGAAAACTTTTCTTGTTAGTGGCAACATTTTCTTTCCATAATATTAAAATTTGTCTGCATTTCTGTGTCTACATCTTGTTTGATGCTTCCAATGGCTGCATAATATTCTTTACTGTATATCATCATATTGTTTTACCTATGTCTGCATTAACAGACCTACAAGTTATCCTGAATTTTTCCTTACCCCAGAATGCATGGAAATTAACATCTGTATATATGTCTTCTAATGGAATAGTGTGTGAATTATACTGGGCTATGTACAAAGAAGAAGAATTGCAAGATCATAGGTTCTGTGAGTGTGCGTGTTTGTGATGTGTATGGGTATGGGTACATGTATGTGTATATGTTAAATTTGACCAAGCACTCTAAGAGTGCTCTCTAGGAAGCCTGTACTAATATGCTTGCCTATAAAATACAAATCCATCAGATATTTTGTTTCTGCACATCTCTAAACTCTTACTGAAGTTTACATTTTTAATATTTTCAGACCTGGTAGGTAGTTTTATTATGTTCTTGTACCTGATTCCCAGTAAAGTTGCTTATCTCTCCACATACTTGTTACCCCTTTGAATATTGTATTCTATGAACTGTCTGTTAATATTCTGCTTATGTACCTATAGATTACTTATTTCCATATATTACAATGATTTTTGTAAAATATATTAACTTTTGTCAGATTAAGAGAGTGTTAAGAATCTTATAATGTCAGCTGAATCTTAACATCTACAATGGTCATATTTAAAAATATGCTTATTTCTTAGTTTAACTCTTTTTGAGATGATTGTAGATTCATCTGTCATATTAAGAAATAATACAGGCCGGGCACAGTGGCTCATGCCTGTAATCCCAGCACTTTGGGAGGCCGTGGCGGGTAGATCACAAGGTTAGGAGATCAAGACCATTCTGGCTAACACGGTGAAACCCTGTCTCTACTAAAAATACAAAAAAATTGCCAGCGTGGTGGCACGCATCTGTAATCCCAGCCACTCAGGAGGCTGAGGCATGAGAATTGCTTGAACCTGGGAGGTGGAGGTTTCAGTGAACCGAGATCGCACAACTGCACTCCAGCCTGGGCAACAGAACGAGACCCCGTCTCAAAAAAAAAAAAAAGAAAAGAAATAATCAAACTGGACATAGTGGCTCATGTCTGTAATCCCAGCACATTGGGAGGCTGACACAGAAGGATCACTTGAGGCCAGGAGTTTAAGACCAGCCTGGGCAACATAGAAGATCCTATCTCTACAGAAATCTTTAAAAACTAGCCAGGAGTGGAGTTATGCACGTGTAGTCCTAGCCACTCCTAGGCTGAGGCAAAAGGATCACTTGAGAACAGAAGGTTAAAGCTTCATTTAGCTATGATCATGCCAGTGTACTTCAGCCAGGGTGATAAAGTGAGATCCTGTCTCAAACAAAAAAAAAAAGAAAGAAAAAGAAATAATACAAAGTAATCTAGTTTCACTTGACAATAACATCTTGCATAACTAAAAATAACCACCAGAATATTGACGTAAAAACATTGTATCTACAAAAGAGTTTCATCATCAGAAGGATCCATTCTGTTGCCCTTTTAGTGCTGCACCCATTTCCACAATCTTAACCCCTGGAGCCACTAGTCTTTTTCCATTTCTGTAATTTTCTCATTTTAAGAATGCTACATAGATGAATTCCCTCAGCTTTTGCTTATATGGAAAAGAATGTATTCCTTGCTCATTTCTAAAAGACTTCATTACTGAAGTTTTGCTGAGTATGGTATTCTTGGCTAATTTTTATTTTTAGTACATTGAATATGTCATCCCATTCTCTACTGGCCTGTAAGAATTCAGCAGAGACATGCGCTATAAGTCTAGTGAGGATTCCCTTATTTGAGACTGGGCATTTTCTTCTTGTTATTTTCTCTTTATCTTTGACTTCTGACAATTTCACTATAATGTTCCTTGAGTTGGACCTTTCTGAGTAAAATATATTTGGAAACTTTTGCAATTACTGCATCTGGAATTCAATATCTTGCCTCAGACTTGGAAAGCTTTTAGCTATTATCTTATTAAATGCATTTTATGCCTTTTCCCTTATCTTCTTCTTCTGTAATGCTCATAATAAGCATAGTTGTTTGTGTTGTCTCATAAAACTTGTCGGCTTTCTTCATACAATTTTATCCTTTCTCTCAGTGGGTAATTTCAAATGGTCTATCTTCAAGTTCACAGCTTCTTTCTTCTGCTTGATCAAGTCTGTTGTTGAAACTCTCTATTGTATTTTTTATTTCATTCATTAAATTTTTCAACTGCAGGATTTGGTGAGGGTTGAGAGGAGGGAGAAGATCATGAAGAATAGATGCTGGGCTTAATACCTGGGTGATAGGATGATCTGTGTAGCAAACCACCATGGCACACATTTACCTATGTAACAAACCTGCGTACCCTACACATGTATCCTTGAATTTAAAATAAAGGTTGAAACTTTTTAGAAAAGAAAAAAATCTTAAAATTCATATGGTAATGGTAAAGATCCCAGATAGTCAAAGAAATCTTGAGCAAAAATAACAAAGAGTCATCACATAACCTGACTTCAAAATTATGCTGTAGAGCTATAGTAACCAAAACAGCATGCTACAGGCCTAAAAACAGACATGTAGACAATGAAATGAAATAGGAAACTCAGAAATAAATTTACATGTTTGTGTGTATTGTAGCCAACTAATTTCAACAATGGTGCCAAGAACTTTCATTGAGAAAGAAACAGTATCTTCAACAAATAGTGCTGAAAAAAACAAATAACCATGTGGATACAAATGAAACTAGACCCCTATCTATCACCATGTACAAAAATCAAATCAAATGGATTGAAGATGTAAATGTAAGATTTGAAACTACCAAAAAAATCATAGGGGAAATGCTTCAGGATACTGATCTGGGCAAATATTTTATAGAGAAGACCTCAGTACAAGCAACAAAACAAAAATACACGAATGAGAGAGATTATATCAAACTTAAGAGCTTCTGCACAGCAAGGGAAAAAATCAACAGAGTGAAGAGACAACCTATAAAGTAGGAGAAAATATTTGCAATTTATTCATGCAACAAAGGACTAATATGCAGAATACACAAGGAACTCAAAGAGCTAAACAGCAAAAAGCAAATAATCAAATTAAAAAGTGGGCAAAGTATCTGAACAGATATTTCTCAAAAAGACTTAGAAGTGGACAACAGGTCTATGAAGAAATGCTCAACATCACTAATTCTGAGAGAAATTCAAATCAAAACCATGAGGTATCTTCTCACTCCAGTTAGAATGGTTATTATTAAAATGATGAAAAATAACAAATGCTGATGTGGATGCAGAGAAAGGGAAAGCCTTATACATTGTTGGTGGGTATGTAAATTAGTAATCAAGAGGAAAGAAAATCAGTATATCAAACAGTTAAAATATTTTCACTCCCATTTTTATTGTATTTTATTTTATTCACATAGGAAATACATGAAATTCTGGTGTTTTATTGCACTATAGGGTGACTGTATTTAATAACAATTTATTGTACATTTTCAAATGGCTAGAAGCACAGATTTTGAATGTTCCCAGTGCAAAGAAATTATAAATGTTTGAGGTGATGGATATGCTAATACTCTCAATTTCATCATTACCCATTGTATACCTATATTGAAATATCACTCAGTACTCCATAAATATGTATAATTATTATGTATCAAAATGCTAATAAAAGCAAAACAAAAAGTTAAACATGATGTTACTATAAAATCGAGAAATTCCACTTCTAGATATATACCCAAAGCATTTGAAAGACAGGACTCAAAAAAATATGTGTATATCAATGTTCATAGCAGTATTAGTCACAGTAGCCAAAAGACAGAAACAACCCAAATATTCACCACCAACAACATAAAAAATGAATGTTATATTAGTGGAATCATACTGTATGTAACTTTGTAGGATTGTGTTTTTTCACTCAGCATAATGGTTAAGAGATTCATGCAATTTGCCACATGTATGAATAGTTTATTCCTATTTATTGCTGGGTATTATTCCATAATAGGGATGTACCACAATTTATTGAACTATTCATCCACTGAAGAGCATTTAGGTTATTTCCAGTTTGGATTATTACAAATAAAGCTACTGCCCAAGAGTGCAATTGTTGAGTTATACGATATTTACATGTTTAGTCCTATAAGAAACTAGCAAGCTTTTATCCAGAATGACTGTACAATTTCACATACCAACCAGCAATGTAAGATTGATATATTTTCTCCATGTCCTTGACAGCCAGGTGGTGTTGTCATTGTTAAAGTTTATTCTAGAAGGTGTACAGTAATACCTCATCATGGCTTAATATTTGCATTTCTCTAATGGCTAATGATGTTGAACACTTTTTAATGTACTTTTTCACATTTCACAGTGATCTTAAATCACTGATTTAAGAAGGTTTACCATAACACTTCACTTTTAATACTTACGCTTTTAATCTAGCATGATTTCTAATCTGTATGTTGTATTAAGAAATATTTTAATTTTTTTCTATTGAGTAAGCCAGTTGAGCTAAGTCTTAGTTTTCAGTGTATCTTTTCATCATTAATTTGTCATTTCATATTAATATTGACATATTTTCATATAAATCTGGGCCTCTTCCATGGGCTGTTTTTGTTTCAATTATTGTGTTTTCTGTCCTGTTATAATAAATGTTACATTTTCATAAATGAGAGGTCAATTTCTCCTCTTTACTCTGCTTTTCTACATTTTACATATCTGTGAACTGTTCTTATTTAAGATTCAGCATTCCTCAAAATGTCCAAGTAAACAGTTTCCTGCTTTTGTACTTAATATCTAGATTAATTTTCAAATAAAGTATTAACAATACTGTTCTATTCATGAATATTTTATGTATTTCTGCTTATTCAAATTTTTTTCTATGTACTTTAAGAAAAGTTTAAAATTATCTCTGTTAAATATTTATCTGTAAAGATTTGTCTCTTCTTCCATATTTATTTATTCAATAATTAATTTATATAGCATATGCTTCAAAAGTATAAGTGAGCAAATGTTGCTTTTTCATGTAAGTTACTCATCCAAGCTTTAAGACTATTGTTACTGATGATTCTTCCCTTTTACTGAAAATTGACATGGGTAAAATTTGCTTACCACTTTTACAAAATAACTTTTAGAGAAGGGAAAATGCAGGTATGTGACGTAATCAAGAGAGAAAAATATAGTATTTTATTTGATGCATAGATTATAGTTAACTGATATTTTCTATGATCTATTCCTGTGTACCATTGGATCAGCCTATGCATGAAGATTTCGATTCTGCTTAACTTAAAAACTGTTTAACGTAAGCTATTCTTCTTTGTTACAAGTTAAACTCAGAATAGCTGTGATGGGCTCTTTGATTTGTCTCCCTTGCAAAATTGCTATGTTTGCAGATATCATAATTGATAAAATAAATTTAAGAAAGTAAGTTGTGAAAAAATGTAAAGAAGTTCAGTTTTAGTGCCAGCATTAACGCTGCCGTTGCTATAACTCACTTGAACTACAGTAGCAAGGCAAGTCTCTACAAGGTCCTATATCTTCTGTTTTCCCTTACTTACATAATCTCTTGTTTTACTTCTTCTACCCTTGCTAATTTTGTTACATTAGTCTTCTTGCAGTTACTTGAACATCCAGGTTTGCTGCTGTCTTGGGGTTTTTTGCACTTACCTCTCACTATCTTGAATGGTGTTGCCCAAATAATCAATGTTCACTATCATTTTTCCCCTTATTATCTGTATTCTAAGGCACTCTTTCAGTGAGGTTTCCTTCATAATTCTAGATTATAATAACCTCTCCATCTGCTAACAGATCCTATACTTCTTTCCTGTTTTATTTCTCACCATGCAATTTATTATTATGTCACATACTGTACCTGCTTTTTGACTATTGCTCTTCACTAGAATATAAGCTGCATGAGGGCATGGAATTATATCTATTTCTTTTCCAATTTTTCTGCAATTCATACAATAGCTCAGGATATGTAGAAGGTACACAAAAAAGTTAGCCACTTTTTAAAAGCTTTTGCTAAAATAATTTATTTTTTTCCAGATTTATGATACTGAGCAATAAAATTGATATAAATAATATGTATCTTTGATATTTTAATGAATTTCTCATAATTATATATATCAAGAAGAGATAAATTGAGGTGCATCCACACTTAGGGAATGCACTCTTTTATTTTAGCTATAACAGGACAAACTAGAAACAGTTATTTATGTTTAAATTTTTACTAGCCATTAGAGATGAGTATAGTATAATCAGTCCCCTTTTAGCACAAAGATAAGCACTGAAAACAATTTCCTCTGCAGCAATTCTCATTTTCTCTCTCATTTAGTTTCCTTCCATTCAAAATTAAGAACCATGATTTTTCGTAAAAATTTCTGGGAGAGTTTATTTCCAAAAACATAAGAAGTGAAAAGTATAAAAGACATTTTGATAGCTAATGAGCAAATGTGACTGCTTTTCTAGCATGTGATTTAAAAGTTAAAAACCAAATATATTCTGGATAAATACAGAAAATAAGAACTAGTAATTTTAGGGAGTTGTGGGCAAAATAAATAATTGGTTCTTATTCTATATAACATAACTTTTCTCTTTATAAGCAATTTTAACAAGAAGGTACTCTCCTTGGGACCATAAACATACCTTGTATATATAATTCTTGAGAAGTCTGACTTTTTTCTTTTTCTGATGGTCAGATTGCAAAGCTATCCTTTTGGTAATTCATTTGGTTACCTTGTTCATAGAAGTAATTTTTATACTCTGTATGGAGATAGGTATGAATGAGTATTGTTCTATTTTTTATAGTTTTGCTCATATTTTCCTTTCTCCCCGTAATGTTCAGTTTTGTCCTATCTCTCACAAGGAGTTATTTAAGAGGAGAAATCAGGAACTTCCTTAAAGTTTCTCTAAATCTCACTATGTTTTGTCACTTTTGGGATTTGAAACAAATCAGCGAAACTTGCTGATTAAATTTGATGTTATGATTTTAAAATTCACCTCCAAAACATTGCCATCTTTAAGATTCAATTGTGAATCAATTATGATTAGTTGTGTACATTAGTTATTAAGCTACTTTTATTCATTTTTAACCCATCTTTCTACAAAATGATTTATGATCCTGGAGCTGGGACTCTGTAAACCACAATCCATTGTTAGTTGGATTCCTCTTAGGATCTACTAATACAGAGAGTTAAAAAGAGAATGGGGGGCTGAAATTATTCCTCTCTCTGCTCTCTGACTTCCTTTTCCATTCAGTGGTGCACGGCTTTGCTTCTTCAGATCAGCAGTGGTGATTCATTTCAGTTACAACAATCTGGAGTTTTTTCAGTACTTGCACTGGTGACCTCTCAATGACACTGGCACGAGCCAGCCAGCATTCCCTCCTCCAAAGTCTGAGTCCTAGCCCCTTAGGGCACCCTCTCTCGAGCTCTGAGGTATTCCTGCTAGTCAAAATTACTCTGGGAGGCTAGAGTTCCATTTACCAGGACAGGGCCCCCTTCTCCAGACTTTAAAGCTTTAGTGTTCCCAGCCTCTTCCTTTCGTTCTCCAAGTTCTAGGGGTGACATATGCTTCCAACAGTTACTTCCAACGTGGTTCCTTATTTTCTCTTTTATAATGTTTCCATTTTTACTAGCTACTTACATATTTTTTATGTTAGGTTCTCTTTGTTAAAATAATTGGCGTAATTGATACCTCTTAACTGGAGTGTGACTGATCTGAGAGTCCTTTCGTGTAAACTTCTTTACTTCTTTCTGGATTTTGCTGAATGTCTCTTTAAGGTATTATTATAATAAACTTTAGCAATATTTAAAGGAATAGACAGACAAAAGAGCAGGAGAACACTCTTTTCTGGTGTCCTGCTCAATGAGATTTTTATGTGATCTTTATTGCATTTTAGACTATAAAAGTTATATCTATTTTTAAATTATAAGCCGTAAGCATCAACTATGTAACTTATTACATTTATTCTAAATTTGTAATAACTATAAAAAATGAAACAATACGTCTTTTCACAGTGGATATCTAAATTAAATGGTACTTTATTGTTTTACCCTGTTTCACGGTGTTCACATTTCATATGTCTCTCTCATTCTCATTCCACAACTACATGCTGAAATATAACTAGAAACTCATTTCTGAATATCTACTCTGAAGGAGCGAAGATAGAAGAACAATAATATACATGGTATATATCACTATCAGTATCATAGATAAAGCGCCCTTGGAACAAACCGGTTTTAATAAATAAACTGAAATTAGGTTATGCTCTTTCCTAGGTAAAACTACATAAGAATACATTTTCCAATATTGACCCAGAGGGCTTAATTAAAGTCAGAAACACACACAAAAAAATATTTTTTGATAGAAGAATCTGTAACCAAATGATTAACATCTTAAAAGGAATCTGAAAGTTTATTCTGGGAAAGTTCAATTAAGAATACAGCAGAAAATAATGAAGTTCAAAATGTCCCCACTTCCTTTGTAAGAGATCTCTGTCTTCTACTGTTTCAAAAGCAATTACATTTCAATGACATTTCTCTGGGTTAATGCATTCAATAATTTTCAATAAGTAACCACCTCCTGTATGTTCAAAGGATGATCTTCACTGATCAATGACAGTCTATCTGCTTATGAAGAATATGTCCAATATACCATAAAATTAAATCATTCTAAAAGATTTTAATGTCTGATTTGTTCTTTGCTAATTCCCATTGAAAGATACTTATGTTAAGGAAAACTTACATCAATATCAACTTATAAACTATATTGATATATAAATTAACTTCATTTCTCCTTGTGATAGTTCAGAAAGCATTCATTAGGAAAAATGAAACCATCTTTCACTTTTTTTTTTGTTTTTTTTTTTTTGAGACAGAGTCTCACTCTGTCCCCCAGGCTGGAGTGCAGTGGTGAGATCTCGGCTCACTGCAGGCTTTGCCTCCCGGGTTCATGCTATTCTCCTGCCTCAGCCTCCTGAGTAGCTGGGACTACAGGCGCCCGCCACCAGGTCCAGCTAATTTTTTGTATTTTTAGTAGAGACGGGGTTTCACCGTGTTAGCCAGGCTGGTCTTGATATCCTGACCTCGCGAACCGCCTGCCTCAGCCTCCCAAAGTTCTGGGATTACAAGCGTGAGCCACTACGCCCGACCCATCTTTCACTTTTTAAGTCTCTCCTTTATAATTGCCAGGAAATAAACATACATAGTTTACCTTGGTCTGGTATTTCAAATATGCAATAAAAGAAGCAACAATATTTCTTAAAGTTAATAACTACCAAAAAAAATTGTTTGACAACTCAGTTATTGACTGATGGTTAAAATGGGTGACATTTGGCTGGGGTAGAGTACATACTTTTGGGACCCAGATTTCTTTCCTTCAGTGCTTCCTAATTTTATATCTTCAGAACATATTTCAATTAATGAGTGGCAATAAGACATAGACAACCGATTTCGAAAATCAAATTGGAAAATGGAGAAAGCATTTTTCGAACTTATGCTATAAAATATTTTATTTAAATATCAGTTGAGTTATATGGCAATGTAAGATTTTAGGAGAGAAATCTGTTGAATTATAGGGATGATAGGCTGACATACTGAAATATATTGAAAATATGGGAGCAGACAAAATGAGAGCATAGATATAATTACAAGGCAAAGCAAAACACCACAGGGAACACTAATATTTACAAGGTGAGCAGAGAAGGGAAATTATAAAACACAATGAAAAAGGGTAGTTAAGAAGGTAGAAGCACCAGGAGAGGGTGTTAATTACACGCTAACTGGTAAGATAATTGTAGGAAGGAATTATAAAGTGTTAAGTATTATAAGGAAGCAAACTTCCAAGAAAACCAATAACTATCCGATTAGTAATTTAAATCTTTATCAGCAGTCTTTACTATAATTGTATTAGGAGAATTTGTATGGTATATAGTACAATTGGATAATTTAAATGGAAAAAAATAAAATAGAATAATAATTAAATATTTTTAGGCAAAGAATATAGATTTGAAACAAGAGCATATGTAGATAATGCAGTAATATTGTGTTCAAAATGGTTTAAAAAGAGCATGTTGAATACTTAAGATTTTTCCCTTGAATAAAAAAGTCTCCAAATTGAACATTGAGACATAAGAAAATCCTGAATAGATTGGAATTATCAATAGTCTCAGTCCTTTGGACACTCTTGTATTCACTTCTGTTTAGTGTGTTAAGTGCTAGAGGCTAGTAGAATTACCGTAACAAAAAATGGAGCTGCTGGGGGTATAATACCCCAGAGCACTAAAGTGCTATTTATTGTCAAGTCTCTTTTGTATTTTCATCTTGGAATTGGTTATAGTGATGGTGGATAAAGGCATTAAAAGAACTCTGATAATCTTTATTTTTATCTCTCAAAAGTAATGTTAAAAAGATTTAGTATAAAAACACATGAAAACTAATGCTTGCTAATATGGCTGTAAAGCTGTGCCTGGGATCCAACCCCATGCTGAAATTGAACAATTGTATTTGCTGGCTAACCTCATTTTAAATAACAGTTTTTCTTCCCTAAGGGAGGCATATATGAAATATAATCATCTTTTCATTATGGGGTTTCAGGTTTTATGTCTTTTGGATCCCTAGTATAAGAATTCTAGAGCCCTATATTAGAGATAACTAACTGGAATATTTTTTACTCATGATAACTTTCTCTCTCTTCCTTAATCTCTTTTCAGTAAGGGTGGTAAGGATTCTCTTTTGCCAGTCTTTGAAAAGAATTTCTGCTCTAGTATGAATGTAACTTAAAAAAAGAATGCTACATTTATAATCTACTTTATTACTTCTTAGCTTTTAAGTTTTCCATACTCTTTCAAAACACTATATTTAGGAATGTTTGGCCTTCAAATCTGCTTGCTTCTTTGTGGTATTATTGAACCTCTTGAGTATTCCTTTATAGCTTTTATCACACATATTATGGTTTTTCTTTACTTGTTTTTCACTGCAATGGCTTAGGCACAAAACTGTAAATTATTCATATTTGTATCTTTATGAGCTACCACAAACCCTGGTAGATATTGAAGAAAATGTAAATGTAGAAATAAATTGTGGGTTGAGATAGAGCTCTCACATTTAAAGAAAATTTTATAAATAAAATTTACTTTTGAGCAAAACATACAGTTTTATAAAGCCCACAAATGACTGAAAAACACACAAAAGGTGTTTAGCATTTTTCTTAGAGAACTGCAACCACTCCATTTAATTCTTTTTGGAATGACTATTCTTAGAGTTAAGATGTGGAATAGCCCTTCTACATCTGTTCTTGTTAATTAAACAAATGCTCTGGAAGGCTATGAGGAAGGCAATATTATAACCAACTATTCGATTAGATAAACTAAATTACCTTTGACAATAAACAAGTTGATGAATGTACCCACGAATAAAAATTTATTGAGTAGATGATATTTCAAATTACAGTAAAACTCTCACAGTACCAAAATACAGGTTATGTGGTATTGGTAAATAGTGCCAATATTCTGGCCAGTTCAAGTTCTCAAAAAGAGGCAGGGCAAGTGAAAGCTAATTTCTTCTTGGTAGTGATGGGGGAGATAGAAAAAAGCATTAAGAAGTGACTGTCTCCTGATCATGTGAGTAATTCTGAGTTCAGTATAAGGGGTGTACTTTCTTTATAATGATCAGTCCTCTTTCTGCTTGGTCTGATAGATAAAAACAAATAAACAACGTATTTTCCCCTTTCCCTTTACAACATAGTAACTAAAAAAACAACTAAAAAAGTATTGGTTTTTGTTAACCTTGTAATACCACTACCCTACATTTTGTACAATTGAATATTTGAAACTTATTCAATTATGGCAGAGTCTCACCATTTACCCAATTTAAAGTAAATTTTAATCATTGGAAATACCTGCTTATTTCATGGGTAAGCTATGTTTTAACTTGCAATCCTGTCTTTGCAAATTACAAAAATTTCATATCATCCTGAATGTCTTAGACATAAACAATACAATGGTTGAAACAACCTTTAACAAATTGAAAGTTAAGCAAGTATTTCTACCAGAAACAAACATTGGTTTGAGTGAATATACCCAAATATAATTTTGGTTTACTTAAACAAATATTTTAATTCACAAATATTTTCCAGGGCACATGTGGTCATATAGTAATTAACATTTAACACGGTTCTTCATAACGAGGACTTCTTTTCAATAAATATATTACTGGAAGAGCAAGAATTTAAAAATCTAATTTTATATGAGAATTTGAAAAATAAACTTCAGAAATATTAAATCCACATATCAGCATGGAAGAGTGAATGATAAAAACTTTAATTCTATCCTTGAAGATCCTTCATTAAAGGAAAATAAACCAATGGGCACAGAAGAAATATACAGGTGGGTATTTTTTCTACATAAACAAATTTTCTTATTATTCTTTTATCACGTATTAGTTCCACATTTAAAATTTTTGTTCCAAATGTAAACTGCTGTTATACTTTCAGTATATATAAAACAACATTGATTATTGGTGTGATAGAACTGCATTACAACATTTGCCCAGGTACTGAATGGGTAAATTATTTAATATGTTTGCAACAAAAGCTTAAATTATCTTGACATCTCAAATGAATTTCATGTTCATTTTTATTTTTTACATAAACTGTAAAAACAATTTATTATTTAAAATATAATTTGTGTCTACAAGTTTGCTTTGAGACTCAGTTTTACATATGCGGTTACACAACAAAAGGAAAGCACAAGAGAAATCTAAGCTAACAATATGTTTTAGTTATACCAATCCAAAAAATTCCTTCCTAAGCAAAGACCTGTGTAAAATTAGCTACTGACGACGCAGAAACTTATGCAGAGAGCACAGCTTTTGTGTATTTAGGAGAAAACATTTTTGACTGGATTTGGAATGTTTTTCTGGGCAACCATTAAAATTAAGCATATTAAACTCTTTCTCCTTTTTTGTCAAAGTTAATTTCTATTTCACTTCAAAAAACATCTTTATAGTTAAATACAACTTTATGAAAGTCAATGCTATTGCTTAGTCATTTGTTTTTCTACAGAAAACGTCTTACTTCAACAACATTGCACTATTCAAAAGTCAGCTGTGTTCCTTTTTAATAAAGGGAGTTTTTCCATCATAACATGAAAATATTCAGATTCAGAGATTTGGAAAATATCTTGATCTCTGTCTCTAAAACTTGAAACATCTTCTTCAGTTGGTTCTCTCTCTTGTTCTCTGTCATCTCACTGGAAATTTTGGTTAGCATCCTTTGTGGATCCAACATTTCAACATTTCAATATCTAATTACTGGATTAACTCTAAATATTGTTTCCATCCTTACCTTTCTTGTTTTATCTTGTCACTTCTGTCCAGTTCTTCGAGTGCAAAGATTTCCAAATTTAATTTTACAGCCCTAATATCCCCACTAACCATACACATCTAACTCTATACTTGATATCTACTCAGAAATATTGTATAGCTCAAACTTAACGCCCAAACAAAATTTTTCTGTTCCCCACCCTTCAAATTCACTCTTTTCACTTCAGAAAAATGGTTCACCATTCACCCATTTATTCTGGTTAAAAAAAAAAAGAGGACATTTTCTGTCAACTACTGTTTCTAGTTGCACATCTTTATGGCTAAAGATCAGAAAATTCCCTCAGCTCTACCTTCAAAACATATCCACATTCTGACCACTTCCCTACCCTCTCCAGTGTTACTATCCTAGTTATAGACATGTTAGATCCACCATATGGAACCCAGTTCAAGGAAAGACCTTCTTCTTAATGTCAGGTAGGACAATCAGCAGACAGCCTATTTATGTCAGGAGCTTCAGGGTGTACCTCCGCTGCAGTGAGCCACTGCCTTACAGATACTCCCTTCCTAGAGCAGCTCACATTCTTATCAGTGGACTGAGCAAGTTGGGGGCATAAAGCCTAAAGATCTGGCCTTCTAATGTTAATGCAGAATGCTTAGATATATGCACTCCAGATCATTATTACTTAGACTATATGTAGAATAATAAATAATGAAATGTAAAGTACCCATTTTTGTTCTCTATATTATCCAAATTCTAATGAAAGTTGAGTGTGAGTATTGTATAGTCTCTTGTGAGTTTCTTCCATGAGTACATAAGTTTATAACAAGAAGCTAATTTTACTTTAGTGTTGTATTGCATTCTACTATTTGAAAATTTTATGGTAACCACTAATAATAGAAATATCACTGCTACCGTAATTCCTAGAAGTTTTATTTTCTGGCAATTCTGAAAGACTCATCAGTACAAAACAATAGAAATATATCATGTGATGGTTTTGTAAAATGATTTTCAGTTTGAAAAATCATTATTCAAGTACCTTCATTTGCATAAATTATTTGAAGTTGTCTCAAAAATTATAAAGCATTTTGGTTGTCTCTTATTTGTTCAGTAAATTTTTCTTCCTTGCAAACTATTATAATTAAAAACCCCATGGGCTTAAATTTCTGAAAATAAACTGTCAAATAGAATAGTTAATTGTTTTCTTCTTGTTTGAAGGTCTAAATTTTTATTTCCTACAGCTACCTCTTTTAATCCAACGTGCTTGCATAGCTACAATGTCATACCAGAAGGGAAAACCAACTACATCTAAAACAGGAGAATATGATAAAAACTGTCTACTTTTCTACATGCATTTTCTAAATTTAGATTTAAACACCTATAAGGAACAGATACAAAGAAGAACAGAATTATAATAAATTGTGTGAGCTTTTTACAAGTATTTGTTAAGTATTTCTTTAACATCATGTGGCTTTCACTATTAGAAATTTCCACTTATTATTGTGGAAAAATATAAATTATTTAGAAAAAGCAAATTATCAAATAGATGAATTATTATCCTATCATTTCAACCAGTTTACCAAATGAGCAATATACTGTCATAATTGCAGTATCTCACATAATCAACGTATTCCAAAATCAATGTTCTTATTGTTATTTGGTGTCTGATGCATTGCTTTATACATTATACATATACCAGCTTCATTTTATTTCTGCACATATCTCTTAAATCTGTTTAACAACATATTTACCTCTTGAGTTCAACATGATTGTTGGAAGCTGGCAGGAAGTACGTGAAGGAGATGACTTCCCTAAATTAATTTTTGTGGACATTTTAGGTGTCTCTAGGATTTTGATTAGCTTATTTACAATAATATAAAGACACCTATGTGAAGCCACCTGTATACTTTAAGGTTATTCTTTCTTGGGGGGAATGTCCTGCAAGGTTACCCTATGGAGAGACCCTGCTGGAAGGATTCCAAAAACATAGATTGCAAATGATTCTAACTTTTATTTAGCCACAGAATATTTCTATAGTGGCTATGGAATTCATTCCTAACTCCTACCCTCTAAGTGGGAGAGAACATTCTTTCTGTCATCCCAACCCTCCTTCCCAGTCTACACCCCAGACTGATGGATTCCCTCTGTAGGCAATTTCTGCTGCCAGGGGAAAGATGAAGTTCAACATATGTACCTCCAGTGGTGTCACAGTGACATATTTGTCTTATCATAAAATATTAAATTGCTTATTTCTATTCAGAGCTTGGTTGCTCAGATGTTTGGATTTCTAGAAAAGCAGTTTTCCTTATTAATGACTTCAGTTTCTTTTGTTAACTAGATACTTTGTCATTTATAAAATGGTATCTTGGAAACTACCACAGTGAGAGAATAGTTTACTCTCTATATATACAAGGCATAAATCAGAACTAATGATTGTTTTAAACCACTTAAGGATATGTATCACAAAAAAAAGGGAAAAAAGCCCAGCTCCAAATGCTATGCAGTTTTTAAAAAATGTGCTCTTTGTTTCCACTAGGATAGTAGAAGGGCTTTAAAACAATATAGTTTAAAGCCAGTCAATATATGATGTACTTTGTTGGGGTGATTTAAAAATGGGAAGTATATACAAAATACACAATTATTCACAGCAATACTGTGAAGCTGGTGCTATTCACATAGGCATCCTCTCCTGTACCCCACTGTATTGACATTGAATGTAGAGGTGGACAAAGTCTTACTAAAGGGGTTCTATGGTGCAATGGTTAGCACTCTGGCCTCTGCAGATGCCTTAGCATTTATCTTTTCATGTATAATAAGAGTTCCAAATGATGATATCTTAGTCCAGTGATGTAAATTTTCCAAGATTATTTTTAGGTAACTAAAAGTCTGGATTAAAATTCAAATGTCCCAATATTATTTTCTGAGTTCTCATTCAGCACAACCATGCTGGGTCTACCCTACACAAACTTGCCCAGTCTTATTCGATTCCTCACTTTCAGATTTCCTCTCAGCTCTGTAGAATTCGGTTTTTCTTCTATATAATGCGAACATTTCAGCTCAGCTGGTTGTAGTCATTAACTCTTCTATACTTCGTCATTATCTCAGTCCTTCTGTTTCACCTTTATCAATCCAAATTTTGTATAAAGATTTTTTTCTTTAAATCCTTAAGTAGGACACCACAAAATCTTCTGTTCCCTGTGAACCTTTCCTCAGAAAAATTTTCTAAGAGCCACTTTCTTATCCTCTTGCTTATGAGGACAAGAAATTCTCAGAAGATTCTCTGCAGACAATGCTTTCTCCCACAAGCATAGCTAATTTCAATCTATTTCTTCCTTTCTGGAGTCACATCATCTGGAATTCCATTTCACTTTCTCCTTTGTCTTTCACTACAGCCACAGGCAAGTTCCAACCATTGTACCTTAAAAGTGAGAGTCCAGAAGTCTAGGCTACTTCTGGGAAAAAGGGGCATTTTCAAAGTGTTTACAAGGGAATTTTATAAAAAGAAAATTTAATAACATCCTAAGTATAGTTACAATGTGATAATGGAAGACACGCTTGCTTTACCTTTTTTTTTTTTTTTTGTAACCCTCCTGTACTCGTTATAACTAGTAACCTAAAAAGGGCTGGTTGAAAGAAGGCTATAGAGAAAAAAATTTATAATGAAGAACAATTTTAAAAACTGTCAGATTACATTGGGTCCTTATGGATATCTACAAAACCTCAAAACGGAAGGCTAAATGAGTCAATAACAGTTTATTCTTGCAGCACAATCTGGCCCATTTTAAAATAATATTTTCTCTGATTATCTTTTATCTTAGTACTCACATGCATCCAACAGGAATAACAGTTTCTAGCTTATTTGAAAAAAAACTGCAGATAGTTTACAAAGTAAATCAGGAAAAATATCATGCAGCGATACATATGAAATATCCCACAAATGAAAAATAAACAGATTGCTGAAAAAGAGCCCTAGAACAAATGGGACTTAAAGTTGTAAAAGATTAGAGTTCTTTATGTAAAAAGCAAAACAAAAGAAAAGCATTTTTTACCATGTTATCTTTGAAATTACCTAGACATTTTATTCAAGGTAAACATGCAGTCTCTGTATGAGAAAATTTGACACACCCTTGATATAATCCAATGCAATTTTTCTTTCAATCCATATTCATTATTTTCATTCGAATATTTTTCAAAAATTTAATTGCTTTATTATAATGGACTAAAAAATTTTCTAGTGTATTTATCCAGCAATTTAGAAAATAAAGTTCTTTCATAAGTGGAATTAAAATTTTGCTTTAACAATGACTGTCTCTTACAGAGGTCCTATTTAAGTCATCCTAATTAGTCTACTAGTTTTCATTTATCAGAATGTTAGATTTTTTGTTAGGTTCTGAAACTGGAACATGACATAAGTGTTCCACATCAGAACATTTAATATACACTCTGTTCTACTTCATAGAGTACTTGTTTTTTTAGAATGCCAAGAAGAGTACTGGATATATTCTACAGTGTGTTACATGTTAATATTATGACTGAAACTAGTAGTTAAATTTAGTTCTGATCTGTAGTTTCTTGGCTGAAACTTGAAATAGTAGACTGTATTGTCTCGTATAGCATTTTAGAACTTTTTCTTTTTCCTGGCTTGTTCATAACATTCAGAAAGGGTTCATTTTTCAATTATATTTAAACTTCATGTGTTGTCTCCTTTCTTTTTATTAATTATAAATATTTTATCTAATGAATTGTTTATAGTTGGTAATTTTCTAAAACTACTGTATGTTCTTTATTTACCGGCTTAAAACACACTGTGTGGGTGGGCAAAATAATATTTTAGAGCCGCCACCATGCCAGCTGGCCACCTCGGTGTCTCACGGTGGGTGTTCAGCTCTGTTCTGTTGCCGTATGACATGAAACAGGGCTTTGACCCTCGCAGCACTTTGCTTGTAAAAGTGAGCTAGGCTATAAAAATCACGATGATTTCATCAACAGTAGATCCTCCAATGATACATTCCATGCTTTCGATTATTTACTGTACACGGTCAGCAGACTAATGCCCTGTCAAAGTTAGTAGATTGAGAAATATTTAAAAGTACTGGAAGTCAGTCATGGTTGCTAAAGATTTTCTTAAGACATTACAGATAGAAAGTCATTATTAATTATCATATCTTATAATGCATCCTAGACCAATTTGCTATTTATTATCAGTCTCCTTCAGATTTCAAATGATGCCCTTCCTCATTGTGAGGGATTTCATAAAGCTCTTTCTAGAATCTTATAGTTATTAGAATATACAGGGTATCTGTATGCAGGTATATGGATACAGAATATCCATTACCAGGATAAAATTTTGTAGTCTGGATATTGGTTTTATTCTTCTTTCCTTCTCTGTACCATATTTTCAAGCAATGTCAATTCAAATAATGCATCCTGAGAGTTTAAGTGGAATTATACTAATAATCACAGTATCGATGTTCTAGGAATTAATTCTTCTCTTTGTTTTGTCTAGGGATCTACGTGTGCAGACTCATAAAGAGCAGGTGGAAAGCAGTTAGGACAAGAATATGGTGATACTAGCTTATTCAAGAAGGGCTAGTAACCTTTTGTTTTTTCCAACCAGTACAAAGTAGATATTCTGATGGCCTTCTGGTGAAATGAAAACAAATACAAAATATTCCTGTATAATAGCACAGAGAAAAACTGTTATACTACAAAAGCCTGTTTAGACACTTTAAAATATAATTCTGATTTAGATGTGCAAACAGTATGCTAATAAAAGGACACATAAATGCAGCGGGAGAATAGTATATGTGGTAATGCAGCACGAAACTGAATATCCACCCGAGGGGTGGAAGTAAATGGCCTTCAGTGTCTCTTTGGGTGTTGATCATGTATGTTCTTAGGATTTGATGACAGTAGATAAAATATTTTACATTTTAATATCAGTCTCAAGAGATTTCCTAGTCTTTCAGCATTTTAAATATGTGATTTTCTAAACAGTAAGAGTCTGTTTATTGGCAAGGAAACAAAACCAGAGAAATAGAAATCTGCTTGAGTCTGCCATGGTAGAACAGGTACTGGCATGTTTCCATTTCTTTTCCCAAGATGCATATTTTCTCATTGTACTCAGAAGATTTAAGTCAATGAAATCTCTACATTTAGCTCACAAATAGTCTATTTTCAAGAAGCTCCTTCAGCTCGAGCGCCTATGTTACTTAGCCCAGTCATTCCAAATTTTAATGGACCAGTTAGATTTTAAAAGTACACTGAATGCCTTAATAAGGAATAATAGGCTTTTGTTATGCCAAGTAAGAACACCAATAAATCCATTACATTCTCAACTTGATACACAGGTTTTTTTTTTGTTTATTCTGTTTGGTTTGGTTTTATTAATAGTTCCCTGTGGATTAATACAAAGAACACCAAGGGAACTTATGTCAAAAGTTTCAGAAAATTTTACATATGTGTATATATACATACACATGTATGTAACATACATATACACACGTATGCATACACATACACACGTATATAGAATTCTCTGAACCATTAAATATAATTATATATATATATAAAACTTCATATATACATATTTTATATGTATACTCTGTGTGGAAAGTTCCTCACATTTGTGGAATCCGAGCCATGAAATTTACACAGGAATTCTTTGTGCTGATATTGCCATAAGTCTAATTATCTCAAAATAAAATGTTGAAAGAATAAATACAAAGTGAGTCTCAAAATTCATAATTGACAATTGACTTTGCTTGTGCTTTATTTCCTAAATAAACAAATAACTGTTTATTCATACAAAGTGAGGATAAGCCAGTCATAGTTCTTATTTTTCCAGTGAAAATTACAAATAAGCATATCTAAAATGTCCAATACATCAGTGTGTAAGCTCTTACCTGCTTAACCCAATTGTCACTATTTTCTGTGTGTTTCCAGTCTTGACCCCCTTCAGAGCCCCAGCAAGATGGAAATACCCCCTGGCTGCTGCACACCAAGCCCAAACGCACCAGAAATATGCTGACCTGAGCAGGTTGGTGAACATGCTGAATACCCTGTACCTGACCTTTTCAAACAGGGGTTGTGGTGCCCTAGGGATAGGCTTAGAAAATTTGCAACGATAGAATCAGATAGTACACATCTCTCTAAGACATCATATTTATTCTCAAATTAGGTCAATATTTTTTAAAATACATGTTGCCATATCTTGGTCTTAAAATGTTACTTACATCTATCTTTAAAGATGGTGCCATATTACTGACAAAAGAAATATAAAGACTCAAAAGACATAATGAGTTTAAGAGTTTACTGCCTTTGAATCAGGGAAAATGTGATTCAAGAAAAACAGATTGTTTTGCTCTATACCAAAAGATTGTCAGATTAATATCAAATAATAACTCAGGAGGCTTGTTTAAATTATGTTCTCATCTGTACCTATAGATGAGACAAAGGAACCCACATGAAGATGATGTTAGACCAAACACAAGGATGAGACTTAGGCTCAGAAATGCAAAAGCCGCATGTTTTTCAGGGGAAAATGAATAGTTAAAGTAAACAAGTCTCTGCTATATTTAGAACTGGTTGCTATAGCATTGCTTGGTGTGACATATTTGAGTGAGTAGATAAAATCTAGCACTATAATTGTCACTTAAGAAGAGAAAGAACTATAAGGGGAAAAAAGAAAGCAGTAAACAACAACCCCCCACCAAAGAAAAAATAAAACTAAAGCAAACCGAACCAAACAAACAAGAATCACAAAATGAAGTATAAAGAAAAATGCCAAATGCATTGATCTTTAAGATTCTAGAATATGCAAAAAACACTGTAGCTAAGAATTTCATTACCTTTAATCATTTTAATGCCTCCCTTGAAAAAACTCACTTGCAGTTTACTAAGGCAGTATGCATCACTGAGAAAGCAGAATGGCAAATTGCTTAGAACAAAATGCTGAATTGATTATTTTAAGTTTAAAAATATTTATTCTACCCCGGTTATAGGATTAGTATAGAACATTTAAAGCACTTTATCTACTAAAATTAGCATCATTACTGTTGGTGACCATCACAATAATGGATTCTTATTATTGGATGTTTAATATTAGGTGACGAATGCTTGATGAAAAACAGGACCTTTACAAAGTCTCAAAGCAGCGGCCAACAATATATTTATTGCAAAAGAAATACAGTTACTTTACAATAGCGAAATCTTGCAGTGCCACTATTACCAAGTGACTTATTTAATATATCTAGGAAAGGGACAAATGAACATCATGTACCTCCTGATAGGTTATACTGAGAAGAATACAAAATCACTTCTATGATATTATCATCAAAATACAAATGCTGAATGTAACCATGAGAAAATATGATACAAAGCCAAACTGAGAGACATTGTGTATCCTTCATAAGCATTAAGTTTATGAAAGACAAAGAAAGACTAAAGACCTATTTCAAATTAAAGGATATCAAAAAGATCTGACAGCTAAATATAACATGTGCTACTGGATTTAATCCTAGACCACATAAAAGATATTGTAGGAGAGATCATGAAAATTTGGATAAGAGCTATAGGTTAGGTAATTTTTATTATATCAGTGGTGACTTTCTGATTTTTATCATTATACTGTGTTTGTATAAGAAAGTTATTTAGAAAGGCATAAGGCATATGTTTGAAACTTATTGTCGAAAGTTTCAGAAAAGTTTACATATGTGTATATATACACATACATATGTAATATATGTATACACACATATATGCATACACATACACATGTATATAGAATTTTCTGAACCATTAAATATAATTATATATATATATAACTTCATATATACATACTTTATATGTATACTCTGTGTGGAAAGTTCCTCACATTTGTGAAATCTGAGCCATGAAATTTACACAGGAATTCTTTGTGCTGATATTGCCATAAGTCTAATTGTTTCAAAATAAAATGTTAAGGGAATAAATACAAAGTCAGTCTCAAAATTCATAATAATTACAAATAGGTAGTGAATCCTGACAGATCTACACTTTTAAATTTACTATAGTCATAGTAGTTTTGCTCAGACATTGCTGATTTTGCTCCCAAGAATTCCTAATGTTTTTGTCAGTCACACCTCACATAATTTTGTCAGTCATGGTTCACATGTTTTTGTTTCCATAAAATTTTATTCTCACTATTGATTTTATTAGAAATTCCTTGGGTGCAAAATAGTTTGACCTTATCCAGAAGAACACATTTACCAAATATTTCCTGAGCCCCTTCATCTGGAAATCTTGACATATTGACTATATCAACTGAGGCAAAAGTGAAGAGAAGATAGCAAGTAGAAATGTATTCTCTTATGGAAAATGAAAGTCTAAAGTAAATTTTCTGCAACTCTAACAAAATTTCATAATCGCTTACATAACTGCCTCTGAAAAATCAAGTTATTTCTAGTACATCTGCTGGGACACTCGTATTTCTATTATTGGACTCTTGCTTCTGGCCATGTCAAATTAGGCCAGAGTATATATTTGACTTAAACATGGGCAACTAATTTGCCAGCTAAGAAGCAGACCCATCTTTTATAGCAGTTCAACTCAAGAGGCATATACTGAAACCTCTGGAACTGAAGTTTCATTTAGAGCCAAGGCCAGAAACTGCACCATAATAAGCCTAATAAAGTTAAGGAGAAACAGAGACTATGAACCAACAGAGACATCAAATTCCTGAATTAGAAAGTCAAGTAGAAAAGAGAGGCAGTATTTCTTCCAATAGTAAGTCAAGAAGAACAGATGCAGAATAGCCACCTCCCATCCTGATAACACATTCAATCCTTGTTCTGTATCACCAAAGTCACAAGTATCTTTCCTGTGAAACTCTCAGTGTCCTGTCAATAAATTCTACAACTGGGTGGTTTTAGTTTCTTTTCCTTGAAACAACAGACCCTTAACTAAACTTTTCTTAACTAATCTTTTCTACTCCTATTGCTCAAAGATAGTTACTGAAAGAGTAGCCAAATAATAAACAGCAACTTTAAAACCAAACAAAACAGACAGGTAGCCAGTTTACAAGACTCTTACATATAATACACTTGTGTCCAGTTAGGTAGAGGAAATATAACGCTGAGATAATATTTGGGTTATGGTCCTCGTTCTGTCACTTGTCAGCTGAATGGCTTTAAGTAATAATTTAAATAAATATATATATATGTTAATACATTTTCTTCTATACACTGAAGAAAACTCTCATTCATATTACAGAGTGCTATGGTTTTGGCTGTGTCCCCACCTCAAGTAGGCCACTGGGGCTTACTTCAGGGTGGAGTTTGAGAGGAGAGTGAGAAGGAAAAAACTACCTATCAGCAACTATGTTTTTTACCTGAGTGACAAAAGAATCTGTACACCAAACCCCTGTGGCACACAATTTACCAACATAACAAACCTCCACATGTATCTCTGAACCTAAAATAAAAGTTAGAAAAAAGTGCCTTGGGAAGGCCTATGATTGGCAGCCTTGGAAAGGCCTTTGATTGGCAGCCTTAGAAAGGCCTGTGATTGGCAGTTTTTGGCAGCCCATGAATCCTAGGCCATCATTTTTGGACTCAGAAAGGTGGATTTAGGATTCTGAGGGAAGGGTTGCTATACCTAGAAAAATAAAGGAGAGGGTGATGTTTTCTCGGAAAACACTAGATTTCTGTTTAGGAACAGTATCCAAAATATTTAACAACTGGTAATTCGTGGGCATCAGTCAATCAGAACAGAGGTGTGATGAAACTGCTGGAGAAAATTTTGGAGGCTCCCTATTGGACAGACTCATTAGTTGCAGGCTGACTCCTTCCCCTCCTTCAGATTTTATTAAAATATCAATTTCCCCCAAGTCCTTCTTTGACCAACCTCGTCTCCATAGTAACCTACATATAATATACTTAAACTATTGAAATGTTATTATATGTGTACTCCAACCACAATGTATCTTCATGGGGTCGAAGATTTGGCTCTTTAATGCTGCATCTTTGGAATCCAGATGAGTACAATCAATGATAGACAATCAATCATAGACAATCAATAAATACTTATTAAATGGATTAATTATGTTCTTTGTTTAGAATATTGTTGAAATTATTCTCCCTTATTACTATTGGCCTCTCAAGGGCGTTATGCAGATGGCTTCATTCATGAAGGTCAGAATTAGGTATTAATAAAATACCTAATTTCCATAGAAAGCTGGAAAACATAGCATAAGCTATGCAATTTACTTCTGTGTGGAGAAATTTGTTATCTTTGTAAATTAAAAAAAAGTTTAAATGAGGTCATATTTTGAAATTTAGAGATATATATTTTATATATATATATATTATATATTTTTGTATTAGTCAAGGTTCTCTAGAGGAACAGAACTAATTGGACCCACGTATATATGAAGGGGAGTTTATTAAGGAGAATTGACTTACACGATCACAAGGTGAAGTCCCACAATATGCCATCTGCAAGCTGAGGAGCAAGGAAGCCAGTAGTGGCTCAGTGCAAGTCCTAAAACCTCAAAAGTAGGGAAGCTGACACTGCAGCCTTCAGTCTGTGACCAAAGGCCCAAGAACCACTGTTGTAAGTCCAAGAGTCCAAAAGCTGAGAAACTTGGAGTCTGATGTTCAAGGGCAGGAAGCATCCAGCATGGGAGAAGGATCAAGGCCAGAAGACTCAGAAGGTCAGCTTCTCTCACCTCCTTCTGCCTGTTTTATTCTAGCCGCGCTGGCAGCTATTAGATGGTCCACACCCACACTGAACACTGAGGGTGGGTCTGCCTCTCCCAGTCCACTGACTCAAATGTTACTCTCCTTTGGCAACACCCTCATTGCCAGACCCAAGAGCAATACTTGACATTCTTCAATCCAAACAAGTTGACACTTAATATTAAACATCACAATAGTATATATATATATATATAGTATATATTTTATATATCATATATTTTACATATAATATATATGATATGTTATATATCATATATTAAATATATAATATATGATATATAATATATATTATATATATGTTTCTCTCTCTTTCTCTTTGTCTTTATGCCAGAATCCTAATCTATTAAACAGGAATCTCCATTAAATGCAAGCAAAACAACCTTCATGATTGCCTTTGGAGCCATAATCAAAGTCATCATAGTGGAGACTACTGAAGCAGAGTTGAATATTTTCAAAGCAGGCATATGTAGTTCCTAGGAGAGAATGGCCCCTAGGGAAGCCCCAGTACATGAGGTAACAGAGACTGAGCTGTAGTTCTATATGTTTATTTCTCCTCCATCTGCTTTTCCTAGTTTCTCAGATCTCGATTCAGTGACCAACAGGTGCTAGCCTGTCCCAGTTTTCAAGCCAGTATAATACATGCCACAGAAAATAATTATGCTAATAGTTTTCACTTACTTTGCCTCCAATCTCTCATTTTGGGGGTTTTAATATAATCTTTTTGTGGGGGAAGGGAGCCTAAACTGTTATTTTTATTTTAATATTAGTCTTGCTTTGGGTGTGGGTATAGAACAAGTACAACAACCTGAGATTTCTCAGGTTTCTGTCTGTTGCTGGACCATTCAACCAGATCCATAACCACTGCCTAGTAATGTAGTGATTGGTGTCCGTGCAAATGCTGACTCAGGACTGTTTATTTGATCTCTTTTCACGATACTGTGTGAAAGCCCATTAGATAAGCCTTCTTCTTAAACACTGCCACTTTAATTCATGCCCCTTGTGATACGGCTCCAATGAGTGGAGGAACGCCAGGGTTCTTCGTCTAGCATCAAATTGGATAAAACAACATGGACACACGTGGAATGGTTTTAAGCAGCGGAGAATTTAATAGGCAAGTAAGAAGGAAGAAGCTCCCCTGTACAGAGAGAGCTGGGCTCCAAAGTTGAGGGAGGAAACCCTGTGTGCAGTGGAAAAGTGGCTGCTTATATGAGGAGGCTGGAGGAGGTGGTGTCTGATTTGCATAGGGCTCAGGGGACTGGTTTGACCAGACATGTCATTCACATAACCCGCCCCTCCCACCCTAGTCTTTTAATATGCAAATGCAGGGAGCCATGATGCTCTAAACACTTGGGGATATGTGGGGGTGGCCATGTTGCCAGTCACAAGTGAGGTCAAGGGCAAGAGGAGGAGGGTGGGAATCCGCATGTTTGGGTGGACCCAGTTTCTAATGGCTGGCATTTGCATATCAAGGGTTGCCAGCTCAGCTCTAAGAGCTGGGGCTTTCCTGCTAGACAGGAAATGTTTCTGGAGCTGCTTCAAAAAAAAACGAAAAGTTCCCAAGGACCCTTTTTTCTCTCTATCTGCCTAAAATAATTTCTTAATAACTCCTATAACCCTTGCTGCCTAATAATCTAGAACTGTATTCAGGATCTCAAACGTTTTGGCTGAATCCTTAACACACAACTAATTCTTAGTTATGGGAGTAAGCTACATTAAAACAAAACAAAACAAAAACTTTCCTGCAGTGAACCTTTTGTGTACATTGCTACTGAGTCTTCCATCTAAACCTAAATTTCCTTACTTCTAATCTGCCTTATATGGCTATTGAGAGATTTGGGTCTTTTCCAAATGCCACACTCAAGTACAACAGCATGAACTGAAGTTTAAAAAAGCTATGCAATTTGACTCAAGGTGCAATTGTTAAGCCTATTGCTATTAAAAACAACATAAAGAAAGGCAAAAATGACCAGGTATAAATCTAGTAAGAAAATCATAAAATGGGTATAGGAAAATATATTTAAAACATAGTTAAAAGACAAAGTTTGAAAATAAGAAAGTAACAGCAAAATGCAAAATGAGCGAAAGGCATGACTGAAGATTCTCCTGAAACAAAACAGAAATGTTAGCTCCTAAATTCATAAAATAAAATTAGCATTACTTATGAAATTAAAATAATAGCAAATTAAAACTACATTAAAAATTCATATCAATTCATCAAAATAAGCTTAATAATATTTTGTTTTCAGTGGTGGTAAAACCCTACCTCAAATTTAATTTTTGGATATTGTCAATGTATTGTCTTTAGCAGGCCTTTGAAAATATCAGACTTATAAAGGCAAATCTATTTTGAACAAGAAATTTCAATTGTAGAACATATTTTATGAAACTACTCATGGGTCTACACATATAAATACATGTGAATATGAGGATATTGATTATAGTATTGTTCGATTTCAAAGATGGGGAACAACGAAAATGGACAGACCTGCTATTTTAAGACGTAGTCTATAATACGTATTAATAAAAAATTATAAGATACACTACTGAAATACATGTTAAGATATGTGGTTAAGTAAAAATTAAATAAGATTAACAACTATGTGATTTATCTTTTATGTAAATAAATAAAAGTGATGTATGTATGTATGTTTACATATAATTACATTATCACTGGGGACATAAATTGGTAAGAAATATGGACCAGGATAAAGATAAGATGTACTTTTCATTGTAAACATTTTTATACCTTTTGACTTTAGAGAAAAAAATATGGGCATAGAATGTGTATTCAAATAAATAAAACTTACAAATGTTATTTAAATCAATATACCAATTAAAAATTGGTTTAAAAATTTCATTTTTTTTTTTTTTTCGAGACAGAGTTTTGCTCTTGTTGCCCAGGCTGGAGTGCAATGGCACAATCTCCACTCACTGCAACCTCCACCCCCCAGGTTTAAGCGATTCTCAGCCTCCCGAGTAGCTGGGATTACAGGCACATGCCACCACACCTAGCTAATTCTGTATGTTTACTAGAGATGGGGTTTCACCATGTTGGTCAGGCTGGTCTCAAATTCCTGACCTCAGGTGATCCGCCTGCCTCAGCCTCCCAGGGTGCTGGGATTATAGGTGTGAGCCACCATGCCTGGCCTAAAATTTATTCTTTTGGGTGAGTAGAGCATAGATTTTGGAGTCAGAAACACTTGGATTAAATTTCTGGCTTCAAAATAATTTATAAACTGTATTGATGTGGCTAATGTTCTCAGTCTTTATGAGTTCATTTTTAGCTGAAAATTGTGTCAACAAAACCATTTCTGAATTTTTGGGAGGTTTATATTGGTAAGGCAGATAATTAGTCTAGCTCTCTCTGTTTCTCTCTTTTTTTTTTTAATTAAAAAAACACATCATTTTCATTCCATAATAATAGGGTCTTCTACTGGGAGACCTGTTAAATCAGTGATAAATTTGGAAACTGGAGATTTATTTTTTCTCTAGAAAAATAAAGTTCTTTATATTCTTAATATGCTTTGCATTTTCTTGTAATAAGTAAAGTTATTCACATCAATAATAACAGTATAACTTGATATTTCCACATTAAAAAAATAAGAACATAGTTTAATTTTTGTTTTAGCATTTAATTTTTACCCATCTTCTAATTTACAGAAAAGTTGTGTAAGAATTCAAAGAACTCCCATAAACACATTACCTAGATTGACCAAATGTTTACATTTGCCCAACACATTGTTCTCTTTTCATGTATATATATATACACACACACACATATGTATGAGTTTTATGTATACATGTATACACATGTATACACATGTATAAATATTTTGACAGCAAGTTGAAGACATTCCACCTATTTACCCCTTAAATCCTTTATGTGTATTTCCTTAGAAATAGGACATTGTTTTATATATTTCAATTATACCACTATGAAAATCAGAAAATTTTACATTGACACAATGATTTTACCTAATCTACAATGGAAATTCATATTTCATTAACTGTACAAATAGGTATTTTTATAATAACTTGTATAGTTGTTTCCTGCAGTTCCAAGATCCAATTCAAGATCCTACTTTGCATTACCTTTTCCAGTTTAGAATGGTTTCTCGTTTCCCTCCCCTCCCCTCCCCTTCCCTCCCCTCCCCTCTCTTCCTTCTTTCTGCTTTCTTTCCTTTTTCTACCTTGACATATTTGAAGGGTGCATGTTATTTATTTTTTTGAATATTCCTCAACTTGGGTTTGTCTGAAATTATAATTTATTTATAATCAGTCTGAAATATGACATACTTGATATATTGTTATTTTTAGTCTATCATTACCAGAAAATATGTGGTGTCAATTTGGCCAAATAGCAGATGTTAACTTATTTAAATTTTATTGTCATGATGTCTAACATATTTCTCCACCATAAAGTTATTTTTTTCTTTGTAATTAACATTTTATTTTTATGGAGATACCTTGAGACATTATAAATATCTTGTTTCTAATTGATCTCTCAGAAATTAGATTTAGAATCCATTAATGATTTTATAGCTACGTTATTCTATTGAGCACATCTGTAAGATATGACTCCCCCTCTTTGTCATTTGTTTATTCATTACTTCTTTTATATTTCTACCCACTTTTAGTAATTTTTCCCATTGAAATTTTAATGTATTTCACTTAAAAGATTTTTTTAGTTGTTCCCTTGAGTTTACACTATATACTTACGTCTGATCCCAAGTTCTCTTTCAAATAACACTATACCACTCCACAAGTAGTACAAGTGACACATAATAAAGTATCCCCAGTTACTTCTACCCATCCTTTTTAACATTGTTGTCTTTTATTTTATTTATTCATAAGCTATAATTACTGAATGTATTGCTGCTATTATTTTGAACAAAATATTATCTGTCTCAAGAATAATAAAATATTTTATTTTGCCTTCATTTATTCTTCTCTAAGGCTCATTTTGTTATGTAAATCCCAGTTTCTAACCTATACTGTTTTTCTTCTTTATGAAAAATCATTTTATTTCTTGCATGGGAAGTCTACTGACAACAAAATTCTCTAAATTACTGTTCATCTGAGAATGTTTTTCTCTTTTACCAGAAAGCGATTGTATCATGTTACGCCCCATCAACAAGTTACTATAGCATTCTCACTACCATTTGGTCTTAGGAATCATTTTAGTTTTACCATTCTAGTGGAGGTGTAGCGGCACATTCCTGTGATTTTAATATGTACTTCCATGATGACTAGTGATATTGAGCAATTTTTAATATACTAATTGATCATTCAAAAATATTTCTACTTGAAATGACTATTTCATTTTTAAATTTTTTTTTAAACTGATGCAATATAATCATTACAGATTTGTGGGATGCATAGTGATGTTTCAATACATGTAATGCATAGTGATTAGATGGGTATAATTAGCATACCTGTCATCTCAACCTTATTATATTTTTGTGTCGAGAACATTCAATATACCCTTTCTGTTAAAAGCTATTAAACTATATATTACATATATTTATGTATTAATAATATATTATTGTTAACAATAGTAATCCTATATTGGTATAAAACACTGGAGTATATTCATTGTATTTAGCTGTAATTTCCTATCTTTTAATAAATCTTTTCCTATCTGCCTCCAACCTTGCTTCCTGCTACTCTTTCCAGCTTCTAGTATTTTCTGTTCTACTTCGTACTTCTATAAGATCAACTTATTTTAGCTTCCACACATAAGTGACAACATGCAATCCTTAACATTCTGTTCCTGGCTTATTTCTTTATTGGGATGTCTGTATTTTAATTATTAATTGTATACTTGTGTGTGTGTATGTGTGTGTGTTTGATCAATATATGAATCTTTTCTCAGCTATTTTCTCCTGGTCTAATTGGTTAGCTTAATAATTTTCTTAGCATTGTCATTTGACAAAGCTTCATTGACCATACATTTTTCTTGGATGGTTATTAATTTATGTGTTCTCTTTAAAATATTTGCCTCCTCTCAAAATATAAAAATGTACTCATTTTCTTCCAGAAATTTTATCAATCCTTTTATGTATAGTTTTGTGAACCATCACAAAATATTGGTTTATTTTCGTTGTCAGGTATGAGAAGAAGTTCATTTTTTAGTAATTAGATACACAGTTGTTTTGGTGTAATTTCTTGAAAAGACTTATTTTGTTTAATTGCTTTGAAGCCTCTGTCAAAAGTCAATATACCTTGTCAATCTGGGTCTGTTTCTGAATTCTTTATTTTTTCTATTGATCTATTTAGCTTATTATCATGCCAACACAGTGATATTTACCTTAGGTGTGTAGTTTATGGAAAGCCTTGAAGTGAGTTTTTTGTTGTTGTCGCTATTTGCCCAGTCTCACTCTTTGCCCAGGCTGGAGTACAGTGTCTCTATCTAGGCTCACAGCAACCTCTGCCTCCTGGGTTCAAGGGATTTTCCTGTCCCAGCCTCCCGAGTAGCTGTGATTACAGGTGTGTGCAGCCACGCCTGGCTAATTTCCATATTTTTAGTGGAGACAGTGTTTCACCATGTTGGCGAGGCTGGTCTCGAACTCCTGCACTCAAGTGATCCACCCGCCTCAGCCTCCCAAAGTGCTGAGATTAAAGGCATGAGCCACTGTGCCTGGCTGGAAGTGAGATATTTTAAGTCCTCCAAATTGTTTTAATTTTCAAGATTGTTTGACTATTGTAGATCTTGTACATTTCCATACATATGTTAGAATGAATTGCAGAAAAACTTGTGATTTTCCATAAAAATTCTACTAACAAAATTGAAAATTTTAACAAAATTGAGTTTTCTAACATGGGAATACATTTATTTATCCATTTATTAAAGTATTCATTACCTTTTTTTGGTAATCTCTTATAGTTTTCAGTGTACAGGAAGGTGTTTCAAATTATTTGCTAGATGAATTTTTGCCATTTATTTTTGGATGCTATTGGTAATTGGATTTTTAAATTCCATTTTTCAATATTTTTACTGTCATATTTAAGTGTAATTGAATGTTATATAAGATGACAAATCTTGCAAACTTGCTGATTTTTAAAATTATTATTAAAAATATTTAGAGCAGTTTCAGATAAACAGCAAAATTAAGAGGAAGGTACAGAGATTTCCCCTGTATTTCCTCCCCACACACATGCACATGCGTAGCCTTTCTCATTATCAGCATCTCCCAAGGGGATGGGGTGAAATGTGTCACCAGAGTCGTACATTTTTACCATTGGTTAACCTACACGACACATCATTATCACTGAAAGTCCGTGGTTCACATGAGCATTCACTCCTGGTGTTTGTTGGACGTTCTGTGGGTTTGGACAATGTATAATGACTTATCCATCATTATTGCATCATACAAAGTATTTTCACACCCCACAGACTCTTCGTACTTTGCCTATTCATCCTCCACCTTCCAACCCTTAGCCTGACAGTTTTAATGTCTCTATTGATTTTTTTTCCCAGAATTTCATATATTTGGGATCATACAGTGTATCGCCTATTTAGATTGGCTTCTTTCACTTAGTATTAGAAATGTAAGTTGCCTCTGTGGTTTCCATAACTTGATAGGTCATTTATTTTTAGCACTGAATAATATTCCATTATCTGAATGCTTCATAGTTTATCTGTTCACCTACTGAAGGACATCTTGTTGCTTTTAATTTGGGTAATTACAAATAAAACTGCTTTAAACATCTATGTTTAGGTTTGTTGTGTGGACATAAGTTTTCATTTTATTTCATTAAAAACCAAGGAGTGCATTTGATGGATCTTATGGTAACGGCATGTTTAATTTTGTAAAAAGCTGCCAATCTGTCTTCCAAAGTGGCTGTACCATTTTGCGTTCTCCTCAGTAGTGCATGAGATCCTGATGCTCCATATCATCACCAATGTTGCTGTGGTCCGTGTTCCAGATTTTGGCTGCTCGAGGCCTCACTTCAAGGCTTTCCATAAACTACACACCTAAGGTAAACATCACTATGTTGGCATGATAATAAGTTAAATAGATCAATAGAAAAAATAAATAATATAGTGCAGTGGTATCTCCTTGTTATTTTAATTTGCATTTCCCTGATTTCACATAATGTAGCGCATCTTCAATGTTGAAAACTTGAATCATTAATTCTATAGCTGTAGATATTTTAGAATTTTCTATGTAAAAAACCATGTGTCTGTAAATAGTCATTTTACATATTTCTTCCTAACTTTTACGTTTTTAATTTTAATTTTATTTTCTCTAGTTTTTATTTATTTTTCATATTTCTTGATTTATTTTATTTTATTTTTTTTGGGCTAGGACTTCCAAACAATGTTAAATAGAAATGGGAAGAGCAGGTGATCATGATTTTCCCCCAAATTAAAGAGAAAACTATTAATATTATACCAATATGATTGATGTTCCCCATAGATTTTCACACCCATCTTTCTGATTGTGGACAGTGTATGCCATATTCATAGTTACTGAGTGTTTTATTATGGAACGGGTGTTGAATTACATCTATTGAAGTGATTATATGTGAATTTTCTCTTTATTTTGTTAATACGGTGAAACACCATTGATACATTTTTAAATGTTGACAGTCTTGTATTAGTGGGATAAGCCTCATTTTGGCAAGATAATTATGTTCCATTTTACATATTGCTGCATTTGATTCACTAACATTTTGTAAATGATTTCTGTGAATATGTTCATTAGGGCTATTGCTGTAATTGTTTTCTTTAATTTCTGTATCAGATTTAATATTAGAATTTTACTCACTTTATAAGTACATGCTACAATGTGTTATTATTTACATGCTTAATAAAATTCACAAGTAGATCATATAGGCCTAAAGTTTCTTTGTGGAAAAATATCTTCTCATATTTTTGTTATTTTTCATGGTTGTTACATGAGTTGCCTCTTTTTTCTGGTTTCTTAAGTTGAAATCTTCAATCTTCAATAATTTATTTTAAACATTTTGTTTGTTTGTTTTTGTGACAGTGTCTTGCTCTGTTGCCTTAGCTGGAGTTAAGTGATATAAACATGGGTCACTGCAGCCTCCATCTCCTAGGCTCAGAAGAGCTTCCTGCCTCAGCCTCTCATGTAGCTGGGACCACAGGTGCACACCACCATACCTGGCTATGTTTTTAAAATTTTTGTAGATATGGGATCTCACTTTGTGGCCCAGGTTGGTCTCGAACTCCTGACCTCAAGTAATCCTCCTACCTTGGCCTCCCAAAGTGCTGGGATTACAGGTGTGAGTCACTGCTCCCAGGCAACTTTTTTTTTTTCTAAATTAAGCATTTGTGTTGGTTTCCTAGGACTGCCATAAGGTGGCGTAAAGCAACAGGAATATATCTCTCACATTTCTGGTGTCTAGAGTCTGAAATCAAGGTGTTGGCAGGGCCATATACTCTCCAAAGCTTCTAGGAGAGAATCCATCCATGCCTCTTCCAGCTTCTGGTAGCCTCAAACATTTGTTGATTTGTGACAGAATAATTCCAATCTCTGCCCATCTTCACATGCCCCGCTCTGTGTCTCTCCTCTCTTTTAAGGATGTCAGTCATACTGGATTAAAGGTCCACAACACTACAACTGGAAGGTTAAGCAGTTTATAAAGAACAAATCTTCATATTGTTCTTGGGGGCAGAATACCATTTATTTAAGTAAAGAAGACAATTTTGTGGTGATTTCCCTCTGCGAATAGAAAGTAATATAGCATGAAAAATAAATTATTGATTTTTGTTTGTAGTTTACAAATGCAATGTAGAGTAGAAGATTACTCTGTGGGTCAGGTACATTGGCTCACGCCTATTAATCCTAACACTTTGGGAGGCTGAGGTGGAAGGATCACTTAAGCCCTGGAATTCGAGACCAGCCTGGGCACTTTCTCTACAAAGAATTTAAAAAAAAATTAGCTGGGTATGCTGTCACACACCTGTGGTCTCAGCTACTCGGGAGGCTGAGATGGGAGGATTGCTTGAGACTTGAGAGTTCGAGGCTGCAGCAGGCCTTGATGGCACCACTGCACTCCAGCCTGGGTTACAGGAAAAAACCATGTCTCAAAAAAAAAAAAAAAAAAAAAAAAACCCAAAAAACAAAAACGGTTACTCTGTGAACAATACTCTATTACTTTTAAAAAAAGAAAGTCTTGGTTTCAAGCAATATATATATATACATCAAACATTTATGTATCACAAATAAGGACTCTAGATAAAAATGTTACCATAGTCATTTTACAAATGATAAAATTAATTAACAATGTAAACATTCTTGCTAAAATCTAGTACAGTAGCTTAGAACTAAGGTGCTTTTGGGCAGTTCAATTGGTGAAAACATTATGCATTAATTGCATTAATCAATCAGGCCAATTATCAATTTGATACAGTACTTGATTTTGATAGCTAATAAATTGAAATAAAAGCTATATTAATTTTAAAAATCAGTTTACTTCATTAAAGAGAAACATGATGAGTACCAAAAAATAAAATGTGATTATCTTTAAGAGATGAAATTTTGTGTGATTAAAGTTTTTTTTCAGATTTTTTACTTGTTTCTCCTTATATTTATTCTAATAAGAATGTCTTGTCTACATTTTTGAAGTAAATATCAATTAAGGGATGACATCTTTATTACCAGCAATTAATGAAAATAAGTTATTTATGTAACTAGCATTCCCTACATCTTGATTCCATTGGTCACAATATATTTTACAGCAGGCTGTGGAATTATATCATGGAATTTGATTTTTATTGTCTCTGTATTCAGTGCCAAGTAATTGAATAATTTTACTATGATCAAAGCATGTAAATCAATATCTTAATAACATCAAATAACCATCATTAAATTATACTGAAATCAGGGTTAAAATTAAATATGTAGTCATAAATTAATGATAGACTGTTTCACATATATGAGGTATGAAAAGTATTTATAATAAAACTCAATAGAAAATAGACTTTACCAAACATATTCAACAAAAATTGGCATTTGTGATATTCTAACCTCATACATAAAATAGAGTCTATGTGGAAATTTCTGACAGTGTGTAAACCAACTTGATACTGATGAAAGCCAAAATACTACTTGCTCCTTTTATAACTCTAGACGTACATCTTTGTTGCTGGAAAGTGGTGTTGGATGAAAGATTAAGTAAGTGTGTATTCCCTTAGGATTCTGTCACAAAGCTGGTATTTCTTTTTAGACCCCACACACAATGTAAAGATATAGATTTAATAAACAAACCATTTCTGATCTCAGCAAGGGTCTTAGCAGGGATTTTGAAAGTCAAACACACAGGAGCCATGCTTAACTGTGGTGGTAAAAGTAACATCTGCCTGAGAGGTTTAAACAACAGACTTTTCAAATCACTTTTAAAGCCACAGTAGGAGATGTGACAACCATAAGCAATACCCCAACCAGACCAGAAACATGAAAGCTGGAAGAAGTCAATTACATTCAAATACTAAAATAATCCCTATTAAAGGGAAACGAGAAATAAGTTGAAGTTCCTGTTTCGCTGTCTACCTAAGCCTTTTTGTACCCTTTCAAGTCTTCGTTAATGAATGTAAACTGACTTTAAAGAAAGAAAATAATTGAATATTACCACTCATAAATGGTTAACTTCACACATTTAAGTTAGATGAGTCATTTACTTCCAAGTCAAATTTTGTTTCCTAATTCAATACTTTTATGTAGGATTTATAGGACATCGAGTGACTTGTAATAATTACTACTGTACTGGATAATAAGGGTGTAAAAAGAAAGGTTGTGATGAAGTAACAAATATCTGAAAAAGCAAGATAAAAATATAACTGAAAGTACATAAAGTCTTTGAAACTCATTTAAATTTGTTTCATCTTCTCTATTGTACCTGCAAACAAAGAAATACTTGTGAACATTTCATACATCTTTTAACTTCATCTGTTGTGGTGCACTAAACCTGTGACTAGATAATTCACTTGTTAAAACACTGTAAATGGAGCTTAGGAGATGAAGTAAACTCCAAAGAAGAAAATGTTACTATGAACCTTCTCTTGTACCCATCAGTAAAAAGGAAGAAAATTATTTTTTATGTTCGCATAAATTATGTGTTTAGATGTCAGAAAACTATACACAGCATGACTTTTCTGCTGTATGTAGTAAAAATAATGAAGAAAGCAATGACTTGAAAAGGGAGGAAACAGTTTTCTCCTATAAATAAAAAATATAGTAAATATATGCTTCCCCTTTATACTGTTTCCTTGGAGAATATTTAATAATAACTCAGGCACTCCCCATGATATCTCACTAAGTCTTAATTTTAAAATGACCTATGTGATGACGTAGTTACTAATGTCAAAAATGTTCTCTATGAAGAGTTCAAATATGAGAATACAGTTTAAAATACAATTAGCCATTTTCTGTAATAGATGATAATTTCTCTTTGATTTCTCTATGCAATGATCATCAACCAATCTGAGGAAAATTTCCGACACACTCATACCCATGCACACACATAAAACTTCACCAAAAATAGTCAAGAATTCTTCCAAGAAGTGTTTTGAAGTGTTCTTCTCTGTTAACTATACAATTACTGAAGATACACACTCTCCACCTGCATGAATACAGTGCGCTTAATTCATTTGCATTTAATTGAGGCTTGTATCAATGCAAAACATTCTTCTGAATATTATGACCATTTACTAAAAGTTATTGCTTTAGGCTGAAGGACCAATTAAGGTCAAGGAACACAATGAATAAGTGATTATTTGATGGCTGGGACTGGAAAAAGTTTTAGGATACCAAATTCTGTAATATTTCTGCTATATCACAAATAATAATGTATCTACTATAATAAAAATATCTCAATTAAAAAATACATATTAGATATGTATATGAAGATTTCCAAAATAATTACTAGATTATGAGATCAATAAAATTATATTTTATAATTTTTCCATGTTTCTTATGAATGTATAAATAGATGGTTAGACTAAGTTAATTGATTTAGACATTTATGAATCTCTAAGGAATATATGTAATTAATTTGTTCCTGGAGAAAAATCAACGGAAATTTTTAAATATTATAAAATTTCTACTCATGCAAATATGTCTACTTATAGAACCTTGCTTTTTCAGATCTTTGTTAGTTCATAACATTTCTTTTTACATCCTTATTATCCAAGCCAATAGTAAAGATTACATGTCACTTGATATCCCATAAATCCTACATAAATTTCTACTCATAAGAATTTATGAGTGACCCCTCATAAGAATTTTTAAAATTTTAAAATTTCGGCTGTATATAAAATCAGAATCATTTTGTAACTATCAAGTAGTCAATCACAATGCTTTTCATATTTAACAGACAGCTCTTCCTTATTATTATAATTTCTGATTAAAGAAAATTCAGATATGATGGAGCAGAATACTCATTGTTTGAACTTGTTTAGGATCCCCTTAGATTAAGTTAATGTCTTTTCAGGGAAGCTGAATATGTTTTCATACATATGTCTCCTTCTAAAGATGGCAATATTTTACAAAACAGGATTGATATAAAACTGTCAATTAGGTTAAAAGATGAGGAAAATTCCAGAACTTTCAAATTATCTCTTGATTGTAAATATACCCTGCTCACTTTTAAAATCACTAAAAACTCATAAAGAATATTTATACAAAAGATATTTTTCTATGGAATATACAACATAAACATAAAACAATCACAATCCTTGCTTCTACTACTCCGAAAATTTTCGAAGTTGTTTAAAGCCATATCTAACTGTCTGAGAATGCAGGAAACAAAACATGATTCTAGGTACCTTCAGCCACATCTAGTGATGTCAGATTTGGCAACAGATAACACCTGCATTTTTACAGAATACAAATATATTCATACATTTTTCTTACTTTCTTTTTTTCTTCTTCATATCTGGAATATCTGTAGATCTGAAGTCTTGATGATTTCTAATAGTAACAGACATGTCATTATAATTATCCTGATTTTCATTACGTACTGAGGATTGTCTCAGAAATGCAATATCTTATCAGATTCTAAGAAAAGCATCAACAGAATACTGTCAGTAATTCAGATAAAAATGAAAGGATCTAAAAAAGTGTTACTGGATAACTTTTACTGAATAGCCATCTGCATCGTTACTTACATGACAGACATTCATAGAAACCTGTAAAGAACAACCATTTATTATCAATTCAGGTTTATGAATAATCCCTTTAAGACTGTAGGTATGAAGGATCATACATCTGACCTTTTATTTTAAAAATAAATATCAATATTTTTTGTTTTCATCTTTATGAAAAATTATTGGCATAAGTATCTAATTTTTACTTGTCTTTATTAACACTATTTAAACCTTTTATGAACACTACTAAACCTTTATATATGATAACTGGATGTCTAACAATCAGAAACAGTAGTAGAATTAAAATTAGTATTTTTCAAATACAAGTATCAATGTTTTATTTTATTCAAAAGAATTTCCATATAAAAATTTGATCTATAAAACACCATTTACTAATATATCTTAGAAATTACAAAAAATATTCATTTCATCCACACTTAATATTTAGCACCTTGTCTAGTCCTTAACTATATGAGAAACTTACAGTTTCTTGAAAATTAAATTAAGTTGGAAGTGTGAATTTATATTCTGAACCACACTCATTGTGACAGAGGTGAGGATAGGGCACAGTATACACATAAAGGAGAATCACTTGTTTTAATCCACAGAATTATAAAAGTTCTAAGACGTGGAATTATAAAGGAGAAGCATTTGTTTTAATCCACAGGCTTATAGAAGTTCCAAGAAGTGGAATTATATTGAGTTTTGAAATGAACAAAATTTTTAAGGTTGAGTGAATGTTATGTAAAAGATATGTCAAATAACAAATAGGTGATGGGTATTTTTAATATCTTATCAAAATGTTGCCTGTGAGAGTCAAGGCAATACACTATTGGTTGTCAGGTGATCACAATAGTGCCTACATAATTATTATTTTGTTGCACTCTTATAGACCTCTGGTACGTTATGATAAAGGAATGTGGAAAGAAGAGCTAACCATTAGGAGGGATCACATTAAGTACGATAAAAATAAATTTGAAAGAAATAATTGAAAATCAGAAAACCCACAATAATGAACAAAACTGTATAGCATACATCATTTTTATTCAAATCACTGCCTAAACATAAACAAATTTGTTGAGCCATGAAAGATAAGCATATTTGTATAGAGTGATAAGGGAAAACTAAGGTTTAAAGCAGTAGAAGCCTTAAGGGCTTTGGAGAAGAGTCAAAATTGATGATGCAAGGAAACTTTGACTTCACATATAATATGGTTTAGCTCTGTGTCTCCACCTAACTCTCATGTCAAATTTTAATTTCTAGTGTTGGAGGAGGGGGCTAGTGAAAGGTGATTAGATCATGTGGGTAGATTTCCCCCTTGCTGTTCTTGTGAAAGTGAGTGTGTTCTCCAAGATGTGGTTGTTTAAAAGTGTGCAGCACCTCCCCCTTTGCTCTCTCTCTCTCTCTCCTGCTTCACCATGGTAAGAGGTCCTTGCTTCCCCTTCACCTTCCACCATAATTATAAGTTTTCTCCCAGACATACTTCCTCTACAGCCTGTGGAACTGTGAGTCAATTAAACCTCTTTTCTTCATAAATTACCCAGTCTCAGGAGGTTTTTTTATAGCAGTGCAAAAATGAACTAATAAGTAAGGGAGCTTTGCCATAAAGATACTTGAAAATGTGAAAGCAGCTTCGGAACCGGGTAACTGGCTAAGGTTGGAACAGTTTGGGGGGCTCAGAAGAAGGCAGGAAGGTCAGGAAAGGTTTGGAACTTCCTAGAGGTGTGTTGAAGGGTTTCAACCAAAATGCTGATAGTGATATGGACAGAGAAGCCAGATTGATGTGGTCTCAGATGGAGATGAGGAACTTATTGGGAACTGGAGTAAAGCTCAGGCTTGCTATGCTTTAGCAAAGAGACTGGTTGCATTGTGCCCCTGCACTAGATAACTGTGGAACTTTGAACTTGAGAAAGATGATTTAAGGTACCTGGTGGAAGAAATTTCTACGCAGTAAAGCATTCAAATTGGCCTGGCTGCTTCTAAACACATACACTCATGTGTGTTTGGAAAAAAGATGGTCTGAAATTTGAACTCATATTTAAAAGGAAAGCACAGCATAAAATTTTATAATATTTGCAGCCCAGCCATGTAGTAGAAAAGAAAAACCCACTTTCTTGGGAGGAATTGAAGGCTGCAGAAATCTGCATAAGTAAAGAAGAGCCGAATGTTAGTAGCCAAAACAATGGGAAAAATGCATCCAGGGCATGTCAGAGACTTTTGAAGCAGCCTCTCCCATTACAGGTCTGGAAGCCTAGGAAAGAAAAATGGTTTTGTGGGCCTGGCCCTGACCCTAATGCTCTGCACAGCCTCAGAACATGGAACTCTCAGTCCCAGACACTCCAGCTCCAGCCAGGTTTAAAAGGGTCCAAGGTACAGCTAAGGGCCTTGCTTCAGAGGGTGCAAGCCACAAGCCTTAGTGGCTTCCATGTGATGTTGGGCCTGAGGTTGTGCAGAGGGCAAGAGTTGAGGCTTGGGAGCCTCTGCCTAGATTTCAGAGGATGTATGGAAATGCCTGGATGTCCAGGCAGAAGTCTGATGCAGTGGCAGAGCCCTCATGGAGAACATTTACTAGGACAATGTGGCAGGGAAATCTGGGGTTGGAGCCCCCACACAGAAACCCCATTGGAACACTGCCTGGTGGAGTTATGAGAAGAGGGTCACCATACTCCAGACCCCAGAATGGTATATCCACCAACAGCTTGCATTGTGCACCTGGAGAAACAGTACGCTCAATGCCAGACCATGAAAGCAGCCACTGGGGCTGTACCCTGAAGAGTTACAGGGGTGGAGCTACCCAAGGCCTTGGGAGCCCACCTCTTGCATCAGCATGCTCTGGATGTGAGACATGGAGTCAAAGAAAATTATTTTGGAGTTTCAACATTTAACAACTGCCCTGCTGTGTTTTAGACTTGCATGGGGCCTGTAGCCACTTTGTTTTGGCCAGTTTCTCTCTTTTGGAATGACAGCATTTACCCAATGCCTGTACCCCATTGTATCTTGGAGCTAACTCACTTGTTTTTATTTTACAGGGTCATAGGTGGAAGAGACTTGTCTTGTCCCAGATGAGATTTTGGACTTGTACTTTGGAGTTAATACTGAATGAGTTAAGAATTTGGAGGACTGTTAGAATGGTATGATTATGTTTTGAAATGTGAGAAGAACATGAGATTTGGAGGGGCTGGGGGCAGAATGATATGATTTGGTTTTTGTCCTCACTAAAATCTTATGTCAATTTGTAATTCCCAGTGTTGAAGGAGGAGCCTGGTGAGAGGTGACTGGATCATGGGGGCAGATTTCCCTTTTGCTGTTCTCATGATAATGAGTGAGTTCTCTTGAGAACTGGTTGTTTAAAAGTGTGTAGAATCTCCACATTTGCTCACTCTCTTTCCTGCTTCACCATGGTAAGATGTGCTTGCTCTTCACCTTTTGCCATGATTGTAGATTTCCTGAGGCCTCCTAGCAATACTTCCTGTACAGCCTGTAGAACTGTGAGTCAATTAAACCTCTTTTCTTTATATATTACCCAGTCTCAAGTAGTTCTTTATAACAGCATGAGAACAGACTGATACAATATAATAACCCTTTTGTACTTGATGTATTTTCACATGAATTTAGAAGCAGTGTAGTAAATGCTACAGTAAATTTAATTACATAAAATTTTCACTGTAATAAATACTACAGTAAATTTCATTACATATACTTTTCTTACTGTAGTAAATACTATAGTAAATTTTATTACATATAATTTTCACAGACTTTTTAAAGCAGTTTTATGTTTCCAACAAAATTGAGCAGATGGTACAAAGATTTCCCATATACTTCCTCCCCTAACATGCAGAGCCTCCCCTATTATTCACCATTATCAACATCTACCACAAAGGTAGTACATTTGTTACCATTCATGAACAACCTACTTTGACACCTCATTATAACCCATAGTCTACTGTTTACACTAGGATTCACTCCTGGTGTTGTACAATCTATAAGTTTGGGTGAATTAATAATGACATGTATCCTTAATTATAGTATTATAAAGAGTAGTTTCATGTATAATTTTTTTCACATCTTTAATTTGAGTGTTTATGCTATAAACACATGAAAACTCTAGGTATATGTTTTTATTTGGTTTATATGTTCAATTTTACTTTCTAATTTTGCCTCACATTTTAATTTTTATTTCAGACTTTCTTTGATAAATTATTTTTTACAGCTGCTGATTTGATAGTCTAACTTTTCAAATGATCACTTATAATCATTTCCATTTGCAAATATTCCAAAAAGCAAAGACTCTGAATTTATAAACTTTTGTTTTCTACTAAAAGCTGGTGAAAAATTGTAAATAGGGACTAAGAAGACAGCCACTTCAGGCAACCACACCCCATGCCAATACTTTAAATATGGCCCATGTGCAAAAACTTTGATTTATGATCTTATCCACCAAATAAAAGGTCAGCAAAATATCATATAATTCACTAAGAAAACTCAAGAGGGCTTGGTATTTAATATTTTCAAATAATTAAATGACATTTCTTACATTTGAGTTATAAATACCAAAGTTAGCCACAGCTTTTAATAAAATAGAATATTTAACTTGTGTGTGTAATTTATTTTGAATGGTTTAGACATAAAACATAATCCTGAACATCTTATTTTCAAAACAGTATTATACAACTAATGATAAACTCCACTTTGAAGTATATTTTAAAATGGCACAAAAATAAAACCACCACCATTTATTTCCAAATTGATTACATGTATAGTATTGCTAGCTATACCTAGAAAGATTAAGGGGAAAAAAATGGAAAAATTTTTAAAGGAGCAATGAATCTAACCAAGGAGGTAAAGTGACTGAGAAAATAGAAATTAAATAGAGTTTGTACTGATAATATATAAAAAGGACAAAAAACTTGTCCACTAATTGTCATAATGATAATAATGAAAATTCATATGAAATCTTTTTCAAGCAATTTAAAAAGGAAAGAGACATTCATTTCTCAGGAACTTTTAAAATAAATGTGTTTTATTTTGATTATTATATAACTAATAAAACTACAAATATGCACAAAAATTATAAAATATGATTATTAACAAAATATAAATATCTGTAATCTCTCAACTTATTGATGACTATTGGTATCATATCGGTATATTTATTACCAGTCTTTTTTCCTTTAATATATTGATTGTACTATGTTCTAATCTGTTGTAGTTATGTTCACTTAGGGACATTTATACTTATCATGATTTTCTTACTGATATTCTCACAATGAGATAAAAAGATCAATGACAGCGTTTACATTTATGGCAAGCTAGGTTTAAAGGAAAGACAGGAATGCACCAAAAAATGAAATTACTGGCCAGGGATCAATGGTTTTGTGGGTCTGGAATTCAAAAATGAGATTTGAGAGCCAGGTTGTCAATGTGACCAATTTAGGTAAAGTACAATTAATGACACTGTTTTAAAACTTGGGACTGCAACAAGATAAATGATGACCTCTTGCCTTCAAATCATGCACTGTCTAAATGTGAGCTGAACTTTAAAGGGTAATGCAACGTGTGCAGGTGGACACAGAGATAATAAACGTGTAATCTGCTGCCCAAATTTTCCTCCCTAGCTTACCCTCACTCTCCTCTTTAGTATCAGCTGGCTCTTTTAAAATTATTTCAATTAAGAGAAAAGTAGTAAAAGTAAAAAAAACCCCTCACAGTTCCCTTGAAGTCTTAGAGTGTGAAAAGAGATAGGATAAAACATAAACCAAAAACAGATGAAGCTTTTCAATTAGATGAATTGCACTTGTAATTTTTTAAAAAATACTTCCCCATAGTCTCAACAGCAATATACAAATTATTTTAAAGAAACTAAAAAATAACTAATGATAAATGAAAGAAGAGATAATTACTCTTCACAAAAGGGAATACAAAGTGAGTAAGAAGAACTTGGAAAAAATTTACAGTAAAATTAAATCATTTCAAAAATTAATGTCACATTAGAAGGAAAAAGGAGTAAAATAAATTTCGCTGAAAATTGAGTTAGGCACAGATAAGTAAAGTCACATTTAATGAAATAGAAAACAACAGAGGAATAATGCATAAAAGTGATACATATAAAAGTCAAAAGAGGTCTATTCTGTATAGTTAGCATTTCTACACCAAAGAACAGTGTTGAAGAAAAATATTTACAATAATGGTTTTCTTAAATAAAGAATGGAATATTTAAATCACAATGTACAATGTGTACTAGGAAAATTACTAATAATTACTTCTCATACATTTTACCTTGATAAATATTACGAACTTAAAGAAAACAACAACAAAGATCTCCAGTTGATGTAAAGAGACACCTAACACAGAGGGAATCAGGCTGACTTCAGATTATCCAGAGCATCATTCCCTGACAAAAGAAAGTATAATGATGTCTGTAAAGTTCTAGAAAAAAAGAAATATGATCTAAGGGTTTTATGTTCTCATGTAAGAATTCATAGATCACAGCTCAACAAATTAGTCTTGGAAAAACTATTACAACAAAAAGGCAAACTATAGGCAAAAATATTCAGCCAAAGATGAGATGAATCAAAATGAAGAACTCCATAACAGAGAAAGAAGCAAAGGTTAAAAAAATAGTGGTAAGTACCAAATTCCACTAATAAAACCTAAGAATAAATAATTGAGAGAAATATTAAAATAATTTAGAAATGTTACAACCCAGAGCAAGGTATATTTAAAGTTAAGATGGCAAACAGAGGTAGATGGAAATATAGGTGTTCAAATTTTCTCCTCTTTTATACTAAAAAGTTATTATTTATTAACTAACAAAAATAAATGTGGAATTATTAGTTTTCAGTATATTGTTTATAATTTTGGGGAATAGGAGCTATAATCAGTATACCTTCTAAAGCCAGATATAAAAAATTAAAATAATATGCTCCTAGAAATAGATAGAAAATAAATAATGACAAAATATAAAATGAAACTTATAGCAAATTTAGAAAAATTCATATTAAATTTATTAATATTAAATTTTTAAAAGGCAAAGTTAAATATCTAGTGCCAAATGAATAGATGCAAAGATGTGTGATAAATCTAAAATAGTTAAAATGCTAATTGTACAATCTTGGTGATAGATATTTGGGCAGTCAATGCAAAATTTTAAAAACTTTTCCGTTTGAAAACTTTCACAGTAAAATGCTGAAAAAGTCTTCTTAATTTAATAAGCTAAAATAAAATCTAACTGCATGAAATATATAAACATTGAGGGAAAATAGAGACGATCTAGTGGAAACCATGAAGAATCAATGAAAAAAATAATACCATGGATGGTACAAAAACAATTTCAAAGTCAGTATGAGACATCTGCTCTGGTTCTGGTACACATCCCACTTGATTCATATCACATGAAAGTTCCTTCCCAGCACCTTGGGAGGCCAAGGTGGGTGGACCACGAGGTTAGGAGATCAAGACCACCCTGGCTAACATGATGAAACCCCGTCTCTACTAAAAATACAAAAAATTAGCCGGGCTTGGTGGTGGGTGCCTGTAGTCCCAGCTACTCAGGAGGATGAGGCAGGAGAATGGCATGAACTTGGGAGGTGGAGGTTGCAGTGAGCCAAGATCGCTGCCACTGCACTCCAGCCTGTGCGACAGAGCGAGACTCAGTCTCAAAAAAAAAAAAAAAGTTCTTTTGTGAATATAGCAAAGATGAATACATGATAAATTGATGAAACTTTGTCTCTAGAGACTCCAATCTTTTTATTATGTATTCTTTTTGGAAAAGCTATACAATTGAAAAGGAAGAATTTTTTTCTCTATATTATTTACGAAGAGAAGTGAGTGAGAGAAACAGTGTCTGGGGCCATAAGTAGGTCCAGACTGCTACATCTGAGATAGTAAAAAGACCTCTCAGACTGGGGAGATAAATTGTGGTTAGCATCCCCTTCCCCAATGCAGGACTTGAGTAAAACTTTTCTCACCTTGGAAAATAAAGAAAACCCAGATTCAGCCTAAGAGCATTCCCTCAGTCAACCCAATCTGTAAACAGCACCTCTAGTTATGTGAGACTTAATTGTTTCTAATTGCAGTTCCTAGAAAGAAAAAAGAGTAAGTACAATCGTAAAATTATTGAAGAACCACAAGACTGAATAGTTAAGCAATTTTGAGAAAGAAGAACAAAGTTAGAAGCCTCCTATCCAAATTATATTACAAAAATACAGTCATCAAATGATATTGTACTGGCATAAAAGCAGAGATAAAAAACAAAGGGAGCAGAATAGAAAGCCCAGAAATTAACCCAGGCATATATAATTAAGTAATCTTTGGTAATGTGACAAGAATACACAAGGATGAAAGGAAGATCTTTTCAATAAATGGTGATGGGAAAACTGAATTTTTACAAACAAATATAATGAAATTGGATCTTCTTACACAATAACAAAAAACTAAAAATTGTTTCAAAGACTTAATTGTAAGACCTGGAACTGTAAATCTTCTAGAAGAAAACATAGGAGAAAAGTTCTATGACAGTGGTCTTGGTGATGATTTTTTGGATCTGATACTGTATTAGGCTATTTTTGCATTGCTATACAGAAATACCTGCGACTGGGTAATTTACAAAGAAAAGAGGTTTAATTTGGCTCTTGGTTCTGTAAGCTATACAGGAAGTGTGGTACCAGCCTCTGCTTCTAACGAAGCTTACAATTATGGTGGATGATGAAGGGGGAGCAAGCATCTCATATGGTGAGCCCAGGAGCAAGAGAGAAGTGGGAGTTGCCACTCAAATCTTATGTCCTTCTCACATTGAAAAATATAATCATACCCTGCTAATAGTCCCCCAAAGTATTTATTTCAGCATCAAGTCCCAAATCCTAGGTCTCATCTCAGACTCATCTCCTTCTAACCATGAGTCTGTGAAATCAAAACAAGTTATTTATTCCCAAGATAAAATAGATATGCAGACATTTGGTAAACATTACTGCTCCAAAGGGGAAAAGTTGGACAAAAGAAAGGGGCAGTAGGCCCCACACAAGTCCAAAACCCAGCAGGGCAGTCACTAAATCTTAAAGCTCCAAAATATTCTCCTTTGACTCCATGTTCCACCTGCAAGGCACTCTGGTGCAAGCAGTAGGCTCCCATGCCCTTGGGCAGCTCCAACACTGTGGCTTTGCAAGGTTCAGCTCTTGCAGCTACTCTCATGGGTTGGAATTGAGTTCCTGTGGCTTCTTCATGCTGGAGGCAAGCTACCAGTGGACCTATCATTCTCAAGTCTGGAGGATGGTGGCCCCATTTCCACAGCTCCACTAGGCAGTGCCCTGGTGGGGATTCTGTGTGGGGGCTCCAATCCCACATTTTCCCTCCACACTAGCCTAGTAGAAATTCTCTGTGATGGTTCTGCCCCTGCAGCAGTCTCTGTCTAGGTACCCAGGCTTTCTCGTACACCCTCTGAAATCTAAGGGGAAGCTGCCAAGCCTCCTTCACTCTTGCATTCCATGCCCCTGCAAACTTAACACCACCTGGACACCACCAAGGATCATGGTGGTTTGTACTCTCCAAGAGTGGGTCAAGCAGTATCTGGGATCCTTTGAACTGAGCCTGAAGCTGGAGCAGCTGGGATGCAGGGAACAGTCCCTAAGGTTGTGCAGGTCAGTGGGGCCCTGGGCCTGGCCCAAAAAAGAGTTATTTTCCCCTAATTCTCTGGGCCTGTGATGCGATGGGCTATCTTAAAGATCTCTAAAATGGCTTTGAGGCCTTTTTCCTATTTTCTTGAATTTTAGCAATTGATTTCCTTTTAGCCACGCTAATCTGGCTTGCAAGTCATTCCTCTGCAGCCTGCTTGGCTTCTCTCTCTGCCAGATGGTCAGGTGGCAAATTTTCCAAATTTTTACACTGCTTCTCTTTTAAGTTCCAGCTTTAAGTCCCATAGCTGATCATAGGTTGTTAGAAGCAGCCAGGTCACTTTTTGAACACTTTGCTGCTTAGAAATCTCTTCCCCAGATACCCTGTCATCACCCTTAAGTTCAGATATCCACAGATCCCTAGGACATGAAAACAATGCAGCCAAATTTTTTTTCTAGGGCTTAACAAGGGTGACCCTCACTCCAGTTCCCAATAACTTCCTCATTTCCATCTGAGACTTTATCAGTCTGATGTTCGCTGTTCGTATTTCTACCAATATTTTGCTCACAACTGTTTAACACATCTCTAAGAAATTCCAAAATTTCCCTTATCTTCCTGTCTTCTTCAGAGCCTTCCAAACTCTGCCAACCTCTGCCTATTACCAAGTTCCAAAGATGCTTCCACATCCTTCAGCACCTTCATACCAGGAGTGAGACAGTGTTGTCCCATACTCCTTGTATGAATTTTCTATGTGAGGCTATGTTTGCATTTCTGTAAAGAAATACCTGAGACTAAGTAACTTATTGAAAAGTTTATTTTGGCTCACTGTTCTGCAGGCTATGCAGGAAGTGTGGTGCCACCATCTGATTCTCATGAGGGCCTCAGGAAAATTACAATCATGGCAGAAGGTGAAGGGGGAGCAGGCATCTTATATGGCAATAGCAGGTGCAAGAGAGAGAGGAGGGATGTGCCACACACTTTTAAATAACCAGAGCTCACAAAAACTCATTCATTATTATTAAGACAGAACCAAGCCATTCATGAGAGATCCTCCCCTGTAACCCAGAAGCCTTCCACTAGGCCCCACTTCCAACATCAGGGGGTATATTTTCAACATGAGATTTGGAGGGGACAAACATCCAAACTATATCAGGTACCCAAAGTAAAGGCAACAAAAGCAAATTAAACAATGAGACTATACCAAACTAAACAGTTTCTGCACAGCAACTAAAAAAGGAAAATAAGTCAACATAATGAAAAGGAAACTCACAGAATTGGAGAAGATGTTTGAAAATCACAAATTTAATAAGGGATTAGTATTCAAACTACACAAGGAACTCATATAAAGCAGTAGCAAAAATAAACAAACAAACTAGTAATGTTAAGGAATAATGGGCAAAGGCTGTGGATAGACATTTTTCCAAAGAAGACATGCAGATAGGCAATATATATTTGAAAATCTGCTCAACATCACTAATCATCAGGAAAACTCAAATCAAAATCAAAATGAGGTATCACCTCATACCTGTTAGGATCACTATTATCAAAAACTGAAAACATAAAAAGTGTTGGTGAAGATATGGAGGAAAAAAGAAACCCTTATGAATTGTTGGTGGGAATATAAATTGGTACAGCTGACACAGGATTTTTCTTGGCTCTTTTTCCAGGCTCACAGCAGGAGGCACCCTGCCTACTCGGCCCACTGGGCCGCATCTGGCTTGTGCTCTGGTACAAATCCCATGGCCACAGTGACTGAGCACTCAGCCCTTGGCAGGAGGCGGTGTGTGAGTGAGTGAATGTGGAGTTCAGCTACCATTCCAAATGCTGGCAGGGGCAGGCTCTATGCAGGCTCCAATCATGTCACCCTGAGGGAAATGTGGTGGTCCCCAGTCAAGAGTGTCCATGACCTCAAAGCCCCAGAAGGGGTGTTACAATGTGCTAATTGGCTCTTTTAGTCCATCTGCCCACAGCCCAACAGACAGCAGCATGTTAACAGCTTAATCAGCCCCTTCCCCGACTCTGGGCTACAGCTCTGTGGCCGGCTCAGCCCTGCTGCTGCTTCCCATCACTTGGGGCAGCTGCCTTACAATGATGGAGGGCAGAAAGTCACAGTATTATAGCCTTCTGTGTGCCCGAACTCAAGAATATCTTTTCCCACATCCAAGAAGAATGAGGTCATGCTGACAATTGATGGGTGATGAGGACAGAGAATTTTATTGAGTGACAAAACAGCTCTCAGTGGAGAGGGGACAGGAAGATGGTCTTTCACCCAAAGTCGCGTATCTCTTCATTGTGGCTGAGTCTGGAGCTTTTATAGGCACAGGATGGGAGAAGGGCAGGCCTTAGGTAGTATCGAAAAAGGCAATATTTTTTTGTTTGGTTTGGTTTGTTTTTTTTTGTTTTTTTTTGTTTTTGAGACGGAGTCTTGCCCTGTTTTCCCGGCTGGAGTGCAATGGCACGATCTCAGCTCACTGCAACCTCCACCTCCTGGGTTCAAGTAATTCTCCTGCTTCAGCCTCCCCAGTAGCTGGGATTACAGGCAAGTGCCTCCATACCCAGCTAATTTTTGTATTTTTAGTAGAGACGGGGTTTCACCATGTTGGCCAGGCTGGTCTCACACTCCTGACCTCATGATCTAACCACCTCAGCCTCCCAAAGTGCTTGGATTACAGGCGTGAGCCACCAAGCCTGACCGTGAAAAGGCAACATTTGATTGGTTAAAAAGCATTATTCAGAAAGAATCAATCAGGAAAGGGCAGGCAAACAGGAACAGAAGCTCTCACTCTGGGTAGCAGCTTTCATCTGGAACCAGCTATCCAGTCTTTCAGACATCAGGTTGTTTTTGGCTTGAAGGCAGGGTTTCACTGGGGACCCACCCCTATCTGCCTAGGCATTTGTCAATCTCCTGCTACTATCACAAGCATATAGACAACGGTATGGAGGTTCTTCAAAAAGTTAAAAATAGAACTGCCATATGAACCAGCAATTTCACTTCGGCGTATATATCCTTAAGAATTGAAAGACAGATTTCAAAGAGATGACTGCACACTCATGTTCATTGCAGCATTATTCATGATAGCTAATACATAGAATCAACCTAAGAGTCCATCAGTGGGTAAAAGGAGAAAGAATATGCGGTATATCTACACAATGGAATATTATTCAACCTTACAAAAGAAGGAAATATTGCCATTTGCAACAACATGGATGAAACTGAATGACATTTTGCAAAAGGAAATAAGCCAGAAACAGAAATTTAAATATTGTATTATCTCACTCATATGTGGAATATAAAAAAGTTGAACTTACAGAACATAGAGTAGGAGGGTGATTACCAGGGTTGGGGGAAATGGAGAGATGTTGGTCAATGGTTAAAAACTCGTATTTATTATATGAATAAGTCTGAAGACCTAATGTATAGCATGGTGATAATAATTAATAATAATGTATTGCATATTTGAAATTTGCTGAGAGTAATTTTAAGGATACATACCACACATGCAAAAGAAGATAATTATGTGATGTGATGAAGATGCTCATTAGCTTGATAGTGCCAATCATTTCACAGAGTACATAAATATTAAAACATCTCATTGTACACTTTTAATATATATAATTTTTATTTATAATTTGCAATTGTCAATTTTATTTGTCAGTTTCTCAGTAAAGCTGGGAAAAAAAGGATACAGTTGAAGGGCAGAAGCTATTAATTATCAAGCCACCAGCAATGGACTTGATAGGTTTCATTTTTATGATAGAAAAAACATGTCAGCATGATATCAGCCTGATGGCATAATTTTGTCTATATTCCACATAACAAATGATTGAGTTTTCTCTAATTGAATATATATTATTATTGACACTAAATTTGATTCAATTATATTTTATATTATGTAGATGAGACCACTTTCAATAACTTTTTTTATTAGGTGGCACAGATTGTATCAAAATTATTTATCATTGCTTGCATAAACAGCTGATCATGTTTAAATCATGAAAGTGATCTTTTTACAATAGTGTAAAGGGACAAATAAATAGATTTACTCTGTATGACTCAATTCATTAGAATTAAGTAAATAATTTAATTATATGATTTATTGTAAGTAAAAGTAAAATCTTCCACAGATTTCTAGAATAATTCAGTATGAGTTTTTTTATTTATATCATGATATTTGTGTTTGTTTCTCCATTAATTTTTATAGCTTTAGATAATCTAGGTTTATATTTATTATAATGTCATATCTCACTGTATTTGGCATTTGCATTTATATATCTGTTTGCTTGAATTATCATTAATAATTAACATAGTCCTTAAAGTGGGAACTATAAATCTATTTGGAATACAGATCTGGTGATCCCTACTGCATGGCAGTTCTCACTAGATAGCAAAGCCTTTTCTTTCATACAGAAACCTAGCTACCTCACTCAAGACAACAGGCTGCCTATTTGAGGAAGACCTGAAAAGTGTTTACAGGTTCTTTCCAACATCTCTGCAAGATATCTTCCAGTGACTAATCAAGAAATAAAGGCAGTTTTCATTATTCTATAATGGCACATTATTTGGATTGCCTTTCAGCAAACCATTAGTCTAAATTACTTTTAGTGAACTCCACAGTTTACTGATGGTGGGAAGCAATGGCCTGTGCAGCAAGCATTGCCAGAAGGCTTTTTCCTAATAGAACTTTTTTTGTTGTTGCTATTGCTTAAGCTTCAACAGCATCTTGGAAACTAGTCCATTTATACAAGCAGTAAATAATGCAAGATGAATGACAATTTCAGCATATAAAATGCAGCTATTCACCAGAAGAATTTAGATATTGCCATGTACTTTTAACAGGCTGTATTTTTTTATTGTTGTTTTTTGAGAATCAGTGACATAAAGTACTCAAGACAGGAAGAAGGCTGGTGAACAGGTGCCTTTTTCCCTTTCATGGTAATGTTAAATAAGGAAAGCAGTGAAAAATACCTCTGGGCAATGCTTTTGACCAATGACAGGTGAGAGTGAAACATCTGTCTTGAACTTTCATAACAAACTATGATGGTCAAAGAGACAGCTGGAACAAATTCATAACCCTTTTAAAGACATATCATGGCAAAGAAAGACTCTTTAAAAAAGATCCCAGAATATTTTTTTGTAGGATTTGGAGAAAATGGTCAGCAGTTTTGTTATTCTTTGATTAATGACCTCAAATGAACAAAATAAAGGTCAAGTATAATATCAGAGAATATTCCAAAAGAAAAGTATCTCCAGATCTAATTGCTGATAGGAGTGAAGTAGCTTATTAGCAATAAACTGGTAGTTCAGGCCGATCTATAGAAGGAGTTATTGGGTAATAGGATCTTGTTGTTAGTTTAACAGACCAAGAATGTTCATATTATGTGAGATACATGTTACAATAGACTAAGAAAAACTAACAACAACTAAATGTGCAAGATTTTGACAGATACACAGTTTGAAATTTACAATGATATACACAAGTTTCAAGTAGACTAAGTCTATTGATCTCATACAATAGCCACTAGCTAAATGTGCCTACCGAGCACTTAAAATGCATCTACTACAAAGTCAGATGTGTTATAGCAAACTTACAGGTAAAAAATAGACATTGAATTTCAGATATTTAGTACCAGAAAAATGCAAATATATTATTAATTTTTATTATAAATTAAAATACTGTTATATAGATTGAGATGATATAAATGAGTCATTAATTATACCTGTTTTCTTTCCTTTTATTAAATATTGTACATAGACAATGTAAAATCACACATATGGCTTACATTATGTTTCTACCGACAGTGCTGGACTAGACGATTTTATCCATTTGACAAGTGAAGTGATTTATATAGGAACTAAGTTCCTTGGTGATTTCATACAGGGCAATATAAGTTATATAATTTGAGGGCAACTATACAACTTATAATTACATACATAATTATATTACATATGAATATAGGGCAATATGAATTATATAATTCAAGTGTTTACTGGCTTTAGGCTAAGTTGATCTAATGCACCTATTTCTATATTAAGAATATACTTGTCGAATGGACTAAGTGAGTGAAGTCGCTGATTAGATGACTCTTTCCTAGAATTTGCTGAATAAACACCACCAGATTTTATTACAATAACCATTATTTCTCTACCTTTCTATGTTGAACATTCTTTTCTGCCAAATTATTCTTTCCTTCACTATCTGTGTCACAATATCATATGCTTAAGGATGCTAATAGTGACTAATAAGCAGGTGATTAAAATAAATGAAGAGCCCCATGTGGAAATTACTGTGAACTGGGGAGTTTACAACACTAGAGAGTTTCTGCCCAAAAACACGTTGATGAAGCTATATAGGTGCTATATTTGTTCAATGAATACATAGTGGATGAAAGTGTATATATATTTTAGTAGGAAATATGTGTTAGTTAATTCCCCAATACCTCACCCGCCGCACAGATAGAGACTACAACACTAGAGAAGAAATGGAAGGCACTGGCAAAAAGAGGACTGAATAAAAAAGAGGACCATGGACTGAAGTATTTATTCCCAACCTTCATAATCTTCCTTCCTCCATGGAAGGAGGTCTCTAACTATGGCCACAGGTCTCACTAGACAGGCCTTCTCCCATGGCTGCAACTTTTTCTAGGTTGAAAGAGAATGAACATGCATTATAAGTTGTCTAGGAAAAATCCTGGCTAATGCGCCTAACATTCAGGTAAAAAGCTGTTAATTATTTTGAGTATCACATTTCAGTCTCAAATGTATCTCTATTCTATAACAAATTATATGGTCTCCCTAAGTATCCCTTCATAGAGGGACTTTCCACACCTCCATGTTTATGTACTTTCTCTTGTCCTCAATTTCAAGGCTAAAGACACAATGATATATTGCCCTTCCTTCTTGTAACAGTGAAGGCAATTCTTCCCAGAGAACACCAGGCTCAAATCAAGAAAATTCTTCACTGTCAGTTCAAGGGAGGTGTCTGGAATTTCAGCCCTGTGGGATTCTATTATTCTTATGAACCCATGGCCACTTGGTACTTCTCATTATTTCCATTTCTGAATGAAAGATTTTGTTATGATGATCCTCTCCTGTTGCTGAATATGCATTTATTAGAGAGAGAGAGAGAGAGAGAGAGAGAGAGATGTTAGGGGAGGGAGGAATCAGATAACATATATTTTAGTTAGGAAGTCACTAATTCATAAGGAGCCTCACTCATCTGGAATTAATCAGGACAGATTCCAGACCTTGAGCCAGAGATATTCTCTGGATGTAGTATTGGGTTGTCTTCCTTGGAGATAGAGTCATTGTATCTACGTATGGGAGGAAGAATGAATACAGATGAATGATCAAAGATATGACTATGGCAGACTACTAGTTACACAGGTCAAACCATTAGCCAGCAGCCATATACCCTTGCAACTAGAAATAACCATGTGCTATTCTTACCTACAGAATATGAGCAGAAGTGTTATCTACTGTTTTTTGGATCTAAGTTTCAATACTACACGCATGTTCAGCCACAATCTTTTTTCTTCCTGCCCTTTGGAGCATAGATCCTGGTAGAAATACAGTGATAGAAATTTGACCATTTAAAAAAATGAGACCTTTTGAGATGTTGCCATAAAATGGAAGAAGCTGGTGCCCCTTAATCATCTATTGGTGTAGAGTTATCGCACCATTTAGGCTGAATATATTGACTATCAGAGAGAAATAAACTTTTCTTCTTTAAATTACTCAGGGAGCCACTTTGTTACATAACAAATACATGACTGAAATATTAAGATTTTCCATTATCATCAGTATGAATTGCAGACTACAGACAGATGGACAATAAAGTTAATGGCAGGTTTTATATGTATAGACTTTTACATTTTTGTGATTCTGAGTCATAACAGTGTTTTCTCAACTGATACCAATGTGGGTGTTTTTCCTGTATAAATACAAATATTAATGAACATTTTGCATATGAGCATTGTGTTAATGACACTGTTTGTGATTATGACTATAAAAATTTCTTACTATTACTCAGTATATACACAGTTAAATTGAATTATTGCTGAGTGAAAAATTCTATAAGTCAAATATTTACTTTTTAAAATAAAATCAAACAGTTTTTTTATCTTTATTCCTAATGAAATTCTGAAATTACTTACTGAGTTGGATAGATAATTTAAAATTAATACAAATGTTTTATTTAAAATGTAAATATGTGTTTGAAGGTAAACATAATTTTTAAATAAAAATGGTGAAAAGAACACCTGCAAACTTATAACCTCCCTGCACAGCACAAAGGTAGAACAGTCCAGCCAGCTTGGTCGAGAGGGTATAAATCCAAAGGCTGTTTGCTTCCTTGTCCTGTTGTTTGGTCTGTGTGTGCTGCTGGCCAAATAAATTAACCTCCCTGGAATATCTTAAAATGAGAATAATAATGAAGTATTTCATGGAATTTTCATGAGAATTTAAAGATAAATAGTATGAGAAAGAAAAGGAAAATGTAAGTATTACAGAAATATAAACTAACCAGGTGGAAAAAAAGACTTGAATAGTTATACATTTAGTGAGCACAGTTAACAATTGCCCAAAATGTTTAAACAATTCATAAATTTGAATCTTTGATTTTTGCATTATAATTATTTCTATTTCATTTCACTTTGTACATACCCATCTGAATGGGAACATTTGGATTGATGTAAAGAGTTATGACTGCTTTGTTTTTAATCATTCTTCAATTAGCAGGGAGTAGATGAATATTATAAAGAAATTATTGTTTATTTATTATTTATATTCAGTGGAATTTAGTAGTTTCAAGTTCTCTAAAATTACTCTTTAAGGGCTCAGGATACAGAATTGTGGATTCTTTGAAAACAGATGGAAGAGAGATCTAGGCTTGTAAAGTCAGTTTTGTCATTTATGATTTTGTAAATCTGGACAAGTTTCTTAATCTCTCCAGGGCTCAGTTACTCAAACTGATTTTTGAAATATTAAGTCAGTGTATAGCTACGAATCAAACTTGGCACCAGACTTAGCAGAATGCATAGATCTTTCATAATATTCAGTTACTAATTACCAGTACTTCCTTAAAAAGTAGTAATATAAACAACTATGTAATCAATGCTCAATATATACTACTTACTACTTCTCTTTTTAAAAAATAAAACAAATAGCTTGTATAAAAATGTTGGTTTCATTTATGTATAGCATCATAATTTTATTTTTTACAATGTAGTTACTCTAAGATGTACTCCCAAAGAAATGAGTAACATCTTTATTGTAAATAAAGTTGTATTGTTAGAAGAAATATGTCAAATTGCAAAGATTAAGTTTTTCCATCGCACTTTAATGACATTAAATGATTTTAATTTATGATAATAATTTATGTTATTTTTACCAGCTTTCAATTTAAACCATGTAATATTATTAAATATCTGTCCAAACAGTGCTTTTGTTTTAAAGATGGAATATACTGGTATAATTTTGCTCCTGATAGTTTTTTTATTTTTTTAGCTCTTTCCTCATAAGAAATGCACATAACCTATTTTTGAAAAAAAAGAATATTTTTGATTTATATAAAAATATTGCTTCTTAGGTACCTTTACTATGCTTTCTCGAATACGACAGAATGGATTAACTTGTGAAATGTTAATTTCAAAAAGAAAGAGAGGTTTGACATTTTTGCCTTGAGCTTGGAAATTATAAACAATTTCCAGATTGAATACCTTGCACTGAGTATCTTAATTCTTTGGTCCAAATGTGAAAAACATATGAATAAATGAATAAATAAGTAAACTGAAATTCTGAATAATTTTAAAGCTTTTATTAAAACTCATCATTATAAAGTTTGCCTAACATATCTTATACCAGAGGATCTTTCTGTTACTTTACAGTCCTTGAGCTGAATCTCTAACAATGGTTTTCATTCTTTCTTCCATTCATGGCTCTGCTCTCCACTATGTTGGGGTATGGCATTGTTCATGTGGAAGAACCTTGCCTCGCCACATTCATTTCATCCACAGAAGCTATGTTTTATATCTTTGGCATATTTAGTTTCTGAATAAAACTTTACTGAGAAAATGATTGGGGGGAAAATGTAATTAAACACCTTTAACATTACTGATAACTGATTTTTTTTTGCTCTAATAATTACTCAATAGGCTTATTTTTGTCTCTCAGATGAATTATGAATTTGGTTAATAAAGAAACCATACTTTCTACTTTCTCATATATATATACACATATATATACATATATATACACACACACATATATATACATATATATATACCTGAGCATTCATATATGTATATACAAATATGCATCATATGTACGATGTGTTTATGTGCAAAAGGAAACTGTTTCAAACTTTGTCTTCACCCAGAGACCCTGCTTACCACAGAATATAATTATAGAAATTTCAATTAAATTAAAATTTTAAAAGCTAGATGTGAGCTTCTAATTCTGACATAGATGGAAGAAATCTAGGAATGGTCTGTTAGAAACTTGAGAGATTATTGTGTTTTTATGGTTGAGAAAACTATAGCAGAGTCAGATATTAAAGAGTGTATTTGAGTTTCTCAAACTCAGAAACTCCCTAGAATTTCACATTCACAGTTACGAGTTATTCAAAGTGTTTGTAAAGACAGTCTCTCTCTTTTCAATGCCATGGCTTCTGTGTTAAGATGGTGTAATAACTCAGACAGCCATTTTTACTTTTTGCATCTAATGCAATCAGATTTCTTATAACTTTCTGGAATAAATCTTAGAGCTTATTATTACACTGACTCCAAGAAGTTGGTGGTGACCAAAGTAGCATATGTAATAAATCTGGACTTCATCAATGTGTCTCCAAAACACTGAGTAGATTTCAGTTTCAAAATAGTCTTGGTCAACACCAAATGAAGAACAGTGTATTAGCTTTGCAATTTATTAGCTCCATAAATTTCATCAGGTCACCTGATTGTTCTTTCCTCACTTCTTCATCTGTAAAGTAGAAATAATACCAGACTCAGAGTGGTTATGAAATTCAGAAAAGTTAGCATGTGTAAAGCACATAGTACTTGGCACATAATAAGTAATAATATATGTCTCAGTTAAAGAACCAATCATTGGGAAGTTCCCCTCAAATACTTTTTTGCTGTTGTTTATAACTTTTATTCAATACACAGCCACATTCAGCATCCCAAGGAGCTGATTTTTCAAAACTCTCACCACCAGCTCCTTCACCCATCTCCCCTAACAACATCAGATTAAAAATATACTTTGAACTGTTTCTTGTGGCAGCTCAATCTGTACTCTCTTCATATAGTCAACAAGTATATGTAATTAAAGTTTTGTTATGTTTTAAGGAAAGGATCTTCCAATTTTTGCCAACTTATTCAAATAAATATATAGTTTATATAAAAGAGAAGACAATATTATCTTATATCTAAGTAATAAAAAGACATGACCCCCTTCATAGGTAGTGCTATGTAGTGGCCCTCAAATAAAAAGAAAAGCAACTTTGAGGACACCAACTACATCAAATTATCCATGAAAATCAAACTTTAGATACCTTTCCTTTTCTAGAAGGTGGAAAGCTAAGAATTCTATATGCTTGGTAGTAAAATCTTTCCACCAGTTCTACATTCTGAAATGATTTTTCAAGCCTGTGTAACAATTTTTGAAACATGTAAATACTAGTAGACATTCATAACCAAATCTGAATATAATTGATATAATCCCTTATGGCTTATGTTCCAGTATAAATTAATTATAAATTAAATTCATTATTCTTACATGGTAATTATTATATTACCTAATAACTGTTTTATGTAAACTGGTAAAAGTTTGAGATATTGATCTTATCTAAATTAGGACTTAAAAAAATTGAAAATCCTAAGGTCATTGGAGCCGAAACCAAGTTTACTTTTTCTCCCATGTGATAGTAGATTAGCAGACTATTGTTCTGGAGACTGATTCTCAATTATGCTGAGCCAGAATGGTTTGAATTGGTTCCATTTATTTCAGCCTGTCAAGAATCTTGGCTAAAAATCAACTGTGACTTTGATTTCAGATCAGTCAAGTAATTACTCATCAGGCAATATATAATTTAGGCATTTATATTTATTTTGTGATTCATTTACCAAAGAACCCCTAAAATAACAGTTCCCATTTTCTTTAGCCTGAATTTATCCCTTTTATGCATTCTACTTATTACAATTACTAAGAAGTGCTTTTTTACATATCTCCTCATCTAGACTCCACCATTCTGGAATGTCCTCTGGACATCATTAAAACCAGATGTTTTTAAATGTCATCATGCATATACTGAAATGATTATAAAATGAGAATTTTTTTTCCAGATGGTTTCTGTTCAGACAAGAATGCCAGTTTCCATTGGTTTGGAGGACACTTATTTCTAATAGCATAAAGTTGGTTGTGATTCAAAATATAGATTTTTTTTAGTGTCAGGCACAGTCCAACATTGCCTTTAAAGTGCTTTTTAAAATAGCACAAATTTTATTATAATTCATGTGTTTTTGTGCATATAATGATAATTTTGGTGTTTCATTTTTATTTATAGGACTATAATTTTGTCTTGATTTACACATCTGGAGATTTAACCAAGAAAAATGGTACATTTTAACTCTTTGGAACTCTTTGGAATGAAGACTTGTTATTTCCCTTATCTGTTATATTTTAGAAATTAACATGGCTCAACCACTGCAATACGCCTAAAAGGAATTTAGTGAAACTATTCTTTACTTATTTGCTCAACCTTATCATACTCGATGGAATATTATGTACTATTTAAATGCTTATAGATTCTCCCTGTTGGCCAACTTAGGGAAGTAACTCGCTTTGATTTTCTGAGATACACATGCACTATTAGCTGTTGACTGGTTTTCATACATCCCACATGTAGCTATGGACCATTAAAACAGAATGGTGTATAAAATACAATTTTTAAAATAATTTTAAATGATTAACAGATATAGCTACCAGTCATTCTTTTTATGGAAGATCCAAGGAAAGTTAGTGTAGAAATTAGACCATTTCTACCTATGATGGGAAAAAAGAAACAGATTTTCTTTCTTAAAAGAATGTAAGATTCAAATTTAAACTAGCAATGAAGAATGATGGCAATTATTACTTTGAATAGTTCATCTATAATGTTGTATTAAATGATTAAGATATGAATTATCTAACTTTTTGATTTTACTTTAATGTATAAGCAGTTACAATGTAAATAAAGCTACTGAGTTACCATTAATTTTTTGAAGATTCTGTACCAATGATATTAATAAAGAAGAAAAAAGGACAGCTGAAAAATTTAGATCAAAGTAGTTATTTGATATATTTTGAAAATAGCTTAAAAACATTCTTACACCATAAATAATAAAATTTTACTGTAGTAAAAAGATTAAAATATATATTTTATAAATAATATGGTAAAATTAGTTTATTTGACCACTTAGAAATTATCATTGCTATCATTTTCTAATTGGTTAGTTGTAGACATATTTATAATTTGTAAGGAAGTAAAAACTAAAAGCCATATAAAATGTTTTTAAATGTATTATTTGTTTCTTTTTTAGTTGCTATATTTTGATGAGAAATACAAATAAAAGCTTAATGTTTTACATATTTAAGGAAAGTATACATAGTTCAGATAAAGTTGAAGAGCTTTAGACAAAAATCTTTCTGAAAATTACCACTAAGATAAGCTTTAATTGTTAAACTGCCCATGTTGCTTACTTGGATACTGTCTTATAATTAGTTTCATAGTTTAGGAAAAAAAAATCATGTGAGTAGTTGTTGTGAATTTGGAAATGATATAGGTAAAAGTGTCCTTGTTGATGCTTTTATTGAAATATTTTATCATTTTTAAACCAGCAGTAAACATCTCATTTTCCCCTACTACTGTCTTCACTAATTTCTGTTTATGTGACTTTCCTTGAAATTAGTCAGCATATGCACATGTTATAAGCTGCTATTGTTCAGGGAAGCCTACATTCAAACATGACAATCTGTCTGTTCTTCAACAATTGTAACATACTTATCTAATATGGTGTGATACAAAAGGCTGAGATCACCAATGACCACCAACAGATTTACACTTAAAATTACTAGGCATTGTGAATGTTGAGATGATATTTAATATCAACGATGATATATTCTTATTCTTAATTTCAAACACAGTGGAATAGAACTATAGTACACTTTATAAGAAAGAAGTATGCTTTCAAATAAAGAAAGACATATTTCAACCATTGTCTTAGCCCGTTTGTGCTGCTGTAACAGAATACCATGGACTGGGCAGTTTATCAACAATAGAAATATATTTCTCACAGCTCTGGAGGCTGGGAGTCCAAGATCAAGGTGACAGAACATTTGGTGTCTGATGAGAGGCCAGTCTCTCCTGCAAGATGACACCCGTGGCTGTGTCTTCTGGAGGAGAGGAATGCTGCATCCTAACAAGGCCGAAGGCTGAAGGGGTGGAAGTGAAATAAAGGGTCCAATTCCCTCCATCAAAACCCTTTTATAAAGGCACTTAATCCCATTTATGAGGTCAGACTCCTCATGACTTAACACTTCCCAATAGGCCTCACCTATTAATACCATCATACTGGCCATTTAAAGTTCACATATGAATTTTTGGAGGGGACAAATTCAAACCATCGCAACCACACTGTTTTCTTGTCAGACTCTGCCAAGAGAAATATTTTAATTTCTGATTATCACAATTGCAAACTAGATTAATTACAAGAGAGTGGACAGAGTTGCAAAGGAGCTGGAAACCTTTATAGATAAAAAAATAACTGAAGAAACAGTCTCCTTTTCACTTTAATGGGAACATCTATGAAGAGAATTTTGAAAAAAATTCCAAAAAAGTTCCAAATACTTTTAGGAGTTGTTGCCTTGAACAGTATAATCAGACTTTCTAATGCTCCAGTGCTATGTTAGAACACACACTAAAATATTTTAGAAAAATTGATTTTCTAATCATGACAAGAATTAAACAATGGAAGAAACAGTTTTAAGAAGATTGGCCAACAACTTTGAAGAGTGGAGATGCTTACACTGTAGATGACTACAGGCATAAACTACCTGGAAGACCAATCCTCAGAAATGTTTGAGAGGGAATTACTGACTTATCTGAGAGAAAGTGATGAAAACAATATTATTCATCTTAACTAATATTTTAGGACATCTGTAGTTCATAAATTAACTCACTGAAGGAAAAAATACAACATTATTGTTTTTCAGATTCTTTCTACTTTTAAAATTTCAGCATGAAATCATTAGTGTTATTAACAGGGCATCTGTAATGCTGGGAAAGTAAGGCAAAAAGTAGAATGCATTTTCAAAAGACAATGCACAAAAACGTTGAACAGACTTTTCCCGATGAAGTCTTCTCAAGAGAAAAATCATGTTTTCCTTTCTATTTCCTGGCATTGATGGATCGTTTATAGCAGAAACTGCTTTGGCAAATGGCTCTTTTCGGGGAGTTTTGAGTAGACTTATTTTGATATTGACTACAACACTGCTTTATTTTACATGCTTGAATTATATGATTCCTGGCAGTGAAAATAGCACATTACACTTTTGAATTCATTTGACTTGAGACCCAATATCAGAAGTGAGTTAGTCTTTTCTGGATAAATAAAAACAAAACATGTTTGTATGTTTAATTAAAACCTGTCAAACAAGGGTCAAAAAAACATAATTTTCTCTGGATTTGGCAACACTAATATGCTGGTGTATGTTTTAAACTCTAGAGACAGTATTATTTGCAGAGCTTTCTATGTTTATGTAAATGTTTTTTTAAAGATATTTCAGAAAATTTATAAGAAATTATTTGTTAAATGTTTACTGAAAATGTGATATAAGTTATAGACACTACAGTAGATTCTAATGCCTCATTTTTTTGCAAATGGTTTTAATTAAATACATAATGTTCCTCATTTCACGTCATTAAGTATAGTTCATAGTCTACATAATATAAAAAGTACAGCTGAGTTATTTGTTTATATTTTGGTTTGCAAGAATACTTTTCATACTAGAGAGTATTTTAGTAATATATTTAAAGAAAAAACATTCAAATCTTTTTAAATATTGCAGACACAAAATGATGTCTACATTTTATGATAAGCAGTTTAAAAAGACAAAAATAAATTATAAGTGAATCAATTACTATGAGTAACAGTAAAATGATGGGCTATTAATATACCTGCAGTATCTTTTAATGAATTTTAATCAAAAAAGTTTTAAAAATGATACAAGATGTTTTATGTGGGCAGATCTTAGAATCTAAACCTACACCAATGGAGATTGTATTTGAATTTTATTTGAATCTTAAAGTATCAGCTTGAATGAAGACACTTAAATAACTATATTTTTTAGCGTTTGTGGTAAAAAGCTGCAGTGCCTCATTAAAGTAAGCATTGATGTTTGCTGGATCTTATCTTAAGTATCCTTCACCATTGTGTAGCAGTGAATATGCCATCTAGTTAACATTACCCTTTACGGTTATAGAACTCTGAATGGTTCCATCCCCTTTTTTTCCTTTTGATTCCTCATGCCTCGTTTTCAGTCATGTTTGAAAGTTAATGTAGTCCACACATACCTTTTTTCTTAACTGTGTGGAAATGTATTTGATATGTAGGCAGGGTGCTTAGCCCTAGAACTTTTCAGGCAATTGCCTCTCATCACCCATCTTACTTACTGATATCATGATGTTGAAAAATGTGCTTGATCTAGTGCTTATATAAAATTTCTAAACATACAGAAAGAATTTTCTATGATCATCCGAACTTATTTTAGTATATTTTGGATAAATCTGCCAAGAAAGAAATAAACTACCAATATTCCATGGAAGTGAAAGTGTTCAAATTCTTTACGGATCCTAAGATGAGTTGAAACCATATTAGATGGTAAAGTTCTTGACACAATGGTATTTGTTCTGGCTATTATAACCAATATTGGAATAACTACTCAAATAGCTATATAGATTTTTCTTTAATATCTGGTATCTCCAAGAAATGTCAAAATGATTATAAATTGCTATAGTATTTACTATGACCTTAAGGTGAAAGAAGAAAACGAATATAAAAAACACTGAAGCTTCTAATTGCCCAACAGTCTCAATAAGTTAATTTCCGAAGTCTCATTGAACTTTATTTCATCAAACCATACTAAATACTTCTGATTTTGAAATGTGGTTTTGTTTCAACTCCAAAGAGACAGACATAATCTTTTCCGCTCAAGAATTATTAGAGAATAAAGAGATTATGATTATAATTTTGCATAAAAAATAAAGCCAACTTTATGGAGAATTTTGATTTGGGAGTGATTTTTTTTCTCAACAGTTTTGTCTACCCTGTATTCTAATTCATGTATTATATTGGTTTGAATAGAAACCCAAGACTTTGAAATTCTTTCCTAAACAAAAGGCAAAGTCTTTGTTTTCAGTTATGTTCAAGGGCATTAAAGGGTTAACTAGATGAATTAACTAGTCGAACTGATAGCGAGAAAGAACTTGTTGTACTAGATAAGGCAACATCTTACATATTTGAAACACATTAAACTATTTTTAAATTGTTTTGGGAAGTGAGACAATACGCAAGAAGATTTGAGTGTGGGCAATGGTACAATGAAAACCATTTTGTATTCTGACGGGTCTAAGGACAAATTCTTAACCACTGAATTAACTTTTAAATGCTGATAAATCTGAATTTTTAAGTGTTTAAAATGAGTACATTGATCCCTATAATTGCCTGTGTTAAAATGTGCATTACTGGCCAGGCGTGGTGGCTCATGCCTGTAATCCCAGCACTTTGGGAGGCCGAGGCAGGTGGATTACATAAGGTCAGGAGTTCAAGACCAGCCTGACCAACATGGTGAAAACTGTCTCTACGAAAAATACAAAAAGATTACCCAGGTGTGGTGGCGCACGCCTGTAATCGCAGCCACTTGGGAGGCTGAGGCAGGAGAATCCCTTGAATCCTGGAGGCAGAGGTTGTAGTGAGCCTAGATCACGCCATTGCACTCCAGCCTGGGCAACAAGAGTGAAACTCCATCTAAAAAAAAATGTGCATTATGAATTAAATTCATTTATTGATAATATTGTTTAACATGTCAAAGTCATTTTTTTGGCTGAATGAATAGCACTATATGTTTGACAAAAGTTCTGGTCAACTGATTTTATATGTCTGCATTTGAGTGCTCAAGAAGATACCTTGTAAACAGATGTTGGTTATAATTAATCTTATCTTATGGGAATCTTTTGACTAGAATAAATATAAGTACAATTTTGCAGGTGCTGGTTAATTAGTTTTGAAAGCATAAAATAAAAAATACATATAAAGAGATAGTTTACCGTTTGTAAACCTGGCTCAAATATTCATAAACTTAAGGAAGGCAGACATGAACAGGTTCAGAACTTAAAATGATAGAGTAACAGAAAACAAACTCATGAATATGCAGCTATGCTTTGGAAAAACTTACTGAAACATCATTCTTTAAATTACATCATTGCCTGGGAGCCACATGGACTCTAAGACAGCACCTAGTTGTCCTGCTTATGACTGCCAAGTGAACCGCAGTCAACATCAGTCAACAATTTATATACTGATCTTGTATTGCTCTTGTCTTCCAGATTTGTTTCTTTCTCTGCCTTCAATAGCCTCTTTTTTTTTCTTTTGAGGCTAGGATAGAAAGTAACTACTTTAATATATACATCATTTTAAAATTTTACCTAGAGTATTAATGTAACAATTAATAGTTAAACATTTTTACTGTAATTTTTGCATGATATATGGCCCCCTGCAGATATAGAAGAATGGAGTCTGTTAAAACGTAAGTGGAGAAATTCAGTGAATGTAAAAGAGGGAAAACACACCAAGTGCTTTGAAGAATAGTACCACAGTATAGGTTTACCATCTAACAATTACACCTACCTGATACTGCCCTAGATAATCCCTATAAGCCCAGACAAAGCCTTACAGAGTTCTTGAGATAAGAATCATCTTTATCTAAACTACTGTTCGGACTGAGGACTATTCATGCGAGGGAGAATGTTAAGCTTCTGATTCCTTCCTTCTAAACTTTGGAAGCTGAATGATATTGTTTCTTAATTCTAACATTTATATTAGTTTGGTGCAAAAGTAATCACAGCTTATGCCATTAAAAGTAATGGCAAAAAGTAATATATTAAGTGCAAATAATGTGTCACACATTTCTTTAGAAAATAGAGCATAACGGTGAACTAAACCAATTTATTGCCCTCATGTGGCATGAACTCTGTTATTGGCGACAAAATAAATGAAAAAAAAAAGTAATATAATGCCCATAAGTATTATTTTTATGAAGAAAATTTGAAAAGATAAGATAGATGGTGAATTCTCTTTTACATAGTAAAAGCAGAGAATAATTCACTAAAAATATGACACTTGAACGCTCTCTATATAAATAGAATGTATGCACTATCTTCTTTGCTTTAAGGTTAATTAAGTAAGAAAGGCAGTACCCACCCAAAACTAATATCTAAAGGACTCAATTCTGGGATAATTCTCTTGGTGAAGACTTCTGAGAAGATTATTAGTTATTTAGGCTAATAATGGCCACATTCTTAATGATTCAAGGGAGCTTTAAAACCATTAGCAGGCTCTCAAGGAGACAGTGCTTTCATCTGATTATAGCTTCTGAGCAATAAGAAGCTGAGAATTGCTCAACATTTTGTTAATTGCCATGGGGCAGAAATCTTCTGGCAGCAAATGAACAGAAATTTGCTAGATTGGAAGCTGGTGAACACAGGTAGCATGCCCCAGGTTCATGCACTTAAAAGTTTTCTATGTATCCACCACATCCATACCCAGAAGCATCTCTGTCTGCTGATTATTGGCACATTACCCACTATTCAATTGATAGATTAGGTAAGTGCTTCTTAAACATTAGTAGACAAATATCAACTAGTTTGTTTAAACAAAAATTAATTTTGTTTAAAATGTAGATTCTGATTCAGTAGGTCTAGGACAGGGCCTGAGATTCTGCATGTCTACTACGAGATGATACCTATGCTATGAGTCCATAGACCATACTTTAAGAATGATCTAGATAGTGTGGAGTAGAGGTGATTTGGACTCTAAGAAATAAAGGAATGGGAAATAGAGCATGTGATTCAGGCCAGTAGACAGTTCTTGACAGCTGATGTAGATAACGAAGCAGAGAGCTAGAAAAGATGAAACAGAAAATGGCTTTAGGGGTCAACTCAGGGAAAAGAGATAATATAAGTTTTGGGTAAACAAACAATTATCTAAATAAGCATGAAAAGTCAGAACTGTGTAAGTCATAGGGCTTTTAAATTCTAAGGAAAAATGAGATGCTAATATTCTAGGGGTTTTTAATTAGTTAACCGGTATATTTACATACTGTCCCAGCTAAGTAAATATACCAAAATGATATCAGGCCCTAATATACTTAGAAAGACAAATCCTTTTCTGGGAAACAGGAAATGGAAATTTACAAATACAGAGATAGCCAATGTTTTTAAAATATTGGATAAAATAGATGTTCACTGGTGTATTAGAAAGGAAAATTCAAAATATATCAAGAACTATATCATGAGGAAAAGCAAAAACATTAACATAGTTCTGGGGCATCACAGTGAGTGTGCAAAACTCTGCATCCCAGGAAATTGAACTGCTTTTGATTCTCTTTATTGATTTGGAATAATGCATTTACCGTATCAAGAACAATATAAGAAGTGCCAGAGTCTGCGTAGATCTGATAAAAAATATTCACCACAATATCTTGGATTGAGTTTACAATGGTAGCACTATAATAGTATGATATCATCCACTGTGATTCATGTATATATTGTAGGATTCATAGAGGTAAAATTAAATGGAAATAAAATAGAGAACCATCTCTACTTCTCTTATGTCTTTGAATGGGACACCAATCTTGGCCATTTCACTGTGAGATACAGTGCCTCTAGTTTACTAGCTGGAGTGTGTGTGTGTGTGTTTGTAAGAGAGAGAGAGACAGAGAGGGGGAGAGAGAGAGAGAGAAGTTTCTGTTTTTCTTACTTGGCTTTTAAATCATTATGGCTGGCAGGGCGTGGTGGCTTTTCCTTGTAATTCCAGCAATTTGGGAGGCCAAGGTGGGAGGATCCCTTGTGCCCAGGAGTTTGAGACTAGCCTGGGCAACATGGTAAAACACTGTCTCTACAAGAAATACAAAGGAAATTAGTCAGGCATGGTGGTGTGTGCCTGTAGTCCCAGCTACTGGGGAGGCTGAAGTGAGAGGATCGCTTGGAGCCCAGGATGTTGAGGCTGCAACGAGCAGTGATCCTGCCACTGCACTCCAGCCTGGGTGACAGAGCAAGACCTGGTCTCAATAAAAACAAACCAAAAAAAATCATGACTGTAACATATCATGGAAACAATATGAGAGTTCTATCTACAACCAATTACGTCAATACCAATCATGCACTGAGGAACTATGGAAATTAACCACAATGTGAGCTATGGGTCTGGTGGACCCACTGAATTCACTGCAAGATAAATATGGTTCAGGATTCCATTTATCATCTGACTGAATATCCCTACTCTAACAAAGAGGAGATAATGGTGTTTTGGCACCCTTGGCATTAAATGTCAGTTGAGATTATATGTCTAAGAGCCCTTGAAATATGTATATACCTTTTACTCCAGTGTACCGTTACTAAGGTAAATGTCAGGGGAGCTTTGGTGAAAGGATAGGGAAAATATATATTTCATACTCCTGTTATAGAATTGCAGAGTTCTCCCTCAAGTGGCCCTGATCTCCACTTCAATATAACCTCTGGATCTGAGAACTGGCTTAGTTTAGTAAAGTGAATGAGGGACAATGGTTTTTTATAACTGTGGCTGATTTCACTCTTCTGCTTTCCAGATCTCAATTACTTTTTATTATGTTAGCCAAGCATTAACATCATCTAGCTTTGTGAATATCATGACCATTGCCAGGGATGCGAAAGATCAGTTTCCTAATTCCCATTTTTGCCTTGCTGTTCATTATGGCAATCATAAAACTTTGCTGCTGGTGATTAAATGCTACCATTTGCCTTCTCATTTTTCAAAATCATAGCATCCCTATTCAGAATAGGAACTCCAGATCAGCAACAATACCTCCTACCATTTATGTTGGACTGCAGTAGACAGCTACCACTGAGCTTCTCAATGATTTCATTGCCCCCTTTCTCAACATTTTAGGGAAGGGATTGGCTTCTGTATTCTCTTGGGAAACATAAACAGCTGGTGGCTATCTAGCCTTATATTATTAATCTATTATAGAACTATCTTTGTGAACCTTCTGTATTCTTCTTTAATATTTTGCCAAGGCATTTCAGCATTGCTCTCTCATTAACTCTAAGTCGTCTACAAAGTGAAATAAATATTTCCTTAAAGGTACTAAGTTCAGGCATCTTTGTCATGATGTTAAGTACGGATTCATGACAAAATGCCACCATGTCAATAAACTGTTCCCTCTCTGACCTTAACTTCTGTCCCTTACCTGACCCAGCACTCTAACATTTCATCTCCACATATGCATTTCTAGTTACTGCTGGTATATATTCGCAGCCTTCTGCAACTCTTTCAGAAGTCACTTCTTCACCCAAACAGGATAACACCTCTTTTATCTGCTCATGCGGAGAAATTAGTATCTGCCACTACCTCCCCTTATTTCTTCTGACTCTAGAAGAAATAAGGGGAGGTAGTGGCAGATATTAATGAGGACAAATGTCATATGTGATTGTTCTGCCCTGTTTAAGGAAATGGGAAGCTGTTCTCCATTAGCAAAGGACAGGGGAATCTGGGGAATCAAGTTGTTCACGCACATTCATTCAAATGGTACCATCCCAGCTCTCAGGGTCTCTCTTTCCCTACATGGTCTCTGATTTTAACATAATAGCTTACTGAGACTGTGAATTAATTTTTCTTTGTATATCTTTCACTGTTCGCATCAGTCTTACCCCAGAGTTTCAGCCCAGTCTGCCCTCTGATTATGAGATAATAACATCTTTAAATGCTGCCATGGAGACTCTCTAGTTTTCACAGAGTGTCTTGAATAGAAGTTAGCTGACCTGAGTTTCTCTTTCTCTTTCTCTGTTAATCGTTTCTACAGGACTTAACACAAGCCAAACAACTCCACAATTACTATAATTACTTCTCCTCAATAATATTCAAGAGCTTATGCTCTTGCATAAAACATTGCATGTCTCTGTGTATCAGTCCAATCCACCATAGGTGACAATCTAAACATTATTGTGATACCAGAAGTATTTGAATCCTGCATACCACTGGCATGATAATACTCATTGATAAATGACTGATAAGTAGTCCAATTCCAGAATTCTATTCTCAGGCTATGACCTCTGGGCACATTCCATATGCCAAATGACTTAAGAGGAGCTACGCTAAAAGCAGAGCCTGAAGTCAGTATCTGAGGAAGTTGCTTTGGAAGGTAAATCCAGGAAGCAATGGAAGGGAGTGGGAGAATGAAACACAGGAGGGAAGAAAGTCATAATGGGTGTGATAATAGGTGGGTTATACTTGTGGGTAACTGGAGTTTAATCCCACTGGAGACCTGTGTAGGAATATGCCCCAGAATTGTGCCAGCACTTGTCCCTGATGGATTGAGCATTGCTCCAGCGTGAGCCAAGCACCTTTTATAGCCAGAAAGCAGCCTAATGCAGAGAAACACGGAAAGATTTCCATGAGTATGGGAATTATCTTGGCTTCCTCCAAGTAAGCAGAGATTATGTGAGTGAGACATTGGCAGAGCCCGCTTCAGTGATTTAGCACTTGCTTTTACTTGTCTAATCCCAGTTTCCTTAGTTGTAAATTATGATTAATAATAGGAATTGCCTCACTAAGATAGTAAACCAGTCCTTGAGATATTTCAAGTGGAGTGCTTTACAAGATGTCTTGGACATAGAATGTATCTTATAAAATGCTAGCTATTACTCTTTTACATCTTTCCTCCTTGCATTTCCTACACAGTGTACAAACATCCTGAATATGACCCTGAAATCCCACTATATATCTTTCCTCATTTCAGTGTGTAACTCTTACCTGTGATTTAAAGTCCACCCAAATGCTCTTTTCGCCATAAAGATTTCTATTTCCTAAAGAGTTTGATTTTTTCTCAACCTTGAAGTATTACTACTGTTTCAGTCTGCTGCTTTTGCACTTCTATTTATTATGGTCATTTGGAAGTATATATACACATATATGGGTACACATATACATATATATAATATATTTGCGTTATATATAATGCTTTAGATCTTAAAACCTTTGAAGGCCAACTTTTCTATCATTTGTGTATCTCCTATTGTACACAGCTTAATGCTTACTAACTAAACTAAATCTGTCTTTCTGATTCAACATAGTGCCTCATATATGACAAATTGTGGCCCCATTCACATTATTGCAGTTTTAAGTATAAGAATTGAACACTTTTGATGAAGTTCTATGGATGCCAGTGGTAGATGGATGAACTGTTGGATATAAATGAACACAAATGAAATTGTAAATGTAATATTTATGTGGATATATTTAGGAATAGTTCAAAAGTTGATTATAAATTTGGAAAGGAAAGGAAAATAATACAGGATTATTACTGCAATTATTGCTCTTCAAAGGCATTGAAGGGCTCAAGGAGGAAAAGTTATGGACATGGAGAGATTATTTTAAATAAGTTTAAGAAGACATGGTCTCCCTGATTGTATATACGAGCCAATGAAAAAACTTCTTAATCACTCCATTGACTGAGGTAAGGGGTTTTGGAAGGAAAATCAGTGTGGGTTGGGGGAGATGAGAAACAGATCATTACATTTTGAATTGAGGTGAAGGTGGTTGCCCAAGCTATGTCATAAACAGATGTTTATAAAAATTCTTGACTTTATTCCAAAGAGCTCTTGCTTCCCTCCCATCTTATTTCCACAGTCATTATGCAAGTTCAGCTCTAAATTGCATCCCACATATTCCTGAAAGCATCTCCCACAAGGCTTTCCTAATCCTGAGTTCTTTCCTTTTGGGTACATTTTTAACTACCTTCCAAAATGACTCCTGTTTAGTATTTATTTTGTTAAATGATTTATTTCCACAAAATCTCCTAAAGCTTCATGAAATAAAATGGCCTCTGTTTGGTTTTCTGGGTTTTGTCCCATTATTCCATTTTAAAAATATTTTATATTTTCAAGACTTCCAAACTCTTCCTTCTTTCTCCTGTCTTCTGCTATACTTTTTCCTACCTTCCTTTACTGCATTACAAAGCCTATTCTCTTCTATTTTCTTAGTCCTGTCATCTGGTCATGAAGCAGCTACAGAGTCAGCATTGGAACTTCCCATGTTAACTCTGGAGTCCCCCTGCCTGACTTGCAGTCCTAACTGCACCACTTAATATCTGTGTAATCATGGGCAACTACTTAGCGTTTCTCACTCAGTTGTTTAAATTATGAAATGAGGCTGCTAATCATACCCACTTATGGTTGTTGAAAGTATTAGGTGAGATAGAACATATTAAGCATGTGGCAAATAGTAAACAATAAAGGCTAGTAGTTATTTTATTATCACTAACTACATTGTTACTCTTCTCTGAACCCTTTTATTATAAAAATTATGTGCACATTGCATTGCTTTGTTGATGAGTGTTTAATGTGCATTGTTGTTATATTTCCAACTATATTATAAAATCTGGAGTACAGAATTCATGGTTTGTACTTCTATTTCTATTACAGCTAAATTTATAAGAAGTGCTAGACAAATGCTAATAGGCTTCATAAATGCTGAACCTGAAAATTGGACTGGGAATCGTAAACCAATATGATTGTTCAAGAAATAATCATATAAAATAACTAATGGAAGTAAGTAGAAAATTATAAAAGCTGTTGCAATAAGATCAACCTATATTTTAGTTTTGTTGTTGACATATCACATTTGTCTTTGGAATAGTACAGATGGAGAAAAAGACATGTTTAATGATCCTGGTAAAAAGAAATGAAAAAGCATTTTTATACCCTCTGAGCAATGGTATTTTGATTTTCTTCTTTCCCATGACACCATTTCCAAGAAGGAAAAATATGAAGATGACTCTATTGGGAAGGTAAACCAAATACAAGTCAGGAAAAGTGGGGCCAAGTTAATTATGTCTCAATTCTCTATGTATAATTTAAAACTTCCACCTCCAATTCACATTCAAGAATGTGGAATGTGAGCTAAAGGCTATGAAGCATTATACATGCAATCATAAATGTTCACATTTTGTAATGTAAAATTTGTTTTTACATATGCTTTTTAAAAATAATTAGAATGTTCATATCTTTAATAGGAAAACCAGTGACATTTCAGGAAAATGTGAATATGTGTTGTATACAAATGAGAGATGATTTGAATTATTTTAAAAAAATTTTGTATTTTTAAAAAATCTTTGTGGGTACATAGTAGGTGTATATATTTATGAAGCATGTGAAATGTTTCAATACAGGCATGCAATGTGAAATACACACATCATGGAGAATGAGGTGTCTATCCCCTCAAGCATTTATCCTTTCAGTTGCAAAAAAACATCCAATTACATTCCTTAAGTTATTTTAAAATATACAATTAAGTTATTATTGACTATAGTGATCCTATTGTGCTATCAAATAATGTGTCTTATTTATTCTTTCTATTTTTTTGTACCCATTAAACATCTCCACCTCCTTCCTAACCCCCAGCCTTTGGTAACCATCCTTCTACTCTTCCCAGCCTCAGGTAACCATCCCTCTACTCTCTATGTCCATGAATTCAATTGTTTTGATTTTTTAAATCCCACAAATAAGTGAAAACATGCAATGTTTGTCTTTCTGTTCCTGGTTTATTTCACTTAATGCAATGATTACCAGTTCCATCCATGTTGTTGCAAATGATTGGATCTCATTGTTTTTAATGGCTGAATAGCACTTCAATGTCTAAATGTACCACAGTTTCTTTATCCATTAAACTTTTTCTGGACACTTAGGTTACTTCCAAATTTTAGCAATTGTAAACAGTGCTGCAACAAACATAGGAGTGCAGGTATCTCTTCCATATACTGATTTCCTTTCTTTGGGGTATACCTAGCAGTGGGATTGCTGGATCATATGGTAACTCAATTTTTAGTTTTCTGAGGAACCTCCAAATTGTTCTCCGCAGTAGTTGTACTAATTTACGTTCCCACCAACAGTGTACAAGGGTTCCTTTTTCTCCACATCCTCGCCAGCGTTTGATATTGCCTGTCTTTTGGATATAAGCTGTTTTAACTGCGGTGAGATGATATCTCATTATAGTTTTGATTTGCATTTCTCTGATGATCAATGATGTTGAACGCCTTTTCCTATGCATGTTTGCCATTTGTCTTCTTTTGAGAAATGTCTATTCAAAATTTTGCCCATTTTTCATCAGATTATGAATTTTTTTCCTATAGAGTTGTTTGAGTTCCTTATATATTCTCGTTATTAATCACTTGTCAGAGAGGTAGTTTGCAAATATTTTCTCTCATTCTGTGGATTGCCACTTCCCTTTGTTGATTGTATTCTTTGCTGTGCAGAATCTTTTTAACTTGATGAAGCCCTATTTGTCTATTTTTGATTTGGTTGCCTGTGTTTGTGGGGTATTGTTTAAGAAATCTTTACCCATACAGATGTTCTGGAGATTTACCCCAATGTTTTCTTCTAGAAGTTTTATAGTTTGAGGTCTTAGATTTAAGTCTTTAATCCATTTTGATTTAATTTTTGTATATGGCCAGAGATAGTGTTCTCGTTTCATTCTTTTGCACATGGATATTCAGTTTTCCCAGCACGATTTTTTGAAGAGACTCTTTTTTCCCCAGTGTATGTTCTTGGCATTTTGTCAAAAATGAATTTACTGTAGTTGTGTGTATTTGTTTCTGGGTTCTTTGTTCTGTTCCATTGGTCTATGTGTCTGTTTTTATGCTAGTATCATAATGTTTTGGATACTATAGTTCTATAGTGTAATCTTATGCCAGTACCATGATGTTTTGGATACTCTAGCTCTATAGTATAGTATACTATAGATCTGTATAGAATAAATATAGTGTATGTAGGATAACATAGTGGAGTATAGTATAACTTTATAGTGTAAGTCAGGTAATGTGATTCTTCCAGTTTTGTTATGTTTGCTTAGAATAGCTTTGGCTATTCTGGGTCTTGTGTGATTCCACATAAATTTTAGGGTGGTGTTTTGTATTTCTGTGAAGAATATCATTGATATTTTGATAGGTATTGTGTTTAATCTGTATATTGCTTGGGGTAGAATGAATATTTTAATAATATTGATTCTTCAAATCCATGAATATGAAATGTTTTTCCATTTTTTTGTGTTCTCTTCAATTTCTTTCATCAATATATTACAGTTTTCATTAGAGAGATCTTTCACTAATTTGGTTAACTTAATTCCTAGGTATTTAATTTTATGTGTGGCTATCATAAATGGGATTACTTTTAAAATTTCGTTTTTTCTTGTTCACCATTGGCATATGGAAATGCTACTGATTTTTTATTTTGATGTTTTTTTTATCCTGTAACCTTAGTGAATTTGTTTATTAGCTCTAATAGTTTTCTTTCTTTCTTTTTTTTTTTTCTGAGACATAGTTGCACTCTGTTGCCCAGGCTGGAGTGCAGTGGCATGATCTTGGCTCACTGCAACCTCCGCCTCCCATATTCAAGCAATTCTCCTGCCTCAGCCTCTTGAGTAGCAGGGATTACAGGCATGTGCCACATCACCTGGCTAATTTTTGTAGTTTTAGTAGAGATGGGGTTTCACCATGTTGATCAGGCTGATCTTGAATTCCTGACCTCGTGATCTGCCTGCCTTAACCTCCAAAAATGCTGGGATTACAGGCGTGAGCCACAATGCCTGGCAGTTCTAATAGTTTTCTTCTGGAGGCTTGAGTTTTTTTTGTTTTTTTTTTTTTTTTAAATATGAGGTTATAGCTTCGGCAAACAAGAATAATTTGATTTCTTCTTTTCCAATTTATATCTTTCTTTTACCTGATTGCTCTAGATAGTACTTCCAGTACTATCTTGAAAAAGAGTGGTGACAGTGGGCATCCTTGTAGTTTTCCAGATCGTAGCAGAAAGGCTTTCAGTTTTTCTTCATTCAATATGATACTAGCTGTGGGTCTTTCATATATGGTTTTTATTATGTTGAGATTTGTTCCTTCTATACCCAGTTTTTGAGGGTTTTTTTTTTTAAACTTGAAGGGATGTTAAATTTTATCAAATGCTTTCTTAGCATCAATTGAAATGATTATATGGTGTTTATTCTTCATTCTTTAATATGATGTATCACATTAATTGATTTGTATATGTTGAACCATCCTTGCATTCTAGGAATAAATCCCAGTTGGTCATGATGAATGATCTTTCTAATGTATTGTTGAATTCCGTTTGCTAGTATTTTGTTAAGGATTTCTGCATGAAAGCTCTTCAGAGATGTTGGCCTATAGTTTTCTTTTTTTTTAGTGTGTCTTTGTCTGCTTTTGGTATCAGGGTAATACTGGCCTTGTAGAATGAGTTTGGAAGTATTTTCCCCTTCTGTATATTTTGGAATGGATTGAGTAGGCTTGATATTAGTTCTTCTTTAAATGTCTGGTAAAATTCAGCAGTGAAGCCATCAGATTCCAGGCTTTTCTTTACCAGAGACTTTTTATTATGTCTTTGATCTTGTTACTTTTAATTGGCCTGTTTAGGTTTTCGATTTCTTTGTGATTCAATCTTGGTATGTTTTATGTATCTAGGAATTTATCAATTTCTTCTAGACTTTAAATTTATTGGCATATAGTTTCTTAGAGTAGGCATTAATGATTTTTTTGAATTTCTGTAGTAACACTTGTCTATTTTTCCATTTCTAGCTTTATTTATTTGGATCTTCTCTCTTTTCTTCTTAGCCTGGCTACAGATTTGTCAATTTTGTTTAACTTTACAAAAAATAAAAAAAAAACACATTTTTTTCCTTTGACCTTTTGTATTTTTTTATTTCAATTTCATTTATTTCTGCTCTGATCTTTATTATTTACTTTCTTCTAAAAATTGTGGGTTTAGTTTATTCTTGCTTTTCTAATTGTTTATTTGAAGTTTTTCCTTTTTTGATGTAGGCCACTTATAGCTATAAACTTCCTTCTTAATACTGCCTTTGCTGTATCTTATAGGTTTTGGTATGCTGTGTTTCCATTACCATTTGTTTCAAGAAGTTTTTCAATTTTCCTCTTAATTTCTTCACTGACCCCTGGTCATCAGGAGTATATTGTTTATTTTTAGGTATTTGTATAGTTTCCAAGATTCCTCTTGTTATTACTTTCTAGTTTTATTCCATTGTGGTCACAGAAGATGCTTGAAACTGTTTCAATTTTTTGAATGTTTTAAGACTTGTTTTGTGATCCAACATATGTTCCATTTTTGAGAATGATCCACGTGCTGAGGGAAATAATGTGTATTCTGCAGCTTTTGGATGGAATGATCTACACATATCCATTAGATCCATTTGGTCTATAGTGCAGATTAAGTCTGATATTTCTTTGTTGATTTTCTGTCTGAAATATCTGTCCAATGATGAAAGTGGGATGTTGAAGTCTCCAACTGTTATTGTATTGGGGTTCTCTCTTTAACTCTAATAATATTTTCTTTATATATCTGGGTGCTCCCATATTGGGTGCATATATATTTAAAATTCTTATATCCTCTTTCTGAATTGGCACCTTTATTACTATATAGCGACCTTTATCTCCTCTTATAATTTTTTTTTCTTGAAACCTATTTTGTCTGATATAAGCATGGCTATTATTCCTCTTTTTTGGTTTCTATTGGCATGGAGTATCTTTTTCCATCCCTTTATTTTCAGTCTATATGGGTCTTCATATGTGAAGCGTGTTTCTTGTAGGCAACAGATCAGTGGTTCTTGTTGTTCCATTCTTTCAGCCAGTCTATGTCTTTTGATTGGTGAGTGTAGTTCATTCACGTTCAGTGTTATTATGGATGAGTAAGAACTTATTCTTGATATTTTGTTATTTGTTTTCTGGTTGTTTTGTGGTATTCTCTTGCTTCTTTCTTTTATTCTTGTCTTCCTCTAGTGAAGATGATATTTTCTGGTGATATAATTTAGTTTCTTGCTTTTCATTTTTTGTGTATCCATTGTATTTTTTTTATTTGAGGTCACCATGAGGCCTGCAAATATTCTTTTAATTTATTATTTTAGCCTGATAACAATATAACACTATTTTCATAAACAAACAAGCAAAAATAAAATTAATAAAAACTCCCTTTGAAGACATACATGTGGCCACCAAGCATATGATAAAAAATTCAACAACACTGATTATTAGAGAAATGAAAATCAAAACCACAATGAGATACCATCTCGCACCAGTCAGAATGGCTATTCTTAAAAAGTCAGAAAATAACAGATGCTGGCAAGGCTGTGGAGAAAAGAGAACATTTATTCACTGTTGATGGGAGTGCAAATTAATTCAACCATTGTGGAAAACAGTATTGTGATCGCTCAGAGCTAAAAGCAGAAATACCATTTGGCTCAGCAATCCCATTACTAGGTATATACTCAGAGAAATATAAATCATTTTACCATAAAGGCACGTGCATAAAAATATTCATTGCAGCACTATTCACTATAACAAAGACATGGAATCAATCTAAATGCCCATCAGTGACAGGCTGGATAAAGAAAATGTAGTATATATGCACCATGGAATACTAAAAAAGAATGAGATCATGTCTTTTGTAGGAATATGGATTGCGCTGGAGGCTATCATCCTTAGCAAACTAAGTCAGGAAGAGAAAATCAAATATTACATGTTCTCACTTATAAGTGAGAACTAAATAATAAGAAATTATAACCACAATGAAGGAAACAACAGACCCTGTGGTCTACTTGAGGGTGAAGGGTAGGAGGAAGGGGAGGAACTATTGGGTACTGAGCTTAATACGTGGGTGATGAAATAATCTGTACAACAGACCCCCATGACACATGCTTACCTATGTAACAAACCTACACATGTACCCCCAAACCTAAAATAAAGATTAAAGAAATAAAGTGAACATGATCATTGGAAATAAAAGATAAACACAGATGCAGTATTATTTAAAAATAAAACCTTAAATCTATGAAAATAATCATAAGTTTCCAAATAATATCATTCAGTATAGTGACATTTTAGCTAGGTTTAAAGATCACATCCATGTAAAAAAATAACTTATGAATGAAAATAGTGGTAAAATGTGACCATGATAAGAATGTGATTGTTTAACTTAAGAACTTTTATGGTAAATCACTAGGGCTATCAGTCAAATATTTTTTGGCTCTTCCCATGGGGGCAGGGGGGTGATTTTATCCCCTCACTACCCTCGCTTTTTAACTTTTTATCTTATCTATTCATATCTCTTTGTACTATGTCTTGAAAAGTTGTAGTTATTATTTTTATTTGTTTATTGTTTAGCCATCCTACTTAAGATCAGAGCAGTTTAAACACCACAGTTACAGTGTTATAATAGCCTGTGTTTTTCTATGTAGTTGCTATTACTAGTAAGTTTTGTACCTTCAGGTGAGTATTTATTGTTCATTAATTTTATTTGCTTTCTAAGTACCCCTTTAGCATTTCTTGTAGGACATGCCTGATACTGAAGTCCCTCAGCTTTTGTTTGCCTGGAAGTCTTCATTTCTCTTTCATGTGTGAGGGATATTTTTGCTGGATATTCTATTCTAGGGTAAAAGTCTTTTTTTTTTTTTCTTTCAGCATTTTATATGTGTCATGCCACTTTCTCCTGGCCCATAAGGTATCCACTGAAAAGTCTGATGCCAGATGTATTAGAGCTTCATTGTATGATATTTGTTTATTTTCTCCTGCTGCTTTTAGGATCTATTCTTTATCCTTGACCTTTGGGAGTCTGATTATAAAATGCCTTGAGGTAGTTTTCTTTCGGTTAAATCTGCTTGTTGTTCTATAACCTTCTTGTACTTGGATATTGATATTTTTCTCTAGTTTTGTAATGTTCTTTGTTATTAACACTTTGAATAAACTTTCTACTCCTATTTCCTTGTCTATATCCTTTTTAACGCCAACAACTCTTAGATTTGCCCCTTTAAAGCTATTTTCTAGTTCTTGTAGGTGTGCTTCATTGCTTTATATTCTTTTTTCTTTTGTCTTCTCTGACTGCATATTTTTAAATAGCCTATCTTCAAGCTCACTAATTCTGTCTTCTGTTTGGTCCATTCTGCTATTAAATGACTCTGATGCATTTTCTTTAGTATGCCAGTTACATTTTTCAGCTCCAGAATTTTTGCTTAATTCTTTTAAGTTATTTCAATCTCTTTGTTAAATGTATCTGACAGAATTCTAAACTCCTTCTCTGTCTTATCTTGAATTTCTCTGAGTTTCTTCAACATAGCTATTTTGAATTCCCTATCTGAAAGGTCACATATCTCTGTTTCTCCAGGATTGGTCCTTGGTTTCTTTCTTTTTTTTTTTTTCTTGGTCCTCTTGTTTTATTTTTTTATTTTTTATTTATTTATTTTTTTTTATTATACTTTAAGTTTTAGGGTACATGTGCACATTGTGCATGTTAGTTACATATGTATACATGTGCCATGCTGGTGCGCTGCACCCACTAATGTGTCATCTAGCATTAGGTATATCTCCCAATGCTATTCCTCCCCCCTCCCCCCACCCCACCACAGTCCCCAGAGTGTGATATTCCCCTTCCTGTGTCCATGTGATCTCATTGTTCAATTCCCACCTATGAGTGAGAATATGCCGTGTTTGGTTTTTTGTTCTTGTGATAGTTTACTGAGAATGATGATTTCCAATTTCATCCATGTCCCTACAAAGGACACGAACTCATCATTTTTTATGGCTGCATAGTATTCCATGGTGTATATGTGCCACATTTTCTGAATCCAGTCTATCATTGTTGGACATTTGGGTTGGTTCCAAGTCTTTGCTATTGTGAATAATGCCACAATAAACATACGTGTGCATGTGTCTTTATAGCAGCATGATTATTTTGTTCATTTGGTGAGGTCATGTTTTCCTGGATGGTGTTGATCCTTATAAATGTTATTCAGTGTCTGGGCATTAAAGAGTTAGATACTTATTGTAGTCTTTATTTTGGGGGCTTTTTGTAGCTGTCCTTTTCGGGATGGCTTTCCAGACATTTGCAAGGACTTGGTTGTTGTGATATAAGCTGTTTCTGTTTTATGGGGTACCCCAAGCCAAGTGATGCTGTGGTTCTTGCAGACCCATAGAGGTACCACCTTGATGGTCTTGGACAACATCCAGAAGAGTTCTTTTGTTCTCTTCCTTTACTTTCTCCCAAACATACAGAATCTGTGTATGACTCCTTTCTGGGCCACCTAAACCTGGGGTTGGAGTAACACAAGCACCCTTGTGCCACCACCACTATGAATGCCTTGGGTCAGAAGACCTGAAACCAGCACAGTGCTGGGTCTTGCCCAAGGCCTGCTGTAAACACTCCCTGGCTACTGCCTTTGTTTGCTCAAGACCCTGCGGCTCTACAATCAGCAGGTGACAAAGCCACTGTGTTTCTGCCTTTAGGGCGATGAGGTCCTCAGGCCCTGGATGGGTTCATAAGTTCCATCTGGGATTCAGGAACTAGAGTCAAAAACCTTAGAAACCTACCTGGTATTCTATTGTGCTGTGGCTGAGCTGACACTCATACCACAAGACTCAGTCCTTCCCACTCTTTCTTTCCCTTTCCAAAGGCAGAGGATCCTCACCCTCTAGCCACTGCCACCTCTGGCTAGGGAGGGCACTGCCTGGATACCATCGATGTCTCTTTAAGGCCCAAGATCTCTTAAATCAGCTTGTGGTGAATGCTGCACAGCCTGGGACTCACCCTGGCAGTGGGCTTCCCTCTGGCCTAGGCCAGGTCCAGAAATGCTGTCCAAGAGTCAAATCCTAAAATCAGTAACCCAAAGAGCCCACTTGGTGCTCTAGCCCCCTGTGGCAGTGTTGGTACTTAAGGTACAAGACAAAGTCCCTTTAATTTTCTCTATGCTTTTCTCAGGCAGAAGGAGTTTTGACATGTAGACACCATAGGTGGTAATGTTCTGAGTCTCACCTGAAGCCAGCAAATCTCAGAAGCTTCCCAAGGCCCTCAATGTAGTACCTGGGTATCGCTGCTGGTTATTCAGGGCTCAAGTGCTCTTCAGTTAGCAGGTGATGAATACCAGCAGGACTGGGTCCTTTCCTTCAAGACAGCAGCTTTCCTTCTGTTCCAGGGTGTGTCTAGAAATGTCATCTGGAAGCCAGGCCCTGAAACAGAGGCTTCACAACTTTGACCAGTGCCCTATTCTGCTATGGCTGAGTTGGTATCCAAAATGCAAGACAAAGTCCTCCTCACTCTTCCCTTTCCTCAAGCCAAAGGAAGGGGTCTCTTTTGGAGCCATGAGCTGGGAGGCATGATGCTAGTACTTCCCTGGCTGCCCTGGCTGGTGTCTCAGTATGTCACATGCCCCTCCAGTCCACTGTCCCTGGGCCTAGTTCACCACTAGGATTTGCCTAGGGGTTGTAGTCCTTATGGCTTGGACTGCCCTTCAAGTTTACTTAGAGACCAAGAGCACTTTGGCCCTTGGTGGCAAGGATTGTGGTCACTCAATTTCAGACAGCTGGATCAGTGATTCTCCCTGGCTATGGCTGGTTTAAATGCCCCATCTGTGGGTAGAGTCAGCTGAGTTTGGTTCTGGTTTCCTTTCTGCTGTAGCAGGACAGCACTGAGTTCAATGCCTCACAGTTGCTGTGTTCTCCTTCTCCCAGTGCTCAGAGATGCTCTCAGCACAATCCATCTGCTGCCAGGGTAATGGAAAGGTGGTGTCAGCGATTCAGAACAGTTTTTTCTATCTCTTCAGTATCTTTGTCAGCAATATGAAGCTAAAACAAGGTACCATGAATGCTCACCTGATTTTTGGTTCTTATGAAGGAGTTTTATCTGTGTAGATAGTTACTAACTTGGGGTCCTTGCAGGGGGAATAATTGGTGGAGTTTTGTCTTCCACCATCTTGCTCTGCCTCCCAGTCTGTGTTTAATTATTAATGGTGAAAATATTGTGACTATATATAGGTGATTATATCTAACAATATCACTACATTTGTGGACTTATTCAACCTTGGAACCTTTAGATATATTGGGAAAGCATATTATTTGTTAAAAAGCTAAAACTAAATTAAGACTTGCTGTGAAATATTTTAATTCTCAATTAAATTTTCTTAAATCTGCTTTTCCAATCCAGAAGAGTGTACTTAGCTATTATTTCTTGGCAATTTATTATGTACCAAGTGTTTTACATAGGCTAACACATTTAATTATGGAAATTAATGAAATAGGTATTGTCCTCCTTATTTTGAAAATAGGGGATAAGATTGGAGGAAATAAGCAACTTCCGCAAGTATACACACAGCTCTCAAATGATAGGACCTGAATTTAAACCCAAAATTTGTTTTAATTAAAAAAAAAAACCCCTAATGTTGAATTGCACAAAACCCCAAACACATCAGTAATTGGCGCTGTGAGTTTAAGCTGTTTATTCAATACCATTTTTTGTGTGTTTGTTTGTTTCATTGTTGATTGTTTTTGTACTTTATCCTATAAAGACAATATAACATAATTTCCAGACCCAAACTTTGGAGCCACACTGCCTGTATCTGAACATCAGATCTTGTGTTTGTTCTCTGCATGAACTTGCACAAAATATGTCAATTCTCTGTGCCTCAATTTTTCTATTCGTAAAACTAAGATAATATACTACCTTATGGGGTTGTATGAGGATTAAAATATTTAATATTTTTAAAATACTTAAAAGAGTTTTTAGAACATCTTAAGAACTCTAGAAGTATGTTATTATTGGTTATGAAGTGCAAAGGGTGATGGCTGTTTTCAATTATTTCACAGAATTGTGAAGATAAGTAAATGCGTTAGTGGCCATTAATGTGTCTCATGTAATGGAAAGTGTCTTATGACTTAATATATTATTATATCAGTTGTTTACATTTATATGCCAATGGAAAGAAATATAAATTGATGAGATATGCATTTAAGTATAGAGATAGATATTAATACTAAGCTGAGAATGCTTAATATTACTCTTATAAGAAATATTCATCAAAATTTTAAAAATAACTGGCTTGAAGTAAGTCACGTTGGATAATATAGAAATCCTTTACTGGCTTTGGAAAGTAAATTGTAAAAATAAATTATATTATTAAAAATTTTGATACAAAATCAGGACTAAAGATAAAATGTTGAGACATTCATGTATGTTTCACTTAATACTTCTTTTTGTTCCTTCTTAAAGTTTTTTAGGATGTTTTTATTTCTAATACACATTTAAGATTTTATTTGTACATGTATGTATTGTTATATATATACAAACTCCTCTATTCGCACATCACTTCAACCATCTAATGGTTTTTGGGGATGAGCCACATGGCACATACTTGGAAATAATTTCTTTTAACAAGAACCATAGGGTATTTCATGGCTTGCAATGTAGGCACTGACTCCAGCTGTATGTGCTGCTTCACATTGACTGGGATGCAAACAGATAAAATATGTTTACATTTCCCCAAAGCAAATTATTTGAATTCATGGCCATCTGTCTGAAAGGTAAGAACACATCTAGCTTATAAACACACACTTAATCTGTGGTTATTTTAAAATTTATGAGTGGATAGGTACAGTCTAATCAGTCTGCAATCCAAAATGTTAGCCATGAATTCAAAAGACGGGGGCAGAGTGAGGAGGGTGCTGTAGGGGAGAAATAAATTGGAGACTGCCTAATGCAGAATTTCCTATACCTGGATCTTTGGTGTCTGTGACCACCAACAGTGTTTCCTCCACTGAAGCAGTCTGGCTTAAATGTGTCTGGTGTGCATTTTACCTGACCTGAGAGGTCTGGTAAAGAGATTTATCTGGTAAATGACATAGAGACTGCCAGATTCAACATAAGATTCTTTTAAGTATACAGCAGCATATGCTGCCAGTGGTAGGTTATTTGATTTCTTTTCCTTTTAGCCTTTTCTTTTGAGGATGTTCCAAGAATATTGATTACCTACATTAAAAATTTGTACTCTCCATGGAGAAACGTATTGCTTCCCTCCCAGTAGTAATTATATGTTTAATGCAGATTATTATAATAAATATATACAGTAGAGTTGTAGATTTAAATAAAATTAATTTTCTCAATGAATCAATCACCTATTGTTACTTTGCAATGAGTTGTTGGCATTTTTACTTAAAATAATGGTAATAATAATAAAAATAAAACTAACACTTTTTGATGAAGAGGTATTGGTACAGTGCAGAAATTTACATTATGGAACACATACTATGTGCCAGACAATTTGCTTCTGACTTTATATATTCATTTTAAAATTCATCTTCTCTACCATCTTGAAAAATGAGAAAAATAAAATAGTGAGAGTTAGACATTCTTGATTAAAAGTCTGTCTAATGTAAAAAAAGTCAGTGCATTTTTTTGTTTTGATTTTTTATAATAAGTATCTTATTTTAGAGAAATTTTAGATTTACAGAAACTTTGTGAAGGCAGTGCAAGGACTTTCCCAATACCCCACACCCAATTTCCCCTATTCACATGTGAAGTATATGTGGTAGTTTCATCACAATTAGTGAATTATTCCTGTTCTATTATTATGAATTAAAGTCCATTCCTTATTTAGATTTATTAGTTTTTACATAATGCCACTTTTTTTTTTCTGTTCCAGAATCCTGTCCAGAATACCACAATATATTCAGTCATAATGTCTCCTTAGGCACATCTAAACGGTGACAGTTTCTAAGATCTTCAAGTTTGTGATGACCTTGGTTGTTTCGAGAAAGTATCGATCAGATATTTTGTAGAATGCTCATCGATAGTAGTTTGTGAGATGTTTCTTCATGATTAGATTGGGATTTTGGGTTTTGTGGAGGAAGAACAAAGACATGAAGTGCCTTTTCATCACATCATATCAAGAGTACATACTATGAACACAACTTATCACTGCTGAGGTTAACCCTCATCATCTGACTGAGCTAGCTTTATCACGTTTCTCTGTTGCAAAGTTATTCTTTTTCTCAGTTTTTCATACTGTAGTCATTGGAAGGAAGTCACTATGTACAGCTTGCATTTAAGGGATGGGGAGTTGTCACTGATATCCTTGAGGGATGTGATGGTTAATTTTATGAGTCAACTTGACTGGCCCAGATAGTTGGTCAAACATTATTCTGGATGTTTCTGTGAAAGTGATTTTTAGATGAGATTAACATTTAAATTAGTGGTCTTTGAGTGAAGCATAGTACCTTCCACAATGCAGGTGGAACTTTTATGCAATCAGTTGAAAGCCTTAACAGGAAAAGACTGACCTCTCCTGAGCAAAAAGGAATTCTGCCAGCAGACTCAAAATGCAGCTCTTTCCTGAGTCCCCAAACTGCCAGCCTACCCTGAAGATTTTGGATTTATCAAGGCTCCATAATCTCATGAACTAATTTCTTAAAATCTCTCTCTCCTGTCATATATGTGTATGAATGTGTGTATGTATACATATATGTGCATATATGTACACCTGCATATATGTATATGTGTATGCATGTATAGATACATATACATATGTCTATACATGTCTATATGCACATATACACATATATGCATATAGACATATGTCTATATGTATATATACATATATGGGTATACATGTATGTATGTATATATGTATACATGTATATATGCTTTTGTGTGTGTGTACATATACACACACACACATACACACATTTTGTTGGTTTGCTTCTCTGAAGAACCCTGACTAAAACAAGAAGGTTCTATCTACATAAGTTATTTGGAATTCTTCTTCATAGATTTGTCTATTCTCCCCATTCATTTATTCAATAACTTTTTTAGGTCAGTTTGCACTCATAGATGTTTATTTTATGCTTTGAGTTATAATCTAATAGTACCTTATTTTGTTGTGAAATGTGAATTGTCTATACTTACCGGTTTGAAGCCCAGAGAAATTCAGATAATGAATTTCCCTAACGTCTGTACCATTCCCAACTTGATACACTTGCAACCACACTGCTAAGAAAAAAAAAAGTGTATATGTTTATTAGCTAACCTGGGTTGTAGTGGCATGTAATTTGACTATAGTTTTTCAGTAGGAAATTGGGTATAAATCGGTAGGAAGTTGGGCATAATTCTGATATGAGGGGTCAGGAGGAGAAGGGTATTTGAGGAAGATGTTTTTACTACCCTGATGAGGAAATCTTTGGAACAGGAAGAAAAGCTGGAGTTGAAGGCACCATCTGTGTGTATCACAATTACACAAGGACGTAGTATTATAAAGATGGACCGTAAGAATGTCTTAAAATAACAAAGCTGGAGGCATCTGTCAAAGGTCTAATATCCAGCATCTATAAGGAACTTAAACAAATTCCTAAGAGGAAAACAAACAACCCCATTACAAAGTGGCAAAGGACATGAGCCAACACTTTTCAAAAGAAGACATTCATGCAGCCCACAAGCACATGGAAAAAAGCTCAACACCACTGATCATTAGAGAAATGCAAATCAAAACCACAATGAGATACCACCTCACACCAGTCAGAATGGCTATTCTTAAAAAGTCAAAAAATAACAGATGGTGGCAAGGTTGTAGAGAAAAGGGAACACTTATACACTGTTGGTGGGAGTGTAAATTAGTTCAACCACTGTGGACAGCAGTATGGTGATTCCTCTAAGAGCTAAAAGCAGAAATACCATTTGACTCAGTAATCCCATTATTGGGTATATACCCAGAGGAATATAAAACATTCTACAGTAAAGACACATGCATGCGAATGTTCACTGGAGCACTATTCACAATAGCAAACACATGGAATCAACTTAAATGGCCATTAATGACAGATTGGATAAAGAAAGTGTGGTACATAGACACCATGGAATACTATGCAGCCGTAAAAAGAAGGAGATCATGTCTTTTATGGGAACGTGGATGGAGCTAGAGGCTATTATCCTTAGCAAACTAAGTCAGGAACAGAAAACCAAATATTACATGTTCTCACTTAAAAGTGAGAGCTAAATAATAAGAACTTATGAACACAAAGAAAGAAACAACAGACACTGAGGTCTACTTGAGGTGGGAGGTTAGAGGAGGGAGAGGAGCAGGAAAAACAACTATCGGATACTGGGCTTAATACCTGGGTAATGAAACAATGTGTACAACAAACCCCTGTGGCACAAGTTTACCGATGTAAAACCTTCACATGTACCCCCAAACCTAAAATAAAAATTTAAAAAAAAAACCATAAAAATAGGCCACGAGCAGCTCTCAGGACTGCTCTGCCTATGGAGTAGCAGTCTTTTGTTTCTTTTGTTTCTTTTGTTTCTTTACTTCTCTAATAAATTTGCTTTCACTTAAAACAAAAAAAGTAAAGTGTGAATCTGAGAAAAAAAAATTGGAAGAACCTGATGAGAATTGTATGTACAAAGTATAAATAATTTTTAAAGGCTTCATTTTTAAAATCCCTAAAAGACTTAAAATAAGGTGGATATCTAACAAGTCAGACTAATTCTTTTGTGCATTCTCTGTACCTTTTAGCTTCTCAGCCAGCAGAGTATCATTGCCATTATTAGCAATAGCCCTACTGAAAACAGGATGACTGGAGTATCAAAATAATGATTATCACCAAGTCTTTTTTCTTATTTAACGCTTTTTACATCTAAGTGATAAATTTATCATCTTCCTTAAACACTTCATTTATCTCAACATCGTGAAACTCAAAATTATCCTGACCACCTTGTCGATAGTAATATATGTATTTGTATATAGTATACCTTATACAGTGGACATATACACATATATACATGTATGTGTGTATACATGTGTGTGTGTGTGTGTGCATGTGCATATTTGTTATTATATGTGTGTGAAGCTTGAAATATATATTAATTTTAAGGACTCTTTTAATACTTTATTTCACTGAAGGTTTCAAGGATACGATGGTGTAAAAAAGATCACTTGCTTTAAATCAAAATCCCCATTTATTCTTATGATACAAGTGGTATTAAGTTGTCTTCACTATAAATCATAAAATAAATGAGGCTTTAAAAATGTTTTATAATGAAATTAGCTTGTGACTTTTTTGAATTTCCAGCAAATAATTTTTGAACACATACTAATGTCAACATTTTCTCTCTTTTTATAATAAGAACTCATATAACTAAATATTTAATTTGCAAGCATTAACAAACGTTTGAAAAATTACTGTTAAAGCTCCAGGGAAAAAATAATTGCACTACTACAATTTTCTCAGACTTTTTTTATTGGCTTATATGCAAGCCTAGAGGCTGATATGAGATGTAGCTGAAAGTCTCTACATGAATCCAGTTTGACCACAAACTAAGGAGAAAAATAACACAGCTAAGTAATTTTGATGAGAAATTAAATTTGTACAACCAACAGAGAAGACAAGATTCAGAATCTAAAAATACTTTATTTTACATTGCTGACTGAAGTTATGTTACATTATTGACTAAAATAAATTTTTTAAGTACAAAAAAAAGATAATTTTTTTTCTCCTTTCATGTGATATAACGTGGTTTTGAAGTCTAGGTACAAATTATAATTACCTAGGGAAGTCTGAAAGAACTTCCCCTATCTGAGTCCACTCCAGCCAGAACAATCAGAATCTCTTGGTGTTGGGTGTCATGAACTAATTGATTCTGTTTTGGTTTGGGTTTGTTTTTTGAAACTCTCCAAAAGATGCCTCAGGACTGACAGCATGAAGGCGGTGTCACAACTTTGATATTAGGGATCTTATTCAATTCCCAGGGAAACTGCTTCTCATTCTTACAACCTCAGTTCAGCTGAGACCTCTGGATAGCTTCTCCAAGTCCCCCTCTGTCAAAGGATTACCTATATAATCCTGTATATATCAGTTCCCCAGCGCTGAATATGCTTGATCTTAATAAGGTGTTTAATTGCCTATCCCTAAGTGACAATATGTTTCTTGAAGGGAAGGATAATTTTTGTTTCTCTCTGAATCTACTGCCTATTGTACAAAACATAACACAAACAAAAACTCTACTTTGAAGAAATGGGTGCATGAAAGAATGGCATTCAAATGCACAGTTTTAGAGATTCTACTTCAGTACTTCTGGCTGTCACTTGTGATAATTATGTAGTATTTTCACAATTGCATCCTTACAAATCTAGTGCAAATATGAAACTAAATGTGGTGGGAAATAAATAATAAGCAATAGAAATGGGATTCATTTAAAAGAAGCCTGCATGCAAATTAAATAATGCTGATCTTTAGAATACTCCTTAGTACTGCCATAAACTGCTTTTCTTAGTCTTAAAAACAGAATTTCTCTCTACTGACAATCATACATTACACAGAATAGATCCCATTTGGTCTCATAAATATTACATTTGTTTGTATATACACAGAAATTAAAGTGGGAAAGATCTCCCTGCATGTAATATGCAGTTGCATAGATAAGTGATGAGAAGTGGAGCCCTATGAACATATTAAGTCCTATGATGCTAGGGAAAGCATATGTTCTATCCCTAATGATTCCAGATTAACACAATGCAAACTTTAATTTCTAAAAACACAGTAGGGAAATCATTACATATAATTTCCATCATGCTTCCCCTTTTTGCCTTATTTCCACACATTTCCCAGATGAATGCTTGCCTACAGTAGTGCCTGTCTTCTATACTGAATGAGAATTGGGCCAGAAAAGAGATGGTCTGATATTTGTTAAATAAATGTCCTATACTTGAGCCAGCAGGAAGGGGAGATACTATAAATGGCTATATGCCATAAAAATGCCACAGACTTTTTCAACTTACCCTCTGAAAATTACTGCTGGAATCAAACAGTCAAAGAAAACCCCATCTCATTAATAACTTGGAACATTTAGATGGTTGTCTTGTTTCTATCTGGCCTGTTAACAACTGTGAGCTGGACACATTCAAACATTCTGTTTATTGTTTTCTTTATGACTTCTTTTCTTAGACAAGCATAAAATATAAATGGGGAAAGCTAGTAATACACATTTTGTTTCAGAACAAAGGCATCACTTAGACAAGAAGGATTACATTTCATCTAAAAATCTACATTATTTACATTGGCTTTTTAAAAATTAAGTCGTTATTATCAAGCATATTATTGATCTTTACATTTGAGAAAGAATTTAGTGTTTGGTTGTTAAATATTTTAGCAAATGTGAAAATATTATTCAGTAAGCATCTGGCCTAGTCATAAAATAAGCATCTGTCTTTTGTTTACAACATAAAATATTTGATTCATTTGAACCAGGTTCACAAGTTCAGATGTTTTTTCTGTAATCTCTTTGGACCTACCTGACTTTCAGAGTTGGAATATAAATCAGGTGGGATTAGGCTTCATCATTTTACATACATTCTTCCCTGAGTGGGTTTTGGAATGTGTAAACATGGAATATAGAAACAATAATAAAAGTAGGGATGACAGATGAAAATAACATCACATGAATTGTTACTGACAAAATCTTATGTTTTTCTCAACTATGCCTGTCTACCTTGAATCAAATTTTCCTTTAAAATGTAGCATTAATATGGGACCATGCATACCTTCCTATTGTTAATGTAAAACAAAATATTATAATAAAATATTTCTTCTGGATTACACATTATATTTTATGGGCCATAATGTCATCTGTTCCTTACAACAGCACTCTTTCTAGGCACAGCATGTGTTATTACACACACACTGATAGATAAAACTATATTTTCAGGTTTTCCTGAGGTCATGTTTTTACTAACAGTTTGAAGCAAAGATTGAATTGTTATTTTTTTATTCGATATGATAAAAAATAAGATCTGGGGAGCATTCTTACATCAGATGGCGATTTACTATATCCATGCATACAAACTCCTTATATAATGTTCAAATTTGTTCTCAATTATGTTTCCAGCTCATCATCCACTTTTGCCCATGCATCTATCCCTTCACCCAAATGTGTACATTCATATTACCTGTACCTACTCCCATATAACAATTAGTCTTCAAAATAACTAATAACCAGGCTTAATATCTGGGTGATGAAATAATCTATACAGCAAACACCCACGACACAAGTTTACCTATGTAAAAAACCTGCACTTGTATCCCTGAGTTTAAAAGTTAAAATTAATTAATTGATAATTAATTAAAATTTTGTTCTTAATTACTCTCCTTTGCTCTTAACTATAAAACCTATATCTAGGTCTTATATAGCACATGGCACCTTTTACCTTGTATTAGAGCTGGTCATGTATCTGTCTTACCAGTAAGAAGTAAGTTCTCAGTGGGAATAAGTTTATTCTGTTTCCCTCTGCATGTTTATCTCTGCATTACTGAGTATTTCTTCTGTGCCAAACATTGTGATAAGTACCTTACATAAGAATATTTGATGAATTTGCATTGTTTTACTAATGAGGGACTGTGGCTTTTGGGGCTTTAGATCATAGCCAGGCTCAGGAGTCAAATAAATGAAAGTGAATTTGAATCCGAGACTCTTTCTCTTAAAGCACACGCTGTTAACCATACCACTTACTGGTTCTTAAATTAACGAGTGTGAACATAAATAAAGGAAAACAACAAAAGCATTTAAAAAATACAAATAAATAATCTGTTTATGTGACCCAGCTGTCTCCAAATCTGGCACTAAAAAACAAGATTGCCTTTTTATTTTAGAAGCAAGGCAGCCTTCACTTTCATCTTTTCCCACCCTCCTTACTCTTCCCTGAGAAGAGGGAGTCTATATTTACTAATGGGTAGGGTCAATGTGCACTAAAATGTTCAGCAGAGGGTGTGGTTCCCAAACCCATAAGGATGGTGCCAGACATCTGGTCCTACCTTTTCCTGTAGTCACGCACCAGCTACAGCCTACCCCTTCCTTCTCTGTTTGCAGGTGGCTGATAGTAAGATTTTAATTTGTGCTTATTGGAGTGGGAAAAGTCCCATTAAGACCTTCAGCTTAGGCCACACACTTCACCAGAGACATTGGGTTAGCTGATTACTGTTCCCCATTTGCTGTAGTTGCCTTAGAAACCTCCTGGGGAGTAGTAAGTGATGACGGGGGGGTTGTTTTTTGGATTTCCTAGCCAAGTGCAATTTAATAGCACCTCAAACTTGCCATTATTTACAATAGTTATTTTTTTAAAGCCATCATGACATACTGTCTCACCTACTCAAATGATCTTAAAGTCTGATATTTGCTTTCCTTTGACCCCTACCTGTTTTATGCTCCAGATTACCATCAGTTAATATGAAGATTCGTTATACAGTTTTGACCTTTCACAAAAGGAAGACAAAGGGAGTAGATTTCCCACAAAAGTCAAGTCTTGTGTGGCAATGGCAGTCCTGAAGATCAGAGCAAACCCCTTCATCATCTCCGTCCTTCCATCCAACCATTGATAGAATTTTTTTTGTTCCTATGTAAAATGCTATGCAAATGAAATTTCCAGTCACATTTTCTACCCATTTGTATCTCCTAGCCATAATCAAGCTCTTTCAATGTAGAAATTCTTAAATTTCCCATTCATCGTGCAAAGGAGGGCACTTCTCCAAACAGAACATGCTCAGCCATGGTCCTCCAAGCCAGACATGGTCTGGGATCTCCGTTGTAGCACTCTTTGGTTTGTATTTCTTTCAATTCATTCAAAAATTCATCTGGTGACTTCCTAGGTTAGCTTAGAACATTAGAGTGTCTAGGATAGGAGGGTTTCAATATTAGCACATACTCTTGTGCTTAGGCAGCTATGCTGTCTGAAGATACAGAAGCCAGACCATTAGAGTCTTTCACAGCATGCCCTTTTTAGGTGAATGCCATTTTAATAGTTTTGTTTGGGTTTTTTCTATTCGACCTCCATACAAGAAGATACACATTTCCCAATCTTTTTCCACACAGGCCTATAAGTAAATAGATGGGTATCAATTGACACGTGTGGGCAGGAATCAGCATAATTTCAGCCATGGCATGGAGCATGTGGAGAAAAAAGAAAGTAAGAAAGAAAGAATGAAGGGAAGGAAAGAAAGAAGGAAGGAAGCATGGAAAGAAGAAAGGAAGGAAAGAAGGAAGGAAGAGAAAGGGGGAGGGAGGGAAGGAAAAAGAAGAAAAGCCAAAAAAAAAAAAAGGAAGACAAGTCTAAGCTCCAAGTCTTTTAAAGGGGGTGTATGGATTGGGAATAGAGGAAGTATATACTTTGCAGGAGTCTACAACTTAAATAAAACCACTCAAGAAAATGTATTCCAGGACAGGTCTTTAAGTAAGGTGAACTGGCTCTCAACTACTATAAATTAAAATTCTTGACAAATTTTAAATAATAATTCTCAAGATTTCATGAAACTAAGTTCCAGTTTTGTGGACTATATTGATTTCTAAATAATGTTTATAGTTCATAATTGTATTTCTATTACCAAATTGGTAAAATGTATTACCTTTGTTTTTCCTTGATATATACAGTAGGTGTTTTCTCTCATGGGTTGAATCAGAGTAAACCATTCACAAATAGTACATTTTTGATTCCCAGAGTAATTTTTAAAACTAAAATATTTTTCAAGTGGGAACTAAATCCCTTTAAGTCCAAGTCTCAGAGAAATGCTGCAATTTCCTCAGATTATACAACCCCAAGGTATAAGGTAAGAATTAAAATGTCAACCATTCTGACTTAAATGTCTGATTTTCACCGCTATGTTAATAATGTCTCAAATTTGTCTATGCAACAATAGTAATCTAAATTGCTCCAGACAAATATTTTCTGTTTTAAAAATAGTAAGGACATGGATGAAATTGGAAATCATCATTCTCAGTAAACTATCGCAAGAACAAAAAACCAAACACCGCATATTCTCACTCATAGGTGGGAATTGAACAATGAGATCACATGGACACAGGAAGGGGAATATCACACTCTGGGGACTGTGGTGGGGTGGGGGGAGGGGGGAGGGATAGCATTGGGAGATATACCTAATGCTAGATGACGAGTTAGTGGGTGCAGCGCACCAGCATGGCACATGTATACATATGTAACTAACCTGCACAATGTGCACATGTACCCTAAAACTTAAAGTATAATAAAAAAATAAATAAATAAATAAAAAAGAAAATTTAAATAGGTACAATGACCATTTATAGAAACATAATTCACTAGTGAAAAGTTCAATTGAAGGTACAGTGTTAATAATAGTTATTATCCAACTTATCAGTAGTTGACTTCTTTCACTAAGTATAATGTTAACAAGATTCATCCATATTGTAGTATGTATTGATACTTCATTTCTTTGTATTGCTGAATTATATTTCATTGTATAGATACATTGCATTTTATTTATCTATGCATCAGTTGATGGTCATTTGTGTTACTTCTATTTTTTGACTATTTTAAGTAATACTGCTGTGAACATTCTTTTGCAAGCTTTCGTGTGGACATATGTTCTCATTTATCGTTGGAATATACTTAGAAGTAGTAATGCTGAATTAGTAGTAAGTCTATGTTTAACCACTTCAGAAATTGCCAGATTGTTTTCCAAAGTGACAACACCACTTTACATCCCACAGGTAGTACGTGAGAATTCCAGTTCTCTGCATACATATTTTGTTATCTTTTTCTTTATAGCTGTCTTAGTGGGTATGAAGTGGTATCTTGTAGTGTTGAGTTACATTTCTCTGATTGCTAATTATTTCTGATTATTTATATTGCTAATTATTTATTGTGCTTATCAATCATTTGTTTATCGTCTTTGGGGAATTGTCTATTTAGATACTTTGCCCATTTAAAACTTCTTAATATTTGTCATTTTATTTTTGAGTTACAATATTTCCTTATATATTCTAGATACAAATTTTTTAAATCAGATGTAGTATTTGTATTACTTATGGGTTGTCTTTTTATTTTCTTAGTGGTGTCCTTTGAAGGACAAAGGTTTTTAATTTTGACAATATCCAGTTTACCCAATTTTTTTTTTGTTGTTACTTATAATTTTGGTGTTATATCTAAGAAACTACTAACTAATCCAAAATTATAAATATGTACACCTATGTTTTCTGCTAATAGTTTTATCACTTTAGTGCTTACATTTAGGTGTTTGATATATTTTGAGTTAATCTTTTTTTATGGTATAAAATAGGGATTCAAGTTCATTTCTTTTTTTTTTTTTCTTTTTTCTTTTTTTTGAGACAGAGTCTTACTCTGTCCTGTTGCCCAGGCTGGAGTGCAGTGGCACAATCTCAGCTCATTGCAACCTCTGCCTTCCGGGTTCAAGGATTCTCCTGTCTCAGCCTCCTGAGTAGCTGGAACTACAGGCATGTGCTACCATGCCCGGCTAAGTTTTTGTATTTTTAGTAGAGATGGGGTTTCGCCATGTCAACCAGGATGGTCTCGATCTACTGACCTCATGATCTGCTGGCCTCTGCCTCACAAAGTGCTGGGATTACAGGTGTGAGCCACTGTGCCCAGCCTCAAATTCATTTCTTTACATGTGGATATCCAGTTGTTCCAGCATCATTTGTTGAAAGGACTTTTTTCCTCATTAATTGATCTTGGCACCCTTGTTGAAAATCAATTTACTACAACCATGATGTTTTATTTCTGGACTCTCAGTTTTATTTCATTGTTCTATGTGACTATGCTTATGCTAGCACCATACCATTTTGACTATGGTATTATTATAGTAGGTTTTAAAATCAGTAAATATAAGCACTCCAAATGTGTTTGCCTTTTTCCAGATTGTTTGCTTATGCTGGATCCCTTAAACTTCCATATGAATTTTAGGATCAGGTTGTACATTTCTTAAAGAAAAGTCAGCTGAGTACATCATTTGGTATTGCACCTCAGAGTGTGTAAACTTGGACATGTGTGCATTCACCCTGGGATGGCAATGGCTTTAGAAAGAATGTCTTTTACTCTTTCCCTCTCTGATTTCTCTGTTAAGCTGTCTGTCCCATTTGGTATTACACCCACTTCCACTAATAACTTCCACTAATTACACCTACTTCCACTAATTAATAGATTTCTCTATTTCTTTTTTGACAATGTCCTAAAACATAAAGTGCTCCCCAGTCTGATTCAACTAAACCTGGGCTCCTTTGCAGGGGTAGTTTTTGAGGCCAATCTTTGAGGTATATTCTGACACCAGACCTCTACTTAGCTGTGTTTTCCCTTGGTTCTCTTTGGTCAACTAGCCTGCCTACAGGTTAGCTTGTTAATCTCCTGTGTTGCCATCTTCCTCTTAATGATTTATAATCAAAATCTCTATTGTTTTCCAGAGCATGATTATGTTTGAACTTCCCCAACTGTTCTAAATAAATTAAGTTCTTTAGGGAGGAGTTTCAGTGTTCTTATGGCCTTCTTACCCTCTGGGCAAAGTCTCTGAGCCACTGTGCCTGGGCTAGAGGCTGTAACAATTGCCCATTTGATTTAGTTTGCTGTTCTTAATTAAGATGATCTACTGTTTTTGAGAGTACTCTCAGGCTTAAATTTTTCATACTCTTTTTCTACTAAAATGAGTTCCTTTGGGGAATCTCTGTGTTTTTTTGTTTTGTTTTGTTTTGTGTTTTGTTTTTGCTTTTTGTCTTTCTTATCAACCGCCTCTCCCCACTAGACAAAAATCTCTGATCTACTACTCTAGGCATTGAGTGGGGTGATAACCTCTTGTCTTCTCTGCTTATTTCTCCCAGTGTGGAAATTCGACCCTAGCAAGTGAGCTTGGGCAAAAGCAATTAGGTCCCATTATTCTTGGTCTGCTGTGCCTCTGGGTAGGGCCTAGGGTAGAGAGAGCCACCATAGATAGGCTGTAACCTCTATACCTTACAAATAAATAGAGACTCAAACTTATCAATAGGAGCCAGATTGGGAAAGGGACTCCCTTAATGGTTGGCCATGTTTAAGAGGAAATTAGTCTCTTCAAATTGCAGTTGGAAGGTCTGAGAAATGCTGGCAGGCTGACCTGCCCAGTGAGATGAGGTGATCCTTGGTTGAGAGCTGAGGAGAGCAAGAGTGTGTCTTCTGGCCACACCTGCCCTAAAAATAGCTTTCATCAAATTGAGTTGGAGAAATGGGATTGTGAACAAATTGTGGTTCAAATGCCACAAACTTATGATGTTCTTATGGGATTTTAGTAGATTGTTTTGAATAATTTTTTTTTAATTTAATGTATAACATTGGTACAATTTCCAGAGATTTTAAATCGTTGTTCTTTTACAGTTTTTGTAAGTTTTGCTTGCTTCACTGGGGAGTGGATTCATAGATATCCTTATGCTGCCATTTTGGAAATAATCTTTCTCTTCAATTTGATGACCCAAAAATGAGTTTAAATGTAGATCTCTAAATAAAAATATAAATAAATAGATTTATGTTCTTTTTTTTAATCAGTCATTGATAATTTTACTTCATGCATATTATTAGGTTCACACTGTAAACCAAAAATAAAATCATAAGCCACCTAACTGATTGAATGGACTCCCCTCTTGGCCAAGGGCATTCCAAAGAAACATGAAAACTAGTTAAGGCCCTTTTATAAAGGGGGCGTTGAACAAGCCTCTTTATATCCTCCTCCTTTTAGAGTTTAGGTACAACTGACCAGCATTAACATTAAAATATAGATCATAAGACTGACAAAACCGGCTCTTTGTAGCAATAAAATACCAAATTCCAACCTGACTCTGGTATAGCATCACATGAGAGAGAGCAGGCTCTGAAGAAATTAAAATATTTTACCTCAAAATATATTTCCTTGACATATTTTTACATGGCCCTGCAAAGCTGTTTCTTGTGAGGGAAATTTACATTCTGTAGAATTTTCCAGAGAGTCTGACACCTTTTAAGGTTAGATAAGTGACATTTACCATCATTTGCTGTGAACCTTGCTACCTGGAGACTTCATCTACATGACAAGAACCTTGGCTTCCACAACCCCCCTTATCTTAGCTCAAGCATTTTTTAGGCTAATTTCAAACTCTTTAGGCAAAGCTTAACTCTTTCAACCAATTGCCAATCAGGAAATATTTGAATCCACCAATGACTTGCTTTGAGATGTCCTACCCTTTGGGGCCACTCCAGTGTATATTTTTCTTTTTACCTGTAACTTTGTCTTCCTAAAATGTATAAAACCAAGCTGTAACTCAACCACCTTGGGCACATATTCTCAGGATCTTCTGAGGCTGTGTCATGGGCCACAGTCCTTAATCTTGGTAAAATAAGCCTTTAACTTAATTGAAAGCAGCCTCAGATACATTTTGGTTTACAATACATATGTAAGCCCAATATTGTGATCATTTCTCAAGAATTATGTGACAGTACAAAGAACAATGACCCACCCCGCTGGAAATGCATTATGTAGAAATAGATTCCAGAGACGTTATGAGAGAGAGAGAGAGCTTTATTTAATTGAGAATATTCAAGAAGACTCAGAGTGTTCCATATTACTTGTATTATTGTTTCACTCATAAGCATATAACATTTTGTGGCCAGTTATATATGGGGTAAATTATCTGTGAAATATTCAGGGATTTCTACATCTTTAAATGGACACAAAGGAAAAAAACACGCTACTATCTTTAAATGTTATATGAAGCACATGATGCTCTGAGATACTATATCCATGATTAAATCTTAAGAGACTGAAACCACCTTTGTAGAATTATAAGTAAGAAGAGGAATCTAAAAGAGGAATCTAAAATGACTGACCCTGTCTTGCTTCTAACCTCAGAGATAAATTTTAATTTTTTTTTTTTTTGCTTATTCTAGCATGGAGGCCAAGATAATTGTGAGAAAAATTTAGTTTGTAGTTAAATTTTGAGGTAAGGAAAACTGACCCTCCTCCTTATTCAGAGATTGAAGCTGCATTCATAAGGTGAGGTTAGAATTATAGAAGGGGCTTGAACTTTGCTAAAGAATAGGAATAGTTAAACAATGACCTACCATTGCTTATCTTGTTTTACTATAAGTTGCCTACTGTCCAGAGAATGTAATCCAGGGTCACAAGATTTATAGCTCCCCTAACTACTCTTATAGATAACATCACTACTGTGAAACCTAAAGCACTGGGTCTTTGAGATATTTTTCAGATTTAGGATTTTGGCAGACCAAGAGACAAAACCTTGTCCTGAGACCCCCTTCCAGGAACTAACTCAGCTGTGCAAAGATAGTTTTAGATACTTCCGTGATTTTTTTCTCCAGAAAATCGATCATTTAAGCTCTCTCCTCTGCTTGCCAAAGTACCCTTAAAAAACACTAGCCTCTGAATTCTTGGGGAGATGGGTTTGAGAAATTTCTCCCTGTTCTTGTTTGGCTGACCCTGTGCTTATTAAATATTTTCTTTCCTGCAGCACTGCTGTTCTCATTGGTTATGGGAGTATGGTGGGCAAGGAGAGCCTGTTGTCCTGTGACAAGATGATAACCCAAGGGGAGGCATTGTAGGTGAGTATGATAGAAGAGAGAGACTATGAAAGCCTAGAGCTTTGATGATATTATGCTTTCTAAATGTCCCTTGACTTTTTGTAGGATACAATAAATTACTATTGAATGTGCCAGTAGATCTAGAGTTGTCCATTAATTGCAGCAAAAGCAGTCTGATAAAGAAGACAAAGCATTTTCAGTATATCTATGTTGAATGAAAACCTCATGGCCCTGAAGACTAAAATAGGATATGAAAAGTGAAGAGAAAACAAAGAGAAAATAAGTAGAAGAAAAGCTAAAAAAGCAGGTAGAGAACAGAGTAGGTAGGGTCAATTAGGATATGTCAAGGAACTGGTACTTGTCAGAAGAATAAAAATAACTGATTGGAGAGTTTCACACAAAGGGGATTATCAGATTTACATTTCCACAGTATTGTTCTGGCAGAAATGCAGAGAATATATTTGCAATATAGTAAGTATGTGTGGGTAGGTCAACCCAAGGTAAAAGAATGCAAGAAATATGTGATTGTAACAGAGACTGAAATATGCAGTAGAAATACAGAAGAAATGTCTAAGTGGACATTAAGAGTTTTGATGGATTCGATTAGGGAAGTGCATCTTGAAAGGTGTCAAGAATAATTTTTATTCTTTGTTTTTGCAATGGACTAAATAATGATAAACATCGGAAGAAAACTAGGTAAAAGAATGGGAGACTGATGGTGAGTTTACTGAAGAATTCAATGAGAGGCTTGTGGGAAGGTATAAATAGATGTAGATTATCTGTCTCCTGGTGGCGGTTAAAGCCTTGAGTAAGAATGATATTCCTAAAGGCCCAGGGTTGACCCTTGAAGTATGTCAATATATGACTTTATAGAAAAGAAAAGGACAAGAAAAGAAACCATAAGGTAATAGGAAAGCTGAAAGATTACTGTGTTAACTAATCCAAGAAACAAAAGATTTAAGAGGGGTTTAGAGGATTGTGATCACACTAGTTTATGTTACTGAAAGGTTAAATTATTTTTTTAAAAACCAAATAGCCCTATTGTATTTATTTTTGTAGAGTTCATTGATTACATTAATAGATGGTGTTTCAGTGAGATAATGGGAGAATATTAGAATATGTTGTAGTGTGGGTGGAGATTTGGAAATAAGAATATAAATTATTTGGTTTGGCTAAATCTAGAGTTTCCAAATTCAAAATTCCTCTTTAGAATAATAGATGATTTTAAATTATAGTCTGAAATACAAAATGTAATTATGGGACACAACTAACTACTTATATACATCATCAAAAATGTATACAACATCTCAAGTTTATTCTAAATATTTTAATAAGAAACACACACAAAAACATATATCCATTCTTTAAATATGATCAAAACACACCCTTCTACAAGTTAAGAGTACTCAGAGGATTATATAACTCTAGTTTTGGCCATTGTATGGGATTTTATGTTATTATTTACTACATGATCAAATGAAAATGTGAAAGTGTCATAGAAACCCATGTCTGGAACTGAGCACGCACCCCTTCTTAAGAGTTATAGCACCTACTTAAATAGCCCTGCATAATAGTACTGTGTGCAATCTGAACCCTTGCAAGAACTTAATTGGAAAATATGGTTTTAATAAGCAACACACTTTTTCTAGTTTTAGAGTACAACTAAAACCCACTTTAAAAACCAGTGGACTATAGTGATTTTTTTTACTGCTTTCAAGTGTTCTATCAAATAAAAATGATCATTTTTTGTAGACTAAAAATTAAGATTGAGGTTTTCCCCTAAATAGAGGAGTCACGGACTCCAGGGAGAGTTCAGAGGCAGTTGTTAAATTGATCAAACTTCTGGGTGGTCAGTTGTGACCCTTCTGGTCCTGCAGTTCAGAGAAAAATAATGGCTGTGCTGGCTCACAAAAAAATGTATGCATAATACCAGTAATTCTCTAATCAGTTATTGTGTATGCAGAGTTTTCAGGTGTCTTTCTCATGATGTCATTTCACATGTTGAATAGCTATCCAAAATTTGCAGTATGGAAATTCTGTATTGCTAAAGTTTTTGGGCGAATATAATCTCTACTGAATTAATTTATTATACACTGCTTTAAAAATGTCCCAGAATCACAATCTCTCATTTCAACATCATTAACAACAAAATTTTCATGTGAAACACTTTGTTTTAAAGAATGTATTACTTACAAATTCAGGACAAACTACACATGAATGTAAAATCAAGAGAGAGAGAAAATAAATCAGTCATATGAGAGGCAGTAAAAAAAGTGGTTGAGAATTTGGCTTTCTGAGTTAAAACTCCATCTTGCATTTACAAGTTTTGTGATTATAAGCAGTTATTTAACTTCCTTTTTCCTTAATTTTTTTATTTTCAAAGTCTGGATAAAAATTATAACTACATCACATGAAGGGTGTAGGGAATTAATGTGTTAATATTTATAAGAGAATAAGATAATTTATAATGTAGTAAATACACATTAGATATTAATATATATTATTTAAGTTATGTGTTAGGCCATTTTTGCATTGCTATAAAGAAATGCCTGAAACTGGGTAATTTATTAAGAAAAGAGATTTAATTGGCTCATACTTTTGAAGGCTGTACAGGAAATGTGGTGCCAGCATCTGCTTAGCTTCTGGTGAGGGCCTCAGGAAGCTTATAATTATGGCAGAAGGCGAAATGGGAGCGGGTAAGTCACATGGCAAGAGAGAGAGCAAGAGAGAAGGCGGAGATGTTCTCCGCATTCTTTTAAACAACCAGATCCCACATGAACACAGAGTGAATGCTCACTCATTATCACAAGGATGGCACTAAGACGTTCATAAGGGATCTGCCCCCATAATCCAAACACCTCCTACTATGCCTTACCTACAAAACTGGGGCTTTTATTTCAACATGAGATTTGGAGGGGACACACATTCAAACCATGTCAAGTTATAAATGGTATATACATTTTTTTCTTATTGTTCCTTAATTTGAGTTGCAAGATTTAAGGTAATGAATGTTGAAATAATGTATGTGTCTGTTTGTGTGTGTGTGTTTACTAATGTATCCATAGATAAATGTGGAATAGAATTAAATAGAATTATTCCTATTGTTTCTAAATTGGCTAAGGACTCAAAGTTGAATACCATGCATGATAAGTGAAGAGATTCTAAATGAGCAGTTCTCAAAGGTGCCCAGCATATTTAACTCCAGGGTTTTCAAGGCATTCTGCAAATAATATTTCATAAGATCCCTCTTTATAGAAAATGTTTAAATTTAAAATACTTTACAAAATATAAGGACTCGTGAAATATATGGATTTATCAATGACAATTTGGAGTGAAGTGAAGAAGAGGTGATATTTTATGTTCAGTGAATGCACGGGAAGGATCTTCTAATGCTACACATTGTCTTTTCTATTTCAGTCCAAGAACCAACCCTCTGTGATCTATATTCTCCAAAGGATTGTTAATGGCTAATTTCATGTCTCCTACTATGAAAAACAAGGGTATTACTCATAATGCCATGGCTCTTTAGAACCCAATTATATAAAAACATTTACAATCTTCTTGTTTTTGCAGTTTTCCATTAACTTTTACTTAAATCTGTTCACATCTTCACTCATGATACTGCATCAAACGGCCAGTGAATATGAGCTTCCAAAGACTCTCTCAATGGCTGTTGTATTCTGTTGAAGTTTCCCACAAATGCAAGTATTAACCGGGGTATGCAGGAAAATGTGAATAATAAATTGCTCGTCTTGTTAAATTTACTGTTTGGTATATAATAGCATAAATGCAGAATGACATATCTTCCAATTATGACCTCTCTTGAACTCTTTAGGTTGTAAGCACTACATTATTAAAATGTGAGACGTTTCAATGTTAACCAGAAACGTACCTTCTACATAGAACCGCCAATAGAGTGGATAGAGTGCTGTGTGCAGAAGTCCCATTTATGTAAGAAATGTCCATGTTTGGATTGTACAGCTTAAGATTTAGCAATTGAAGCATGAGGGATATAATTAAGAAGTGGCTGTTGTTGCTGCAGACCCATAGTCTTGAAACAATTCAGCCTGGATTGGCAAGGTCAGCCCTGGAGGACTGCCTGACACATAGAACTGTGAAGGGGTGGAGTGACTGCCTGAGTGCCAATGGCTGGGAGTGCAAAAAATAAAGGATGCCTGCTACCACTCCAATTGCCCTTGGGTGCTGCAGACTGGAGGCAGCATCATGGTCAGAATGTAGGGGTGAGAGAGCTAATGCCCAGCCTCACATGGTTCAAGCTCAAAACTCATCAGTGGACCACTGGTAGCCAGGAGTCCTGAACCTTTCCTGTGTTTTGATGTGACCGAGTCACCTAAAATCGGCATGTCAGTGCCATGGGGAAAATAGATCATCTTGAGGTAGTCTCCTTGAAACTAGAATTTATGAGACCAGATCCAGGTTTGGAGGGTCCTGCCTAGATGGCACTGGTGGCTTCAGTCAGTCCTAGGCAACAGAGAGGGACAATATCCTAAGGGAGGCATCACAAAGTGCAGTCCTTCTCCTCTCTGCCTGCCACGCCTAGGCTTAGGCAGAGTCCCCTCCTACCTCATATCAATAAGACTAGAGATTTATTGAGAGAGGATTCATTGAGAAAATTGAAGGAGATGAAAAGGCTTGAGGGGTAGGGCTTGTCTTTTCTCTACTTCAAGCCAAATGAGAGTAGTTATAAGATAATTACTCAGAGAAAATTGAGAGGTCCATGTCAGAAGAGAAGCCTGAAATCTCACAACTCAACTTCAGGTGATTGTGGCACATGCTAAAGCCTGAGAACCACTGTGGGAAGAATTACTGTGACTCCCAGCTTCAACTACTGCGATTCCACAGTTCACATTCAAAGGATGAGATGTGGCTGCTGACCACGTTTTTCTAATGCCAATAAGCATTTGAATCATTTAAATTCCCTTTCTCTGATTTTGCCATTTACCTAGCTACTTCTGATTCCATTTGGTTTCTGTATCAGTTAAGAGGCTAACAACTGATTTAACAAAAATTTCTTATCCAAACAAAATAAACAAGAAAAAGGTGTTATCAAAAATAAATTGTGTGTGTGTGTGTGTGTGTGTGTGTGTGTGTGTATAAAGGCTAAATATGGCAGAGCTTGCAAAGGTGGTTAATTCAGTGGCTGGATAATACTGTAGAGGGCCAAGTTCTTCCTGTACTTTCTGTTTTGTTATTACCTCTGCTTTCATGTTTGCAAAATAGTTGTGGCATCCCTTATAACTACATTTTAAGCATCCCTTATGACTACAAAAGCATCGCTGTGCATATTTTAAAGAACTTAAAGAGCTGGTCTCTCAGCTTTCATTGGTCAGAAATGTGTCAGAGAACTAAGCATAACAGAATTACTGCAAGGATAATTGAACCAGCACAGCTGGCTTAAAACAATTAGGAATCATGTGAGCTGTGTTGGAAATCGGGTCACAGGTGTGAAGCAATTTGTTGTGGGACAATTTCTAGCAATTAATCTGTTCATATATATGTCTTACTGGTTTTGCTTTTCTAGCTGAAATCTGACATACTCTGTGTCATAAATATTCACTAAAATAAGTGTTATTATTATAAATTACACACAATCTTCCCTGGCAACCCTTACCTCAATACATGATCACATCCGAATTATGCACAGAAAACTCCTTTCACATCAGGATCTATCATGCTGTTGTATGAATTTGGATATGTTTTGAATTGAAAAGTGATTGCACTAGCTAATCTATGAAATGGGATTTTCATTCAAAACAAATATAGGCATGTTTCTCTCCGGCTACACATTCATTCATACATGAGGAGTACTCACAGGATGCTTGTAGAGCCCACAACATACAGGACAGTTAAAGGTGAATTTCACATGGTTTCAGTTAGAAAAGGCAAATTGTTTCACTGATATTTAATTAAAATAATTTCATTTTTCTTTTGGGTACTGAGATACTTTACATGTACTTGGTAATAAACGTCTGCTTATTATTGGATAATTATATATTTACTTTGCAGTTTCAGAAATTCACCAATGGCAGTCAAAAAGCTATCCATCCTTTCGAGGAGTTTACATTGAGTGATATTTATTATATTAAATATTAATAAAGAATAAACTATTGAGATGCACTACTTAATGTTTAGAATTAAATCTATAAAAATGCAACTTTAATAATTTGAGTAAATATTTTTTATGAAGATTAACTTGCTAGCTCATTGCAAGATTTGTGGAATTCCCATATAATATTATAACAAATAGGTTTAGAATAGTACAGCAAATACACACTGAATAAAATGACCAGCTACTGATAATGTGTGGCAAATTATAAATCATAGTAAAATTGCCTGATTTTTGTCCTTTAATTTTTTTAATTTGTATGTGAAAGTTTTAAAAATAGATTATTTAAAATCATCTTACTAATAAAATATCAGAGTTTGCTAATGAAGACCACCATGGAGCTATGTGAATAAAGGTATGTGGTTTTATTTAACTTTTCATTCTATAAAACAATTGCTGATCATGTATAAAATTATACTAGGAAAGGATATGTGATAGACTCCAATAGATCTAGCTTAAAATATTTTATTAAAGATATCAAATAAATTGTAATTACATGAGGTAATGTATTTTGCCAAATAAGTAGAGGACAAGCCACACCCCTACTGCAGATAAGAAGATAAAATTATCAGTATAAAATGTTTTATATTACTGTATGTGTAATACAATCCAATTTTTTTAAAGTACTACAACATTTGGAAAAATGTATCTTTCCACCGTATAATCAGGCACTAATCTCATATAGAGATTCTTGTAGCATAATTAACCACAAAATGAAGATTCCAAAAGTACTTAGCTCAGATCAACAAAACATCATAAAGAAACTTTGTACATGATATTGTATATTTTGAGATCACACTTAAATGTAATCTTTAAAATTATTTCTCTTTCTATTCCTTTGATGTCTTTGACCTTGTTACATTTTGTTTCTTTTAAATGTTTTCTTGCCATCCATTACTTAGTTAAATCCTTATCTTTTACTATTCTTTCAGGGTGTCTTCCATCAATGCTTTTCTGCAAGGAAATGGCATCTAACAGTATCTAATGACAAGAAAAATATGGTTGATGAATCCAAAGATGCTTTTACAAATAAATGAGTAAAGGAAAAGTGAATAAATGCATGACATTGAAAATTTTCAAAAGCACATTAACTTTCAATGATTTAATCTAAAAGCATGGAAATAATAACGATCAGGACTATGTTTGGGGATCACCAACCATAAAAATAAGCAGTAATAAAAATTAGTCAGTTGGTTATTTTTACTAACTAGCTTTCATAAATCATTTGATGTCATTACCTGATTCTTGTTTTACATATCCAAGGGACATGCATAGGAGGGCCAAACAAGGTCATGGCTGATGCTGAAATCAATATTAACAGTCCTGAAAGGCTTGCTCATCTCTGTACTATCCAGGCATTATTAAACTACTGGGATGATAGCAATGTTGATGATGACTATGATGATGATGACGATGATGATGACAATTAAATATAAAGTGAGTGACTTTCATTTTGGAATTTGAAAGACTCCTAGAATTGATGTGTTTGTAAGCTGGCAAGAGGAAGTAAGAACTTTAAATTGCCCCATATGATCAAGTTTAAATGAATGATTTAAACTGGTACTTCAGGTTGTGATGGAGTAGTAAATGGTGAGGGGAAATATAACCCAAGTAATGAAGAAACATTCAAGCTTTACAGAAATTGACCCAGGATGGCTTCATCCATATCATTTTGCCTGTTAGTAATTAGAAGATCACATTGATGCTCTTCCCAACAGATCTGTCCATATTTGAACCACTTTCCAAGTGTTTCAGTGCTGACTTTTGTGATTTAATGGTTTACTTTTCCCTCCTCATTGCACAGGATGAAAGAAGGCAGAATCACTGGCTAATGGAGTTTGATAGCCATTTATCTAAGGCAAACTTGGACCAGATTTAACTGTTCTTACTCTGCTTATCATGATGTGAAAAGCTTTGGGACTGAACACTTTTTTTTCTTTAGTAAATGGTTATAATTATATTTCAATGACCTTTTAAACATCTACTTATCTACTTACATACGAAATTACAAAACTGAAGCATGAGATTTTTTCAATCCATTTCTTGAGACTAGAATTATTCCCACTGTGGTGTGAATCAGAGCATGGTTATGATCATTTAAACATACCAAATTGCACAATTATTTTTACAATCCCACAGCGCTGATCTCTTTCTACTCTTGTCTTCTCAATGTAAATTTCTTCTCTTTGCCATTTAAGAAGTGGAAGACAAGTATAAAGAAATATAAATGAATAAATGCAATACATACCTGCTATTTTAGATACCTTTACAAAGTGTATTCCTTCTTTGTTTCATCCACACATTCAAATACTTAAAAGAATGCCTAATCTGCACCTGGCAATATCATAGGCACTGGGGATATGGCATAAGCAAGATAAATCATTGTCATTGTAAAACAGATGATAATAAGCAGAGATTAAAAAAACTTGTAAGCAACAATTATTTCAGATAAGGATAATCAACAGAGAGAAAATAAAACACAATAATGCAGAAAAGCACATGTTTGTATGGCAAGGGCAAAGAGAACATGAGGAGCATCTCTAATTAGAGCACACAGCAGAGGCTAAGCCAAGGACATGACATTTAAGCTAGTACAGATGCAATCTCAAAATAATTAATAATATCATAATGTGATGTTGAAAACATTTATTTGAAATTAAATAAAATGCTTCAATGAATACTTTTAATACTTAAGTACACTAAAAAGCAAAAGTATCACTTGTAAAAGGAGGGAAAATCTTTAAATTTATTTTTATGTTTGGAAAGTAGCACCAAGATTGTTACATATACGAAGTGAAAATTAATATAATTTGACACTATAGTGATATAAAATATTGTATTTTTCCTTGTCTCTTTGAACAACTTTATCACATATAATGCCAAAAATGACAAAATCCCAAGGGAAAGGGTAGGCTTCTATTTTAAAGATGATTCATGTATCTATAATATTTGGAAAATATGAAATTAGGGTGAGATCAGAAATATGTAGAAGTATGAATCTCTTGATTACATAAGAATGCTAAATACTGCCTTAGGTCATATACGGTAGACTTTTTACAAAAATACACTGGAAACTGTTACTAAATTCTTATCACTTTTGTGAAGCCAGCTGTCAACTTGAGATCTGGTAACAGATATCTATAGGTTTCTAATTGTTGCCAGCGAAATCACCCTGTTATGTTTGGATGTGTGTGCCTTCCAAATCTCATGTGCTCCCCAGTGTTGGAGGTGGGGCCTAGTGGGAAGTGTTAGATAATGGGGAAGGATTGCTCCTGAATGGCTTAGCTCCATACCCTCGATGATGAGTGAATTCTTGCTCTGTTAGTTTACAGGAGAACTGTTTGTTTAAAAGGATCCTGGCACTTCCTCCTCTCTCTCTTGCTCCCTCTCTTACCATGTGACATGCTGGCTCCCGTTCACCTTCCACCACGACTGGAAGCTTTCTGAGGCCCTCATCAGAAGCTGATGTTAGCATTCTGCTTTGTGAATAGCCTGCAGAACTGTGAGCTAAATAAACCTCTCTTCTTTATAACTTACCCAGTCTCAGTATTTCTTTATAGCAATGCAACTGGACTAATACCCCCTCATTTTGTTTATTTTTGAAAATGTAAGGCCAGTTTTTAAAAATTTAAATTGATCTATCTGAAATATTGCTCATTCCTAATTCACCATCTATACAGTCCACTTATTGAGTTACCAAAAATGCAAATATATTCTTAAAATGTTGTGAGCATATAAATTCTATGCTTAAAAGGCTTTAAACAGTCCTATTAACTGGTAAGTGCTTTTCAAAGTGTTTCACTGAAGTATCTAGAATTGCACTAAAGATTTAACATATATGTCTGGGGGTGGTCTTTTTTTTGAGGTATATTTTAGGTCCAGTGAAATGCACAAAATTATGTGTACAATTCAAAATATTTTGAAAATATGTTCACCTGAATAACTCAGATTTCTACCAAAATATAAAATATTTTCATCATTTAAAAAAGATTCATTATACTTCTACCTAAACTGCATACTTATCCCTATTCTACCTATCAAGAAACCACCACTGTTCTGATCTCTTAAAATCATTTGCTTTATTACTTGACTGTAAGAGAAATTTGTATTTAACTACAGAGTGTCTGGCATCTTTTGAACAGCTGAATAGCTTAATATTTTTGAGATTTATCATTTGTGTGTGTATTAGTAGCTTATTACATTTTTGTTTTAATTTCCTAAGACTTATTTGACTATATGGATATACAACCATTTGTCTAGCCATCCTTAGTTGATAGATATTTAATGTTTGCTCTCTTTAACAATTATGAATAAAGTTGTTATGGACATCATCTGTATTAGTCTGTTCTTATATTGCTGTGAAGAAATACCCAAGACTGGGTAATTTATAAAGAAAAGAGGTTTAATCGACTCACAGTTGCACATGGCTGGGGAAGCCTCAGGAAACTTAAAATCATGGTAGAAGGCATCTGTTTGCAGGGTGGCCAGAGAGATAATGGGTGCCAGCAGGAGAAATGCCAGAAACTTATAAAACCATCAGATCTCGTGAAAACTCACTAACTTTCATGAGAACAGCATGGAGGAACCGACCCTATTATTCAATTACTTCCCACCAGGTCCCTCTCATGACACATAGGGATTATGGGAACTACAATTCAAGATGAGATTTGGATGGGGTCACAGCCAAATCATATCAACATTCTTGTGCACTTTTTTGTGTATATATGTTTTCCTGTCTCCTGTTTAAATATCTAGGTATGAAATAACTTGGTCATATTTCAAAATAACTTTGTCTACTTTTAAGAAAATCTGAGAGGCTAATTTGCAAAATGATTTTACCATCTTATTCTTCCATCACTAACTTCCACATATTCATAGAAACATTGAGTGTTACCAGTCTTTTCAAATTCTAGTGGGTATGCAGTGGTATGTCATTGTGGTTTTATTTGGCTTTGTCAAATTAATTGTAGATATGTTCCTTTGGTCTGTAGTTTGTTTCTTGGGTCCTCAAAAAAAGAAAGAAAGGGAAAGACAGAGAAAGGAGAAAGAAGGAGAAAGAGAGAAAGAAAGAATGAAAGAAAGAAAGAGAAGGAAAGAAAGAAAAAGAAAGAGAAAGAAAGAAAGAGAAAGAAGAAGGGAGAAAGGAAGAGAGAGAGAGGAAGAGAGGGAGGCGGGGGGAGGGAGGGAGGAAGGAAAGAAGGAAAGAAGGAAAGGAAAGGAAAGGACAGGAAGGAAGGAAGGAGAAGAGAAGGGAGAGAGAAAGAGAGAGAGACAGAAAAGGAGAAAAAGAGAAAGGAAGGAAGGATGTTTGCTTACCATGAGACTAGGAAGATACTTATGTTTTCTTGTAGAAGTTTATATTTTTAGCCTATGTTCAATCTCAAAGTAATCTCTACATACTGTGTGAGGTATAAGTTGACATTCATTTTTTTATTATACTTTAAGTTCTGGGATACATGTGCAGAACGTGCAGGTTTGTTACATAGGTATACATGTACCATGGTGGTTTGCTGCACCAATCAACCCGTCATCTACGTTAGGTATTTATCCTAATACTATCCCTTCCCTAGTCCCCCACCCCCAACAGGCCCCAGGGTCTGATGTTCCCCTCCCTGCGTCCATGTGCTCTCATTGTTCTACTCCCATTTATGAGTGAAAACATGCGGCATTTGTTTTTCTGTTCCTGTGTTAGTTTGCTGAGAATAATGTTTTCCAGTTTCATCCAAGTCCCTGCAAAGGACATGAACTCATCCTTTTTTATGGCTGCATAGTATTCCATTGTATATCTGTGCCACATTTTCTTTATCCAGTCTGTCATTGATGGACATTTGGGTTGGTTCCAAGTCTTTGCTATTGTGAATAGTGCTGCAATAAACATACATATGCATGTGTCTTTAGGGAAGAATGATTTATAATCCTTTGGGTATATACCCAGTAATGAGATTGCTGGGTCAAATGGTATTTCTGGTTCTGGATCCTTGAGGAATCACCACACTGTCTTTTACAATGGTTGAACTGATTTACACTCCCATCAGCAGTGTAAAAGCTTTCCTATTTCTCCACATCCTCTTCAGCATCTGTTGTCTCCTGACTTTTTAATGATCGCCATTCTAACTGGCGTGAGATGGTATCTCATTGTGGTTTGATTTGCATTTCTCTAATGACCAGTGATGATGAGTTTTTTTTTTTTCATATGTTTGTTGGTCGCATAAATGCCTTTTTTTGAGAAGTGTATGTTCATATCCTTTGCCCACTCTTTGATTTTTTATTTTTGTAAATTTGTTTAAGTTCTTTATAGATTCTGGATATCAGCCCTTTGTCAGATGGATAGGTTGCAAAAATTTTCTCCAATTCTGTAGGTTGTCTGTTCACTCTGATGATAGTTTCTTTTGCTGTGCAGTAGCTCTTTAGTTTGATTAGATCCCATTTGTCAATTTTGGCTTTTGTTGCCCTTGCTTTTGGTGTTTGCCCATACCTATGCCCTAAATGGTATTGCCTAGGTTTTCTTCTAGGGTTTTTATGGTTTTAGGTCTCATGCTTAAGTCTTTAATCCATCTTGAGTTAATTTTTGTATAAGATGTAAGGAAGGGGTCCAGTTTCAGTTTTCTGCACATGGCTAGCCAGTTTTCCCAACACCATTTATTAAATAGGGAATCCTTTCCCCACTGCATTTTGTCAGGTTTGTCAAAGATCAGATTGTTGTAGAGGGGTGGTGTTATTTCTGAGGCCTCTGTTCTGTTTCATTGGTCTATATATCTGTTTTGGTACCAGTAGCACGCTGTTTTTGTTACTGTAGCCTTGTAGTATAGTTTGAAGTTAGATAGCGTGATGCCTCCAGCTTTGTTCTTTTGGCTTAGGATTGTCTTGGTAGTAGGGGCTCTTTTTTGTTCCACATGAAATTTAAAGTAGTATTTTCTAATTCTGTGAAGAAAATCAGTGGTAGCTTGATGGGGATAGCATTGAATCTGTAAATTACTTTGGGCAGTATGGCCATTTTCATGATATTGATTCTTCCTATCCATAAGCATGAAATGTTTTTCCATTTGTTTGTGTTCTCTCTTATTTCCTTGAGCAGTGATTTGTAGTTCTCCTTAAAGAAGTCCTCCACATCCCTTGTAAGTTTTATTCCTAGGTATTTTATTCTCTTTGTAGCAATTGTGAATGGGAGTTCACTCATGATTTGGCTCTCTGTTTGTCTATTATTGGTGTATAGGAATGCTTGTGATTTTTGCACATTGATTTTCTATCCTGAGACTTTGCTGAAGTTGCTTATCAGCTTAAGGAGCTTTGGGGCTGAGGTGATGGGGTTTTCTGAAAATACAATCATGTCATCTACACACAGAGACAATTTGACTTCCTCTCTTCCTATTTGAGTACGCTTTATTTCATTCTCTTGTCTGATTGACCTGGCCAGAACATCCAATACTATGTTTAGGAGTGGAGAGAGAGGGCATCCTTGTCTTGTGCTGGTTTTCAAAGGCAATGCTTCCAGCTTTTGCCTATTCAGTATGATATTGGCTGTGGTTTGTCGTAAATAACTCTTCTTATTTTGAGATACATCCCATCAATACCTAGTTTATTGAGTTTTTAGCATGAAAGGGTGTTGAAGTTTATCGAAAGCCTTTTCTGCATCCATTGAGATAATCACATGGTTTTTGTCATTGGTTCTGTTTATGTAATGGATTACGTTTATTGGTTTGTGTATGTTGAACCAGCCTTGCATCCCAGGGATGAAGCCGACTTGATCGTGGTGGATAAGCTTTTTGATGTGCTGCTGGATTCAGTTTGTCAATATTCAATATTTTATTGAAGATTTTCGCATCGATGTTCATCAGGGATATTGGCCTGAAATTTTCTTTTTTTTGTTGTGTCTCTGCCAGGTTTTGGTATTAGGATGATGCGGGCCTCATAAAATGAGTTAGTGAGGAGTCCCTCTTTTTCTATTGTCTGGAATCGTTTCAGAAGGAATGGTACCAGCTCCTCTTTGTAGGTCTGGTAGAATTCGGCTGTGAATCCGTCTGGTACTGGGATTTTTTTTTATTGGTAGGCTTTTTTTTTTTTTTTTTTTTTTTGGAGGAGTCTCTCTCTGTCACCCAGGTTGGAGTGCAGTGGTGCGATCTCAGCTAACTGCAACCTCCGTCTCCCAGGTTCAAGCAATTCTCCTGCCTCAGCTTCCCGAGTAGCTGGGACTACAGGAGCATGCCACCAGACCTGGCTAAATTTTTGTATTTTAGTAGAGACGGGGTTTCACCATGCTGCCCAGGCTGGTCTCAAACTCCTGAGCTCAGGCAGTCCACATGCCTCGGCCTCTCTAAGTGCCGGGATTACAGGCATGAGCCACTGTGCCCAGCCGATTGATAGGCTATTAATTACTGCCTCAATTTCAGAACTTGTTATTGGTCTATTCAGTGATTCGACTCCTTCCTGGTTTAGTCTTGGGAGGGTGTATGTGTCCAGGAATTTATCTATTTCTTCTAGATTTTCTAGTTTATCTGCATAGAGGTGTTTATAGTATTCTCTGATGGTAGTTTGTATTTCTATGGGATCAGTGGTGATATCCCCTTTCTCATTTTTATTGTGTCTATTTAATTCTTCTCTCTTTTCTTCTTTATTAGTCTGGATAGTGGTCTATTTTGTTAATCTTTTCAAAAAACCAGCTCCTGGATTCATTAATTTTTTGAAGGGTTTTTCATGTCTCTATCTCCTTCAGTTCTGCTCTGATCTTAGTTATTTCTTATCTTCTGCTAGTTTTGAATTTGTTTTCTCTTGCGTCTCTAGTTCTTTTAATTGTGATGTTAGGGTGTCGATTTTAGATCTTTCCCACTTTCTCCTGTGGGTATTTAGTACTATAAATTTCCCTCTAAACACTGCTTTACCTGTGTGCCAGGGATTTCAGTATGTTGTGTCTTTGTTCTAATTAGTTTCAAAGAACTTATTTATTTCTGCCTTAATTTCGTTATTTATCCAGCAGTCATTTAGGAGCAGGTTGTTGAGTTTCCACGTAGTTGTGCGGTTTTGAGTGAGTTTCTTAATCCTGAGTTCTAATTTGATTACACTGTGATCTGAGAGACTGTTTGTTATGATTTCCGTTCCTTTGCATTTGCTGAGGAATGTTTTATTTCCAATTATGCGGTCAATTTTAGAATAAGTGCAATGTGGTGCTGAGAAGAATATATGTTCTGTTGATTTGGGGTGAAGAGTTCTGTAGATGTCTATTAGGTCTGCTTGGTCCAGAGCTGAGTTCAAGTCCTGAATATCCTTGTTAATTTTCTGTCTCATTGATCTGTAAAACTGATGTTCATTTTTTAAATCACTTTAACAGCAAGTTGTTCCAGCAGCATACATTGAAAACACTTTCATTTCCCTGTTGAGTCATTTTGGTGCCATGGTTGAAAATACATTAACTGTACAAATGTGTGCCAATTTCTGGACTCTATTCTGTTACCTTAATCTAATTATCTATTTTTAGACTAGTACCATATCAACCTCATTGGTAACTACAGATGGGAGCAAAGTTTTTATTTCAGATGGTGTGTATCTCTTACAAAATTGTTAGTTTTCAGCGTTCTTTTATCTATTCCAAGTTCTTTGAGTTTATACATAGATTTTATGATTAGCTGATCAATTTCTACAAAACATATTCTGAAATTTTCATTAGGATTGTATCGAATCTACTATAGATCAACATGAAAGAATCGGCAGCTTAAAAATATTGTTCCCCTCACTCTATCGCACTGATATAAATCCCTATTTGTTTAAGTATTTTAAAATTTATCTCAGTATGGTTTTGTTCAACTTCATTCCACAAATTACAATATGGCATATTCAGTTCAAAATATTTTTTAAAATTTTCCATTTTAATTTATTCTTCTGACCTGTGGGTTATTTACAAATAGATTGCTTGGTTTGCAAATATGTGGGGATTTTCCAGTTGCCTTTTTAGTGTTGATTTCTAATCTATAATATTCTGTGTATAGTTCTTATACATATTTTATTAAATTTACTATGAAATATATCAAATTTTAAAAACATACTGCTATATCTGATATTTTAACTGCAATACACACACACACACACACACACACACACACACTAATAACTTGGTATTCTGAGACTTTGCTAAATTCATTTATTAGCACTAGTAGTTTTTTGTATTGTTCTATTTTGTTTTGGTTTTTGGTCCCTTATGGTTTTCCACACAGATGATTATATCATCTGTGAAACAAAGAGCTATACAAGGTCTATATGCAGTCTTACTCTAAGAGTGAGTCCATCCCTCAATGGAGTTTCACGAAGATTTCCATTCAAGCAGGTTTTTATGGCATTTATTTAAATATCAGCTTATGAACAGGCATAAAGGAAATCCTATTCAGTTCTAGAATGTGATGATTTATCAATGCACTCTTGAAGGGAGAAGAGGCTAGCTATCAGCAAGAGCAGAACTGTGACAGAAACACCCTAAGGAAAAAAGTCACAATACAAAGATTACTAGAATAAATGTGGGATTTATTCTATTATTATATAACAAAACAGTTATATAATAATTTCTTAGGAATAGCAGGAGCCATGCTGCTAACCTAACTGGTCAAGTAACAATCACTCAATGGAATGAAGTGACTGTGAGCAGCTGTTAACAGGATTCTCTCTCTTTTCAACCAAGAGCTATCAATGTAAATTAAGAATTGAAAAGGCGATTTTTAAAGATGATCAGCCATCAGAGGGCATACCCTGGCTTAGGAGACATGCCTGCTGATCTCTTATCTGGCCCTGTTTGAGTATTTCCATAGAGACGAATGTACACAGTATGCCATACAAAACAGTATATTAGAGTAGAAAAATAATTAGCTACTCTACAACTAGGCAGGGAGAAGATAGATTGGTCCAGAAAATGTCTCATGCTGCCCAGCTTAAAATACTTGGCTTGTGGTCAGGCGCCGTGGCTCAGACCTATAATCTCAGCATTTTGGGAGGCTGAGGCGGGCAGATCACGAGGTCAAGAGATCGAGACCATCCTGGCCAACATGGTGAAACCCGTCTCTACTAAAAATACAAAAATTTGCTGGGCATAGTGGCACATGCCTGCAGTCCCAGCTACGCAGGAGGCTGAGGCAGGAGAATCACTTGAATCTGGGAGGCAGAGGTTGCAGTGAGCTGAGATTGCGCCACTGCACTCCAGCCTGGCGACAGAGGGAGGCTCTGTTTCAAAAAAAAAAAAAAGAAAAGAAAAGAAAAAAATACCTGGCTTGTTTATAACTCATCTGTAGGAAAAAATAAAGAACAATAATTTGAGAACATCATACTCATACTTACCCGAGACTGATCTAAATTTCTGAGAAGGCATTTTAAAGGTTGTATTGTGTTTACAAAGTGGACAAAGCAGGTAGAAATTACAGCAAAAGGGGGCTATGGAAAACCTCTTAAAATAGGTTGTTGGGGAATATATTTAAGTTGAAGATATACATAAAGTGTAAGGGAAACAACAAAATCTTGTTTGGAGATGGAATTATCTAGAAGACAATGGAAAAGTTAGACAAGAATCCCCAGGAGAATTTTCAGGATGCGTTAAAATGTATAATTATAATATTTGATTTTGAGATAGTTTCTGTAACTTACCCGTGAAGGTAGAAAATTAGTTATGGAAGTGAGAAATAATTAAATTTAAGAGATTTTATATAGACTTAGAAAACTCGGTTACAATAATATTGGTTTTTTTCTAAACAAACAAACAAACAAAAAATAACAAAAAACCCTCTTATGTTTGGACAGAAGATGAAGGGAATTGTAGCTGGATACCACACAGTTTCCAATAGTCAATCCAAAGAAAGAGGAAATTACTAACCAACAAAGTAGCTGTGTCCTACTTGAAGATTTCTCTGGAATGTAAATTAGAATTTTACACGGCATCAGTTTAGTCTAGAGGATTACACTTAGGTTAGGAAATGCTGACTCTTCCCAAGCTTCCTTAAATATCATCTTCTGAGATCGTGCTCCTGGCAAAAATCCATCAAACTCTGTGGTTTCTAAAAGCATGGTCTTTCAGAGTGTATATGAAATGGAATTTGTTGTGGGCTCTAAATATTTCTGTGTTTAACAAACTAGGGGTTGGTATATTAATCAATCCACAGCAGTCAACTTAATGGTCAGATAATTAAAGTTTATGTATGTGCAAGGGTGGGGATTAAATGAATCCAGCCTAGTTCCCTCCGAAAGTTTTTCTTGGAACAACTTGACAGATTCAGGAGACATTAGCAGGGAGTATGGCAGGACCACCAGCTCTGCCATATAAAGTTGGAGTTATTTACTTTTATGGAGATGATGTAGCCCTAACCAGGTCTAGTAACATGATTAGAATTTCTGTCATTGCTGGTGACTCTGAGTTTACTTTCAGAAAAGTATATGATTTGAAGAATGACAGAAATTGTCACGTGGTTTTTTAAGTAGTAATGACCATCATAGTTAATGATTGACATTTCTTTCAGTCGAACAATATCAGGACTCTCTTCTTGTTAGAAGAATTCCTACATATTATTAATTTTGGAGGAAAGCAGAAATTGCTTCTTACTATGAAAGTTCAGAATGTCAGACACTCACTTTTCCAGCTCCCCATGCTGCCAGAAAGTAGACATGTTTCCTGTGCCCTGCCAATTGGATACACTTCACTTCATACTTGACTCAGGAGCTAGTGACCCAAAAAGCAGGATACAGTCAAACTGTTTTTCTCTTGGGTAGCAATGGTGGAGGTCTGGGGTAAGCAAGAATATATCCTTAGTACAGAAATGGCAGTTATATTAGCAGCACTAGCAGTGGCACCTCAATTAAATCTCTGGGGCAAAAAAAAAAAAAGAGAGAGAGAGAGAGAAGTGATAGCCATGAAACTGGACTCTAGTGAGTGGCAAGTTCAGTAGTTCTGTTATTAGACCAGTTCTGTAGCTTAGTTTTGGAAAATTATTCCTGAACATTTAATTGCAAACATTCTTTTCTAGTTTTTCCAAATATTCTATGAGCTGCTCTTCATCTATTTAATAAATTCCTTATCTAATGCCATCAGGCAGAGGTTGTACTTCATTGGAAACTAACACATATGACAGACAAACAATCTAGATAATATTAATATCCTTTTAAGTTGTGATATATTACAGTATCTTAAATTGTTTCCGAAAAGTAGACCCATAAACAAGGACTTGAATATAAGTAGTATATTTGTGAAATGATTTCAGGAAATACCCATTTGGGAGTGGAGAAGTAAAGGAAAGGGAAATATGTCAATACATATTGTATTATTGGGCAATTTTATTTCTTTGTACAACTCTCCGAGAAACTGTAGAATGTGTCTGAGTCTTATCCCTCTTCACCCAAGAGAAGATGATATGGCCAAGTGGCCTATTATGATCAGTGTAACTCTAAGCCAGGAACCTTACACATACAGCAGAGGCAGCTGCATCCTGAGAAGGGCACTGCACCTACACAGCAGTTTCTTCCAGCCACCTAGTCCTTGCTTAATCAATATGCCCATATATTGACATCAAATCAACACATTCAAAGATACTTATCTTCTTTCTCCTGCTCTAAGTTTTATTGCCAAGAACCGATCTGGACTCTGTGCTTGAACTGTATATTAATCTTCTATTTATGCTATAACTAACTGCCATAAATTTAGTAGCTTTAAAAGAACACAAATTTTCCTCTTACAGTTCAAGAAATCAGAAGTCCAACACCAGTTTCCCTACACAGTTTCTAGGTATTGGCAAGGCTGGTTCCTGCAGAGAAACAGAAGAGAGAATCTGTGTCCCTTACCTTTTCAGCTTCTAGTGGCCTCTTGTATTCCTTGGCTGGTGGCACTTTCCTCCATCGTCAAAGCCTATTACGCCAGTCTCTGTCTCCATCATCATCTAACTTTTTCTCTGGTTCCAACTCCTTTCCTGTCCCCCTTATAAAGTCACTTGCAAAACCACTGGACCTACTCAGATAATTCAGCATAATCTCCTCATCTCAAAATCCTTTCTTCAGTCACATCTACAAAGTTCCTTTTGCTATAGAAGGTAAGATTCACAGTGTCTGGGGATTTGAATATGAACATCTTGGGATCATTATTCAACCTATCACAAATGGGATTCTCTGCTTAAGAGTAAAAGTCATTCATTCAACAGTCTTTCTTTGGTTTTGAAATGCCTTTGTTTGTTTTGTAACAGAGGGAAACCTGGGAAATTTATCTTTCAACTAACGTTTCTCATTGGCTGGAAGCTGCTTTAAGGGCATTCACTTCTAAGCACTTTCTGACTGCCTTCCCTCCACCCTCACTCATTAGTCAACAGAAAGTCCTGAGGTGCAGAGTTCCAGGTATTTTTAGTAAGATGCTACTGGCATACACTGGAATGATAAGTATTGACGGGACAGGGGGATGGCATAAATAATGTATGTTACATATTGAAAACAATGAAAATATATTGTGAATTAACCAGATGACACACCTAATCATGACCTAAATACAATGTAAACAAATTAAGTTCTAGATAATGGGCCAGAGAGATTGCATGCAATGGCTAACTTTCCCTTGGGACCATGATTAAAAGCTGACACTAAAAACTGCCTATATTTCTATAGTTCTAATATTCTTCACTGATAAGACTCAAGAAAAAGAAAATGAAAAATATGTTTTATGGCAGACATGAGAATTCCTTGATCAGGAAGAGGAGGCAATTACATGCCACTCCTTTAATATCCAGGAGAGACATTGTTGCCAGGACATCTCCTGGTTTGGAGGAAAAAGCTGGAAGATCTAGTGACAGCAACGATTTCAAAGAGAGTGTTTAAACAATTTACTGTTAAGTGTTTTGAATAGTTACTTAGCTTTAGCGTGTTAGTCTTTTTTTTGGAAATTAAGCCTCAAAAACAAGCATGATAATTACTTGATCATATTTTGGACATTAACATTTCAGTGGTATTCCCACAGAATCTGAGCAGTATGTAATTCATTCAGGTTTGAGAAGAGCAGGATCCGTATCTCGATGAAAAATAAAAAACAAAAAAGCAAAAACAGATCTTATAGTGCTGAAACAAAAACAGATCTTATAGTGCAGGAAACACTCATTAAATTATAAAGTCAGCATATCACACAAAATTTGGGTTTAGGCAAAATTCTACTTAGAAATTGTTTTGGCCATAGTCCAGAATTCAGTAATTAAAATATTCAGGAGGTTTTTGTGCTTTTTTAAAAAATTTATTTATTTATTTATCTTTTTTTAGGTTGGAAGACATGTTCTGGATATCTTTGTCTTATAAGGGTGATTCAGTTTTCCTACAGGAACTCAATGGACCAATGGACTATTCAGTAGTATTTAATGATGCAGATGAAATCCTTCCTTATTCTTGACCCCATGAATATTACATTTTGCTTCTTCATTAGTGATCACAAAATTGCCCCCTCATTATTCCCAGAGGTTTAACCAGCATTCACTGAGAATCATGGGTTAAACAGTTTCACGCTAAGAGAACCTAGAGGGATAAGACTGAGGAAATTGCAGATTTATATCTTTTCTATCATGCCTTCTCTGGGAACCTACAAAGATGTTCCATACTATTTAAAGTTGTTAATTTTTCTCTCACATATTATTCTACCTGAGCAACCATATTTGAATTTTAGTTAATTTGATAGGTTTATAGTGTGACTTAAAATGTTAATCTTGATGCTTAACCTGGGGTAGATCTAGTTTCTCTTAATTCTTGAAACATATTTAATTTGGAAGCCTTTATTTAAATAAAATAGAATACAAAATTACACATATAAAGTTGGGTATAGAGTGCTGAAAGGTTACCTTGCCGGTGAGGGACGTGGGTGCTTAATTCATAGATTCAGAGTAATCCTGTCTTTGGGCTCTCAAATTTGATTGTTTTTGATTTTTGGGAAACAGAGAGAGTTTTTGAGCAGGAAAATACCTGTATAAAAATAATTTGGAAAAGTTGTAACAGACCAATCAGAACAAGAAAATGGTGAATGCAGGAAAATCTATTAAAATTCCATTATAACAATTTAGGCATAATTTGTTTTTAGGTCCTATCTAGGTGACTGCATTAGCACTGGAGCTGAAAAACTTTTCAGGGTTTGAGAGAAGAATAGTTGTAAGAAGTGAAGGAAAAGGGAGAATTAAGGATAATCTTGGGGATCTGGTGTCTACAAGGATAGTGGATGGGAGAATTGTTTTGCTAAATGTACGATATAAAAAGTCAAGGCCGGGCACTGTGGCTCACGCCTGTAATCCCAGCACTTTGGGAGGCCAAGGCAGGCAGATCACAAGGGTCAGGAGTTCAAGACCAGCCTGGCCAACACAGTGAAACTTCGACTCTACTAAAAATGCAAAAAGTAGCCCGGTGTGGTGGTGTGCACTTGTAATCCCAGATACTCGGGAGGCTGAGGCAGGAGAATCGCTTGAACCTAGGAGGTAGAGGTTGCAGTGAGCCAAGACCCCACCATTGCACTCTAGTCTGGGCAACAGAGTGAGACTCAGCCTCAAAAAAAAAAAAAAAAAGTCAAGAAGAGGATCAAGTTTTTAATTCTGATTTGCAATATTTTAAGATTTACTTGCCGACCCAAAACAAGAAAATCGAGGTGAAAGTATTTACTAGGAAGGAAGTTGAAAATGGAAGTCGAGTCTCTGGCAGGTAGCTTAAGGCTAAAAAATAGAGATTTTTCTACATAACTTATAATTTAAAAAATTTTTAAAAATATATAAAAATATCTATATTCATAAGTTTTTTCATTGCACTATAGATTATTGAAGGAAATATTATAGAAATTATTTTTAAAGGTGTCAAGTGGAAACAAAAATTAGAATGTATCACTTTATGGCAAAAGTTCTGTGAAAAGCTCTTACTGGTGCCATTTTCACTGAGGTAAAAAAATAAGTAGGAAACAGTTGACATCAAACTTACAAATATATATATATGTGAGTAGCCAGAAAATTAAATAAAATGTCAGTCATTAAAATGGAACAAAAATGGAGAAAAATAATTACTCCCAAGTCTGAGACAAAATCGGAAAATTATCTTAGCATATTAAAGTCTCCATGGAGACAGCAGGTCTTAGGAATACTGTAGGTTTTGACTCACAAAAATTATGGGAGAGACCACAGGAGGATGTCATTTTCAAAAAGCATATATTAAAACATAAGACACTACTGGTTTTGATAAATGAGTCCTGTTTCCATCCAGTATTATCTAAATAGCTATATTAACATGGGAAGTACAATAACTTCAGTCTTCTGTAAGGGTCATACCACATATTTCTCTTATGAACATATACGTATGAAAATAAATATAAATTTTTTAACTCAGTAACCTTCTCTATTATAATGTAATCTTTATTTTGTCTTGTGACTAAGTAATAAGTTATTGGAAATTTGCTGCCATTTTAATCAATTGCATAGGTAAAATATGTTCCTCATTTTTAATTTAAAAATCACATAATTGTTGCAGAATAGAATTTTGTAAGAACAACATCTTGCCTGTTACCTGCCTAATGGATAGTATCATTCAAAGACAGCGATTTGGAAACAGGCTACTACAGGGACTGAGAATTGCCATCATTCTCCATCTCTCCCACCATTCTAAGTAAAAGTGATAAAGAAAAACCCTAGCTTGCTATATTATTAGCAAAAATGTCAATTCGTGGATTATTAGTGTAATGGTTACAGGCAGTTAATATTGTAACATCTGGATCTAATGAAGAAATTCAGAGGCAAAAACATTTAGTGAGAGTTTAAATGAGGCCATTCATTTGTTTTTGAACAAAGATATCCCCCCAAGTCCCAAACGCAAAAGTGAGCAATGTTTGATTAAGACATACCTTTAAAATTGTGTTAGTCAGTTAAACAACCATAATTTTCTGTGATACAATAAAAAAGTGGATGAAAAACAAGATTGAATACATTATAATGCCTGAGTCTAGAGTGGTTTTAATTTACAATAAAAATGGTTTTGCCTATAGAAATGGCATCCTTGTATACATTATTATTACATAATAACAACTAAAATTCGAAAATATTTTTATTATACACAATTTCAGAACAATATACTCTAGTTAGTAAGGACTTTAATAGTTACAAATTCTATTAAAATTATAGTGAAATACTTAATCAATATGGATTTTTAAGACTGATACTAGCTAGAATGATAAGCATCCAAAATTAAAAATGGAGTTATTCAACAATGAGCTGTTCAAACATAAATATTTGTGCTTCATACTTTCTTAGAAATACATTTCTTTATGAAACTTAAATGTTCAGAGTGCTAAATTAGACTACTGTTCAATTTTCCTTAAAATGGAAGACTGGCCAGTGGTCCCAGTTCAAACACCTTTCTTGGAAAGCAGAAATAGAAAGAGAGTAGGAAATAGAAAGCAGAAAGAGAAAGAGAGTAGGAATAACTGAATTAAGGTAACATATGGTATTTTAGCTGGTACAAGTTGTGTAAAGAGAACACTATTGGCCAGGTGTAGTGGCTCATGCCTGTAATCCCAGCACTTTGGGAGGCCAAGGAGGGTGGATTGCCTGAGGTCAGGAGTTCGAGACCAGCCTGACCAATATGGTGAAACCCCCATCTCTACTGAAAATACAACAATTAGCCGAGCGTGGTGGCATGCACCTGTAGTCCCAGCTACTCGGGAAGCTTAGGCAGGAGAATTGCTTAAACCTAGGAGGCAGAGGTTGCAGTGAGCTGAGATCATGCCACTGCAACCTCAGGAACAGGAAGAGATCTCAGGAACAGGAAGGTAAGACCCCCAGTAAAAACTATCTTGGTCCAAAGGAGGTAAAATGGTAGACTTAAGAAACTACTCGTTCTTTGTTACTATTTTGTGTCTCCAGTTATAACACTAATTTGTTATGACTTTTTAAAACCACACAAATGTAAACAAACAGATAATTGTGAATTAAACTAAATGAACTCCAAAATTGTCAGTTTCCAGCATCTAAATTATTACAAAAGTATTATCACATTCAAATTCACTAAAAGAGTTAAAAACAAAACAAAGTATACCCTCAGTAGTGCTGACTCCATCACTGCTTTTCATTAAAATTGTTTTTAACTCTTCATTTTCCCTAACAGCTGAATTTTAATTTATGTATTTTGGAAACCAGCCATGGATCATTTAAAGCTACCTTTAAATGGGCTCTAGTGTAACCGCTAAATGGTTTACAATGTAAAACTAAGCACTTGAGTAGGATTTTTTTTTCTGTTCTTTTAGGGCTGTCTGCTAATTATAGTCTATATGAAGTGCCATAATTAAACCTAGAAACAGTTCAGAATCGCTAAGATTTTAAAACCTATTGACCTTTAACAGTAAGATTACTTTTAATGACACAATTAATGCAGTTCTCAAATGTGGGCCAATTCTTCATGGTGATGTCAGTCTGTCTACAATGCAAAAGAAGACCACCTGACATTAATGTCTACTTAGTGCATGGCTAGCACATACTGAAGGCCCTAACAATTAAGGTAGAAAATTATTAAATTTCTTAGTCAAGTTTTATTTTTGAAAACCTAGAATCATCTATAATTTGTCTCATTTTAGATTATACTTACCCTTTATTCAGCAACTTAAATTAACTGAAATAACACATAATTTAAAAACTAAATTTTCAATAACATTAATATGAGAATGGCCGCAAATTTGAAAAAAAAATACTCATGAGTCAAGCTAGTAGGAAATCTTAAATATACATAAATTTAAATGAGCAAAGGGAAATGACATGAAGAATATTGGGTTGAGGATTTGGGGATTTGTGAAAAGAACCAATAAGAAATGTGAGGCATGGTGCAAGTGCAACAAATCTTTATGAGTATTTGTGAGTACTTTATGATTTCTATTATTCCAAGTACTTGAGTATCTCAAGTCTTTCATTATCTGAATAAATTGTCAATTTATGTCATCACTTTCACACATCTTATTCTCCCCTCTGACATGCTTAATTTAAAACCATAAACTTCAGTTTAACACATGCCTTTAAAGTTAATGAGGAAGTAGATTTAAAATTACTTGAATAAAAGTACACTTTTTCGAATAAAAGTACATTTTTTTAACCATAACATTTCTGCTTTATAGCAATAGTTTACACCCACAAAGCCCAATCATAGTTCTAATATGACACATTGCCATGTTTAACATGGGTTTAAAATATCTTGATAAACAAATGGGACTGTTATTTGAGAGGCTGTGTGGAACATATAAAAAAACTGGAAAGAAGAAAAAACTGTTTTCTTTTATATGTCTCATTTCTTCATAGGATTCATGTCAACAGTGAAGTTCAATGAGAGCATTTCATGTCTTATTTGTTATTTTGTGGCCAGGCTGAATTATATTAAAATGGCTTGCTTCTAAATACCAATACAACAAAAGTTTCATTAATGTCTTCAGTTATACAAACTGCGTAAGGCCCTTGGAGACTATTTTAATAAGTATAAAATACAGAACCTAGTCTCAGAAAGATCAGAGTACTTCCTCAGGAGACCAAGCATGCAAGTGTGAAGTACAAACCTTTGTATATGTGACCTTTCTATAACCTATAAAAAGTGATGTCATTCAATGGTTGAAAACTTCAGTCAAGTCATCTAGTTACTGTGTGTGTGATAATGCAGGGAAATATCAATGCAGCATAAATAAATTGCAAATATTTTTTTAAAAATTTAAATGAGCAGCCTATAATGACTTTTCTCTTAAAAATTAAAAAGTTTTTTTAATGACAAACCCACAGCCAATATCATACTGAATGGGCAAAAACTGGAAGCATTTACTTTGAAAACTGGTACAAGACAAGGATCCCCACTCTCACCACTCCTATTCAACATAGTATTAGAAGTTCTGGCCAAGGCAATCAGGCAAGAGAAAGAAATAAAGGTGTTCAAACAGGAAGAGAAGAATCCAAATTGCCTCTGTTTTCAGATGACATGACTGTATATTTAGAAAACCCCATTGTCTCAGCCCCAAATCTCCTTAAGCTGAATAGCAACTTCAGCAAAGTCTCAGGATAGGAAATCAATATGCAAAAATCACAAGCATTCCTATACACCAATAATAGACAAACAAAGAGCCAAATCATGAATGAACACCCATTCACAATTTCACTAAGAGAATAAAATACCTAGGAATACAACTTAGAAGGGATGTGAAGGACCTCTTCAAGGAGAACTACAAACCACTGCTCAAGGAAATAAGAGAGGACACAAACAAATGGAAAAACATACCATGCTCATGGATAGGAAGAATCAATATTGTGCAAATGATACCATCAAGCTACCACTGACTTTCTTCACAGAACTGGAAAAAACTACTTTAAACATCATATGGAACCAAAAAAGAGCCTGCATAGCCAAGACAATCCTAAGCAAAAAGAACAAAGCTGGAGGGATCATGCTACCTGACTTCAAACTATATTACAAGGTTACAGACACAAAAACAGCATGCTACTGGTACCAAAACAGATATATAGACCAATGGAACAGAACAGAGACCTCAGAAATAACACCACACGTCTACAACCATCTGATCTTTGACAAACTTGACACAAACAAGCAATGGGGAAAAGATTCCCTATTTAATAAATGGTGTTGGGAAAACTGGCTAGCCATATGCAGAAAACTGAAACTGGACCCCTTCTTTACACCTTATACGAAAATCAGCTCAAGATGGATTGAAGACTTAAATGGAAGACCTAAAACCATAAAAACCCTAGAAGAAAACCTGGGCAATACAATTCAGGACACAGGAATGGACAAAGACTTCATGTCTAAAACACCAAAAGCAATGGCAACAAAAGCCAACATTGACAAATGGGATCTAATTAAACTAAAAAGCTTCTGTACAGCAAAAGAAAGTATTATCAGAGTGAACAGACAACATACAGTATGGGAGAAAATTTTTGCAATCTATCCATCTGACAAAGTGCTAATATCCAGAATCTACAAAGAACTTAAACAAATTGACAAAAAAAAAGAACCCATGAAAAAGTGGGCAAAGGATATGAACAGACACATCTCAAAAGAAGACATTTATGCAGCCAACAAACATATGAAGAATAACTCATCATCACTGGTCATTAAAGAAATGCAAATCAAAACCACAAGGAGATACCATCTCACACCAGTTAGAATGGCTATCATTAAAAAGTCAGGAAACAACAGATGCTAGAGAGGATTTGGAGAAACAGGAATGCTTTTAAACTGTTGGTGGGAGTGTAAATTAGTTCAACCATTGTGGAAGACAGTGTGGCGATTCCTCAAGGATCTAGAACCAGAAATACTTTTGACCTAGCAATCCCATTACTGGGTATATACCCAAAGGATTATAAATAATTCTATTATAAAGACAAATGCACATGTATGTTTATTGCAGCACTATTCACAATAGCAAAGACTTGGAACCAACCCAAACGTCCATCAATGATAGACTGGATAAAGAAAATGTGGCACATATATACCATGGAATACTGTGTAGCCATAAAAAAGGATGATTTCATGTCCTTTGCAGGGACATGGATGAAGCCGTAAACCATCATTCTCAACAAACTATCACAAGAACAGAAAACCAAACACTGCATGTTTTCACTCATAAGTGGGAGCTGAACAATGAGAACTCATGGACATACAGAGGGGAACATCACACACTAGGGCCTGTCAGTGGGTGAGGGGCTCGGGAAGGGATAGCATTAGGAGAAATACCTTATGTAAGTGATGGGTTGATGTGTGCAGCAAATCACCATGGCATGTGTATACCTAACAAAACTGCATGTTCTGCACGTGTACCCCAGAACTTAAAGTATAATAAAAAAAATTAAAAGTTTTATTTCAGAAGATAGCAATGATAGAAATGTGGCATAATACAACAACCCTAAAACAGTGATTTTACCAGTGATGAGAAAATCTCTAAGAAATAAATGACCGCTGGGCATCAAAGAAGTCAATAGGAAGGCTCAATAAGCAGTCATCACTGACAAATGAAATACGGGGAGTCACTCCAGAGGTGCAACCATTCTCCACTAAGAGTTAACCTCATGGTGATTAGCATATTAAATTATAATATCTGTGGATAGAAATAATTTTATTTCTCCTTTTCCAATTTGGATGTCTTTTTTTCTTGTCTAATTGCTCAGGCTAGAACTTCCAGTACTATGCTGAATAGAAATGGTGAAAAGGTGCATGCTGTCTGTCTTATCCCTGATTGAGGAGGAAAAGGACTCAGTCTTTCACCATTGATTATGATGCTTTCTGAGTGTTTTTCAAATATGGCTTATATAATGTTAAGGTAGTTTCTTTCTACTCCTTCTTTGTTGAGAGTTTTTATCATAAAAATGCATTGAATTTTTTCAAGTGTTTCCTATACATCAATTGAGAAATCATGTGTCTTTTTTTCCCATCTTTATGTTTATGTGGTATATTACATTGATTAAATTTGTATGTTTAAACCATTATTGCACTCCAAGAATAAAACCCACTTGGTCCTGGTTTATAATCTGTTTAATGTGCTGTTGAATTAGTTCACTCATATTTTGTTGAGGATTTTTGCATCATTGTTTATAAGGGAAATTTGTCTGTGGTTACCTTTCCTTGTAGTGTTTTTTATTTGGCTTTGGTATCAGGGCAGTGCTGGCTTCATAGAATGCATTAGGAAGTGTTCCTTTTTCTGAAAATTTTTAGAAATGTGAGTAAGACTTCTTTAGTTTTTCTTTAAATGGTTTGTAGAACTTACCAGGGAAGACATCAGATTCAGGGCTTTTCACTGTTGGAAGACTTAAATGCTGATTCAATCTCTTTACTAGTTATAAATATATTAGGATTTTTCTATTTCTCATGACTTGTCCATGGTAGATCATGAGTTTCTAAGAATTTTTCCATTTCATTTAGGTTATCCAAGTCATTGACATACATTTCTTTGTCTCTTAGAATCCTTTTTATTTCTGTAGAATTGTTAACAATGTTCTTACTATCATTGCTGCTATTAGTAATTCGAGTTTTCTCATTTTTTCTTAGTCAGTCTAGGAAAGATTTGTCACTTGTGTTTATTTTTGAAAAAACTAATTTTTGGTTTCATTGATTTCTCTGTTGTTTTTCTAGTCTATTTTAATTATCTCTATTCTAATCTTTATTGTTTTCCTTCTTCTGCTGTCTTTGGGTTTAGTTTTTTTTAGTACTTAAATTGCAAAGATAAGCTGTTGATTTGAAATATTTCTTGCTTTTTAATGTAAGCATTTATAGCTCTACCTTTCTTCCTTAGCACTGCTTTCACTGCATATCACAAGTTTTGGTATGGTGTGTTTTCATTTTAATTCATCTGTAGGTATTTTCTAATTTTCATCGTGATTTCTTCTTTGATCCATTTGTTATTTGAGAATTGTTAAAAGCTACTGGTTTCAGTTTATCGACATTATTTTCTTTTATTTCTAGTTAACAAGTAATAATTGTACATATTTATGGGATACAGTATGATTTTTTATACAGCTATACAATGTGTATTAATAGAATAAGGATAATTAGCATATACATAACTTAGAATATTTATTATTTTTGTGTTGTAAATATTCAAAATGCTATTTTCTAACTTTTTGAAAATATACACTAAATTATTGTAAACCTTATTCCCCCTCCAATGATAGAGAACACTAGAACTAATTTCTTCAATCTAGCTATAACTATGTATTCATTAGCCAATCTCCCCCTATCTACTCCTATACCCTCGCCAGTCTCTAATAGCCACAATTCTATACTTTACATTTATGAGCGCATTTTTAGCTCCCACATATGAACAATAATACGTAGCATTTATCTTTTTGTGCTTGGCTTATTTCACATTCTTTGGATCAATACCCAGTATCGGGATTGCTGGATCACATGGTAGTTTTATTTTTAGTTCTCTGAGAAACCTACATATAGTTTTTCATAATACCTTACTAACTTACATTCCCACCAACAGTGTATCTGAAATTTCCACATCCCTAGAGCAGCAGTTGCTATTTTTTTCTTTTAGCTGATAGCCATTCTAATTAGGATGAAATTATATCTTATTGTGGTTTTGATTTGCATTTCCCTGATTATTAGTGATGCTGAGTAAATTTTCATATACTTATAGGTCATTTGTACATATTCTTTTGATAAATGGCTATTCGGATTTCATTTATTTTTTATCAGATTATTATTATTTTTTGCTGTTGAGTTGTTTGAATTTCTTTAGTTTCCCTTATCTGAAAATCTTGGTACCAACAGTCTTAGAACTCAGATTTTGAATAATTATATTAGAAATACTTGCATTATACTTATAGATTAAACATCCATAGTTCAAAAATCTAATATCCAAAATGCTCCACTGAGAATTTTCCTTGTGTGTAATGTAGGCACTCAAAATGTTTTAGAATTGGAAACATTTTAATTTTAGATTTTCAGATCAGGTATACTCAACCCATATATTCTGGATATTAGTCCCTTGTCAGATGAATAGTTTGAAAATATTTTCACCCATTCTACAGGTTATCTTTTCACTCTGTTAATTGCTTCTTTTGCTGTGCAGAAGATTTTTAGTTTGTTGTAGTCTCTTTCTGTTGCCTGTGCTTTTTAACTCTTACTCATAAAATCTTTGCCTACACCAGTGTCCTGAAGCATTTATCCTATGGTATCTTCTAACAGTTTTATAGTTTCAGGTTTTACATTTGTCTTTAATCTATTTTAATTTTTGTACATGGTAAGATATAAGGGTCTAGTATTATTCTTCTGAATATGGATATCCAATTTTTCCAGCCCCATTTATTGAACAGTATATTCTTTCCCAAAAGCATGCTCTTGGTGCAAGAGTTGATTAACAGTGTGTTAATTTCCACAAATTTTTAATGTTCCACTTTTATTTCTGTTATTGATTTTTAATTTTATCCCATTGTAGTCAGAGAAGATACTTTGCATGATCTCTATTTTCTTAATCTGTTAAAACTAATCTGTGACCTTACATGTGGTCTATCCTGGAAATGTCCCATATGCATTTGAAAATAATGTGTATGCTGATTTGATGTGTATATTACTCTGTACATGTCTGTGAGATCTTGTCAATTTACTGTGTTATCAAGTCCTCTATTTTATCAGTTATCTTCCGCTTAGTAATTTAAAGTTATTCTGATAAAAAGGGACTGACTTATGATATTTTACTGTTTGTTTTATATATGCCATATAACTTTTGTGCACCTTATTTTGTGCATTATTGTGTTCATTTTTGTTTAGTTAATTTTTTGTAGCAAAATGTTTAAATCCCTTTCCAATTTCTTTTTATGTATATTCTGTAGCTATTTTCTGTTTATTTACCGTAGGGCTTTTGCTTAACATCCTAAAGTTATAACACTGTAATTTAAATTTATACCAGTTTAACTTCAGTAACATACAAAAACTACTATTTTATAGCTCTGGTCCCACTCTTTTTTGTAGCTGATGTCATGAAATTACATCTTTATAAATTGTGTGTCCAAAAACATAAACTAAAATCTATTTTAAATGTGTCACTCTCTGCTTAAAGGTGTTTTGCTTTAAATTTGGATAGTTTTCCTAGTACTTAGCCTTCTTAGTTTTTTTTCAAATGCATGATCATATTTGTTAAATATCTATTAATAAATCAATATCATTTTTGAAATCCTCAAATAAATAAATAAATAAATACATTGGTCTTCTAAATTGTGTAGAAGATAAAATGTGGAGTTTCAAACCAAAGTTACAATAATATTAGCTTTTAGACTAATTTTTTCTTTAAAAAATGTGTTATTGTCTTACAACATGTAGAAAACAAAAAGTGGAGTTACAAACAATTGTTACAAAAAGATTAGCCTCTATAATTAACCATACATTTGCCTTTGTGGTAATCTTTATTTTTTAATAATCTTTTAGTTACTGTGTAGTGTTTACTTATTTCACCCAGTGGTACTTTCTTGATTATTTTTTGGCAGAGCAGGTCAAGTGGTAACACATTCCATCAGCTTTTATTTGTCTTTATTTATTCCACATTTTTGGCGGACAGTTTTGTTAAATATAAGATTCTGGGTTGACAGTATTTTCTTTTTTCTTAGCATGTTTGCTGTATTAGCCTACTGCCTTCTGGCCTTCATAGTTTCTTGATAGATACCTGCAAATAATCTTATTGAGGATCCCATGTGTGTAATGACTTGCTTCTGTCTAGTTCTTTTTAGTATTCTGTCTTGTCTTTGGCTTAAAAAAAATTGATTATAATGTGTCTTAGTGTGGGTCTCTGAGTTTATCTTATTTGAACTTTGCTGAGCTGCTTCGTTGCTCATATTTATTCTTAATCACATTTTGGAAGGTTTCAGCCATTATTTCTTCAAACATTCTCTCCACTCCTTTCTCTTCTTCTTTTGAGACTCCCACAATGAATATGTTTTTCTGTTTGATGGTGTCTGATAGATGTTTCAGCTCTGTTCACTTGTCTTTAATCTTTTTTTTTTTTTTGAGACAGAGTCTCGCTCTGCAGCCCAGCCCGGAGTATAGTGGAGCGATCTCAGCTCACTGCAACCTCTGCCTCCCAGGTTCAAGTGATTCTCCTGCCTCCCCCTCCCAAGTAGCTGGGACTACAGGCACGTGCCAGCACGCCCAACTAATTTTTTTTTGTATTTTTAGCAGAGTGGAGGTTTCACTGTGTTAGCCAGGATGGTCTGAACCTCCTGACCCTGTGATCCGCCCGCCTTGGCCTCCCAAAGTGCTGGGATTACAGGCATGAGCCACCACACCCGGCCTAATTTTTTTAAAATCTGTTTCTCAAAAATGAATTTTATAATTTTTGTTGTCGTTAAGTTTACTGATTCTTTTTCTACCTGCTCAAATCTGCCTTGAATTTCTCTGGTAAATTTTTCATTTCAGTTATTGTACATTGCAATTTAGGATATATTTTTGGTTATTTTAGGGTTTCTTTTTTCTATCAATATTTTTATTTTGTCCACATAACATTTTCTTGCCTTTCTTTACATTTTTCTTTAGTTCTTTGAGCATCTTTAAAATGGATTTTTTAAGTCTGTCTAATACATCTGCTGACACTTCAATTCAGTTGATCTTTAAACTAACTTGTATTAACCTTTCGTTCACTACCACTTTGAAATTTTTGTTTCTACTATCCCATTTTTCCCTCACTTCTTTTTCTATTCAGTCTCACCTTCAATAGAAATTTTCTCTCAGTAACTCTGACCCACAATTGACCTATCATTCTGAACCATCTTTTCTGGTATCATAGAGTTTAGTACCTCCTTACTTCTTATTTTCTATTGCTTTCTAATTTAAGATTCAATAAGAATAAAATGTTGCATTTCAAACACATTACCTTTTTTAACCTTTTACCTTCTAAAAAATAGGCTTACACGATTTTTTGATTTAACATATTTAGATTACAAACAATAATTGAAACATATGATAAGACAAGTTCCAATATTTTGGATAGTGATATTCATTTAAACATTTTTATGTACCTGATGTAAATTGAAAAATCAAGAACATAAACAAAAAATAGTTTTCTTTGCATGCATGCATACATACACACACACACAACATACACACATTTCACCTGATTAAAGAATTCATTTGACATCCTATTTGACCAGATTACAGTGTAAGTTTATTCTCAGCTATCATCTAAGGATGGTGGGTAGTTCATAACAGGTAGGGTATGAATTTTTGACCTTTGTAATTTTACCTTTTAAAATGGATACCAAAAACATATTTTCTACTGCAGATTCACAACAGAAGTACAGTCCAACAGGGTGGTATATGCTGCCTCAAATGTTAGAACTTTGAATGAATGACACTGCATACAATTTTAATGCTGTAAACACTAGGCCAGACTTTAAACCATTTAAAAACACCCAGTTTCTTACATAAGAAACTACCCCTTGGTGACACCAGTTATCTGAAGTGACCAGTCGCTGACTTCTTTAACTAGTGAGGTGGTTAAGAAGGTGATAGTAAAGTTATTCTGTGAACATATGGAATTCAAAAATAGCCTAAACCAGATTAAATCATGTTTCAGTTTTGAAGGTGGAAGAAAAATATTACATGTCTTACTAACACATTTATTACTTCTGACTCTTAGTTGTATCGACGGCACTTTAATGTTTTATCACATATTCACACGAAGTTTATCGTAATGAGGTCAAAATAACATGGAGCTTTGAAGACTTTTTTCTTTGACCAAAAGACTTACCTTATTTTTATTTCTGTCCATTTACCATTCAGATAATTGTAGGAAAACACAAGTAAATACAGCAAATTAGATGTTTTGCTGCCACCAAAATAAAGATGTATATCCCTATAGTAAGAGAAATGTACACATGCCATATTGTATCTGTATAGTCATGTGTACCTTGGCATATATCTTATTTCCAAGTTTCCTAAAACACTTTGCCCAAGTAAAGTTTATACAAATGAATATTCACAAAATACTTCAAAAATATAGAAACGTTTATCACACAATGAATATAGTTTATATTAGTTCTAGGGAAGATATTTGTCTTAGTTGATAAGAACACTGACAAAGAAATGAAGTTCTAACTTTATGTTTCTTCATCACATTTTGAAATGTGAAAAACATCTACCATTCCAGTACAATCATTCTATTTCTTCTGAAAATATCAATACTACTAAAAAGGCAACTTGGACTGTGGAAAAAATAATGTATATTTGCTTAAAATTTAAGCAAAATAAAATCAATAACAATAGACTAAAGAAAAAAACCCAAACAATTCTGTGGTGGTGTGGGTTATTTTCTCATGTGGTCTGTGATGGTTCCTTGTCACAATGTATTCAGTATGGTGAATCTAAGAACCTCGTGTGACATAATTTACTGTTGCAGTCCTCCGTGCTCAAAGGTTTTCTTATTCATTCTAATAATGTTAATACTATTTAAATTTTTCATGCCATTTTGTGCCACTTTTTGTAAGTTTTCTAGAAAGAAAGTAACCACTTTTTCTAAATTGGAAAATTAATTGAAATGAAGTTATGATTAACATGCTAAGAGTTTAATGCTTTCTTGCCTTTTTGGGATAGCTTTTTTTCATTTGAGAATATTGTTCAGCTGGGCACTGTGGCTCACCCCTGTAATTACAGCACTTTGGGAGGCCGAGGCAGATGGATTGCCTTAGGTCACGAGTTCGAGACCAGCCTGGCCAACATGGTGAAACCCCATCTCTACTAAAAATACAAAAGTTAGCTGGGTGTGGTGGCATGGGCCTGTAATCCCAGCTACTCAGGAGGCTGAGGCAGGAGAATCACTTGAACCCGACAGGCGGAGGTTGCAGTGAGCCAAGATGGTGCCACTGCACTCCAACCTCGGCGACAAAGCAAAACTCCATCTCAAAATAAATAAAAAGAATATTGTTCAGTCAGGCGCAGTGGCTCACCCCTGTAATCTCAGCACTTTGGGAGCTCTAGGTGGGTGGATCACCTGAAGTCAGGAGTTCAAGACCAGCCTGGCCAACATGATGAAACCCCATCTCTACTAAATATACAGAAATTAGCTGGGTGTGGTGGCAGGCGCCTATAATCCCAGCTACTTGGGAAGCTGAGGCAGGAGACTAGCTTGAACCCAGCAGGTGAGCTGAGATCTTGCCACTGCACTCCAGCCTAAGTGAAGGAGCAAAACTCTGTCTCACAGAAAAAAAGAATATTGTTCATATGTACTGTTGGGTGTGTGTGTGTGAGAGAGAGAGATATACATATTTGTTTATATTTTATACATATTACATCATATTTTTTACAGAACTAGCTTTTTACTTGTTTTCTATTTGTATTAATTTACTTTCTTACCTTTAATTTTTATTGAAAGCATTACATTCACATTAACTGAGATGGAGTAGTCTTCAGATAATGCAGTGTAGCAAAGGAAAGTTTAAGAGCTGACTTTAGGACACCTGAATTTTGATATATGTATTATATATCTATGTGGAGATAAATATAGCAATCAGACTTTACGGGAGTGATCTAAGCTAGAGACAGATATTTTACTCTTATGAGTCTAGGACAGGTATTTAAAGCCATGAAGCTAAATAAGTTATTGAAGAACAGTACAGGTAGAAAAAGCAAGTGGTGAAAGAAGTGAGCGCTGAGTCATTGCAATTTTTAAAAGGCCAAGGAGATGAGAAGGACCCAGCAAAGGAAAATTAGAATGAATAGCAAATGAAATAGTAATAAATGGGAATACATCGTGTCCAATGTTGGGAAAAAAACATTTCAGGGAAAAATAATCAACTATATCAAAGCTATTGCTACTAGGTTATGTAGAATAAGAACTGAGCAATTCAATGGAAAGATGTGAGTGAAAGCCTGAGTAGAATGGGTTCATATTATGAGATAGTTTCAAGATAAAATGAATACGTTGTGGAGTAGGTTCACTGCAAAAGAAAGAAAAGAAATGGCAGTAACTAAAGGACTAAGTGGTTTTCTTAATGTGGAGATAAACACGTTTTTATTTTGATGAAAAAGATCCAGTAAAGGAGAGATACTCAATGTGCTGGAGAGAGGGAAAAACTGCAACGATGCAAATATTAGGTCCACAATAACCTGAAGAGGTGACAGGGATGGGTACCAGGAGTGGGGTTCTGATATTTGGATACAGATGCTCACCAGTCTGTGGATGTGAGAGGGAGACTTGGGAAGGTAATCTTGCCTTGCAAAGGCTATTGGTTAGCAAAGTAGAATCAAGGTGATCAGCTACCTTAGTTATTCAGGCTCTTTTTTGTTTCTATATTCATTCTAAAATAGTTTAGAGATTGAGAATGAGGGAGGAGGTTTTAATGGTTTGATAAAAAAGAAGTTACAAAATAGCCAAATGGTGAGCATGTAAATTGATGGGGGAAATATGAATAAACATTAGGCATCACTGACCTCTACATCTGAAGTTAGTAATTGTGACTTTAGAGTTAGACAAGTCCTAATTATTTTTTATTTTTATTTAGAAATGTTAAGCTGCATGGTAAACACATAAAGCAGGTGGTATTTTGAATTTAGCCAGAGTTTGTATTTTGTCACAAGAATATATTGAACTGGCCAGGCACAGTAGCTCAAGCCTGTAATCCCAACACTTTGGGAGGCCATGACGGGTGGATCACCTGAGATCAGGAGTTCGAGACCAGCCTGGCCAAGATGGTGAAACCCCGTCTCTACTAAAAATACACAAATTAGCTGGGCATGGTGGTGCATGCCTGTAATCCCAGCTACTGGGGAGGCTGAGGCAGGAGAATCTCTTGAACCCAGGAGGCGGGATTTGCAGTGAGCCGAGATCACGCCATTGCACTCCAGCCTGGGCAACAAGAGCGAGACTCCACCTCAAAAAAACGAGAATATATTGAAATGAGAAAGAGCTAGTTATGGGTGTAAGTAATATATAGTTGAATTAACCACGGAATTTAACTTGGTGAAAGAGACAATAAACATGTAAAATGGTCAGGAAGATCACTGTTCCCTGTGAAATAAAAGGGCAGGTACTAAAGGGACAGAACTGGTGACCTGAGAATGAAATAATGGAAGTGGTGGTTACAAAGCGGATAAACGTACTGGCAATGCTGAAGTCTAGGGCGTCACTTTGTGAGAGTGTGGCTGAGAGAGATTGGCAGTTGATATTGGGAGAGTTGAGATTTATTACTGAAAGGGAACGGTGTTGGAAAGCACATAGCTAAGGATTCTGAAATGAGTATTTATAAAATAACATGTTTGGAGAGAGGCAATATGAGTTAGGAGCTAAAATATTTAAGACATTAAAGAGAGAGATAAAAAGTAAAATCATTTTTGCTGACTGCAAGATGTGTTGATAAAGAGTATTATCTAATCAGAAGAGATTCAATGCTAAGGGCTTTTAGGAAAAAGCAAAGGAGAATAGTCTGAAAACAGCAATGAAAAGGAAGGAGTATGGGATAGAAAACAGAATCTACTCAGGAAAGCTGCTGAAAAACAGTCTTAGAGAAGTGTCATGTTTTAGATAGAATGAGTAGAAGAGAACACGCAGATAAAAATGAAAGATCTGGGAGATATTGCTGATGAGGTGTGGGAGTCCTTAAAGAGCCCAGTGGAAGGTTTCAGGAATAGAAGAAGGCCGAGAGTTGAGGTACAAAAAAGGGCAAGTACAGAGTGTTATCAAGGATGATATGGGTGATGTGGGTTTCTGGTGGGTAAGACATAGAAACAGCCTTAGGTTTATTCAATCAGTTCTCAATTTATGAAGATTCCTTTCTTTTCAATTAGACTTTTAATAATACATTTCCAAGTACCGTCCTAAGAACCCCATGTGACTTATTAAAGGTAGACATTAGTATTTTACTTTACATGTGTTGCTAGTTGACTTGGATATATTGCATGTTTATAACATATATATATATATATATATATATATATATATATATATAATTCCTTAATATGTGGAATATAACTGTCCAACTGTCTTTGTATGGGGAAATAATCTTGTAAAATTTATTAGCATCAACTATATAAATAATAAATCATTTGTTCCATTTTTCCCTTAATTAGATCTCTGAAAGATTTTGTTATATATGGTGAGGAAAGAGATTGATGGCTGGTAAATCATCATGGATATATTGCCTACAAGATTATTTTACTTTTCCAAAAATATTTCTTATGTAGACATAACTTGATATTTTTCTGTAATAAAAAAAGCTTAACAAAAAACACCTTGATGCTATTTGGACTTTGTAGCCACTGACAACTGAAATGGATTTTTGTCCCTGTTACATTATTCTCCTAGTTTATAGAATTGAATTTCTTTTAAATTGTAGCATAGTAAACCCAGGAGGACGTTAACTAGTGAACAGTTCACCACAGGTATTTTTCCCATTATTATTATTTCTTGCGATTGGCTGATGTGGATGTAGTTTTTTATATTTCTGAGTTTTAACAGAAACTTTTCTTAATCTGCCACCAAATATGCCTCAAAGGATATGAAAAAAGGCAGTATTTTACTTATTTTTTTTCCAGAAAGAATTTCGTAAGCTTTTACTGTTAGAAAAATGGTGTGATAGGCACTTGCAAAATATTTGTATTTTCTATTCCTGAACTTTAAGGCACTGAAGTTCATCAGAGATGAATAATGTAGATAATGAAACAGTTAATTATCAATGAATAGCAAGTGCTCATATTGATCATATAACAATAAACATAATAGGGTCCCAAATATGGGAGAAGTTCAACACAGGCGGTACTTACCAGAATATAATTATTAAAGTGAAATTAGGCAGGGTTCAAGTAGAAAAAGAATAAGGTGAAAGTCATTCCAGTTAAGATGATGAGCTCCACCAAAGTTGATGACATCTTCTGAGAAGCCTTCATTGATTCAAGGATACAAATCTGGAGAGCAGTGTATTACTAATAAAGTATTTTATTCCTAAAATAAATATAACTCTAATGTAGCAGTTATGTATTAAAATCTATTCTTTTATTTTCTTTCTCTCTTTCCTTTTTTTGCTGACTTTATGCAAAGGGCTGGCATTCTGATTGTTCTTTTTACAAGTTTAATCCTTATTTTAATAAAGTTTTCAAGCAAAAAAAACTCATTATTTTTATGTATCTGAAAGATATACAAATTGTGAGTACTTTTCCCATTATTTGTTTTTGTCGACTTTGTTGAAGATTAGATAGTTGTATGTGGTCAGCATTATTTCTGGGTTCTCTATTCTGTTCTATTAGTCTATGTATGTTTTTGTACCAGTAGCATGCTGTTTCAGTTACTGTAGCTTTGTAGTATAGTTTGAAGTTGTGGAATTTAATGCCTCCAGCTTTGTTCTTTTTGCTTAGAATTGCCTTAGTTATTCAGGCTCTTTTTTGGTTTCATATTAATTCTAAAATAGTTTTTTTCTAATTCCATGAAGAATGTCATTGGCAGTTTGATAGAAATAGCATTAAATCTGTAAATTGTTTTGGGTAGTATGGTCATTTTAACAATATTGATTCCTCCTATCCATGAGCATGGAATATTTTTCCATTTATATGCATCACCTCGGATTTCTTTTAGCAGTGTTTTGTAATTGTCATTATAGAGAACTTTCACTTTCCTGGTTACCTGTATTCCTAGGTATTTTATTCTTTTTGTGGCTATCGTGAATTGGACTGCATTCTTGATTTGGCTCTCAGCTTGGATATTATTGGTGTATCAAAATGCTCCAGATTTGTGGACATTGGTTTGGTACCTTGAAACTTTGCTGAAGTTGTTTATCAGATCTAGGAGCCTTTAGGCAGAGACTATGGGGTTTTCTAGGACTAGAATCATATCATCTGCAAAGAGAGATAGTTTGACTTTCTTTATATTTTGTTTCATTTTACGTCTTTTTTTTGCCTGGTTGCTCTGGTTAGGACTTCCAGTACTATGCCAAATAGGAGTGGTAAGAGTGGGCATCCTTGCCGTTTCAGTTCTCGAGTGGAATGCTTCCAGATTTTGCCCATTCAGTTTGATGTTGGCTGTGGGTTTCTTATAGATGACTTTTATTGTTTTGAGGTGTGTACCTTCAGTGCCTAATTTGTTGAGGATTTTTAACATGAAGCGATATTGAATTGTATTGAAAGTCTTTTCTCCATTTATTGAGATGATCAGGTGGTTTTTGTTTTTAGTTCTGTCTATATGATTAATCACATTTATTGATTCACATATGTTGAACCAACCTCGCATCCGAGGAAGAAAGCCTACTTGATTGTGGTGTATTCTCATTCTGATATGCTGCTGGATTTGGTTTGCTGGTATTTTGTTGAAGGTTTTTGCATCCAGATTTATCAGGGATATTGGCCTGAAGTTCTCTTTTTTCACTGTGTGTCTGTCTCTGCCAGTTTTGGTATCAGAAAGATGCTCACAGAATATGTTAGGTAGGAGTCCTTCCTCCTCAGTTTTTTTGGAAAAATTTCAGTAGAATTAGTACTATTTCTTCCTTGTATGTTTGGTAGAAATCAGCTATGAATCCATCTAGACCAGGGGTTTTTTGGTTGTTAGGTTTTTTGTTTTTTGTTTTGTATTACTGATCTATTATTGGTCTGTTCAGGGATTCAGTTTCTTCTTGGTTCAATTTTGGGAGGGTTTATGTTTCCAATAACTTTTTTGTTTTTCCTAGTTTTTCTAGTTAGTGTGCGTAGAGGTGTTTGTAATAGTCTCTGAGCTTGTTTTTGTTTGTTTTTTTTTAATTTCTGTGGGGTCATTGGTAATGTCCTCTTTGTCATTTCTGATTGTATTTATTTGGATTTTTTTCTTTATTAGTATAGCTAGTGGTCTATTAATATTATTTATTCTGACAAAAAAACAAAGTTTTGGTTTTGTTGATCTTTTGCATAGTTTTCCTCATTTCCATTCATTCAGTTCAGCTCTGGTTTCTTTTGTTAGCTTTGGGGTTGAATTGCTCTTGTTTTTCAAGTTCCTTGAGGTGTGGTTAGGTTGTTAATTTGAGATCTGTCTAACTTTTTCACTGGGTGTTTAATGCTATAAACTTTCCCCTTAACACTACTTTAGCTGTGTCTGAGCAATTCTGGTAGGTTGTATCTTTGTGTTTATTCATTTCAAATAATTCCTGATTTCTGCCTTAATTTCATTATTTACCCCAAAGTCATTCAGGAGCAGATTTAATTTCCATTAATTCTATGGTTTTAACAGATCTTCTTGGTATTGATTTCTATTTTTATTACACTGTGGTCTGAGAGTGTGGCTGGTATGATTTCAGTGTTTTTGAATTTGTTGACAATTGCTTTATGGCTGAGCATATAGTCAATTGTAGTGTATGTGCCATGGGCTGATAAGAAGGATGTATATTCAATTTTTGTTGGATGGAATGTTCTATAGATGTATTTTAGGTCCTTTGATCATGTGTCCAGTTTAGGTCCTGAGTATTTTTATTAGTTTTCTGTCTTTATGATCTGTCATATACTGTCAGTGAGGTGTGGAAGTCTCCCACCATTATTGTATGGTCGTCTAAGTCTCTTTGCAGGTCTCTTAGAACATGTTTTATGAATCCGTGTCTTCTGGTTTTGGTTGCATATATATTTAGAATGGTTAAGTCTGCTTGTTGAATTGAACCCTTTGTCATTATGTAATGCCCTTCTTTGTCCTATTCCATTGTTGGTTTAAAGTCTGTTTTGTCTGAAATAAATATAGTAAATCCTACTCTTATTTGTTTTCTGTTTGCTTGATAGATCTTTCTCCATCCATTTATTTTGAGCCTGTGGGTGTCCTTTCATGCGAGATGGGTCTCTTGAAGACAGATATAGTTGGGTCTTTTTTATCCAACTTGCCACTCTGTGCCTTTTAAGTGGGGTCTTTGGCCCATTTAGATTCAAGATTAATATTAATATGTGCAAATTTAATTTTGTGATTGTGTTAGCTGTTTTTTATGTAGCCTTTGTTGTGTATTTGCTTTATAGTGTTGATGGTCTATGCACTTGAGTGTGTTTCTGTGGTGGATGTAAATGTGCCATATTTTTTAATCAGTCAATGGCTGATGGAAATTTCAGCTGTTGAAAATCTTTTCCAATAAAGAAAAAGCCTCAATATTTATCCATGTACATACTTCAGATTTCATTTATGTAAAGATAATTCTAGAATAAATTCATAGAACTGAAAATAATTTCAGTATGTACATTTCAATACGTACATTTCAATATCTACCTCTGTATGTACGCAGATGTAGATATTGCCAGATTGCACACCAGCAATATATGAGCCTACTAGTTTCTTTGTTGTTTTTATCAATGCAGCACATTATCAAATTTTTAGCTCTTTGGTGATCTGGTAGGTGAAAAAAGTTCATTGTACTTAACATTTTCCTTTTTCTTAGTTTGAGTGAAGCTGATCATTATTTTATTTATTTATTTATTTATTTTGAGACAGAGTCTTGCACTGTCACCTGATCTGGAGGGCAGTGGAGTGATCTCGGCTCACTGCAACCTCCGGCTCCCAGGTTCAAGCGATTCTCCTGCCTCAGCCTCCCGAGTAGCTGGGATTACAGGTGCTCACCACCAAGCCCAGCTAATTTTTTTATTTTTTTAGTAGGGATGAGATTTTACCATGTTGGCCAGCCTGGTCTCAAACTCCTGACCTCGTGATTCTCACACCTCGGCCTCCCAAAGTGCTGGGATTACAGGTGTGAGCCACCATGCCCAGCCCATTATTCTATATTTTAAGAGACCTTTGTATTTCCTATTTTCTCAATGTCTGATTATATATTTATATATCTGTCATGTTGGTGCATTTTTTAATTGACATGGACAAATTCTTTATGTGTCTGAATAATTTGACAGTTTTCTGAGATGTGAATTGCTAGTATTTTTCTCTGGTTGTTGTTTGTATTTGATGTTGCTTATAGTTATTTTGTGATACATAATACTTAAGGGAATGTCTCAAAGTTTTAATTTTCTGATGTTTTAAAAATAATTTCTAGAATGCACATCTACACTTTGATTTTATAAAATAAATCTCTCATAATTTATTCTAGTGGTTTTACAATATCTTTGATTATTTATAACATACTAAACTTCCATTTGTATTTGGATGTTTTGCCAATTATTCATTATTACATTTCCATATCAAATCCACTCATCTTTGTTTATTTTGTGATACAAGAGTTGTACCCTGTAAAGAATCATCCTTTTCCATTTGGCTTCATGTTAGGCCCTGCCAATAAGAAGTCCTGGAGGAATTACAGGACTTGTGGCAAGAGGAAGTCACTTCTCATCCTGATACTGGTGTGCTGTTTTTTGGTGCAGCCATGAGTGGATAAGGTGCAGTAAGCCACAGTAGAAAGTTACGGTTCATATTTTTCTGAAATTTTCTCAGCCACCCTTTTGGGTGCCCATTTCTATGGATGAGCTCTGGTTCATGTGAACCTCCTGCAAGTTTCCCAGCACTCCGCGATGCGGGCTCTTTTTTGGTTTCATATGAACTTTAAAGTAGTTTTTTCCAATTCTGTGAAGAAAGTCATTGGTAGCTTGATGGGGATGGCACTGAATCTGTAAATTACCTTGGGCAGTATGGCCATTTTCACGATATTGATTCTTCCTACCCATGAGCATGGAATGTTCTTCCATTTGTTTGTATCCTCTTTTATTTCCCTGAGCAGTGGTTTGTAGTTCTCCTTGAAAAGGTCCTTCACATCCCTTGTAAGTTTGATTCCTAGGTATTTTATTCCCTTTGAAGCAATTGTGAATGGGAGTTCACTCATGATTTGGCTCTCTGTTCGTCTGTTGTTAGTGTATAAGAATGCTTGTGATTTTTGTACATTGATTTTGTATCCTGAGACTTTGCTGAAGTTGCTTATCAGCTTAAGGAGATTTTGGGCTGATACAATGGAGTTTACTAGATATACAATCATGTCGTCTGCAAACAGGGACAATTTGACTTCCTCTTTTCCTAACTGAAAACCCTTTATTTCCTTCTCCTGCCTAATTGCCCTGGCCAGAACTTCCAACACTATGTTGAATAGGAGTGGTGAGAGACGGCATCCCTGTCATGTGCCAGTTTTCAAAGGGAATGCTTCCAGTTTTTGCCCATTCAGTATGATATTGGCTGGGGGTTTGTCATAGATAGCTCTTATTATTTTGAAATACGTCCCATCAATACCTAATTTATTGAGAGTTTTTAGCATGAAGAGTTGTTGAATTTTGTCAAAGGCCTTTTCTGCATCTATTGAGAAAATCATGTGGTTTTTGTCTTTGGTTCTGTTTATATGCTGGATTACACTTATTGATTTGCGTATATTGAACCAGCCTTGCATCCCAGGGATGAAGCCCGCTTGATCATGGTGGATAAGCTTTTTGATGTGCTGCTGGATTCGGTTTGCCAGTATTTTATTGAGGATTTTTGCATCAATGTTCCTCAAGGATATTGGTCTAAAATTCTCTTTTTTTGTTGTGTCTCTGCCGGGCTTTGGTATCAGGATGATGCTGGCCTCATAAAATGAGTTAGGGAGGATTCCCTCTTTTTCTATTGATTGGAATAGTTTGCCAAAAGAACAAAGCTGGAGGCATCACACTACCTGACTTCAAACTATACTACAAGGCTACAGTAATCAAAACAGCATGGTACTGGTACCAAAACAAAGATATAGATCAATGGAACAGAACAGAGCCCTCAGAAATAACGCCGCATATCTACAACTATCTGATCTTTGACAAACCTGAGAAAAACAAGCATTGGGGAAAGGATTCCCTATTTAATAAATGGTACTGGGAAAACTGGCTAGCCATATGTAGAAAGCTGAAACTGGATCCCTTCCTTACACTTTATACGAAATTCAATTCAAGATGGATTAAAGACTTAAACGTTAGACCTAAAACCATAAAAACCCTAGAAGAAAACCTAGGCATTACCATTCAGGACATAGGCATGGGCAAGGACTTCATGTCTAAAACACCAAAAGCAATGACAATAAAAGCCAAAATTGCCAAACGGGATCTAATTAAACTAAAGAGCCTCTGCACAGCAAAAGAAACTACCATCAGAGTGAACAGGCAACCTACAAAATGGGAGAAAATTTTTGCAACCTACTCATCTGACAAAGGGCTAATATCCAGAATCTACAATGAACACAAACAAATTTACAAGAAAAAAACAAACAACCCCATCAAAAAGTGGGCAAAGGACATGAACAGACACTTCTCAAAAGAAGACATTTATGCAGCCAAAAAACACATGAAAAAATGCTCACCATCACTGGCCATCAGAGAAATGCAAATGAAAACCACAATGAGATATCATCTCACACCAGTTACAATGGCAATCATTAAAAAGTCAGGAAACAACAGGTGCTGGAGAGGATGTGGAGAAATAGGAACACTTTGACACTGTTGATGGGACTGTAAACTAGTTCAACCATTGTGGAAGTCAGTGTGGCGATTCCTCAGGGATCTAGAACTAGAAATACCATTTGACCCAGCCATCCCATTACTGGCTATATACCCAAAGGACTATAAATCATGCTGCTATAAGGACACATGCACACGTATGTTTATTGCAGCATTATTCACAATAGCAAAGACTTGGAACCAACCCAAATGTCCAACAATGACAGACTGGATTCAGAAAATGTGGCACATATACACCATGGAATACTATGCAGCCATAAAAAAGGATGAGTTCATGTCCTTTGTAGGGACATGGATGAAATTGGAAACCATCATTCTCAGTAAACTATCGCAAGAACAAAAAACCAAACACCGCATATTCTCACTCATAGGTGGGAATTGAACAATGAGAACACATGGACACAGGAAGGGGAACATCACACTCTGGGGACTGTTCTGGGGTGGGGGGCGGGGAGCGATAGCATTGGGAGATATACCTAATGATAGATGACGAGTTAGTAGGTGCAGCACACCAGCATGGCACATGTATACATATGTAACTAACTTGCACATTTTGCACATGTACCCTAAAACTTAAAGTATAAAAAAAAAAATTTAAAAAGAAAAAGAGTTTCCCAGCACTCAGTAGGTGATTTCTTAAAGACCAGTGCTGTTCTACCCACATCTTCTGGTAAGTTTTCTGGTCATATGCTCATTAGTCTTTTTCAAAAAAATTTTTGGCTACTTTTGCTTGTTTATTTATTTATCTATTAGTATAATCATCCAGCTGGTAATTTTATTCAGATTACATTAAATTTATAAGTGTATAGAGATTTTTTAAAATTATAGAGGAAAACAGCTTGCCTCCTCATTTCTTCACATCTTTATTTTGTCTATATAAAATTCTCTTTAAACAGATTTGGCAAATGCTTTGGTATTTCTAAATATTTTAGTTTTCTTTTTGCTATTATTAATAAAGTCATTTTACCATGAAAATATAAGATTTTTATGTATATCTTCTTTAAGTAAATACTTCAATCTTTTGCTAGAATATTTTTCACTATAGCACAAACATTTCTTAGCTGAGTACCATGACTCTTTTTGCATAGTGAACAATCATCATTTCCATCACTATACATTTATAATATTCTCCGGCCCAGTGAAATCTGTTATTTTATTCATCTCTCAATGCAAACTGCTCTTATGAATTCTAATATTTTCTAACTTCTAACTGCAAAAGACTGTCAAAGCTTATGCTCCTTAGGCTATGTTTCCTATCTATATTATTTGATACTGGCAGTCTTCTCTTCTTTCTTGAAATTCTATTCTCTTTTCTATGATGTTAACAGCACTCAACACTATCTTCTATTTCTTCTTCTACCACTACTCTCTTCTCTTTACCTTTTGCTGATTTCTCTTCCTTTTTCAAGTATTTATTATTTCTACTTCTCAGACATCTCCCTAGTTCTTCTAGGAATTAAATGCTTCTTGGTTGATTGCGCTAACCCCATTACTTCAGTAAACCCCTAAAGAATTCAATGACTTCCTTATATATGTATGTACTATCTCAAATGTATTAAGTACTTACTATATGTCAGGCATTGTTATATGTATTTTGCCTATATTTATCCATTTGAGTCTTACAAAACTCATCTAAATTAGATGCTCTTATTATTTCTATTTTGCAGATGAGGAAACTGTGAACTTTACAATTTGCTAGAGGTGTAGTTGGAGTTAAAATATGGAAGGTCTGGTCCCAGAATCTGAGCTCATAACCACTTTTCTATACTGCCTCTAATTGTTCTCCTGAGCTCAGTGAATCTTTATAATAAAGCCTTATTTAAGCTCATTAAACTATCCATAACCCAAATAAAACATGGAATAGAATTCTTATTTCACAAGCACACCATTCCTTCCTACATATCCTCCAATAACATGAATAAAACAATTCCTACACCTACAAAAACTAAAAAAATTACAATGACTCTCCATGGTGTCCTTAATATTAGTTTCCACAGTTTACATAATGCCCCTTCTACCAGAACTTCTTTGTCATTTTACCACTGTTGATATTTAACTTTAGACCCTATTTTAAATTCATCAGAATTATATATTGTCCTTTAGAATGTTCTACCCATCTATATTTTCTCTCATATCTAGTTCATCGGCCAAATAATGCATAAGTATTGCCATGACCTTTTCCTGTTATAGAATACCCTCATTCCTGGTACTGGAATGACACAGATTAAACTCTAAGGTCTTTTAAATAGCAAGCAATTCTATTTAAAACATACCTAAAAATGCATTTTCTAACATTACCTCCACTCCCTCCTTTCTATGCCCATCATCAAATTTATAAATTTTTCCTCAACATGCTGTGGATAGCCATATACCCTTGTCCTTGCACAGGTTCTTCCTTTTGTCTAAAATGACTTGTCTTTCTTCTAGCTCTGGAACTTCAACTATTTTTTTCCCAAATCTAATCAAATTGCTGAATCTCTGCATATATATATATATGTAAATAAAGTCATTTTTTAAAGCACATGATTTTTTATGCAATCTTATTAAATTCAAAAATTTTCATATGAAGGAAACATAATTTCTGCTTTCTCTTTTTTTCTTTGTTAGCCTGACTAGAGCTTTATATCAATTTTATTGAACTTTTAAAAGAAGACTTTTACATTTGTTATTATTTTCAATGTAATTGAAAAGACGTAAACTATAGAAAACAATAACAAATGTTAACAAAGAGAATGCACGCTCTGCTATTGTTGAAGTATTCTACATTGTCAATTAGATAAAATAGATTGATAATGCTATTCAGGTAATTTATATCTTAACTGACACAAAGGTATTGAGATCTTCAGCTATTATAGTGGATTTGCCTAAATCTTTTGTAGTCTTTCAATTTTTTACCTACATATTTTGACACTCTTTTTATGTGTATACACATTTAAGATAATTATATTTTTTGCAAAATGGACTCTCATCAATATTTAGTTTCTTTTTCCTCTTATAAGATGACTTGCTATCAAGTTTGCTTTGTCTGAAATTAATATAGCTATTACAGCTTCTTTTGATTAGAGACAGCATAGTTTATCTTTGTCCATTTATTTTCAACTTGTTTTTATGTTTAAAGTGAGCTTCTTAAAATTCATATATAGCTTGGTATTATTTTTTCTTTATCTACTCTGACATTCTGCCTTTTAATTACCATAATTATTTTTTAGAATTTTTTATTTATTTATTTGTAAGTGATAATTTACTGGCGTTTTAATGAATTTTATGCTTTCGATTATCTGTCTCAATTAATTTATTTTATTTTATTTTGTATTTCCGTAGATTTTAGGGAAACAAATCGTGTTTGGTTACATAAATAAGTTTTTTAGTGGTGATTTCTGAGATTTTGGAGCACCCATAATCTGAACTATATACACTGTACCCAAAACCAAACATCATATATTCCCACTTATAAGTGGGAGCTAAGCTATGAGAATGCAAAGGCATAAGAATGATACAATGGACATTAGGGACTCAGGGGAAAATCAGGGGAGAGGAAATTAGTGTAATTAGACCATTAAAACCAAAAGTAATTGTTGATATTATTGGATTAATATCCATCAGGTATGTAACAGTTTTATTTGTATTTATTTGTTTCTTGAATATTTAATAACCATGTTATTTTTGCCTTTTCTGGTTTTAACTGAGCATTTTATGTGTTTGCATTTTTCTCATACCATTTTGCATATCAATTATACTTCTGTCTCTGATTTTTTAGGAGATTGCTCTAGAGTTTGCAACATAAACTTATAACTAATCTAAGTCCACACACACACATTAAAGGAGATATGTCAAAGTTATATAGAAGCCAGCTGAATGAGCTCCCTTTGACCAATAGTGGAACAAACTAAGTAACAGAATTAGTAAAGTCATACTGAATTTAGCTCAAAGTATACAAAAATTCATAGACCTAAAATTATAAGAATAAATGATTTAATAAATACATAAATAAGGGAAGTTAAAGAAATCTACATGCAAAAAGATTCTAAAATTTATAAATAATTTTAATTATAATATATATAATATATATAATTTATGATTATCTATAAAAATCCTTTAGCATGTAGATGCGAAAGGATTCTAAATTTTATTTTATTTTATACATATACAATAAATACTCCTCCCTTAAGGAAATGAAGCATAACTTTTCTTTCCTTAGATATGAGCTGTGCATAGGGACTTTCTTCCAAAGAGTACAGAATGATAAGTACAAGAGTGGGCAGAGGAGTATGAAGACTTACTTTACATTGACAAACACTACTTCAGCCCAGTGATCAAGGTTAACGTTGACAGTATGTATCCACAATATTTCGAGATATGGCACTTTACTCTTGCGGTCTCCCTCCCAGAAACCCTGAGCCTCAGTCTAATAATGAGAAACCCTATACCTCAGTCTAATAATAAGAAAAATGACAAATATCAGTTGAGGAACATTCTATAAAACACCTGATTGGTACTCTTCAAAACTGTGAAGGTCATCAAAAACAAGTCTGAGAAACTGTCACAGACAAGAAGGCTATGTGAAGGCATGAGAGCCAAATATGGTATCCTGAATGGATATACCATATTTCATGACAATAAATATCTTCCTTCATTATTATCTCAGTATTATATTCAAACATCTATTGAAATCATATATGGATCCATATTGCCCAAAGCTATCTACAGATTCAAAGTAATCCCTAATTGCAAAAGCAGAAAAAATTATTTAAAACTTTATATAGAATCTCAAGAGACTCCAAATAGCCAAAACAGTTTTGAAAAAGAACCAAGTTGGAGGACACACCCTACCTGATTCCAAAATACATTACAAAACTATGGCAATCTAAACCGTGTGTTACTGGCATGAAGACAGACAAATAGACCGCTGGAAAAAAATAGTGGACCCAGAAAGAAATCCTGTGTGTACGATCAAATGATCTTTAACAAACATACCAAATATAAGGGAAAAGTTTCATGACATTGGACTTGGCAATGATTTCTTGGAAACAGCACTAAAAGCTTAGACAACAAAGTAAAAGTAGACAAATAGAACTACATTAGTTTAAAACTGTTGTGCATCCAAAAACATGATCAATAGGGTGAAAACACTACAAAGGAAAGAAAACGTTTCAAATCATAAATTTGACAAGAGGTTAATATCCAGAATATATAAGAATTTCTACAACTCGACAACAAAAAATCAGATAATCTGATACAAAAACTGTCAAAAAACTTGAATAGACATTTCTCCAAAATTGTTATAGGAATGGCTAATAAGCATATGAAAAGATGCTCAACATCACTAATCATCAGAGAAATGCAAATGAAAACCACAATGAAATCACCTCACACTTATTAAGATGACTACTATGAAACAACAACAGAAAATAACAAGTGTTGGGGCAAATGTGGAGAAATTGGAACCCTTGGGTACTGTTAGTGGGACTGTAAACTGGTGCTGCCATTATGGAAAGCAGTATGGAGTTTCCTCAAAAAATTAATAATAGAACTTCCATATAACCCATCATTCCTACTTCTGGGTATACAACCAAAAAAAATAAAAGCAGTATGGCGGAGCTTGCAGTGAGCCAAGATCTCACCACTGCATTCCATCCAGCCTGGGCAACCGAGCGAGACTCCATCTCAAAAAAAAAAAACAAAAACAAAAAAACCGAATCTCAAAGATATATTTGTACACCCATGTTCATAGCAGCACTATTCACAATATACAAAAGGTGGAAGCAACCCAACTGTTTATTGATGAATGAGTGGATAAACAAAGTATAGTTAATATATACAATGGAATATTATTCAGTCATAAAAAGAAAGGACATTTTGTCACATATGATGACATTGATGAACCTGGAGGACAATACACTAAGTGAAATAAGCCAGTCACAAAAGGACAAATACTGGGTGATTCCATTTACTTGAGGTATATAAAGCAGTTAAATTCACAGAAATACAGAGTAGACTGGTGGCTACGAGAGGCTGCAGAGAGGGAGGAATGGGAAGTTGTTGAATAGGTATAGAGTTTTAGGTTTGTAAGAGGAAAAAGTCCTGGAGATCCACCTGACAACAATGTGAATACACTTAACATAACTAAAAATGTATACTTAAAAATGATTGATATGGAGAATTTTATGTGTTTTTTCCAGAGTGAAAAATATTGTACATGTAGATTTTTCAGAACTCACATTCTCACTTCCTTTTCCTATAGAATTTCAAGTGAATAGGAAGAATGCATTGGAGAATCACTGGTTGAAAACAATTTTAAGAGCTAACTAATTATACATCATAAATATGTTATGTAACAGGCCATTCAGTCTTTTTTAGCATTAACATTTTTAGAAACGGACGTTTACTGAAGCAAACACATCGTGTACATTCTTCACATATTACATGTTATGATTAATAAAATCAATCTTTGAAAATAGACCAATCATGCCTTAGAAAAAAATTTAATTGTTAAATTCATTTTGGGCATTAATCTTGGATAATTTCTCTTAATTGCATTTAATGAATTGCTTCAAATCTTTAATTATATTTTAATAATCAAATGTAACCTTTTCATGTCTTATTCATTGAACATAGTAAGGTTGAGGGTTGTTATTATGATGTGGCTTATTTAATTTACTTAAGAGAGTTCAACATTTTTTGCTGAAATCCTTACTTGCGGTTACAAAGATTGACTATAGCCTAAGACATTGTAAATGTTTAAATAAGTTAGCTATTTCAGTAATTTTTAATGTAAAAGTATAAAAATATATGTCATATCTCATTTTTATGATGCTGAAAATATACTCAGCTGTGATTGAATTTATTATTAAATATACGTAAGACTTTAATTTTTGAAATTTTGTAGAGCATCATGAAAGTCTTTACTTCCAAATCAGAAAGCTGTTTCATTTGAAAGCAATATATATACTAAAAATACCAAGAAAATCCTGTTTGTGATTGAGGCCCACTGTATAAATGAATATTCAGGAATATTATTTTATCTCTTTACTCATAATTAGTTTTTCTGTCGTGCAGGTCTTGATGATCAATTTATTTTGTCCATTTATTTGCTTCCAAAAGTCATATTAATTGTATCTGTAGAAAATGTGGTTCTATTATGTATGTTTGTGTTTGTTCATGTGTATATATGTAAAAGTGTATATGCTTAAATATGTTGGGGATGGGGTAAGGACTCAAAGTATTTACTATCTTAAACCTAACTTCTATTCAGTGCTGGGGTTTAAAAATCAAGGGAAACTGGGCATTTATTAGGCAAACAAGCCAATACAACAGGGTTTTTCAACTTTAGCATTATTGACATTGTGGGGTGGATAATTCTTTAGTGTCGGGGGCTTCCTTTTGCATTATTAGAGTTTAGCAACACCTCAGAACTTTACCACTAGAAAGTAGTTGTACCCTTTTCCCAGCTATGACAGCCAATGTTTCAGACATTGCCAAACGTCTGGTTAACAAAACTACAAACTTAATTTTCAAAGAAGGAAGAGTACTTGTCCAGTATGTTGTTTGCTCTCAATTTATCCATGGGTTCAGCCTTCTTTAGACTTTTCTGATAATAAAAGCTGAAAAAAATTACTAGCAAAAAATATTTTGTAGGATGCCTAAGCACAAGTAACACCCCTGTGCACCCAGGTGGAAGTGTGCAAATTCTGTAGCATTGCAGAGAGCACCGTGAAGCTTCACAACTTGAAGACTTTGGAAATCAATACATTTTTCCATCAGTGGCCCCAGTGAGAAAAAGTGAAAGGCAGCAGAAACATTTAGTGTACCCTGAAGACACTTAGAAATGCCCAGATCCCTCAACAGAGGTGGCAGCCCAGGAGATATCATTAGAAGACATGCCCTGGGGCATTTTCACCCATACCTCCTCAGAACGTCTGTAGGAGTGATGAGAAGAAGAGAACAACAATATGTACTTTTATACTTAAATAGTCAGAACTCCAAATAGCTTTTATTATCCCACCCTAAATAGCTTTTATTATCAAACGAGTCTTATGGGGAGTTCAAAAATCAAAGCTAAATAGCTTCTCAGGTTTCCTCGGTTTGTTTCCACACAAATCCTTGTCTTGGTTCTGAAATAAAATCTTCTTGATTTCACCACCCCATCCTTTGTCTACCTCCCTTCTTCCTTCGCTAGTCAGCTATTTCTCAGGCACAGACCCACAGCAGGCAGTGCAGAATAACATGGCTTCAAATAAACGGGCCTTTCATTCTTATATACCCAGTCATTGATTTAATGGATCATAATCATAATAAAAATGTTTTATCAAAAGTTTATACTAAACACCAGAAAATCTTTAGTAAAGTAACATGAAAAAAGAGTTAAAACTAATAATCTATAGTTGATTTCTTCACTTAGAGATCTTAGATGTATCATACTTCTTCTTACTTCCGTACCTGAACAAAATAGATGGGAAAGCTAATTTTTTCTACACTCTGACTGGTGATTATCAGAATTTTTAACAGAAAACAAATTTCAAAAGTCATATGATACTGTATTAAAACATTTTATAGCAAAAGGAACATTCCAAATGGCCCTTCTAAAAGTTTCAGTTTTCTGTATTACCTCAGACTTTAAAACAGCCTAGTGAAACTTAAGAAACTGTTAAGCAACAGCTTGAAAATTCACAGGAGAAAAATAAAATTAAATGATGAAAATACATTTAAATTGATCTCAGATTCTGGATTGAATTGGCACTAACACTACCGGTAAAATAGCTTCAACTAATCTCTGAGTGTGTCAGTGGCTTCTCTTAAGATACAGTTGAAGTAAGTGGAGAAAAATAACAACAAAAACAAGAAGGCAAGAGATTTTTTAATAAGTTTCAATTCTAACCTTTATTATTCACATCCCAAACTCTTATTCATTCCATTTGTATTAACTGTGCATATTAGCTATTCTTTATTATAGCCAGATAAAGGAATAATTGCATCACAGATTTTTTCCCCAAGGAAAAATAATCTTAAATTTATCCTTATATGAAATACTTGATATTTAGTTTTAGTTTTGCCAGGGAACAAAGTATTTTAATCCCATTTCTCAACCAATGCAGGAATCCTTTCTACCACGTATTGATAAAAAAAAATTGCTGAATCTGAGTTTGAAAAAAAATCTACAGACAAAAATTTCTTATGTACTTCTAAAAAATTTATATATTTTATGAGTACAATGTAGTGTTTTGATATAGTGAAATTACTATAGTAAACAAATAGACATATCCCTCATTTCACATAGTTACCTTTCTAAACTTTTGGTGAAAATACCTAAATTCTACTAATTGAGCAAACATCCAGTACACAATACAATATTATTAGCTATAGTCCCCATGCTGTACATGAAGAGGTTAAGGTTCTATGATCAGTCCAACCTGGTTCAGAAGCTCAACTCTCAGTAAATCTCTATAACATATGAAGTTGGTGTTACTTAAAATAGATTTCCGTTTTCATCCCAATGAAAATGGATGAAAAGGGGTATTAGAGTTCTCCAAATAAACCGAGAAAATTATTTGCCCAAGGAGGTGCAGTGAGCTGGATAGCAAAAGAGTAAATGTTCATGGCAGAAGCAAAAACCAAAATGGACATGTTAACAGTACTAATGAAGCTTATCCTGAGAAGAACAGATGACCAAACTTAGTTGTAATTGTCAAGTCCAAGTTAACCAGGCAATGCATTGTAAGAGATCAATGAGCTGGACTGGACTTCAGAAAGACATAATGTGATGTGTGTAATATATCCTGAGAAGTTTAAGAAGTTAGAAATGATAGATTCAAAGGGCACGTAATACAAATTGTAGCTGAATTTGAAAATGGGCCATCTTATGAGGGACCTCGTACCCTTTATTAAAGGTACTTGTAGTATAAGTAATTATAGTAAGTATAATTGTATTATACTATAAGCAATTGGCCTCAAAATGTTTTGCTCATTCACCTCTGTATGTAAATATTTTCATGCAAAAATCATTAATATAAACATATTATTATTTGCAAAGGAAATATGTCTTGTTTTACTTTTGTAGTATATACATATTATAAAAATACATAATAGAAAAATATAGTGAGATAAAGATAAATTAAATAGTATTTTAGATGACTATTTTACTCCATAAATATTTTTATTAATAATTTTTTGAAAGTCTTGCTACTTTTGATGGCTTTGTGTTATCATTAGCTTCTATTTCAAGGCACAATATATACTTAGGTAAAGTCCATTATTCACAACAAAGGATATACATACATATTTCGTGTATCCTTCTTAAGATTTTCCAGTTTTTCTGACCAAAGTCTTGCTGATTGTTTTAGACTGTTATTGTTTTTACCTATTTTTTGGATTAAGAAGAGATGAAGTACGCAAATAGAAACATGATTGTGAAACTGTTTGGTGGTTCTTTTTTTGTATTATCTTCCCAATTCTGGTTTCTTTGAGGAAAAGTGAATCAATCTCTTGTCTATTTACTGATGGTTATTTTAGTCAAAACTAAATAATATGATCAGCAAATACATCTACCTAGTTTATGTTATCTATAGCGCAGTGTAATGAACTGAAAGTACCATAAATTTCCTGTGGTTCTAATCTTTGATTATCTGGTTTTCTCTTGTGATGCACAATAACATGGGTGGCGGTCCACTGGTAATTAAATAATTGGTTACTGACAACACAATTTCCCTTTTTTCTGGGGCTTTTTTTTTTTTTTTTTGCCTTAGTATATCTTATCCAACAAATGTGACACTTGATTGTCAGCTACATGGACAAGGAATGCTGCTGTCAATCTAGATATTGAGTATTATTAATGATCAATCTTATTATTTATATAAATAGGATTATAATATTTTTTCACAATCTAATAAGTCATGTTGGGTTTGTATACAAATATTAGATGCAGCAAAGGCATAATTAAACTTTTGTCTCAGAAAGATGTTTCTGGTAACAATATGGAGAATTTTGAGACTAGAAGAAGATATTATTCATACGGAAAACAGTGAGGACTTGGGCTCAATCAATGACTGAAAGGACTGAGAAGTGGAGTGGAATCCTGGAGATATTAAAGGGATGGTCCAGCTGGATTTGGTGATTTATAAAATGTCTAGATTACAAAAAGGGAAATGTCTAGTATGGCTTCTAGTTGTATCACTTGGACAAATGCAGGGTAATGATGGCAGTCACTGAGATATAAAAAACAGAAAAAGGACGGCCGGGCGCGGTGGCTCACGCGTGTAATCCCAGCACTTTGGGAGGCCTAGGCGGGCGGATCACGAGGTCAGGAGATCAAGACCATCCTCGCTAACATGGTGAAACACCGTCTCTACTAAAAAATACAAAAAAAAATTAGCCGGGCGTGGTGGCGGGCGCCTGTAGTCTCAGCTACTCTCGAGGCTGAGGCAGGAGAATGGCGTGAACCCGGGAGGCGGAGCTTGCAGTGAGCTGAGATTGCGCCACTGCACTCCAGCCTGGGCGACAGAGCGAGACTCCACCATCGGAAAACAACAACAACAACAACAAAAAAAACACAGAAAAAGGAGATAAAATCTTAACAAAGTTAGTGAATGTAGTTTGGGTTTGTTCAATTTAAGTTGTCTGTGAGATGTAAAGGTGAAGATGTATACTTGTCTCCTGGGCACACAGATGTAGCTCAGAAGTCCAAGTTCAGAATATAAATGTAGAGGTAATCTACAGACAGGTGGGTACAGTGGCTTACCCACTTGTAATCCCAGCACTTTGGGAGACCAAGGTGGATGGATCACTTGAGGGCAGGAGTTCGAGACCAGCCTGGCCAACACAGTGAAATCCCGTCTCTAAAAATACAACCACCTGAGCGTGGTGGTGTGGGCCTTTAGTCCCAGCTACTTGGGAGGCTGAGGCAGGAGAATCACTTGAACCCAGGAGGAAGAGGTTGCAGTGAGCTGAAATCACACCACTACACTCTAGCCTGGGCAACAGAGTGAGACTCTGTCTCCAAACAAACAAAAAAAAAGAAGTTATCTACATATAGGTAGTGATTAGAACTACAGATCAAGATTTAAATGCACAAGAGTTTTAGAACAATGGTTCTTCATTTTTAGTATGTCACATTCTAATTTTAAAACTCCAGATGTCATCCTTAGAAATAGGTGTGTATATATCTTCAAGAAAAATGTTTGTAATTATTATAATTATATATATAACTAAATATAATACATATCATTAAATACATAGTCTCGGGAGTTGTACTGTGCCCTTAAAGCCCACTTCAGGACCATAGTTTCAGCCTTTTTGATATAGAGTAAAAAGACTTGAAGGTTTAATACAGATTCCTGAGGAAGACACAGAATTTAAATAACAGTCCTAATGACCTTCATATTTTAAGGAAAGGACTTCAAAAAAAAAAATACTGAGAAGTGGCTGTAAAAGAAAGAGAATTATAGGGGCCGGGCGCGGGGGGCTCACACCTGTAATCCCAGCACTTTGGGAGGCCGATGGGGGTGGATCACCTGAGGTCAGGAGTGCGAAACTTGCCTGACCAACATGGTGAAACCCTGTCTCTATTAAAAAAAAAATACAAAAATTAGCTGGGCGTGATTGCAGGCACCTGTAATCCCAGCTAATAGAGAGGCTGAGACTGGGGAATCGCTTGAACCCAGGTGGTGGAGGTTGCAGTGAGCTGATATCGCGTGCCATTACACTGCAGCCTGGGCAACAAGAGCAAAAACTGTCAAAAAAAAAAAAAAAGAAAGAGAATATAAAGTCAGTGATTTGGAAATAAAAGGAAAAGTGAGTTTTAAGAAGGTAACTGAAATCAATTGTGTCAAAAATTGAATGCACACACATATTAATATACACGTATACTTTTGTTCTTGTGCATTTATGCATATATGCATGTTTGTGTGTACGTGTGGGTATTCAACTTTTGACATATGAACATTTGTATAAATGTGGTATAGGTGTGTGGTATATGTGTGCTTAGAGAAGCCTAAAAATACAGCCTAGGGAGGGGATAATTGATAGGGTAAGATAGACTCTATTGGGGCTGGGGATTTAAAGAAAATGAAGAAGGGCTGGAGTAATTGCTGAAGGGAATGGGAAATAGGCCAGATAAGAAAAATGTAATAGGATTGCCAAGTCATTGTGGTTACCTCTGAGTTTGAATACCATAAATTTGCTGTGGTACTAATCTTTAAGATCATCTGGTTTTCTCTTGTGGTGCACAATAACATGGGTGCAGGTCTGAAGCAGAGGAGGTAGATTTTTGAGTTAATTTGGTGCTTCTCAAAAGGTAAAGAAGAGGAAAATATCAAAATCAGCTGGGAATATTTTTTAACTACTCATGTCTGTAACTCCAGGACTAGGAAAATGTAATTTGCAATAATGCACCAGTGAGTGCTGACTGAATAAAGAAGGTGGAAAAGCTAGAAATAGGCCTGTAATAATGACCACATTCCACAAAGTTGGTAAAATAGAAATAGGATGAGTGGAATTAGAGAACAATTTATTACTGGTATTGTAGTAATAAAATTATTAAAATAGATCCAAATGTATCTTTAACATTACAAGTTACAATGGAAAACCAGATATTTTCAGATGATAAAAATGGCCAAAGAAATAGATGTGTTATCTTGAACAATCAGATTAATCAAATAGTTAATTCAGAGGCAACAACATACAATGTTGAAATATTCTAGCTGTTTAATTCTCATCACCAGGTCTGTCTGTCTGACTTGGGCCAGTTACTTTGCCTTGCTCTTACCCCTGGTTTCCTTGTTTTAAAATATATATGGGGTGAGAACAGAGTGAATTAATATATGCTAAAAACTTATTATCATGCCTTTTACATAGTAACAATTTTCTAGAAATTATTATTATTGCTAAATCTCAATTTTACTTTATATTAATGTTGCTTCAATTAACGATGAGTTCATACTGAATGGAAAATGTATTTTAAAATAGCTAAAATCTATTTAAACATTTTTTAAATAGATAAAATCTAATTATCTGTAGAGGTTAGCATTTTCTAAAATTTTTAAGTTATAATTAGCATGTAAAATCAATTATTGATAGTTTTATCTCTTAGCCCCTACTTCCCTCAGAAGCTGCTAACTGTACTTATCATTTAGTATTAAACAAGTCAGATCCTTCCAACTTCATTCAGCATAGCATTCCTTTCTCTATTGTGACAATATATAAGCAGTGGTTCTCCTTAACTGCTTCATGTCAACCTTAGCATAAATCCCAAGTAGGCTATATAAATTTTCTGAGTATAATGGGTTTTCTATTTGGAGAACATGAGAAAACAAAGACACCATCATTAAAACTTGTCACAGAGAATGAGATGCACGTGGCATGAGTTTTCCCACTTTATTTGGGTCTGGCTCTTTCCCCTTTACCCCTACTTTTTAACAAACATAGTCTCATTTTCTTAGTCTCCATATATATACATTTTTAAAATTCAAATTTATCAACCTAAATAATCATTATCCCCTGTATTTATTCTCCAATATGATATGTTTCTGACTGTATTGACCCTTGGGTAAGGTCAATAACGCCGAAGTGCTACAGCTATATTAAATCACAAACTCAACTTTTTTGGTCATTTTTATTTTCCTTCTATTTTCCTTCTATTTTCTCTGTTTTTAACCTTGTACAATGTGTTCCTAATGAGATGCCTGTGCAAATACTTAGATAAACGCAGGTAAGACTACATCCCCTTATTTTCCGCTTATGGGAAATATGATAGCAAAGAGACCCAACAGTATGTGAAGATTCCACAAGGCCCACGGCACAAAAAGCCAGAGCCAGTAGTCTTAATAATCCTGACAAGGAGCAAAACTAAGAATGATTAGCTTAATTCATACAAAATTATTGCACCTCCCTAATCTGCTTATTCTCATTTCTTTTGCTGCTCCAAAAAACTGTAGCTCTGTGACACTTTTAAAAATAATTTTTATGCTTCAATTCACTGGGAAAAACTTGATTCTGTTATTCTTTGTTTCAAAAAAAACTTTAAAATAATTTTTCTTTTCTATTTACAAGTTACTCTTTTGTTTGATTATTTTTTATTACATTTTAAATTTTGATGATTTACTTTGACTGCTTCACAAAAGGAGCCCGTACATGTTCTGACCTCGAGAATTTTAAAGGTAGATGTCATTAGTGCACCAGAGCATTTGTTCATTTGCCTAAGTGATTTATCCACAGGACACACACATATTCACACAGAGATAAACACTGTGAGTTTTCAATAGAACTCCAGAATCTGACCTGAGGTCACATTGCAATTAGACGGCATCTTGATTTTAATTAAATAATAACACCTGACTCATAAAAATAACAAATCAAGCAATTTGAGATAGCTTTTGAGAAATAATTTTGTTAGATTCATTTATCTTCTCTGCTGTACATTTTTAAATTGAGTATTTTTTGTAGTTAACAAAAGCAAGAACTATACAAAGGTTAAAGTAATAGACATTCTTTTTCCTGGACAATATGCCTCTTAGGCATATAGCACTAGTAATTCGCCCATAAGGAATCTGAATGCCAACAGAGCAGCTCTTGGTGCTTTCCATGGGACACAAAGTAAACCGCCTTTATGAACCAAGAAACAAATGTCTATCTAAACAAAGTCAGCAATGCTTAAGAGAACCAAGTCGACTAACATATATAGTTATTTACATATATGTTAATTAATGTAATTATCACTAAAACCATTTAAGACTGATTATTCTTATTTTACAGACTAGAAAACTGACACATTCATATTTAAGAGATTTGCTATGGTCAGAGACACAAATAGAACTTAATACCATTTTGCTTTTCCTTTGTAGTTACCTAAATCACAAAATAGCTAGTAATTAAAATATTGAAATAAGAAAATATATATAAAACATATAACAAATTCAGTTGCAATCACTTGCATTTCACATATATGCATACACACATATACATATGTACATATATACATGTGCGTAAATTTATATATACAAATATGCATACATATAATTGTATTTAAATAGATTAATCCCATGCATACTATTTTGAAATTTTAATATTCTATTATTGTAATGACATATTATTTCTCAGGATATAGCATATGTTATTTAACCATTTCTACATAATTTTCACCAAAATATCAATATCACAAATTGTACATGTATATGTGCTTAGGAATATTTTAAAGAACAGCTATCAAGAAGTGGACATTCTGGATCAATGTTATTTTATTACCAGTATCATTTTTGATAAGTATTATTAAATTAGTCTAAAAAACTTTCTATCAGCTTACAGTGACAACAATGCATAACAATTCTATTTTCTACACGTTATATTTTAAAAAAGAGTATTCTTACCATTTAAAATTTTCTCTTGTTCAATAGGAATACAAATATTATAGTATTAATTATAGTATCATTTTATTGTTAATAATTGAATTACCTCATCACTAGTGAGATTGTGGACTGTTTTTAAGTGCACCTGTTCATAGCTTTCCTCATGCCCCTCTTGATTTCTAAGGGCTTATATGCTATGTTCATACTGATTGATAGGGTCACTGTCTTTATTTTTCATTAAATATTTAGTCCCATTCTTTTACGTATTTCACAAAAATTTCATCCCAACCTGTCATTTTTTAAATACATTGTTCATTTGCAAATCAGAGTTTTATACTTTTATTGAGACAGGGTCTCACTGTGTTGCCCAGTCTGGACTCAAATTCCTAGAAAAAAAATTATCCTCCTGCCTCAACCTCTAGAATAGCTGGGACTACAGGCTCAAGGCACCATGCACAGCTTGTTTTATACGTGTTTAAACAGCTATATTATTTATGATTTTATCTCTATATATTGCTTTTGTACTTTGCATCTTGCTTAAGAAATATTCTCTGTTAGAAGACGAAAATGGAACAATAGTATCTTAAATTATACTCTGTCATTAGTTTAAAATTGCTTGAAAGTAATCATTACTTTATAAGAAATAAACTTTTTTGTAACGTGAGGCAGTGCTCCAAATTTATTTTCAGATATGCAATCAGTTATCTCAGCATTAACTTGTCCCTTCTTTAATAACGAAAAAGTAAAAGTAATCCTCACATATATTCAAGTGATACAGGATTCAAGAAGAAATTACTTACGCAGATGGTGAGGGTTTGGAAGTCCTCGCTAAGGTTTTCCTTTTAACGAAAAGCAGCCCCCAAATCATTTTCTTTTCTAACAAAGAGTAACCTGTAAAAGCGAACTGCCCACATAAACAAGCGGAAATCCTGCACTGGTGAAGGGCAGCAGTTGCACCCATAGGAATATACTACGTGGGACTAGGCATGTTCAAAATGGCGGCTCCATCTTCTCTTTTTGCCAACCAGGTGTACAGTAAGCAGCAAGACAAGATGGCACTGGCCAAGTGGAAACCCATTTGCATGATAAGATTAGGGTAGAGGGACCAGCCTTCTCTGTGTTCTATGTAAACATCACACCTGGTCAAACCAATCTGTAAGCCCTACATAAATCAGACACCACCTCCTCAAGCCTGCCTATAAAATCTGCTGACGTCCACCACCTTGCCCCTTTTATTCGGAAGTCTCTCTCTGGCAAGGAGCTGCTCTCCTTTCTCGTTTCTTCTGCCAATTAAACTTTCTGTTCCTTAACCCACCCACATGTGTATGTTTCCATAATTTTTTTGGAAGTCTATTTTCTTTCCCATTTATCTTCTCAGAACAAGTGACTTCTCTGAACAATACAATGAAATAAAAGTAATTATCAGGGACTTCTGAACCCATACCTTAAAAGATTTTGTAGTTTTCAATGTTATTATGGAAAATAATAGCCAGGTAAAGAACTCCAACTACTTTGTGGTAGAGAATGGCTATGTAGAGAGAAAAACAATTCTGAAGGTTGAGAACTTAGATAGAGAGAAAGAGACCCCGTATTATTACAAACATCCAAGGTCATATATCAGATATATGAATAAAGCTATCTCTTATCTTCCAGTCCTGTAATTTAATCTGAAGAATCTGTAGATTAAATTTAAATTTGTAATTTTAATTTACAAATGTCAATTTAAACCTGTAAATACTTGGCTTTACCTATAATTTGTACTTTGTATCTTGCTTAAGAAGACGATAATCGATAATAGAGCATTAGTTTAATGTAACTTAGCCTGAGGGAGTTCTATAGGCCCCTTTAAGTCAGGTAATTCCTAAACAACACTATTTTTTCTCCTAACATAATTTTAGACAAAGCATTTCTACTTTTTCTTTATTTCATGTTTCAATATCCTAAAGACTATAATTAAATTCATCATAAGAATTTATACAATATTAATTACATTCTTTTAAGTGTATATGTGCTATTAAGAAATGGTCTTGCTAGATTAAAGTCGTCATTACATATAATTTGAAAAGTATTGGGTTCTATATTTTTAATTGTGAAGATGACCCTTCTCTTTTTTTGTTGCTGCTATTAGCTGTTTTTACGTGCACAATTCACCTGGAAACAAATACTAATTAATATTTTCAATTTTTTCTCCATTTCTTATATGAGCCATTTATATCAATTCAGGAGGGGCAAAGAGATGGATTAAGGAATTTTCCTGTTTTCAATTCTAAAGAACCTTGTTGTGGTGGTGTTTTGTGTTTAGATTTCATTACAATTTTATCTTTATTTATTTAGTCATTTATACTATTTAGAATCAGTTTTCCTTTTGATGAAGCAATAAAAAGTCATGTAATTGGGTAGCAGTAATTTAATACACTAGCTACAAGCTTTTAAAATCCTAGAAATTTGTGTAACAGGTTTATAGATTATACATTTCTGGCAACTAAATTTCTGTCTGTAGGCAATTTTGTTACTTAACAAAATTAGTTTTCCTTAAGCATCACCATTCACTCATACTTAAAATAATTAGTAACATATTTTGTTTTCTGGAAATATTATTTTATATTATGATGCTTTCTAATTATATAAATGCAGACTTAAACACATTTTTAAACCACATTTTGTTTCCCTACTCCACCCTCAGATTATGTCATTTACCTCTTCTCTACATATCATGTATAAATGCTTTTCTGCAAAAATGTTAATTAGGATATTGACTCACAAGAATGCCCCTTTAGGAACAGTAGGAGGAACAATGGGAGCCCCAGGAGTACCAGATAAGCCAAGTATGTCAAAATCATTCTACAAAAGTTCCAAACCTTTAACTGTAATTAGAACAACCCACAAAAGGCAAGGAACTATATGCTAAACCTAAACAAAATGACTAGTTCATGAAATAAAAGATTTAAAAAGCAATTTGAGTTTCCATTCAGAATAGACAAAATGTCAAAGAAACAATAAAAAAACACCTATTTTACCAAGAACAAACAAAATCAAAATGTTCTTTATAAAAGGCAATTCACACTATACAGCCATAAAAAAGAATGAGTTCATGTCATTTGCAGGGAAATGGATGAAGCTGGAAGCCATCATTCTCAGCAAACGAACACAGGAGCAGATAACCACATACTGCATGTTCTTACTTGTAAGTGGGAGGTGAATAATGGAACACGTGGACACAGGGAGGGGAACATCACACACCGGGGCCTGTTGGGAGGTGGGGGCAAGGGGAGGGAGAGCACTAGGACAAATACCTAATGTATGCAGGTCTTAAAACCTAGATGACAGGTTGATAGGCACAGCAAACCACAAAGGTAGATGTTTACCTATGTAACAAACCTGCACGTTCTGCACATGTATCCCAGAACTTAAAGTAAAATAAATAAAATAAAAGTAACAAAAAGGATGAGCCAAAAAAAAAAAAAAAAGAGAGAGAGAATTCACTGATGCCAGTACTGAGATGAATCAGATGTTGAAATTATCTGGCAAGGATTTTAAAGCAGCCATCATCAATTCCAATAATTACAAATTATCTTAAAAGAAATTTAAAATAGAAAAACTCAGCAAGAAATTGAAGTTATAAGAAAAACAAAGGGAAATATAGGACTGAAAAATACTGTAACATAAAATCTCAGTGAATGGACTCAGTATTAGGGTGGAGATGACAAATGATAGAATTTGTTAATTTGTGGACAGACAAATCACCCAATCACCCCATCTGAAGAATACAAGGAAAATAGAGTTAAAAAATGAACATAAAATAAAATTAACACTAATTTTATATAATCTCTCTATATATCCATCAATAAACTGTTTAATATGTTATTCACTTTTATGCCCACACTTTATTTAAGCCATTATATTTTTAGCAGTAAGTTATATGTTAACTCATTTGTCAACAAAAATGACATTCCAAAGATGTCCAGAATGTCTCTCCTTCTCTCCGTCTTTCGTGTGTGTGTGTAGTCTTAGAAGGCATTTTAAAAAATTATCTCAATTTGAAATTTGTAATACCCTAAGGTGATTTACATACTCTATTCTAGAGAAATTGTCTAGCGCTTATGAAATAATATATATAGATCTTTTTAAGGCAGCCAACTTTCTGTTCATCTTTGTGAATAAAATAGCTTCAGATTAAAACAAAATTGATATAAATATTTCTTTTTGACTGTTAGAAACTAAAACAGCAGCTATGTTTGGGGCTTTTATTTAAATATTTATAATTACTTGTGAACTCTATCAGCCATATCAGTTATTGGCATATCTGTAGCAAATTTACTTATGCAAATGATTCAATTAATATTTCCAAATGCTATGATTGATGAAGAAAAATGGTCTATATATAAGGAACATTTGAGTATAAAAAGGGCTTCTACAATGTGTAAACAAATCACATTTCTCTTGAAACTAACTTCTTAGTAAAAAATAAGAATAAAAAACACTACTTTACCAATTATTTGATCATACTAAACTGCTAGTTCAAATGGTTGACATATGAAATATGCAAAAAATGTATAAATATTTATAAAAATGTAAATGCTCCCCATGACAGTCTCTCCATGATGTAAAAATATACTCATGTCTTACTTGAATATTTTGCCCCAATAATCATTTTAAAAAATAATACTAAAAAAAAATTAAGGCATAGCATTTAAATTGCTTGCATGTATGTCATTCATCTAATATTTGTTAATTTATTAAGCATTTTCCGTTTCCATTTTTTACATTTCTAATATAATTTTGAGGACAAGTTCTAGATTTAGCAAATAAAAGTACGGGATGTTCAATTAAATTTATATTTCATATAAACAACAAAAACTTTTTAGCACGTATATGTCACAAATGTTGTGTGGGACACTCATAATAAACAATTATTTGTTGTTGACCTAAAATTAAAATGTAACTACTAGCCTTGTATTTTATTTGGCAACTCTTATTTTTTATTCTAGAATCTGCTCCCTTGTGTCCCTTTCAGTGGTAATGTTTCCCATTTATTTTCCACTTCATATCTTGTATTCTCTCTCTAGAGCTGGAGCTGTTTGCTTATAATTTCTTGATAATTATATCAGTCTATTGACTGTTATATTTTAAATACCATTGTATTTACTGTACAAAAAACAAACACAATTATAATGCATTTGAAAAAAACACATAAATGATATTTCTTGACTCTTTGCATCTATTTTTGTAATTTTAGTTATTAACTAGGGAATTATAGTTAGCTTTAAATAGTTCACTGTATATGGTGGGAAAAAATATTGACTGTAAATTGATTGAACTTTGATCAAGCAAATAAAATTGATTCTTCTACAACCTTATGAGATAATATCTATGATTTGTCACTGATGTCTTCAGTGGGTTTATATTAGAACAGAAACAAGTGAAATGTTGAAACTAATTCTTATATTTTATTGTTAAATCTGGACTTCATTCTGTAGATTATGCAAATTAACCAACTAGTCTTTTGTTCCTATTAGGCAATGTCAGTGACCAGAATACAATATCTAAAATATGACACTTGCTGTATTGGATTTTTTAAGCTGAAGGAAATTGAGAAATGTTACTTGGCAACTCTTATTTGGAAGCAGAAAGGTTACTTTCAGATCTTCTCTCACCTTTTTCCACAGAAGCAGATCATAAAAGAATTCTCTGATCTTGATCTACCTTCCCTGAAAGTGGTTCATAAGGCCCTCATTCCAGAGGGGTCCTACACTATACCTGGAGGCCGAAAACAATCTGAAAAAATAGCCCTTGCTAATTCCCCCCTAGTTTATTACCATTAGATCATAACTTTTATCCTCCAATCATACTCTGCAAGACTGTAGTCCATAAAAATACACAGTATTGGCCGGGTGCAGTGGCTCACGCCTGTAATCCCAGCACTTTGGGAGGCCAAGGCGGGCAGATCACAAGGTCAGGAGTTCGAGATCAGCCTGACCAACATGGTGAAACCCCATCTCCACTAAAAACACACACAAAAATTAGCCAGATGTGGTGGCGAGTGCCTGTAATCCCAGCTACTCAGGAGGCTGAGGCAGAAGAACCGCTTGAACCCAGAAGGTGGAGGTTGCAGTGAGTTGAGATCGTGCCACTGCACTCCAGCCTGGGCAACAGAATGAGACTGCATCTCACAAAAAACAAAAACCAAACCAAAACAAACAGACAAACAAAAAAACCCACAGTATTCCCTGGGTCTTTGGGTCATGTTAAACTTATATTAAATAAATTTGTCATGCTTTTCTCTGGTTAATCTTTCTTTTGTTCTATGGTTTTTACCTATGAACCTTGCAGCAGGTGAGGAAAAGATAATACTTGTTATCCCCTACAGCAGAAAGATATGATTCCTGGGACCTTTGGCTTTATTCAAATTGTTCACAGACCAAAAGTGCATGAGGACCACTGTTAACGGTATTCTACAATTGGAAGCCCTGGACTGAGCTAACGTATTTTAAAACATGTAAATCACATTATTTCCTACAAATTAATCTTGTATTTAAAATTGATGATATGGTAGCTACTACTTCACAGATGTATAAGAGCAATAACTATGATTATAACATTCTGTCTTAAACTATTTTCTCATCCATATAACCTTCAGTGGTCATTCGGCCTATAAGAGATTTGGTAATTTTACAAAAGTTGCAATTAAAAAGATATGAAACACAGCCATTTTTTTCTTGCCAATGAGAGGTATGATGTTGGTCAGATTTTACCAAGACATTTTTACTGAGTTTAATGAAGATAGTTTAAACATAGGTAAATTCAAACATCCAGTCATTTTTATTTTACTAATTTTCCCAAATTAAATAATGTTAACTAAAATTAAGGGTATTAGAAATTATGAAAACTGTAATAGGGCCACTGTTATATGTGACATTAGATTGGAAGCTCTCACATATAAGCTAACATGTTACTATTTGTAAGCCACACTATTTTCTTAAAAGTAACCTTGTGTTTTATAATGATGATATTGATTAAAGCTAACATTTGTTAATCCTTGTTACAAGCTTTATATGCATCATCTCATTTAAACCGTTTTAAAAATTCTCCAATTGGGTATTACTGTTTATATTTCATTGAGGAGAAAATTGAAACTCAAAGAAGTCACCAGTCGATAGGAGCTTCAAACCAGGCTTTTATTCATACTGCTCATCTTATGAAATGCCACACAGCTGCTCTTCAGAAAGGTTTCAGAATAAGAGAAAGAAAATAGAACTCAATCAATATTCTGTTGATTAACTAAATGTTGGAATATTGTGTGTGTGTGTGTGTGTGTGTGTCTTACAGCTAAGGATGTGTGTAGCTTTTCCACCCATATGCTTCTTGAGTAAGCAATGTCTCAGTCAGTATAATTTTTTTTATTTTGGCTGGTTCAGGTCAGGTCAGGATATAAAGTTTGAAATCTTGAAGATTAAAATCTGTTGAGGGTAAGAGAAATTGAGCCTTTCTGAAGTCAAAACCATCTCTCCACCAAAACACCTAATCTTATTTATATTTTTTTCGCTTTACCTGATCTCACATTGACCATGCCTTATAAAAATACTATCAATTGATTAATAAGACACATGTTTAATTTTATTTAGTGGTCACAAAGATAGCATTTTTGAAATTATAGCTCAAACAAAAGGTTGTTATTTTGTTTTGTGAATGTTTCTGGTTTGTTTTTATTGTCTGATAATGCCTCTTCTGTTCATCTGCAGATGACTGATATGATTCATTGTCATTGTATGGCTTTGCAGTGCTCTGGGAATGCTTTAAACAGCTGACCTTGTTATACATCATTCATTAAATGTTTCTGCCTCCATAGCACACTGCTAATCCAACAATTTAATGTACTGGAAGACACTAAATTGTAATACTATATGTGGATAAAGTAAAAATAGAATTTCTGGGCATCTGAATTATAACATATTTTGCTATATATATTTTATCACATTGAATCTGTGCCCTTATACAACATTCAGTAGAAAACTGATAAGACAATATTCTCTATATTTGAAAACTTTAACATTTCATTCACAGCATATAGTGCTATTTTTTCAGAACTGAAAATAATTTAAAATCATAGCCTTACTCATTTTATTTATATTTAATAAGACTAATAAGACATATTGCCGAACTTTTAAAAGTTTTAAAAGAACGTTATACATCTGACATAAAAGGGAGATATTTAGGCTGGGCACAGTGGCTCATGCCTGTAATCCCAGCACTTTGGGAGGCTGAGGCGCGCCGATCACCTGAGGTCAGGAATTCAAGACTAGCCTGGCAAACATGGTGAAATTCCATCGCTACTAAAAATACAAAATTAGCCAGGCATGGTAGTGAGTGCCTGTAATCCCAGCTACTTGGGAGGCTGAGACAAGAAAAGCACTTGAGTCCGGGAGGCAAAGCTTGCAGTGAGCGGAGATTGCATCACTGCTCTCCAGCTTGGGCGACAGAGCAAGACTCTGACTCAAATAAATAAATAAATAAATAAATAAATAAATAAATAAATAAATAAATAAAGGAGATATTTATACACGTATGCTTTAAAATTATTCTCGAATTAAATTTGAAATGAATATGGAGGCTTATGGTGGAAGGCTATAAATCTGCACTTGCCCCCTTATCTTACCTTTTGTGACAACTTAGTAAACTACAAATGAAGTTGTCATGTTTCTGAACATTTGCTAACTGAATCTACGCTACATCAAGTAAAATTAGATGAAAGTTAAAAGTGCTCCTGGAAGTAGCATGATGAATAACAGACAAGACATTAGCTTAAACAGATCAAGAATTATGAGTTTGAGGGCAAACCACTGACCTCTACATTAGAAAATAGTTCTGAAAGTATTGACTTTCTAAGTTGACTGAAGTTTTTTCCTTTCTTTCTTTTCTTTCTTTCTTTTTTTTTTTTTTTTTAACAAACCACCACCCAGTATGAAATCACTCACTAGCTAAATGGGTGGTCCAGACAAGTACTGGACAGTGCAAATACAGCTCCACACCATGCAGGCTCCATGTTTATGCTATATTTATGTAGCACCAAGAAGATTACGAACAAAAATGTCTATAACTTTGGACACTGTAGATGAAATGATTTGCCTTGGTACAAACTGCTTGAAAAATATTGATTCTAAATTTGTCTTATCTACCACCGAATCTTATCTTCACAGTTGAGCATAATGTCTGGCACTGAGAAAGAATTCTGTATTTCTTGATTGAGTGTTGATTAAACTATTCTGTCTCCTTGTATTTGAAAGTGCTTAAAGGGGAAAAGGCTTTTTTTTCTGTACAATGGGAAATTATGCAGTTAACTGTTGCTGACATATAATTTAGGATATTGTGCTGTCCCATAATATTCTGAGCAAAACAACCAAATGATTCACATTTTGAAAAGTCAGTGTTTGCTCCATTTGCTCTGTGTTGACAAGTGGAATAGTAAAGAAAAAATGAATGATATAAACTTCAAAGGTAAGTTTACTTTATGTATTCCTAACTTTAGGATAAAGTTAACTTTTAATTGCCCATGTTAATGTAAAATATAACAGAATTGTGTACTCCTATGACAAAAATGATTTCTATCCATCTCCAGAAAGCAGAAATATACAAAAAGTCATATAAATAAGCAAATGTTTAGAGAAACAATTACTGTACTTTATAATTTACTAGCTTTATTCTGCAGACTTTCCTTAAAACTGTCTGAAAAGGAAAATAATTAGAGCACTGCAGCGAATTCACTGGCAAGGAATCTGAATTAGATTACATTTCAACAATCAAATAAACTGAATAGGCAGGGATATTCCAGCAGCAGAGACTGCTAGTCATAAACCCAACATCCACTTCCTCTGCTCTGTCCAGCTAACATGTAGGTTTCCTCTCCTCTGCAGACAGATAATGTGAAGGGGAGGGGTTAGATGTAGTTCCCCAGAAAAATGTTTAAATATTCACAGTTTGTGTGTCCCTTGTGCTACTTCCTTCTTATCCTTCATCCTGCCTAGAATTTGGATGTGAAAACTGAGGGCTCTAGATGGCACCTTAAAACTATGAGAATGAGAACGAAAATCTGAGAATGACAGAGCAAAGTGCTGGATAAGTTAGGGTGACTTCTATTCTGACAGTCCAAGGCAGCACCAGCTTCTGTCCCATTCATATCTCCTTTTCTAGGTGTGTGTAACTACTTTCCGAATTCAGTATCTAGTTAACGTAACCAGCATAAACCCAATCTATCAAAATATAACTTTTTGTTTTCTCCTTTGTATCTCATTCAAATAAACTTCTCCTTCCAAGTGCCATGACAATACATTATCAACTAAACATTTTTTTCTCTCTCAAATTTGGAGCACAAGGGTAAACTTTGTACTTTTCGTTCTATCTATCTATATATGTAGTTTGTGAATAAACTGTCAATTCTTACATTAAAAGCTTCATCAATTCCATTTTATGTCATTCAATTTCTAATCTCATCATTTTTATGGCTCTATGTGTTATTACTAATTGTTTGAAAAACACTTTTCATTCCTTTTTTCCTTTCACCCTTTGCTTCTTCTTTCCTTTCTCCCTCATTCATTTCATTTATTTCATAATACCTCTAGTCGTATTTAATAAATCAATTTACAAAATTTTAATCAGTTATAAAACCCAAAGTTCCCCAATTTCTTGTTCAAAAACTCTTCGTGGCTTCCTATCTTCTATCTGATATTAGGAGTTCACAGTTCTATTACCACTTTCTTACACTGGTGTTTGAAATTAATTCATTTTGGAGGAACGAAAAGAAGTCAGAGGTATCAATCCATATTTAGGACTTTTTTTTTTTTTTTGAACAGGGTATTTGTTTCCTAGGACTGCTAAAACAAAGTAACAGAACTTGGCAGCTGAAAACGACAAAAATTTATTGTGACACAGTTTTGGAAGCTAGAAGTCTGAAATCGAGGTAGGAGTAGGACCACACTCCCTCTGAAACCTGCAGCAGAGAATCCTCTTACCTCTTGTAGTTTCTGGTAGTTGCCTACAATCTCTAGCATTCCTTGGCTTGTAGATGCATCATTCTAGTTTCTACCTTCATCATCACATGAATATCTTCTCTCTCAATGTGTATCTTCCCATGGAGTTCTCCTCTGTGGCTGTATGTATACAAATTTATCTCTTCTTATAAGGATACCAGTCATAATGTATTAAAGTCCACCCTAGTGACCTTATCTTAAATCGATTACATCTGTAAAAATCTTATTTACCAATAATCTCACATTTATAGGTTCTGAAAGTTAGCATTTCAATATAGTTTTTGAGGGAACACGATTAAACCCATAACAAACAATATAATATATTTTTGGGAAAAAGAGACAAAATCACACTATACTATGTTTAAGGTCTATAGTGTGAGTGGTTTTTCATCAAAATGTATTGAAGAATTAAGAATTAATTTGCCTTGGCCAAAGAGGTTAATGTATAGGACTATTCTGAGTTTTGACACTTCCCCCTAAATAAGCAAATGCATTTGATTTAATAATTTTAAACCTTCCATTCTTCTGACAAAGCCTTAATGGTAAATAACTCCATGAAAAATAATCTTTTAATAGCCCTGTAACAGTTGGAGCAGTCAGAAGTGGCCCTTTTTTTTTTTTTTTTTTTTTTTGAGAGGAGTCTTGCTCTGTCGCCCAGGCTGGAAGTGCAGTGGTGCCATCTCGGCTCACTGCAAGCTCCGCCTTCTGGGTTCACGCCGTTCTCCTGCCTCAGCATCCCGCGTAGCTGGGACTACAGGCGCCCACCACCATGCCAGGCTAATTTTTTGTATTTTTAGTAGAGATGGGGTTTCACCGTGTTAGCCAGGATGGTCTCGATCTCCTGACCTCGTGATCCGCCCGCCTCCGCCTCCCAAAGTGCTGGGATTACAGGCGTGAGCCACCGCGCCCGGCCAGGAGTAGCCCATTTCTAATGGATTAGAGAGAGTTTGGCTGTCTTCCAGGGCACTGAGCGCCAACCAAAACACAAGATGATGCAGTATATGCCTCACTGGTCTATGTGATGCTTTGAAATCCAAGGCAACTTCAACTACACCCCTGGGCACAAGCCAAGTAATAAAACTGGGCAGGACAGTGAATCCACAACTCAGGAAATGAATTAAAATGGTTTCTATCATCAACTACTTCTGGTTCAAGGGTGAGAACACTCAAAATATTAGTGGTTCCTCAGTGGCTCCTTTGCTAAGATGCTCTGATCTTTAAGTAGGTAGGCTTACTTTATATTTCTAAATACCTCATGGGAAATATAATCAATCTCACTGACAATTGTGGGTAGGTAAGGAGTAATTGATATAAGAGAGTTGGTAATTATGTTAATTAGTATAGACAAGGTGTAAAAAAGGAAAGCATTTCCTGGTTAGTAACAGCAAGAGCTTGTAAGAACCTGAAAACCCATGGCAAAATAAGTGTTTCAGGAGGTTCCTAATAGCAGTTCCTGAAAAAATATTTAGCCTGTTACATAAGGTACATTGTCAATGGGGTATCAGTGACCAAGACAATGTAGCATCATGTTCCAAAAAAGGTTAAGGCACAGAAATGTGGAATACAAGAGGTAATGATGGAAATGTGGGCTTACAGGTCATTTTTGGCATCCAACTTGATCAGCAAAGCCTTAGTCATTTGGGCTTGGGCTTAAAATCAAGGCTTAAGGTCTAAGGCAAGAGCCTGGAAAGAGCAATGTAGCTTCCTGGTTTTAAGTGATACCCAGATTACCAGAAATATTAACAGATTTCTAAAAAAATAAAAATAATGCCCCCATTTTAAGAAATAAAACATCAAGAGAAACCAACCTGGTTAATGGAGTCACAAGTAGAAAAACAATGTTTAAAATTAATCACAAGGTTAGGGAAAGAATTGTGGCTATGGTTGTAAAAAATGAACAGAAAAACCCTAACAGCTTCAGTGTATTGGAGAAAATAATTAACCCTGAACTCATTAACCGGGCATTCCATTTTCAATAACTGATTCTGATGTATCTTCTTAGCAGTGCTCTCAACCACAGTCCAAAGCATACCAAAATTATTCCAGCTACATAAAGGCCTTCATTTTTTCCAAAATAAATTGTGTTCCTCATTAACTCCAAACACCAACTTATATCTTCACACTTCTCCTCACTGAATACCACCACCTCAACTTGTCTATTTCCATCCCACTTTCCAAGGAATTTTCTGTCACTCAGTTTTATCGATAATCATATGCCACTGTGCTTGTTCATTCAACTATTTCATGTATGAATGCTTCATCAGGCAACTCAACTACAAATCACTGGAGGGTAGTATTTGTTTGCTACTTTTTAAAAAACTTCTCTTAGGTTCCAACATTCTATCATTAGAGAAAATTATCAATTAATAACTATAATAATTTTTTTTAAATCCTTCCTTCTCATCTTTGGAAAAAAATGTTTATCTACCTTATTAGACAGATGTTAGAAAGAAAACACAAACAAAAAACAACAACAAAAAAAAACTCCTGAAAAAGATTATAATCTCCTTATTTAATTTGATATGATGTGCATAGATGCTGTAGTGGGTTGAACTGTTTCTGTCCAAAATATTAATATATTTATTTAAGTCTTATCCCCCAGTACCTGTGAAAGTGACCTTATTTAGAAATAGGGTCTTTGCCAATGTAATCAAATTAAGATGAAGTCATACTGAATTAGGGTTGGCCCTAATGTAATGATTACTGCTCATATAAGAGCGATATTTGTGGTTTTTGAATTTTTTTTTAAATTATTATTTTTTTTTAATTTTATATTTATGGGGTACATGTGCATATTTGTTACATGAGTATATTTTGTAATGATGGGAAATGGGCTTCTAGTATACCTATCACCCAGATAATGAACATTGTTTTCAACATGTAACTTTTTAACCCTCACTCCCTCCCTTCTACCCTCTTTGTGAAGTCTCCAATGTCTATTGTTTCCATCTTCATGTCCATGAGGACCCATTTTTTAGCTTTCACTTACTTGATTTTCTGCTTCTGAGTTAGTTCACTTGGGATATTGGCCTCCAGCAGTATCCATGTTGCTGCAAAGGGCATGATTTCATTTTTTTTCATGGACTCATAGCATTTCATCGTGTATATATACCACATTTTCTTTATCCAGTCAACCATTGATGGACATTTGCTTTATCTAATCAACCATTGATGGACACTTAGGTTGGTTCCATGACTTTGCTATTGTGAATAGGGCTGCTATAAGCATGTGAATGCAGGTGTCTTTTTTATGTAATGATTTATTTTCCTTTGGGTTGATACCAGTAGTGGGATTGGTGGTTTGAGTGGTAGCTCTATTTTTAGTTCCTTGAGTTATCTCCACACTGTTTTCCATCGAGGTTGAACCAATCTGCATTCCCACCAACAACGAACAAGTGGTCCTTTTTCTCCACATACACACCAACTTATGATAGCTTTGTGTGTCTGTTTGTTTTACTTTTTAATAATAGCCATTCCAACTGGTATAAGATGGTATCTCTGTGTGGTTTTAATTTGCATTTATCTGATGACTAATGATATTGCACATTTCTTTGTGGATATCTGGGCGCAGAAACTAACAGGGTAGAAAGCAACATGAAGACAGAGGCAGAGATTAGAATGATGCATTTAAAAAACAAGTAATGTCAAGGGTTGCAGGCAACCACCAGCAGCTGGAAGAGGCAAAGAAGGATACTCTCACAGAGACTTCAGAGAGCATGGTCTTGCTCACATTTTGATTTTGGACTTCTATCTTCCAGAACCATACGAGAATACATTTCTGTTGTTTAAGCCATCAGGTTTGTGGTGCTTTAATACAGCAACCCCAGGAAACTAATAGAGACAACCACTCACCCCCTAATGAATGATGTTGAACCTTAGTGATTGGTGGGTATGAGAAATCCTCTTAGGTTTCTTGGTCACTGTAAAGCTAACTGAAAATAGCAAGCATTACTGAAATTCTTATGCAATATATAATTCGAATGCAAAGGAACACTTCAACTGTAAGTCATATATGTGTGTATATATATATATTTATTAAAAATCTGTGTATCCTAAATATTAGAAGATAAAAGAATCATTGATTTTCTTTATAAATGCAAATTTCTCAGACAGACCCCACAGTTTATTTCACAGCTTGAGGGTGATAGGATAAAAATCTCCATATTTCCAACTACCCTAGGACATTCTGCTACTAGGAGGTGCTCCACAAATCACCAGAGATGATAAACTCAAAGAGCCACAGAGTTAATGAATTTACAAATATAGGAAAAATGTATTGCATATATCATAAATGCAAACATAATACAATTCATCAAATATGACATTTATTTTCTAGGGATGTACACACAATGGAGAGTTGTTGAGAAGAAAAATTAAAAACTCGAGCTCAAACTCCAGATAAGCAAAAAATTCCAAATCTTTTTTGTTGGCTGGGAAAGTTCACATTACAGTATAACTATTGTTGTTCTGACTAATTACTGCTGTCAATGTCAGTAGGAAGGCTATCCATTAAACAGCTGGAAAGAACACTCCCCTTCTCTTTCAGTGGAACTGAAAAAATATCATTGGAAGCAAAAATTTAAGAAATCAACTGAAAACAAGCAACTCAGAAGTTTTCTCTGGCAAATAAATTAATAAGAAACATATTTTTTAAAAATTTGTTTGCTCTTATACTAGTTGGTGAAGTAGCAATAATGACAAAGTAGTAAACTGATCCCAATCACAAAGCCATTACAAACAAGCTCTTTAAATTTGCTTCAATTCTAGTTCATTCAAAAAGCATGATTCTCTGCCACCTCATTTTACCTTTGAAAAATGTCACGTTATATTTTTCAAGTGAGTTCTAATAAGCCAGCCAACAGCTCACTAATACGTATTGTATATTTTGGAATTTAAAGCATGAAGTCAGCAAGGGATTGCTGTTGGGTTAAGAAAAATAAGTTATTTCAGATTAAGACTCTAATTAGATAAAAATCACTAGGAAAATAAGTAATCTGGTAATGTCAGCTAAATTTACAAAGGCTTATATTCATCTTTAACTCAAAAGTTGTGTGAATAATGGCAAGCTAAAATGAAAAATTGAGTCAATTATTTAGACAATTCAAGTCTAAAATTACTGCTATTTAAGAAGCGAATATTTAGCTAACGGGGTCATGATTTATATAAATAAACAATCAATATTGACCAATTAACAGCCTTTTCCATTTCACTGGAAATATACAGCACTATCTTAATGATTTTCATGGGAACATATTAGATTTCCTTTATGTTAAATGAAAACCACAAAAGGTTTCATAAACCAAACAAAAGAAAACTAAATAGTTCATTGTATACCTTTGCTCCTAACAAGATAGAAGTAAACAGGACCCAACATGTGTGGAATTAGGTTGAATTCTGAATATCTACCTTTAACTACACATTTTTTAAGCTTAAAAAAGACCTCTCATTTCTCTATACATTTCTTAAATTACAAAGCCCCTAATAAATGGTAATTTTTATATAACTATTGTTTAAAGTGAACTTAAAATAAAACTGAGTTAAAACAAACATTGCCATATTTTACTCATGTTGTTTTTCTCAATGTTTGCCTCCTTTTTTCACTGATTTACTTTCTTTCAAAATTGGATAGAGGTGATAGCCATTTATTATGATACTTTTATTGAAACATATTGATGCTAAAATTGCCATAACTAAATATTTGCATTAAATTTATTTTAATGTATAACTGCCAGAGTGTTTAATGTACAACTTAAGTTCTCTTCATGATTATCCTGTGAAATATATACTTCAACTTGTCAAATTAACTTATTGAAATTTAGAGAGGTGAGATAGTTCTCTTTTAGCCAGATACCTAGACATGTTGGAGCTGGGATTTCATTCTGTTATGCTTAACCATTATGCTTATTTATGTAATTTCTAATTGTTGAGTTAAAGTATTATAAAGAGCAAGCTAAATAAGCGTGTATGAAAATAGCATGATTTGAGGGGTGCATTTGTAACAAGAAGGTGGCTAGCTGAATCCTGAAGCTATGCTGGGCCTCAGCTGTTAGCTTTAGATTGAGATTCACTTCATTCTTTAAGCTATACATTAAAATAAATTAGGGTCATGGTTCTCAAACTCACCTACATCTGAATGACCTGGCAGCTTAAATAAAATGCCAGAGTTTGTAAAAATAAATATATTTTAAAACAATGGTTAAAAGACATAAGACAATATTATCTGCTTTCTGCTACTTAGGGATTAGAGAATTGCATGATATAGAACACCCTGCCCTGCATACTTCTCCTACTCCCTCTTTGTCCACTATATTCCAGCCAAAATGGACTTTCCATGATTTCCCAAACAGGTCAAGACCGTTCTTCCTGAGAGCTTCTACCCGGGTGATCTTTTCCTTTATCCTTGCATGGCTGTTCCCACTCCCTCCCTTCACCCTTCTTCTTTTTCCAGTTTTTATTCTATTTCTATTCCTTTCCACTTCTTCCCACCTCTTTTTCTTTCCTCCTCTCTCCTCATCATCATCCTGTCCTCCCACTTTACTTCCTTTCTTGTGTTGCTCCATCTTTTCTTTCTCCCTCCTTTGCTCCCCTCTTCAGGCCTCCTTTCCCAGCTCTACCACTTCCTCCTTCTTCTCCCCTAATCTCTCTTCACCTCTCTCAACTCCTTGATCTTCTTCTCCAACATATTCCAATTTTTCTTTACAAGTGATGAAATGGACAGCTAAAAAGAGTAGTTTCTGGGCTCTTCCCAAAACATTATCTGAAAGGATTAAGCCATATTTTCTAGTTTCTTTACCAGAATATATGTTAGTACAATTAGTACAAGTAAATTAATAATTTTGTATCCTATATTTTGTTGGATATTAGTATTAACACTGGAAACTATCCTTTTTATTATCTTCTAGTCCTTACATGTTAACCCTAATTAAGGAACCAGCCAGCCTGTATGCTGAAGAATTCACCAAGTTTAAGTTGAAATTTTGTATTTCAGCCACCAGGAAGTTTACCTCTTAGAAGAGGCTTATAAATGCATTAGTTATATATTATACACAAATTTCAGTATTAATACAACTTTTCTAGCAGATATTGCAAAGATTCTCTACCAATTGCATGAATCCAGTGAGACAGAACATTCTCTGAACAAGTTAGTCAAAGCAAATTTATTACCCACAGAAAGGCAGAAAGGATAAACCAAGCTTAACATCCATAGCGGGCTGGTTCCCCAAGGCTTAGCAAAGCTGCCCAGGAAAAATGAAGTTTAGTCTGTGTGTGCCGTTCATTGCATGACAGCTGAAAAACCTCAAAAGCACTCAGCTTTGGGTTTGCATAGACTGAGCACCACTTGTCTCACAGAGCTCAAGCTTTGTAGAACATTCTATTCTGGGAGGAGCAAAGACCCAGCCTAGATTGTTCTAGACATTTCTTCCTTATCTCAGGGTACTGCAAACAGAGTACATTCTGCATGAGATTTCAAAGTAAAAGGGGGAATATTTGGGTCAGCCAAGGTCATCAGGGGACCTATCCTCATGCAGATGTTGTCAGTGCATTGCCCACCTATAGTTAGTCTTCACGACTTCAGTGGATGCAGGCTGAACTTCCCACTATCATTTGCATCTCCTTCTCTAAGGAGTTGTCTGGCCACAAATGCCAGTTCTGACCATGACCCCTCTGCCTGCCTGCCTGGCTGCCTGGCTGCCTGCCTGCCTGCCTGCCTGCCTGCCTGCCTGCCTGCCTTCCTTCCTTCCTTCCTTCCTTCCTTCCTTCCTTCCTTCCTTCCTTCCTTCCTTCCTTCCCCCTTTCTTTATTTCTTTTCTAATTTAGTATCTGGACAGAGATGATTTTTCCAGAAGTATCACACTCTTCAGTGTCCTCCCTTTGTGTAGTGTGTGTGTGTGTGTGTGTGTGTGTTTAATCAAGAACAGATAGGAATTACTAATAAATTTTTAGCTGCAAATCTTCCCATCCCTAGTTCTAATTGCTTGCATAAAAAGACAATTACACTCATGTAATGTTTGTTTCTTCTATTGCTTTACTGGTTATGGAGACAACACAGAAAAGGATAGTTACATTTTAGCAAATAGCAGAGCATACTTTGAGAGCTTTACTCATGTTTGTGCTGCCTGAAATCTTGTATGATCTTAATTACTGTCAAAAAGTTTGATAATTCAAAGAATAAAAACATATGCATTAAATAAGCATAAAGAAAATTTTCAAAAACAAATGCATGAAGAAAAGCATTATGCTGCTCTGCTACTGCCTTAATAAGTACACACACATGCGTATGCACATACCCAGAGCATAGGCTTAGCAGTACTTAACAGTTTCCCAATAGAGAACAGATGGAAACAAATGTCACTTTTGTATAAGTTTGTATATTTTCAGATTTTATTTGCATGGTTTTTAAGTCTTTTACTTATTTATTAATCTTTGCCTTAACCAGTGCACTGTTAAGATAAATGAATTAAGCAAATGCCATTTCACAACTAGCATGAAATATAAAGTGTGACTTTCTTCCAAAAGTGACTTGCTGAGTTTGCTTTTCAAAAAGAACCAATAAAATCAGAATTTATCACTGCCCTCCACATCTAAATCTTGTTTTTTATTTTCTTCTGTTAACATTCCATTTGTTTTTTCAGTTAAGTTCAATTTCTTAGGCTCAGTATCTTCTGATTTGTCAAATGCTGCCATTTTTTTTCAAACATTGCACTTTTTCACATCTGTTTAGTCTCCAGCTACATTTTTGTTCACTGTGCAGTGTCCCATTCAAATGTCATTCTAGTGAATTAGATTCCACACAATTTAATTAATTCAAAGACATTCAATCCCACAAAAATGTATTGAGTGACTAAAATATACTAGGTACTGTACTACAGAGGAGGAATTTATAATTTCCTGAATCACACTCATGGAAACAATGACTCTAGAGTTTGTTCAGTGAAATGGTAGAATTATATGCAAACGGCAATCTGAGGAGAAATGTAGAGGAGGAGAACAAAGAAAATTCCACAGGGCAAACGAAACCTAAACTGAATTTTGAAGTCACAGGGAAGTTTTCCAAACAGATAAGGTAGAAATGTACAGGGAGAAATGTTCAAGACCCAGAGAGATGTGAAGCCAAAGATACATATGTGTCACTTAAGAAGGTTTTTTGCTGAAGATAACATCACAATTATTTAAATAAATAGGGCTAATATGCAGGCTGCCGGCTAGATTTAATAATACTCTATCATATATGCTTGAAATTTGCTAAAAAAGTGGATACTAAATGTTCTCATCAAAAATTAAAATTGGTAGCTATGTGAGATAACATGTGTTAACTAATTTGATTGTGGTAATTATTTCACAGTATATATGCCTATAAAATTATACATTATACACCTTAACTATACATAATTTTGTCAATTACACCCCAATAAATTTTGAAGAAGTTAAAATAATTTAAATTAATTTTTAAATAAATAAACATTTCCCTGTCCCCATTTAATAAGAAGTCCAGAAACAGATGGTTGCTAGTGTTGATTCAGTAGCTCGATGATGCTATATGATGTGTTGCAATACTATTATTGTTTTATTTTCTTTTTTTCTAATGGTAACAAGAGGGCTGCTGCAACTCTACCCATCTTGCTGTTATGTTAGGTAAGAAATGGGTGGTACCAATAGATTTTCCTTTACCATCATCCTTTGGTATTCAAAAGCGATTAGTTCCAGGATCCCCCAACAGATACAGAAATCCATAGATACTCAAGTCCCTTATTCAAAATGGCATAGTATATACCTATAACCTATGCACATCCTCTTATATACTTTAAATCATCTCTAGGTTATTTATACTACCTAATACAATACAAATGCTATGTAAATCATTGTTTAACTGTTTATGTGTGCTAATTTTTGTTGTTGCATTACTTTGTCATTGCTTTTTTTAAATGATATTTTTGATTTGTGGTTGATTGAATCCATGGATATAGAATCTGTGAATACAGAGGGCTAACTGTATATCTGATTAACTGTGACTAGATCCAATAGCCGCTTGACACTTCAGGCTAAAACAAATGTTAAAAATGTGAGTATTTAGCTTTCATAAACTTTATAATAGAAACATAAAACGTGAAAGGAGGTTAAAATAGGGGCTGGGTAGGCCAATCAACAAATCTTCAATGGTGTGTTGCAAACACTATACTCTATCTGGAAAGCCAAAACTTGTTAAAGAGAGCATGGAATAAAATGAGGCTAAAGAAGTAGGAAAACAGAGGAAAATTAAAGGCTACACTTGGACTTTCAACTTTTGTTTTATCAAATGTAGAGTCTATCCATTCACCACCCCCAAATTAAACTCAGGCTGAAAGTAGTGAGCCCAAAAGTACGGTGCACATCCTGAACATCCTGGTGAAATTGATTGAGCTATGAGAAAGGGATATTCGAACCAAATATGATAGTCCATCAGGAGGAATAAATGGGAAGTGTTTAAGGTGATGGATATGTAAATTCACTTATTTAATTACTGTATACTATATACATATAGCATTGCTGTGTACCCTATAATTATATATTATTAAAGTGTGTCAAAAAATGAGGGACTAAATACAACATCAAAGCCAAAGGGGCCAGGAACAGCTTTCAAAATAAGACCATGAAGTTTGGAATCTCAGATCCAGAGCAGTTCCTGTAAGAGAAGCCTATTTGAGTGAGTAGAGTGAAGTCAGAATTCCCCACACTTTATACAAGCTTTATGTTCCAGCCTAGGTGATGAGGGAGGATGGCTCAGATTAATAGAAACTTCCAATAATAGGGCACATGTGGGGGGTCGTTGAAGGATTGGAAGCTAAATGATTAGGCTTCTAATTTAGAATTATCATGATAGCTACAACACAAAGATTTGTTTGAACGAAAAGGGTATCCAAGAGAAACAAAGCAGTTCAGAAACCACAATAGTCCACATAAACATTACCTCTAATTCTTCTAATTCTATTTTAATCCTTTAAAATATTACTTTGCTTGTTCTATCATAATACTCAAATCTTGTACCATGTAAATAGGAATTATTACCTCTTCATCTTTTTTGGTTTTATTAATTTATTTGTTAATTTATTCAACACTTGAGGGCCTACTATGTGCTATTCCCTGTCATAGGTGCTAGTGAGATGACAGTCAACAAAAGGGTATTTTTTCTGTTACTGTTTCTACTAATATGTTTGCATTCTATGAGAGAGAGTTCATAAACACAAATAAGCATATGCTGTATCAGGTTTGGATGTTACATAAAGAAAATTCAAGTTGGGTTAGGAAAATAAATAATGGAAAAACTCCTATTTTATATTAGGATGTTAAAGAAAAGTCTCACTGATAACCTAAAATCCGAAGGAAGTGAAGGAGTGAGCCATTTGGATATATGGTAGAAGATGGCTTCATTCAGAGGAAGCAAGTGTAACACAAGGTGAAGCATGTGAGATGCTTTCAATGAAGAATAAGGAAGCCAGTGTAATTGGACCATAATGAGTGATGGAAAATAGTAACTTATGATATCAGAAAAGCAATTATAGGCCAAATCATAGTGCAATGTATAAGCCATGTAAAGGATGTTCTAGTAAGTTTGGAAATCATATGATAATATTTAGCAGAAAGATGACATTTAGATTTAGGTTATATAGAATCACTCTGGCTGCTGCGTTTAAAAGTAATCTGTAGAGGAACCAAAATGAAGCAAGGAGACCAGTAAGGAGGACATTGCCATAAACTGAGACACAAATGATGGGATTCTAGTTATATTTTGAAAATATAGGTAAGAGACTGGCCGATGGATTAGATATGAAGTGAGAACAAAAGGGAAGAGTCGAGGATGTTTCTATGTGAAGTTTTTTTATGACTGAGCAGCTAATATATTGTAACTTCCATTAACTTAGAGGATAAGACAGTCAAAGAAATACCCGTAAAATCTGAAATTCTGTTTGGGCCATATTTATTTTAAAATGAGCATTAAATATCCACAATGTTCAACCCTAAAATAGTATTTGATTTTTTATCTCAGGCAGTGTAGTTTTCTCCTTCAAAAATTTTTACTTAAAAATTTCCATCTTTTCTCTAGTTTCTTGAACATATGAAACACTATTATAATTATTTTAATGTACTTGTCTGCAAATTCTATCAAATGTAATTTCTGGATCAGTTTTTGCTATGCTTTGAATATTTGCCCCCTGCCATCATTATGTTGAAATGTTATTGCCATTGTAACAGTATTAAGAGATGGGATATGTGAGAGGTGATTAGGTCATCAGGGATTTTCCTCTTGGTAAAATTTAGGCCATTACAAAAGGGTAAGTTGAGCCCCTTCTTGCTCTGCTCTCTCACCACCTTGCCTTTCACCATGTGATTACACAGCAAGAAGGTGCTTGCAAGATGCTAACACCTTGATATTAAATTTTCTAGCCTCCAGAACTGTGAGCCCATAAATTTCCATTTATTATAACTTATCCAGCTTGTGATATTCTGTTATAATAACATAAAATGGACTAAGTCAGTTTTAATTGATTGATTTTTATTCTCGCATACTGTTCTACTTTTGTACTTCTTTTTATAACGTATAATTTTTGATTGGATGTCAGATATTGTGAATTTTGCTTCATCGATGCCATATATGTTTTATTTTGATATATTTTATTGAGCATTGACCCAAGATGCAATTTTAAAGGGAAACAGTTTAATCCTTTTGGGTCTTGCATTTAAGCTTTGTTGGTCAATGTTTATTCTCAGGTAAATTTTTCCTGTGACTAAGCAAGATCCTTTTAAAAACACTACCTGATGCCCTCGTGAATTACAAGGTTTTCACTCGTTTCTTGGGAACAGTCACTCGGGTAGTTTCTTCATACAAATATGCTGATCAGATTCAGCTGAATATTAAAAAGGGTCCACTGTAGATATTCAGAGTTTTTCTCTTTGCTCAGCTCTCTCCTCTCTGGTATGCTATTCTGTGAATTAAAGTCACCGTGGGCCCCTCAGACTCACAGCTCTGTCTCCTCCACTAAGGGAAAGCATCCATTCTCTCTCACTGCCCTGTGGCCTAGAAACTTTCTCTAGTCAGTAAGTGGAACCATTTTGGATTCCCTTTTTTTCAGAGATCATTATCTTTTGTTGTCTGATACTCAATAACATTGTAGTTATACCCTTGTACACATTTTGTCAATTTTCTTAGTTGTTTTAGGTAGGAGGCTACATACAGTCCTTTTTTACAGCATTTTAATTGGAAATAGAAGCCTATTCTACCTATAATGCTTTTTTCTTATCTTTTAAGAATCAGCATTATTGACTGGGCATGGTGGCTCATGCCTGTAATCCCAGCACTTTGGGAGGCTGAGGCGGGTGGTCAGGAGTTTGAGACCAGCCTGGCCAACATGGTGAAACCCAGTCTCTACAAAAATTAGCCAGGCATGGTGGCGCACGCCAGTAAGCCAAGCTTCTTGGGAGGCTGAGGCAGGAGAATTGCTTCAACCTGGGAGGCCAAGGTTTCAGTGAGCCAAAAGCGTACCACTGCACTCTGGCCTGGGCAACAGGGTGAGACTTTGTCTCAAAAACGAAACAAAACAAAACCAAAAAACAACAACAACAACAACAATAACAAACCAAAAAAACAGCATTATTAAGAAAACATGGACAAATAAGAAACATTTTACATTTACAGTTCAATGACTTTTGTCAAATGCATGCACACATAAGCACCACCAAAATCAACATACAAACAGCGTTTATTGCTCTGTAATTTTCTCTCATTGTCCATTGTAGTTAACCACCTCTCTTAGTTCCAGCGCTGTAACAAAGTACCATAGATTGGGTGGCTCATAAAAATAGAAATTTATTTCTCATAGTTCTGAAGGCTGGAAGTTTGAAATTTGGGTGCTGGCATGGTTGGATTCTGATGAAGGCCCTTGCATGGTGGAAATAGAGTGAGAGAGCTTCCTGGGGTCTCTTTTATAAGGACATGAATCCCATTCATGAGGGCCTGACCCTCATGAGCTACGCCAGCTCCCAAAGGCCTCATCTCCTAATACCATTACATTGATGGGTTAAGATTTCAATATATAAATTTTGGGGAGACACATGTAGACTATAACATCACTTCTCTCCCACAACCACAGGCAATGACTCATCTGCTATTTGTACTATAGATGAGTTTGTTGAGTCCAGAAATTCATATAACTAAAATCATAATATATATTCTTTTGTGTGTTGCTTCTTTCACTCAGTATATCAGTATTAACATTTGTTTTTGTTATATGTATACATAATTCATTCCTTTTTATTGCTGAATATTATAGCATTGAGACTATAACATTATTGTTCATAGACAATTTGTTATTTCCAGTTTAAGGCACAATGCTATTTTAAGTATTTATTTATATACAAATTTTGTATGATTATTGTGTGTTCATCTTACTCCTTCCAGCTGGAGTTGTATTAAGGAACCAGCTCTCTTCTGCTATCTATCTGTAATGGAACACTTTGTAAAACCTTTATGTGTTTTTTTCTTAGTACAGCTTTTATGATTATATCATTCATAGAGATTCTGAGCCACTTAAATCCATTGTCATTAATAGAAGTTCTTCAGTTATAATTCCTTCCAAGTAATTTAAACCAAACATAATCATAGCATCTAATTACAGCACTTGTTTTATATACTAGGCAGTGAGAAGAAATGTATTGCTTTCTTTCATTTGTTCTGAATCATTAACCAAAATATAGACAACTAACAAGATCTCCAAAGATTTTCTACAAATATTACCTTTTCTTTTTTCTCTTTTGAGATAGATTACTTAGATTTGGGACAATATACAAACAATAGTCATTAGTCAGACCTTGTTAATTCCATTTGCTTTCCCACTGATATATGTATAATTACATGGTAATGTCAAAGTATCTTATCTTTCATAACATATGGTCTCCTAGTCGCTTGAAGTGTTCCTTCCATACACATACCAAATTGTAAGGATATTCTTTATAGGATTTTAACAATGTATTTGTGCTCAAAAATGACTTTACAGTCTACAAATGTAAGAAATTTTTTTTCACTACGGTATTCCTTATTGCCTAGTAGCACATATAGAAGCTCACTGTGTAATTATTGAAGAGCTAAATAAAAGAAATATAGAATTATCTGAATGTATTGTTAAAATGCTTGTAAAAACCCATATTTTATATGCCATAGCATGTTTCCTTGGTAATATCCATGGCCTCCTAATATCAAAATGTGTTTTTTATTTCTCTCATCTTAAATATTGTATTCACAAATTAATATTGTGTTCTGATTTTCCTTCAATTTCTTAGGGTCCAACACACTATAACATTGCCCTCAATGTATTTTTACATACCAAATCTTCCTCATGGCAGGCAAGATAATATTTTTATGTTATTGGAAAACACAGGATATATACCACCCAGAGGGAAATTTCCAAAGGGGAAATAAGAGAAAATATGGAAAGAACCAGGTATTGAATAGTAACCAAGATCCTGTGTTTCTGGCCTCTGCTACTTTTCTACATCACATTACACATGACTTTTTACACTTCATCATTACCTTCTTTGTAAAAGCAACATAACCAAACCATCTAATTTTATTCAGGGAATAAGGGTGACTACATTGAGCTTTCCTCTACAAACTGCAGAACTGAAACATGGTCATTTGCCATCCTTGGTGGCGTTTGGAAGAGGGTATTAGGAAGAAAATGGAATGGTTTGGAGAAAAGGATTCTCTAAGATGTAGGTAAAAATTATTTATAAAAAATTTATTATGTGTTTTAAGGAAACATAAGCTGTTCACAAGAAAATTATTTTTTATAAAGATCATGAATTCAATAGGAACTGTGCTTGTCTGAGTTTCCTGAGTTTTTATAATTATAATAATAATTATTACTGCTATTATGCATTAATAATACGTTTTCTGGCTTAAAAAATTTCCTATAGGGAACAAAACATATAATCCTATTTATAATGAAACATTAAATATATCATATTTCACATATCAAGAAAAATTATTAAATGATCTTAGTCTTCTTATCCAAATTAATAGTGTAAATACATAAAAGAAGTAGTATGTGTGGTTACATTTGCCAACTGATTTATAATTATTTTACATTAGACTGAGTGTTTAATGTTCCCTTTATGTCATGAACACTGTATGCAAGGCTTGAAGTCTTTGATGTTTTATTGCAATTTAAAGGGAGATCAACTCCCACTTTGACTAATTTTGAAAACAAAACCAAAAGAAAATGTTCATTTATTTTTGGGAAAAGTCACTTTAGCGATTCTCTCAAGCAAGTTATGAGTGTTGTATATAATAACAAAACCCCTGCCAATTGTGAAAGGTGAAAACAGGTACTTTCAACTGAAGATGACTTTAAAAATTACCACTGGCTCAGTTCAGGCTGTAAAAATTATCTTTCACAGTATTTAAAAGAATGAGTTTGCAAGAAATATATTTATCTATATATTATCATTAGTTTAAAACTGAGACTAGAAGCAAAATTAAAAAACTGAAAAAGAAAGTGATAAGAATTAATGAATTACTGTAATGTATAAATAGGACAAACATTTGTTTATTCAACAACTTCAATGTTTAGAATGCTGGAGTTCGGGCGTAATGAAACTTGGAGGGGGTAATTCTAGGTATATAGAAAAATTATTGCACGTTATAGAGACCATTTGGATGTTTTGAAGGTTATTAGGTGGTAATTACATGTTATCATTAGATACGTCTTATATTTCTCTAGGCATTTACAAGAATGAAATATTTGCCCTTCCTAAATAGGGTCATAGTCTGTGCTTATTTGTAGCCATCAAATAGCTGTCACATCGTGAAAGTTACATTTACATATAAGTTATTTTCAAAGAAACCTAGGGTAAATTTTGCATTTTATTCACTTAATGTCTTTTGAAGTAATTTATATAATGTTTTGTTATTTATGCAGTTTTTAATATATTGTTTTAATTGTTCTTCCAAATAAGCCTGTGGAATTTTTAGAAAATGTAGTTATTTACATTCTGCTGAAGTGAAACAGAATCTTAGAAAGATTAAGTGACATTTAAAATTATGAAGTTTAGATAATTATCAAAGGTAGTGTTGTTCAGTAGATACATATATAATACTAGTCAAAGTGAGAGTCACATGTGTAATTTCAAATTCTTATTAGTCTCATTTTAAAAAGTGAAAAGGAAATTAATACTGTATTTTTCCAACATGTCCACATTATTGTCATTTTAAAATGTGAATCAATGTAATACTATTCATAAGATATTTGACATTCTTTTTTATTCTTAGCAGGTCTTCAAAAATCTAAAGTATATTTTACATATAACACACATCTCAACTTAAGCCAGCTACATCTCAAGAGTTCAATAAATATACACGGCTACTGGCTAACATATTGCACAGCATATATCAATTTCAGCACATATTTGTTCCAGATTCTTAAACAATTGTTTTCCTCTACATAATTAAGTTCCTCTCTTCCTTTTCTACTCTCATGCACCATGATTCTCAGCCAAATGACTGAAGCATCTACTGCAATGGTATAGTTACTTCCTGTATCACCTCATCTATTTTATATTCTGATGCTTGAATTACCTCCCTTATTTGTATATTTGATCACATCACTCCCTGATTTACAGCAGAAACCATCCCCCATTTTGTTTCAATTTGAGATAGGGCTTTTGAATTTTTGAAGTGTTCTCTAGGTAATTTTGATGCACCACTGATTGAATTACCAGAGTAGATACTAATTCCTTTTCAAGCAGTACACTGTGTTAAGTGCTGCCATTATTCTGACCTGTCTGAATACCTTACACTTACCCAGTTAGTGTTGGTTTTGTGACAGCTGGGATTGGTCCTAGCAGAGTTTGACACATAGTGGTATACATGAGTTAACAAAGAAAATGTATTTTTAAAATCTCATAATATATTTCACATGCCAAATTATTTCAGTCAACTGACAATGAAAGAACTATTAAATGCATCCATGTTAGTTTCTGAATAGTTTAACCTAATTGTTCATTAGGTTTTCCCATTAAAAATGAGAAGTAACAGTGTATTTTTACTCAATGGGATATTCTGATATTTGATTACGAAAATTTGATTTATGCACATCTGAACCTGAATTTGTAATTTCTGTTACATTAAAATGTGACATTCAGACATAACAGGTCAACTTATCCATGTTTTTATGTTAAAATGCAGAAAATGAGATTGCTAGAAAAAATTAATACTTTAAAATAAATTACTGTTTTAAATGCATAGATTCTTATAGTCATTGTTAAAATTCTTTATAATGTGGCTAACAATTTATATTCCTTAGCTTGTACACTACAACAAGCATAAATCCCTCTTGGTTATATTTTTATGTGATAAAAGGATTTCCAATTCGTTTTTATTGGAGAAATATACATTTATATATACAGCATTAAAATTAGATTCTTTTGGGTCAAAATTTTAAAAAGAATATTTTACAACCTAAGGGGAAAATATGCCTAAAACACACTATTAGGTTTTCAACTATGATCAAAGTTAAAATAAATAAATGTATCTCTGCAGACATTAAACTGTATCTTCAAGCTGCATACAAAATGAGACCAACCTTAGGGATTTTTTTTCAATATAAAAGACCTCAGTAACAGGATAAAAATGGAAATAGATTTTATATATATATTTCCCAAGGTTTATATTTGATAGCCCTTTATAAAGAATTTGGTAAGATGAAATAAAATGGCAAGATCAAACACACACACAGAGAAACGGATTTCCTGCTATGAAGCATGTAAATTAAGATGATGTAGCAAATGAAAAGCTTTGTTCCTGCGATTCCTTATATCGTGCCTACAGAAAAAAATTAAACATCCAATTTGATTAATATAATCAAATAATTCATATATTTTATTTAAACTAGGCAGAGTGCTTATTTTAAATCTTCTTAAAAATGTTTATCTAAATATTGTGTTTTTTTCCACCAAATTTACTGGAATGGTTTAAACATGTCCTGAGCATTAGAAACCACAGATATTATTTGTACACTGCAACTGCAGTCCTCCAATCTAGCCCTTAACGGTTATGCTCAGGCAACACTGGCATTTAAGTTCCTCAAATTCATCAAAGTCATTCTTACCTTGGGGGCTTTATTTGTATTGTCCCTACTGTCTATAATAGATTTCTTTCCATTCTTGCAAGCTTGGCGGTTTCTTATTCTTGGGTCTCAGCTTAAACATCACTTCTGTAGAAAATCCTTCTTTTATCATCTAAGTTTGGTCTCCTTTTATTTCTATCTTAGTAGTCTATCTATTTCTTTTTACATCTTTTTATAGTTTTTATTTATTTATTTATTTATTTATTTATTTATTGTTGATTACTTGCTTATTTGTTCTTGCCTCTCTCTTTTCCTATGCATGTATGAGGAAAAGTAAATTAGTTATTAATCACTTCACATTAGTGAATAGTAAAGCTTCTGTCACAAAGTTAGTGCCTAATAAATATTTGTCTGATACAAATAAATGAATAAATCACAATATTGTTAACTGACTTAGTTACATGTATTTTTTACCTCTGCTTAAGATTAGTTTTTTAAGGGTTTACAATTTAACTGTAATGATGTGTGAATAATTTATTAAAAGCCAAATGAATCAAACAAGAAATATTTTAAGTCAAAGAATCAAACAAGACATATTTTAATTGCAATGGAGCCTAAGAATTCATGTTAGTGTATGTTTACCAAAATAACCTACAGAAAGTTTCAGATATAGCAAAAGCAAATCTCATGAGATTAACAGGAGTTACCATGAAACTGAAGCTTTGTTAAAAGTGAAAATAAAATAGAAACTTAAATTTTTTCTCTTTTCAATATACAGTTTTATGAAAACACACATTTAAGAAAATGAGATAAGATACTAATAATAAGTAAGGTAAAAAGATGGTACATAAGATTTTTAAAAAGATTTCACAACAAAATTTAACTCTAAAGATATAACATTCGTCTATCCTTAACCACCTGCAGTCTATTCTACTTTTTTTTTTTTTTTTTTTTTTGAGACAGAGTCTCGCTCTGTCGCCCAGGCTGGAGGGCAGTGGCGCGATCTCAGCTCACTGCAAACTCCGCCTCCCGGGTTCACGCCATTCTCCTGCCTCAGCCTCCCAAGTAGCTGGGACTACAGGCGCCCGCCACCACGCCCGGCTTTTTTTTTTGTATTTTTAGTAGAGACGGGGTTTCACCGTGTTAGCCAGGATGGTCTCGATCTCCTGACCTCGTGATCCGCCCGCCTCCGCCTCCCAAAGTGCTGGGATTACAGGCGTGAGCCACCGCGCCCGGCCTATTCTATTCTTTACATAATAGTTTGAGTAATCCTTTTAAAATATGTCTGATCATGTCTCTATTTGTTATGGTTAATTTTATTTGCCAACCTGAATGGAATTTTGGGGTTCCCAGATATCTGGTTAAACATTACGATGGCTGTGTCTGTAAGGATGTTTCTTGTGAGATTAACCCTGGAATCAACAGACTAAGTAAAAAAGTAAATTGGCCTTCCAAATGGGGGCAGGCTTCATCAACCGTTTGAAGCCTAAACAGAAACAAAGGCAAGATGAGAGAGAATTTGCTCACTCTGACTGACAGTTTTCCAGTTGAGACATCAATCTTTTCCTGCACTTGGGCTAGAACTTATACCACTGGCTCTCCTTGTTCTCAGACCTGTATGCTTGGACTGGAATTGTATCACTTGCTCTCTTGGATCTCTAGCTTGCCAATGGCAGATCTACATATGGAGAGAATGTGCTGGATTCCCAATCTGGGTGGAAGGTTCAACCTCTGGAACATATGGTTTAGTCTTTTGTTTAATATCATGGTTCCCGGGAACATTACATAAAAAACAATAGAGAAGTGCTAGCATCTTATATTTGGGTAAAGAAAATAGGAAGAAACCCAAGGGAAAACAAGGAAGTGGTATTTTTACTATTGGCATATTATTACCTGAAATTTAAATACATCCATTAGTAAAATTGTTCACTTTTAGTCTTCCTATTTTGTTAGGGTTCTCCAGAGAAACAAAAGGAAAGTATATACATAATTAGATCTTGGGATTTCTTCAAGCATACTGAGTGCAGATCCTGGGATTTCTTCACATGACCAATTCTTTATCCTCTCTCTCTCTCTCCCTCTCTCTCTCTCTCTATATATATATATGTGTGTGTGTGTGTGTGTGTGTGGTGTGTGTGTGTGTGTGTGTGTGTGTAAAGGTATACATATATATGTAAATTAAGAATGATGTAGCAAATGAAAAGCTTTGTTCCTGCGATTCCTTATATTGTGCCTACAGAAGAAAATTAAACATTCAATTTGATTAATATGATCCAACAATTCATATCTTTTATTTAAACTAGGCAGAGTGCTTATTTTAAATCTTCTTAAAAATGTTTATCTAGGGCCCCATGTGGTGGCTTACACCTGTAATCCCAGCACTTTGGGAGGCTGAGGCAGGTGGATCACCGGAAGTCAGGAGTTCGAGACCAGCCTGATCAACATGGAGAAACCCCATCTCTACTATAAAACACAAAAATTAGCTGGGCATGGTGGCGGGCACCTGTAATCCCAGCTACTTGGGAGGCTGAGGCAGGAGAATTGCTTGAACCTTGGAGGCAGAGGTTGCAGTGAGCCGAGATCACGCCATTGCACTCCAGCCTGGGTGACAGAGAGAGATTCCATTAGAAAAAAAAAAAAGTTTATCTAAATATTCTGTTACATATATATCCAAGAAAAGCGAATATTTTAGTCAAAGTCTAAAGGCCCAAAAGACCAATGTTCTAGCTTGATTGGTTAGTTAGGAGGAGTTCCCTCTAACTCAGCATTTTTTTTTCCTATTTAAGTCTTCAACTGATTAAATGAAATTTGATCATTAGAGAAAGCAGTCTGCTTAACTCAGTCTACCTATTCAAACGATAATCTCATTCAGAAGCATCACTACAGAGACACCCAGAACAATGTTTGACCAAGTATCTGTGCACTTGTGTCCCAGTCAAGTTGATATGTAAAATGAGCTGTCATTCCCTTCAATTAACTTTTTTATTTGTTCTCCACTTCCAACTTCCTATTCAACCCATTCTTGCCTGGCTTGTTTGCCACTCTTTCATTGAAATGACTTCTACCATAATAAGCATTGCATTCCTAAAATAAACCCTATCAGGTATTTTTCTATTCTCGTACTTGACATCTTTAGAGTATCTGATCTCGAGACCATTCTTTCCTTCTTAATATTTGATCTTGCCTTGGATTTTGTGGCTTTTCATTTCCATGAATATTTCTCTTCTCATTTCAGCTTCTGTCCCTTTCTGACTTCTCTCTCCTGGTTTGTTTTTTTCTGCCTAAATTTTGAAATATTTGTATTTCTCTGTATATTTCCTTTTCTTACTTTCTTCTCATTGTGTATTATCTATAGATTATATATCTCATGTCTCTGACATTTTATGCCCTTTGACTCAAATTACTTCTCTCATTCAAGGAATTATTTAAGTTCTAGATTTACCTTAATCTTGACATGTGTAAAACTAAACTAAGAGACACTGGGACAGAGTTTGAGAGGAAGTTTATGAGGAGTGCTCTGGAGGGCAGCAATTATTCAGTGTAAAAGAAGCATGAATGACGAAGAAGAAGCTCTAACGTGATGCAGTCACAGGAAAATCCCCAACTGATTCCACAGGGAACTCAGAGCTGGCATAGTTCCAGATCCAGAAAAGCTGTCTGGGTATGTATACGCTGGCATCAACCAGAGTTTGAACTCAGGTTGCCATCAAGAAAATGAGGTAACTTTGGTCAAGATGTCCTCTTCAGACCAGGATAATTTCTAGAGTGAATCTTGATTGTTATTCGTCAACTGACAACTTTCTAAGTCACTGAGTAAATGAATGCTTTTCTCCTGAAAAGAATGAGAGTAATCTAGGCAACACAGTGCATAAACTTGGTCTCTCTAATGTAATACCTGCTTCAGTTAATAGCATGATTACCATACCAAGAGGTAAAAACAAGAAAGTACCACCCTTCCTTAACTGTTCCCTGTTCTTGTAATTTTAAACAAAACTGCTTCGACTGTACCCTTCATAATTTACTTGGGAAAATTTCTCTTAAGTATTTCAATTTTTTTACTATGCCAGTCTCACTGAGAATTCTCTTGCCAAGACCTTCATCAACATCATGGTTATATCATGTTTGCATTTACATTAACATGTTCTACTCTCCATGTAGCTACTAGTAACTGTTGAAATACATAAAAAGAAATTGATTTTTTGTAGAGTAGGTAATAGTGTCCCTATACACTGTATACTATTTACATGCATCATTTTAATAAACATTATATTATTTGAAGAAGATATTCTAGTAATAAGCAACTTATGTAATATATATCTGTCAGCTTTCCTGGTTAACTGAAAGGGTTCCAGCCTCTAACAACATTATAATGTGGTATACTTATAGTATGTTATAAATACATGCTATTTATTATATATATGTTACATGCTGAATAGGTTCATGTAAAAGGAACGTATATATTTAGGTTGAGAAGTAAACTGATTTGTGCAGGAAATATTGTGCTGTAGCATTTGCAAGATTTGTAAATCAAGGCAAAATTCAATAAAGTATTTCCTATTGTGAAGAGAGAGTGGAAATAAATCATGATCACAATTTCTTTAAAATGTGATCTTTATATCTGGAAATAAAGGACATGTTGGTACCTATACAGATAGTACCTCACCAATCATGGGCTTTAGGAAGTGTTTCACTTCTCTTATTTTTTTAAATTATGATGTCACATTTTTTTCACAGAGAAGTCCCAGTGTAAAAAATTCTTCTATGTGAAATACAGAATTTTTTGAGAATATTACCAAAATAAATAAATAAATAAATAAATAAATAAAGATCAGTTCACTCAAGAGTATTTAAAGAAGTTTGTGAAACCCTGAACAAAGAGTAAATAAATCTTGTGAAGCATGTGGAAACTTCATTGCTTACCCAAAGAAGAGTTCTCAATAGGGTGTTTTAGCTGAAAGGTAAGTTGAAGAAATCATTTTCTAGAAAACTCTTGGTCAGGTTTCATTGAGTACTTTAAAGATGAGACATCACTACAAAAACTAAACTACCTCACAGACATTTTTCATCACCTGAAATTATTGAACAGGAATCCACTCTGCACAGTAGAATTTTTTTTTTTTTTTTTTTTTTTTTTTTTGCCGTTGAGTGACAAGTCCTGGTTTTTAAAGGAAAGTTATTTGGAAAAAATATTTGGAAAATCTTTGGAAAAATCATTTTGTAAAAGGAAATGTTGAAATGTTTCCACAACTTTGTGGACTTGGGATAGAGAAAGAATATCATAATATCTTGTCTTATTAAAAACCACCTGAAAGGACTTCAGATCAAAATTGAAGAGTAATTTACTCCCTTTTTAGTACAACTGGATGACTGGGTAAGGGAATGTTATCTGATCTTTTTTTAGGCCAATAACTTGACTTTAGCAATGAAAAAAATAACTTCATGCCGATCATTCACCTTCGATGAAATTTGCTGATCTTCTCTTCTACAGGTCCAGATTTCTATGAAAAAGAGTATCCTAGCAATGAACATTTTGCTGTATTTTCCATATTTTATATAGATGAGCCAGCTTTTATTTTGCTCAGCAAGCATCATGAGCAAAACCAGAAATCATCGCATTTCAGTTGCAAATGAAATCTGTGTGTGTTTAGTTCAAATTTGACCCCGGTTGGAAGCACAGGTTTCACACTAAAGAAATACATTTAATATTTATTTTTGGTTTCAAAACTAACCATTTAATTAATACAGAGGCCTCTAAACAGCTACATATGTATATAATCATTTTATAACTGCTAGATATCTATTTGAGTTTGAAAACATCAGTTAGTATGAAAATACTGTTTTATGTCTTTCAATTAAAATTCATTTAGTTTTGTTTTAGTAGCTCTGGTATTCAACATGATAAAAAAATATGTTGCAAATATAAATCATTGATGTCAATTTACAACTTGTTTATATTAATTTTACTAAGTCTATCTTTCAAAAAATAATCTCATTTTTACTAAGCTATTGAACTAAAATATATTGTTTGCCTTTTGAATTTATAAAATTTATGAAAAGGAAAAGAATAAGTTATTTTTTAAGGACAAATTAAGTATGAGTGGCTGTGGTTTTTGTTTTCCTGAATAATTTACTAAAATCCTTTTTTTGTTTGTTTTAAATAGGACATACTTGACTGGGCACGGTGGCTCACACCTTTAATCCCAGCACTTTGGGAGGCCTAGGCAGGCGGATCACCTGAGGTCGGGAGTTCGAGACCAGCCTGGCCAACATGGTGAAACCCCATCTCTACTAAAAATACAAAAAAAAAAAAAAAAATAGCTGGGCATGGTGGCAGGTGCCTGTAATCCCAGCTACTTGGATGGCTGAGGCAGGAGAATCGCTTGAACTTGGGAGGTGGAGATTTCAGTGAACAGAGATCATGCCATTGCACTTTAGCCTGGCAACACGAGCGAAACTCCACCTCAAAAAAAAAAAAAATTTAAATAGGACATACTCTATACCTTGTATCTTTAGTATCTTTTGAAATTTAGGCCTACATGAATAAGAAAATAAATAAAAAATTTATTTTAAAACAACGAAAACAAAAAAAGTTAAAACATTGAAGTTTCCTTTGACTGCAATGGTAACTTTCATTGGAGTTGAGATCCAAGATGAAGATGGGGAATAATGCAAATAGAGTAGGTCAATACATTGACCAACATAAATAAATACACAGAAAAAATATTTTCTTTACAAAAGCACATTGACAATTGTTAAAGGATTATAATCTCTATAATTTATTGATCATAGTAATGTGATAATATTTAAGTATTTCTTTTTTTTTTTTTTTTTTTTTTTTTTTTGAGATGGAGTCTCACTCTCGTTTGATATCCCAGGCTGGAGTGCAGTAGTGCAATCTCGGCTCACTGCAACCTCCACCTCCCGGGTCTTGGTTCAAGCAATTCTCCTGCCTCAGCCTCCTGAGTAGCTAGGAGCACAGGCATGCACCACCATACTCAGCTAATTTTTGCATTTTTAGCAGAGACAGGGTTTCACCATGTTGGCCAGGCTAGTCTTGAACTCCTGACCTCGTAATCTGCCCCCCTCGGCCTCCCAAAGTGCTGGGATTATAGGCATGAGCCACCACGCCCGGCCAAGTATTTCTTTCAGGGTAAAAATATTAAAGAAGGCTGATATATAATATTCAAAGTTTCTGGAGCTATGTAATTTATTTGTAAACTGTGATTTTTTGTAACAGTTAAGAAATTACTACAAATCATCATTTTTAAAAAGCAAACTTAATGAGCACAGCTTATGAATACAAGATCAGTATAGATAAGTACATTGCAGTAGGGTTATTTTTAAGTGTTGCACAGTATGCACATGTTTTGCTATGTAGAAAATGTACTTTAAACAATCTTAAAGTTTAACAATTCATTAGTCTATAACTTGTGAATGAGAAGGGTGTAAATAATCTGATGTCACAAAGATAAAAAGACTCCAGAATCTTTTCCATTAAAAAAATAAAAAGTAATCCCGGCCAGGTGCGGTGGGTCATGCCTGTAATCCCAGCACTTTGGAAGGCCGAGGCAGGCGGATCACGAGGTCAAGAGATCGAGATCATCCTGGCCAACATGGTGAAACCCCGTCTCTATTAAAAATACAAAAACTTAGCTGGGAGGCTGAAGCAGGACAATCGCTTGAACCTGGTAGGCGGAGGTTGCAGTGAGCTGAGATCACACCACTGCACTCCAGCCTGGGTGACAGAGCAAGACTCCGTAAAAAAAAAAGGCCTATAAAGTGTGAAAATAGTCCAAAAATGAATAAAAACACATGATATTTTTGATCCACAAAATAAGAGAACGAAATGTCAGTACACACAGAAACCATGTTTAAAAGAAAATATTGTCCATGATTCAACAAGGATTAAAACTAAAAAACAAAAACAAAAATGCTCCAGACAGGAAAGGGAGGGGATTGTCTGAAATGACAAAGCTGTCTGCAAAGAAGTTGCAAGTTTTTCATTATCACACACTCCTTACCAGCCAAAATATGCATCTCAACATGTAAATAACACAGCCTTCTGAATACAGGAAGGGAACAAATTCTCACTCCAAAGCTGTGTCTTTGAAAAGGTACCTGTAAAACTATTTGAGTTCTGGAAATAGAGAAGGTGTATTTATTGTTGATTCAGGCTCTGCTTTATTTTGCCAAGGTCAGGCTTTTAGGAAAAGGAATTAAACGTCAGCATTGGGATCAAGAAACTTGGTAATTTGTAACTTAGCTTTAAGAAAAGTAGTACATGAAAAAAATCTTCATTTATAAATTAATACCAAATCTATAAAAATATGCCTTGAGTACTTACATATTCCATAATTTTAGAAGATATTTTGGAATCTATTTTATTTCCTTTTCTTTGTACAAAGTTCTTTGCAGTCCTCTGAGAGAAATACAGTCTCAAAGTTCTCTCAATAAGGAAAGCTGTATATATGCATACCACTGCCTTTCCATTCTCGTGACTTCAGCTTTGTGACTATAAAAATCACATACTGCTACTATTTTAGGATTAGAGTATAGATAACCAGACAAAATCTTTCCCAACCACATAGTTAATTCAATCTCCTCTGAAACTGAAATTACTCTTCCCTCTTCAATCTTGACATATTTATTTATTCCGTTGATTTAAGCTGCTATCAGCCACTAAAAATTTGTCTCAATAAGTGGTGATTATGTGGACCGACAGGATTAGAGGCAAACAGGAGTGAAAGAGGGAAGGATTCTGAAGAGAAAAAATAAAGGAAAAGGAAGACAGAAGAAAAGGAGGAAGATATTTGCTTGCAAATAGCAAACTTTAACACAAGACTCTTTTTCCATTAGGATTACTGACAACTATTTTTCATTTTTATTTGAGATGCTGGTTATTACCAAAATCCAGGTAATTTAGTAATCCTGTAACCTCAAGAAATACTGTTAACTGCTGAATGTGTCTTGAAATAGCAAATAAAACCAAACCCTTCATATAATTTGACTAATACAGCAGACCAAATCTGATATATATATATAATCTTCAGTACTATCAAGATGCGTTACAATTAGCCTAAATATTGCTCATTTTATTCCCTTCACATGCACATAAAACTGTAAAGATGACCACACAACATTATTGCTTTTTGCTTTTTGCTTTTTTTTGAGATGGAGTTTTGCTCTTTTTGTTCATGCTGGAATGCAATGGCATCACCTCAGCTCATTGCAACCTCTGCCTCCTGGGTTCAAGTCATTCTCCTGCCTCAGCCTCCTGAGTAGCTGAGATTATAGGCACGCACCACCACACTCAGCTAATTTTGTATTTTTAGTAGAGACAGGGTTTCACCATGTTGGTCAGACTGGTCTCCAACTCCTGACCAAGGTGATCTGCCTGCTTCGGCCTCCCAAAGTGCTGGGATTACAGGCATGAGCCACCGCCCCAGCTGATCACACTACATTAATATACCCTGTTTACTCTTTCAATGGCCTAATTAGAATAGTAAGAATAACTCAAACTCCAGAAATTTATATTGGAGAATAGAGTAATATATTAAAATCTCTCAAGCAATAGCAGTATATTTTATTTTTAATATTTTTTGAGATGTAATGTAAACAGTATAATATTCACTCATTTAAATAAACAAGTCAATGGATCTTAGTACAGTATGAGTTATATAACCATCATCAAAATCTAATATTAGAACATATTCTTGATCACTCAAAGAAACTTCATACATATTAGCAGTCACTCCCCATTCCTATCCCCATCCAAACCCCAGGCAAGCACTAATGTACTTTCTGTTTCTATAGGTGTGTCTATTCTGGACATTTCACATAAATGGGATCATATAATTAGGTGGTCTTTTGTGACTGGCTTCTTTCACTTAGCACAGGTTTTTCTTTTTTTTTTTTTTGTTTCTTTTTTGTTTTTGTTTTTGTTTTTTGAGACAGGGTCTCTCTGTCAACTATGCTGCAGTGCAGTGGCATAATCATAGATCACTTCAGCCTTGGACTCCTGGTTTAAGCAATTCTTTCATCTCACTCTCCAGAGTAGCTGGGACTATAGGCAAGAGCAAGAGCCACCACACCCAGGACAGAACTTAATTTTTTTTAAGGTAAGATCTAATATTTTTCTGAATCCTACAGTTAGTTAATAGTGTCAAGGTGTAATTTTTGAAAAGTGAAAAACATTATTCTCATACAAATATAAAACTAGCATGTGTCAAAATTGTATTAACTCATAAATGAGTTAACAAGAAAATAGTAAAACTGGTTCCAAGGGCATTTTAGAAACAGTATTTACACTCTGAATAGACCAACAACAGGATCTGAAATTGTGGCAATAATCAATAGCTTACCAACCAAAAAGAGACCAGGACCAGATGGATTCACAGCTGAATTCTACCAGAGGTAGAAGGAGAAACTGGTACCATTCCTTCTGAAACTATTCCAATCAATAGAAAAAGAGGGAATCCTCCCTAACTCATTTTATGAGGCCAGCATCATCCTGATACTGAAGCCGGGCAGAGACACAACCAAAAAAGAGAATTTTAGACCAATATCCTTGATGAACAGTGATGCAAAAATCCTCAATAAAATACTGGCAAACCAAATCCAGCAGCACATCAAAAAGCTTATCCACCATGATCAAGTGGGCTTCATCCCTGGGATGCAAGGCTGGTTCAATATACACAAATCAATAAATGTAATCCAGCATGTAAACAGAACCAAAGACAAAAACCACATGATTATCTCAATAGATGCAGAAAAGGCCTTTGACAAAATTCAACAATGCTTCATGCTAAAAACTCTCAATAAATTAGGTATTGATGGGACGTATCTCAAAATAATAAGAGCTATCTATGACAAACCCACAGCCAATATCATACTGAATGGGCAAAAACTGGAAGCATTCCCTTTGAAAACTGGCACAAGACAGGGATGCCCTCTCTCAACACTCCTATTCAACATAGTGTTGGAAGTTCTGGCCAGGGCAATTAGGCAGGAGAAGGAAATAAAGGGTATTCAATTAGGAAAAGAGGAAGTCAAATAGTCCCTGTTTGCAGACGACATGATTGTATATCTAGAAAACCCCATTGTCTCAGCCCAAAATCTCCTTAAGCTGATAAGCGACTTCAGCAAAGTCTCAGGATACAAAATCAATATACAAAAATCACAAGCATTCTTATACACCAGTAACAGACAAACAGAGAGCCAAATCATGAGTGAACTCCCATTCACAATTGCTTCAAAGAGAATAAAATACCTAGGAATCCAACTTATAAGGGACGTGAAGGACCTCTTCAAGGAGAACTACAAACCACTGCTCAATGAAATAAAAGAGGATACAAACATATGGAAGAACATTCCATGCTCATGGGTAGGAAGAATCAGTATCGTGAAAATGGCCATACTGCCCAAGGTAATTTATAGATTCAATGCCATCTCCATCAAGCTACCAATGACTTTCTTCACAGAATTGGAAAAAACTACTTTAATGTTCATGTGGAACCAAAAAAGAGCCTGCATCACCAAGTCAATCCTAAGCCAAAAGAACAAAGCTGGAGGCATCACGCTACCTGACTTCAAACTATACTACAAGGCTACAGTAACCAAAACAGCATGGTACTGGTACCAAAACAGAGATATAGATCAATGGAACAGAACAGAGCCCTCAGAAATGACGCCGCACATCTACAACTATCTGATCTTTGACAAACCTGACAAAAACAAGAAATGGGGAAAGGATTCCCTATTTAATAAATGGTGCTGGGAAAACTGGCTAGCCATATGTAGAAAGCTGAAACTGGATCTCTTCCTTACACCTTATACAAAAATTAATTCAAGATGGATTAAAGACTTAAATGTTAGACCTAAAACCATAAAAACCCTAGAAGAAAACCTAGGCATTACCATTCAGGACATAGGCATGGGCAAGGACTTCATGTCTAAAACACCAAAAGCAATGGCAACAAAAGCCAAAATTGACAAATGGGATGTTATTAAACTAAAGAGCTTCTGCACAGCAAAAGAAACTACCATCAGAGTGAACAGGCAACCTACAAAATGGGAGAAAATTTTCGCAACCTACTCATCTGACAAAGGGCTAATATCCAGAATCTACAATGAACTCAAACAAATTTACAAGAGAAAAACAAACAACCCCATCAAAAAGTGGGTGCAGGATATGAACAGACACTTCTCAAAAGAAGACATTTATGCAGCCAAAAGACACATGAAAAAATGCTCATCATCACTGACCATCAGAGAAATGCAAATCCAAACCACAATGAGATACCATCTCATACCAGTTACAATGGCAATCATTAAGAAGTCAGGAAACAACAGGTGCTGGAGAGGATGTGGAGAAATAGGAACACTTTGACACTGTTGGTGGGACTGTAAACTAGTTCAACCATTGTGGAAGTCAGTGTGGTGATTCCTCAGGGATCTAGAACTAGAAATACCATTTGACCCAGCCATCCCATTACTGGGTATATATCCAAAGGACTATAAATCATGCTGCTATAAAGACACATGCACACGTATGTTTATTGCGGCACTATTCACAATAGCAAAGACTTGGAACCAACCCAAATGTCCAACAATGATAGACTGGATTCAGAAAATGTGGCACATGTACACCATGGGATACTATGCAGCCATAAAAAATGACGAGTTCATGTCCTTTGTAGGGACATGGATGAAATTGGAAATCATCATTCTCAGTAAACTATTGCAAGGACAAAAAACCAAACACCGCATGTTCTCACTCATAGATGGGAATTGAACAATGAGAACACATGGACACAGGAAGGGGAACATCACACTCTGGGGACTGTTGTGGGGTGGGGGGAGGGGGGAGGGATAGCATTAGGAGATATACCTAATGCTAAATGACGAATTAATGGGTGCAGCACACCCGCATGGCACATGTATACATATGTAACTAACCTGCACATTGTGCACATGTACCCTAAAACTTAATGTATAATAATAATAAATAAATAAATACATAAATAAATAAACAGTATTTACAGTCATTTTTAAAATGTTAGAATGAGAGTCTATGTCAGATACTAAACTATGTAAGGGCAATAAAACTATAATCTTTGGAATGATTATCTTTTCTATTCAACAAAACTCTTCAGCTTAACATAATAACTTTATGATGTGTTGACTCCAATCAACATATAAAAAACAAAGTCTCTTTTTTTTGAGTTAACGTGTAAATTTTCCTAGAGAACAAAATAATTTATGACAATGACCTTTTATGATATTGAGGAAACATGCTGACTTTCCCCTCTTCTTTGTGTTTTGTTTATTTGTTTGTTTTGAGATGGAGTCTTGCTTTGTCGCCAGGCTGGAGTGCAGTGGCGCGATCTCGGCTTAATGCAACCTTCGCCTCCCAGGTACAAGCGATTCCCCTTCCGCAGCCTCCAGAGTAGCTGGGACAAAAGGCACGTGCCACCGTGTCCAACTAATTGTTTGTATTTTAGTAGAGATGGGGTTTCACCGTGTTGGCCAGGATGGTCTTGATCTCCTGACTTGGTGATTCCCCCCTCAGCCTCTCAAAGTGCTGGGATTACAGGCATGAGCCACCGCGCCTGGCCTCTTTTTTCTTACTTGTGGATAATTTAATAATATCATGCTATTTGTCAGGAAGTAAACAGATGTAACTAAGGCTAAAAGTTTTTGTTACAAATAATTATTTATTTATAATAATTTTAATTTGATAATTTTATATTTTATATTCTAATTTTAGTGCTAAAAGCTTTGTTACTATGGTACTAATTGTTTTTCATTTTATATTTTAATTTTTAAGTATTTTGATAATGATTGAAACAGTAATACCATACTACTTTCAGGAAAGCATGCCAATTTCATTTGCTAAGTTTCCAAGACATTTTCTATTCTCTAACTTTATCTGCATGAAAGTTTTTCTTTTAATATTCAAATTTAGTTTATATAACAAATCTTTGCCTTGTTTATAGCTAAACAACAAATCTTAGCATTGAAAAACACATATATATGAAACTATTATGACTAAATTAGACAATGGCAATGGGAAACCTCAATATATGTATATTTTAATAATTCTATTGTTTAGGGCATTACTAAAGGTCTATTCTATCACATCTAATTAGCAGGAGTATGGAAAAAAATTACTAATAACCTGCAAGAGGAAAATCACTGACTATTCATTAATGCAATGTTGTTCTTTATGGTTACTCTCATCTTGAAGTTTGATGTAAAAAATTGCAAGAAAATTGGGATGTAAACCTAAATAATTATTGATCTGGGAAATATATATGATTAATGATCAATTATAGGTCATTTGGAGCCACATATTAGTCACATGGCAGTGGGTATCAGGCAGCACACATATAAAAGACACACATCTCTATGTAGGCTATCCCCTAAAGCTGGTAGAAAATCCAAATACTGACTCTGATGCATTCCCCACTTATTCACAAACGAATAAAATTAGAATCAGTAGCAGTATTATCTATTGATTTAGCTAGTTTTGTTTTTAAAATGGACAAATGAATACCCAAGTACATTTGGAGAAGGAAGTAAAGTTACTTAGCTTCTTGAAACCCCAAGCTATTCTGACAATGAGTTATGGGTCCTTATTAATTTGTCCACACCTTCCTATAAGTAAACCTGAAGAAAAAGCCAACTTCCTCAATGAAACAGAACTACAAGAACAGCTCAGTTCAAAACATGTAACCTACTCTTACAGCAGCCAGACAAGTAGACACAGCCCAATTAGTCCCCAAGGAAATAAGACATTATTTTTATAGGGGCTGCTGAAGTAACATTAAGAATAGACAGTAGGAGCCTGTGCTTAAACTAACGTGTTATTTCATGAAAAATCACATATTTAACGTGGAGGTACACTGTGTCAGAGAGTTAAATAGAAGCTCTAATTTTATTACTTTACTTTTTTCTCCTTTTACAGTGGTTTTAGGGAAGTATAATGTCCTCAACTCCTTTTTTTCCCAAAAAGTAATACATCTATATTAAAAATGAAAAAAGGTGTGAACGGTTACATTTTTCTCCCTTTGTCGCCACCATTTTGTTGCTACTGAGGGACTATAGACAAGGTGGCTACTACTGTTTCATTAAACCAGGATCTCTGTGAAGTTCAGCTGCAGAACACATGTGCCGCTTTGCTTTTGAAAATGTACTCCGTTAAAACCACACTTCTTTGCCAGTCCAAATTCCTGAAAACCTACATGTCACTGTTGGAATTCTGACTCTGAGGCAAGGAATATAGAGTGAAAATGATGAAGCCACAACAACAGTTGTAAGTGATACCAATTTTTATATGGCTGATTGAGATTCAGCACCTGACACTAATTGTAAAAAGATTTAAGTCTGTGTAAGTGACCAGATATGGCAGTTTGGAAACAGCTCTAACAGCCTGGTTCCTGACAAAATCTTGAAGGAACCTTTATTTTCAGTGGCCTCAACACTGGAAGTGGCATCTTTTTTATTCTTCAATTTAATCAGGGATTGAGTTCTAATTGAGGGGTTATTAAAATAATTTAAATTGTTTCTAATATATATAATCTTTATAATACCTCAGAATAGATGGCACAATAAATAACTATCATGTCTATTTGGAAACCACGTGCAATTTAGAACAAGTATCTATCATAATACCCTGAAAATAAGAGATTCCAAGATCCCGGAAACTTACAGAGGCTGTAATGAAAAAGTGTTTGAGTTACTTTCTGATAAAGATTATGCAAGTAGAATAAAATCAAGTAACTTTTTCAATGATGTAAAATATGACTGGCCAGAAGCAGGTGGTGATGGTGAGATGATGTGGCAGGAAACCAAAGGAAAATGGTAGATTGCTGCCAGATTATAGCCTATCCTTTTGCCTTCCTAAAAACTGTCAAATTCTTTCTGGGAAGTCAGAAGAATTGCAGAGGGAAAATGACATTGTCTAAGCTACAGTTCTGGAACATAATTGTTTGCTGTGAAAGGAAGCGTAGAACACTAGCAGCATTTCAGTAAAATGAAGCACTCATACTTGTAAGCAGTGTTGTAGATTGTTAAGGAGGCCCAGCTTGCTAAATCTCAGTGCTACTGAAAGTAAGGAAAACATTAAAACATTATTTGTTGATGTCATTTGAAGAAAGGATTCAACTTCCATTTCTTCGATATCCATTTGAAGAAAGGATTCTTTGATATACATTTGAAGAAAGGATATTGAAGGAAAACAAAATGTTCTAAAATATCTGACCTAAGGAATCATTTTAAAATATGCTGCCTCACAACATCCCAAAGAGTAATGCAATTCCCCAAGAGAACTGAGTAGGGAGCTGGCAATCTCTGAGGATCTGTGGAACATTTACCCTTTTGAATGGAACACATTCTATGAAGGCTGGACTGATTAGACTCTCCACCCATGTACATGAGTATCAGTAATACCAAATTCACAAGATCAGCTTACTCATACATCTTAACATTCAACAAACCTAGCAACTCTGTTTTAAAAAAAAAGATTAAAGACAATGACTATCCAAAGTCACATTTAATTGTTAAGCATTTATGCAATTTGGGAATTGAGTAGGCCACCTGGCAATTTTACAAGGTGAAAAAACACTTTACTCAATGATGACAGTTTTGCTTGTACTTCTCTGGTGCAAAATTTCACCAATTATTTGCTGCTGTGAGTTCCACAGTATTAAGGAAATGTCTGAATTTAGCTTATTATTATTCATATTAGAAATTTCAAAATCACCCTGAGGCATCCTTAATTTTGAACACATTTATTATGCTATCTGTGAAAAATTAAATTCATTCACAAGACTGTATGTATTATTATCTGGTCAATCTTTAACTGTAGATGAAAATCGTAAAATAGCATATAAAAAGAAACTCATTTAGAAGTGGACAATAACTTGGGGAGAAGTAATTTCAAAGATTTCAAGTAAATTAACCTCTATGAAAATGTAAGAAATGCTAAATAAAACACGGTAATAACACTTTTGTTGTAAACATAGAATTTTAAACTCAAAGTTGATTCTTAAACTATGTGGCACAATTTGAAATAAGTAAACAAAAAGCAACATAAATTTCTGAAGATATTAAAACTGTTCTAAATTCTAGCTCTGAAAATGATCTTAGATCATTTCTGTGCACCCAGAGTAATTATTAATAGTTCTCGCTTTCACTTTCAAAGCACCCCAGTATAGTCAATAAATTATATGGGAACCCTGGCTATAAACATCCATGATAATTATCTTTATTCTCCAATAATTGAAGTTAAATTTAAAAAATAGACTTAGCAAAGTAGGTTTATCAAAATCTGAAGTAAATACAACCAGATATATTGTCTTTTAATTGCCATTCACTTCTAGATACATGGTAATTTTAATTAATATTTCCTCTTGAATGCATGAGTTGTTTGGAAATGCATTTTAAAGTTTTCTAATATGTGCATATTATTTGTATTGTTTCTTTCTAATTTAATTCCCTTATAATTAATGAATATGTTTACTATGTTTATTCTTCAAAACTTGTTAAAATGTTCTTTATGAGTAATAAAGTCAATTTATTTGTTGTTCCATGTATAATTGAGTATCTATTACGGTTGTCTTGACAATTTTGTGGTTAAAAGTTAGTTTTTAAAGTTTACTATTAGGCAGACCTATTAGTTAAGAGTGAAAGAGAACAATGGGAACTTTCACATATAAAACAATCACACAATGTACAGTCAAGAGACCCTTGCGAGGCATGATCTTCTGAAAGAAAGTAATTAGAGAAAAAAGATATGGGATATAAGTAAAAATTATGTGCAGCTATAGTCATTAACTATGACTATTCCAATAATTTATTATTAGAAGTAATATTTTTGTTTACAAAATTATTTTTATTAATTGAATCTATTAGTTTCTAAAATAAGTGTGTTGAATACTTTCCTATACGTGCTTGTAATTTAGGTTCTCCTTTTTCGTTTTTTACACCTTTAAATGTATACATGTGTGCATATCTCTGTGCTTACACACACACACTTGCATACACATGTATATACACTGGAAGCTATTATATGCAAACTAGTTCACAATCCTTACATTTTCTTGATGGATTATCTTTGCTTTACTTATTATACATAGTAGCAAATTTTTCATTAACTATGTCTTGTCTGATGTTCTAATATTGTACCAGTTTTCTCTGCGGGAGGCTTTGAATGTTCCATAGATTTTGATCTTTCTACTCCTCAACCTCTTTCTACAGCACTGCTTTATAAAAACAGAATACTCAAAGCATTCAGCTAGATTTTTATTTGTTCAGTCTACTAATCTCTTTCTATAGATTATGTAAATCCATCTATAGTTTTTATAATTATTTATATATTTGTACTTATTTATGTAATCTTTTTGTGGGTTTGATTGCTGTTTATTTTCTTTTTTTCACTTTTTCCATTGTCGTATCTTCTGCTGTGTTGAGAAAGTTTCTTGCCTTCCCACCTTTATTTTCCTCAAGCAATTTTGAAATAACAGACTTTATTTTTATTATTTTCTGAATATCTTTACCCATTTTGTACCTAAAATATAATTACATAACTAATGTACCTGACTTCAGCATGTTTAACTACTTATTCTCACATTCATCTTATTTACATGATAGAGTCTTGATTTTTTACTTTTTAAAATCACACTAAAAATATTAATTTCTATATTAAAGAGTTGAATTTGTTAACATATTTCAACAATTATTTTGCTCAACTTTATTTTTTATTTTCATATCTATGAACTTACTTGCTTGCTTTCTTGCTTCTTTTTTTTTAAACAGAGTCTTACTCTGTCACTCAGGCTGGAGTGCAGTGGCATGAACACAGCTCACTGCAGCCTCAATCTCCCAGGCTCAAGTTATACCCGGCTCTTTTGTTATTATTATTTGTAGAGATGGGGTCTCACTCTGTTGCTGAGGCTGATCTCAATCTCCTGGGCTCAAGCTATCCTCCTGCGTGGCCTCCCAAAGTGTTGGGATTACAGGTGTGAGCCACTGCACCCGGCCTGAGCTTACTCTCTTCTTGCAAAAGAAACTGTTTTAAGGCTGGGCGCAGTGGCTCATGCCTGTAATCCCAGCACTTTGGGGGGCTAAGGCAGGTGGATCACTTGAAGTCAGAAGTTCAAGACCAGCCTGGCCAAAATGATGAAACCCTGTCTCTACTAAAAATACAGAAAATTAGCTGGGCTTGGTTGCAGACACCTGTAATCCCAGCTACTCAGGAGACTGAAGCCGGAGAATTGCTTGAACCCAGGAGGTGGAGGTTGCAGTGAGCCGAGATCATACTCTTGCATTCTAGCCTGGGCAACAAGAGCAAAACTCCATCTCAAAAAGAAGAAAAAAAAAATAAAAGAAACTGTTTTAAAATAGTATAGTATGTTTTTAAGCTTTAAATTCTTTTATTGATTTAGTTTTAGTTTGCTCTCACTTTGAGTGATAGGTCTACTGAATATTAAACTTTAAGTTGACTATGATTTCCTCTTAGTTCTTTACAGATACCATTGTCAGTAGTGCCAAGTAGGCTGTTCCTTTTCTATCATGAAGTTTTTTACTTATTCTTTTTATCCCTGCTGTTTTTAACTTTCACTCTGATGTGACCAGATGTAAAACTATGCTCTTTTTTTTCTGCTTGGAGTTTTTAATGAATTTTATATTTCAAGGACTTTCATGAATGTCAAGACTATCTTGGGTATTGCCCTTCAAATATTGATTCTTTGCTATTTTCTTATCTGAATCTTTTTTATACTTCTGTGGGAATTCTGAAATTATGCACCATGTTGAATTTAATAAATTCTTTTATTTTGTGCTGATTTGGGTTTAATTTTTATATTGGAATAATACAAGCTTATCCTATCTATAGTATTTCCTTTCAGTTATCACAATTTTTATGAAAATATTTCCATTGTATTAATTTATTATTTTGCATATCTTCCAGTCTTATGTGACGGTTGATTTTTGTTTATCTATTGTTTATTTTTAATCAGTATTATGGTATTTTATTTTTTGATCCTCCAAACATTATTTACTTTAAACCCTCAGACATGTTATAAAATTAATTTTTCTTGGAGTGAAAGTGTATTTCATTGATTCATTCAACACTTTTTTAAATTATTTGATTTCTTGAATATTTTAGTAAGATCAGATTGTAGGCATGTTTTGAATAGAAAAGTTTTAGAGATTTTGATTTTGTTTTGCTGTTATTGGGGTGTGTTATAGTGTGTGTCTGTGTGTGTGTTTTACTTTTTTTTTTTATTTTGTATTTTTCCTACCCACCCCCCAACTCTCTAGCAACTCTGCCATTTTGTCGTTGCTTCCTTCTAGCCTGTGGGTGTCCAAACCAGATGTCATCATTAGAACGGCTTCTGGCAGTTTCTGTTTCATAAAGGTATCCAGGATATTGCAGATCCAATCACAGAGCCAGCTGGCAACTTGGCTCAGTACTTGGTCAAGAGGTTGTGTTTTTATTATCCATTTCCATATGTCAACAGGCTTTCTGTAATGTCATATCCCAAGCAGCAAGTAAATAGCCATTTTTTTCAGGCTCTTTGCACAATTGAGAGAAAGAGGGTTTATGTTTTCCCAGTCCCAGGATTTGAATTTTGAGACTGACTGAAAACCATGTCACTCAGAGAGCTCTTAATGCTCTTCCCTTCAATAGCCAGTCTCCTTGCTGCTATGCTTATCTTGTAATCCCTGGAGTCCAACAGGCCAGTGGCTATAGTCCCCAAAACTACTTTGCATTTCTGTGGGCTCATTTCTGATCTATAAAAATGTTTATCATGTCTTTGCATCTCAGCTAAAATATATGTATATGTGATATACATGTACAAATATGAGTATATATATATATAGAGAGAGAGAGAGAGACATAGGTGTGTGTGTGATTAGTATATTTGGATTATTGAGTCTTTTTAAAACTCATTGCATGTTTTTGTCAGTAGTTCACACTTGCAATGACAAATTAATTAATGTTAATCATGATCCCCATGATCCTTCTATAAATGAAAGACACTAAATCTCTAAAAACTGAGAATTATGTGTTTTATTATTTTTCTGAAATATTTTTATTATTTTACATGTAAAATAAGTAGAAAAATTTTTAAGTTGATAAATTTATAAGACAGTATAAAAATGCTGTAAGCCTTTTGAATAATAGGGTATCATGTTAATTTGGAGATATTGAAAAGATCTAGTTTTTAGTCCAGGACTATTCAAGGTGTCAAGCTGTTATTAGAGTCTAATTCTATGTTCAGATTGTTTAAATAATGGATTAAAATCATCTTATAATTTTTATACCATTTCTAATCCTAAAAAAATCCACTTCATAACAACTTATATTTATTAAGAACTTATTTTGTTCTAAGCATTGTTTTATGCATTTAAAAAATTTTATCTTCATTAATCCTTACACAGCTATGAAGTAGTTATGGTTTCCTGATTTTCACAAAAGCTAAGGCACAGACAGATAATTACTTGCTGATAATGTAACACGTAATAACTGGTGCCTCAGAAGCAACCCTTGGCAGTCTGGCTCCAGAAAGAAGATATGATATAGCTTTGCTTGTTTTACTTTCAAACAGCCTTCATTAGATACCATAACATAATGACTGATTTCATGTCTTTGTATGGCTATGGAATTAGCTGTTTTCCTGTTACATTCTTTTTTTTTTCCTTTCCAAATGACTTTTGTTTGTTATCAATTGCTTACATAACAGTTGATTTATAGACTTTTGAAGATTTCTGCTTCCATGTCTGGTGTATACATTTTAATGATAAAACATACTAGTTATAGATTATTATGTTAATATGCAAAATGCATAATTAATTTTAATTCCTAGTATGCATTACAGAACAAGGTATGCATATGAAAATCACCCAAATGTGTGTCTAGTATAATTCTCTTGACTGCTTATTCACTGTAACAAACAGATTATATTATAAATGCTAACAAAGGATTTAAAAAATCAAAATTATTACCAACATCACTGTCACTCAATTTTTTTAAATGAAAACCAACCAAGCCAATTTTGCCCATAGACACCAGCACTATTGGCCTAATATTAGTAGTTTCATTTCTCTGCTATAGCAAACAAATTTAATAAGTCCTCAGTATTTCACCAGATGGTCCAAATATCACATTCCCATTCATTGTCCTAATTAATGTTTATAAGGATGATGTTCACTATCTCATTTCACTTTCAAAAAATTTGCTTCCCTTCTTTTTGCTGGACTTTAGTTAGGACAAATCTTTCTATAAATAGCTCAGTAATACATCAATTTATTAGCTATAGACTTTTAGAGTCAATCTGTATAATAGCATTTTTTGTTTAGAAAAGAGAAACTATGTTCATAGAATTCAATAAGGGACTTGCTAATTTTAAAAGATTATGTGTGAGAGAGAGAGAGAGGAAGGAGTAAATATAGACAGAACCTGAACTTGAGAAGCGTCATATTGTAAAAATTTATTGGAGTACTTTTGTTTTGGAATTCAAGTGATTTTTTTTTTTTTTTTTTTTTTTTTTTTTTTTTGAGACGGAGTCTCGCTCTGTCGCCCAGGCTGGAGTGCAGTGGCGGGATCTCGGCTCACTGCAAGCTCCGCCTCCCGGGTTCACGCCATTCTCCTGCCTCAGCCTCCCGAGTAGCTGGGACTACAGGCACCCGCCACTACGCCCGGCTAATTTTTTGTATTTTTAGTAGAGACGGGGTTTCACCGTTTTAGCCGGGATGGTCTCGATCTCCTGACCTCGTGATCCGCCCGCCTCGGCCTCCCAAAGTGCTGGGATTACAGGCGTGAGCCACCGCGCCCGGCCCAAGTGATTTTTTAAACAATGTTAGATTTCTAGGCTAGCCTAATTTGGATCTCATGTGTGATAGAAATATATAACCTGAGTTATGGATTCCAAGATTACAGAACTAAGAGGAAAGAAGGGGAAAATAGAGTCAAGTACAACCACAAGTCAAAATATTGTGACAGATAAAATTTTCCCTTAGGTTAACTTCTTTACTTCTGCACTCCTTTCAACCTTCTAGTATATATTTACTAATGTGTACAGGCATGGTCTATTGAATGTGGTAAGAGTCCTGGGACTGAATGAAGCGTTGACATGTAAACATCCATTCATTCATTGGCAAAGTGCTGAAGATCACAGACTGTGGAACCAGACTTTTGAGACCTAAATCCTGCATCTGCCACAAGTGAGTTGAGCGCTCTTAAGTAATTTACTTAATCACCCTGTGTCATATATCACTTATCTGTAAAATGGAGATAATGCTAGTAACTAGCTCATAAAGTTTGTTTGAAGATTAACTGAATAGTATATTTAAAGCTTTTAGAATAATGACTGGTAAATTATAAGCAGTATGGACAGTATAGAACTTTTAGCTGCTAATGTTGTGTTGCTGTTAGTATTAATTTTAAAACAACATGTACTGGAGCATTAAGCATGATCCTAGGGGATGGACACACATGGTAAACAAGGCACCGTGCTTGCATTAAAGAGTTTCAGGCTACAGAAAATAGAGATTGGTTATTTTAAAGATCATTAAAAAGGGACATGAGTCTAATGTTTTATTCAATACCAAAGGGAAAATGAATAGAAAAAAAGAGTAAAGAAACACTTAGACCCAAATGTGTCTATGTTCAAGATGAGCATTACTATCCAGGCACAGAAGGAGTCAGCAATTAGTAGTTAAAAAAAAAAAAGGTATCAATTCAGATATTGGGAGATAAGAAAGAGAAAATACCATTATTAATGTTAAGCAACAGGTATTAACCTCCAAAGTACAGTATCTACATATGAGGGGCGGGAATTCCAAGCTGACTTTGAGATGCAAAGCAGTAAGCAAGACGTTGAGAAATCAGAGAAAAGAAATGTGAACTCAGCTTTGGAGGAACTGAAAGGCAACACAGCAAGACCAACTCAATGTAGTTCTTGAGCTACTGTCTCTGAAAGTTGACTATTCTCTGTGCCTACAGACAGGACTAGTCGCAGATCTGAGGACAGTTTAGACTTGGAAGAACTCAGACAAATATTATAGTAATTGACTGAGGATACCAAAACTTATCAGCTATCTTCCTGAGCCTTATAGTGTCTCTCTATGAAATGTAGTTAATATTAAAACAGGTTCTACGCTCTAAAGAAAGATAAAAGGAGAAGAGGGAAAATGTGTTTGAAAGTGTTTTCTAAACTATATGTATATATTAACTATCTTAATTGTCATGTGATCATAGTCACAAACCTAAAAATATTGGGAAATTACAATAGAGGATCCAAAATACTATGATGTGCAAGGCACCACTGTGCTGCTTCAGGTCCTCCTCGCACTGTTCCAATCTTATTCTACATCTAAGGCATTTTCTATCTTCTTCATTCCCCTAATGGGTGGAGCATAGTAGGACATTAAATGTGCATTGAATGAATAACATAGGATTGGCTAAATTAAGTTACATTAATATGAGAAAATTTTTCAACAATTTACACCTCCTAAAGCTATTTTCGTTTTTCAGAGAAGCACCTTCTTGGCCTCGAATTAATGTCCAAATGGTAGAATTTCAAGAAATGTGGCAAAAGTTACATAAAAAAAGAACTAAAATGAGACAATATGTATGGGAATTTAGAAGATTTGGCAGTTTCTCATTTGACAGTTTTTTCTTCCAACTTGGAGTAAAAATATTCTTACACACACATTCTATGTTTTGTTTTATTATTTACTTTCATTCCATTCTGCTATAGACAGAGGGAATGGGAATTGGAATAAGCTGGTCAAGAGCAGCTTTTTGTGTAAGAGTTAAAATTGTTTCAGGCATTAGGAAATAAGTGTTTACTTATTTTAAGAGAAGAACTGAAAATATTATATATAAAATTATGATAAAATATATCTAAATCATGGCAAGTCTAATCTGAATATTAGCCTCATTTCATGATAAACATAGTTCATCAAACAGATCAGCATTTTCCCTCTAGATAAATTTAAGCATGACATATCTTGCATCTGAAATATTATTTCTGGAATGTATTGCTATACACTTTAAGGGTATAGATACCCAGAATATTTGCATATGTAATGAATTGGTTTTAATTCAGAAGCATATCAAAAGCACGCACTTTAAAAAATACCTCAATAGGGTTTTCAATATTTTCTGTCTGCCTTTTTCTTTCTCTTTTTTTTTTTTTTTTTTTTTTTTTTTTTTTTTTTTTTTTTTTTTGTAAGACAGAGTTTCACTCTGTTGCCCAGGCTGGAGTGCAGTGGTACGATCTCGGCTGACTGCAGCCTCTGCCTCCCAGGTTCAAGTGATTCTCCTGCCTCAGCCTCCCAAGTAGCTGGGGATTACAGACTCCCACCACCACTCTCGGCTAATTTTTGTATTTTTAGTAGAGCCTAAGTTTCACCATGTTGGCCAGTCTGATCTCAAACTCCTGACCTCAAGTGATCTGCCCACCTTGGCCTCCCAAAGTTCTGGGATTACAGGTGTGAGCCACCAAACCTGGCCAAAGATTTTAAAGCCATAAATTGTTATGCTATACAATTTAAGTCAATTTCCACGTTGAATGTGAGATTATAAAATACCTAATCATCATTCTTTGCCTTTGGAAAAACATAACTAATAAATATTCTTTCTGTTTATTCCCAAGTGTAACCTAATAGCGTGACCTTATATCTCAATTTTCACTGGGCATTCCCATTTTATGCCCTTTAGGTATCATCATTATTAATAGGTATAATAATTTTGATGTCCCAACATACTTATTAATGGTACTCCCATCTACTCTCAATAGTGTCCCAATACAGAAGGTAATCTACATTGACCCCTTATGGAAGCTGCAACCACAACACTTAAATATTGAAGATTATTAAATTCTAGAAGCAAGGCACTAGCTCTTACTAATTATTGATATAATTTAGAACTTCTACATGCTCTGAGAATCTTCTGGCTCTCTAACTTAACTCTGTGATACAAAATGAAACTTGGGCAAGTCAGTCAAACCCCTCTCTCCTCTGTCAGGCAGAGGACTTAACCTTGGGGATGAGGACAGGCATCTTGTTACTCTCCTTTCCAACTCCAGTCTAACTAAGTTTCAAACAGGAGAAACATCTAGGTGCCCTTACCTTTAAATATTTAAATACACTCTTGGGTTTCTCAGCAATTTACACCCCAAACTTCACTACAGACTTGTAAATCCCTAAACTGTGTGAGATTCCACTTCCCTCCCTTCCTGGGATATTAGTGATTCCTGTGGGTAAAGGGACACTTGTAAGTTCTGCAATTTACAAGTGCACTGTGCTTTCTAAGGTGTAAATTGCAAGGAAACTCCAGAGTGCCAGTAAACATCTAAATGTGGTGAGCATCATGTCCCTTTATCTTCTGGGGCAGCAGTGGCTGAGAAAGGGAAGAGAAAAGGAGAGCAAACTTGCCTTTGCAGGTCCTTCACCAAAATGGGAAACCAATATTGGAGGCTTCCTGGATTTAGCAACAGAAAGACAAGAATATCTTTAATGACTTGTACTTTGGTTGTCATGTAAATAATTTGCCATGATCAATTATGTAACACATAACTAACATGAGGCTATTAAATAATTGAAGCACATTTATTCTCTAAATAGTACAGCTATTTAAAATGTACTTAATGCTTATTCTGTCACCATTATTTTCAACCACATTATGATAAGCAAATATAATAGCCATATATTAAAATAGAATAATTTAATAATATAAACATTAAAGGGAATTTTTACATTATCTCTTCTTAGACATTACATCTATAGATTGAAAATAGAGAGGACCATGGAAAGCAATTTGCCCAAATGTAGGGAGCCTAGTAGCATTAAATAAATGAAGTTCATGAGGCAAGGCTTTTCTAATTTATTTTGACTTCTGGAGCAGTGTACATTATCTGCGCAAGGTTTTCAGAGCCATGTCTAAGAGAATGTTAAAAAGACTGGGGCAAAAAAAAAAAATACTGTTCTCCTGACCCAAAGACATTCATATGAAGACCAAAATGCAGGTGTTACTGTCCCAGTGCCCATTTTGTGCTGTGAAGTAGGGCCCCAGGATTTTCTTTAAAGTCATAGTTCTACTCGCCAAATTTATCACCTAAGACTCCCAGGTGCAAATATATATACACACACGTAGAAAATAACCAGTTTCAGCTTAAATGTTTCTTATATTCAGGTCAATGTTGTTGCCTTTGGCTCCTAAGTATCCATCTCGCCTTCATTTACTTTGAATGAACAGGAGGTGACAAATTGTATCATTCCAAATGATGAAATCTTCAAAATACAATTTCTCCATTTTGGAGGACAGGACAGAATGACTGCTTCAGATGATCATACCCCCACTTTTCTGTTTTATGCAGGATTACCAAGGCATAGAATATAATTTACTGGAGGTTTGGAGTTTCAAATTCAGCAGCACTTGAAGTAAAGGAGAAGGGAAAAACAGATGTAATTCTGAAGCTTCTTGTTGCCAAAAGAAACATGAAACCACTGACATGTTCTCTCCTTCTTCCCTTTTTCCTTTGTGTCTTGTATTGCACCAGGCTCTCCTCCTGGCAGCCTTGTAGTCTTTCAGCATCTCTGTTACCTCCATGTGGAAAGTTCCTGTGTTTCTATTAAACTCTCTGCTCTTTTTGCTCCCACATTGCCCCATCCTATCTTAAATTCCCAAACTATTGTATTCATTAAGAGATTCCAATATTTCAGTTTCTCCTCACTTTTCTTCTTTTAGTTTAGTTGTTTATGGAACTTTTCATTTATCTTTTTTTCTTTCATATTATTTTAAATCTTTCTGTCTTCTAGCCTGTTTACGGTCTTTTGGAGTTATTCTAAAATACATTGTGAAATAAGTGTTTTAGCCTTCCTTGTTTTAATCATTGGTCTACAGACCACCTTACCATGATTTTTCCTTACACATCTTTCTTCGTTTTTGTAGATGTTTGAGTGAGAACGTGAAATTTGAAATTGATTGACTTGGTTCAAATCTCTTACCATTCACCAATTCTACAATTCACTTAACCAGTCTAAACTATATTATCTTTATCTCCTAAAATGTGAAGATAATATTTGATGGTGCTATTGCCAAGGTTAAGCATAGTAACATTTGAAATGGTTGATCAGCCTTGTCATAAAATTCAACAAACAAGTATTATTACTATAGTAATCCATATCAGGACAAAGAGGGAGTACATTTTTTATTTCTAAAAGAAAATGGTGAAATTTGTAAAATTCAAACATTTCATTGATGAAAAAATGTGCGGCATGCATCTAGTGTGAAACTCAGTTGTAATTTTAGGAACACATTTTGAGGGTGTACTTGGATCTAATTTGCAAAAGATAGCACACTGAGATAAAAGCTTGAATTGCAGAGCCAGACATGTTTTGGTTCAATCACTAATTCCCTCCCGTACTTTGTTTTGTTATATGGCCAAGAAGCTTGCTTTTATGATTCTATTATATCATCTGTTAAATAGAAGTAATAACACTTATCTCATGGTTATATTACAAACAATGCTTACAAAACTGTTATCATGTTACTTGACCTGTAAAATTATATTGCAAAATATTATTGAATTGGGAGTGAATTTTAAAAGTTTACACTTGTACTAAGAAAAATATTATATTAGAATAATTTCCATTGAGCCAAATGACATGTTTTTCCAATATACATTGATATTGATATCACACATGCTCTGTAAATAGAGGCAACTGAAGCAAATGGTCTACTCAAACTTGAGAGAGCATTTTAATATCTTTATAAACTACATTAGACAATATGTGCTTCAAAGTGGGCATAATCTAAGTATATTTATAGGGATATCCAAAAAGTTAGATTGAATGACCTCTAGTGGTTCCTTCCTATGGGTCTCTGATTTATTTTCCAGAGAAATTTCCATGAACTGTCCTTTAGGCCTGCTGAACTTTCCAGGTTTGATAAGCAGCTCATTGGGTCTATGAATTCATAGAAAAAGAAAAATATGTCTTAGATTACACATTTTAAATCTAGTCAGCATGTAAAGGATGAACTGTTGCTTTAGGATGTGTTATAATTACACAGCAGTACTCCAACCTATAGACACTAAGTTGAACTGTGAATCTACAGTTTTTTATTCTCTTTTTTTTTTTAAATTAAAACTTGGCCTTTTCATTTATACTGATAATGACTTTATAGCTGCTTTTTCATATACTTATATTTTACTGCCACAAGAAAATATAAATATTTCTGAAATGTATAAATTTATATTTAAGATTTTATAAAGTCATTCTAAGTGAATTTTACCAATTTTATATTAAATTTAAAACTAAAAATGATAAAATTTACTTTGTAATGACGAATAGTAAATTTCAGTCTTTTCGCTTTTTCTACATACTAGGAGTTTAAGAGACTTCTAGAGTTAAATTTTAGAGTTAATTCTAGAGTTAAATAATTCTTTCAGAGTTATAGAATACTGTAACTCTATAAAAATGGTTATTATATGCCAGGTACCCCTCTAAAAGCATGATATGTTCTAAGTAGTTAATCTCTCATAACTACCTAACATGGAAAATTACTATTGTCCTTATTTTCACAGATGAGGAAACTGAGTCACAAAGCGTTTACACAATTTTCACATTTTACACAGCTAAAGGTAAAGGTGATAAACCTGGGATTTAAATCCAGACAGTCCGGCACCAGAACCCAGGCAAATAAAAAAGTTAACATGCACGGAGCATAATTGTGAAAATTAAAATGATTGTCCTTTTAATGTAAATTAGACAGAAATAACAATTTTTTTTTTTTTTTTTTTTTTTTTTTTTTTTTTTTTTTTAGATGAAGTCTGGCTCTGTCGCCCAGGCTGGAGTGCAGTGGCGCCATCTCGACTCACTGCAACCGCCCCCTCCCAGGTTCAAGTTTTTCATGCTTTAGCCTCCTGAGTAGCTGGGACTACAGGCGCAAGCCATCAGGCCTGGCTAATTTTTGTATTTTTTTTTTTTCTTTAATAGAGACAGGGTTTCACAATGTTGGCCAGAAGGCTGGTCTCAAACTCCTGACCTCAAGTGATCTGCCCACCTTGGCATCCCAAAGTGCTGGTATTACATGTGTGAGCCACCGTGCCCGGCCAGAAACAACTTTTAATATACATGTGTCCTAGAGAGTTAAATGTCCTTGAAGTGAAAACTTTTTAACTGAAAAATTGCAACAATATGCTTCCCCATAATTGATTAAGTAATATGTATTTTGGGGTCTATCAAAGCCAAACTAGTTTATTTGGAGGATATCATTGCCACTTGTCTAGCATTAAAATCTGTAAAGCTGTAAAAAGTTTTTATTTGTGAGTGAGACAACCCAAGATCAGAAAAAAAAAAAAAAAAAAAACAATTTATGTGAGGTTGGGGGAAAGAAGGAACAGTGAGGGGAGGGAGAAGTCTTTTAAAGTACACAAATCAGGCAGCTCTGAGGAGGGTATGTTTAAATATATATTCCTGTAGTTAAAATTCAGCACTTTTTTTCCTCACATTAGTGAGCTGGAATTAATGTCATCTTAATCATGAACAATACTTTACTGGAAGAGTAGTACTAGTATCTGACATAAAACATTTAAAGTGTTGGAAAAATATTAATGTTTGTTTGTGTAGAATAGATGATACCACCACAATGTATGCAAACATTTGAAAATGCACAAGTATAAATATAGGTATAATGTTAGAGGTATTATTTTTATTAAAATTGTTTCATACTTAAATAGATAAGTGAAAAAAGATTTACCTTCTTCATATGCCTGCATATTTCAACCCCAATATAATGATTTAATTTATTTGATGTTCTCAGCATCATGTAAATTGGCAATCTTCTTTATTGGTTATCATTTCAAGTTATGTTTTTTAAATACATATTTCTACTCCTGACAGTAATAACTCCATAGTAGTGGGTTGCAAAAAAAAGTCACCATGTCTATCATTAATGCAACAAGACAGTAACACCTGTTGGCTAGAGAAATGGCCTCACCTAGAAAATTATTACTTAGCCAGGCGTGGTGGCTCAGGCCTGTAATCCCAGCACTTTGGAAGGCCAAGGTGGGCGGATCACGAAGTCAGGAGATCATGACCATCCTGGCCATATGGTGAAACCCCTTCTCTACTAAAAATACAAAAATTAGCTGGGCATGGTGGCATGTGCCTGTAGTCCCAGCTACTCAGGGGGCTGAGGCAGGAGAATCACTTGAACCCAGAAGGCAGAGGCCGCAGTGAGCTGAGATCCCCCACTGCCTCCATCCTGGGCAACAGAGCAAGAATCTGTCTCAAAAAAAAAATTATTACTCATGTTCCAACCCATGGATGAACTAAAATCTCATTAGATCATAGGGCTTGTTGAGCAGTAGATAAAAGAAAATGAGATATGCTAGGTTGCGATTATGAAAGAGCAGACATTTTTGAATAAATAATAGCCAAACTATACATTTTTAGGGGTAAACACTATACCAACTGACTCTGAAGCTCAAGATATTCATAGCCCTTTACTACTTTCACAGTTAGGAATTATGAACTATTTTCTGAAATTTTCAAATACTTTTACTGTACTGTTTATCTATCTATACATGTGTATGTAACTATATCTAAAGATATGCACATAAACAAATGTGTCATATTCTCCCTGCTTCTAATTTTTGTACTCCATTAATAATTGGTAATGAAAATGTCCCATTGTATACCATTGTTTCTTTTTTCAGTGCCAGCAAGTCTGATATAAATGAAGCACTGGTTGAAAATAAAAAGAAGGCATAAAGAGAATTTCTAGTTATGAGTTAACACTTTCATGATGACCATACTTTCTCTTCCCCCCTTATTTTGTGGGTGGCAAACTTTTAAATCTATCCATTATTGTGTGCATGTGATGTCTGCAAGTTAGAAGCACATTCTAATGTAACAGATCTCTCCATGGGAAGATAAAATGTGGTTATTATTCATTGTTATTGTCTTTATCCTGAGAGATATAGAATACATTTACCATATAAAAGAGCAAAAAGTACTATGACTTATGTTTCACAAATAAATATCTAATTTCACATAACATGATGTTATATTATATTTTGCATGGCTACATTTTCTGCTCTCTGGGACATTAGAATTTCATATTGCATATTTTAAGGGAAAGGAGATTGGCACATTGTGTTACAGAAGGAGGTACTTGTCCTTAGCAGCACTAGGATATTTAATATGTAGGCTTATGGATGGGGAATAGGAGGAGACCTGGGAATACCTTGTACTGAAAGGATACTCATACTTGAAATAAAATACCATCTTGACTTTCTCTGTCTCTGCAACAGCTGGGAAAATACTGAGATAAAATTTTTCTTTCACTCCTTTCCACCCCATACCCACCCCCAGCAATCTAATCCCTGCCCAAATAATATCCAGGTTAACTAGGTAAAGATAGTTTCTTTTTAATACAAAATTGCATTTATATGAAGCTGTTGATAATCACATTCACATCTCTTACACAGTTTCTGGCATAAAACAAGTATATAATGATTTTTCTTTTAAATAAATAAATAATCCCATGAAAAACCCAATATTTCTATCCTATATTTCCATTAGCAGATCACAGTACAGTACTCAACATTTTGATGAGAAGAATACCCTCCTTAAGGTTTATTTTGCTTATTTATTCTCAGGATACATCTATCAAAACGTAGATGTATTCCTGGAAGGGCATAATTCATGAGTGAGATTCATTTTGACAAAGAAACAAAAATATTGATTCGTGGGAAACTAAACAACAACTAAAAAAAACCTCTCAAGGTTAGGTGGAGAAGTATAGTTGCGACAGGAAAGGGTTGATTTTTAGCTGGCCGACACCAGGACGGTCCTTCTGTTTCTAATTAAATTTTAATAGATTTCATCCACTCCACCTGGTTCTAGAGTCTATGTGGATTGGCAGTTGCCCTTTCCTTATAAGTTGTTAAATCCTTAAAAGATTACCCCTGAAGAGATGAATTGCTAGCAAAGAAGACACTTAGGACCAGATATATGAAAGGCTAAGGTGAGTGCTTTTGAGAAAAACACACACTAAAAGAACTCAGAAACACTGAGGTAAATTTATTTCTACTATATAATATCCTTCAAGTTAGAATAGTCATATGATAAAACTGTGTATTTTCAATCCCATTCAACACATGGACAAATTTTCTTTATAAATAATGGAAATAAGAGATTATCCTTTAGCTAATATTTGAATTTTTATAAAGACATCATTTCATTATTGCACTACCATTAGTACTGTGCATTGTGTAATATGTGTGGTTCTTACATGAGCTGCAAGCATAAATTGCCTAGAATTCCTCTGAAGGCTGAGATTCTCAGAACATATCAACATCACCTTCATCAGAATGTTTTAATAGGTAAAAATGCAGATTCCTCTGTGCTACCCTAGAAGTACTGAGTCATAAATTTTGAGGGTGCAGCAAAGAAATCTGCATTTTAATACATTCCCTAGATAATTCTTACATGCTTGGAAAGCTAGTCCCAGGAAAGATCAAATGATATATCCTGGTTCTTGACATATGCCAGGCCAAGCACCTCAATAGAAAGTGAAATGATACACCAAGTTTTTGGTATCACCTAAAGTGCAATTATCCATCTAGCAATTGCCTGCATCTAGCATATATTGGATGGTAGCAAAATGTACACACCTTTGGAACGTATGTGTCCTCAGATACCTAAAGAGTTAGATCAGAAAATTGTATTCAATGCCAACATAGAAACAAATGGAAATCGTTTCTTATCTTACAAATATCCAAAACAGGAAATAAGTTTTTATTTTAAATAAGTTTTCTTCTTTTCTTTTTTTTTTTTGTTTTGTTTCACATAACTACCTCAATTGATCGCTATTACTCTCAGAAGCAAACATTTGTAGAATTGCTGGAATGTGTCTCTTTTCCATCAATTCTATTTGAAACCATGAAGTTGTAGTGGCTTCCATCCCAAGTAATCAATTAACACAGGTCTCCTCAAAATTGGCCCAGTAATATTCAGAAAATTTGTGAAGCATTCAGCAAATCTAATTGGATTTTAAAATGTCTAACCAAACCCCTGATTGAGTGTGTCTCACTTATATTGGTTATATTTTGAAATAAAAGGATTGTATATCCTGATGGCATGTAAGCCAAAACCTAGAATGTAGTGAAAATAAAAGTTAATCTCTATTTCTCAAATAAAATTTTCTTCCTTTCAGTTTCATATACTTTCCTAATAATTTGCCCCACACTCAGTCCTATTTTTGATAATATAACATTCTGAGTGATAAAAAGCATTTCTCTAAATTCACTGAACTATAAAATTAAAATTATGATTGTGTTCCATGGTAGAAATATTCTCTCCCATACACATAAGCTTATAAAATAATGTTTTGCTTATTAAAACTTCAGTGAATGACATTTGAAAAATATGTATAATAAATATATGCGATAGACAAATAAAATTAAATTTAAAGATAAGTTTAAAACCTTCCCTCCTGCTTTCTCTATATTTGATGTCACTGAGTTCTTCCAACAACATTCATGATGGGAACCTGGTTGTGAAGGACATACAATACCATACACTAGACTATATATACTACACTCACCTACAAGTGAACAGCTTCCATATTTTAACCCCGCTTTTCAATAAGGGGAGGGTGGCACATGGTACAAATTCCACACTAAAGGCACATGTCAAAATCACCCGTAGGCCAAATATATTGAAAAAGTGTCTATAGCACACTTATTATTTTTTGTAATTCAAAGTACATTTAGAAAAGCAAGACAGACTCTTTTTAACTGATGTAAATACACAGAACAAGAATACTTTAAAGGGTCATGGGTTTAAAACGTTTGAGAAACAGTTTCACAGGGTCAAGTTAATTAAGGGCATGGCTCCAAGTCTACCTCATTAACCGAAGACATTGGCAGCTCTTGGAGTGTGAAAGTGCGAGATGACTGGGGTTGGCTTTACTTCCTAAATCATCCCTCATTAGAGCTAGAAATGCCAGGCTCTATAATTCCCTCCTCCCACCCCCACCCCCCAACCCCCAACATCCAGAAACCAAATCTGCCTGTTCAGGGCATCTGTCTCTTCTATTACATGAGGACAATTCCTGTCTCTTTACCATTGTGTTAAGGCTGCATGCTCTTTTTGCTTTTCATGCATTTCTTCCTCATTTAGGGGGAAGAAATGAATTAAAAATCCTCTTTAGCTTTTAGAGACAGAAATTAAGCTCCATTCTTTTCATTTTTCCTCCTTAACATATATATTTTTCTCTGGTTCTTTAAAGTCAGCAATTTAAATGTAATCTAAATTATATAAGCCATGTTCTGCTAGTCATTTGACTTAACCAGTTTATACTGAAAATGTTTAGAAAAAAACCTGAATGTAAAATATTCTCTTCCCATTGTTTTCTAGTTATTAGAGAAGATATTTTTCCAGGAGTGAGGAGCAGTTGTAAACTACAACTTCAAGAAACATTTAGTGAGGGAAACTGCTTAAATGGATTTTTTCATTAGAACCACAGGATTTTCAATAGTACCAAAAAAGCCAATACTGCAAGCAATTTCCAGGAGGAACAGCCCTCTCCTGACACTTTTTTTTTTTCAAATTAAAAATGCGGGATTACCTAACAAACAGATAAATATTACTTGGGCAATAACCTTCTAATTACCTATACAATTGTGGGCACCACATTTTTCATTGTCATTAAAGTCAGAAGTCAGACAACACACAGAATTTAAATACTTTATGGGATAAAATATTTAGTGCCGTTTATAGAAAGTATTTTGCTGACCCTACAAAAAATATATGTTGGAATGCAACATAATGAATATTTCTGTGACCCATTTCTCATGGAGCTTTCAAACATACAAAAACTTGGGCTAATACAATTGCTTCATAAAAATTGGGCAGTAGATTATAACGTGTGTACCAGTTCATGCAGCTATTCATTCATTGACAGTGAACATCCCTAACTTACCTTTGAAGAGTCAAAGAAAAACAGATCATGCTTTTTTCCTTAAGAAGTTTATGATTTATTGAGAGAGATAGACACATAACTAATTATAGTTACTGGAGTAAGTGCTATCATGAAGTCACTGGGAAGTTTTATGGGAATCCAAAAGACCAGATAACACATTTATCTGAGGGAAATAAAGTCTTGCATAGGTTCTTAGAGAAGGAAGAGAGGTCTTGCTGATAGAAAACAATGGTAGTAGGCACAGATATAGAAAGTTGTGGGTAAAGGAGATAGCTCTACTGAAGATATGTTTTAATGTGTTTAGCATGGCTAGGATGTGAAGAGAAGTTTACAGAGATGGAATTGCTAAATAAAAGTTGGATGGAGCATTCTTTTGAATGACTTGGCAGAGATTACTAATGTACCAGAGATCACAGACCATAAAAGGAGATGTGAAAGAGGCAAGAAGACATGCTGTTGCCATTGTCTTCAGATCTGGCTTTCATGCCCAAGCCTCACAGTTAAGAAAATCTTTCTTTTTACAAACATTACTACTTTTGAAGCTTGTGTGTCAATGGAATCTTGATCCCAAAATGCCTGATAATTTAGTGGAAAAAATAAAAGTCAAAATATTTTTTTCAAAGCTGTCAGAAGTTTCTGGTTTGGTTTGATTATTTGAAAGAGGAGAGACTTGTCTATACCCTTGGAGCAAAATGTTCTTTTGTGGTAAAATCAATTAACCAAGACATTAGTTCTGCAAATGAAAAGCAAAGACCACAAACTAAAATTCAATTGTTTGAGACTGTGTAAATCCAGGGAGCATTTTACCTGGAAAGTGTAAGGGGTGATGTGTCTATGTGGAAGGCAGAGGTTATTCTCTAAAATGCTTTTTTCTAAGTATATTGAAAACCTGTTGTTTTTTAAATAAGTATCACTCTCATTCCAAACACTTTATTTTATTTGTATAACTCAAATTAATTTCAGACTCTTAGCTCTCATTCCATTGAGATGTCAGAAAGCCAAACATTTGTCTTCTTTGTGAGATCCCTCCCTACAACTCCAGACTTCATTTCTTGGGCCCTCACCAATGATAATTTCTGGAGTCTACATCTGTAGTAGGAGCAGACGTGGGCATCCACATATAGGAGGACGTGCAGTTACTAGAGTTCCTCTAGTCTTTAGTTACTGTTTTATACGTGATTTTTGAGATGCCTGCTACCTAGGTCCACAGAATTTCATCAGGTACAGTGGCACCCTCATGCTTCTGGGTCATGCTGGAGGCCTGAAATGTTCACTCTATAGTCCTTTAAGTCCTTCTGTATAGCCATAGCGTAAAACCATTTCTCAGATCTTGCCATGTCCTTGGTGGATTCGTTGTCACATTCTATGATACACTCAGATTCTATCTAGCTTCACCATAAAACCTTTTTCCTCCAGAGTCTTACAACTTCCTCGTGATTGACTGGGGCCAAGCTCCGGCTTTTAAGGCTCCTGAAATCTTCCTGTCTCAGGCTCTTCCCGTCCTGGGGAAACTTCCTTTCTTGTTCAGTTGGGAAGCTTCACACACAATTCACCTTCTACAGCACACACTATAACTCTAAGTACTTTTCTTTTGTGATTTATCTCAGAAGCATCTATGAGAGAAAACTTAGATCTACTTAGATCATTTATTTTGGGAATTAACATCCCACCATACACTCTCCCTTGGGGAAGAAAGTAGCCTGTCTGGATGCTGGTGAGGTTGCGGAGAAAAAAGAACGTTTTTACACTGTTGGTGGGAGTGTAAATCAGTTCAAATACTGTGGACGACAGTGTGGCAATTCCTCAAAGATCTAAAAGCAGAAATACCGTCTGACCCAGCAATTCTATTACTGAGTATGTACCCCCCAAAATATAAATCATTCTATTACAAAGATACATGCACACATATGTTAATTGTAGCACTATTTACAATAGCAAAGACACAGAATCAACCCAAATGCCCATCTATGATAGACTGAATAAAAAAAATGTGGTATATGTACACCGTCGAATACTATGCAACCATAAAAAGGAACGAGTTCATGTCCTTTGCAGGGACATGGATGGAGCTGGAAGCGGTTATCTTCAGCAATCTAATGCAGGAACAGAAAACCAAACACCACATGTTCTCACTCCTAAGTGGGAGCTGAACAATGAGAACACATGGACACAGAGAGGGGAACAACACACACACTGGGGCCTGTCAGTGGGCAGAAAGAGCATCAGGAAGAATAGCTAATGGATGATGGGCTTAATTCCTTGGGGAAGGGATGATCTGTACAGCAAATCACCATGGCACACTTTTTCCTATGTAACAAACCAGCACATCGTGCACATGCATCCCTAAACTTAAAATAAAAATTAAAGACAAAAAAAAAAGAAAAAATAAAGTAGCCTGTCTGCTTCATGTTTGAATGGGGAAGAGAGAAAGGGAGAAACCTGCTTGAGGAGGGGACAATGAATTAATGTCTCAAAATGTTATTTTGACAGCTCATCCCCTAGTAAAATCCACGTTTCCTCAAAACCAAAATGAATGCTTTCTCTCCCACCCCTAACCCTGAAGTGGAAGGAGTAACCTATATTCCTTAATTAAATGAGTTATTTAGGAAACTATATCCTACTTGTACAGCATCATCTGGGATGGAAAGTCGAGGCTGTTCACAGGGTAAGTTATTCAATGTGCTCACCTGGCATGCAGGGTGGAGCTGGCAATGGGGGATACTAATACTATCATATTCAATGTTCACTTTGTACTCATGTGCTCTTCTGAGCCTTTTCCATGTGTAATCCCATTTAATTGTTACACTATTTTTCTATATGATAAAGGTAATATTATTCTTTTTTATATCAGATAAGAAACTAAGGCATAGAGAGTTTACATGATTTTTCAAGGTCCAGCACTAGGAAGTAGGAAGGCAGTCTGATCTGTGTCCATAGCCCATGCTCCTTTTTTATTTTTAGAGACAGAGTCTTACTCTGTCAGCCAAGCTGGTCTTGAACTCCTACACTCAAGCAAAGCTCCTGCCTTAGCCTCCCAAAGTGTGTAAGCCATCACACCCAGTCCTGAGCCCATGCTCTTAATCAATATGCTGTGCCAATATATCACACTCCTCTCTTTTTTAGGCAACCAGAGATAGAATAGAAGAATAGGAAGAATGTAGTAGTCTGTTCTCATCTGCTAATAAAGACATACCCGAGATTGGGTAATTTAGAAAGGAAAGAGGTTCAATTGACTCACAGTTCCACATGGCTAGCAAGGCTTCACAATCATGGCAAAAGGCAAATGAGGAGCAAAGTCACATCTTACATGGTGGCAGGCAAGAGAACTTGTGCAGGAGAGCTCCCATTTATAAAACCATGAGATCTCACAAGACTTATTCACTATCATGAGAACAGCACAGAAAAAAACCCACCCTCAAGGTTCAATTACCTCCCACTGGGTCCCATGATAAGTGGGGATTATGGGAGCTACAATTCAAGACGAAATTTTGGTGCAGACACAGCCACATCATATCATTCTGCTCCTGGCACCTCCCAAATCTTATGTCCTCACATTTAAAATTCAATCATGCCTTCCCAACAGTCCCCCAAAGTTTTAACTCATTTCAGCATTAACTCAAAAGTCCACAGTCCAAAGTTTCATCTGAGACAATGCAAGTACCTTCCATCTATGAGTCTGTAAAATCAAAAGCAAGTTAGTTACTTTCTAGATATAATGGAGATACAAGAATTGGGTAAATGTCCCCATTCCAAATGGGAGAAATTGGCCAAAATGAAGAGGCTAAAGGCTACATGCAAATCCAGTGGGGGAGTCAAATCTTAAAGCTCCAAAATAATCTCCTTTGACGCCATGTCTCATATGCTGATGCAAGAGGTGTGTTCCCATAGCCTTGGGCAGCTCCACCCCTGTGGCATTGCAGGGTACAGCCTGCCTCCTGGCTGCTTTCATGGGTTGGTGTTTGGTGTTCGTAGCTTTTCCAGGAGCATGATGAAAGCTGTCTGTCAGTGGCTCTACCATTCTAGGGTCTGGAGCACTCTGGTTCTCTTCTCACAGCTCCAGTAGGCAGTGCCCCAGCAAGGACTCTGTAGGGGCTCCAGCCCCACATTTCCCTTCGGCACTGCCCTAGATGTTCTCTATGAGGACACTGCCCCTGCAGCAAACTTCTTCCTGGACATCCAAGTGTTCCTGTACATCCTCTGAAATCTGGGCAGAGGTTCCCAAACCTTAATTCTTGACTTCTATGTACCCACAGGCTCAACACCATGTGGAAGCTCAAGGCTTGGGGCTTCCACCCTCTGAAGCTACAGACTGAGCTTTACCTTAGTCCATTTTAGCCATGGCTGGAGCAGTTGGGTAACTCAGGGCACCAAGTCCCTAGGCTGCACACAGCAGGGGGGCCCTGAGCCCTGCCCACAAAACCATTTTTTCCTCCTAGACCTCCAGGCCTTTGATTAGAGGGGCTGCTGTGAACGTCTCTGACATGCCCTGGAAACGTTTTCCCCATTGTCTTGGCAATTAACATTTGGCTCCTCATTAGTAATACGAATTTCTGCAGCCGGCTTGAATTTCTCCTAAGAAAATGGGTTTTTATTTCTATTGCATCATTAGGCTGCAAATTTTCCAAACTTGTATGATGATATCTTTGATACCCTAAATCAACTCTCTCAAGTTCAAAGTTCCACAGATATCTAAAGCAGGGGCAAAATGTCTCAGTCTCTTTGCTAAAATATAGCAAGAGTTGCCATTATTGCAGTTCCCAACAATTCTTCATCTCCATCTGAGATGGGAAGCATTTGGTCAAAGCCATTAAACAAGTCTCTAGGAAATTCCAAACTTTCCCTCATCTTCCTGTCTTCTTCTGAGTCCTCCAAACTGTTCTGACCTCTGCCCATTACCCAGTTCCAAAGTTGCTTCCACATTTTCAGGTATCTTTACAGCAGTGCCCCATTCTGGGTACAAATTTACTGTATTAATCTGTTCTCACACTGCTAATAAAAACATACCTGAGACTGGGTAATTTACAAGAAAAGAGGTTTGATTGACTCACAGTTCCAGATGGCTGTAGAGGCCTCACAATCATGGCAGAAAGCAAATGAGGAGCAAAGTCACATCTTATATGGCAGCAGGCAAGAGAGCTTGTGCAGGGGAACTCCCATTTGTAAAACCATCAGCTCTCATGAAACTTATTCACTATCACGAGGACAGGAAGGGAAAATCTCACCCCCATGATTCAATTACCTCACATCAGGTCCCTCCCACAACATGTGGGAATTATGGAAGCTACAATTCAAGATGACATTTGGTGGGGACACAGTCAAACCATATCAAATAATTTCCTCTGAGTCCTGATAAGACACTCAGTCATCTTTAATTATTAGCCTGCTCTGTGAGGACTTCACTTTGGCAGAACAAGTGGGTTTAATCTCCAATCAGAATTTTTGATTATGTCCTGTGCTCCTCGGAGCAAACATGCATCATTCAGACTGTGTCCTGTTGATTGAGAGCTGGCCTCCTGAACAAGTTTGTCATCATTAGGAAGCCAACCAGAGGTTCCCACTATGTACTCAGTTACTACCTTCACCAGGTGGGGTCTCTATGACTTCATTTAAAAAAACTTAATCTCAGCTGTCCATTAAAGAGAAAAAAAACCGGGCTCCAACTGGGTCCAGACAGGTACAAAACTAGAAAGTCCATGAGTGAGTTAAAGGGTGGCTCATTTTTTCTCTTCCAAATTATTTGTAATGTTGTGAAAATGCTCCCCTTCTCTAGTCAGGTAGTATCCTCTCTTGCTGACTTATTATAGTCTCGTCTTCTAACAGCAAGTTTCTTTTGAATGGAATATTGAGGAGATATTCCCATTTGTCATTGTACTGTGATCCCTTTACCTAGTTGCTGGAGACACAGAAAGAGTGACCACTAATATGCAAAATGTCATCAATGAATGAATTAGCACTTTCAATAATGCTACTTGGAAGGAACTATGCTGGTTCTACTGAATGTTTCTCTGTTCCAACGAAAGGTCGTAGCTATTAAGAATTCAGAGTAGAAAGGGGACTTTGAAAGGCAGCTTTGATGCATTTCCTTCTAAGAATTCTACAGAGTATCAGAAAACTTAATCTCCTCAGTGACTACAACAACCTGACATTTTGCACTCTCTTCTTTCTGCAGTTTCTACACATCTGAGGTTAAAAATCATCTTCAATGTTCTCTTAAGCTCAGTCTCTTCATAGGCCTCTCATATACCTGAAATCAGCAATGACGACTGGGAGTAATTCTCCAAGAGCTTTAATTACATTTTTTCCTAAGGTAATGAACTCGAGTTCCAAGGGTTTTAATCCATTACTGGTTCAGAAACATTCCTGTTCAAAAGACTCAGCCATTCTTGATGAGCCTCTACGTGTTATAAAGTCTGATTGAGTCCAAAACTCAGATACAGAATAAATACTTGTTTTCTATTATTCAGTTTACTCTCTGACTGAGATCACATCCTACTATAATGACAGAAAGCATGATCTCCCCTCCTCCTAGGTTTCGGGTCTGGGCTTGTAGCCCTATTTCAAGCTGTTAAAGGTTTGTGTCATAATCCTTAGTCTCATTGGGCCCAAGGCTTCCACTGACATCCTCAGCATCTCTTTGTGCTTAATCTTTCAAATTCCCATTGCTTCAAATTAAATATTCATTCCACTTTGGGACAAGGCCCAGACATACTACAAGCGATTTCCATCCAGAATATCTGTCTCTCTGTCACATATCCTGGCACACTGCTGAGAAGCTGGACTGGGGTCTGGTCCTAAGCAAAACCATAGGCATCTCATTGTTTCTCAATAGACTGGGGAAATGTTTTTTTTTTTTTTTTAATCTCCTATGTACAGGACAGACTTAATCTCTACCTTCATTACTCGGAAACTACTGAGTTTCTCCAAATATTGCTTTCCAGTATACTCACATCCTCTTCTCTTGATATTTCTTTTTGGAGCATTTTGCTTAATATCAATGGACTCAAGATTTAAAATAAAACCAACCCATTATTCCACAAACCTAACAAGCAGAAAGCAAACTCAGCACTTTCCATCTTGTTAAACAGAAGGAAGGTAAAACAAAACAAAACAAAACAAAAAACAGAAAACTATAAAGCAATTTTTAAAATAAAATTCAGCCCCACTTGTCTTAGTGGAACATGTGGATGAGTTAATCTTTCTATTGTTTGAACACTTATTTATGAGGAAAGAAGCTGATGTTCAGACTTTTGTAAGACTAAGGTCACAAGCAGTGTCACTTCAACATCAAGCTATCAAAGCGTCTCACTAAGTTGGAGAATGGAGATATTTACCATCTCTATGTTGAAACCAGAATTTCTCCATCACTCCATCAGTTGACTAATGTATGTACACAGAGAGACAGCAACCTGACTGTCTTTGCCATTAAAACATATCATGATATTAGCATTATCACAGAGAGCTTATGTGCTGGAGAGACATAGGAAAGACCAAGCCAGATTTTTACTTGGATCTATAGAGACACTTCATTCTGAATACTCTCAAATATAATGGGAGTAGAATGAAGGAGGGCAGACATGGAGCAGAATTTAATTTCTTGAATGTTAGATGGAACATTATATGCATTTCAATTTAGGCTTTAAGATTAAAGCAACTTTGATTAGACTGCTGACCCCTGTGATATACAGGTTATGTTACTGGGCAAAAAAATTAAATTATTCTAAAAACAGGGCATCTGAAGTGGGAGAACATTTGTGTTTTAGAAACAACAAGAAAGATCCATGAAATGATGATGACCTGGTCTAGGACAGTAGTAATGAGAACAAACAAGTAGATACAATTTAGACACAGTTGTGAAATATTAACTTATTACACCTGAAACCTCAAGAAGAGGCACTAACTGAAGGTAATCGCTTAAAGTTTAACTCTTGGAAATGACTATGTGGTTGATGCTGTTAATTAACATAGGATGTATAAGAAGATAATGAGGAGGAGCAAATTCTTCACAGAAGAAAACAAATTCCATGTGGGATCTATGAATTTTTCTGATTAATGTCCTACCAAAGATATAAATTGGTAGTTAGGAATTTGATTAAGCTCAAGAGAGTTCATCAGTGGAAAATTAGCTGCAAAAAAAAAAAAACCAGAAAATGTCTTCAGTGAACAAATGGGTTCTCAAACAAACAAGTGAATGATGTATTTAAAAGAAAAGCATATAAAATAAAATAAAAAAGAAGATTCAATACGTAACCATAGGAGATACAAACATTCAAAGAGCAGGTTAAGGAAAGAAGCCTGAGAAGGACCGTTCAGAGAGACACGATAAAAGAAAACCCAGAAGAGAAGTGTAAATCTGACGCCACAAGAGGAATGCACTTTAGAAAATAGGAGGGCTCAATATTACCTTACAGAGAGACCAAATAAGACTAAATTGCACAAAGTTCTTGAGGAAGTGAAGACTCAGATTATAGACTATATTTTTGAGAATATTGGGTATGAAAAAGGGTGACTTGGGCACTCACCAGTTTTGTTCTAGGAGAATTTAGAAAAAAAAGAAAGAGAGATGGTATTATTTTTGGAAACAGAAACTGAAAATTTACCTTATCCAGATAGAATATAGAAAGAATGAGGTTTCCAACAGAAATTAATTCCGTGGTCTTGTTTGATAGTCATAAGATGAAAATCGATTTCACCGGCCCAGTGCAGTGGCTCACACCTGTAATCCCAGCACTCTGGGAGGGCGGTGGGCGGTTCACGAGGTCAGGAGTTCGAGACCAGCCTGGCCAACATGGTGAAACTCTGTCTCTGCTAAAAATACAAACATTAGCCAGGCAGTAGTGGCACGCGCCTGTAATCCCAGCTACTCAGGAGGCTGAGGCAAGAGAATCACTTGAACCCGGGAGGCAGGGGTTGCAGTGAGCCAAGACAGTGCCACTGCACTCCAGCCTGGGTGACAGAGTGAGACCCTGTCCCTCTCTCCCAAAAAAATACAAAAATTAGCCGGGCGTGGTGGTGTGTACCTGTAGCTGGGAGGCTGTGGCAGAAGAATCACTTGAACCTGGGAGGCAGAGGTTGCAGCCTGGGCAACAGAGTGAGACTCTGTCTCAAAAAAAAAAAAAAAATCTATTTCACCGCTTTTCAGAGGATCACAAACAACACGCAATAGTACATTAACTCTATAATAACCAACATGTTTCCCTGCTTCTGTAGTTTCCTTCCATTGTGTTTAATGTGCAGTCTTATTCTACACTCTTTCACTCATGATATCAGAATTTATTTTATCCCAGAGACAATGAAAAAAATACCTAATTTAAAAGCTTAAGCAACGCAATCTAATTAACTGCATGGCTAATTTTTTCTACAGTGAGTTTAGGTTTATAAAGTGCATCTCAAAATTGTTACTGTGACCATATCCTTACTTTATCTACCAGTTCTAATAACTAAGCCTCTTTTTTGAGTACCCGATTTCCCAGTGTCAGGTCACTCACTGCGACTTTTTTACTAGACCTCCCTGAGTTTCATTTTTGTCTGAATTATTACCACTGTGCTTTCCAGATGACTATCTTTGCCTGCAATGGGGACATCTAATTTCCTGTGTCTTGTCAGAGACCTTATCTCATTTCTAAATCATAACCTTTCCAATTCAAGCCTGTCTCAACAAAGACTCTCAACCTTGATTACGACTTGTTCAGACACTGCTTCTCTTTTCTCCTCTCCTATCTTATCAGCCTTCAGATTGATGGTTGTAGTGATGAATTGGTGGTGTGGTGTGTTGTCACATTCCAAGGTGACAAGTAGGGATCACGTTCTATTTTATTTGACAGCTACATGAGTAAAGATTAGTTATTTTCTAGGAATTCTGAGTTATTTTCTCTATCATTCTGTAAGCATTACAAGGAAAGAATCAAGATCAAACTTGAGAAAAGAAAATGAACGGTCAAGAAAACGAAGGTCAAGATTAATAGTTGCACTTCTTTTGAATATAGAAAATAGGAATATATAGAATAAGAAAAGGAGATAATTATAGCCAAAAACAAACAAACAAAAAACACACAAAAAGTCAATAGTATGTTCAATCCAGGGAAGAGACTCTAGACATGACACAAATAATATCAGCTGTGCTATGGCTGATTTACTCATGGTGTGTTGACGGTACTTTAGTTGGTATGTCATATTTGGAAAAACAATTACTTATCATTGCAAGACTTTTATAAAATGAGAGATAAACAGGCCGGACGCAGTGGCTCACGCCTGTAATCCCAGCACTTTGGGAGGCCAAGGCAGGCAGATCATAAGGTCAGGAGATCGAGACCATCCTGGCCAACATGGTGAAACCCTGTCTCTACTAAAATACAAAAAAAAAAAAAAAATTAGCCAGGTGTGGTGGTGCGTGCCTGTAGTCCCAGCTACTCAGGAGGCTGAGGCAGGGGAATTTCTTGAACCCAGGAGGTGGAGGTTGCAGTGAGCTGAAATTGTGTCACTGCACTCCAGCCTGGGCACCACTCTGACTCAAAAAAAAAAAAAAAAGGAGATAAACAATATTTTCTTTCACTTAGGAACTTGTGAATGAAGGATCCTATTACATGCTCACATGATCATTGATACACAGAAAAATATACACTTCAAGTATTATAGTTGCCAACGTGTATGTTTAATATGGGTTTGTTTAAATCAGTGTCCATGTGCGCCATTAGCAGAAAACATTTCCACCAGCTTGGCCCAGAATAATTGAGTGCATTTATACTCAACAGTGTACTGGCAAGCAACCTATATAGCATGCTGGGAGGACTCAGTTTGATGTGGGCCTTCTCCCAGCATCTATAGTTACTGGCAGTACTTCCATGTTGTTATATCTCAGACCTTCACACCCCATGGAAAGGTTTCTCTACCTTGGCTCTGCATAGGGAGGACAAACTTTGGAAATAGTTTGATAATCTGACAGTCCTTTGGTTGATTTTCATCGTATCTTTTTCTGATTTTGACATTTTAATCACCAGCTGTCATTGTATTGGAGTCCTCTCCCTTTTCATGGATGATTAAATTGATGATCTTCTTTGAAAATTGTGTGCTAAACTTGGATCACAGTGAATAGTAAGTAATAATCCTGTAAGCAATTATTTTATCTTAAAACATGAAATATTCTTGAAATATTCTCTTCAATAGAAGTCTGAAAATCAGGCAAAAGTTAATTAAGAACAGAAATGATAAAGTAATAGTTCAATACTTCAATATTTTAATTATTACAAGCTCTTAAACTTAATAATTAGACCCCATATACAATTTTAGAGCTCAAGTTACATGATTTAATAAAAAAGATATTAATGTTTAATGAGTAACATATTTTCATTATCTTACCAGAAGAAAAATATGGTAATATGCAACTAAGTGAATAGATCATATTTTTACATAACGCCTACAACTAACATTAGAGAGCTTGTTTTGAAAGAATAACCTAATAAAAATGGAGAAAGAACAAGTGGGTACTAATGTATATCAATACCAAACATAACTCAGTTACCCTGTCTGAGAGTCAAAATCTATTACATTCTATAAAACAGATGGATTTTCTATTTGCCAATTATAGTTTAGGTTTTTAATGAGGTCAATAAACACAAACTGTATGAATCTTTCATAATATTTTTTTCCAGTTAAATATATGTACTCTAAATGCCAAAAAGTACATTCCAGTATATAAAAATAATAGCAAAAATAAAAATTTCTGAGACCAAGAAGCAACAGTCACACTGAGAAAGTAATATTCCTGGAATTACATCCTACTGAAATCAATAGTACCTACTGCAATTTGTGTCTACTTTCTAAAATCTTTTTCTTTAATATTTAAAAATTCAATGATTAATTTCACATTATTTTGAAGGTTGGTCTTAGGCTTTTGTGTGTGTGTACTTTGCAGGTTAAGATTGTAGAAATAATATAGTGCAATTTCTCATAAATTCATCATCATGCTAAAATTACTTTTTAGTTTTTAACTTTTTTATTTTGACAAAATGTTACCCACTTATACTAAATTTGGAATAAAAGTTCATTTTTTTTTTTTTTTTGAGACAAGGTCTCACTCTGTCACCCAGGCTGGAGTGCAGTGATGTGATTATGGCTATGGCTCACTGCAGCCTGGACCTCCTGGGCTCAAGCAATCCTCTCATCTCAGGCCCTCCAACCTGGCCACTAGCAGGGACTACAGGCACCTGCCACCATATCTGGCTATTTTTTTTCTTTATCTTTTTTTTAGACATGGGGTCTCACTATGTTGCCCAGGCTGGTCTCAAACTCCTGGGCTCCTCCCGGAATATTTTGGGTAGTAAGTTGTCAATATGATACTTCATTACCCTGCAATATTTTCAGGCATATTTCCTACAAATAAGGCCATTATTCTATATAATCACCATATACCACCAAAACCATGAATTAACATTTATACTTCATTACCATTAATTCTTCAGATCACATTCAAATTTCTTCCAATGTCCCAATAATGGCTTATAAAAAAAAATCCAGTTCACAATCACATTGCATTAATTGCCATGACTTTATATTTCTTAACTCTGTGACGTTTCCTTAGTCTTTCCTTACTTTCCATGACCTTGACATTTTTAAGATCATAAGCTAATTATTTGGTACAATGTATTCCAATTTGGATTAGATTAGATTTGGGTTTTAGGTGTTGAGCAGTAACATCACAGAAGTGGTACTATGGTCTTCTTATTGTGCCTTATCAAGTAACATCAGGTTTTAATCTGTCCCTTTGCTGATGATGTTTGCTTTGACTGTTTAAGGCAATATGAGCCAAGCTTTTCCACCGTTAAATTATGCCATACCCCTTTGTGATTAACATATCTTTTGTAAGGAAGTAGTTTGAAACAATAAATATCCTATTGCTCACCAAACTTTCAATCTACTTGTTTTATATCTGTATTGATCATTATTTGCTATTGTATTTAATAGATTAAATTCATTAATATTAGTATTTACTTTGATGATCAAATTATTCTTTATTCAGTCAGTGAGTCCCCATTCAAGCTGACTTCTGGGGCTTTTTCCATCATCCTTTGAGCTCTTTTGACAGTACAAATGGTCCAAGCTCATTTTGTGCTTGTTGTGCTAAACTGATCTAAAATCCAGGATGCTTTTCACTACACTGTTTTACTTGTAAATGATCCACAAAAGTAATAAAGATGTTTTCTATTGAAAAACCAAACATCCAGAGTGGATTCATGCATTTTATAAAATTCATTTTCATTCCATAAATTGTGGTATGCAAATTTGAATGAGGCCCCACTCCTGGCTTCCTGGAATTAACAGTGGAAAAAACGAAAAAAAAAATAAACACATGGACAAAAAAACAACAAAAACAACTAAACAGAGCCTTTCATTGGTTTAGACCAAGTTAAGTTTTAAATGCCAAATGACTTATGACAACTCTGTTACAGGACAATGGATAAAAGATTGGAGATATGAGTAAGTGTTTAATTTTTTAAGTTTTTATGCTGATACCAGAATCTGTGTGTGAGGTTTACAGAGGGGATTATTTTCACAGTTTAAGACACCGATAATTCAAAGTAATTGACTAACATGCTATCATTGTCACAGAAGAGTTAGACAAATTTGGATGACAAATTTGGAAAAGATATAACACGGGTAGAAAACTTGTAAATATCTTGATTTACACTGCAGTTATTAGACCTAGGTGGCCGCTAAGCCTTGTATTTATATATACTTGCTCTATCAGAGCATACTTCTCAAGCACTGGCGAACCTAATATGCTGACCTCTGAGAGGAATTGGTTTACAGAATGATGAATAAATTCAAGAGAACTAAAGTCTCAGGGGGCTCAAGTATGAAGCCTGAGAGCAGTGCGACATGGGATCAGCAGCCAGGCTGGCAGTGAACAGAAGTAACCGTTATACACTTGTCGGACTTTATGAGACAGTTTCAATATAAATAGCATGAATAGCAGCCAAATCGAGTCTTTCCAGTCCTCTCTTGCCTCTATAGCTGTGGCTAAAACCTGCACCAATGACCACTGGGATTTGTAACATCCTTTTGCCAGCAACAGAATCCAGACAGTCATTAAATTGGATATAAGCAAGACAGGAATTAAGAATGGAGATTGGGTGGTTTAGACCTCTGATGAAACCAACTGGAAAAAAAACAGATTTCCCAGATGTAATATTAGGCCTTGGAGTTCAAATGACCAGCTGTGCCCTGAAGTAAATGAAGGTGAGACCATTTTGTGTGAGGGTGACTAGGTGTGCTGGGAAAAATAATTCTCACTACTGAGTGAATAGAAGGCATATATGTGTATTTGAACTCTCCCAGGCTCACTCTGACTATACATACATTTATGCATATACCTCTCACTCTTATTTCATCCTCACACTTTATATATGTATCCATAAAGTTGACTCTCAGATTAATCTTAATAATCAGCATATCTCTATTAAATAATTAGATGAATTATATTGTATGCAAGACAACTAAAGAAATATACCTAAAAATGACAATAGTTCCTATACAGTTTTAAAATTATTCTCAAAGTAAGTTCTATTGCATTTAATGGAAACAGAATTCCTTCAGGGCCTATCTCCTCCATGAAACCCTGTGATGTAATCTCTCTGGAGTTCATCCAGAGCAAGGAGAGTTGCCTCAGATAATGATGACTTAAAGATTCAAAATCCAGCCACTAAGAAGACTTCTGTACTACTTCAGTACCAAATGCAGAAGCAGAATTAGCATAAAATTAATAAAGTTGAGGTTCAGAGACCCTCACTTGCATGGACTCCTTCCACAACACTAAGAAGACCCTATCAATTTCATATTAATTTTGTTTATTATAGATCTTAAGTAAGCGCATCTCTCAAATTGGATAAATTTTAAGCCCTAAATGAATATATAGAGAGAAATTTGAATATACATATATACTCATTTAGGCATTACAAATATATACATTTTTCTTATAGGATATCTATCTATCTATCTAGATAGATAATAGGATATAGATAGGATATAATAGGATATAGATAGGATATCTATATAGATAATAGGATAGATGTATATTCTATTTTCTCCTAACAAATTTTATTTTTAGGCAAGGTATACAATTGTTCATTCATTCATGTACTCATTCATTCAAATTATGTCTATTAAACATTGGCGTTGTATGAGGTGGTAGGATAAAATTCATGGGAAAATAAAGTCACAGGATTGTCTCTTAAAGAGATTACACCCTAGTAGAAAAGAGAAACAGAATTATAAAAATGTAAAGAGTAGGAAGCTAAGAGTTTACACACAGTGTTCTCTGTACTCAATACATACCAGTTTGCAGGAAAATGGAATAAGAGTTCAGTGCACAAAAACATAGTAAGTCATTGGAACCTGCATTGAACTTCTGAGTGTGCTTTGACTATATTTACATCTGTGTTAAGAAATATTTGGAAAGTGATGCCTAAATTTACTAGAGGTCCTTGGGGATATAGCATAATGGGTACTAAAGATGGAAAACATTTGTTAAGTTAATGTCATTTAAACAAGAAAAAAATGTATTATTCATATTTCAATGTCACATTGTGTTTTGAAAGCCTAATGACCCTTCTTAATTAGGCTGTGGGAAGTCATAAAATGCCACCCAAATTTAACTGTTACTTCGAAGTTAAACAGAATGTGTTTTTTGTCTTCATTAGGTGGCTATCCTCTTTTCTGGTAGTCTAAAGCCTCAGGTCAATCTAGTACACAGCTTTTTCTTGCTAATTTCTATTGAGTTCTTACACTGAAGTTGAAAATAGGGCAACATAATATTAGGCTTTTAAAAATTTTGTGCTACTAGTTTTACTAGTAGTTAACTACTAGTTAAATACTAGTTTTACTAGTATTTAACACTTTCATAAATATATCAGATTAGGATTTCATTCAAACACCATGCAAAATTTAAATATTTTCTAAAATATGTCATATGTGTTATATAAACAGTATTTAGTCTTCTGCTGACATTAAGATCAAATTTAAATTAAAAGCAAATTTAATAAAGGTTGACAATTCTTCAAACAATATATATAATCAATTCTGGTTTTGAAATAAACTGCTTACCACTGCCTCAGTTATTCACAGAGAACATCATGGCCTTTGTAAACCTCAACTATATCAGAGTGCATTTTCCTCACTGACAACAGGTATGTTCTCATAGGAGAAGTATAATTTTAGCTAGTTATTTATTCAAGAATCACAAAATTGTGACTAAAATGTGTCAGGTAATGGGCTAGGCTCTGTGCTCACCGTAAACATGAAAGCCAGTGGAGACAGACAATGTTTTATTATAACATTGTGTTATAATAAAAACACAAATTATAATAAAGCAAGGGAAGTGCCACTATGTAGGTAAGAATAAAATGTGGTCACAGCACACTGAGGATGGAGCCAATTGCTCTGCCATGGATTATGAGGTAATTCTCCAAGAGGATGCAACAAGTTCAGCCTTTAAAAAAATCATTGGAGCCTTCAGGTAAAGAAGGAGATAAGGTTTTCAGGCAGAGGAACAGCTCAAAAAATGGCATAAAGCCATGGCAAAACGTGCTGTACTCAGGGAATGATGGAAATTCTGTAACTGGACTTGAGAAATTGTTCAAACAGGTGCCAAAGAGGCTGGGAGGGTAGACTACAGTAAGACTGAAGGGCTTGACTCAATCCTGTGGGCAAGAGAAAGCCAAGGGAGGTCTGAAGCTGGGAAATGAGGTAATCGGATTTATTTTGTTGACAGGCAGCTCTTTTGGAAATGTGGAAAATGAAATACAGGTAATGAAAAGAGCAGAAGTGAGTGACCAGAGGAGAGAGATTTGAAGCAGGCCTTATAAGACATGATATGCATCTGAACTAAAGTTCAGTGGAAATAAGGATGAAGAGGCAAAACCGGAAATTTAAGACATAGCTGGGATTCTCTAATAATTGACGACAAATTGATATGAGGTATGAGAGCAGTGGAAGGAATCACTTAGATTCTACCTGTTTACATGAAAAATTTGGGGTTCTCTTAACTGAGATATAGAAAGCAATAAGATCACTAAATAGAAATAAAATCTCAATTTTTAACATAATGAGTTTGAATTTTCTTGAATCATACCAAGCAAGACAGCAATTTATTTACAAACTGATACACTGATAAATTGTTTTGCTTTATCACAATTCTCTCTTTACCCAGCCTCAACTATTCCCTTGCAGTGAGAAAAGAAAAATAGTACAGAGCTGTCTTAACTATGTGAGGGAGCCAAATTTATCAGGCCCAGAGAGACATGAAATTGAGTATGGGACTTCAGTCATGGCCAGGCACCCATACCCAGGGGCAATTTTTTAAAGACTTTTTTTCCCACCTACCTGCTTCACCCAGCATCATCATGTTTCTGGAATTTGTGAGACAAAGACCAATATACAACCAATTAATAGCTTATGTTATTTTTCTTCAAATTCTTGATAAAAAGTTTAGGAACTGCCTCTTTTCTTCTTTAAAAACTGACTTATTACTGCTGCTAATCCTCGTACATATTCAGGACAAATTGAATCTATGTTCTTATGTGACCATCTTCAACCCTCTCAAATGAAAAAACCCTCTTCGAACTAGATTCTGGCCTTTTTGGTTATCTTCGGTTGCCAATAGCAATAGTAAATGGACTAAGATAGGTACCAATCAATAATAAACACTATAAATATTTATTAATAGAATACTGGTTAGATCAATTATGATACAGAGAAATAATAAAATATTTTTAAGAGATTAATAAAATTTGGTGCATTTATATATGTTGACATGAAAAAAAATCCAAGGGAATCAAAGTGCAAAATGAATAGTAAAAATCAGTGCCTATACTGTGTTACTATTTTAATGAAAGACCAGTATATTGAATTCTTAGGGCTGATGTAACAAATTACCACTAACTTGATGGTATAAAACAACAGAAATTTATACTCTTACAGCTCTGGAGGCCAGAAGTTTGAAATCAAGGGGTCAGCAGGGCTGTCTGTGCTCCCTCTACAGGCTCTATTGAATAATCCGTTCCATCTCTCTTTTACCTTCTGGTGTTCGCCAACTTCTTTGGCTTGTGGTCAAATCATTCCAATCTCAGCCTCTATTGTCACATCTCCTTCTCTTCTGTGTCTATCTTGCCCTCTGTGTGTAGCTTGTAAATACACTTGTCCCTGGATTTACGGCTCAAACAGTGCAGGATGATCTCCTCAAGGTAAGATCCTTAATTTAATTATGCCTGCAAAATTCATTTTTCCAAATATGATAACACTCACAGCTTCAGGAAATTAGGTCATGGAAATATCTTTTGTTGGGGGTCACCATTCAACCCACTGCAGACAGCTTCTTGTATTTGTTTCAATATGGACATTATCTAAAAGGATAGGCAAGAAATTACTGAGTTTTTGTTTTGTTTTGTTTTCCTCCATAAGAAGGAGAAATTCGTAATCCTGGCATGGACAAACAACTTAGTTTTCCTTGTGTGCATTCATTTATTGTTTGAATTTTCTTGTTTACCATGATTATGTGTTACATTTGAAATTAAATAAAATATAATCTAAAACTTAAAGTGACTGTAAAATTATTTGACTTGAAATTAAGTCATTTAATAAAATAACTTGCTTTTGAAAACCCCTTAGATGTACAGACTAAATAAAATATAGGCAGAGTGGCCTAGGAGCTTTGTGAAGGCTATCACATGTTAAAAGAAAAATAAACTGGATATGCTGAGTTTCACTCAATAACTAAAACTTTATCATTGGAAATGAATAGAAATGCTAATTCTAGAGGATCATATTTTTCAAATCAATTTCTGTCCTATTTCCTTGAACTTAAGAATTCTAAAATACATTGATGCCTTATCAAAAAATATCAGCCTCTCTGTCTCACAAAAGAGAGTGTTCATTCCCTCACATCCAGTCCACCATAGACTGCGTTACTGCTTTTACCTCTCCAGGGTTAGGGGTATCCACCACTGGAGAACTGCTATAATATGGAAATCCACGAATTTCTGTTGAGCAGCTAAAAGTGCCCTAGTGTCCTCACTGGTGATGAAAGTGACAATGAAAGTGACTTGCAGAATGACTTTAACTTAGTGGAAATGATGGATTCTTCAATATGTGTGACATTTGGGAACTCCCAGACATAATCAATGGAGTTTTCTCAGGAATAGGAAGACTTTTAAGAGTAATGAACCAATGGATTTTTATGATTGACTATATTGTGACATGATTACATTTTCCTGAAACAAATCTTAACATATTTCTGCATAGTCATGTACTTTTCAAGGTACAATTAATGAAAACAAAATAAGCCTAATGATTTCCTGCCTGTCCTCAGAGAAGTAACGAGTTCTCTACTATCAACTGATTTTTCATTTTAATTTACATTTTAATTCGTTTCAGTCTCTAGTCTTATGCTTATTTGTATGTAAGTTGTTACCAAAGGTTAGTATCCCTCTTCTGAGGAAATAAATAGGCAATTCTGAACTATTTTTAATGAACAGCAGTAACACTGGCTAAGCATAGGTCACATGCTTATCTGTGAAACAGGCAATATAGCACTCTGGTGCCCTAAGCCATGTGCCCAGCATTATTATGGTGGTTACAAGGGAAGTGAGACTATTGAATTAACATATCCAACAGGTGGGGAGGGCAAAACAGTCTGAACAGACTAAACTTAATGTCATTTCAGTTAATATAAATAAAATTATAGAGGCTCTCTTGGGAGGGTAAACGTAACACAGACACTTTGCTTTAAAAATCACGGGTAATTCTCTTTTCTTCACATTAACAAAATGTATATAGCAATAGAATAATGGTTTACAAATAAAAATAAAAAAAGAAGAAATGCTGGGATAGAGGAAGAAGCTGTAATTTTGTTTTATTTGACTGTAGGAGGTTGAATTCACAGCTTTCATTTTCACAGAAATCGATTTCGTTTTTTCTATTTTTGAGAACAATTAAGAATAGCAATATAAAAGAAAAAAACTAAATGGGCAGATGATGGCTGTAATACTGAAATGCTTGTTGTAGGCATATACACTTATGCATTAGCCTAGTTCCCCTTGATGCCTTCTGCCCACCCTTCTTTCCCTCTGTTATCAGTGACATCCTCAGTCAGTTTCCTCCAGCTGCTCTGTATGTGCAATCATTGCAGATGTCTAGGGGTAAGGCTTAACATTTTAAACTCAATGAGTAGTTACTACTGCAAGTAGCTATCCTTTTCCAGTGAGAATCATTTGGGGTCAGCCTGGCTTCCAGCCTTTATGTGAGTGAGAACACTGCTATTGCTGGATTTCTGTCAGTGACAGAGAGATTTTGGATCCCATTTCTTCCCTCTTCCCTCACTTCCTCCCCACTTTTACCATAGATCCCTTTCTTTCCACATTAACTGAGTACATGGCAGTAAGGGACTATGCATGACATTGAAACTACTTTTGTATGTGACCTAATTTTTAATTCCACATGAGCTGGAAAATCTGCCTTCCAAAAAGTAAACTATGCCTTTCAAGCAACAGATTCTGTTTCCAAAAGCTTATTTATTTTTAAAGGATGTTTTTCAGCGTTGTTAAGATATTGGCTGAGTTTTAGAAAATTTTGGAGATTTTTAAAGTAACTCTTATGGCTTTTCATTAATAATAGAAACATTTAAGATTGTTTGAAGATCCTTTATACATACACATATATATGTATATATTCATTTTTTTAAAAGCTAATTGAAGGGTCAGATAAGTGGTATATCATGTGATTACTTTTTCAATGGAAAAAAGTCTAATTTCAGGAAAAATTGTGCTTTTTTCTCATCCTGTAAACAGTAGTGATTACTTCTAGAGAATAAATGTTATGTGATTAAATATTTGTAGTCATTTACACATACTGTATTATTAATTTTATCAGGTTCTTGCTGTATCTGTCACGTCAGCTCCACTGAGAGACTACTTGTAGTTAGCTATGAATTATCTGAACTCCCTACCATGTATGTAAGAATTTCTAAACCTGTGAGCCTGTCACTAGTGGAAAGGATAGCAAGGAAAAATAAGGGAACAAGTTTTTCTGCCTATTAGTAGGAGGTGCCAAAGTGAATTAAGAAATGGGATCTTTGGCTGGGCACGCTGGCTCACGCCTGTAATCCCACCACTTTGGGAGGCTGAGGTGGGTGGATCACTTGAGGTCAGGAGTTCGAGACCAGTGTGGGCAACATGGTGCAACCCTGTCTCTACTAAAAACACAAAAAAAATTAGCCGGGCATGGTGGCATATTCCTATAGTCCCAGCTACTTGTGAGGCTGTGGCAGGAGAATCACTTGAACCCAGGAGGTGGAGGTTTCAGTGAGCAGATATCGCACCACTGCACTCCAGCCTGGGCGGCAGAGCGAGACTCTGTCTCAAAATAAAAAATAAAAATAAATAAAGAAATGGGATTTTTTTTCAACCTACTTATGCCAACTCCAAAACCAACATACGATTCTGATATAAACCTTCCATATTTTAAGGATCATACCTAATTGAGGCAGTTTACTGCCAGAAATATATATATTTTATTCCTCAAGTGTATTTAGATGGCCAAAAGATTGAGAACCATCAATAAATCAGGAAAGTAAAGAGTGTTAAGCTAGTTGTTTAGCAATTATTAAATAAAATATTTTAAAAAGTAATTTTTTTTGTATTCACAACACATTTTGGGGGGTACAGTGAAATATTTATTCAAACTTCATATTCATCTTAAACTATTACATGAATATTTTCAAGGAAACTTCTAGGGATGAATTATCTTTGTTAGAATTTTAAACATTTTAAATTATTTTCTCAACATAGTATGTCATACTCATATTATGGAATGATTTTATTTGTTCAATGCTAGTCTTCCCAATACACTATAAGCTTTAGGAGTCTAGAGATTGTTTATGTCTGATGTTCCATCCTCAGCATAGTGATTGGTACATTATAAACATTCAATGAAACTTTTAAATGAAAGACGTTTATTGGGTGAAAAAGAGATCTTCTCAATTCATTTTGAACTTTATTTATATTACAAAATAATAACATTATGCAGAAACTCTGCCAACTTACTTTGCCAGAAGGACAATTTAACCTAATTATATTTCTTTAAAACAGACCTCAGTAGGAGATAGCTATCAAATTGAAATAGTATGGTAATAATACCCAAGATCTTGTAACACTGATAATGAATAAAATGCATATAAAAGATCTTAAAGATATATATTAAACCAATAATCTTCTATTATTGAAAACCTATTCTCCAAAAGTACTTATTTCTAGATTGCAGAAACATATTATTTGCTTCAAATTTAAGTGGATGCCTTTATGGAAAAGTAAACACTAAATCCACAATACCTATCTGTTACACTAAATCCACAATACCTATCTGTTAGAGTTAATCTTTGAAGACTTCAAAATAGTCACAGGTCATTCCATACTTAAAAGTATCAGATTAATGACAGCTCTATTAAACATAATCATCAAGTTCATTACCACAAAGTATTTTTTAGGGAAGAGGACCAGAAGCCTGCTGCTAAGACAAGGAAGAACTGTTTCTGTCATCAGAGTGGCAATAAACAAGCAAAACAAAATTACACTTGTGTAAACAAGTGCAAAATTAATGGTTCACACACTATTTTTCTTCCACTGACCCTTTTGGTAGGCCAAATGACCCCTTAGACCACCTACGCTCAATTCCACCACACACGGACACATAGTTTTTGGGGTTTTCTAAATTTGAGGTCCTTCCCTCCCCACCCTGAAAATGTGATTTTTATCATTTAAAGTTATAGCAAAATGAAGAATGGGAAACAATTACTAGGAAGAAGGAAAGAAACAATCCAGCAGCTTCTCATGTGTTGGTCAGCAAGGTGCTAATCACATACCTAATTCAGATAATGCTTCCAATTTAGCTGTAAAATCAGTGGTAGGAGATTATGAAAGAAACACCAATAATAATTATAGTGCTTGTCCAAATGCCCTTAAATTTTACTTTGACCATAAATTCCTGCACCCAATAAAATGCCACAACAGCAGTTGCTATCTATTATTTGAGATTTCTCAGCAACTTAGCACTTTAAACAAAACTACAGTTAAAAGTAAACCTATGTTTTTCAACCCCACCCCTTTCTTCATCTTTAATGTTTTCTGAAAACCTAACTGAATCTTGGAACTGAAAGTAGTTGTTTTTTTAATTACTCTCTTTGTTTTCTACATTCACTCTCTGCCTAAAATCGATCTCCCTTCCTCTTTTATAAAGTGGAGTTAAACTAAGTCTTAATTTGTACCTTTAACACTGAAATTGAAAGACATAATGGAACAATTTCACTTAAAGAATCTGTATTTGAAAGTATTAAACAACATACATTAGTATATTATAATTGATTTAATAACTGGAAACAATTCTATTTCATTATTCTATGAACATTTTTTCAAGTTTCCTGTATTATTAGTATATGTGATATAGTGTTTTGCTTAGAATCCATGGATCTGTTTTCCATGGGTGGTGGTGTTAAATGCTCTTTCTTTTATAGCTATTAGGTAATCTTGCTAAGCAAACCTCTTATTGATATTTCAAAAATGCATTTTCTCCTTAGAGAATTCACAGTAATTTAGTTTATTTTGTGAAGTTCTGTGAGTACTTTAACGAGAGAGTTCCCTTCAAAGGCAGATAAAAACTAGAGGTGATAATGAGTGCATCCACATGGAAAGAAGAGGCATCAAAAGCAAAAATATTGTAATATAGACATAGCTCTACACCAAAGGATGTTTCCTTTTTCTGATCTTAAGATTTGTTACAGTCTTACAACTAATGTTCCCCAAACATCTTGTCTGGTATGTTTCCAGGTTACGTGTTGCAAAAGAAAAAAACCTCAGATTCTATCCACTACCAAAATTAAATGCTTTTTAATACTTGTTCTTTATGTATATTTCTAAAAAATAAACAACTTTTGTTCTCTACCACAGATAAAATGTGTCCTTTTGAAGAACTCTGGATAGGAAGTATTTTACAAAATGCCATATGACAAATAGGATGGAAAAAAAAATGTGCTGAAAGAGAATCAGTCCAGACCTCCAATTTGGGTCGTCACAGGAGTATATTTCCTTTGTAGAGGAATCTGACAAGCATTCCCTCAGAGACATAACTAAGCAGAAAAATAGATGTTAAACAAAGAAAAATGAAGCCAATTAGAAGCAGAAGAGAGAAAGCGAAGCAAGGCAAGTTGGTTTATTATATTAAGAAAGAAATGAGAGCATTAAGATAAATATATATAATATTAAAAACCAGAAGTAAAAAATGTATTTAATAACAATATGAATGTTTGAAATTAATTTTTCATAGCATACAATATTTCATTTTATGAAAGGAAAACATAAACAAATATATAAGGTAACATATATTACCTTATCTGTTTTATTCCATTATAAAGAAATGCTGGAAACTAGTTTAATGAGGGAAGGGGGCAGAATTGTAACTTCTACACATATTTTTTACTAAATATATAGATTATTACATCTATGAAAATGTATTTCAAGAGTTGTTGAATAATTCTCCACATTAGCTACTTAAGTTAATAAGAAATTATGTGAATATAAGTAAATTACGTTAAAATTATGTATTATTTAATCATGATTTAAAAATCATGTCTATCCTAAAGGAGATAAAATAATATAATAATCTGGGAAGCATGAATTGCTTACTCTAAGTACAATTATAAATTAAATCAAATCATCAATGCAAGCTGTGTTTAATTAAATAAATAATCTAATCACTTTTCCATTATTAATATAACATATGACCATAAAATAAAATTTAGATCAGAAACATTTTCAAACTTTTAAAATCATTATCCAAAAAAAAAAATCATAAAAATGTGACCTACTTTTTCCAGTCTCTTGTCTATACCTGATTTATGTTTGTTCTTATTTTTGGCTTTGCTGTTCTAAGGTTGTTTGTTTTTACCTACTCGTAATCATATGTCACTGATCCTGTTGCTTTTACTAAAACTTTTATCATAAACATTTTCTACACCAATATGAATGAGCATAGAAAGCACTTTTAGTGACAATATAATCATGTCATATGAATATAGCATGTTATTTATTATTAAATATGCTCTTGCTTCTTTTTGTTTACTTAAGATTTTAGTTCAGTATAAGACTCTTTGGGATAAATTTATACACTAAAGACACAATGCATAATGGTACTATATAAACATAATCAACCTTTTATGTGTCAGATATATATATATATTTGCATGCATATATATTAGCGTCATGATCAGTATATAGTGGTTAGTAGAGGATAATAAATAGATCAGTAAAATATATTTTTATGTTAAATATATTAAAAAATCATGTCTTCCTGTTAATAGACTACTTAAAAATAGAATAAATAAAAATAACATCACTGTCAATACCTGATTTCATTGTCTGTAAGTGCTCCTGAGAAGGGGATGTACACCATGCAGGCTTTAAAAGACAATTTTAATGTGTTGGTTTATACTGTGAGTGAAATTGGAAGCTTCTACAAGGTTTTGAACAGGGATTTGACATAATCTAACTTACATATTACTTGATTCTTTGAGCTGATTTTGCAATGCTTATAGCTCAATCATTTCTTTTATTATATTAACCATCAGAACAGCATGAGCTCAAATTTTGCAGAGAAAGGTATTAGTTGCATGAGTTTGCTAGAGGATGCCTTGCTTACCAAGTATCTGTTTGCTAATTGGCTCCCTAATTCAGTGTCTCTCTCTGTGTGTATGGGAGGGGTATATATGATAAGCCTATGGCATTCATATAAAACTGAAACTTGGTGGGGCACCGTGGCTCATGCCTGTAATCCCAGCACTTTGGGAGGCCAAGGCCGGTGGATCACCTGAGGTCAGGAGTTCGAGACCAGCCTGACCAACATGGTGAAACCCTGTCTGCACTAAAAATACAAAAATTAGCCAGAAGCCGGGCGCGGTGGCTCACGCCTGTAATCCCAGCACTTTGGGAGGCCGAGGCGGGCGGATCACGAGGTCAGGAGATCGAGACCATCCTGGCTAACACGGTGAAACCCCGTCTCTACTAAAAATACAAAAAATTAGCCGGGCGTGGTAGCGGGCGCCTGTAGTCCCAGCTACTCGGGAGGCTGAGGCAGGAGAATGGCGTGAACCCGGGAGGCGGAGCTTGCAGTGAGCCGAGATCGCGCCACTGCACTCCAGCCTGGGCGACAGAGCGAGACTCCGTCTCAAAAAAAAAAAAAAAAAAAACAAAAAACAAAAATTAGCCAGACGTGGTGGCAGACACCTGTAATCCCAGCTACTTGGGAGGCTAAGGCAGGAGAATTGCTAGAACCTGGGAGGTGGAGGTTGCAGTGAGCCGAGATCGCACCATTGCACTCCAGCCTGGGGGACAGGGGGAGACTCTGTCTCAAAACAAACAAACAAACAAACAAACAAACAAACAAAAAAGAAAGAACCTGAAAGTTTCCATTGACCCAAACCTTCAAGCCATCTATCCATGTAACTTAACAATACAGAAGCATTCCAGAACTCTGCAAATTCCCACTTAGACTGGAAGTATACTGACTTCTGGCATAGAGATGAGACACAGTATTTCCTTAGTGGAAAACAAGACTGGAGTAGTATTCTGCTTTACTCTAATAAGCGCCTAATAGCCAGAAATTGAATCAAGAAGAATGCCTTCAAAGAACACAGCACACAATTTTACAGACTAAGCTCTTGAGGCTTGAGAACAAGAGATCATTCGCTATTCACTTGTGGATTTGCTCTTAACTTTCACAAAAATTAAATTTAGAAGTTATAATATTCCTCCAACAACTTGAAAATACTGAGATAGTTTGAGCAAAATACGGTCACAACTTACATTTTATGCCAAAGTGTTAATATTTATTTTATCCAAGAGAATTTTCTTAACCAACACTTAAAGAGCACATACTGTTTTTTTTCTGTGGAAAATACTTAATAAATGTTTTTATAAATTGGAAAATGATAAAAACAAAAGTAATCAACCAATCATGGATTTCCATGTGCTGAAACAGAAAAAACGCACAAGTAGTTTTATGTCTTAAATTTGTACAGCAGTGTGAAAATTCTATATTTGATTTCATTTTGGCATTATTTGTTTTACCATTTTTGATTTATTGATTTTATTTTCTTCCTATCTCACTGCTTCCTCTACAAAAAGAAAATGTGTTACATTATTAGTTATAAAGAACACTTCAGTCATTACTACTACATTTTATCTTAGATTATTAAATATGTAAAATACATGCATTCATTATGAATAGTTAGGTTGTAGATAGCATATATATAATTATAAAACCAACTATTTCAAGTTATTAATGTCATCTAAACTTTAATAAAATACAAATTAAAATCCCAAGGTTTTCCATATTTTTGTCGTTTTTGACTCTTCATTTTTAAACATGACATTTTTCATCTCCAGTTGTTCAAGAACTTATGAGAACCTATTGATTAGTATCACAATTTTTGTACCAGTTTTATTTCATCAAATTTTAATACCATTATAAAGAAAGAGAATTCAATTCAGAAAAAACGTGACCTATAAAAATTAAACATATTCGTTTAAACTTTATTAATTATATTAAATGTATTAAGGAAAAAATTTAAACACATGGAAATGAAATTTTATACAATGGATAACATCTTCAAAGAAGATGTATGTAATATCAATAAGAAAATATGAAATAGCTATGACCTTGCTACTGCCCTCTGGACAAGAGATTTTCATATGGCCAGGCAAGTTATCTCCTTTATTTTAATGGTAACCGGAATTCTATACTTTTTTCAGGATTTAATATGCATATTTATAATAAATTAGTATTTCTGTTTAAGGAGGCAGTGCTTTATTTCAGGAACTTAAGTGCAAGAGCATTTAACTGTGAAAGAAAAGCATGTAAGTAAATTTTAAATAATGTGGACTTCAGAGAAAAGTTAACAGTAATAATAAAAGAATGTAGTTTAGGAATAAATATGACTCTCAATCATGCATAACAGAGTGGACAATCCTCTCACTATGACTGCCTCATTCTACATTTGGCTTACCATGTCTTGGACACTTTCCTTGATCACTTCTTTCTGCATAAAACATGCTGGGACAAATGCTGGAATCCCTGGAGAAAGAATAAAATGGATCAAGAAAGAAAAAAGGGAGAGAGAAAGACAAAAAAAAGAAAAGAATGAAAGAAGGAAGGAGAGATTGGGAGAAAGAATGCTCACCCACTACTTACATTAATAAATGTAAATTGATCACTAATTTGAATGGCACTTAAATATATTACACTTAGCATTTCAATTATTTTAACTTAAAATATTATATACTCATTAAAAATTCTACTCAATGTCACAAGCAATTTAAGAACCATCATTTTTTGTTTTTTGTTTTTTGTTTTTTTGAGATAGGGGTCTCATTCACCCAGGCTGGAGTGCAATGGCTCGATCGCTCAGCTCACTACAACCTACTGGGCTCAAGTGATCCTTCCACCTCAGACTCCTAAGTAGCTGAGACTACAGGCATGTGCCACCATGCCGGGCTAATTTTTGGATTTTTTTGTAGAGATGAGATTTTGCCATGTTGCTTAGGCTGGTCTCAAACTCCTAGGCTCAGGTAATCTGCCCATCTCAGCTTCCCAAAGTGCTAGGATTACAGGAGTGAACCACCATGCCTGTCCTTGCTTTTTATTGTTATACAAGCTATAGCAAAAGATTATTTTCATAGAGTATCAAAATATGTGTTTTTCTTGTTTGACAAAGGGTAATACTTTAACTGATAGAAATTAATAGAAACAAAATGGCTTGAACTAGGGTCATGTAATATGGTTTGGGTATTGAGTTCTTACATAGTTGATATGCTATCATAAATATAATAAATTTAAATAGAAAGGAATCAGTAGTTTGGTGCATGTAATAGAAATCATATTTGAACAAAGTTTTAAAGGGCTGCTATCATTTGCATTTTAATAATATTACCTTCTCCTTAGTCAGCCCCAGGTACTTGTCTACTTCAAATTAATTAAAGTTAGAGTACGAGTGCAAGAGGAAAATCAAATACCAATATTCAGATTAAGATAATACAAATATGATTTTTCAACAAGTCATTAGACTTGAATGTGAAGCATTTCTGAAGAAGAAATTACCAATCATAATTTCAGCTCTATGAACTAGATGACAGAGGGAAATTCTAGGCTGACAGGAAGAAATAAGCGGACACTCCAAGTCCTAGGGGAGTATAGAGAAAATACCAGGCAGGGAAGCTTTCAGATATGTCTCATTTCTCTTTTCTGGGTTTGGCATTGAGGAGGGGAGGTGTCACTTAGTTTGATAAGGAGGCTGAGGACAAGGAGCTCTTGTCCACTTCTCCATTTGGGACGCTTGGAAGAGACTGGAGCAAAGGACCTTGTGTGTCCATTGGGTGGAGCAGTAACACTGGAAATGGAGTAAAATGACCACAGATAAATAGGGTCCGGAACGATCTGCCAAGTTTCTCCTGGTTCCCATGTGGCTACAGAGAGTGGAGTGATTAGGCCAAGGATCCCGATGGAGAAAGTGGCAGAGAATGGGCAACACAGCAAGAACTGAGTCAGGACAGAACCACTGACTGAGTCGAGAAAAATTATATTTTATGTTCATCAGCCCCAGATGTCAGCGGCAGATGCCAGCAGAACATCCTGAGAAGGGACTAGGCCAAACAAAATCCTGCAGCAGACAGAGAGCACCCACTCTCCAGTGGTCTGCAAACCAGTAAGTTTCTGATAGATGGCTCTAAAGACTCTCCCTTTCTTCTCTTATATGTTCACAAGACCTCAACAATTGACTCAGTCCCTGCATTCCACCTGCATTTAGCTGAATTATTTGACAATGAAAGCCACATATGACAAGGGATTTTACTAAAGAAGATCTCTAAATCTTCCTTAGTTTGCACATGGCAGAAGGTGTGAGTTAACAGTAAATCAGCAAAAATTTAATTTAATCCTTTCAGACCAATTTGTGAAACAAAATGCCAAATAATCTTTCCTTTTCTTTTGTTGGAATTCCCTCCAACTGCACTCCACCACTGTTCAACTCCCTGGAGTGTACAGAGCAGTTGGTAATGAGACAGGCACAGGCACTCCAGCCTAATCCTTCACACAACAGGCTGACTCACTTTATATGTGTTGAATCTTACTCATATTTAATATTTAAATGGAAAAGAAACAAATTATTTCTCTTTTACATACACACGAACTCACAACTTTGCTTCCATAATTTGGGATGAGATCTGGCATGTTCAGGGTGGTATGCCTATAGACTGCTTCCAAGATTTCAAATTCTTCTGAAGTTTTTACAGACAATTTGGCTAAAGATGAGGGATCATTCCATTGACTATAATCATAAATGTATAAATGTTACTCCGGCAAATGACTAAACAGTAGAATTAAGTGCATTGTGTTCATTTTATTACTATTACATCAAGCAAAACAAAATGAGATTATTCTGTTACTTATTGAAAATTTGCTGTAGACTTTATCTTGTCCTGGGTCTTGAAAAAGAAGAGCCAGGTAGAAATGGCCTCTGCTATCAAAGAGTTTATCATCTAATGAGTGACACACTCATAAACAAAAAGACAAATGACTTACAGTAGGAACAATTCAGATGGAAGTGAAAGAAAAGTTGAACTAAATTAATGTAAGCATAAAAAAGGAATTCAGTTTCACAAACTCAAAGCATCCAGGGACAATCTGACTTCAGGTATGGTTTGGTTCAAGGCTCAAGTAATGTGCCTTGAACTTGGGTTTTCTTATTCTGTTTCACAGCTGTGGTTTCTCAAATGTTGGAACTGGCCTGTACCATCGTTACTGCAAAATAGTTTAATTTAAATGTGCCCACAATTGAACCAACTACTGTGCATCTGGTGAACTCTACCCCAATCAAATGATTGAAAATGAGTGACGGATATTACTCCACAGGAAATTTCTAGAATTGTTATGAAGAGGAAATCAATGCTGAGTGACAAAAATGAAGGAAGGAAAGAAAAGAAAGAAAAGAAAGAAAGAAAGGAAAAAAGAAAAGAGAAAGAAAGGAAAGAAAGAAAAGAAAGAAGAAAGAAGGAAAGAAAGAAAGAAAAAGAAAGGAAGGAAGGAAAAAGAAAAGAGAAAGGAAAGAAAAAGAAAGAAAGAAGAAAGAAGGAAGGAAGGAAAGAAGGAAGGAAAGAAAGAAAGAAAGAAAAGAAAGAAAGAAAGAAGGCAAGAAAGAAAGAGAGAAAGAAAGGAAGAAAAAGAAGCAGTAGAGTGATTAAGGGATAAGGCTTGCTAACTCAGACTGCATGGGATTAAATCCTGGTCCAAACAAGAAAATGTTTTCATCTCTATAGATATTTTTTCTTCATGAGTTGAATAACAATAACAGTACTAATAGCTCAAAATCATTTGAAGATTTGGTGACACAATCAATTGCTTCAAAGAGAATAAAATGCCTAGGAATCCAATTTACAAGGGACGTGAAGGACCTCTTCAAGGAGAACTACAAATGAGAACTACACTGCTCAATGAAATAAAAGAGGATACAAACATATGGAAGAACATTCCATGCTCATGGGTAGGAAGAATCAATATCGTGAAAATGGCCATATTGCCCAAGGTAATCTATAGATTCAATGTCATCCCCATCAAGCTACCAATGTCTTTCTTCACAGAATTGGAAAAAACTACTTTAAAGTTCATATGGAACCAAAAAAGAGCCCGCATCGCCAAGTCAATCATAAGCCAAAAGAACAAAGCTGGAGGCATCACGCTATCTGACTTCAAACTATACTACAATGCTACAGTAACCAAAACAGCATGGTACTGGTACCAAAACAGAGATATAGATCAATGGAACAGAACAGAGCCCTCAGAAATAACGCCGCATATCTACAACTATCTGATCTTTGACAAACCTGAGAAAAACAAGCAATGGGGAAAGGATTCCCTATTTAATAAATGGTGCTGGGAAAACTGGCTAGCCATATGTAGAAAGCTGAAACTGGATCCCTTCCTTACACCTTATACAAAAATTAATTCAAGGTGGATTAAAGACTTAAACATGCCTAACGTTTAAAACCTTATGCAGCCAAAAAACACATGAAAAAATGCTCACCATCACTGGCCATCAGAGAAATGCAAATGAAAACCACAATGAGATACCATCTCACACCAGTTACAATGGCAATCATTAAAAAGTCAGGAAACAACAGGTGCTGGAGAGGATGTGGAGAAATAGGAACACTTTGACACTGTTGGTGGGACTGTAAACTAGTTCAACCATTGTGGAAGTCAGTGTGGCGATTCCTCAGGGATCTAGAACTAGAAATACCATTTGACCCAGCCATCCCACTACTGGGTATATACCCAAAGGACTATAAATCATGCTGCTATAAAGACACATGCACATGTATGTTTATTGCGGCACTATTCACAATAGCAAAGACTTGGAACCAACCCAAATGTCCAACAATGATAGACTGGATTAAGAAACTGTGGCACATATACACCATGGAATACTATGCAGCCATAAAAAATGATGAGTTCATGTCCTTTGTAGGGACATGGATGAAATTGGAAATCATCATTCTCAGTAAACTATCGCAAGAACAAAAAACCAAACACCGCATATTCTCACTCATAGGTGGCAATTGAACAATGAGAACACATGGATACAGGAAGGGGAACATCACACTCTGGGGACTGTTGTGGGGTGGGGGGAGGGGGGAGGGATAGCTTTAGGAGATATACCTAATGCTAAATGACAAGTTAATGGGTGCAGCACACCAGCATGGCACATGTATACTTATGTAACTAACCTGCACGTTGTGCACATGTACCCTAAAACTTAAAGTATAATAATAATAAAATAAAATAAAGAGTTAGCACAGATATGGTACAGATAATAAGCAGTTCATAAGTGTAAACTGTAATGGTTGTTACTTAGTTTTCTAACTTCATTTTTTTGCAGCATGAATTCTGTCCTTTATTTCTTCCAATGATAATTACGTTTATCTATTGAATTGTAATTCCCTTATCATTTTTCTTATCTCAGAAACCCCTAATATTGTCTCATAGTGAGGTCTCTTCCTTTTATCCTTGCATCTCTACATTAGCCTGCTTTTCTTATGACTGTTGCATCACATTTCACTGAGACTGTACCTGTGCAGGTTGAATTATGCAACAGTAAAACGCAAACCCAAAATATCAATGGCTTTCAACAATCCATGTGTTGTTGCCTACACTCATGTTACATGATCATTTGGCTGTGTTTGAAGCCACATAATCTTCACTCTGGGAAATTACTAGGCTTACAGCAAAAGAAACGGGAAATATGAAATATATTAAATCTTTTTAGAAATAGCACCCATTACCTCTCACATTTCATTAGCTAAGCAAATCATGTGGTTAAGTCTGATATCAATAGAGTCAGAATATATAATTCTTCTATGGCGAAGACTAAATATTTTGACATTTGTAAGTAATGTAATTTACCACTTTCTTTTTTGGGGGGAAAAAGCTTTTTTGTTCCTTTTTCGGGAGAAGAAGCAAAAACTCTCAATACATGAAAATCATTTAGAGATATTTTTAGATCTCAGTTTTACCCACAATACCGTCTTTCCTAAGAATCAAGTCATGCGCCTGTGGTTGATAATTACTATTAGAAATGTCAATAAGTCACTTTAATTTTATCTATTTGTCTATTTATTAACACAAGGTCATATGGTTGATCCTATTCAGAGCTATGCCCTTCCTCTTTGTCAGTTGTTCTCAAAATACAGATCATGGTGGTCTGGAGGACTCCAACAGATTTTACTGGGCTTAATGAAATCGAAACTGTTTTCATAGTAACTTAATCATAGTAATAGATAGGATTTACCTATTTCACTGTTTTAACATTTGCCCTGAAGGTATAAAAATAATGCTGAGTAAAACTACTGGTGTTTTATTATGGACCAAGGCAGTGAAACCCAAATATGCTATACTCTTCTTGGTCCTTTCGTTCTTCATTGCCACTCAGATTTTTTAATCCAGTTTTTCTTTAATGTATCTTTGATGAAGCAGTAAATATCGATCATATTGTTACATTTAAATTGAGCACACACGTATTTAATATTTTTTATGATAAAATGTGTAATGTTTTTCTCACATTGCAAAAGTGAGAAATGAGAAGAGCCCCTTGCACAGTGGAGTTGTGAGCTGAACCAGCTACTTTTTTTAATGGACACCATTTTAGCTTTAAAGAATGACTGACAGAAAAAAATAGTTATTGAGACTTGCGTATTTGTCAGACATTTTCTCAAAAATGAATGAAATGTAATGTTAAACAACTTAATGTTAAAACAACTGACAACATTTGTTTCCAACAACCAAGTCAAGATTATAAGCAAAAAAATCGGGTTTGGAAGATTTGTATTTGCTACCATAAGCCTGACAGTTTCCCAATGTTTCAAGTCTTATTGTGTCCAGAATTTGTGGGTTCTTGGTCTCACTGACTTCAAGAATGAAGCCACGGATCCTCATGGTGAGTGTTACAGTTCTTAAAGATGGTGTGTCTGGAGTTTGTTCCTTCTGATGTTCTGACGTGTTCAGAGTTTCTTCCTTCTGGTGGGTTCGTGGTCTCGCTGGCCTCAGGAGCGAAGCTGCAGACCTTCGCGATGAGTGTTACAGCTCTTAAGGCGGCTTGTCTGGAGTTGTTCATTCCTCCCAGTGGGTTGGTGGTCTCGCTGGCCTCAGGAGTGAAGCTGCAGAACTTCGCAGTGTTACAGCTCATAAAGGCGGCACCAACCCAAAAAGTAAGCAGCAGCAAGATTTATTGCAAAGAGTGAGAACAAAGCTTCTACAGAATGGAAGGGGACCGGAGCAGGTTGCCACTGCTGGCTCGCAGCCTGATTTTATTCCCTTATCTGACCCCACCCACATCCTGCTGAGCGGCCCATTTTTACAGAGAGCTGATTGGTCCGTTTTACAGAGCTGATTGGTCCGTTTTGACAGAGTGCTGATTGGCGCATTTACAATCCCTGAGCTAGACATAGAGTGCTGATTGGTGTATTTACAATCCTTTAGCTAGACATAAAAGTTCTCCAAGTCCCCACCAGATTAGCTAGACACAGAGCACTGATTGGTGCATTTACAAATCTTGAGCTAGACACAGGGTGCTGATTGGTGCATTTATAAACCTTGAGCTAGACACAAAGTGCTGATTGGTGCATTTACAATCCCCAGCTAGACATAAAAGTTCTCCAAGTCCCCACCTGACTCAGGAGCCCAGCTGGCTTTGCCTAGTTAATCCTGCTCCAGGACCATGGGCAGAGCTGCCTGCCAGTCCCTCACCGCGTGCCTGCACTCCTCAGCCCTTGGGCAGTCGATGGGACTAGGCGCTGCAGAGCAGGGGTCAGCGCCCATCTGGGAGACTCCAGCCGCACAGGAGCCCACTGCTGGAGGGGCTCCGGCATGGCCGGCTGCAGGTCCCAAGCCCTGCCCTGTGGGGAGGCAGCTGAGGCCCGGAGAGAATTCGAGCATGGCGTGGGCCGGCTGGCAGTGCAGGGGGACCCGGCACCCCCTCCACAGCTGCTGGCCTGGGTGCTAAGCCCCTCACTGCCCAGGGCTGGCAGAACCAGCCGGCCGCTCCTAGTGTGGGACCCGCCGAGCCCGCACCCACCCAGAACTCGCGCTGGCCCATGAGCAAGGCGCACAGCCCTGGTTCCCGCCCACACCTCTCCCTCCACACCTCCCCACAAGCAGAGAGAGCCAGCTCCGGCCTCGGCCAGCCCAGAGAGGGGCTCCCACAGTGCAGCGGGGGGCTGATGGGTTCCTCAAGTGTGGCCAGAGTGGACGCCTTGGCCTGAGGAGGTGCGGAGAGCAAGCAAGGGCTGCTAGCACACTGTCACCTCTCATTATGAGATGAGTTTGGCAGCAATATTTATAAACTCAACTTTTAGCTACTGGGTAGTACACTGTGTTCAGATTTAAGATAATTGCTTCAAGGGTCGGGAGTGGTGGCTCAAACCTGTAATCCCAGCACTTTGGGAGACCGAGGCAGGTGGATCACGAGGTCTGGAGTTTGAGACCAGCCTGGCCGAGATGGTGAAACCCCCTCTCTACTAAAAATACAAAAAATAGCCTAGCGTGATGGCGGGTGCCTGTAGTCCCAGCTACTCAGGAGGCTGAGGCAGAGAATTGCTTGGCAGAAGTTGCAGTGAGCCAAGATGGCACCACTGCACTCCAGGCTGGGTGATAGAGTGAGACTCCATCTCAAAAAAAAAAAAAAAAAAAAAAGAGATTGCTACAACTTAGTGAACCAATATCTTCCAATTGACCAATGCATGGTATTAGTTTGTCATCCAGGGATAAAACACCCAAAGTAGAAGCGAAAATAATGGGGTTTTAATGTAATAGCACTAAAAGATAAATATATATTCAGGCTCCACATTACAAATTACCTTTAATAAATTACACACATTGAGTTTTGTCTAACATCTAAAAACAATACCTACAATTATCTGAAAAGGCTAGTACAAATTTCATCTTTCCAACTGGGTATCTACTTGCCTCCCTTCCTTCCTCCCTCCCCACTTCCCTCCCTCCCTCCCTTTTTTTCCTTTCTTCCTTCTTCATTCTATCTTTCCATGGTGGATTATTTAGACCAAAAGCTCAAGGCTAGAGTGAGAATGAAGAAAGAAACTTAAGAAAGTACTTATGTAACATAGTTTTCACCTTATATTGTGAAATATATTCTAAAAACAAAATACAGTACCAATGTCTTGATGAGTACCTGTAATATATTTTTTTTAATTGTGGTATTCTGGTTCAATGTATTTGTTTTCTATTTTGTTTATATTAGTTTATGCTTGTAGATGACAAGCAACCAAAACTAAATTAAACATCGAAAATTTAAAGGAAGATAGTGCAATACCTCATAGACTTGGAGAACAATCTCAAGTACTATGCCCCAGAAAGACTTGAACAAGATCCCTTATGACTTATTTTTGAGTGTTTGTCCTCTGGGGTCTGCCATTAATCTAATCTGACTGCAAGCACATGTAGCTATGAGCTTTTATTCCAATTTCCTGAAAGAGAGATTGATTGGTCAGTTTGGGGTCAGGGATACACTGGGGTGGAGGTGATGGAAGGTAACATTGGCAGACATGGCCATTGGGCTAGAAGCATTGCATCCAGGCAGTAAGTTGTAGGTATTAAGAACATGAACTCTGTAGTGACACTTCTTTACTTCAAATTCTAGCTTTGTTTATTTATTCACTTTCAGACCTTGAGAAAGTTACTTCATTTTCTGTTTTTATAAAAGAGAAATAAAAAATAATACTTAACTCGGACAAGTTGTTTAGAGAGTTACATAAATTTGCATTTGCTAATAATTTAACAAAGTACCATTTAAGTGCTTATATTAATTTATTAGTGACTATTTTAAGTAATTATTGCTGTTTAAATTAATAATTGAGAGGTAAGCAGATATGCTGGTTTTTATCTACTATACATTTATTTCATATATCACTATTAATCTGTATTGTACATTATTTTACTTTGCATTTGAAAAATCATACTAAAAACTGAAAGAGATTTCTATAATGGAAAAATCACTAAGGAATGGGATTCTAGTCCTATTAAATCATATAGCAATCAAAAGACAATTTGAAGCCCGTCACTGTTTGACAACAAGTTGGGTATTATCCTGTAGAAATTTAAAAACCAGAATTGTATAAATCCAGTACAAGAAGGAACCCTAGGGAGAACTTGGTCTTTCCCGTCACTTTTTGATTGAGGAGACTGACTGAGGTGTTTGGGTAACTATCTGAGATCTCGCAATTGTAGCAAAGTCAGCACTAGAAAGCAGTATTCCCTCTCCCAGTCAAAAAACTAATGTGTTTCCGGTCCAACATTGTGCCTTCCTAGAAGCCTTTCATTGCACCATGCTTTTCACTACATTCAATCACCCCCAAAACACTCTGAATTTAGACTTTGATACCTTAGCACAGTGATTCTATCTGCCAAACATTGGTTTAGTTTCAGCAGTATTGCCATCTTTGCACAGGAGAGTTTCTGTAACTATTAGTATTGAAATGCAGAATTGTATTACTTTTTTTTTTGAGACAAGGTCTGGCTCTACTGCCCACGCAGGAGTGCAGCATGCAGAAACATGATCTCAGCTCACTGCAACCTCTGCCTTCTAGGTTCAAGCCATCCTCCTACCTCAGCCTCCCAAGTAGCTGGGATTACAGGCACATGCCACCATGCCCGGAGAATTGTCGTATTTCTAGTAGAGATGGGGTTTCGCCATGTTGCCCACTCTGGTCTCGAACTCATGAGCTCAAGCGAGCTGCCCACCTCAGCCTCCCAGAGTGGTGAGATTAGAGGCGTGAGCCACTGCTGTATTACTACTTAATTTAAAAGATCAAAAGAACTAAATAAAAGTGCCACAACTGGTTATTAAAATCATTGGCTCATAATATTAATTTATTTGAGGTAATGATAGGAGTTCCTTGTACTTTTCAATCTGCATCTCAAAGAGTGATCATCTGTTCCAAAGTATTCAATGAATACTTGTGAAACTGAATTGAACAAAAGTGAATTGAATTGAATTGAATTGAATCGAATCAAGTGATCCACCCACACTGGAAACTGTATTTACTCTATGAGACCACTAGGAGGAGATGCAATTTAGAATATTAAATTATTGCTGGGAAACCACAGATGACATCTTTTCTCCACCCTGAGTCTTATTTAGGTATTGAAATTTAAACCAATGTTGTAGTTGGCATTCGAGAAGATGAAAACAGGCCATCACTAAAGAAAAAAAGATCTTTTACTAGGTTAGGTAAAACGATAATGTATTCTTTATTTTGAATAAAAATATGTCAGTGCTGAGGCACCAGTGTAGGTTTATTGGGGAAGGGATAGTCTGGGGAAGGCCTTGAGAATGTCCCTGCAGTGCAAGAAAGATAATTGTCCTTTTTTAAACAATGTTCTTCAGAAATGAGAAAACCTATCTTGGTCTGAATTCCCTATAAACAAAGAAACAAACAAAACCCCGCCTGGTTATTAATCTTAAAATGCTATATACAACACAGATGGTGGTAATGAAAGATGCAGTTCAATCCTTCTCTATTAATGAAAAGTTTTAAACTGTGTAATTGCTGTACTATTTCATTTCATCCTTTTCTGTCATTTTAGTAATATATCTAAGCCAAACAAAGAAGTGTCTACAATAAATTACTATAAGAGAATACTGTTTTCTCAAGCATAAATCTGATGAGAATGGAACTTTAATGATTCTGACTGTGCCTATGTAGCCTTACATGGAACCATTAGATCAACAAAGCCAGCTGTTTTTAAGTTCCATCAGGAGTCAGTATTAAAATAAAAGTAAATATTAAGTCTGAATCTAATTCTATTTTATAAATATTGTCAATTTTTTAAATACTTTGCTTGATTCTCTTTTTAATTTTAACTTCTTCGACTTGATTATAAAATATTTTTTCTTCTTTTGTATGTCAGATAGTATGTTTCTCCCTGGAAATAAGGTTCTTTAAACTACCCTCATGATTCTACCTACCACGTTTAACCTCTAAGGGCTCCAGGATATATCAAAGAAGAATTATGGCAGGACTATAGAATGATTTTCTATACATTTACTTAAGCATATTATAAATGTGAAGTTTTGCTACTTAAGTAGGATCTTCAGAATTCAGGATGTTCTGAAAGATTTGGGCAAAAGGAGATTTATACATACACCGGATCAAATTTCCAAAACAAAAAATATAGACAGACTTTCTCAAACACTAGCTTCTACAGGATGATTTGCTTTATTTTGGGATATCATAATGTCACTTTCTGCTAGTATACATTATATATACTGATTCATGAAGCAATTTCACTATCAGAATTCTCAGTATAATCAACAACAATGGAGAGGAGGTGGAAGCCATGGATACTTATTTAGCACCTACTATTTACCATACACCTACAGTTTATTTTCCTGATCCATACTCCAGAAAGAGCCTCACAACTAATGAATTTTATGGGAAAGGGAGAACATATATGTGTATACATATATTTAATAAAAATAAAATTTAATAATTTACATTCTCTATATAACTATCTATATAATGTAAATATAACATATATAAATATATATATTTATTTATTTATATAACTTCCCTAGGAGCCAGAATCAAGAACAAAACACTCTTAGTCAAGATATTCTTTAAATAGCAGGAATTGTTTGGATGTCATGGTTCTATTTTATTTAAAGGGGGAGTATATTTCTAAGTAGTCAATCTTTTTTTCTAATCTAGCTGGAGATGATGGAGTCAATGTGCTTCATAAGGAATGTCCTTACTCAAAATGATCATGGTGTCACAACCATTCTATTGTTTCTGGTCAATTTCTATTTTAACTCAGTACATTTTAAAATCAACAATTATTGAAAAGGAAATCTGTATTGTTCATGACAGTTACACCATTCTTTTCTAAAACAACAGAGACTTTATTAAAAGCAAAGTTGCATACGGCCATTTCTTGAGTTTTTAATTTTATTACCAGTAAAAAGAACAAAACATCAGACAAGACTATTGTCCGATCCATCTGGTGCTATATTTCCTCCACACAAGACTTGTATCACACACACAATATTTCAACTGCAAATGTTGTTCAGCTTTTAAAACAATTGCCTATCAAAGCATCCAGGTCCCATTGATAACGGAGCAAAGCCTTTCCTGCAATTGTGAGCCAGGAAATGCTGGCCCCTTGGCAAGTCTCATATGTCCTGTTGCTTGTAATCTCCCTCCCTCCTTGCTGGAATGTGTTATTTTTAAGCAGCTAGACTAACAGGAAGAGAAAGTTGTACTTCTTTTCATGATATGGAGGCAGGCAGGGGAAGGCAGTAAAGCAAGAAACTGTTTCAGGAATTGAGGCTGATCAGATCTTAAAACCACTTACCAGATACCTAGCCACAGCTGTGAGAAAAATCTCCAGTTCCAAACAGTTTGGAATCAGTAGTAAGTCCACCATTCCATAGCCCAATACATTTTGCAGGCTCTGTGGACTGAAAAATTCAGACACAAACTGTACTGAAGGTGTATAGAACTTCATTGTTCTGTATTTACATGGATTAAAGAATGTGTTTCATTTTGCAGAGCAGCTCTGAGAATAAATCACTCTAAAGAGAACCACAGAAATAGAGACACATTTTATATCATGATGATTGCTGAATGTTGAACCAACATTCAATGGAACATTATACTGAAAAGCATAATTGCATAATTTGAAAAAGAAACACACTCTCATACTCACCTATGTCAGAAAGAGTATTACATATTCAATCTATCATATCTGTGTCTATAAAAATGATTTCATTACTTAAATAATTCATTTTTTCCTCTAAGTGTTTGCTTAAGGACAGGTCAGTGTTAAGAAAACAAAAATTGACCAAGGGCGTGATGAGTATGAAGGGCACTTTGCCTTGCTCATCTCAAACAAAGCATGTTTCTGCCTTAGATGTTTTGTTCTTGATGTTCTCCCTAGAATGCTCTTCCCCAAGACTGGCAAGTCTCCCTCTCTCCTTTAATCAGGCTTCTGCTCAAATGTAACTTTTGATGACTATCAAATCACACACACTACTCTATCTTCATGGACTTCCCCACTTTATGTTTTTCATAGCCCTTAGCATCACTGATACACTCTATACATTTACTTGTTTCTCCTGTGCTTATTTATTAACAATTTCTCCTCAAAGGAACGTAAGGCCCATGTGAGCAGAGACTTTGTTTTGTTTACTATGGCACTCCAAGCATGAGGAGAGAGCCGGCCATGGCAAGTGGCAGACGCTCAATAAGAAAATGTGGAATGGTTGAATAAGTTAATTTCTAGATACTTCTTAGTTGGTCATGGAGTACACTTAATTCCAGTTTTCTTTCCTCTTATTCATCTAAATAGTTCAAATAAATTGAAATTATAGCAATATATTCTAATGTATATGAAAGATTTTCCCTAGATATTATTAATACAAGTCCATGAAAGTCACAAGAAAAAAAAAATTAGTATGTGCCCACGAAGATAACCAACTACTAAACACTAAGAAAGGAGCTGAGATATAATTAATTTATCATTGTTATTCTTTCCCTCATCCATTCTTTATTTTCCCTAATAATTTAACATTAAATGATCATGAATTTAATCATGCAAACATTTGCAACTGCATACCAAAGAGCCAATACCCTTTCAACCCCACAAACTTTACTAATATGTAGTTTCCCTCAATGCCTACGAAAAGCCTCCAGTATCTATCCCAGATTTATTCATCAATTTTTGGCAGTGTTTTTTGTTCATTCTTTTTTTTTTTTTTTTTTGGAGACCAAATCTCACTCTGTCACCCAGGCTGGAGTGCAGTGGTGTGATCTCTGCTCACTGCAGCCTCTGCCTCCCAGGTTCAAGTGATTCTCCTGCCTCAGCCTCCAGAGTAGCTGGGATTACAGATGCATGCCACCACGCCCAGCTAATTTGTGTATTTTTAGTAGAGATGGGGTTTCACCATGTTGGCCAGGCTGAATTTGAACTCCTGGCCTCAAGTGAACCGCCTTCTTTTGCCTCCCAAAGTTCTGGGATTACAGGCGTGAGCCACCATGTGGCCTTTTGTTCATTCTTTAGAAGTCAGTTATAAGTACTAATGGATTTTAAGTTGATTGGTATTTAGAATATTTCAGATATCGCTCCCTTCGGCCAACATTTAATGCTTTCAGAATATCTTAAAAAATAGAAGAAAGAAACATAGAAATGATAAATAAGTATCAAAGAGGTACAATTTTATTAAAATTGAATTTCTATTTAAATTTTAAGCCCTCAATTGGGTTTTACAGGTTAAGGGGAAGAAAGATTGATCAGGCAATTTTGCTTATTTCAACACATGAAGTTGCTAGTACATTGGTTGACTCTGGTTCCTCTGTCATTCTGGATATCAAAGCAAGCCAGAGTTTCTTTTTTGTTTGTTTTTTTGCTTGCTCTTTTGAGACAGAGTCTCTCTCTGTCGCCCAGGCTGGAGTACAGTGGCATGACCTTGGCTCACTGAAACCTCTGCCTCCTGGGTTCAAGCGATTCTCCTGCCTCAGCCTCCTGAGTGGCTGAGACTACAGGCGCGTGGCACCACACCTGGCTAATTTTTTGTATTTTCAGTAGAGATGGGTTTTCACCGTATTAGCCAGGATGGTCTTGATCTCCTGACCTCATGATCCGCCTGCCTCCGCCTCCCAAAGTGCTGGGATTACAGGCGTGAGCCACCGTGCCCAGCCTCCAGCCAGAGTTTAATATGCATTGTGGTGCAGCAGAAAGGACAGTGAGTTTGTTCTTCTACTTTCCTTACCACATTTTTTTTCTGCATTAGAGACTTGGACAACTTAGAGAAGGCCTCCCCAAATCAGTCATCCAGTAGGAAGAAAAGATTCAATAATGAGGTAAACTTTTCCAGTGTTTTTCACGAGCCTTCCCCATCTGGGTCTTAGATTGACAGAACTGAATCTCCAGGAACTAGCACTCTCATGTGGCTCACATGGGCCTCCACCCCTCTCAGGTTTGCACCCCAGACATGTGGTTACTGGACAGTTCAAGAACTTGAAACTCTCTGACAATACTCTATTTAGTCTTAATGCAGAGCAAAGTCACATGCCCCTGCCTGTATCTGATCCCTGTGTAAGACGCCAGATTCAACTGAACCTGACAAAACGAACATTTTTCATTCATCCACACATTCACCAACTTTGAATGTTAAATGCCTATAACCATTTTCTGGGCCCTTTCCTGGGCTCACTGTCTTCAAAGCCATGGCTTTGTTCATTCATTGTCTCTATGTTCTATGTTTCCTTGTTGTGTTAAACCCAGACAAGTCAGCTCCGGGTTCATATACCTAAATGACCACTTGAGATCTCCATTTGAGTTTCTCACCAACGTCTCAAGCTCAACACGACTCAAAACTGCTTTCCTCCAGTGTATCCTTGCTCAGTACTAAGCACTATTGCCCATACAACTGTTTAGTCCAATATTCTAGGCCATCCTTATTTCCTTTCTTTTCCTCATCTCATACACAATCTATTACTGGTTTCTATTGTTTATGCTTCCCTTATATTGCCTAAGTAAGTACAATTCATTCTTGTCTCATTTAAAAGCTACCACTGAAATTATTTCCTTCAAAAATATGCCAGGGTTTACTCTTTTATTTCTTAAATTTATTTCACATATTATTTTCAATACATTGCTTTTATAAAATGCAAGTCATAAGCTTCAAATTTATGCTATAAATTCTTTATTTTCTTCCCACTTCCCATGGAAACATGATCCAAAATGCTTAATATGGCCTACAATGACCTCCATGATCTGGCTTTGCCTAATGCTTCAGTCTCATTTCTTAACACTGCCCCCTGCAGTCTCTCAGCTTTAGTCATAATGCATAAAAATGCCAATTCATGTGCCCGAAATGTTCCCCACTCCCATCACCTAGGTTACCAGCATGCATTCTTCAGGGGTCACTGTAAACATCATCTCCTTAGAGAAGTCATGCTGATTTCCTCTTACATGCATTTCCACCAAGCTTTTAGGGCTTGAAAAATTTTTTAAACTTGTAATAATTGAGCATAATATAATTTCTCTTAATGCTTACCTTTTCCTTTTTACTACAAGTACCATGAAGGCAAGAAATCATGCCAAGCATGGTCATTTCTGTGTCCCAAAATATCTGTCACAATGCCTAATATATAGTAAAGACTCATTCAATATTTGATAAGTGAGCGAACAAAAATAATCATTATTATGGCCAAGTTTGTGGTCCCCAAGCTGCTGTTTCAATTTTAAGAAGCCCATTCAAAATTCTTAGCTGCCAAGAGAAAACTTGAGTAATGTCTCTTTGCAAATCATTATACTCTTTCATTTCTCTCTGTGTTTAAAAGCTATTTCTTTATCCTAGAAAAAAATGTCATTAGCAGTTCTGTAAATATCAGCTAAGAAAAAAGAAAATAATGTATCAAGAAAGTAAATTGAGGAAGATAAACAAATCAAACATATCATGGAAAGAAAAAAGTATAAATTGTGATTTAAGAAAATGTATTGAAATTTGAATCTATGAAAAGTCTAAAAGAATAAATTTTCTATTGGAACAATAACGGAAATAACATCAGATTTATAATTTTTTAAAAAAAGCAGTTAAAACCAGGCTCTTCTTGACTGGAGGGAGAAAATAAGAGGCTGGTAAATAAACCTGAAGAGGTAACTTAGAAAGGTTTGTGTAATAGGAATGAAAATGATTTTTCACATGTCACAAGAAAGAAACATCCATTGGAATCCACTCTGAGGGTAATGAGCAGCTCGATTGGAATGTGAGCGGGAGGATGAGATGTCACAGAGCAACACTGAGAAGTACGGGCAGGCCTGGCCAGACAAATGCAGTGTTAAAAATCACACAGTGGCAGAGCTGATAAAAACACATGTGTTTTCTCTCCTAGTACGTAAGACAGTAAATGCTGCCATTTAACTTCAAGTCTTACACTTGAAAACCCTGATATTGCAGATGTAACATAAATTAAGAGAAAAGGATGTGACTTTATTGGTTAAAAAAAAAGCAAATGCAAATTTAGAAAGCTCAGCATGTAGAAAATTGAAAACAGAGAAGGAAATTGTTTCTAGATAGTATTCTAATTCACAAGGTTTAATTTTCAACTGATAAAATATAGCACAGCCTTGACCCTGAAACATTTGATTTAACAAGCAAAGTGCTTTGGAGGAAAGCAATGTATTTTCATAGCTCTCATAGGGAGCAAGGCGATTAGCTCAGTTAGGTAAAATGTTATTGGTATTAATTAGTTTTTAATATTTCTCTTTATCACTAGGCTTTCTGAATGTTTTTAATTTGGCTCCCTAACTTTAAACCCTTTAATAACCTCTCACTGTGCAGGTGCAAAGCCCTGCCACGATCGGCTGATCTGCCTTCTACCTCCTGCTCTCTTTTTTCACCACTCCTGCCCTACCCCTCTGCTTCCTCCTCACTGTTCTCGGAGCTGTCTCTTGAACATATCAAGTATACTTTTATATCAGGGCTTTTCTCCTTATTCCCTCTAACATGGAGACTCTTCATATTTTCTGCACCACGGACCCTTCCTGGAAGGAGGTAAAGCAGATAGAGGTTTCTCAGAAAGATGTTTCATAATGCATACAAAATTCACAGAATTACAAATGTAATCAATTCTATTGAAACAAAAGTATCAAAAAGATTTTAAAGCAAATTTTTATAGTAACATATATGCTTTTTAATTAATTCATCAAACTGAGATCTAGCAGCACATCTAAGAATAATCATAATGCCAAAATAGAGATGACAGTAAATGATATTTCAGGGTATCTTAACACTGTTATATAAAATACAATATCTGTAAATTAAGTACCAACATTACAGGTGCTGCTAGGACTCTTGTGGATTACTGATAAAATTCAAAATTGAAGGGAACACTAAATTTCACATACAGGTTATTGGGAGGAATATTTCCATATTTTTTTCCAAATCAAGTTCATAGGCTACCTGAATTCTAGGAGGGAGGCCAGACTGAAAACTCCTGCTTAATGAATCATCATTTTCCAAGATATCTATGTTACTCAGTTTTCACATTCTTCAATTATCTACCTACGTGTCTCTTTATAATAAGGTTTTCTCTGAGCATCCTAGTAAAATAGCACCCCTTTGTTTGCAATTTTTTTTTCTTTTAGATGGAGTGTCTCTCTGTCACCCAGGCTGCAGTGCAGTGGCACGATCACAGCTCACTGCAACCTCCACCTCCTGTCCTGGGTTCAAGCGAGTCTCCTGCCTCAGCCTCTGGAGTAGCTGGGACTACAGGTGTGTGCCACCATGCCCAGCTAATTTTTTGTATTTTTAGTAGAGACAGGGTTTCGCCATATTAGCCAGATGGTCTTCATCTCCTGACCTCGTGATCCGCCTGCCTTGGCCTCCCAAAGTGCTGGGATTACAGACGTGAGCCACCGCGCCCGGCCATGTTTGCGATTTTATATCCTCATTATTTTATTTTTCTCCATAACCCTTATTGACCTACCATATATTTACTCACTTACATATTTCCTGTCTCCCTAATGTCGTTTAAGTGCAAGAGTGTTTTTTTTTCTTTCAATCACTGCCATATTTCCAGCACCTAGAAAAGTGCTTGGCACACAGTAACAGTAAGCCATCAATAGATATTTGTCCAATGCCTTGGATGAATATGATTGTTTAGCATGACTTACAAAACTTTTTAAGATCTCATTTCTGATTATTTTGCTAGTCTCACCTTCCCTCCTTGACTCACTGTGCCCCAGCCACTGTTGTCTTCTTTCTGCTTTTAGGAGGAGCAAGTGCCATTCTGCCTCAAGACCCTAACCCAGGCATCTGAATCTCTCCTGAGTGGTCTCCCTCCATTCCTTTTCAGCTCCACTTGGCCTAGTGAACTCCGACTCATTCTGCAAGTCCCAGTACACCTTCTTTAACAGTCTGCATGAGGCAGACTCTCACAGTTCACTCTATATTTCTTCCATGACACTCTTCCCAAATGTAACTAAAGGATTACTTGTATAATTTTTCCTTTAGCATTTGTTTTTCAAACTAGACTGCAGCTCACTGGAAGCAGGTCACTGAAATTTAGAAGTGCCCAACCAACATCTTTTAAATGAAATCAATAAAGCAAAGATGTCACAGAGACAACTCTCTACAGATTCTTCTAAATGTAAAACTTGGAACACAATAACAAAGTTAGTTGGCCTAGCTTGAGCAATCATTGCTTGCACCTGTTGTCTTTGAATTACATTCTAACGAGATGGCAGAAATCACTCATAAATATTTATGAAGACAAAGAATTTGGCACAAACTAGCACTGGGTTCCAAACTCTAAGTGATGTTATTTCTTGTTCAGTAGCTATCCAGTATCACAGCCACCAGTCCCATCCTAAAGTGCTGCCAAAAACTTGAACTCCAGAAGGAGTATTTTTCCCTCTAGCTTGATTATAAAGCCTGAATTTAGATTCAACAGTTTCATATAATTTAATCTTAAGGGAAATAAGTTCTTTCATATTATCTTAAAACTGCCCATTTTCAGTAAACAAAATACTATGTAAGAGATATGTTGCATATAAAAGTAAGCAGTGTAAATGAAAGGAAGGATATTTTCCTTCTCTTTAGTCCTACTGTTTACAATCATGGTTAGGACAGTGATGTTGGTTAGGACAGTGATGATGGACAGTGATGATGATGATGGACAGTGATGATGAGGATGGAGTGAAGAATATTCAATACAGACAAGGGAGTTAAGGAAAAAATTGTAAAACCCAAAGTCAAACCAAGCTAACAAAATCAGCAATACCATTAGAATCCCCAAGAAGTAAAAGTTAATACATTTGAGGAGTAATTATGAACACAATTCTTCTCTCCAGAAAATACCTCCAGGTTCGTTATCATCAATACAGACATTTTATTACATTTTTAGAATACTTTATTGCTATCTATCCAATTGTGATTAAGTCTTAGAGGATTTTTATGCCATGTTCCTGTCTTTATTAACTGTCAGAAGACTATACCTCAGTGCTGGTATTTTGAAGGAAATATTGCAGAGTAGTTCAGGACTCCAGCTGTCATCAGTGCACAAGATGAAAGACCCGAACATAAAGTTAAGTGAGATCAAGTCGGTTATTCTTAATTTTAATGTCAGATAATTATTCGAGCATAGAAAAGTAACTGAATTATAGTGTTGGCATTATTAGTAGGGAGTAATTTTCACTTCCATCTAACACTTTGGGAAATGAGGCAAATAACACAAGAATCTCTTGAAAGTTACAGAAATATTCATAATTGTAAAGACATTTTCTTCTTTTCACAAATTTGGAGCCCGTTTAGAGAGCTTTATAAAGACAACAGCCTGCTCTTGAAATGGTTGCGAGCAAAATGAATTAAACCACTTAGAAGACAGAAATTATCTTAAAGAAATTACTCCAAAATGGGAGGAAGGTTAATTGGTGTACTCTTCAATTATTTTGCAACAGTTTGTAGGTGTTAATTTAAATTTTTTTATAGTAAATAATATACTCTATTACCATATCTAAGAAAGAGAAACAGTGATGAATGATAGAATTACACATGTCCAATATTAATTCCACTGGACATAGTAAAGTCATGACACTGCCTGTTGCACCAGAAGGAGGCCAGGGCTGGTGTGTTGCTGTGTTTACATGCACACATATAATTGCCACTAGCCGTTGTTCAATGCACTTTCTATAATGCGATCACTGAACAAGAATTAATTCTATTCTGTATACTCCCTCACACACACGCACACACACATGGGTTCACAAAGCTAGTTTTGAGGAAAGTCAGAACAATAATTTCTACGATAACATATCTACACTGAACAATATAAACCACTAAATTTCATAGCAATAGGGGAAAAGTGATGTAATTTCTAGTAGAATAACAATATTTATAAAAAATCCTTTGGTTTGCCTTGATTTCAAAAAAAGTGCACATAGAGATTTTTGTTTTGCAAATCCAATCATGAGTGTTGTTCACTTGTGCCCATCTGCATTAAATACATTTTTGTTTATCTGGTTAAAAACCAACTGCAAAACCACTGCTTATCAAAATTAATATCTGAAAAATCAAACCAGTAATCTGCCTCACTGGCTTCAATATATTCAATTAACATAAATACTTCATGTTCTATATGGCAAGTAGTTTTCTATGCAACAGGAATACCTCTGTAAGAGTCAGGGAGAAGAAAATTTATATTAGAACAATATGGAATGCCTTTGAGGAGCAAACAATAGAAGCAATTCAGAAGAGGCTGATTAACTTGTCTCAGGAAGGGAAAGGAAGGGTTCATAAAGAAGCCTGCATTTGCATATGTTTCTGGAAAAGAGTATATATTGTCTAGGTAAAAATAATGAGACAGCATCAAAGCCTTAAGAAACATGACATTGTAACATCTCCCCTATACCAAGATCATAAAGTAACCTCCACATGTGCCAGAAGGGCATATATATATATATGGAGAGAGAGAGAGAGAATATATAGAGAGAGACTAGAGAATACATGTATAGAGAGACATATCAGAGAATACATTATGAAACATGAATATACATTAAATCAACTATGCACTTTTCAAAAGAAACAAAAATAAACCACCATACTATTTATTCTATGACAACATAAACAACAAAGCAACTGCATAAAGAAAGACACTTAACATTCAAATAAGCTATGAACATCTTTTCATCCTATTTGAATACTGTTGCCTCAGTCTGTGCTGGCTGCTGGTAGGTCAGGGACAGAGGGTTGCATAGACATCATGGAGGGCCTGCTAGCCCCACTCTGAGACTACTTTAGTCTAGAGGAACACTCAGGTAGAGAGAAAGGGCACAGAGTGGTCAAAACGTACAAATAGGTAGCTTCAAGTATCTCTCAAGCATTGAAACTATTTCTGACAAAGATTTCACTGGGGTAGATGACCTCTCTCAGGGTGAGAACAGGAAGGCAACGTTTAAGAAACAAGGGACTCAGCTCTTTCTTTCAGTTGAGCTGTTTTCTCAGTGGCTTTCGTTAAAAATTAGCTAATTTTTGAGTTTGTTTTCCTGAGTAGGTAATTTAAACTAAGGAGAGAATCTGTGCAAAATAGGAAGGATTGGATGTGACTGTGTGGGGAAGACAGAAGAAAGAGGTTGCAGTTGCAGGGAGATCTTAAAGGGGTAAAACTAAAAGAATTTAAGAGTGTGTGTGTGTGTGTGTGTGTGTGTGTGTGTGTGTGTGTGTGTGTGTTGGAAACAGTCTCACTCTCCTTGCCCTGGCTGGACTGGAATGCAGTGGCGTGAATCAAAGCTCACTGCAACCTCAACTTCCTGGGTGCTGGCATTCTTCCCACCTCAGCCTCCCAAATACCTGTGACTACAGTCACGCACCACCATGCCTGACTAATTTTTGTATATTTGTAGAGACAGGGTCTCCCTATGTTGCCCAGGCTGATCTCGAACTCCTGGGCTCAAGTTATCTGCCCTCCTCAGTCTCCCAAAGTGTTGGGATTATAGGCATGAGCCACTATGCTCAGCCCGGAATGTATTTTATAAAAGTTTATGTTAAGGGGGGTTGAAATATTTGGTAAAATCTACATGACTTTAAAATCTACATAACTTACTGTGGTTAGATTGTTGGTTTTCTGACAAGTTTTTGTATTAACTTCAATGAATGTGGAGCAAGAATTGTGACTACTTATGATAAGCCAGACAAATATAGATTCTAACTGTATTTTGTAAAAGAAGTATTATGTTATTTATTGAAAAAAATATTAGCTGTGAATGAAACTGAACATTTGTATGTGAAGCTTTTACTAGAATAGCTAAAGAAAATAAACTAAATCCCTTGTTGTCTAGGATATAATTAAACAAAGTTGAAATGAAGAATTATAATGATAAGAAATTCCCATTTTAGCTATTTTTTGGTGGGATGCAAAGATTTCTTGCATTTTTTTGTAGAAGGAGCTATAATAATGTCATATGTAGCCAATAAATATTGTCAAAAATATCCATTTTGCTTTGTTTGAATCACAGTAACTTCACATTGAGTGCTTACTATGTGCTTGTAATACTGTGCTGCAGCTTTGCCCCTGTCCAGTTATTTAATGGGAACTTTAAGATATGGTAGTCCTGCGAGCTCCAAAGAAGTGCTGGACTTTCACTATCTCATTTCATCCTCCCTCTGTGACTGTGAGGCAGGTTCTGTCATCCCACTCTACAGATGCAGAAACTGACATGCAGGAAAAGTAACTAACATGCCTCAAGTCCTAGAGAGGCATGAGTGGCTGAGTCAGGATTCAAAGCACAGCAGTTGCTCTAGTTTACATTCTTGTTGCAACAATGCTGTGTCCAGACCCAAAGTCAACTTGTGATGGGAAGGAGTGCCCTGGAGAGGAGTCAGCCAGGGAAGTGGAAGTAAGATTCAAGACTGACTCACATAGATATGAGGCCTTAGGAAAGCTGTTTAATAGTCCTGCGATTTAGATGCAGAATCAGCATTCTTCCAAAGTTTAAATGAAATTGCAAACGTAAAATGAAGTGTTTTTTTTCTCCTAGTAAATGCTAGCTCTTCCCTACACAAAGTGACTTGTATAATTTCACCCAAGCTACCTATAAATAGACAAATATTAAGATTCAATTATAGGTTAATATTTTACAATAGAAATCTGACCTCTGCCTATTTTCCTTTTGTTTCATATTTATGCATTTATGTACTCAGGTGCTTTTTATTCATCCTTTTTGGGGATTCCAAGCTTGTTACTGCCAAGGTGATCATATTCTGAGAGAAATAACTCTAAAAAGGTAATTCTTGAAAATGTTTTTAAGACTTCCTTTAGATTTGAGTTCTTTTTCTAATTCAAGGAATTTTGCTGCTACTGTTTCCATTCCACTGCTTTGTTGTCTCCTTGGCTTTACCTATTCACTTACTATACTGTAAAACTAAGTTGTAGCTGGCTGTCTCTGCTTATACAGAAATCCCATGACTCCACTCCTGTTGCTTTCAGTTTCCCAGTGTTGCACTAAATTCTGGTTTCTGGCTGCCTTTATTCCTCCCTACATGTTTTTGAGGTATAAACCCCAAGTACAGTATTATCTTCGTATCTGTCCCAGCCTGATTCTCAGCTCTGTCTTTTTCTCGCTCCCTAAGTGGGCTCCCAGGAGAACATTCCTCTGCCTTATGATTTGGGCAAAAGGCTACCTATGCCATAAGAAATAACTTGTTAAGGTTTTTCCGTCTATTCTTTTCCAAAGATTGTGACTTCCGGTGTTTTCTGAGCCACAGTTCTCAGTACATTGAAGATGGGTTTAATTCCAATTACTATTTTAATGTCCAATCTTCCCTTTTACTTTATTTAACACATTTTATCATTGCCCCTTTAGAGATCTGTTATATTAACACTAAGGTTTTCTTCAAAATACAGTTGACCCTTGAATAACAGGGATTTTCATGGCGCAGGACCATTTATACACAGATCTTTTTCAACAAATATATTAGAAAATTTTCAGGAGACTTGAGAAAATTTGAAAAAACTCACAGATAAACCTCATAGCCTAGAAATAACTAAAAAAATAAAAAGTTAGATATGTCATGAATGAGTAAAATATATGTAGATATTATTCTATTTTATCCTTTACTACCATAAAATACGCACAAATCTATTACAAAAGTTAAAATTTATCAAAATTTATACACACACTTATTGACAATACATGACCTCATTCACAGTCCAGAGAAATGTAAACAAATGTAAAGATCCAGTATTAAATCAAAACCACATAAAATTAACTGCAATACATACTGTACTACTGTAATAATTTTGTAGCCACATCTTGTTGCTATTGCAGTGAGTCGAAGTGTTGTGAGTATCTGCTGAAAATACCTTGTGATGTTAATCGTCTCTATGTGAGCAGTTCCTCACTACAGTAAACTGTTTATCACAGTAAAAAGAGATCTCTCATTATAGTCATATATTTGCCATGTTTAGTGCAATATCATAAACCTTGAATAACATGATAGGACTCAAAATAAAGTGCCATTAGTGATGCAGGAACTGCTCCCAAAAGCAGAGGAAAGTCATGAAATTGCAAGAAAAAAGGTTAATTGCTTGACATATACTTTAAATTGAGGTCTGCAGTTGTGTTTGCCTGCCATTTCAAGATAAATGAATGCAGGGTAAGGATCATTGTTAAAAAAAAAAAAAGATACATGAAGCCCTTTCTACAACTATGCCAGCAGGTGAACAAACCTTGTACTTTTTGCAAGATATCTTATTATCTTATATTGAAAATGTAGCTTTTATGTGGACACAAGATTGCAATAGGAAATGCTCTTTCTTTATAGCAATAAGATAGAGTCTTTAGACTTTAATATGGTTAAAGCCTAGATGGACTCTAACATGATTTGATAAAAAACGAAGTCATTTTATGACAAGCAAAAGGAAAGTGCAGAATCTAAAGCTGGAGGATTTAATGCCAGCAAAGGATGATTTAATAGTTTTAGAAATAAGTTTGGCTTAAAAAATATCAAAATAACAGCAGAAGCACTTTCTATTGACCAAGAGATAGCAGATGAATTCCCACAAAGAAAAGTATTGAGGAGAAAAGATATCGACCTGAAGGGGATTTTAATGTAGACAAAAGTACCCTATTCTGGAAAAAAATGTCTTAAAGGATATTAATAATGAAGAGAAGTGAGCACTAGGATTTAAGGCAGAAAGGGATAGGCTAACTCTACTGTTTTATGTAAATGAAGTTGAGTTTACGATCAGGACTGACCTTTTGTATAAAGCTGCAAACCCCCAAGCCTTGAAGGGAAAGATAAACACCAGCTGCTAGTCTTTTGGTTTTACAACAAGCAGACCTGGACAAGAACCATTTTTCTGGATTGGTTCAATTGATGCTTTGTCCTTGATGCCAGAAGGTACCTTTCTAGTAAAGGGCTGCCTTTTAGCATTCTTTTGATTAGACAAACCCTTGGCCACTCAGAATCCCATGAGTTCAACATCAAAGGCATCAAAGAAGTCTATTTGCTGCCAAAGATATCTCTAATTCAGCTTCTAGATCAAGGGGTCATAAGGATTATTAAGGCTCATAATAAATGGTACTCTATAAAAAAGATTGTCCAAGCTGTGGAAGAGAAACACGATTGAGAGACCACGAGTCTGGAAAATTACACCAGTGAAGATGCCCACATTTGTGATAGAAAAAGTCATGAAAGTTATCAAGATCAAAACAATAAATTTCTGCTGGAGAAAATTCTGTAACATCACAAGATTTACAACATAGCCAATCAAGGAAATCATGAAAGAGCTTCTGGATATATCTAAAAAAAAAGTAGGGAGGAAAGGGTTTCAAGATGTGGATCTTACATAAATTCAAGAGCTAATAAACATCACACTGGAGGTATTAACAGAAGGAACTTGATGGAGATCAGTATTTCCGACCCAGTCCCAGGTGATGAGAAAGAAGTCATAGAAGAAGCAGTGCCAGAAAACAAATTGACATTGGACAACTTGGCAGAGGGTTGATTATTTAGGGCTGCTTTGGACTTCTTTTACCACACGGACTTTTCTGTGTGAGTGCTAAAACTAAAGTAAAATGGTGTAAAGATTATTGGTACCATGAGAAACATTTTTAGAGAAATGAAAAAGAAAAAAGTTAGAAATTACAATGTATTTCTTTAAGGTTACACATAGTATACCTAATTCTCCTGCCTCTTCTTCCACCTCCTTCACCTCATCCACCTCTGCCACCCGTGAGACAGCAAGACCAACCCTTTCTTTTCCTTCTCTTCCTCAGCCTATTCAGTGTGAACACAACCAGGACGAAAGACCTTTATGATGATCAATTTCCACTTATTGTATAGTAAATATATTTTCTCTTCCTTATGATTTTCTTAATACCATTTTCCTTTCTCTAACTTAATTTATTGTGAGAATACATTATATAATACATACACATCATATGTGTTAATTGACTATTTGTGTTATCAGTAAGACTTCTGGTTAATAGTAGACTATTAGTAATTAGGTTTGGGGGAGTCAAAAGTTGTTCATGAATTTTCAACTGAGCAGAGGGTCAGCATCTCTAACCCCTATGTTTTTCAAGGGTCAACTGTAAAGTAATATTGAAGCAATTATATAACCAATATTTTAACCAAAAGTTTCAGTTAAGGTACCCTAAGCAACCAACGTGTTTACCAAAAATCTCCTTTTACAAAGATTTTATAAATTGCAAGGACGTTACTATTGTTTTAGTGATGGAGACCACAAGAAAAATTTCTCTCATATCTTGGAATTAGTAATCCCACATTGTATTTTGCTGGTGGCACAAATAAGATTTCAACTTTTGAACATTCTGACATAAATCATGTTTCTTTTTTCACATTACCTGTTTAGAAGGCTTTGAGATAAAAACGTGATCTACATCTAGCACGTGAATACTGTCTTTTATGCACCTCATCATATTACCTCTTAATTTTCTATCCTACTATTTTCTATCCTACTGTAACTCTATGTCTCATATTCCTTACTTAATTTAACTTTATCTTGTCCTGCAGACATCTTAGCCTCTATTAAAACTTTCTAAAATATAACAGGTTATATTCATTACATTTAATTAAAGACATTCAACAAAGGAACTTCTGTGGGAAAGTTCAAGATTGAGCAATTTTTAAGAATATTTAAATGTGGTTACAAGAGTCAAGCAGACCCCGTGTTGCAGCTTCAGGAACTCAGCTGGTCTCTGGTCCTCACCTTGGCCCTATGGACCCGGCTGGACATTGCCCCCAGCACAGTGGGGAGCCTGGTGCCCAGTGGCCCTGGGACTGGTGCACACCATCGAGCAGCTGGCTGGCTGGGCCTGCAGGCACACAGGTGCCAGCCAAGTTTGGGTGGAGCTTATCAGAATAATTTTTAACATCAACTCCCAGGAGAATCTGAAGGTATACATCATCGGTCAGCCTCCTTGTTGGTCTTTATGATCATTGTGGGCACCATGGCATAGCTTTCCCAACCCTGGACTGTTTCTTCAAAATCAAGGAGATTAAGTCACCAGAAATGGCAGAAGATTGGAATACTTTTCCGCTATGGTTTAATGATTTGGACTTGTGTGCACCAGAAAATGAAACATTAAGGCATCTCAAAAATGACACCAAAACTTTGGGAAGCATAATGACCATGCAGGCCAGAGCATCGCCAGAACATCCACCAGGTCTTCCCAGGCCCTGGAGGATTCAGGCCCAGTTAACATCTCAGTCAAAATCACCCTAACCCTGGACCCACTCAAATTATTTGGAGGGTACTCTCATGGCATCACTCATCTGTATTCAGTCATTTTAGGTCATCAGATTGGACTTTCCGACAGAGAAGCCCACGAAGAGGTAAATATTACCTTTACTCTGCCTGCAGCTTGGACATCAGATAGCTGTGCTCTTGATGGTCACCATGAGCAGATGGTGTTCACAGCCTGCATGATCCTCACGGACAGCCCGGGTGTGTTCCCCATCACTGTGCAGCCACCGCACCGTGTTTCTGACACATACAGCAATGCCACCCTCTGGTGCAAGATCTTTAGAACTGACAGAAAGGCCAACACAGAATACGCTCAAGATTACAGTCTTTTCTGGTGTTAGAAAAGGCCCATTGAAAAAGACTATCATGTTTTTAATCCCAAGCATACAGTTATTGCTCCAGATGATGACTGTTCATTAATAAATTTGCATCTAATGCATACCAGTTACTTCCTCCTCATGATGGTGATAATAGTGTTTTGCTATACTGTTATCAAAGGCAGACCCAACAAATTGTGTCAGAGCAATCCTAAATATTGTCCTGAGAAGACAGCTTTGGCTGACACCTAATCCCACAGTTTCTTGTTTTCTGAGAGAGACTGAGAGAACCATAATCCTTGCCTGTTGAACCCAGCCTGGGCCTGGACACTCTGTAATACATTATCTTACAATGTTGGGTTATTCCAACCAAAGACATTTAAAGTGCCTGTAACTTATTTGTATGTATGTATGTATTTATTTATTTATTTTGAGACGGAGTCTCACTCTGTCTCCCAGGCTGGAGTGCAGTGGCGCGATCACAGCTCACTGCAACCTCAGCCTCCGGGGTTCAAGCCATTCTCCTGTCTCAGCCTCCTGAGTAGCTGGGATTACAGGTGTGTGACACCATACCCGGCTAATTTTTTTATTTTTAGTAGAGATGGGGTTTCACCATGTTGGTCAGGCTTGTCTCAAACTCCTGACCTCGTGATCCGCCTGCCTCGGCCTCCCAAAGTGCTAGGATTACAGGTGTGAGCCACTGCGCCTAGCCTATTTGTACATCTTTATAAAAATCAATTTGGAAGTTGGTCCAATGATGCAAATGCTTTGCACTGGGTGCAACCAGAGTCTTCCACCTCACCTCTGGACTTGGGGACCTGGTGGGATATTTCCACATAGCACTAGAGAGGATTTGTGGATCTTGCCATGTTAGAGCAAGTCATGATGTTTCTACCAAGGCCACAGACACGTTTCATTGCTGGTGGAATTAAGGAAAAAGTCATCAATCCATTTTGTGGATTTTACATGTCTATGGCTTAATAATTACAGTAAAAATAATACCTTTTTTTCCCATTTTGCTTGCAAAAAAACCTAAGTTTTTTTCTTTTGAAGAAAAAATAAAATAGTTGCATTTTAAAACAAAAAAATGCAGTCATATCAACACTTTAAAATGTAAAAAAAGAAAGAACAACATCAAGTAAGTAGAAATAAATGTAAATCCAAAAGGACACTCACATTTATGGCCAAATTCATCCCAAGCTCACAATTTTTTTAAAAAAACTACCATGTTTAGATCAGGCCTTGATAAGCCAAATCTAAATAAAGTTTTATTGGAACACAGCTACATTCATTCATTTACACATTGTCTGTGGCTGCTTTTTGCCTATAGTGGCAGAGTTAAAGAGTTGTACAGAGAGCGCATGTCCTGCAAATCCCAATGTTTACTATCCGTCCCATTACAGAAAAAGTTTGCTGATACCTGCTCTAGATGATTGTGTTAAATCTGCTCAGTTATTTTCAACCAGTGTTGCACATGTGTAGTGCCACCTACAGTGAGTCCAGGCCCAAGCTGGAAATGTGTTATAGTGTCTGCTAAAGACATTTCTAACTCTGGTTTCTCCATCAGTATTAATTACAACACAGTCCTCTGAGTTCAAAAATACTTGCACATCAGGGATAGTTATATTTTAGAGATTGTGTGCAAACTTAACTCACATGCCTATTTTTGTGGGGTAAATAGCCAGACAATATATGATAAATGTGTTATATAACAAAACAAATTACACATACGTGGGGAAAATGTCCCATTTTCCTAATAGATTCATACATTCTGTAGTTCATATATTTATGGTACTTTTCTGTTTTTTTTAAAAAAAGTAAATTAGGTTTGTCAAGAGGCCAGAAATTATTGAGCAGAAACAAAATGAACAACCTCTGTTCTGATCAGCTTAATCCAACTACATATCTCACAAAAGCAAAGCCATCTTTTTCCACAAGTATCACATGTGTCTGTCTGCCTGTTTGGGAAAGGCCTATGAAACCTAAGGGGAGTTATTATGTTACTGATGAAAAGCTCCAATCTGTAACGCATATGTGCATTTCAGTATATAGTATCTGCTTATTTTCATTAAATTGCATTAAATGCTTCAATATGTAACACAGTCTTCTTCCTTAGGAAGCGTATACTTGTGGAATTCTTTGTGGTATCCCTGGGAATCCCTTTACCGTGTATCCATGGCATTCTGCCTTTACTGGGCTCATTTCTTCCTACTCCCTGGAATATTTATCAAAGGAAGTTTTTCCTTTCCTACTATAAGGTTTTGCTTTTTGTCCCCAAGCTACCATTTTTGAACTGAAAGCAAAGGCAAAGAACAATATATTTGAGGAAAGAATCTAACACTACTAGAAATTACTGCACAGTATCTGTTTTCTTACTTAAAGGCAGAAACAGAAGTTTTCTTCTCTCATCTTTACCCCCAAACTTCTGTAGTTTAGACCTAGGTTAAGGCCCAAAGTAGCAGAACAAAGAAAGCAAATATTTTCCAAGTAGGGAAATTTCATCATTCATACCTATTCACCATAGTGAATATGGAAGGGGAATAATTATTTTTGTATGCACTTCTATTCTCTGCTACAAGGCATACAGTCTACATATGAACTTAAAAATAGTTTATCTGAAAACCTTTTTCCCACATTCTTTAATTATGTTATTCCCGAAAAAATAAATGCAAATGTGCCCCGACATTTAAACATTACTTTATAAATACGCTTGTGTAAACATCAGATAACATATGTACAGTGGTTTTTCTCTTCACTATTCTAGCTTAACCATTCATCTTTTAAATCACATTGACAGTAGTGGGCCAGACAGATAATATATAATTAATAAGGTTTCTTTTTAGTCAAAGTAAAATTCATGTCCCAAATGCGTATCATTTCCAAATTTTCTACTTCACTAGCTGAAAGCCATCAATGTGTTCATTTTGAAGGCAAATGACCTATTTCTTTTGAAATATAAAAATCAAACAAGCCCTTATTTGTGTTTGTACTGGGAAAAACATTAATATTTAATATCCATTAAAAGTAATTGCAAAACTCACAATTGTTGCACCAAGCTAGTAACAAAGGTGAGACATCAGAATAAAACAATTCTAAGTGAAATTCAATTGTTACATATTAATTTAAATACAAATTTATTCAGGAAGTTTGCCACCTAGAAAGAACAAAAACTTCTGAGGGTGTATGGCATACTTTGATACCTAAGCATAAAAGAAAGTGACTCTAGAAATCCAGTAAGTGTAGAGCTTGATGAGATTGTTTGCTTACATCTGGATGAGTCATTATAACAAACAAACTCACAGTTACAGTTTTCAAACTTGTGTTTATATTTATCCAAGGATTCCTGAACCTTTGTCACTTCCTACGCCAACTGGAGGAATTTCACAGAAGGTGGGAGGGATGACAGCCACAGACCTAACACTTAGGCGCTCATAAGTTATGCTGTATATACCTATCCTTCTGGTTTCTTCTGCCCCACTTTTGGAGTGAGAAGATCCACACCAGACAGCAGGAGAGAGAAGAATATTTTTTCAAGTCCAGATGTTTATGGGTATTTTGAAGCAAATAAGCAATTCTCATCAAGTTTAGGTTTAAGAAGTGAAACATACATTAAAATAATATTCATTTTGACTTAAAGGTTTATTTTCTCCTAATAGTTCATCTATGTAAAATAAATAATTTAGAATTTATTTTCAATAGTAATGGTAATGTCAATAATGGTACTGTTAATAATTAATGGCATAAAAATAATATATTTGCCAGGCACTATTCTAAGCAATTTATACACAATAAACTTGTTTAATCTTCAACACTTCACAAGTCTGAAGCAAATATATATATGTGTGTGTGTATATATATATATATACACACATATAAAATAATTTGTCCAAGGTCACACCGAGAGGAGAAGCAGTCTGTCTCCAGATCCAAACCATCTCCCAAGTTACATATATATATATATATATATATATATATATATATATATATATGTGTGTGTGTGTGTGTGTGTATATATATGTGTATATATGTGTGTATATATATGTGTGTGTATATATATGTGTGTGTATATATATATAGTTATATAGCTATATATATATTATAGAGTAGAGGAGAAAAGGAAAAACTTCCCTTGATAAATATTCCAGGGAGTAGGAAGAAATGAGCCCAGTAAAGGCAGAATGCCACGGATACACGGTAAAGGGATTCCCAGGGATACCACAAGGAATTCCAGAAGTACACGCTTCCTAAGGAAGATGACTGTGTTACATATTTCGTTAACTGTGCAAGTTAACGAAAATAAGATATATATCTATATAGTTATATATAGATATATATCTTAAAATGTTAGAGTTTTATCTTCATCCCTCTAGCTTTATCATTAAGCACAGGTTCCATAACAAAAGAGATCCTCAAAAATATTTGCTTCATTGAATGAGTCCCATCTTATCTGAGAGACTGTAGTCTGTAATGATTAAAAGCATGAACATTTTAGCCAATTGTCCAGGTTTTGAATCTAAAATGTGACTATAGGGAAAGGCCAGTCCTATTTGACCATGTGACCATGTCACAGTGTGACCATGAAGGTTATATAATCTCTTTCTGTCTCAGTTGGCTATTCTACAATATGGAGATAATGATAGTACCTAACTCATAGAACCTTTGTGATAATTAAATAAACCAATATAGGTAAAGTGCTTAAAGTAGTGCCTGGCACTTAGGAAGAACTATATAAGTACAACTTAGGATTATAAGTGTTGGATGTTCAATTTCCAGTGAATGTGAACTTATTTGGAAATAGGGTATTTGCAGATGTAATCAAATAAAGATGAAGTCATACTGGATTAGTGTGAGCCCTAAATCCAATACTGATGTCCATATAAGGAGAGAGAAATTTGTAAATATGGAGAGATGCACAGAGGAAGGCTGTGTGATGACAGAGACAGAGATTGGGGTCATGCTGCCACAAGCTAAGGAACACCAAGGAGCCCATTGCAAGCCAGAAGCTAGGAGGAGGCAAGCAAGGATCCTTCCATCAGAGGGAAGGTGGCCCTGCTGACACCTTGCATTTGGACTTCTAAGCCACCAAAACTGTGAGACTTAATTTCTATTGTTTTAAGCCATGTAGTTTGTGGCAATTTGTTACAGCAGCTCCACAGAACTAAACAATGACTCTAGTCATTGCAATCTGTAATAAACAAGTGACTGAATTCAGCTCACCTAGCAACTTTGGAAATAAGCCTATATAAGTGTAACAGGATTGTTGTGAAGGGAGTGAATAGCAAAGCGATGTTATGAATTTACAGCATTTATAGTAGTCATTCATTCATCCATTCAAATATGCTTATTCAACTAATTGGTAACCAAAAGAGTGAACAGAATGACATTTTCTTTCAGGGAGCTTATGGTCCATCCAAACTAATGCCCTGGAGATTTTCTCCTGTTTTCTTCTAGTAATTCTACAGTCTCTAGTCTTACATTTACGGTTTCATCCAGTTTGAATTTATTCTTGTATAAGGAGTAAGATAAAGGTCTGTTTTCATTTTCTCCATGTGAATATTTAGTTTTCCAACATCCTTTATTGAACAGGCTGACTTTTCCCTATTGTGTGTTCTTGACACACAATTGTGTGTGTGTCTGTTTTTTGCCAATACTATGTTGTTTTGATTACTATAGCTTTGTAATATATTTTGAAGTCAGGTAGTGCCTGTAGCTTTGTTCTTTTTTTTCTAGATTGCTTTAGCTTTTCTGGGTCTTTTTAGTTGTACAGAAATTTTAGGATTTTTTTTCTATTTCTGTGATGAATGACATTGGAATTTTGCTAGGAATTGCATTGAATCTGTAAATCTCTTTGGGCAGTATGAACATTTTAAAAATATTAATTCTTCCAGTCTTGAACATGGGATAGCCCTCCATTTATTTGGTCTTCTTTAGTTTCTTTAATTAATGCTAATTCTATTTTTTTTATTTATTTATTTTTATTTTTTTGAGATGGAGTTTCGCTCTTGTTGCCCAGGCTGGAGCACAATGGCATGATCTCAGCTCACTGAAACCTCCACCTCTCTGGTTCAAGCCATTCTCCTGCGTCAGCCTCCCGAGTAGGTAGGACTACAGGTGTGCACCACCATGCCTGGCTGGGTTTCACCACATTGGCTAGGCTGGTCTCAAACTCCTGACCTCAGGTGATCTGCTTGCCTTGGCCTCCCAAATTGCTGGGATTACAGGTGTGAGCCACTGTGCCCAGCTTATTTTAAGTAATCTCTTCATCCAAGTTCATGGGCCAAAATTCTATGAAACTCCAACTTAAGAACACCTAGGACTTTAATACTTCCTTCTCACTTCTACAAAATGTGGAAGGCAAAGGTAGGGAGGGCATATAACTGACAGGAATAAACCTAGTTATATATTCCTTTAACTTGTATGGGCTTGAGTCTTTTTCACCTCACATTAAATACTCTGTTTTCTACAAAATGTGTCCATCTCATTTTCTGGTATTAAGATTCTCCATATAAGAGCAAGAAGCAGTCTTTGTGAAGCCAAGAAAAACGTATGTTACATCTTTCACTCAGAGCGATGGGTAAGAAGTATTGCACTTGATCTAGAGCAATAACCAATAATACCAAAAAGCACATTTCTGTACAACTGTACAATTCCTCTTGAACAGGACACTGCTTAATATATAAACCTTGTTTGTCATGATCGAAAGATTTAGGGATTTTATAGTTTCCTACATTTTTTTGGTTAACAAAATTCTTGTAAGTGACAAAATGTCAGGCAAAATTCTAATTTGTTCTTACCATAACTTTAAGATGGCACATACAGATAGTTTTAAAAAAACTCCAAATACTTTCCAGAGATTAGTTTTTGATGAATGTCTTCTAATAAATGAATAAGAAAATAATACTTTAGAAGTATACTGTCCTCTTGTTCTAGAAAAACAATAATCACCTTTTAATTTGAAACATTTTATATCTTAGGAAATGTTTTAAAATATTTCTTTTTGACCTTCAAAGTAACCCTAATAGATGAGTTTTACTAAGAGGTTATATAAAAGGGTTTTCAATACTAAAGACAGAGTCTATTATCTGTGAGCCATAGACTAATTCTGGAAACTATGAAAGTTATAGAGAAAATTAGAAAAAACATTCTTTTCTCCAAATTTAGAAGGAAAAGTATAAGCAAATTACAAAGTAATTGGTGTAACCTGGTGCTTAATGTTTAAGGTATCCATCTTAGACTTTTGGGGCTTCTGTAATAAAATACTGTAGACGGCCAGGCACAGTGGCTTACGCCTGTAATCCTAGTGGATCACTTGAGGTCAGGAGTTCGAGGCCAGCCTGGCCAACATGGTAAAACCCCGTATCTACTAAAAATATAAAAACTAGCCAGGCGTGGTGGTGGGCACCTGTAATCCCAGCTACTCGGGAGGCTGAGGGAAAAAAGAAGATACTGTAGACTGCATGGCTAATAAACAACAGAAATGTATTTCTCACAGTTCTGGAGGCTAAGAAGTCCAAAAGTGAGATGCCAACAGACGAACTGTCTGGTGAGGAGCCTCTTACTGGATTATAGACAACCATCTTTTTACTGTGTCTTCACATGGTGAAGGGAAAAGGGAGTGCTCTTGGGCCTCTTTTATAAGGACACTAATCTCGTTCATCAGGTCTCTTTCCTCATGATCTAATCACCTCTTAAAGGCCATACCACCTAAAAGGATCACTCACATTGGGGATTAGGATTTCTTTTCTTTTTTTTTTTTGTTTTTTGTTTTTTGAGATGGAGTTTTGCTCTTGTTCCCCAGGCTGGAGTCCAATGGCGCAGTCTTGGCTCACTGCAACCTCCACCTCCCTGGTTCAAGTGATTCTCCTGCCTCAGCCTCCCAAGTAGCTGGAATTACTTACAGGTGCCCGCCACCATGCCCAGCTATTTTTTTTTGTATTTTTAGTAGAGGCGGGGTTTTACCATGTTGGCCAGGCTGGTCTTGAACTCCTGACCTCAGGTGATTTGCACGCCTTGGCCTCCCAAAGTGCTGGGATTACAGGCATGAGCCACCACGCCCGGCCAAGCATTAGGATTTCAACATATACATTTTGAGGGGACACAGATATACATCCACTGCAGTATCTTATTGAGTTTTAAATTTGTTGTTTTAATATTGCCCTTCCTACCTTCTTTCCTTACTCCCTTCCTTCCTGCCTGCCTTTTTTCTTTATTTTTTTTCTTTTTCTCTTATGAACAATAACAAACAAACTCTGAATAAAATCATCAAAACAGAAAAAAAGTTATATGATAGCTCTTAGAAGCTCAATAGAATTAAAGATAAAATTGAAATAGGCTCAGAAATTTCTGCAAGCTTAGCAATGCCAGGGCTGTGAATACCAGGAACATGATGGGGAATTCCTTAGGGTGTTCCCACTTTGCATCAGAAGTAAATACTTTCTATTCTTCACTCTTTACTTAGGATTTAAGTTACCAGGGAGGGCTAAAGACATTGCATGCTAGGACACCTTGAATGAGCATCACAGCAAGACTCTATACCATTCACAAAGCAAAGTCAGGATGCTGTTACCAAAGAAAAAGCACAGGCAATGAAAAGGAACAAAGAGTAGATGTCCTCTACAGTGTCTTAATGAACTCTGAATTTCATAGTGTAAAATGCAATATCTAGGCTATTATATAACCATTTTAAGTTATTTTGATCATACTTTTGTATCAGTATTTGGTTAAACTATGAGCAATAGAAATACAAAACAGCAGTAGTTTAGATACATTTGAAGTATATTTTATCATGTGTAAAAAGTCCAACAGTAAGCAATCCAAGATTGGTACGGTGGCTCTGTGCAAAATGTCCTTGGAAACCCAGGCTCCTTCTACCTTATTATTACAACATAAATGTACTTGTTTTATTCATTTCTAAGTTAGCTTGTGGTTCAAGTTAGTTAAACAAACTCTAACCCTAGACATCATATCATAAAGTAGCAGAAGGCACCAGCAGTCTATCGCATGCTTATGTAATTATCTGCATTGGAGGCCAGAAAAGCCTGTCTTTATAGGAGTGGTGTTATTCTCTGTTAAAGACTTGAGTCTGTTAAGATACAGGAAGGAGAGAGAGAGAGAGAGAGATCTGAAGTCAATTAAGAGTCCCAGCTGTAATTGCATTTCTATTTTTCACAATTTCACATGAATTTATTCTAATGTATATATCATTTAACCAACAGAACATGCATTTTCTTTAGTTTTCAAACCACAACTGAGAAACAGGGCCAACAGCACATGGGTGTGTGTGTGTGTGTGTGCGCGCACATGTGTGTGTGTGTTTGGAGAGAGAGAGAGACAGAGAGAGAGAGAAAGAAATTTATTTTAAGAAATTGGCTCATGTGACTACAGAGATCACCAAGCACTAAGTGCAAAATCTGAAGGACTCGCTGGCAGGATGGAAACACAAAATAAGCCAGTTCTGTAGTTCATCTCTGGAGGTTATATGCTGTAGAATGTCCTCTTGCCCAGGAGATGGCCAGTCTTTTGTTCTATTAAGTCCTTCAATTGATTGGATGAGGCCCACCCACATTATGGAGAGCAATCTGCTTTACTCCAAGTCCATCAATTTAAATATTAATCTTATCTGAAAACACCATCACAGAAATATCCAGATTTGACCACATATCTGAACTCAGTGGCCCTGACAAGTGGACACATAAAATTAACCATCACAATAACAAATACAGTGCTCTTTGACTGTCATAACTTTACTCTATGTACAATTTAACTATCCAGTAGTAAAAGTGTGTATATGTGTGTGTGTGTGTGTGTGTGTGTGTGTGTATTCTTATGCGTTTGTATCCTTAAGGTCCATTGCATTGGCATTAGTCCATTCTCACACTGCTGTAAGAACACACTTGAGACTCGGTAATTTACAAAGGAAAGAAGTTTAATTGACTCACAGTTCATCATGGCTGGGGAGGCCTCAGGAAACTTACAATCATGGCAAAAGGGGAAGAAAACACGTCCTTCTTCACATGGTGGCAGGACAGAGAAGTGGAGAGCAAAGCGAGGAAAAGCCCCTTATAAAACCATTAGCTCTTGTGAGAACTCACTGGCTGTCATCATGAGAACAGCATGAAGGAACCGCCCCCATGATCTAATCACTTCCCACGAGGTCCCACTCCCAACACATGGGGATTACAATTCAAAATGAGATGTGGGTGGGGACAGTCAAACCATATCACACACACATATATAGATACACACATATATATGCATGTGTGTGTATAAATGTATGTGTATGTGTATATATATGTGTGTGTATATACATACATATATACAAATGTATGTATGCATTCTTAAGAATACCAGTCAATAAAATTCTAACTTACATGAGATCAATAAGCCATCACCAAATGGGGGAAGAAAGAGAAAGTAAAGAGGCTATTTGGAATGCTCCTGCCCTATGTATACCTCAAGAGCTCATAATGAAAACTATTAAAAGGGAAAGAGGAAAGAAGAAAAGTAATAAATGCTGTTAGCAAACTCTTGAATTATATTTATAGTACACAGCAAAAATATATACAGCTGTGAAGTTTAATGTATTTACCTTGGTAAAATGGCTTGTAAAACATTAGAGAATGAAATTTTAATATAAACTTCTCAAATTGAAATTTTAAAGCAGTATTATTACTTAGCCCCAAGTGGAAATCTGTTAGTTCAGTCAACAAAAGTCTATTAACTATGATATGTCAGACATTACGCTAGTCTCAAATTACACAGCTAAAATATATTTGTTTAAATAATATCTATTCATTATAAGCCTTGAGTAAGTACTTGGGAATCAAAATGTAATATTTGGAAGTGAAAGTGAAGTTTATGAATTTGAAGTTGTTCAAGAACATCACCAGGTAGTGTTGGTACCAATATTTTATGCTGCTTCCCATATCACATGCCACAAACGGCAATTGTCAGTCTATATCAACTTCAGGAATCACTTAAAGAATTGAACTAATAGGAATTCAGCATATATTTCTGGAAGATAAAGCCATTTTGAGGTCCTGAAAATCATTTTATTACTTGTGTTTTTTTTCTGGTTAAATTATTTTAAAGATTTATTCTCCTATCCACATATCAATGTGTTTTCGTCCTTGCAATAGTTTGCTGAGAATGATGGTTTCCAGCTTCATCCATGTCCCCACGAAGGACATGAACTCATCATTTTTTATGGTTGCATAGTATTCTATGGTGTATATGTGCCACATTTTCTTAATCCAGTCTATCATTGTTGGACATTTAGCTTGTGCGCATGTACCCTAAAACTTAAAGTATAATTAAAAAAAAAAAAAAGAATGTGTTTTCTGCTGCTCACTCCCAGAGATGAGGCAACTAACCAGACTTAATCACTTTTACTTAATTTTAATATGGTAAATTAAATATTAGTTTTTAAATTGATCTACCAGATGAGATGACTGCAGGCAATATGGACCTGAGAATGAGTTCATGTTCTCTTTTTGGGCCATGGCAAAACAAAAGTATTTCATCCATGTGGAAGAATAAAGAGAAACATCTTTCATGTTATGTAGCAGAGGTTACTGTACCCTTCCATTATGTTTGAGCCAGTGTATGTTTTGGGGATATATTTTATGGTACTTATTCTATCCTAAAAAACACACCCATTGATATTCTCAGTCAGTCATTACATCAAGCAAAATAGATGATATGCAGACAACTAGAATAAGAAACAAAAAAGACAGAGACATTGATCTGAGTATTTTATATTTCTATTGTGAGTTGTATTTCTTTGAATTTTGCCTTTAAATCTAAACACCCTTACACCAAAATTTTAATTCTTGTAAAGAAGAGAAAGACAATTTGCTTAGGTTTGTACAGCACGTGTATTTGTTCCTATATGCACACTATTAGGTAATTCCAAAATCAGTATTAGAAGTTTATTTGTGCCATCCAGAAAAAAACAATCTGCTAGCAAAGCAATGTTGTCTTTTTAATGAAAAGTGGAATATTACTCTAATTTTTTCTCAGATATAAGTTCAGATTTTGTAATAATAATAAACCATTTGAACATAAACCAGGCACACTAACCTTTAGAAATGAATGTTACAAAAAAATTCTAAAAAGAAATACGTAGAATATCACATAAATCTAGTGAAAAGATGCTATTTTCTGATTTGTTTAATATAAATAAATATTTCACATCAGATTTCAGAAGACAAAGTAAGAGTATAGCATCTATATTGTTAATATGGTTTGCCAAATACATTTCCTTATATAATTCTCTCTCTTAATCCTTACTGATTTACTCTCCCAAAAAGAATAACGAGAGTAGTATGAATTCCCTTCACACATATTAAATCATTTATTAAGTTCTGATACTTATATAAGGCATTAGAAAAAAATAGGAATATAAGGCAACAAAGGGAACTTGTATTCATTCAACAGGCTTTATAGGATCAGACAAGACAACCCCTGTAAATGTAAACAGATGGTTCACAGCTTCCCTGGTGGCTGCCTTTTCCCAGGCAATCTTCCCCTGTCCATGTCTTCTCTAAAAGCTATTCTCTGTCTGGAATTAACAGATCTGGGAGATAAGGGCAGGTGACACATCCTTCCACATGATAAAGGAGATGTACAGACTACTATGAACTGCAACCACAGTAAATGTTACCAAGCATGTGCTTAGTGGCTTTTTAGTAAAACTATGGATGATAACATGCAATGTTCACAAACACTTATAATTTGTATCTTTTATCAAAGTTATAACTAAATTCATCTTTTACTCCTTATATTTTAGATTGTTTGCATTTGGTCCTTATAGGATCTTTCCATCTGAAACTGGTCATATTAACCAGTCTGAAATTAGCTACATTTCTAGGAATTAAAGACTTAATGATTTATACTTTTAAATAAAGACCATAATAAGTCAGAGTGTACATTTTAAATTACTCTTAGACTGAAAGGTTGTTATTGAGTTTGCTAGGCCGCAATAACAAAATACAACAGAATGAGTGGCTTAAATAACAGAAATTTATTTTCTCATAATTCTGGATGCAGGATGTCCCAGATCAAAGTACAGGCATGTTTGGCTTCTTCTAAGGCCTCTCTCTCTTTGGCTTGCCAATGGCTACCTTCTTCTGTCTTCACAAGGTCTTCCCTCTGTCTGTGTTGTCTATGTCCTAATCTCCTCTTCTTATAATGATCCCAGCCATACTGGATTACTGCCCTCCCTAATGGCCTCATTGTAACTTAATTACCTCTGTAAAGGTCATGTCTCCAAATATAGTCAAATTCTGAGGTATGAGAGGTCAGAAGTTCAATGCATATATATTTTAGGGGACACAATTCAGCAGTCCATAACTAAGGTGTAACTTAAACATTCAAAAATCTTTGGATAGTTAAAGTTAGCAGCTAAAATGTAAAACTAAATATGCAGATCAAATATAAAAGGCAAAATAAAACTTTCTAAAATACCCAATTTAGTCAGGTTTCAAGATTTCTAGCAGACTAGTTTAACTAGCCTAATAATTTTTTCTGAAAAAATTCCAAAACTAATAAAGAATCCAATATTTAAAAATGATTTTTTATATTTTGAATTTTTATAAAATGGAATTTCTAAAACCTACCAAATGTGTGGCACTTGTTTGCATATACAAAGGACTTTTAAAATATCATGTAGTATTATTTAAGTAATTTCTTTCTTTCCCCATATTCAGAGAAGTATTCATTCTTTGTATAATCCATAACGAGTCACAATTACTTGAGCTATTTTCATATCAATGATTATTCTCTTCAATATACAACTCAAAGAAAAGGAAACACATTCTCTAAAAGTTAAAATTTACTCTTAAGAATTAGGAACATTTTTGAGGACACAGTAAAAGAAGAGGAGTAGTGACATTTTCCTCCCAAATGTCTCTACTATTTATAGGGGGAGGTTTGGGGCAGTAAAATTATAAAGTTTAATTTTTTAAATGATTACGTTGACCTATATTAAATTGGAAAAAACTCCTGAGGATAAAAATTTAGGCTACTTTCTGCCATGTGATTTATTTTTTTAGGATAAGTTTGGTAAGAAGAAAGAATGAAGTATTAACACAGCATATCTGAGTGAATGAGTTTGGTGGTGGGAGTGGACGTGGCTGAGAGTTTGGTTAAGAGTTTGTTGAGGAATATCTGTTGGTGGATTAGAGGATGGAAGGCAGGATGAAGGTGTGGAAATGAGAAAAGTTGGAATGGGACATTAAACAAAATATCTATTTAAATATATTAATTGAGACTAGCTTTTTAACTCATACTGACACAGAAGCACAAACCCTTTTACTAAATCTATTTCTTTTGTTTTAGGTTTTCAAAAACCTCTCTTCCTGTTGATACTGTCTAAATGAATCATTACAAATAAAGTCAAATGCATTGAAATGCTCAAGATTAGGCTCAGTCATTTGAAAAAAAATAAATGGAAGGGGGGTATTTTAAATACATAAAGTGAAGACTAGAATTCTGATACTACTCTTCCATCATTCAAAATAAATATATTAGCCAATCCCACACCATCATTTTGCTGTCAAAATTCTAAATAGCCCTCACAAACCTGCTCTTACAAGCGTATTTCCAAATGCTTTAGTAATTTTTGATGCTTTTACTTTGGCTTTCTCAAAAGTGTTTTCAATTTAAACAAATTTTAGGATTTGAAGGAGACCCTTATTTGAATGAAGTTTTCCTAAATACAGTGAGAGGCTTCTTCCTAATTCTCCCTGATGCTATCTTTTTTACCCTTAAACAATAGTATTCTCCCTGATGCTATCTGTTTTACCCTTAAACAATAGTAATCCAGAGGGAGGGCATATAGTATAGCAATTAAAATTAGAATATTCTATTAAAATAGGCATTTGACTTAGACAGCTCTTTCCCATTAGTTACTTGTGCAATTTGTAAGCAAGTTACTTATCCTGTGTTATGTGAAAGGATGCTTAGTGGGTTGAATGAAATAGTGCATATAAAGCATTAGCATTTTGCCTGACACTAGAAGGTTATCCTCCTTTTAGACTGTATTACTGTTTTCTTACTGCAGTTTATTCTATATCCATTATTTTAAATTATATTTTAATAGTAAATGAAGTAACAGGATTGTTTTATCTACTAGCTCGCATAGTAAAGGGACCCAATTTATCAAAGACTTCCATCTAAGGTGTACTTCATGTTAATTTAGGCTTGCCCTATGGATGGATGATGAGAGGCTCTGGAAATCACATGGAGACTTTCAGGTAAACTCTGGGAAGGTAATTTCTGATAGCGCCCAAGAAGCCTAATACTGCTGCCTCTCTGCTATTAGCTAGTGAGAGCCAATCTCCAGAAAAAGCAGCAGTAGGGAGAGAGACATCTCTCCTGTGTAATCTTAAACCCTTTGTGCATGCAGGGTGAAGTCTTTGAAAGGCCAAGGAAACCTCTATGATGGTATTGATACGGGAGTGCTGGGAAGGGAAGAGTGTGGTCCCATTTATTTATTTATTTATTTATTTATTATTTTTCGAGAAAGAGTCTCACTCTGTCTCCCAGGCTGGAGTAAAGTGGCGCGATCTCAGCTCACTGCAACCTCCAACCTCCGCCTCCCAGGTTCAAGCAATTCTCCTGTCTCAACCTCCTTAGTAGCTGGGAGTTGGGGTGCAAGCAACCACGCCTGGCTAATTTTCGTATTTTTAGTAGAGACAAAGTTTCACCATATTGGTCAGGCTGGTCTCAAACTCCTGACCTCAGGTGATCCACCCGCCTCGGCGTCCCAAAGTGCTAGGATTACAGGCGTGAACCACCGCACGTGGCTGCGTGTTCTCTTTAAATAATAAGGAAGTCAGGGAGGGAAGTGCTGGGTAGAGGAGGGCATGGTCCCTGGCTAGGGCGCCACTCCCATGGACCTAGGTGAGGACGGACATTTCCCGCCCAAATATTGCATTTCCCGCTCAAATGTTGCATTTCCCAAGACAACCTTGGCCCACCATGTTCCCATCCTGGGCCTACAGAAACCCGAGAACCTAGCAGGCAGATAAACAGGCGGCCAGGTGTCTAGAAGAGCACCCTGGCAGAAGAGCACACACACAGGCACCCGCACGCCGGCGGGAGAAGGCAGAGTTTGGCAGGGGCAGTCAGGATAGCCGGGGCCGCGGAGTGGCCCAACTCCTCCTGGGGAAGAACATCTCCCTTCTGGCTCCCCCATCAGCTGAGAGCTATTCCACTCAATAAAACTTTACACTCATTCTCCAAGCCCACGTGTGATCCAGTTCTTCCGGAACACCAAGGCAAGAAACCCTGGAATACAGAAAGCCCTGTGTCCTTGTGATAAGGAAGGGGGTCTAATTGAGCTGGTTAACACAAGCCGCCTATAGACTACAGACGACAAACTAAGAAAGAACACTGTAAACTAAGAGAGAACCCTGTAACACACGTCCACCGGGACTTCAGGAGCTGTAAACATTCACCCCTAGACACTGCCGTGGGGTCGGAGCCCCATAGCCTGCTGGTCTATATATCCTCCCCTGGAGGTCTGAGCAGCGGGGCACTGAAAGTGAGCCACACCCCCATTGCATGCCCTTCAAGGGGGGACAAGGGAACCTTTTCTGTTTCAGTATCAGACTTACAGTAGGTGTGGAAGATGTTTGCAACCATGTATATGTTTCAGCGTAGCAAACACTTACCAGACATTAGTTTAGTTCATTTGCGTTCATTGTTGGGCTACAGCAATTAATACAGTTTTTGCCTTTCAAGACTTTAACAGTTGCTCAAAAATAAGACAGTAATATTGAAAAAGCAATAGGAGGGCACCAGAAGTTTATATATATATACACATATATACATATATATATTTAAACTATTTTTTTTTTTGAGAGGGAGTCTCGCTCTGTAGCCCAAGCGGGAGTGCAGTGGCGCTCTCTAGGCTCACCGCAAGCTCCGCCTCCCGGGTTCACGCCATTCTCCTGCCTCAGCCTCCCGAGTAGCTGGGACTATAGGCACCCGCCACTGCGCCCGGCGCCCGGCTAATTTTTTGTATTTTTAGTAGAGACGGGGTTTCACCGTGTTAGCCAAGATGGTCTCGATCTCCTGACCTCGTGATCCGCCCGCCTCGGCCTCCCAAAGTGCTGGGATTACAGGCGTGAGCCACCGTGCCCGGCCTAAACTATTTTTTAAAAGAGATAAAGTTGTTTTAACTAAAGTTGGGTTTTTGCAAGTGTTTGATTTTTTAAAATTTCTTACATGTTTAATTTCTAAAAATCTATTCAAGAATATAATTAGTAATTATGCTAACGTATTAAAGAATATTTTTGGTTTGTCTATTTATATAAGGCCATGCTGGCATCCTTGCTTCTCAGTTTGCAGTACCAATAGAGAGAATTAATTTTTTGATTGGGAGGCAAGTCATCTTGTTCTCCAGTGGACGTTAATTACTTGAAGGCAAAATTTCTGAAATAAAGCAAGAGTTCTTATGTTGTGCTTAGAGACTCTCAGAATTTATTAGCTAACTAGTGCATTTATGTAAACACAGGGAAGAAGACCATAACTTATCATATCTTCAAAATAACGACCAAAAATTAATACATGTCACTTACTAAGAGGAATAATATAAAGCAAAATGTCAAGCCCTTGAATTCTATTTTAGTGATAAAAACATCACAATGACTCACAGTTTTGCTAACCTTTCCTCCTTTAGTTCATTTTTACATTACCCTCAAATAAGTCCAAGTTTTCCTATTCTTTACTTCTGGAATTCACTCTTCTTCACCAAAAAAGTTGCATTTTCCATAATGTCTGCCTATTTTCCAGAATTTAAAAGTAATTTTTCATTTCAACACTCTTCTTCCAATTAATTTCCCATCACATTCTGCTTCATAATATGCTAGCCATAATCACTAAACCATTTTAACAATAACTGTTTTATTCCAAGATCAAGTTATAATATTTATTCATTTTGCCAAAAAGAAGACCTAAGGAAAAATCTTTAGATGGATTGTTATTTTACTCATGTTTAAATTTTACCTTATATAAAATAATACATTAAATTAGAAAATAAAATTTTTTTCTGTTTTTACATTGTATGAATTAACCTATTCAAATTTTGATTTCTTTCTTTGCCATAGGCCATGGTCATATCTAGAGCCTCTTTGTGGAACATAAAACACAACATTTTTCTTTAATGTGCCTTATCTTCTTTTCATTCTAACACGTTTGGAATATGACACTTTTGAAATCTCTGTATGTCGTAATATAATTTTATCCCATACTACAAATAGCCATTCACATTTGTGAACTCTACCGCCTTTTAACTGGATTGCTTTTTAAAATGACTGTTAAGAGTGAGGCTTGTTTGCAATATCAAACATTTGAAAATAATGTTTATGTTTGTTTGTTTTATTCCTTTTTTGTGATTTCTTTGGGAGATCTCTATACATATCTAAATATAAATATCAAATATATTATATAGATTTATATCAATACGAATATTTACGTAAGTATAATATCGAGGAAACAGCAACACTATGAGCATTTTAGTCTTGTGTGTCTTTCTTCAATAGTACTTTGTGGTTTACAAAAAAGTAATTGCTAGAGCATCTGGGAATTTGAGGAATTTGAAATATTTGTATGAACCTAAGAAAGTAATTTGCCAAGAATAATTGTGAAAAAGTACAAGTTGGTTTATTTTGTTACAAATAAGACATATAAATTTGGCAATCACTTTATTCTCAGTCATAAAAATGTCTCATATATATATATATATATATATATATATATATTTTTTTTTTTTTTTTTTTTTTTTTTTTTTGAGACAGAGTTTCGCTCTTGTTGCCCAAGGTGGAGTGCAGTGGCCCGATCTCTGCTCACTGCAACCTCCGCCTTCCAGTTTCAAGGGATTCTCCTGCCTCAGCCTCCTGAGTAGCTGGGACTACAGGCGCCTGCCGCCACACCAGGCTAATTTTTGTATTTTTAGTAGAGAGGGGGTTTCACCATGTTGGCGTTGAGTCATCGCGCCTGGCCAATAATTTTTTAGTTTTCACATACCTATCTGAAAACTTTAAAATATATATAAATTTGTAGCAATTAACCTCAATATTCCAGAATTAACTGTATTCATATTCTAATACTTGTTCAAGTAACATTGGGGGAAAGTACGTAGATTATAGAGAAATGTTGAGTGTAGCAAAGTTAATCATCCATGATATAATGCTCCCTGCTGGTATGATTTTCTATCATATCTTCATTTTACAAAAGTAAAGTTCATACCTCAATTTTGTTTTCTAATTATTCCCTTAGTTTCTTTCATTTCATTTGTTGTTCTTTCTCTTTTCCTTTTCCTTTTTTATTATTCCTCACAATTTTGCATGACTTTTTCTTAATAAAGTTATTTAATGTTGATGAAGACTGAGTATATCAAAATTCAGTTTACATTAATAATAATCTGTTTAAACTTCATTCACACAGGACAATATCAATCGTGATAAATTTTCTACTAGCCAATTTTTCAACACTTCTTAAAATTACCAAGTGAAGTATTCCTTGACACATCTTTTAATCATTATTGCATGTTATTCTCTGGATTGCAGAAAGGAATTCATAGTAATGTGTAAAAGTCATAATCAAGGGTAAAGTAATTTATTATAGAAGCCATAATAAAACATTATGTGTAGTAACTTCAATGAAGATACATACAGTATGCTTATTTTCCCATTTTTAAATTTTACCTACTGCAATTATTTTGAAGTGCATAAGTTTCCATGTTAGAACATTTTATAATTTTCCTTCAGGTCAGCATTTCTATCATCAGAATAAGAAACCATGAATGAGTCAGAGACAAGAGGAAATGAAGACAATTGTAGCACAGTTTATATGTCAGAGCTGTAGTGCCAAATGCTTTACAAGCCTTTTACATGTGTTCTGGTACTTTGCTAATGCAGCTACATTATCTCCAGGGCCTTTAACATCCTTTCCTTCGTGTCTCAAGTGGCCCATAAATGATGGTTAGAAGAACATAGAACTAAAAGAAGAAAATGGCCAGAGGGGTTTTCTGGTCATTTTTCCAGTTTGATCATTTAAAACAAATTCCTTTTCCTTTTCATTGGTTCTGCTTATTTTAGAGAAACAGTTTAAATTTTACAGAAACCCACAGGCTAACCAAATATCTAAGAAAGTTACACTTCTCTTCTGCTGTTGACAGTGATTTTAAAGGACCCGTAGGTACAGACAATGATATTCTTGCACTGGGTATTTTATGAGCAAATGGAATATAAGCTTCCCTCTCTCTCTCTCTCTCATCAGCAATGAAAATAAGGGTAAGAATGGACTAAAGTTCAATTAGAGATTGTTTAATTGACATGTTGAGTCAACACTGATTTTCTTCTCACAGATTTTAGCTACAAAATTAATAGTGTCTGAAAATGTTGTGTTTTACAATGTGTGTGAAAACTGTATGAGCCATATCCCTCCAGAGCTGCTGTAATCATGCAGACTGAATATTAAGTTTACCCTCCTCAGAGATTTTTTTGTTTCAGTGCATGTCCTACCTACTCTTAAATACCAAAATAGTTGCATGTATCTTTGTTTTGGGTGTGTGTATGTTTTGCATTGTTCTTCAATTTATGTTTTAGGGTAAAAATAAATGTGATTAAGCAAAGCATATAGACATCGACATTCAAAAGCACTCTTAAAAGAAAAACTTCAGACAAATTAAATGTAACACAGTTTATTTGAGCAAAGAACAATTCATGAATGGACAGCATTCAGAACCAGAGGAGGTCCAGAAAGTTCTGCTTCACAAAGTGAGCAGGGAGCTTTTATAGACCAATAAAGGAAACAAAGTAATTACCTGATTGGCTACAGCTAGGCATTTTGGTGAGCTGTGATGAAGCATTTGCCTATTTGGTTACATCTGATGAATGATCAGACCAAGAGCTGGTTGGCTGTTTGTGAATGGCTGAGGCACATTTTTTTCTTAAGTCAGTTACAAAAAATGTTTCCAAGTTAAGTTTCTGTTTTCTTAGAAAAGAACTCCTGGTACAGATAACAACCCCAGGCTAATGGCCTCTTGATTATTTTGCTTGAACAGTATTCTGAGACCTATAACTCAATAATAAAAAGCAATATATAGATTCTTTTGTGAAAATGAGAATGCAGATCTCATGATCTGGAAAACTATACACTGTACACTTGGCCTAGTTTCACTGATGAGCCTTGCTCCACCGGATTAGACTTAAAAGCAATTCAGTAAAGTATACTGCATACATCTAGTTAGTAAAAACTAAACTATTATTTGATTTTAAGAAGATAAAATTAATCTTCATTGTGCGCAGCATATACAATGCTAATTAATAACTGCTCAGATGCTTCCATTCCAAATACATTATGCCATAAGGAATATTTCAATACTGTGTGTTTTACCAACTCAAGCCCTCTCCAACAATGTGCTAACACAAACAATTGAATAATGAAATATTCTGCATCAGCTAGATATTCCTACACAAAAAGTCGTTCCAAAATTTAGTGGACTAAAAATAAATGTGTTTTTGCTCACGAGTCTACAAGTCAATTGAGTAGTTGTTCCAGTCTAGAGTTCCCTCATCACCTGTGATTATCTGTGAATCACCTTGGCAGCTCTGCTTCTAGAAGCTTGCTTGATGTTCATGATGGTGCTTTAGTTCTCCCCCATGCCAAGTTTGGGTTTGTTCATCTGGTAACTGAGCAGGATTTAAGAGAAGCAAGTTCTTTTGAAAGTATAACTCACTTTAAAACTTCATTGGCTTGCTCTGATGAATCAGACTCAAGTCCATTCTAACAACCAAATCCACCATTATTTGGGAAACATGTGTCTCTTTCTTACTCACAGATTCTTTGTCTATGTCAAGCTGTTACGGGACAAGAACCTGAAGTTTCTTAGAAACCCTTTAATGTAGCTGAAAGCAAAACCTGGGCACATTTGATTAGATCTTGTCCTCAGAACTTTTTTGTTAGAACTCTTATTGTTTGAGAAGATGGAAGATGAGAAATAATTTTATTTATTTATATTCCTTTAAATTCTCCTTGAAAACTAGCAAGTTCTTTGTCTAGCTCAAAGTTTTCAAGCTAAGCCTGCAGGACAAATTCAGCTTACTACCTGTTTAACTATGGGCTGTGAACTGTTACTGTTTTCTACATTTTTAATGATTTAAAAATCAAAAGAAGGATAATATTTTGTAGTGCATGCAAATTATTTTATATTCAAATGCTAATGTCCATAAATATTTTTTTGAAACACAGCTACACTTATTTATTTACATGTTGGCCCTGGCTGTTTCTGCATTTAGGACAGGAAATTTCAATAGTTGAGAAAGAGACAGTAAAGTCACAAAGCAAAAAATATTTACTATATGGTCTGCATATAGCAGCTGCATTTACTATATGCAGCATTTACCATATGCAGCTAAAAGAAGTAAACATCTACTTTCAACTTTTTGTCTGAAAATCATTTTGCCAAAGTCCAAAAGTTTATTAGAAACATGTATATTGGTATAGTCGTGCCTATTGTTTGTTATTTTGTAACATGAGGCTCTATTTTCCCAGACTCTAATTGCAAGCTCTCACCGTTTCTCCAGTTTCTACTAAATATTTGCTCACCATGTTTCCCATTGCCTGCTTGCTGCTTCACTCTCAAACCAGAGTCTCACATTTTAGGTCAGTGGCACTCTAGTTCTATGCATCAATTCCTATATTAGTTACCTCTTTCAGTATAAGAAATAAACACAAAACTCTGTGGCCTAAATAAATAAGCATTTATTATTGCTCCTAAGTCTGTGGGTCACCTGGATAATACCACTTCTCCTGCCTATGCTTGCTCATGTGCCTGAAATTAACTTATAGATTGGGTGAAGGGTAGATGGGATGGTCTAGAATGACCTCTTTCACATATCTCTTAGTTGGCTGGCTGTTGGCTGGGATGGCAGGAATGGCTGAGTAATGGGCCTCTCTTCCTCAAGCAGGTGACCCTGTGCTTATTTACATGTTGGTGGTAGCATTCCAAAAAAAAAAATGAGTTGGAAGCATGCAAGTTTTCTTGATAGACCGGGAACTATAACTCCATAGCTTCTCTCACAGTATTTTAATGAAGGCAACCCAGATCAGACTTAAAGAGTGAATAAATAATTCCTTTCTCTTGATAAGATAATCATAAAATGTATAATAAAATTTTAAGAAGCTTTTGGGGCGGGCGGATCACCTGAGGTCGGGAGTTCAAGACCAGCCTGACCAACATGGAGAAATCCTGTCTCTACTAAAAATACAAAAAAATTAGCCAGGCATGGTGGCGTATGCCTGTAATCTCAGCTACTCTGGAGGCTGAGGCAAGAGAATCGCTTGAACCCGGGAGGTGGAGGTTGCGGTGAGCCAAGATCACGTCATTGCACTCCAGCCTGGGCAACAAGAGCAAAATTCGGTCTCAAAAAAAAAAAAAAACAAAGAAGCTTTTGGTATACAGACTATACAGGTGTACAAAGCATACAACCAGACAATTATTTGCTAATGGTCTTCAAATCTGAATATATTATGGACAAAAGAATTTTAAAAATCTTTTACAGTCCTAACAATTTAATAATGATAAATTGATGATGAAATACCCACAGTGGGTGATTAGCACTGGTGAAGATTATACTTTAGATAGAGAATTAGGGAAAGGACATGCCAAATAACCAAGGAAATATAAATCCAGGTAAATCAAAGGTCATCCTTTTTTAGTATAAGTTTGGGAGGAAGGTGTCTTTTTTAATCTTTTCCTAAGTGATCCACCTAAAAGCTCTTCCTCTATATTTTGGGATCCTCCTCTCTGCCCTTAGTTCTGCTTTGGGATGCTCCTTATTTTATTACTAGTTACTTCTTGAATGCCTTTTTTTTTTTTTTTTTGCACTTGCCCTTTTTAGGACTTTATTATCTTTTGCATGGAGTCAATGGAATAAGAAATACTAGGTCATACAATTTTACTATGTTGTTTTGTATTTTTAGTTTTCTTTTGTTTTTTGGTTGGTTGATTTTTGTTTTAACTTTTATTTTAGGTTTGGGGATACATGTGCAGGTTTCTTATATAGGTAAACTCATGTCATAGGGGTTCATTTTACAGATTAATTCATCACCCAGGTACTAAGCCTAGTACCCAATAGTTATTTTTTCTGCTCCTATCCCTTTTCCCACCCTCCACCCTCAAGTAGCCCTCAGTGTCTCTTGTTCCTTTCTTTTTATTCATAGGTTCTCATCATTTAGCTTCCACTTATAAGTGAGACTATACGGTGTTTCATTTTCTGTTCTGAGTTAGTTTGCTAAGGATAATAGCCTCCAGCTCCATCCATGTTCCCACAAAAGACATTATCTCATTCTTTTCAATGGCTGTATAGTATTCCATGGTATATATGTACCATATTTTCTTTATACAGTGTGTTATTAATGGTCATTTAGGTTGATTCCATGTCTTTTCTATTATGAATAGTGCTGCAGTGAGCATTTGCATACATGTGTCTTTATGATAGAATTATTTATATTCCTCTGCATAGACACCCAGTAATGGGATTGCTGGGTTAAATGGTAGCTCTTTGAGGAATGGCCATACTGCTTTCCACAACGGTTGAATTAATTTACACTCTCACCAACAGTGTACAAATGTTCCCTGTTCTCCACAACCTCACCAGCATCTGTTGTTTTTTGACATTTTAAGAATAGCCATTATGACTGCTGTGAGATATCTCATTGTGGTTTTGATTTGCATTTCTCTAATGATCAGTGATGTTGAACTTTTTTCATATGATTTTTGGCCACTGCAACCTCTGTCTTCCCAGGTCCAACTGATTCTCATGCCTCAGCCTCACAAGTAGCTGGGACTACAGGTGTGCACCACCATGCTCGCTAATTTTTGTATTCTTGTAGAGATGGGGTTTCATCATGTTGGCCAAGCTGGTCTCGAACTCCTGACCTCAAGCAATCTTCCCACCTCAGCCTCAAGATTGCTGGGATTACAGGCATGAGCCACTGTGCCCAGTCCTTTGCCCACTTTTTAATGGGGTTGTTTTTCTCTTGCAAATTTGTTTACGTTCCTTATAGATGCTGGATATTAGATCTTTGTCAGATGCATAGTTTGCAGATACTTTCTCCCATTCTGTACGTTGTCTGTTTACTCTGTTGATAGTTTCTTTTGCTGTGCAGAAGCTCTTAAGTTTAATTAGATCCCATTTGTCAATTTTTGTTTTTATTGTGATTGCTTTTGTGTCTTTGTCATGAAATCTTTGCCCGTTTCTATGTCCAGGATGGTATTGCTAGGTTGTCTTCCAGGATTTGGGTTTTATATTTAAGTCTTTAGTCTACCTTGAGTTGATTTTTGTATATGGTGTAAGGAAGGAGTCCAGTTTCAATTTTCTGCATATGGCTAGCCAGTTATCCCAGCACCATTTATTGAATAAATAATAATCCTTAGCAAATATAAAAAACCTTTATATTTGCTAAGGTTTTAAATATAAAAAACCTTTATATTTAAAACTTACTCCTTAGCAAATATAAAAAACCTTTCGCCATTGCTTGTTTTTGTCAGGTTTGTCAAAGATCTGATGGTTATAGGTGTGAGGCCTTATCTCTGGGCTCTCTATTCTGTTCCTTTAGTCTATGTGCCTGTTTGTGTACCAGTACCATGCAGTTTTAGTTACTGTAGCTCTGTGGTATAGTTTGAAGCCTATACTACAAGGGTAACATGCCTCCAGCTTTGTTCTTTTTTTTTTTTCGACACGGAGTCTCGCTCTGTCGCCCAGGCTGAAGTGCAGTGGCGCAATCTCGGCTCACTGCAAGCTCCGCCTCCTGGGTTCATGCCATTCTCCTGCCTCAGCCTCCCAAGTAGCTGGGACTACAGGCGCCTGCCACCACGCCTGGCTAATTTTTTGTATTTTAAGTAGAGACGGGGTTTCACCTTCTTAGCCAGGATGGTCTCGATCTCCTGACCTCATGATCCACCCACCTCGGCCTCCCAAAGTGCTGGGATTACAGGCGTGAGCCACCGCGCCCGGCCCAGCTTTGTTCTTTTTGCTTAGGATTGCCTTGGCTATTTGGGCTCTTCCATATTCAAATATTAATAGAAGGAAATTAGTCTTTACAGATTCAAACAAGTAACTATTCATAATTGGGTACAAAAGTTTGGACAAAAGAACCAGCACATTGAGTACACACTGTGTGGAACAGAAACATGATCTCAAGTCTCTTCTTAGGTATTTGCACTGTTTTTGTACTAATAAGATATAAGAGGAGGAGGAACATGACTTGATATTAATCCTGTGGGGTTATCACATATAAGAAGAAGAGGCAAAAAAATGCATTTATGTAATCCTTGTGAAGCTCAGGCCAAGTTCCTGATGACTGTTTGAATACCATTGGTTAGAAAAATAAATCAGCATCAGGGACTTAGGATCAAATAGTAGGGTAGGTGGGTTCAATGGGCTATTTGAATTCATGTTTCTTGGAAGGTTACAGAGTTTATTATGTTAGCTTTTGTTTTTTTTTTTTTAGCATGGACTAGAGTTACGAAGCTGGGAGAAGTCGTTTTCTTTCCTGGAGATTCTTATGGGAGCTTTGTCTGAATTTTTTTATGGTGGCTGGCTGTCAAGGCATCTGTGACTAGGAGACAATTCTTTCTAAAAATAAGATGGAAGAGGGATAAACTTTTAAAAAATGTATTTTGTACAAGTGTCACCAAAGGAAAGTATCCAAAAAATCAGACATTTTACAAGAGGTTGTTTTCATAAACAGCCTTATTTACAATCTTGCTTCTTTGGAATCAGGGTTTGCCCCTTTAGAAATGTAATTTGCTTTTAGAGCAGCTTCACCTCCTATTTGTAGGCATAAAATGTGTTATTGTCCTTTATTCAATTGCTAGTCCTATTCATTTCCAAGGTTATCCAAAATGTTACTTCCTCAGAAAAGTCCTTCCTACTCCCTGTTAACTGAGTTCATTGTCTCTGGGGTTTTTCTTCATAATCTTTGTGTCAGACACTTCTAGTTTCTTTCCCAATATCTACATTCCCCTCCTACATTCTAATGAGAGCTCAATTTTGTTGAGGACAGGAATGTCCTGATGAGAGTGTTGGAACACCAGTTGGTTAGAAAAATAAACCAGAACCAAGGACTTAGGTTAAAATAGTAGGTGGGTTCAGTGGGCTATTTTAACTGGGTTTTCTTGGAGGGTTTAAAACTAATGCATTTCTTAGTCCCCCTTGTAGCTGAGTGACCAGATGATTTCTGTTCAATCAGATGAAAACGGACATTAATACGTGGGCTTCCAGAAAAATTCATTTATAAAAAGGTATAGTAAGGAAGCAATCTCCTTTTGTCCTTTTCTCTTCCTCCTTCCTGCAGCCCGGAATAGGAATGTAATGGCAAAAGCGGAAATAGCATCTTGCAACATTGAGGAAGAGGCCAAGAAGATCACAGCGACTTGGCCCTTGAAACTCTTCACCAGTGTGAGGAATCATTTATTTCCAGAGGCCTCATTATATGAGAAAAAATAATTTTGTTTTGTTAAGTCCTTTTTTTTGACAGAGTCGTGCTCTGTTGCCAGGCTGGAGTGCAGTGGTATGATCTCGGCTCACTGCAACCTCCCGCTACTGGGTTCAAGCAATTTCTCCTGCCACAGCCTCCTGAGTAGGTGGGGCTACAGGCACCCCACCACCACACCCGGCTAATTTCTGCATTTTTAATAGAGACGGGGTTTCACCACGTTGGCCAGGATGGTCTCAATCTCCTGACCTAATGATCCACCCGCCTTGGCCTCCCAAAATGCTGGGATTACAAGTATGAGCCACCACGCCCAGCCTGTTAAGTCCTTTTTATTGGGTTTATTCTGAACCACATAAACAAACTTAATCCTTAGCAAATATAACCTTTATAACAATTTGAGTATGATGCTATATAACTTATTTACTAGTCTGCCCTCTAATCTGACTAAATTCTAGAGAAGGGAAGAGTATTGGCTGCTTTGCTCCCCACTGTGAGCATTCTACTTAGCACAACATCTTGTCATGAATAGATTCTTAAACATTCAATCTAATGATGAAGTATCCCTTTTTCTAATAAGGAGCTTGTATCATTTCCTAATAAAAAATATCCCTGAATTTGAGGTACTAAGATTAGACTACAGTTTCTTAACCTCAATACTACTGACATTTTGGACCAGATAACTTTCTGTTGTTGTTCAGAATGGGGCTTGCTGTTCTGTGCGTCGTAGATATTTAGCAACATTCCTAACCTCTACCAACTAGATACCAGTAGCACTCTTCCCATAACATTGTGTTAATCAAAAATGTCTCTATTGCCAAATGGCCCCTGTTGGGGTGGGGAGAGGATCACCCCTCATTGAGAACCAGTGGCTTTGACTAGGCTGGGATACATAATTCAGCAGGACAATCCATAATGGTCTCTAGCAATCAAAGTCTCCTGTACTCAAGACCTCTCTATAGTTTGTAAACTGTGTATTCCTCCTGAACTACCAGTTGCCAGATGTTGAATCAAACTCCTATTTCCCAGAGACAAATATTACCGTTTTACTTCATTTCTTAGAGGACACCATAACACACTATGAATTTAGTAAGAACTTCTTTGTAGGATACTTCTGCAACACATGCGGAAATGATTGTAAGATTAGTCCAAATTTCAGAATGTTAAAAAGTGAATATATGTGCATTGACAAAACAAAGCAATTCTTAAAGATAGTATAGTCTAAACCCGTTTCTAAACATACATCTAAAAGCAACACACTTGTCAATGACCCTTTGTGTGTTTGTGTGCAACAGTCTCTGACTTCCTAATGGAATACTACTTTCTCCTACATTCACAATCTGGTATTCAATTGCTACTTTAAAAAGACTCGGTAGACACATATATGGTTTTGACTATATGAAGTCAAATCACCTCTCTAGATAGGGCATTACTAGACTAGTCTTTACAAATGAAATGGAAACAATGAGAGAATTCGCAATTCCCCTTTATGAGATTCCTCAAACATCAGAAGTGGGTGTGTGGATTATCTTCCCATTATAACCCTAGATACTTTCTTTCTATTCAAATTCAGTCACATATGTATTCAATTGACTCTATCCTACTCTCCACAAGCCCACTACCCATCCTCACATACAAGCCTTAATCTGCAAGGTCATCTAACTCTTGAAAATATTTCTGTGAATAATGCACTTATCACTCCGAGGCACAATTGGTTTAGTCTAATGAAATTTTAAAATTTTTAACTTGATTTATTACCTTCATTTATTTATAAGGTTTTTCAAATACTTCAAATATATAATTTTTAATTTTGGATACAGTACCGCATTTATTTCTCCTAATCTTTTTCATGAATCTTTAAATAGCCAAGAACCAATTATTTGGTGACACCTGTATATTTTGAGGTTTAAAGTTACTTAGAAGAAAGAAATTACCAAATTGGTCCAGTTCTAGCTGAAATAGTTGAAGAGGTTAATAACTGTATTAAACTTAGGAATTTTAAATAAATGTAAAGATGGCTAAAGAAAACAATCATGGAAACATTACTATTTTTTTTTTCTTTTGAAGCCAGTATTGTTTAAAGATATACTAACTTTTCTGGTAGTATAACATGACTACATAAAAGTATACATTTCATCACTGTATATCTTGGTGAACTTTTACAAACTGGATACACCTCTGTAACCAGTACTAGAATCAACAAAGGGAAGACTGCCAGCATTGGGAACACCTCCTGCTCATGCTGCCTTTCAAAGGTTAGTACTTTTGAAGGAAAAACAAAACATCTAATGTGGGGGAAAATATGGGGGTACATAACACCCTTTTGACTGATTTTCTTCATCTATAAATGAGTGGAACAATAAGTATACTGGAAAACTGCTCTATTAAAATGTGATAAGCTCTACAGAAATGTTTTAAAACATAGCAGCCTGCACAAATAAACAGTATTATTTTAATTTTCTATCACTACAAAGTACCCATTGCAGAGTTCACCTTGGAAAAATGATCAGGCTTGGCTCAAACCATGAAGAAAAGGGAGTGTTGCTAGGGAATGCCAGCAGGCTGCCTTCCAAAAGACCTCTTAGAATCTCATTACCTTAGTAGATTTGCCTGGCTCCAAATCTGGCCCTCAGCCTTTCCAGACTCTGAAAGCTAGCTGTCTATTTCTAAGGGGCCTAGTGATATTAAATAAGCTCAAGGGATTGATTTTAAAAATCAAAGTCCTGATGTATTAATTTACAATAAGGGGACCAGGCACTTGAGTCTTCTGGCCAGAACATTCTCTCTCTGCTGATACTCCTTTGGGGAAGCCACACTATCTTCATTAGCTAACTCTGTGAACATGGTTTTAGATTAAGAAATATTAGGTGTCAGGAAGCCCCTCATATACTTTGTGATCTCGGTTTATTACTTTTTCTTTTGTATGGATGCAAGCCTTTCCCTTGACTATCCTCTTCAGACCAATTCAGCTGCTAACCCAATGGGAAAGCATTCTTCAGCCTCCACTTTCCAAGACGTGAATCACATGAACTTTTACACCCTCAGAAAACCTATGTATACATTATTATTGTCACAAAGGTCAGTGAGGACAAGACCCATACAGCACTTCAGGCCTCCAGTTTAAAAACTGGTTTATAAGGTCTATCTGGGCTCACCTGCAATGCAACCCAGTGCACTGATCCTGACCCAGTACCTCCTTCTACATCTGGCTTGAGCCCCCAAAGTCCATTCTATTTTCTTTGCCTTCTCTTCCATGTTTCTTTGGCAGAGTTATGCAAGCAACTGAGTTGGAAGCTTGTACTTCCGAATTAAATACTGACCATCATGCCCTCAATTTGATATAGGATCCAGAGACTTCGTGGACAAAACAAAGCAAAGCACTTTTGCTTTGACAAAACAAAGCAATTCTTAAAAACATTACAGTCTAAACCTATTTCTAAACATACATCTAAAAGCAACACACTTATCAATGACCCTTTGTGTGTTTGTGTTCAACACACTAACTTTGTGGTATAATGCTGTGGGCACTTTGCATGCCCAGTGCTCTGATGAATGATGACCACTACTTTCTATAACCTCTGTCTTATGCTGTTCTATGATTTTCTGGTTGAGCCATTCTCACCCCACCGCTAACCCCTAACCAAATCATTTCTTTAATAATGTTAATATTTTCAATCAATAAATTCTTGTGTATTTGTGGAAGAATTCAAACCCTTTATTAAAACAATTAAAGTGATATTTTAATGTCTGAATTGAGACATGTTGATTCTACATTTATGGGGTTACAGCTCATAATTGAGCATAAAAACTAACAATAATTCTCCTCTATTCTGGATGAACCTCATAGTCTCTATGACCTTCATTGATATCATTTGTGAAATGGGATTATGTGATGATTTATTGAAATAATAAATGCAAAGCACTTAGGACAGTATCTGACACTATTTATGAAGTGCTCCAAAACTAAAACTTTGGTGAAATTCAAAAGACTTAACATTGAAAATCAATTGTTATTTTTGTGATTTTGGGTTTTTTTTCTCTTTATGAATTTTTGAGGCATTAAAATGGGTATTTTGAGCCAGGTGTGATGGCTCACACCTATAATCCCAGCACTTTGAGAAGCCAAGGAGGGCTGATCACTTGAGGTCAGCAGTTCGAAACCAGTCTGGCCAACATGGTGAAACCCCGTCTTGTACTAAGAATACAAAAATTAGCCAGATGTGGTGGCAGACACCTGTAATCCTAGCTACTTGGGAGGCTGAGGCAGGAGAATCGCTCGAACCCAGGAGACGGAGGTTACAGCTAGCCGAGATTGTGCCATTGCACTCCAGCCTGGGCAACAGAGAAAGACTCAGTCTCAAAATAAATAAATAAATAAATAATAAAATGGGCATTTTACATTAAATTTATCCTAACAATATGTGAAACATCTTTAAATGGGATTTGTTCTTGAAAATCTCAAGATCAAAAAAGTATAAAATGACAATATACTAAAAACATATTTTAAAAGTTATTTTTTCCAACTATAAAATTATTACACCAAATTATTCTCAAAGATTAAAATTATGATAAAATATATTCAGTATTATTACACTGTGGGATTTATGTTAAAGCAAAAAATGAATCAAAATATTTTACCTCATTTTCTATGAACACATGATCAATAGTGAAATCAATTATTAAAATGCTTCTCCATTTTAAATTTCTTATTTTTTTAAAAAAAGGTTCACAACATTACAATCATCACCAAATATGACAATTTTTTTTGTAAAAACATGCCGTTATACTTAAAATAACTGATTGGATTTGTATTAAGCCATTCTCACACTGCTATAAAGAACTACCTGAGACTGGGTAATTTATGAAAAAAAGAGGTTTAATGGACTCACAGTACCACAGGCTGTACAGGAAGCATGGATTGGGGAGGCCTTAGGAAACTTAAATCCTGGCAGAAGGTGAAAAGGAAACAATCATGTCTTACCATGGCAGAGCAGGAGACAGATTGAGAGAGAGAGCAAAGAGGGAAGTGCCACACACTTTCAAACAACCAGATCTTGTGAAAACTCACTCACTATCTCACAAACAGCAAGGGGAGAGTCCGACCCCATGATCCAATCACCTCCCACCAGGCCCCTCCCCCAACCTGTGGGAATTAGAACTCGAGATAAAATTTGGGTGGTAACACAGAGATAAACCATATCAAGATTTCAACATATAAAACACATAATGCTATTTTCACTTTGTTACACCAAGAAAAGTTTCAACTTTTGAAAATACACATTATTAAAAATAAGTCCAAATAGCATCATAAAATATTAATATCATTAATAGAAATTAGAGATGATAGTGATCACAATTATCATTGATTATGAACAAGTATAAAGAAGGATACTGATGTAGGCACTCAGCTATTTAGCCCTTGAGAGGCCAGTGTAAAAACCAGTGAAAATGACAGACTTCTGTCAGTTTGTGTCAATTTCATCCTCGAAGCCAAACGTTAAAGAATCTCTACTTAAGAAGTATTCAATAATTCTCCTCTAAATATTAGTCTTCTGTATGTTCTTCTGTGTGTATGAGATCTAATTTGATAATTACACTTTAAAACTAAGTGATAAACATACATTTCAAAGAAAAATACTTTTGCTGTTTGTTTGAATTCAGGATTCAGAAGAATCAAAATTTCTCAAACGAGAGGCAAAAAAATAAAATTTGAAATCTGGAAAAGTGTTTTAAAATGTTGTTCCTTATTTAAAAATGAGTGTTTCTGAAAGGACTATCTGCAAATAGCATATTACTACTGATTTTAGTTAATACATATTAAATGTTTAAATCTGAGAAATTTATTTCTGTGACTTAATATTTAACCATCCAAGCATTTACTTTCACTCATGGTTCTTTTATTTAGAAACAGAATGTCACTCTTAGGATAATTTGATAAATGTCATGTCAGCAGTTTTTGAATAGAGTCTTCTGTTGTTATAAAAACTGGCAGACACTAAACAGACATAGTCTCAGAATAATTGATATGGACAACAGTAAGAATTTAGACTCCCAGTAGGCAAACCACCTGTACAAACAACACTTCTAACTTCAGTTTGAGTGGCTGGCTTCTGAACACTCAATTATTTAGGGCATTCAAAGGATTTCACTAATGAAAGAAATATCTACAGGCCTGAATTATAAAAGTTTTGTTTAATCATTAAAGATTAGATTTCAATAGTAAATATTGCAATTGCTAGGTTAATGACAAATGCTTTCTTCCAAGTGAACGATAAACTTTCTATTTTAATATATTATGAATGTATTTTTCTTCAGAACATTTTAATGCTATTTTACTTCAAATCTTCAAAGTCAGGGACTTACAGAGGCAGAATATAAAAAGATAGAAAATGATCATCCAGATGTTTCTACATTCCAAGACTGTCATTGCATTGCCATCCAGACAGTCTGTTCTGGATTCTTAAGAAATTAGTTTAGGTTAAAGGGGTGAACTACTTGTACAATGTTCTCTTTCAGCATTAATATGCATTGAATATCCTGTCATTACAATGAATTGGCTTAGACCCCCTGACTCAAATTTGAAGGGACAATAATGTTTTGTTTTGTTTTACTTAGGCATAGGGATTTAAATTATTTTAGAATAAATTTTAAATTTCAGAACAGTTTTAGATTTACAGAAAAAAATTTCAAGGTAATACAGAGAATTCCCATATAACCTGCAACCAGTTTCTGCTATTATTATTAACATCTTACGTTAGTATGGTACATTTTTACAACTAATGAACAAATATTGATGCATTATTATTAACTAAAGTTCATGCTTTATTCAGATTTCCTTAATTTTTATCTAATGTCCTTTTTAAGTTCCATGATCCCGCCACATTAACTATAGGCATTGTGTATCCTTAGGTTTCTTATGGCTGTGACAGTTTCTCTGACTTTCCTTATTTTGACGACCTTGACAGTTTTGATGAGATGAGCCCTGATCAGATATTCTGAAAAATGCTAATCAATTGGAATCTGTCTGATATTTTTCTCATGGGTAGACTGGGGTCATAGGTTTGGGAGAAGAAGACCAAGGTGATGGATTCTTATCTTTATCTCATTTTGTCAAAGATATATATTATAAATGTGACTCATCACTTCTGAGGTTGACGTTGATCTCTTGACTTAGTGCTTTTCAGGTTTCTTCACTGAAAATATACTCTTTTCTTTACCTTTTCATATTGTGCTATTTGGAAAAAAAAGTCACGATGGGCAGTTAACCTCTGCCTCCAATTATTTACACAATTTGGCCAAATTATTTACACAATTTGGAATTTCTCTGTATAAGATATTTGTCTCTTCTCCCCATTTATTTATTTTTAAAATAAGTATGGACTCATTAGCATTCATTTCAGGTACTGTGTTATAATACAATATTACTTTATTTATTTAATTTAAAATGTTTCACGATAGCCCCTGGTAATTCTTCAGTTGGCTTCCGTTTCACTTTTATATACCGTGTGTGTGTGTGTGTGTGTGTGTGTGTGTGTGTGTGTGTGTGTGTGTATTGAATATTTTCTTACTTTCTGGTACAACAAAATACTTCAGCTTTATCTTCTGTGTTTCCTGTTCCAGTCCTGTTCCAGGCCTAGAATCAGGTATTTCTCCAAGGAGCCCTAGCTTCTTTTTTTTATTATTATTATTTTTTATTTTGAGATGGAACGTCACTGTCACCCAGGCTGGAGTGCAATGGCACAATCTTGGCTCACTGCAACCTCCACCTCCCGGGTTCAAGCAATTCTTCTGCCTCAGCCTCCCAAGTAGCTGGGACCACAGGTGCGTGCCACTATGCCCAGCTAATTTTTGTATTTTTAGTAGAGATGGGGTTTCACCATGTTGGTCAGGCTGGTCTCGAACTCCTGACCTCGTGATCTGCCTGCCTCGGCCTCCTAAAGTGCTGGGATTACAGGCATGAGCCACCGTGTCCACCCTGGCTCCTTTTATTGGAGAACAGTATTAGAAACCAAAATCTGGGTGCCATATGTACTCATTGCTAGTGGTGTATCATTGATTCTAGGTCCTCTCAGCTGACAGAGCAAGGAAATGTGTGTATGTATTTATGCTAACCTCAGTATCTATACATATCTGTTTCTATATGTAATCATCTGTGTTTCTGTTAAACTAAACATGATTTTATACTGATGACTTCAACTCTAATTTATTACCACTACAAGTCTCAGACTAGACTTGCAAAAAATAAAAATGTATGTTTGGCAGATACACTAAGTGTGTAGTCAAGCAACCATTTTGCTAAAGAGACTTATATGGATGGAAAGGAGCTAGGTTTCATTCATGAGACAATGGGAGAAAGATCCCAAAGGCATTTCAGAGATCTTTGAAGCAAGCTAGAACCTTGAGGACAAGGATTCCAGGGGGGTACCCATGGGACCTCAGGTTTCACTGCCCTGTGCCACATCAAAAGTCACTCTGCTCTTCAAAGTATAGCACAGCACTTTTAGCTTTCCCAGCTGTAGCCCAAGTGAGCTCAGGTGTGGCTTGACCTACTGCTCCAAAAGTAATGCTTAGTTGGGTCCATGTTATAGCTTGGATATTTGACCCTCTAACCCTCATGTTGAAATTTTATCCCCAACGTTAGAAATGGGCCTAATGTGAGGTGTTTGGGTCATAAGAGTGGATCTGCTTGGCACTATCTTCATGGTTATGACTTAGTTTTCACTCTGCAAAAGTTCTGCCAAGAGTTGGTTGTTTAAAAGAGCCTTGCACCTTCCCACTTGCTCGTTCATTTTCCCTCTCACCATGCTGGCTCCCCTTCACTTCCCTTTCACCTTCCACCATGAATTGTGGCAGCCTGAACCCCTCACCAGAAGCTAAACAGATGCCAGAGCTATGCTCTTGTACAGTCTGCAGAGCCATAGGCCAAAAAACCTCTCTTCTTTATAAATAACTCAGTCTCAAGTATTCCTTTATAGAAACATGAATGAACTAAGACAGTTCACATGGTGCTAATTCTGCAGGCACACGGACTGCAAGAGCTGTGGGGCATGTCAGCTTCTACCAAGGTTTCAAAAGTGTTTCAAACAGTCTGGGGCCTCAGGCAGAGACTTGTCACAGGGGTGGAGCCATTGCAGAGAGCCCCTGTGAAGACAATGTCTAGTGAAGTTGTGGCAGTAGGGAAGTCCGTGAAATCACAAAACCATAGTACTATCAGCATGCAGCTCTAGCTTGAAAAGGCCACAATCATGAAACTCCAACCTGTGAGAGCTTCTGGGTAGACTATGCCCAGCAAAACAATAGAAGCAGAGCTGCCTGAGATCTGGAGCACCCAACCCCAGCCCTAGTGTGCCCAGGATGTGGGATATGGAGATAATAAAATCTCAAAGGAGATTCTTTTTCAGCTTTAAGATTTAATATCACCTTTCCTGTTGGATTTTGGACTTAGCTGGGTCCTATTACTTCATCACTATATTTTGAAAGTCAATAATTTTTTATGATTTCACAGGCTCTTGGTTGAGGATAATTTGTCTCAGGGAAAATCATGTCTTGGGTCTCACCTACATCTAGTTTAGATGAGACTTTAGACTTTGAACTTTTGAGCTGGTGCTGGAACGAAGACTTTGGGTTTATTGGGAAGAATTAGTGTATTTTGCATGCGAGAAAGACATAAATTTTGGGGATCTGGGCAGAATGCTATGGACTGAAGGTGTTTCCCAAAGTTCATGTATTGGAAGCTTAATTCCCAATAAAACAGTGTTGGGAGGTAGGACTTTTTAGAGGTGAATGGATAAATGCCATTATCACAGGAGTACATTTCTGATAAAAGAATGAGTTTAGCCCCCCCTATTCTTCCCCTACCCATGCATGCTCTTTTGCCCTTCTGCCTTTCACCATCGGATGACACAGCAAGAAGGCCCTTGCCATATGTGGTCCATCATTCTTGGATTTTACAGCATCCAGAAGCATGAGTGAAATACGTTTCTTTAAAAATTAATCATTCCATAGTATTCTGTTACAGCAGCATAAAACAGACTGAGACACCATGTTTCCCCTGCCATTGTTCCTTCTTATCTGTTTCACCAACACACACAAAAAAATACTTTTCATTTTAGGGCTTTTGCACTTGCTGCTTCCATTGACCGAATCAGTTTCAGAAAATATTTTCATGTCTTATTCTCTCACTTAATTCACTCTCCTTATAGAGAGGAATTAGCTTCCATATACAATCAATACCCTGTCCCCACTCACATTAGATATATTTTCTTTCGTTGTCCAGCTTTATTTTGCTTCAAAGCTCTTGTTACGATTTGATACATTGTTTATTTGCTGATTTTCTATTCCACCTACCACAACTAGGTTGGAAGCCTCACAAGACAGATTTTGTTTTCTCTATTGATATCCCTAGAACCTGGTGCAGGGCAGGTATACATATTAGATGCTCAATAGATGTTTATTTATTTATTTATTTATTTATTTGAGACAGTCTCGTTCGGTTATACAGGCTGGGGTGCAGTGGCGCAATCTCGGCTCATTGCAACCTCCGCCTCCTAGGTTCAAGTGATTCTCCTGCCTCAGCCTCCCCAGTAGCTGGGATTACAGGTGTACGCCACCATGCCTGGTTAATTTTTGTATTTTTAGTGGAGACAGTGTTTCACCATGTTGGCCAGGCTAGTCTCCATCTCCTGACCTTGTGATTCACCTGCCTCAGCCTCCCAAAGTGCTGGGATTACAGGCATATGCCCCCGCACCTGGCCAATAGATGTTCTTAAATTGAATCAAACTATTCTTCAAGCCAACTGAACTTATTCTTATTTTTGTTATTAGTGCTTTGCAACTAAGATCACTTTTATTAGATAAATGCTAATTTCATTAATCTTTACTAACATTTAGTGAAGAAAACACAATGTGTTCCAGATGGAAAGAATTTCTTTCAAATTATGAAACTGTAATTTAAAGTTAACTCTTTATATTTACTGTGTTCCATTAAAAGAAATACCTATTATATAGCTAAGAAACATTGAAATATCAGTTCATTTAATCTATTTTTACTGGAAAATGAAAAATAGCAAAGAGTGAAATGTATCCCATTGTAGAAATTAAAAAAAAATACTAAAAAAAAAGAATTTTACTATACTAATCTGAGAATAGTATAATAGTGTAGTCTGGTCTTATATTTCACAACAAATAAAATCAAGTGTATGATTTAAGAGGGATTCAGTTTACATAAAAACTGGGAACAGAGATATCACAAATTTACATCAGTCACCTTGAATGTCAAACTCTTTGCTGGATGTTTTACAAATATTATCTAATTTCATATTTTAATACTCTTTTCTGATGAATATTCCAGTTACTATTTTTGCTGAGAATAAAACTGAGGTTCAGGAAAAGTATTTATTTTCCTGAGAGCATAAAACTAGTACTTGACAACCAAAGCTAAGGCTTCAAGCATCCAAACTCATTAAAAAAAACAGGTTCTTTCCGATAAATATGTAAAGCTATTGGTATGCACACAAACATAGTTAAAGTATTGTCTGAAAAGCCTTTGTTTGGAAAATAAGGTCCCCAAAATATTAAAATGCTTATTGTGGTTATCAGTCTATCAAGTCAAACTTTAATTGTTTATTGGAAAAACTAGCTCACTGATGTTTTACAGATGAACAATGTTAGCTCTGCTCTAATTACTTAAAAATGTATGTAGTTTATATAAACAAGGAGACTAATAATAGGAAATGATACTTGCGTATTAATCTGCATTAGCAAGTGCTAAAGCCACTTGTTAAAATAAATTATAACAGAGGATAGAGAGAAAAATATAAGAACACAAGACACAATAGTGATATTTATAGTAAACTATGACTAAAGGGAACTTTAAGACCGTTAGCATACTTCTATAAAGACTGAAACATCAAAGAAAATGCTTTCTCACACCAAAATATAAGCATGGAGGAAGAAAAGGAAGAAAATTACCAACCAGTAAGAAAACTTTTCCCTAAACATTATGTGATAATAGAAAAAATACTGTGAACTAAAAAAGAGAACTCTATATAGCTTCAACAAAACAAAGACATTATTTATGTCTAATAGTAACTCAGCATTGGAGATACAAAAATACTAAAGTTTAGACAATACCTGTTAAATTAAATTTTTACTTGTAAAGTATGATACAAAATAAAATTAAGATGTGCTCCAGATTGTGCTGGGGTGAGAAGATCCTGATAGGCTGGGTCTAGAAACAGGTGATGTTTGAGCTTCGAGGTGTTCAAACATCTCAATCCTCTTGCAGCTGGCTAGTAGTATCAGGCCCAGAATCCAGCAAAGTCCACAGTCAGCTCAGTCAGGACCCAGACATAGGCTCCACTACCATAGCCATTCATGTGATGGGCACAACTAGGACAGAGGTGGTTGCCAATACCTCTTCTCCAAAGTATAATCATTCAAAGAGTAAATATCTATTGAACAGACTAAGTGCCAAGCTCTGTTTTAAGCTCTGTTTCAGTCTCCTCAAAGGGGCTTATGATGGAACTCTACAGCTGCAATTTCAGCATCTGCATTTGCTCCTTCAGAGGTTTTTGAACTGGATTTGTTGTATATAAGCCTGCTACTCGTTTCACTCTAGAAGGAACAAATACAAGAATGGCGATAACTGTAACTGCTGGATTAACTCTGGGAATGCCAGCCAGTGTCTACAGCTGTTAACAGGTGCCAGTTTAGGATTCAATGGGCCTATAGCAAATGCTGCACCATTTACTTTAACTCTTACTTCTACTTAGTTGGTGATCTTGTTTCATCTACTCTGACATTGATACGGGAGTGCTGGGATGGGAAAAGTGTGATAAAGAAGGGGGAAGGCAAGTGCTTGGTAAGGGAGGGTGTGGTCCCCGGCTAGGGCTCCACCCCCACCGAAGGTGAGGACAGGCATTTTTGTTGCGTTTCCTAAGACCACTCTAGCCCACCACGCCCCAATCCTGGGCCTATAAAAACCCGAGACCCTCGCTGGCCAACACACAAGCAGCTGATCATCCAGAGGAGCACGCTGGCAGAAGAGCACACCGACAGGCACGGGCACGCTGGCAGGCCATCCACCGGTGGGATGAGGCGGAGATTTCCAGGGCAGTCGGAGGAGAGCCGGGGCTGCCAAGCACGGGGGTGGCCCGACTCCAGGTGAAAACCATCTCCCCTCTGGCTTCCCCATCTTCTGAGAGCTACTTCCACTCAATAAAACCTTGCACTCATTCTCCAAGCCCACGTGTGATCGGATTCTCCCAGTACACCAAGGCAAGAAACCCTGAGATACAGAAAGCCTTTCTGTCCTTGCGACAAGGTAGAGGGTCTAACTTATCTGGTTAACACAAGCCGCCTATAGACCTAAAAGAGCGCCCTGTAACACACGCCCACTGGGGCTTCAGCTGTAAACATTCACCCCTAGACACTGCCTTGGGGTCAGAGCCCCACAGCCTGCTGTCTGTTTGCTCCCCTACAGATGTGAGCAGGGAGGCATTGAAGAAGCGAGTCACACCCCCATCGTACAGTGGGGGGACAAGGGAAACTTTCCCGTTTCAACAACAACTCTAGCAGCTCCCAAGGGATTTACTCCAAATAATTTGGGTAGAAAATAACAACTACAAACATATCAGCAAATGTCTCTCTAAGAAAAGCCATTGCTGGCTTGGTCAGCTTGCTCTTCCAAAGTACAGACACAACATCAAGACATGGGCAGGAGGTTATAGGTATGACTTTGAAAACTGCTGTAGCTACTTCAGCTGTAGCCAGTGAGGAACTAGGTGGGGTATACTTATTACCTCATAATATAAAAAGACTGATAGAAAAGTGATAAAAGGATAATAAACCGCTTAAGGACAAAAATCGTCCACATGTCAGGATATAGAAATTCTCAAGAAATTGTAAATAAACAGAAAATAGATTTTAAAAGGAAAATATTAAAGCAATGATAAAAGTGTAAGAAGATATTAAGGTAGCAGAGCAGCTTCTGCCATTGACTGCCAGTGGATGAGAGAAAAATTCCTCAATCTCAACAATTTGAAAATAGAAATTGCTCAGGAGTTAAATGAAGCAGCCATAGCTCTCAGAACCTGGAAACTATTACCAGGACTTCAAAACGAAGATACAACTTCCGCACACTACTTCACAATCATGGCTCAGAAGTTTCAGGGGTAGCTTCAAAAGTACAGACAACAGATTGAATAACTAGCAAAAGAACCTTCTTGCCACTCAAGCAATTAGTTCTCGTATAACCCTGCAAGATTTATCAAGAGTTGCACAGAAAATACATGAACATTTGTAGCTTTGGCTGTGCGACCTTGGTCCATTATTAAACAGGTAAAGGTATTCAAAGAACAATGTCTTCAGCACAGAAAAATGTTGTTGGGAAATGCTATAAATGTGTTTGAAGCCAGAAAACAGAAGCCAAGAGGTGGCAGAATGCATGCAGTTATTACCAGACCCACCCCTTTCAGCAACATGCAAATGAAGCAGCCTTCACCTCAACACTTAGCAGCCTCAGCTGGTAGCAGGGTTTCAGCTGTTTCTAGGGCTTAGTTTGGTACACATTCAACTCAGCTATTGGCAGAAAAAGTACCAGCAAGGCCACATTTGGATTTGGAAAAATAAATAAACCTTCAGAAATCTTAGTGCAAGCTTTGGCAGCTCAAATAACATCTGCATTTAACTTCAGCAATTCTGGCATCACAGTACCCGTTGGTTGGACATACAGGATGTCTAATCCTGTCTCTGTAGGTTTTGGAACAGGAGGGCAGCTCTTTCAGTTGAAGAAACCTCCAACTGGAAACAAAACAAGAAAAATGGTAAATACTTGAGTTGATGTATTATGAGAATCCGATGTAACTGTTCATTCTGCGAGTCTGTTTTTCTTTTTTCGTTTTTTTTTGTTTTTTTTTTTGAGAAGGAGTCTCGCTGGCTCGCCCAGGCTGGAGTGCAGCGGCGTGATCTCCGCTCACTGCAAGCTCCGCCTCGCCTCCTGGGTTCTACGGATTCTCTTTCCTGAGTAGCTGGGACTACTGGCGCGTGCCACCACACCCGGCTTTTTTTTTTTTTTTTTTTTTTTTAATTTTTTTAGTGGAGACGGGGTTTCACCATCTTAGCCAGGATGGTCTCAATCTCCTGACCTCGTGATCCACCCGCCTCAGCCTCCCAAAGTGCTAGGATTACAGGCGTGAGCCACCGCGCCTGCCCTGAGTCTGTTTTTCTAAATTGACACAGTAATTAAATTGCATCCCAGAAAATTTATAAAGTTTTGATATTTTCCCTTACTCTAGAATTCAAACTCTATTCACATTTGCATGCTGAACAACTTTTTTCTTGTGAATATAAAACCTAGTTGTGTATTTTTCATTTTGCAAAATATATTCTAATAACATCTCTCACCAGTAAAACCTATTTTTTAACCTAGTGTTAATAGCTGTGTTTTTGTTGATAAAAGTGGCACTGCTACATAAATATATGCATATGTGTTTCTTGTACAGATGAGATGACCTCTAGTGTTTACAGCAGAATCAATTTGTTCTTTAATATAAAGACTTCTTGAACTACACTAATGGGCATCTTTCATACAGAATAATATCCACGTTTATGCAGGCATATAAAATATATATTTATAAAAACACTTTCTACAACCTATTTTCCTCTTCTGAGAGTATTTCATTTTTTTTACATTTTAAACTTTAAATCTTCATTGCATGTAGAATGATGAACTAGAGGCACCAAGTCATTGAAGTTGGTTGCTTAAAATGGTGTTGAAATAGTTATTGGCCTAAATGTTTGGCTGACTCAGCTGCATTGTGTCTACTCTATTCCATTTGTGTTTCCACTTTGACCTGTGGCAGTCTCTCCAAATGCTGTGAATCTTGTCAAATAAACTTTTTTTATCCTGCATTGATCAACTTTAGAACATGTATATGAAGTTATTTATTTATTTCCATTTATGTTAAAAGCCAAAGGGCCTTTGGGGTCAATGTGCTTCTGCTCTTCAATTTATCACGATATTCTACTACCAGTATCCCAGATCCCTTTACCATTACCATGAACTTTTAGCATTGGTGTATCTTAGAAAAGTCAAAGATTTATATAATTCAGAAAACTATACTTTCTTATCCTGAAGGTGAACTTTCAGTTTATCTGGTCTACTCAAATTAACTCAATGCAGTTAAAGAATACACTATTTAGTGGAAGTTTTACAAGCTCTTCCAGTGCAGAGTTATTTCTTATGTGGTTATTAAGATTGACACCAAGGATAGTGGCTTATCTGTCTCTTAATATCTTAATTGATACAGAATAGAGAAGCAATACATGTAAAAAACCTATCTATTGTGCCAACTATAAACTTTTCCAAGTGTTACCAGTGATTAGAGAGCCAGATAATAATGTGCAGACACGTCAGGCTGCATCTGTGTAATATGCCTACAAAAAGCATTAATAAGAGGAGAGTGGCTAGAAAAGAGAGCCCTTTCAAAGAGAACTGCCTTACCTTTGAGTTAAGAGAGAAGCAATTAAATCGATCTATTTACCTTTCAAGTTCAGTTTCCAGATGTAATTTCACCATAGAACGTCATTGGAAGTGGTTTAATTTTTTAACATAGGTTTCATATATAATATTTATCAGGTAAATACTTTCAATATCATTTTCTCTAAGGCCCTATTTTTCTAAGAGATATTGTGCATGCTTATACATTTTTTACATTTCACATGCATAAAACATTAGCTGTTTTTTATTATAAAAGTGTGGTAAAATTCTGTTTTATTTATCTGCTTAGAGCAATGATTGTCTTTTTTAAATGAATTTTTTTTGCTTGATGCATTAAAATAAGAAAAGATATGTTTCTGACCACTGAACTTTTTTTTTTAAATACTTCTCAATTATCACCACCCCCAAATCCAGATTCCAGAAAATCGCACCAAAAAAGTGTGATTTTGTGTTTTGTGGATTACTGTGAAAATTAAGTAAATTGTCACATCAACGTTTTTTAAAAGAACATTGCATTGGTAGGCATAAATCCAAATATATTTTCTGCCTTTTCATCTTCAGATAATTTGCATTTTGATGTGTCAAACCACTAGAAATCAATGTTTGTGAATGAGTTTAAATGGGTTGTCATTGTCCTAATTTTCTTCACTTTGTCCAGAGTCTACTATTATGTAAACAATAAAATTTAGTATGTCAATTGCCTTTAAAAAATAAAATTGGTATATTTAGAGCAGACCTATTAAAGGATTTAAAAGTTATTGAGATAAATTCTGCTACCTCAAAATGGCTTCAGTATCCTCACTTTCTGGTAATGTAGAACTCATCATAATGATGTATCTCAATGGCCAAAGGACTTTTGGGGCTGAATACTTGAGCAATTCAATTTACCACAATATTCTACTACCAGCACCTCAGATCCCTTTACCATTACTATGAACTTTTAGCACTGGTGTACCACAGAAGAGTCAAAGAATTCTATAGTTCAGAAAACTATACTTATCTCAAAGGGGTATATCATTTCACACAGAAGCACCTAATTTCCATTACAAATTCTACAACCCTCAAGGGCTCTTGACATCTTCTGACATTCACTATGACATCTGTTCCAGAGGGTATTGCTCCATTTTCCCTTGTGTCAACATTTATATAACTTCTCCATATGAGCTGATCAATTCAAAATAACCTGTGACAAAATGAGTATGGGTTATCAAGGGATGTGTCCCTCTCTTCCCCGTTTAACAGATAACAACTTGCAAGGTGACAGAAAGCTGTAACATGGTCTAGTTCTGCATAATCATGGTGAAGAAATTACCCAAAGCAGCTTGGCCTCCAGATTCCTGCTGTCCAGAATAGTTCTCCCATTTCCATCTGAAGTCAGTCTCAATATATGCAAAGTTTCACTTTCAATTAGCAATGATCAAGGGAACCAGAAAGCAGTGCCTAGCATACCTTCCTCTGCTAAATCCTGATAAAGACAGATAAAATGGGGTTTTCTCCTGCCAGAGCATCAGGACTCAGGTGCACAGATAGGTTTTGATTAGAGAAAGTAGAAGGACTTTGCAATTTATGTTACAAGAGAAATGGAGCAGAGTCTGACTGGAGACTAACTATGGAGAGCTGGGTCAGGGGTGAGTAAACCTGCTGGGTAAACAGGGAAGTCATTGCTTCCCTATTCTATTTTCTCTGTAACCAGCCTTCTTCTTATCTGTTCATTCATTCATTCCACAAATATTCACTTTCTATTATTTTAAAATTATGTTAATACGTGGATATCAGAGCTGTTGAATATGTCACTATAATAAATGTTTTGTCATTGGTAAATAATTTTTTAAATTTGATAACATCCACATTATTTTTCCTTTTCTAAATAATGTATCAATGCTTCTTAATCATTAATGTGTGTGAATCACCTGAAGATTTCATTTAGATGCAGATTCTGATTCAGTAGGTTTTAGGGTAATATAGGGGACCTGAGTTTTCTTTTCTTTTCTTTTTTTTTTTTGTTGGGGTGGAATCTCGCTCTGTTGCCCAGGCTGCAGTTCAGTGGTGCTATCTCGGCTCACTGCAACCTCTGCCTCCCAGGTTCAAGCGATTCTCCTGCCTTAGCCTCCCCAGTAGCTGGGATTACAGCCGCCTGCCACCACACCTGGCTAATTTCTTTTTTGCATTTTTAGTAGCATATTTCCCTTTTTAAATCTATTTTCTGTTTATTTACAATTTCTCTAGAATTTCTATATCCTGACATGTGGAAGATTTTTGTCCTTGAGTGCTTTATTATCCTTTTATCACTTTTCTATCAGTCTTTTTATATTATGAGGTAATAAATATATCCCATTTAGTTCCTCACTGGCTACAATTGAAGTAGCTACAGCGGTTTTCAAAACTGTAGCAAAACTCAACATTATAAAGGAAGAGATAAGAACCATTTCAAACTGTGAGAGAAAAGAGACGAAGTCTGGGGATTTTGACCAGTTTGGGCGTAGTTTTTAAAACTCCAAGGGAAACCGAGCCTCTTACCTGGAGGAAAGAGAGGCAGGTGGCAAGGTTTTGGAAAAGAGGCAAACCCAGCAGTTTCACATTCGCACTCACCTTCCGGGATCCTGGGCGAGGTCCCAGTTGAAACAGGAAAAGTTCCCTTATCCCCCTGGCAGGGCGTGTGATGGCGTGTGGCTTGCTTCTTTGGCGCTCTGCTGCAGCAGCTCAAACCCCTAGGGGAGGAGCATGCAGACGGGCAGGTCGTTGGGAGCATGGGCTCTGACCCCACGGCAGCGTCTAGGGTTGAGTGTTCACAGCTCCTGAAGCTCCAGTGGACATGTGTTACAGTGTATCATTCAGTTTAGCCGTCCTCAGGCAGCTTGTGTTCATCAGCTCAGTTAGACCCTCTGCCTTATCACAAGGACAGAGGGCTTTCTGTATCCCGAGGTTCTTGCCTTAGCCTAATGGAAAAAATTGTATCACATGTGGGCTTGGAGGATGGGTGCAAGGTTTTAAATTGAGTGGTGGTAGCTCTCAGAGAGGTGGATGGGGAGGCCAGAAGTGTGATGGAGTGAGAAGGTGGTCTTCTCCTGGAGTTGGGCCGCCCAGTGGCCAGGCTCGTCTCCAACCGCCCTTGGCCGAACCCCGCGTTGTCCCGCCATAGATGGCCTGCCAGTGTCTGCGAATGTCTGCTGGTGTATTCTTCCGCTGGTGTGTTCTTCCGCTGGTGTGTTCTTCTCGACATCCAGCCGCTTGTGTTTGTGCCCGCTAGGGTCTCAGGGTTTTTATAGGCACAGGATGTGGGCGTGGCAGGTCAGGGTGGTCTTAGATATTGCAACAGTTGGGCATGAAAACAGGAGTGCCTGTCCTCACCTAGGTCCACGGGCACAGGCCTGAGGGTGGATCCCTCGTCAGGGAAGCTGACTTTCTCTACCCAGCACTTCCCTGCCCCCATCCTGTATCACAACTAGGTATGTCTGTGAGGATGTTTCCAGAAAAAAATACCATTTGAATCTATAGACTGAGTAAAGAAGATCTGCCCTTACCAATGTGAACAGCCATCATCCAGTCCACTGAGGGTCAGAACAGAACAAAAAAGCAGAAGAAGGATAAATTATCTTTCTCTCTTCTTGAGCTCAGACATCCATATTCTGCATTCAGACTCTGATGCACATGCTTCTCAGGCCTTCTGACTCCAGGTTTTAGATCAGCATCCCCTTCCTCCAAATTTCTCACGCCTTCAGACTCAGATGGAATTATGCCACTGGCTTCCCTGCTTCTCCAGCTTGCCAATGGCATATCCTGGGGCTTCTCAATTCTCATATGTGTCACTTCCCATAATAAATAGCTTCTTATATATCTACATGCATTCTACTGTTTTTCTTCCCTCTGGAAAACCCTAACAAATACAGATAGCAAACAAACACCTGAAACAATCACATCATTAGTCAAATGCAAATTAAAGCCACCATGAAATATAACTATACACTTATTAGAATGATTTAAATAAAAAATAGTGGCAAGGCACGGTGGCTCATGCCTGTAATCTTAGCACTTTGGGAGGCCGAGGCAGGCGGGTCACGAGGTCAGGAGTTCGAAACCAGCCTGGCCAACATGATGAAACCTCACCTCTACTAAAAATACAAAAATTAGCTAGGCGTGGTGGTGCACACCTGTAATCCCAGCTACTCGGGAGGCTGAGGCAGGAGAATTGCTTGAACCTGGAAGGCAGAGGTTGCAGTGAGCCAAGATTGTGCCACTACACTCCAGCCTGGGCGACAGAGCGAGACTCAGTCTCAAAAAAAGAAAAAAAAATAGTGATAATTCCAAATTCTGTCAATGGTGCAGACAAAATGGATCACTCACACACTGCTGATGGAAATAAAGAATGATACAGCTACTTTAGAAAACAATTTGACACTTTCTTATAAAACTAAACAGGCAGCTACCATGCAACTTGCATGTACACTTGAGATTGGTTCCTAAAAACATGAAAACTTATTTTCACAGAAAAATTTGTCCATGAATGGCTAAGGAGCTTTATTTATAAGTGCTCTAAACTAGAAACAGCATGGTTTTTCTTTGACAAGTGAATGGTTAACAAACTGTGACATATCCATACTGTGGAATATTACTCAGCAATAAAAAAAAATGAACTATTCATACATAAAACAGTTTGGATGAATTTCTAGGCTATTGTGATGAGTGAAAAAGCCAATCCCAAAAGGTTGTGTACTGTAAAATTCATTTATGTAACATTACTGATATAACAACATTTAAAAATAGAGACCAGACTAGTGGTTGCCAGTGGTTAGGTCGCTGAGGAGAGGGGAAGGAGGTAGAAGCGGCTATCAAAGGGATCCTTTTGGTGACAAAACTGTTCTGTATGTTGTTTGTATCAATGTCAATATACTGGATGAGATATTATGCTATAGTCACCAAGATGTTACCTTTTAAGAAAGCTGAGTAAAAAGTATGCATGATCTCGCTGTATTATTTTTTTACAACTGCGTAAGAATCTACAATTAATTCAGAACAAAATACATAATTTAAGAAAATATCTTGTCCTTTACTTTTCCACTAATTATTTTATTCTATGGCAAAAAACAGACCATTTTTAATATAGATGTATCCAAATGACATGGCTTTGTCCAGCATTGTGGCATTTTTTTTTCTTCAGGATTGTTAACAACAAGTGTATTGATTTAGCCTGAGAACACAAACGTGTGTAAGGTGTACCTTTTAAATTATTTTTAAGGGAAAATATCCCTAAAAAACAGTATCTACAGGTTATGTTAAGACAGAATGGCCAAAACTTCACAACTAAGCAAACAAAAACTATAAACTGTTGACAGCTGCCCTCTTCTTTACATCTCCATAAATGGGCAACAGCAAACTGGCTATCTGAATAGATGCTATTTTCTTTTGGTTTCTCAGAATAATGTCTTCTATTACCCACTAGTTGTAGGTTTTTCCCCTAAATTTAAATAAATCATGCCCCCTATGCTCCACCTCCTACTGATTTTTCAACTGGGGGTCACATGATACATCTTTATAGTTAACTAATGATTCTGAGCCATTTCTGCCCCTGCTGTGTCACTAGTTATATCTAAAAGCCAGAGTTCACATAAAATTATTAATGTCCTTTATTATATAGCAAGATAAATAAAACTTCTATTAAACAACAAAAAGAGGCAAGTTCTGTGGGGTTTTTTGTAATTTTATTTTTAATTTTATGTTTGTAAAATTACTCTAGCAGCAGTTTGTGGGATCCTTCAAGAAGGGACAGATGCTGAAACCCACTTAATAGATATTAACCCACTAGTTGGGATGCTAACATCATTGAAATTGTTAAGGAAAGGGGAATATTCTATCTTCTTTATTTTGACTATCCTCAGGGAATCTAACATTAAATAAAGCTTATTTAACAGATGTTGTCCAAACAGATAATTCTACGAAATCTATTACATTAAATGGATCACTTAAATTGCATTGGAGTTTACAAAGAGCAATCATGCCTTTACTTATTAATATTGCTCTCAGGAATGAAATCAGTATTAGAGTGCTCACCTGTATACATAAAGAAATATTCATGTTTTCCAAAAGGTGTTATGATATTACCACTATGCTTATCCCTAATTGTCACATTACATATTGAAAGTGTAGTTTATGTATATTTTATTTCAGATTTATAAATATGAAACATTACAGCATGACACTTTATAATTTTGTTGCAGCTTTTCCCAAAGAGGGCTTCCTGAACATTAATGCGCCCTATATATTTAACATTTTCTGAGATTAATTATGCATAGTTGATATTACTTATAATATTCATTTTATAAAACTCATATTGCAAAGCAACATATTAAATGCTATTAAAATGCTGCAAGAAAAGTATAAAAAATCATAAACACACTTCTCTAGCTGATTTGATTGTAATTTTTATTTCCATATTTTGTTTTAAGTCTCAGAGGACTCTCTTTGGAGGTCTTCCTTCTCCTATGGAATTCTCTTTGGAAAACTTTCACAGAGTAATCAAATTTTTATTTTTACACCAAGGAAGGACTAAGAAAGGCAATATTAAGCCCAGAAATTTTGTATGTATGTGCAAGAGTAGGTGCATGTGTGTATGCTACCCGCTCATCAAAAAGTTATTTATAAGATCTTTTTTCCTTACCACCCACATGTCTTCAGCAAGTCCCCAACTCCGCCTTGACAGTAAAACTATTTGATTTACAGAGAAATCTCCTACTTCTTCCATTACCACCCTGATTAAAGCTATTATTATTTCCTAGATTTTTTTAAAAAGCCACCTAACTCATCCCAATGTCTTTTCACTCTCCGAAAAGCGGCTAGAACATGAAAGGAGAAGAACCATCAGATTTTTCTGTTTAAAACTTTCTAATAGTTTCCAGTTACATTTAGAATGAAATTTATACTTTGCACAATGGTCAACAAGACTCTCTAAGACCTGAAACCTGAACCCACCATCTCTCTGGTATTACCTCCTGTCCGTCTCCCTCTCATTTAAGATACAAACTGACCTTTGTGTCATTACTCAAACTTGCAAGTTTTTTTTTGTTTTTTTTTCCATCTCAGATATTGTACTTGTTATTCCCTCTGCCTGGAACATTGTTCTTTCAATATTTACACGGTTAGTTACTTTCTTCTAAATACTTAACTGTCTATTCAAAATATTTTTAAATATATTTTAAAATAATATTAACACAGAAAATGTGTTGTGTTCATATATACCAGGTGGTATGCTTAAATATAACTTATTTTATTTAATCTTCACAAAATCTCCATGCATTGGGTACTGTTACTGTGCTCACTTTACTGATCAAAAAACTGAGACGTAAAGGTCATGTAACTCGTTCATGCTTACCCTAGACAGTGTCCAGAGCCAGGTTTTGAACTGAGAGTTAACAAACTTCGTAGTTTGACCTTATCGAAGTCTATGACAAATTCAGCTACTGCCAAATTAACTGTTAGACCTCCTGGATTTATGGTCGATTATCTCTGGTACTACCTCTGCTGCATCTACTTATAGCCTCATGTTTTAAGTGGGAGGGAATGGACAAACTAGGTAAATAAAAATGCAGCAACTGGACTGAGTAAAAGTGAATGCTGGCCGGGCGCGGTGACTCACACCTGTAATACCAGCACTTTGGGAGGCAGAGGTGGGAGGATCACGACGTCAGGAGATCGAGACCATCCTGGATGACACGGTGAAACCCTGTCTCTACCAAAAATTACAAAAAAATTAGCCGGGTGTGGTGGCATGCACCTGTAGTCCCAGCTACGTGGGAGGCTGAGGCAGGAGAATGGCTTGAACCCAGGGAGGCGGAGGTTGTGTGAGCTGAGATCGCGCCACTGCACTCCAGCTTGGGCAACAGAGTGAGACTCCATCTCAAAAAACAAAAAAAAGAAAAAGTAAATGCTAATAATGTTCTGACTTCCCTCAATCTTAACCAGCAGTAGTCAAAAATAAATTAGCTAGTTTATTTTCAATTTTGTATCATACTTTAACATCATTTGATAAAGTTTTAAAAATTTTCTGTTCTAACAGTCACAGTAATTCACCTTAATTCTTCTAAAAGAAAGTTGGTTGAGATACTCACTCTGAGACCTCTGTTGCAAAACAGTAAAAGAATTTTATATCATCACAGGCTCCCACCTGAAAGAGGAGACAGAATTCAGAGGCAGAAGTTTTTAGAAAAATATGTGAGAAAAAAAGAATTGTTTTGGAAGAGGCAGCAATATAAGTGGGGGTTTGCTTCAGGAAAAATTAAAAATCTTGACTTGGAATTCCTTTTAAAATTTGAGATGAAAATGTTGCTTCTGCTAGACTATTTTTTAGAGACTAGAATCTTCACTGTTAAATAGGACTAAGTATTTAAAACCATTCCTCATTTCAAATTCAGTTTGCTCGTCTATACATTTAACCTATGCACTCTACATTTATATTTTAGAAATTGACCACGTGAGTCCATTGCCTCTTTGACATGACAACCCTATGAACAATCGAAAACTGCTGTCTCCACTTATTCTTCACTAATGGCCCTTTTCTTTAGTAGGGCTTTTTCAAATTCAAAAAAAAAAATGAAGTTAGTTGGAGTTCGGCTTCAATTGTTAACAGTGTTTTGTTTACAAGCAGCTGAAAATAAACTAAGAGTACAAATGAGTCAAAGTATATCAAATATCCAGCAAAAAAAGGATTGTAACTTTCTCTAATTACTTGTTTCTTATTGCTCTATATTTTTATTTACAGTTTTCACAGTGAATTAAATTCTAGTACTATTACATTTGTGTAAATGTACCCTGATGTGGTATTTTCACATTGATCCTCAGTTCTTTAACTCCCAGCTCATATGATAAACACAGTCACAATTTTATAAATGTGAATGCAGCAGTAAGTCAACTGAAGACATAAAACGGGAAAGTCAAAGAAGGAAGAATTACCCTTTAAGAAGTTTGATATATTTTAATTACTTCCCCAAAGGGTACCCTCACCAACTTTACCCTTACCTTCCTTGAATATCATGTGGGTTCTTGCTCTCCATCCTCTTTTCTCAAAACTTTTTGAAATCCCCTAGTGACTTTTAGAAAAAGTCAGTATCCTTCACATGACTTGCAAGATTCCAGGTGGACTTCCAGATTCTAAGTAGTCTGACCTCTGCGATTTCCACAGCTCGATTTCATTCAACACTTTCTCTACCTCTCAGCATTCTGATCACACTGGCCTTTTTTCAGACCATTTACTGCATCAGGTTTCTTCCCAGTACAGCAGGTGCCACACCAGGTTCTATGTTCTACACTTGGAACAATCATTCCTGGACCCTCATCCTTTTTGATTTAGAAGACAACTCCTCATCCTTTAGATCTTAATCTAATCTAATCTAACCTAATCTGGCATTTCTTCCAGGAAGTTCTCTAAGATTATTATTTCCTACATAGTACAAATGTATTTATTTGTGTGATTACGTGATTCCTATTTTCCTCTTCCATGAGACCTAAACTCCATCAAAACAAGAACATAGTCTGTTTCACTGGCCATTTTCTCCCCAGCATATAAACCTTGCTTGACTCCTAATACTCAATAAATATTTCTTGGAAGAATAAAGGAATAAACAATCTGGATATTATGAACCTTGTTTTCTGGTTCTACTGTAACTTGACCCTTGATTATTTTGATAATCATAGTGACAGTTAATTGCCACATCTTTCATAGGAAAACAGGAAACATGTCAGCAATCATGAATTAGTATTCATGAAAATATCAGGATACTGGGATAATTTTTGACAGGTGTGCTAAGCAGAAACTTAGATACTTTCCAGTGTTTTCTTCTTTTTGGCAATCTGTTATGTGCCATTTTACTTCTATAGAGTTAGCGGAGCCATGAAGAATAACTTTCTTGATATGTACACACACGCACATATATAAGTCACATAGTCAATGATGTAAATGCTTCAATACTATATACCTCTAAATCAACTTCATCATTTATTTTTCCTTAGTCCTTAGCACTTGCCAAAAAGAACCAGATATGTGTGGGATTGTGCATATGATACAAATGAGTGGTAAGGGGAGTGAGGAAAATAGTAATAACCTACTTACTATATATTAGGAACACTTCCAATTGTTTCTAGTGTTGTCTATTTAATCCTCATGACTAACTTCTGATGTAAGATAAGCACAAACAAGAAAACTGACTTATGGAGAAATTAACAGACATATCCAAAGCCCACAGCTAGTTGTGGAGCAGCTAAGATCCAAGGGCTGGCATTTTAACTGGCTGATACTCTCTCCACCATGAGAAAGAAATCATCTTCCCTCAAACACAGCTGTCTACATTTACATGACTTTGCTATAATTTCAGGAGACTATTGTCCAAAGAACTTGAGTGTTCAATTTAGGAACTTCCTTGAAATCTTATCAGCTTTTCAGTAGACAACATTCACTGAGGTTTATGCCCTAAGACTATCTGAACCTCTTGCCCCAAAATGTTCACCTTGCTGTTTCACTCATCTTAAACCACTTAACTTATCCAATCCTACTCAAGCTCCTGCATTGAAAAATCCACTGTAAACCAAACTATTTATACTCCTTTAGAAAACGAATATTTCTCTTAAATGCTTGCTCTTTGTATTATCCTGTTATTCTGGGTTCAAGAATAAGTGTATAGTTCATGATTTAATCACTACTATGTAGTCGGGGGAAAAAGAAGCTTGGGGATGCATAATAGGTTAGTCCCTTGTCAGGGTTATATTCTCTTTTTTTTATAATCCTCAGACCTCCTGTTGGTATGCAGAGGTGCTTCAAATTAAAAATATCACTATTTGCAGTTTTATATGCCCTTGTTCTTAAATAGATGCATATATAATACTTTTCTAACCATATTTGAGCACATTCATCAACTCAGAAAATGAAAATGCTAAATATAAATTGTGCTAATATTGCTTCATTTTTGTAATGCAAACTTCTTTGCTTACAGTTAGATGTTTAAAAGCTCAGTTCTAGATGAATTTATGAATGGAAGGTGAAGTCATGTAGATTGGTAAAAATGATAGAACAATTTACAAAAAGCTAACATGGAGTTTTCAGGGTGTAGTAACACAGAAATAGAAATTAGAGTTATAAAATCTAATTTGTCTTATTTATTAGGCTGTTCTTGCATTGCTATAACAATCTGAGACTGGGTAATTTATAAAGAAAAGAGGATTAATTGGCTCATAGTTCTGCAGACTTTACAGGAAACACTGTACTGGCATCTGCTTGGCTTCTAGGGAGACTTCAGGAAGCTTACACTCATGGTGGAAGGTGAAGAGGGAGCAGGCACATTCCATGATGAAAGAAGCAAGTGAGCGGGGGTGGGGCAGGGGTGCCACACACCTTTAAACCACCAGATCTCATGTGAACTCAGAGTGAGAGCTCACTTATCACCAAGGGGACAGCAGCCCAAGCCGTTCCTAAGGGATCCACCCTCATGATCCAAACACCTTCCACCAAGCCCTACCTCCAACATTCAAGATGAGATTAGGCAGAGGCATACATTCAAACTACATCATCTTGGTACATACACTTTTTGTCTCTGTAACTCCATACCCTCTGTACTGCATGCTGTTTTGTGACATCCAGGTAATCCTTTAAGAATAAAGGACTTATTTCCTGGTTGCTAGGAATGCTACCATGCAACCATCCTTAGCTGTCAGTCTCTTTGGGGATCAATGCAGCTGAAAATAAAACTGCCTTCCCGCCTCTTTACATGACTAATCATGGTGGGGAGATATATACAAGTCTAATGCCCTTGGGATCTGACCTCTGAAGGGTTATGCCAGATCTAGAACCCGCTTCCCCTACATGATGTCTACTGAGAACTTCATTGCATCAGCTTGCATATCAACTTCTCTGCTGATCTTGCTTCTCTCTCCTCCCTTCTACAGATGTGGATCCCAAGTATACTTCCTTCTCTTTTTTTTTTTTTTTTTTGGTTTTTGTTTCGAGATGGAGTCTCACTGTCCCCCAGACTGGAGTGCAGTGGCGCAATCTCGGCACACTGCAACCTCCCTCTCCTGGGTTCAAGGGATTCTCCTGCCTCAGCCTCTCAAGTAGCTGGGATTACAGGTGCATGCCACCATGCCCAGCTGATTTTTGTATGTTTGCTAGAGATGGGGTTTCACCATGTTGGCCAGGCTGGTCTCAAACTCCTGACTTCAGGTGACCCACCTGCCTCAGCCTCCCAAAGTACCAGGAATACAGGCTTGAGCCACTGTGCCCAGCCTATACTTCTTAATAAATGCCATGCATACAAATCTTCATGTCAGAGTCCTGAGAAATTCCAATTTTGATATCCTTAATTCCTCTACCTGTGAAATTGGGATAAAAATAATATTACTTATTTAACAGAGTTTTGTTTTTCAAATGAAAAAGTAAAAATATTTTTGAAAGTGAAAATGTCATTGAAAATTAAAATTATGGCCATTTTTATAATTAGTTTTACCTAGGTGTTTTTTCCTAAACCAACAGATCTCATAAATCCTTACTCAATTTAATAGAAATCCAATAGCTATGTTAATGAAAAAATAAATAGCTACCGTCACCTATGAATGACACTTCACATCAACATTTATGTGCCTATGTGAACACTCAAATATCCTTAGGGTGTGTAAAGTACAGTGTTTCCTCTACTAATGAGTTTGTTCTCAAAACACAGTGAGTATTTATTTTGCATCATTTTGCAACACATAGGACATATCTTGCCATAGGCTATTTGACACAGTTTCAGCACCACAGAATTAAAATCACAGTTTTAAGGCATAGCTAGCATGTTATCTTTGGGGAACTTTTATCCCCTTTGCTTTTTTAATAAACTGTCTGAGATGTAGCCCAAAACTCCCTAGCTAGGTTTGGTTGTCTGCCTCTTAAGCCAATTCAGTCCTTTCAGCAATGTTCCCTGGAGTCCTTTTCCTGATGCCTGCTGGGCTCTGGAGGATACGTATCAAGGAAAGAACACATTTTTGTGTGTGTATCCTCCTGGCTAAAATACTCAACCTTAAAAATATACATCTCAGATCTCCAAGTAAACCATTTAGAAGGTCATCTAAGAACTTGCTCTTCTGTGTTTGTGTTCAAGTCATGAACAAAAACTTTAAAACTAAAAAAATGTGTGGTTCAATTAATCTCTATTTGTTGTTATGGTCATTAATTAATACCCATTTGCTTCTGCTTAATAATGAAGAAATGATAATGAAGAACTGAAAAAGAAATATTCCTAGATCTTCAATTACTGCAAAACGAACCTTTAAAAGTTTAGATATATCTTGTGAAATTAAAGCCTGGCACTTAAGAGCATCTCTAAAATTGATTTTTATAAAAAGTAGGCCTTCCAAAATCCCGACAATATCCCTGTTAGTGAGCTGCTCTCAGGCCAGAAACAAACACACACAGATAAAAACACAATTTGAACATGAAAAAAAATGGAAAGGTTCTTTTAAATGTTGTTTTAGATGAGCATATAGGTCATATGAATGCACTGTTTTTCAGATACCAGGGCAGTGCTTCTGAACCACTATAGAAAGATTCTGTGCTCTAAGTGCTTCTGAACCACTATAGAAGGATTTTGTGCTCTAAGTGCTTCTGAACCACTATAGAAAGATTCTGTGCTCCCTCTTCCTCTCAGCTGTGAACCCTCATTCAAACCACGTGAGTATCTCTATATCCTTGGCACCTGCAGCAGCAACCAACACATCCATATTAGTCTGTCTAAACTGTACCAGTCTATAGAAAAAAACTTTATGAAAAACATGTTAAAAGGTAAAGTTCTGTACTATGTTAAAAATATTATACGGTTAAAATAAAATGATGTTCAATTAAGAACAATATTAACATAAAGCATCAGTTTAAAATGTTAAACAAGTAAGAGTTGATAGATAACCAACCTATAGTCAATTGCTAGCTCTGGAAGATGTGATTATAGTTGGATAAATTTGACAATAGCAATATTAACAATATGCAATAACATATAATGATACTTTATTTTGTATGAATATGTAATTATAATGAAGATATTACTATTTTGACTTACTATTTGATATACTATTTATTTTAAAGTATAAAAAGAGCTTTGAAATAGTTCATTTTGGTTTCCCTACAATGAGCAGTGTCCCTACGATCAAATGGATGGATAAACAGATTCCATGAGAAAAATAATTAAAGATGGACAATACAATATATTTTTAGGCCATATCAAATCTCTCAGTAATGCACAAGTATTAAAACGGAGTAGGCAGAAGAGTTTGCCAGCTGATGGCCTGCAGAGTGTGATCTGATTGGACAAATTTCAGCCTGATGATAGGGACAGGAGGCAGAGAAATTCTAGGCAGAAAAGGGCAGCCTCCCCAACAAAACCCCACCCTCAAGCTTGATACCACATCCCAAAGTGAGAACTTACATCCCTGTTTTCCCATTTGAATGTTGCCTTTTCCAAAACAACCCATGGCCCACCCCACTCCCCATCACCAGACTCAGCTGGCACAGAGTAGAAGCAGTGGGACACTGGAGACTACAGCTGGACATCATAGGGAAGTGGCTTGACTTTAGAGGGACAGCCTGATGGTGTAACTTTGGAGAAGAATCTGGCCAGAGACAGCTGGACTTCAGGGTAAGACTACCTTCCAGCCCCATACCCTTTCCAGCTCCCCTTCCCACTGACAGCCACTTTCATCAGCAATAAAATCCCCTACATTTACCATCCTTCAATTCATTCATGCAACCTCATTTCTCCTGGACACCAGACAAGAGCTCAGGTGTCACAAGTGCAGATGCAAAAGTCTGTTCCACTGACCCTTTGCCCTGGCTGGGGGAAGGTAGCCACCTCATGGGAAAAGGCAGACGGTCCACTGAGCTGTTAACACTTAAGCCCTCCACAATGGCAGAGCTAAAAGATTATTGTAACACTCTCTCTGGGGCTTCAGAGGTCACAGGCACCTCCTCTAGAAGCTGCCGTGGGGCCAGCACAGAGTTGGTTCCTGCTGGTGCCCAAAAGTGCTTGCCCTAGCTTCTGCATCTGTTCACCCTTGTGCTGTCTCCCATAGTGGGTGGAATGTAGTCAGTTTGAATGAGTGGAGTTCACTCTTACAGGCGAAGGAGTGGCCAGCTGATTCTGGCCTTCACACACTCCAGTTTCCACCTTGTTCGTTCATGCACCACCTCCCACAAAGAGTTGAGAGCTGCGGACTGAGTAAGCCAGGCACCCCTGTTGTGAGTCCCACGAGAGGGTCAGGGAAATATCCTGCTTCACTGATACAGCAGGATTAAAGTGACTGACAAACTGATTAGGCATTTCCCAGAACAAGTTAGTCAGGAATCACACAGAAAATTTTGCTTCTCTTGTTTACGATGGCAAGCTGTTTCTCAGATCTGAGTTGCAGAGTGTAAGAGAATTTTAGCTCAATGAAGTGACAAATTTTGGCACAGTTTACATCAAGAGAAACTTGAGAGAAAATTTTAAATTTTAAACAAATGCCTTGGATAATAAATGGTAAAGGATGTAAGTACTTATATTAAAAGCATTCTATAAAATATTGCAGAAACCCATTTTAATCACATTAATCAATTTGTCATTTTAGATGGCAGATTTGGGTGAAAATTCAATTGGTATCTTTTCTTTCTGTAAGAAAAGCTGACATTTGAATCTAGAATGAAACATATGGAAAAACTGATTATGTAGTAGGGTAAATGCAAAAGGGTGTGAAAGGAAAATAAATCTCAGGACCTCAAAATCACTAAGCTAAGGGAAAGATCAAGCTGGGAACTATGTCAGGCAAGTCTACCTCCCATTTTATTCCTAAATAAGATAGCTACAAAGATAAAAAAGCTACATACTTCCCTTATAATTTACCCACAAGAAAATTCTTTGTTGGTCTGAAGATCTTTACCCTAAAATAGTTTTTTTGAATTTCACCCTAGCAATGTAAACTGATAGCTTATCTTCACAGATGCCAAAATCTTCCCTCCCCTCACCTGAGAAAAATGCATATCTGATTTCTTCTTCTGCCCTATCATTTATGCAAAAATGCAGATTCACTGAGCCAAACTAAATTGTGTATTTAGTGAAGGTTGATCAATGACTCAAAAGAAAATGCAACCTTTTGTGTCTTATCTACCTATGATCTGGAAGCTCCCTGCAACTCCTTACAGCTTGCTCTTATACATTTTAAGGAGACATGAGACTAGACATCAATCCATATGTATAAGATGTACATTCATGTCTCATGTCTCCCTAAAATGTATAAGGGTAAGCTGTACCCTGACCACGTTCGGCACATATCATCAGAACCTCCTGAGGTCCTTAAGGTGTGTCCTTAACCTTGCCAAAATAAACTGTCTCAGTTGATTGAGATATGTCTCAGACACTTTTGAATTCACAAGGGTTAAAGATAATGAGATGACTTGTTCCTCTGCTTCTCTCACTAGGCTCTGTGACATTGGTAAAGTCAAAATAATTGCCTACATTCCCTTCTCCCCTCTCCCTATGAAGAAGGGTACATATAAACAATTGCACCTCATTGGACTATTGAGTAGTCACATGCTTATGACTTGCCCAAGTGCACATTCACTCAATTTTATACGCCTTTTTCCTATTAATATACCTTTTGTCAGTTCAAATTCAGTGAAACTTCAGAGGGAAAGAAACAGCTTCTCCTCTTTGACCCTATGCTATTCAAGACTATATTAACTTGAGGAGAAAAAGAGAGGGAACTTGATCAAGGACTTATCTACTGGACCTTTAAAATTACTAATAAATTTTAGTTTTTAACCTGTTTGGCCAATCAGTATTTTTATACTATTGTTGTTGAAGTTGTATATGCTGTCCTAATTTATGTAAGGTATGTTTCATCAAAAACAATAACAGAAAACTTAGACTGCATTTGTCATCTAAAGTAATCAGATTTGGTCTGATAGTTTACCAAAAAATATAATTTAAATCTCTGAATTGGTTTTACACTTGAACATTAAGTTATCCTTTTGTTTTTTGGGGAAAAATGGTTATCTTGCAGATACAAGTCATTCTTAGGAACTCGGTCATGAAATTCTGCTGTCAGAGGTTCTGAACAGTGAGAAATATATTTTAAGAATTTCCAAAATGAATACCACTCGTGGATTACTCTCATTTGTAGTGCCAGAAAGGAAGTAATTCCTTTCTTTCCCATTATGAAAGGTCACACTCTACATGCCTATAACAAATGACAGGTTAATGACAGAAAAGCATAACAAATTTGTTATGTGCCCAAATGTGCACAGAAGTCATGCGAAATATAAAAGTCAAAAAAAAAAAAAAAAGATGGTTGATGTTTAAATGCCCTCTTCATTGAGGAGAGAGGAGATGGAGGTGCAGGAGTAAATTATTTTCAGGGAAATGAATGAGCCCAAAGAACAATTGCTGCCTGGGCCCAAGTTTCTCTGAGTTCTGGGGTGCATGGCAGGAAGGTGAGGAACTGAACTTTGCTGTAAACAAAGGTTGTCTTATTACCAGATGACGATTTCCACGTAATCTCTCAGACCTACCCTCAGAAGAAAAGATGATAGCACATGGTAAGAATGTCTCTGTAAGACCTTTAAAAGTGTCAGATTTTAGTCTCCTTTTCCTATGAGTTAATATTTCCTAGCTCTGGATAAAGAGGGACTCCAGAGAAAGCCTGTTTGCGTCTACTATTTACTTCATTTCACTAATGTAGATTTCCTCTACAGATGTGAATCTCCCTCACAGAAGGTAGGTCTTCAAGGCTATTCTTCCAGTGGCAACGCCTCTGAATAGCCATCTCAAAATATGCCAAAGAAGTATAGTTGAGGGGTGAAATATTCTGGTTATTTTCATCCTATTTTCCATTGTGATAACTGCAGAGAAAAATTGCATTAACTTTGGGCATCACCATACATATTGTGGTGTATTTCTTTTTTTTTTTTTTATTTTTTTATTTTTTTTTGAGACGGAGTCTCCCTCTGTCGCCCAGGTTGGAGTGCAGTGGCACGATCTTGGCTTACTGCAACCTCCACCTCCCGGGTTCATGCCATTCTCCTGCCTCAGCCTCCCAGGTAGCTGGGACTACAGGCGCCTGCCACCACACCCGATTAATTGTTTGTGTTTTTAGTAGATACGGAGTTTCACCGTGTTAGCCAGGATGGTCTCGATCTCCTGACTTCATGATCCACCCACCTCGGCCTCCCAAAGTGCTGGGATTACAAGCGTGAGACACCGTTGCCTGGCTGGTGTATTTCTGTTTCTTTTGCTTCACCTCCTCCTCTTTCTCTTCCAGACACTGCTTTTAAAATCAAAGTAACTCTACTGTAGGTAAAAATTACCACAAACTCTGAATAATTATTTCATGGTTATTATCACAGAATATTTTCATTTCAGCTTTTGTTTAGGCTGAAGGTATTTCTTCTCCAAAATCACCTGAAGAAGGAAGAATCCTCAACTGGCAAATAATTCCTGAAAGAGTTTACTTAAAACTGCACTATAATTATCATAAGTTACCTAAAATACTGGCAGCAAGTAAAATTCTGTGGAAAAACATAACACAAGTACGACTACAGAATCTTCATAGAAAACTTCTAGTATTAATATATAATACATATTTTTATACATATGTATATTTTTTTGAGACAGTCTCGCTCTGTTGCCCAGGCTGGGGTGCAGTGGTACGATCTCAGCTTACTGCAACCTCTGCCTCCTGGGTTCAAGTGATTCTCCTGCCTCAGCCTCCCAAGTAGCTGGGACTACAGGCATGTGCCACAATGCCCGGCTAATTTTTTGTATTTTTAGTACAGACGGGGTTTCACCGTGTTAGCCAGGATGGTCTCTATCTCTTGACCTTGTGATCCACCCACCTCGGCCTCCAAAAGTGCTGGGATTACAGGCGTTAGCCACCGCATCTAGCCTATATTCTTTAAATAACTCAACTTCCTAAAACATATGACATGATTGGTTAAAAATAAATAAGACAAAAACAAACAAACAAAAAAACCAAAACAAGCAGTCAAAAATAAAATAGAAAACCCAGAATATAGGCTGACCTATATAGTCTTTATGTGGTTCAAGAACAAACAGAACCTGGGCAAGAACTGCAGTCTTTTCCATTTAAGCTAATCATCCAGCAAAGCCAAGAACCACCTGGGAGTAAGTAAGTTGTCCCTCCCTTAGGTGGTTTTGGTTGATTGGCAAAGCATTAAAAAATATATGGCAATGTGTGTTATTTTTCTCCTTTCTCTTCTCTATGCTTCTTTTCTTCTCATCTCTTTATCTTTATGGGGGAAAAAAAAAAGAGTCATTAGTTTCATCCTTTGAACTTCCCTGGGCCCCTCTCCAACTGCTATATTTAAGTAAAACAAATTTTAATTGTTAATTTTCCCAGTCACTCACATTCTATTCATACATCAGCTAGAAACAATTGATAAGTTTCTAGTTTCTATGACTATGTCAGATAATGTCTATCAAGTACACAACACAATCTCTGGCAAGTTGGAGGTGCCCAGTCACCATTAATCTTTTATTTCACACTTTAATAATCATTCTTTTTGCATTCAATCCAATAGTTTGCATAGGTCTCAGGAATTTTATCTAGGAATTCATCAGCCCCTAAAAAACTCTAAGGATACCTGGGTAGGGTTTCTAGTCATTGTTTATTATTTTTTCTTATAAATAGAACTCCTATAAAATTCTCTATCATTTGTTGGGGCAGGATATATAATTATTTGGATAAAGAAAAAATTACAATTAAAATGGGTCATTGCTACACACAAATCATTGAATGTGCATAAGTGTGGACAGAACCTCAAGACTGAGCCTCCTGACCTATATCTTTTCACAAGCACTCTAAAAGCATAACAATAATAAAGTGGAAAGCATACATTATCTTTTTGAATTTGCTTTGCTTAGCATTATGTTGGTGCTGGATTTATATCTCCCTGTTATTTCAAGGGATTGAACCAAAGTCAATGTTGGGTGGCTCTGTGAATTTGCATTGACTACTCGAGCTATTTAACTTGGTATCACTTTCCTAACAATACACAACAGCCACAGCAGGAAACCATCCCTGAAGAAAAATCTAGCAATGCTGGAAAAAATATTCTAGTTTGGAGACTTGTGTTCCCATTTCACAAATGCTGTAGTTAGTCACATGGATCACATAATGAAAAGCTTGCAACAACCATTTGAGGTCTGCGCTGGTCATTAGCTAAGTGAGGGAAGTCTCCATAAGCCTGCATGAGTAATTTGTAAGTGAGACAGTACCAAATGATATGTCTACCCTATAGCTTTTTTTTTTTTTTTTTTTCCAAATGGTTGGAAATCCCTTGGTATAGGCATCAGTTTGGAGGTAAATGTGGAATTTTACTTAAACTATGTATAGTGAGGGATTGACCCTTTAGGTGTCAGACTTGGCAGCTGAGCTACATGGAAAATACATAAGTAGGAAAAGAAACCCAAACACTAGAGAGAGGTGAATGCCAATGTATCATTCATATCTGTGGCAGTCCCTATTGTGTATTCTGTATCAAGTAATCATTGTATAGTACTTAATACTTGGTGCACTAGCATATGTGCTGTTGCCATGTAATTCCCTACTATCAAAACCTTGACAGGGATCAAAGCTGATTCTCAGTTTGTATATGAAGCTGCTAAGCATTGTAACAAAGCTTTGAAATCTAACCTTTGAAACAAATGATAAAACTAGAAATAAGAAAACTTCAAATGAAATTTCAGAACAGACCACTACCTTCTAAATGTTAATCACACTGACTTCCAAGTATAGGTATTCAATAAATATTTGTTGAAATAAGCGGAATTCCAAAACAAACAGTTCTGCTGTTATTATTCAGTCAGAATTACTTAGGCTTATTCCCAAGGATAATAAAAGGGAGTACGTTAAAATTTTTCCTATACAGATGAGAATCATATGAGTAATTTAACTTTTAACAAGCTGAGAACCTGTTAGTTTGGAAGCAGCAACCTATTCTAAGTATAGAATGTGGAGCTAATCCTCAATTTAAATTCTGTTCTCGTTAATTTCTTTTTAATCTTAATGATACTGATGATGAAAATAACAGCAGACTTGTATGATTAATTAAAAGATTTAATGGTTAAAAATATGCTAAATAGAGGAATATGCAGGTAAGTATTTCTGAACATTTGCTGTTGAGGAAAGATTGGGGCAGAGTGTCTACAGACTACAAGATTCTTTCCTTTTCAGATGCAGGATCTGAAATTGACCACAAAGAAGAATCCCAACCACTTCACTTATAACCCACTGCCTCTCTCAGAATCAGACAAATATATTTCAATCAACTGCAGACAAAGGGAATCTGGAAATCAATACAGGTTGTAGAATATTATTTAGAAGATAGTGCAATAAATTGGATTCTACCAAAAAAAAAAAAAAAAAGATTTAAAGCCAAACATTTGGTGCTTATAAATTGTGCAATTTTTACAGATTAATTAGTTCTCTAAGAGTTAGTTTCTTTGTCTGGAATATTATTTGTTATTGGAAACAAACTAAACAATTGATAAAGAAGCTAGCACAGTACCTAGCACATTGTTTACACAGTTGCAAGTTACCACCCTTCTCTGCCTTCCGACCTCTCATGAGTATTTTTGTCTTCCCATTCGCAGTCATCTCCAATTATTTGACTATCCATGCAAAATGGCCATACTTTTAAACTTATTAAGATGAATAAGGAGCTTCTAAAGAGAATGTATTATATTATTTTTTAATATAAGAAAAAATCTTTTAAATGTAAGAAGAAAAACAGGTAGAATCGAGTACTGAAGATTCAATTCAAACATTATAAAGATGAGAAGAGAGATACTATAGCATTTTCAAACAAATAGGAGCACTGAATAGTCTGGTTCGTCAGTGTGTAGGTCCTATTATTGGCATTGAAGGGAAAATACAAATATTGATAATGGTTGTTTTTCACTGATAGAACCAGTAATCACCATTGACAGGTTTTCTCCTTGATCAAACTCTAGCCAGACTCCTTGGAGCCCTTTCTCAGCCTCAATCTTGACCTATAAAGATTTGAACAAAACACTAACATGATTTCTAGCAGCTCAAGGTCGCATCTCTAGGATGACCCGAGTTCCACTTAATGTGTCTGCCTGAGAAAACTAAAGGCTGTCAGAAGCATTTACTATTTGTTTTCACTAGCACCTGAAGATAGGGCTCCAGTCTCCCAGTTTCTGTGAGAGAGTAGGAGCCTAATTTCTGTAAGAACCAGACAACAAACCCAAATGGGTTTCACATGGACCAATATCCCTTCCTAATTTTTGTAATTTTTACTTCCCTGACTCTACTAGGCTGCTGCTTACCCCCTTTCTATTACCCTGTTCAACCTTTGAAATGCTGAGTGACTTCCATACAAATCCAAGTTAAGTTCTGTTAATGCTGGAATTCCTTTCCTATTGCAATAGTATATTACGGATTAAAACCTGTCCTTACCACTTCAACTAATATCTGAATTTTTTTTGTCTTTGACATCTTATGTAGACCCAATATAACTAATTAGGATCTTGGGTATTTTCCCAGAGCCACTATCTGTGGCAGGGAAATTGCAGAGTGTATCATCCTTTTTGTGATATATACTGCCAGAATAAGTTTGTAATCTATATGTAGTGCACTGAAAAAATCTGAAGATTTGAAAGCACAGGTGGTGTATACATCTTTTCTTATAATTGATACTGATAGAGCAAATACATTTAAATTGGAACTGAGGTGCTATATAGAAAAATTGGTCTTGCATTTGATCTTCAGTGTAGTTCACAAACTAGAATGATGATCCTCCTTCTTTACAGAGAAAACTGAGATAGTTAGATACGATTACATGACTTTGCTCTCACAAGCTTTCCTGTACCCTTGTACAAGCGTCTATATTTAACTCTTCTATAAGGCTTTTCCTTTCCCTGTGAAGTTAAGTGCACTCCTTCCAAAGTCCTCCAGAATCTTGCTCTGTTGATATCCTTACTCGTAATTATTAGTCCACTGACACTGAATTCTATTCTTTAACCCATTTCTCTCTTCTGTCACTGCAAATACTTCTGAGAAGATGTTTTGCTCTTACAGATACTCAATACCTCATCACCACTCATCACACTGTAGCCCCATGCCAAAAGTCAGATTGCTTATAGAATATTATTTGGGAGGCAGCATGGTAAATTAAACAACAACAAAAAAAAAGCAAGAAAAGAAAGGCTCTTCCTAAAACACTAGCCTAATCATTTGTTTTGAGTCATCACCATATGTGGCCTTGCTATAGCAACACTATTGTTAATCCTAATTTTCTCCTGAAATATTCTGTTTTTCTGTCTTAGTAAAAGCTATCCATCTGTCTTTCCTGTTGTTTTTCCATGTATTCTGTTTTTGTTATTTTTTTAACTTGGGTTTTATGTTACAAGATTTCAGAGAGTCTATGAACACTCTTGAGGGTGACTGCGTATTTACATGGGAGATGGTTCATAAATTTGATCACTGTATAGAAAGGCCAATGAAAGTCCAGTATAAGGCCTGCTCTGCAAAGTAGTATTTATGGATAATCTCATATTTTGGTGGCAAATTCTCTCCTGAGCTCAAGAGCTTCATTTCTATTTGGTAATCTCTTCCCCCACCATTATCACAGACACACACAAAATCCCCATCTCTACCAGCTTCTGCCACTCACAAGAAAATATTTGTCCTAGTTTTTCAATGTCTTATTTCAGTTTATGATGTTGGCTGTCCCAAATCAAAAAACTTGCACTAATGTTTTTCCCTTATTTAATTTCCTCCACCATATCTAATCTGTCACAAAGTCTTGCCAATTCTACCTCAAAGATATCTTTAAAATAAAACAGGAGAAGAGGAAGATTAAAAAAACAGATGATAGTAACTGTAAACAATAGCTCAGTGCCCTAACACATCACACACTCATGTCTTCCTTGCTTCCCAGCTCTAGTCAGGTAGAGAGATTCTGCTAGACAGCAATAGTCTTACTACAGGCTTAAGAATACTAGTTCCTTACGTTGTGTAATCCTCCATAGGCGAGGCCTTCGCTTCCAGCTGTCCAAGAAAAGAACAAACACAAAAGAAGATTGTGAGACTTTTAAAGACCAAGTCTGGAAGTGGCTTAAATGGCTCCAGCTCACACATCACCACCAGATGTATTCACACAGACACATCTAGTTGCTAGGAGTCTGGGAAGTAGGTTCTTCCTATGTGACAGTAAGGTGTGGGCAATGAAGATGGTTCAGGGGCCACATGACATTACTTCCTCCACATTTGCTCAACCTCAAGACCATTCAAATATAAATGCCATGTTGACATTTCTCAGACTTCACAAATGTTATGCATTTCTATTGCCACATCTCCCAGCTTATACCTCTATAGCACTTTTAACACACAGTTCATTAATTTCATTACACACTTCTCTGCACTTTTCCAGAAGCCCTCCAATATCAAGTACAGTCTTTAATTACTCTTTGTATTTTCTAGTTTGTAATACATGGTAATACTTCTAAAATGCTTGTTAGATACACTCACTCACTTAATATTACTAAGCAATTTTTTACCATTTTCCTAGAGGAAACATATATTTTAAAATGTAATTATATATATATTAGGTATATATTAAAATTATCCAAGTTGAACAGTAATGTTTCATATATTACATTTATATAAAATTTAATTTATAAAGGTGAATCTATATTTTTCTCATTTTACCCATAAAAAATTATAAAGTTAATTAACTAATATAGACATGCTAATGGCAGTACCAACATGTTATTTCATTCCACTCAATACCTAGGGAAAAGCATATTAGGAAAATGATGTTTACAACTCACAATTGTTCATCTAGGCAAGTGACTAATTAATTTTATTATGAGGTAATTTTTACTTTCCATAAATTAGAGATCATACAAAATATTGAGTAATTTTTTTCAATTTGTATTCATTTCAGAACAAAACACTGTATAAATATACATCTTTGCCAAAATAAAGTTAATTTGATCACTCTAGTTTTGATCTAATTTCCTCACACTCGATAGGTGTGAAATCTAAAAAATAACAGATGAAAAAGTTAAAGATGAAAAAAGAAACTGGGAAAAGCTGCACATAATCCTATTTACTATAATAAAACATAGTGTTAAAAGAGTGGCCTGTTTATTTTTACTTTTCTCACTGAAATACTTAACAGGGAGCATAGCTGCTAGTATTTTCTAAGACCTGAGAATAAGAAATCATTTTGTTTCCTTGAATAAAATTCCATTTCACTTTTATAATAGTTTTGAATGCCAACAGAACACAATTATTTTAAAAATATTGTATATCTGTTTTATAGAGCTATGAACAAATATTTATGCCCATCACTTAGTCATTTATTAAATGACAACTTTAAATGTCACATCATCATTACTATATTATTTCTTTCCAATATAGATAATGAAAACATTTAAAATGATGTTTGCATTCATTCACCAACAATTGGACAGCTCTATTGAATATTTCCTAATTTAACTAAATCAATTTTTTCCAAGCACAATAATAAAGGAATTGATTATCTTATAAAATGTAAATCTATTTTCATATAACCTTCATTTTGTATTTATTTTGCTAATTGCACCACTGCACTTCCACATATCTAGGTTTGAAGCCTATAGCCCCCTGTATTTTTCCCCACATCCAATTATGTACAATGTCTTGTTGCTTCTTGCTTAAAAATACTTCCTGCACTTAATTTTTTCTTTCCACTTCAGCTATTTTATTAATTTAGTTGCTTTATTTTTTAACATAATACCTTGATCATGAAATATCCTTTGAATGGTCCCTTTACTTCCATTTGATCCCTAGTTAGCTGGCCCTTTACCCTCATTCTAGAATTATACTTTTTTATCTTTGGTTACATAGCTTAGTTGAACACTTTACATGGCATATGTCCATAAAAAAAGTCCAAATTTAATATCATCCAAAATCTATCCAGTTCTGTATTTACAAGTTTATCTACAACTATTTATCCAATACAATTATCTAGTCACAAAACATTGTTGTTCACATTTTCTGAACATCTCCCTTATTTCTTTTACACAACCCAGTATCCAGAAGTGGAATGACTTGCATTATCTCAACTCTGAAAATTTGCTCACAGCAGTTTTTTCCCTTGAAATGCCTCTCACAATCCATTTTATAATCCTATCACTTTTGCAGTGCCTTGTTCTGATAATATGCTTTTATGAAGTCTTCTCTAAGAGCCCAGACATAAATGTTTTCCAATGTCCTCTGATCTCTACTTGTACCTTATTTATGGAATTCATACAACACATTATAGACAACTTTGAGAGATGTCTGATCATATTTCCTCTAAGAAACTATTAAGAACTGTGTCTTTTTATATCATCAGTTTCTATGCCTTAACATATAATAAAAACAAACAAAATCGATTTAATATTGTACAATGTCTAATCCCACTAGTCTAGACACACATGTATGAAAAACTCAAAACTAAATTACTATTTCACAGATAAAATTAGTAAAACCAAAAGATGGTAATATCAGCCACATTAACATATCACTGGTTGAGTTGTATTGCAGGGAGAATATTTGTGAAAGGAATTTGGCAATGGTTACTCTAGACTTTAAAACCTAGTGCCTGCAAATTTAAGTTTAATATGGCATCTGGCCAGCATCCACTGGCTCCCTTTTCTAAATTCCTACCAAAACAATTACCAAGACAGGATAAAAAAAGAAAAACACACAGAGATATACACACAAACACACACACACACACACAGACGTTGAAAATTAGGACCAACAGTCAATCAGTTTTCATAATCTTGAAGAAAATCAGACTAATGGTACGGCTGATAAAAATGAATAAAAATAATTTCAATAAATTTCAACTGATTATTGTTACCTTATGCTATACTAAAAGAAACAGCACAAGTCCGTATGAAATGTGTAGGGAGAAGTTGCCTCTTTCTCAACTGGCCTCTCTCTAATTTAGAAACGCAAGAGCTACAGAAAACTACAAATTATGTAACTAAATTATTTTATGGGTGCTCTTAAATACTCTGTTCAAATTGTAAAAGTGCGTCTTTCCCTACATGTAGACAAACTACCACGTCCAGAAAAAGCTCACAAGGAATAGGGAGATGGAGACAGGACCGTTCATAGAAGAACATCTAAAGTATGGCAATCTTAAAGCAAGTGAGAGGTGACAGCGTGCTGGCAGTCCTCACAGCCTTCGCTCGCTCTCGGCACCTCCTCTGCCTGGCCTCCCACTTGGGCGGCACTTGAGGAGCCCTTCAGCCCGCCACTGCACTGTGGGAGCCCCTTTCTGGGCTGGCCAAGGCCGGAGCTGGCTCCCTCAGCTTGCAGGGACGTGTGGAGGGAGAAGCGCCGACGGGAACCGGGGCTGCACGGGGCGCTTGCGGGCCAGCGCGAGTTCCCGGTGGGCGTGGGCTCGGCAGGCCCAGCACTCGGAGTGGCCAGCCGGCTCCGCTGGCCCTGGGCAGTGAGGGGCTTAGCACCTGGGCCAGCAGCTGCTGTGCTCAATTTCTCCCTGGGGGGCCTTAGCTGCCTTCCTTCGGTGCAGGGCTCGGGCTCGGGACCTGCAGCCCGCCATGCCTGAGCCTCCCCCACCTCCATGGGCTCCTGTGTGGCCTTGAGCCTCCCCGACAAGCACTGCCTCCTGCTCCACGGCGCCCAGTCCCATCAACCACCCAAGGGCTGAGGAGTGTGGGCGCACTGCAAGGGACTGGCAGGCAGCTCCACCTGCACCCCCGGTGTGGGATCCACTGGGTGAAGCCAGCTAGGCTCCTGAGCCTGGTGGGGACGTGGAGAACATTTATGTCTAGCTCAGGGATTATAAATGCACCAATTGGCACTCTGTATCTAGCTCAAAGTTTGTAAACACACCAATTGGCACCCTGTGTCTAGCTCAGGGTTTGTGAATGCACCAATCGACACTCTGTATCTAGCTAATCTGGTGGGGACTTGGAGAACCTTTGTGTTTAGCTCAGGGATTGTAAAGGCACCAATCAGCGCCCTGTCAAAACAGACAACTGGGCTCTACCAATCAGCAGGATGTGGGTGGGGCCAGATAACAGAATAAAAGCAGGCTGCACGAGCCAGCAGTGTCAACCCCCTCGGGTACCTTTCCATGCTGTGGAAGCTTTGTACTTTTTCTCTTTGCAATAAATCTTGCTGCTGCTCACTCTTTGGGTCCACGCTGCCTTTATGAGCTGTAACACTCACCGTGAAGGTCTGTAGCTTCGCTCTTGAAGCCAGAGAGACCACGAACCCACCGGGAGGAATGAACAACTCCAGACGTGCCGCCTTAAGAGCCCTAACACTAACCGTGAAGGTCCGCAGCTTTGTTCCTGAGCCGGCGGAGACCGCGAAACCCACCAGAAGGAAAAAACTGCCAACACATCCGAACATCATAAGGAACAAACTCCTGACATACCGCCTTTAAGAACCTTGAGGCGGACATACCGCCTGGAAGTCAGGGAGACCAAGAACCCACCAATTCCGGACACACAAGTACAGGTGCTGAAAGACACCAGGTCTAATTCTATTTTTCCAGAAGCTTTAGCTAGTCTTGTTTTTCAGGCACCTAGGAATTGGAGAATGAAGAAGTCAGCTTTTATCAAGCAGTAATAGATTGTAGCATTGAAAATCTGATTACATGCTAATTTTGCCCAGTGTATATGTGAGAAGAGGGTTTGACTTAAGCCAGGGGAGTGAGTAAGGACTAAACAATCCACCAACATAGTTCTTAACAAATAAACAGAGTCTAAATGAATATCTTTGTTCATGCATGAGTAACAGAAAAATAATAATTAACTGAGTGAATAAATATTGAAAGCTAATAAACAGGGAAATAGGAAATATCATTTTGAATATTCAAAGAACCAGACTGAAAATAATCTGCTTCAGGCAACAGAAGAAAATATTGAAACCTCTAAGCATTGTGAGTAACGTGGACTTCTTTTTTGAAAAAGGGAGAGGGGCGTGGTGGCTCACGCCTGTAATCCCAGCACTTTGGGAGGCCGAGGTGGGCAGATCACGAGGTGGGCAGGAGATGGAGACCATCCTGGCTAATACGGTAAAACCCTGTTTCTACTAAAACTACAAAAAATTAGCTGGGCTTGGTAGCATGCGCCTGTAGTCCCAGTTACTCAGGAGGCTGAGGCAGGGGACTCTCTTGAACCTGGGAGGTGGAGGTTGCAGTGAGCTGAGATCGTGCCACTGTGCTCCAGCCTGGGTGACAAAGCGAGACTACATCTCAGAAAAAAAAAAAAAAAGGCGGGGGGAGAGAATCAATCCAAAATTTATATTACACAGAGCAACTGAAAAGGAAAAGAGGTGAAATAAAGATGAATTGCTAGTAAACTATGCAACAATATCAACCTTGAAGGCTACAAACCCAGAATTTACATACATTGTCAGACATAAACTTATATATAAGAAAAATACAAAATTGAAAGTGAACTAATGAATTTTAAATGTTTTTGAAGAAAAAGAATAATTCTGTCCAAAGCAACAATGAACCATTTAGGAAAACTATCTTGTACTAAAGCAAAATCATCTCAAAAAAAAAAAAAAAGTAGAAAAACACAGAAATTTGATTAAAACAGTAAGGTAGAGGACCTGGTAAAATTAGATATATTCATATATGCTGGTTAATTTGACAACCCAAATGAAAAGAATAGTTTTTAGAATAAATATAAAATATCAAAGTTTCCTAAAAATAAATTGTATCTGAAGTAGAACAATAAGCATTAAAGGCAATACACTATTAAAGTAAATACGGCCTGAGAAGGACTCTGTACTTCTATATTTGAGTCCTTCTGGATGAACTAACCTAGCTTAAATAGTCAGACGACATCGAAAACCTAACTTAGCAGTATAAGCCTGTAACAATAACTGAGGTTTGGCCAATCCCAGCGGCCGTACTTCAACCATTCATAGCTAAGTGTTCAACCTGTGTTCAAATGAGGCAAACGCCAACCTGTAACCAATCTAGCTGTTTCTGTAACTGATTGTAGACTTCTGTACATCATTTTCCCTTTTTTGTCTATAAATCTTCTTCCACCACGTGGCTGTGCGGGAGCCTCTGTGAATCTGCTGTGATTCTGGGGGCTGTCCCATTCACGAATCATTCATTGCTCAATTAAACTCCTTTAAATTTAATTCGGCGGAAGTTTTCCTTTTATCAAAACCCAAATGTTGGCAGTAATTTTGGTAAATATAAGAAGGAAACAAGGAGAAGTGAGAGATAATACAGGGAAAAGGACTTATTTTAGGTGGAGAAGTCAAGGAAGTTCTCTTGCAGGAGATCAGCTGATAAAAATACATTGCAAACGAATTTTTATATTTTACTATATTGCATATTTTTCAAATTTATACAATGGACTAAGAAAATATGTATTCTTATTTTAAAGTCTAATTCTTTTGATAGAGTAATCTCATTTTTCAAATACTTTTCAGAATAAATATAAAATACCAACATTTCCTGAAAAATTGTATTTTCAGTAAAACAATAACCATGAAAGAAAACACATCCAAATGTTGGCAGTGATTTTGGTAAATGGTAAGAAAAAAATACATAAGGAGTAGTGGGAGATAATGCAGGGGAAATGAATTTATTTTAGATGGAGTAGCTGTGATTTACTGAAAAGAAAAATTAAGGTTTTAGAGGAACTCATTTGCAAATATCATTTAAATTTTTTTTTCAAATGGGATTACTAATTTTGAGAAACGACACAAAATGTTTTAGCTTTTTTTGCATAATGGTGTTCATTACTTTTAGATAGAAAATTTGGAATAAGACATAAAGGTTATAATAGAAAAACAATTCTACAAATTTTATAGAAAAAAACTGAAATATGTTAAATTCACTATTGTTGCATAATAGGAACATGAGTGAGCTAATCCTTGTGTATTTTCTTTAAAACAACTTAAACTTTTCTGTCCAGGTAAAGGTAAATATATAATATCATGCTCTTTGCTTAAATGTTACCAAATCTTCTCTTGTGAAAAATCAGCTCCTACTAATAAATAACTTTATTTGTCACTACAAATGATCTCTAAATTAAATACCTTGTTAAGGTAGCCCTTTTCATCTAGTTTTTAAATTCAAGCTCTGGAGATACCTTTCTAATCATCTGAACAACTTGACATTTATCATTTGGGCTCTGATACATATTTACTGCATTCTATCCAAACAGGATGCACAAAATTTGCATCCAAAATTAGTTATGTTCCTTTAGTATATTTATCAGCAAAACTGATACTGAATGATATAAATTCTGCAGTTTGAAGTGGATCTGTTAGACTCCCGAGAACAATAAGTCCTGAAGTTATTTCACCAAGCCTATGGAGTAACATTTTTACTGTGTAACTTGTAAAGCTGAATAAGCTAGCTTTACTCTAAATCTTCTGTTATGGAATAGCAAAGGGAATCCTGTAAGGTTGCTCCTCTCCAATTAGTTCTTACAATGAGGTAACAGTATTGCCTATGCTGAGTACATGCAGGGTTTTTTGTTTGTTTGTTTCTTTTAACAATGCAGTGGGAAGAGAACACACTATAGCCGAATTTTTAAGAAACCACACAATATTAACTATTAGCCACTTTTTAACGGTTATCATACAATAACCCTCTACACAAAATCTGTACTAGAAAAATGGTCTAATCCCAGGTTTCATTTTGAATTTTTTATTTTCTAAAGCTGCTGCTTTTGCCAATGCCATTTTTTTTCTGTTTAAAAAGTGTATCTTTTCCGCTACGTCAGCTTGAGTGCCATCTCAAATAATAGTTCCTCCATCAAAATAACACTAATGAGTAAAAGTTATTTTTCCTTCTGATTACTTGTATCATTCAACTCAATAGATGTTTTCATTATTATTTACATATACAATTATTTTCTACAGCATTATGTGAATATTGGTAAATTTCCATTAAAATATAACTTTTCAGAGATAATTGCATTGAGTGTAGTCATAATCACATTTTTGTGTAGGACAGTGAAAAAGATCCATTTTGTTCATTCTTCATAAAATCTTCATATATAATTGTTCCAAATGGATTTTTAGGTCAATTTTTTCCTTTGGAAGTATAACAATAACAATTTGATCATGTTTGGTTCATATACATTTTCCCAATTACACTGATTGCATATTTTAATTTTTATTTTTAACAGTATGTAACAAAATAAATAAATAACACTACAGAGCTTGTATGAAATTGGCAGTTGTTTCACCACTTCCTTCCAAATATTCCCTTTCCTCAGTAACAATCACTTTTATTTATTTTTGCTGATTCTTTTTATGTTTTTTCATATATCTAAATAATCTGATATTTACCTTAATGCTTATACATAGTCACAGTTCAGTGTTTCTATAAATGACAATGCTAGGATTTAACAAGGCCATATGACTTGACTAAAAATGATGTCAGTCCTGTTTAGGGTTCTTAATGAAAAACTAACAGACACAGGGAAGAAGGAGTTTCTTTGTCACATTCACCATTTTTTCTTTCTTACATGGATGGAAAAGGATTTTTTAAAAATACATTTTATATAGAAAAACATGTTTTATTTTGATGTTTTGCTCTGGAAGCTCTTACAGTCTGCTGTCCACAAGCAAGCCACACTGTCCTTTGTAGAACAGACCAAAATAAAGAGTCATCTTAGGTTTGAATCAGTTGCTGGCCACAAGGTACAGTTGGGTTCTTGGGATGATTGTGAGTAATGCTTTGGGAAAATAAGAAGGTGGAATAGAGAATTTAAGCAAGGAAGAAGCTTACAAAGCCACTGTAGAATGACTGTCCTCTGGAGGTCCAAAGAGGAAAGTTAAGAATATTTTTTCCTGTTCTCTAGCTTCTGAATGTGTTCTTAAGCAGTTGGTGATAGAATATATTGTTCTTGTTAAAAGCAATTTTTTTTGTTTTTTAAATTCTTTTTAAATGTTTTTATTTTTAAATAACTTTTTAAAAGATTTAGTAAAAATGAGGTCTCACTATGTTGCCCGGGCTGGTCTCTAACTCTTGGTCTCAAGTGTTCCTCCCACCTTGGCCTCCAAAAATGCTGGGATTACAGGTGTGAACCACTGTGCCCAGCAAGACCTGTTTTTCTGTCTTTTTGAAAACACCATGGAAGTTATAACATTTGCGTTCATACCTAAAGGGATTGCATTTTATAATTCCCTAGTCCTCTTCCTTTATTCCCAGTTTGCTTTCACTTTAACCCACCCTGCCCCCTTATTGTTTTTAAACTTTATTTGGTTTTCCTTAACTGACTTTGAAGCAGTTATCTCTTTGGATCTCAGTACCTTTACCGCCCAGAGAAATAATACTTATGCAAATTTGAGGCCCCAGAAAACTATTCTCTGACCATTGACAATTGGTAAACTCATTGGTTGGGCCAATCCCTGCCTGGGGTTGGAGGAATGGATGGTGTGTAGGAATTTGGTTATTTTACCAGAACCATGACACAGATCTGGTCTTCTTGTCCCAAATTCAGTGATGTTGTGATTATTTCATCCTGCCTAATGAATACAAATCTTCATCTAAATAGACCCTATGCAATAATCTGTCTGAGACTAAATTAGCAGCAGAAGAAATATTTGAAAGGAAAGCGTATCTAGAGATAGGATGAGTCGTATTTTTAGTCTCTCAGAGTATAATACTGAGTAAAGTCAGAGTTAGGGAAGTACTTAAATGATAAATGGAAGAGAGATTAATTAAAATGTTAGGCATCAAAAATATTATTAAATTAGAAGAATAGATGCTAAGAATATCAGACACATACACTGTTCCATATAATTATAACGCCTTGTTCTTCCTAACTAAAAATTTCAGTCCATGCTTAAGAAGTTATCCAAACAGGGCAAAAACTACTTGTCACTATCCCTTTGGTATTCAATAAATTCATGGAAACCTAAATATCAGCAGAACAAACAATCATAAGTTATATATTTTGAAGGAGCTCTTAAGCTCTAGGTAGACCCTAGTTATCAAGGAGGACATTGTGGATCACATCTTTGCTTATAAAAAAAGAAAAGTCAAGAAAAAAAGGATAGCATAACAAGCACATGTACTTGACACATGATACAGGATGATTTAAATGTGTTGAGTTATTGGGAGAAAAGGAATACGATGTATATTATGCACAGCAGAAGACATACAAGAATATTCATAGCAGCACTAGTCACAATACCACTAAACTAGAAAGAATATGCATCAAGTAGAGAGTGGGTAAATAAAACTGTAAAGACTTACATAGTGAAATATATAGCATTTGAAACAAATGATCTATAGTGATATACAATAAGAATGTATCATAATAATATAATTATTATTTTCAAACTACCATACATAGCATACTATATTATATACTTGAAACAAGGAAAGCATATATTTTTAGAAATTTGTATACATTCAATAAAACTACACAAATATGAAAAGTGAAGAAAGAATAAACACAGGATTCAAAATCATGTTTAACTCGAGTAGGATGAGGTGCTTACTTGGAAAAAAGGAGAGGTAGAACCTATGGTTAGATGTAGGTTATTGTCAACGCCTTATATTTTATGCACAGAGGTGGGTTCATGAATTGTCATTAGATTATTTAAAATAATGAATTAGCTAGCTAAATAAATAAAAGAGCCCTCTGCCTGGATCTGTGATGAATGTTTGACAAAGAAAGGATTAGAAGGAATTCAGTTCTCTGCGAAATCTAATTGATAGAAGGCAGAGAGAGCTATACTCAGAATGTGTCCCTCCAAAATTCATATGTTGAAGCATTAAATATGGTAATATGATGGTATTTGGAGCTTGCACCTTTGGGAAGTCATTAGGTTGAGATGAAGTTGTGCGGGTGGGTCTTCCTGATGGGAATAGTTCTCTTATAAGAAGAGACCAGAGAGCTTGATCCCTCTCTCTCTGCCCTGTGAGAACACAGTGAGATGGGGGCCACCTGCAAGTCTGGAAGAGAGCCCTCAAGAGGAACCAAATTGTCTAGGACCTTGCTCTTGGATTCTAGCATCCAGAGCTTTGAGAAAAATTTCTGTTAAGTCACCCCTTCTATGGTATTTTGTTATGGCAGTCCAAGCAGAATGAGACATGAAGTATCCAGGGTATGACATTTCTTAGCTCGTCTCCTGTGAATTGTCCCTAGGACAACCAGCTTCTCTTTGTCTAAAGTTGTGAAGCACAAATACCAATCTTCCAAGATGGTAGGTGGATAATTTGTGTCTTTTTTTCTACAAAGAGACCAGAAAAAGTAGCATTCCAATAACTTAATGATATATCCACCTAGAGTCTTTACAAAAGTTCACAATTGTCTGGATTTTCATAGGACTTGAATCTGTAGAAGGATTATAGCAGTTTTCCTTCAGCATAACTATCCAACATGTAGATTTAAAGTCAGGAATATTAAATTAGTAACTTCCTCATTTATATAATGAAAATCACTGATACTTCAATGATTACATGAATTTCATTCCACTAAGAATAGGTAACAATGGTCTAGAGCCACACTGTCCAAGATGGTAGTCATGAGCCGCACCTGGTTATGGAGAACTGCTTTGAGTTAGGATGTGCAGTTTAAAATACAGACCTGATTACAAAGACTTAGTATGAACAAAAAACGTATCTCATTAATAATTTTATTATCAAATACATGTTGTATGAAAATATTTTAGGTATATTAGATTAAACAAAATATATTATTACAATTATTTTCACCCGTTTCTTTTTTTATAATGTGGCTACTAGAAAATTAGAAAGTTCATCCAAAGCACACTATTTCTACTAAACATTGCTTATCAAAACAAATCAACAATGCTCACTAACCATTGAGCCTTTTTTGACTGTTAACTTCCTAGTTCATTAAATGAGATAACAAGAGGTTTCTGCTTTCAAATGTTGAGTTACCAAAGCAACAAATACATGAAAAACTGAAAAATCATTTCTAGAGATCTGTTTTTAGGGACATAATAAAGGGACTTCAGGGAGAAAACTGGGGAAAAATTCTTTATCCTCTATGTTTGGGGCACAGACAGCCCCTAACATTATTAATGTCTTGTGTGAATTAAAATGTAAAAAAAAAACTATGCCTATATAGAAACCAGAAAAACCTAAATACATTCTAATATGATGGCAAAGTAGATGACAGAGTAATAATACAATAATAACTTGAGTAACAAGCAAAGTATTGTCTTTTATATTTATTATGTGTATATAATATTACTTTTATAATATTTATTATATGTATATTTTATGTATTATAAAATAATTTAATATAGTATAAATATAAATTAAATACTTTATATTTTAAGTTGTTCAAAGTAGCTTGATGAATGAGCTGAGCCTCTTAAGTAACAAAAGTTAATATCTTTTCAGGAAAGAATTTCAAAAGATCAGCTTCCAAGTCTGAGATATCCATCAGAAGTCCTGAGTGGAATAATCTAGTTTAGAATATTCTTACATTTCAACCTGAAACCATTGCACACCCACACATAATTACACACAGACACACCAACAAATACAATTCTAGATAAGACAGAGGCCCTCCAGTAGGAAAAGTTAAGTAAAGAACTAAAATCCTCAGAGCATTAGCACTTCGCATAATCCCTCTCTACTCAAGCTCTCAGTGGGGTTCTTTTGCTTTGCAGATTAATATAAAATCCCAGCCTGGCATTCATCATCTGCCACTTAAGTTACTTCTTCAATACTTACTTTTTCCCATATCTTACGAGAATCCCGTCCTCCTGTCAAACTAGACTGCCACCATGCTCACTAGCTTGACCTCCCTTCGCCAGTCCCTCCACCCGTGCCTCCACCAATGCCTAACTCACCCAGAACAAGATTGTGCCTATTGTACATAATCCTCAAATTGCTGCCCAAATGCACCACCCTTCCTGATGTTTAAAGAATTCCTCTATTATACTCTTACTGTTTTCCTCCTGTGTTAATCCACATAAATTAATTTGGCCATGAACATTTCAAATTTTTAATTGCAATTATTCTGTTTTCCATTCCAAATATTAAACTACAGACTTTATCAAACATAACTGCATTTTGACAGTAGAAGTTGTGCAGTATTTGTTGAATTAAATATATTATGTGGTTTAGTAGAAAACAATGCAATTCCAAGTTTAGCACAAGCAAATGTCTGTGCCTTATTTATTGAATGAATTACTGTTTTGGAGGCAGCTTCAAACTTAAATACATACTCATCTAGCTTATTTATCAGTCATGAAACGATGACAGTCATCAAAAATTATTTACTTCAGAATTGACAACTTTCACACTAGAAACAACTCTTAACTTCTTTTGTAATTATTGAACTGCTATTTTAAAAATAACTCATGCAGAAAATTATTTGCATACACTTACTTTCACTTCAAATATGGTCCTCTTCCTTTCAGCCATCCTTCCAGAATGGAGGAAGTTATATCTTAATTATATTTCATACACTTTACAAACATTAGAAAAGAAAAGCTTTTGCCCGTTGTCTTCCTTTCATTTCTTTACAGAGTTTCAGAAGTTCTTTTCACTAAACAATTCTCTAATTCTAATTCTCTGTCTTGTGTATTTCTTCAAAGGGTTAGGTAATATTAAACCTTACTCTCCTCAAGGATTTTATGCAATTTCAAACTGCTTTAACTTGCATGTCAGGAGATATTTATGGCCCTTAGAGAAACTTGATCAAAATACAGTGCTTGTGTACAGATTCTCAAGACTCCCTCCTAATAAAAGAGATTCTCTCACATCAAAGCTTCCCCACCTTTTTTGAAGAAAACTGAATGATCAGAAGAGTTATTCTCTTTAGTTTATTAATTACTATTTGCTCAATTGCATGTACCAGGATCACAGGCAATCATCAGCAGGACCTAAGCCTTCAACAATTCAGCTTGTCAGAGGCTTTATTTCTTCCAGGATTTTTCTTTCTAGCAATTTTCACTATCTCTTCTATTAAAATTTTCTTTTTCTTTTTCTCCCTCAAATAAGTTTTACATCTAATGTTAAATAATATTGCATTTCATGCTTGCTTGCTGCTTCAGGTCTAAGTAACCACATTTCATATGAACCGTGTAATAGTAAAAGTCAGATTGGTTGTTTGCTTTTTGATGTGAAATGGTTATTGCACATGACTGAGGTGCCACAAATTATTGTGCCTCTGATCAGGTCACACATAATAAAACAAGTAACACTCAGTATAGAACACAGATTGACTCACAAAGTTTACAAAGGGTTGTCTTTTTATGTGAGACTTATTGCTATTGTAGAAAAATAAGTATTGGGAATTGTTTGCATCCCCCCCAAAAAATGACAATTAAAAAAATTAGAAACATTTAAGATATAACACTCGAACACACACGCTCATACACACACACATACTTACACATGTAAATATATATCTAGGTTTATATTAACAACTATTTATTGCTTTAAAAATAATTTTTTAAAAAACCTAAATATTTATGGAAGATACATTGTGGATTATATATGAGCCTATTTCCAATATAATAATGAGAATAATGTATTAGTGGTATAGAATAAAATTATAGAGAAATAACATAAATATGTAAGAAAGTATTACTATTTAGTTGACACAGAAAAATAAAAATGTTGAAACAGTGAGAAAATGAATAGACACACAAACTTTTATTACCTAAAAGTGATCGGTATCCAAATGTGGCTTTTTATACTCCTGAAGAATGCATATTTTCTTTCTCTTTTCTGTTTTTAAGGAGAAAACAGGTACAACTTTCACAATAACAGAGTAGTTTTTGTAAAACCTAAGAAGATATCTTGGCATATTTTGAGTGATTTTCAATTTCTAAAAAAATAATGAATGGCCAATTATGAACAGACTAACATGTCTGTGACACGACAGTTCAATAAAACAAAGAAATTTATATTTAATGCTACCATGTTTTCTTTTTGTTTAATCACTTCCTATTTGCTCCATTGGTGAGGAAAGGATTCCCACCCCAGAGTTATGGGAATGGTTGAACACAGAACACCCATTACTGGGCAGATGAGATAGCAATTTATTAGTCTCTTACACTCACAGCTTGGGAAGGAGGTACCTGCTTGCCACCCAGGGCCCCATGACAGTTGACCTTGAGAACAGAGCTAACAACCAGGGGCTGTGGAGTCAAGCTTATAGTATAGAGAGGGTGAAGTGCCCCCTGATTCCTGCAGGAGGATGTGATTGGCTTGTCTGAGTAATTTCACAGGCTGTCAGGGAACTAAAATCCACTACTCAAGAAGAAGAAGGGGCTGTGCCTGGTCCCCTTGATAAACAGGTTTGTTTGGTGAGGGGACTTTATCTGAGGGAGCAGATTGAGGAAAAATATGTTAGGCCAGGTAAGGCGATTCCAATTTCACCACATATTAAGGTAGCATATAATACTGGACCTTAATTTCAGGCTTTACAATACATTCTTTGTATCATATAATTGTTTTAGCAAATGCTAAAATCAAAATCAGAGATAGCAGGTGATAAACTATTGTAATTAAATGGATATTTGTAAAAACCTCCATGGAATAAGAATAGCAACATAAAACAGAAAAACTATAGCAAAAGCAACAACTGTGTGGTAGGAGCTGTTGGTGTGAGGTCCAATCAAACAGATTCTGGTGTTTCCTCCATTAATTTGGGTTACAACGTGTACTATGTAATTTCTTCAGAGAAAAAGAACCAAGAGAAGAGAAAGAGAGTGAGCGTGAGAGAGTAGGGGAGAGAGAGGTATTATGAGGAATTTGTTCATGTGGTTATGGGAAGCTGAAAAGTCCTGGGATTTGCTGTCTGCAAGCCAGCGATCCAGGAAAGCCATTGATGTAATTCAGTGTGAGTTTGAAGGCCTGAGAACGGGTAGGTGATGATGTAAATCCCTGTTTGAGGGCAGGTAAGGTGAGATGAGATGTTGCAGCTCAAGCAGTAAGGAAGGGGAGAAGGGGGGCAAGCTCCTCCTCCTCCTTTTGTTTTATACAGACACTTAATGGATTGCAGGATGCCTGCCCACACTGGGAGTGAGGGACAATCTGCTTTACTGAACCCACTAATTCAGATGCTGATCTCATCTGAAATGTTACAGGATTCCTTCGGTGCTGCTTTGTCAGCGGGAAATCTCTGTGGCCACCGTGACCTCTGCCTGCAGCCTTGTTTGGCCCGCTGGGCTCACTCCACCCACTCAGCCTGGCAGGCTGCACTTGGCTCACACCCTGCCCCAGATCCCACACATGCAAAGGGACTCTGCACTCAGCCCACAGCTGGACTGGACATGCCACGGGAGGTTTTCACCTTGGGCACTGGAGTCTAGATGAGGGGGAATGTGATGGCACCTAAAAACTCAGAAATTCCAGCAACTGCAGAGTCCCAAGGGGTGTTACAGCTCTCGCTGGGGGAATCCTGAGATCTGAGCCCCCAAGAAATGTTGTAGATCTTGTAGTTCAGCCAGCCAGCCAGGAGGGAATGGTGCCAAACTGCTTCACTTCTTCATGCCTGCAGCTAGGACAATGGGGGTGTGCTACAGTTCTCCTTGTTGCCTGCAGCTCAGCAGACAGGGGCATGTTATTGCTCTCCCTGTCACCCTCAGCTTGGTGGACAGGGGCGTGTGGTACCTAGCAGTCTTTTTACTCCTGCAGCTCAGCAAGCAGGAGCAGGTGTTATACCTCTTTTTGCACTCACCATTCTGCGGGCCTGGGTTCTTTTACATAACTGAGAAGAATGAGGTGTGTGGACACCAGAGAGTAAGCAAGGGAGAGAAGAATTTTACTGAGCCACAGAAAAGCTCTCCACATGAAAGGGAACCCAAAGTGGGTAGTCCTGTGTGTGAGAGGGGGCTGCAAATCATAGCCATCTGTAAGGCTGAGTCGAGGGTCTTTACGGGCTCAGAATGAGGGAGTGCATGCTGATTGGTCCATGGGAAGGCCTGGAAAAACACCATTCGATTGGCTAAAAGGCATCAAGGCAGTTCTCACTCTGGTCATGGACTTCACGTGGCACTGGCAGCTTGCTTTTCAGGCTTCAGGCTGTCTTTGGCTTAAGGTCAGTGACATGGTTTGGCTGTGTCCTCACCCAAATCTCATCTTAAATTGTAGCTCCTGTAATTCCTAAGTGTTGTGGGAGGGAACCAGTGAGAGATAACTGAATTATGGGGATGGTTTCCCCCATACTGTTCTTGTGGTAGTGAATAAGTCTCATGAGATCTGATGGTTTTATAAGGGGTTCTCCATTTTGCTTGGCTCTCATTCTCTCTTGCCTGTCACCTTGTAAGACATGCCTTTTGCCTTCCGCCATGATTGTGAGGCCTCCCCAACCATGTGGAACTGTGAGTCCATGAAACCTTTTTGCTTTATAAATTACCCAGTGCCAGGTATGTCTTTATCAGTAGTGTGAAAATGGACTAATAAAGTAAACTGGTACTGGGAATGGGGTGCTGCTGTCAAGATACCCAAAAATGTGAAAGCAACTTTGGAACTGGGTAACAGGAAGAGGTTGGAACAGTTTGGAGGGCTCAGAAGAAGATAGGAAAATGTGGGAAAGTTTGGAACATCTTAGAGACTTTTTTAATGACTTTGAGCAAAATGCTGATAATGAATTCCAGTGAAATCCGGGCTGAGGTGATCTCAGATGGAATTGAGGAACTTGTTGGGAACCAGAGTAAAGGTCACTCATGTTATGTTTAAGCAGAGACTGTGTGGTGGCATTTTGACCCTCCCCTAGAGATTTGTGGAACTTTGAACTTGAGGGAGATGATTTAAGGTATCTGGCAGAAGAAATTTCTAAGCAGCAAAGCATTCAAGGGGTGACTTGGGTGTTGTTAAAAACATTCCATTTTAAAAGGGAAACCAAGCATAAAAGTTTGGAAAATTTGTAGCCTGATGATGTGGTAGAAAAGAAAATCCAATTTTTTGGGGAGAAATTCAAGCTGGCTGCAGAAATTTGCATAAGTAACAAATGTTATTCACCAAGACAATGGGGAAAATGTCTCCAGGGCATGTCAGAGACCTTGGTAGCAGCTCACCCAATCATAGGCCTGGAGGCCTAGAAGGAAAATATGGTTTCATGGGCCGGGCCCAGGACCCCATGCTGTGTGCAGCCTAGAGACTTGGTGCCCTGCACCCCAGTCACTCTAACCATGGCTAAAAGGGGCCAAGGTACAACTTGGGCCGTGACTTCAGAGGGTGCAAGCCCCAAGCCTTGGCAGCTTCCACATGGTGTTGACGCTGCGGGTGCACAGAAGTCAAGAATTGATGTTTGGGAACCTCGGCCTAGATTTCAGAGGATGTATGGAAATGCCTGGATATTCAGGCAGAAGTTTGCTGCAGGGGCAGGGCCCTCATGGAGAACCTCTGCTAGGGCAGTGAGGAAGGAAAATGTGAAGTCAAAGCCTCAACAAAGAGTCTTCACTGGGGTACTGCCTGGTGGAGATGTGAGAAGAGGGACACCATCCTCCAGACCCCAGAATGGTAGATCCACCCACAGCTTGCACTGTGTACCTGGAAAATCCATAGACACTCAACACCAGCCTGTGAAAGCAGCCAGGAGGGAGGCCGTACCCTGCAAAGCCACAGGAGTGGAGCTGCCCAAGACCATGGGAACTCACCTCTTGCATCAGTGTGGCCTGGATGTGAGACATGGAGTCAAAAAAGATCATTTTGGAGCTTTAAGATTTGACTGCCCTGCTGAATTTAGCACTTGCATGGGGACTTTAGCCTCTTCAGTTTTGCCAATTTCTCCCATTTATAATGAGTGTATTTATCCAATGCTTGTATCCCCATTGTATCTAGGAAGTAACTAGCTTGCTTTTGATTTTATAGGCTCATAGGCAAAAAGAACTTGCTTTGTCTCAGATGAGATTTGGACTGTGGACTTTTGAGCTAATGCTGAAATGAGTTAAGACTCTGGGGGACCTTGGGAAGGCATGATTGGTTTTAAAATGTGAGGACATGAGATTTGGGAGGGGCCAGAGGCAGAATGATATAATTTGGCTGTGCCCCCATCCGAATCTCATCTTGAATTGTAGTTCCCATAATTCCCACATCTTGTGGGAGGAACCTGTTGGGAGATAATTGAATCATGCGGGCTGTTCCCCCCATACTGTTCTCATAGTAGTGAATAAGTCTCACGAGATCTGATGGTTTACAAGCAGTTTCCCCGTTCACTTGGCTCTCATTCTCTTCCCTTGCCTGCTGCCATGTAAGACATAGCTTTTGCCTTCTGCCATGATTGTGAGACCTCCCCAGCCATGTAGAACTGTGATTCCATTAAACCTCTTTCCTTTATACATTACCCAGTCTCAGGTATGTCTTTATCAGCAGCGTGAAAACTGACTAATACAGTTGGGTTTCACAGGGGACCCATCCTGTCTGCTTAGGAATTTGTCTGTCTCCTGTCACTATCAGAAACACTCTCATCAACAGAGCCAGAAATAATTTTTAATAGAGTTGCCTCAGGCAAGTTGATGCATTGAATTAAGCATCATGCAATAAAACTGCAAACTTACTTTCTAGATGCCCTTGGATATATATAAGGCTTATTAGAGTCCTTCTGAGAAATGTGTCTAGTTGTTTTATGAAACTAAAAGAAAAAGAGTTAGCAAGATTTACCTGACAAGAGGTATACCCCTTTTGTATTGGACACACAATTATACTTTTCTCTTACTTGAGAAGGAAAAATACTGCCTTAGGGGTTGAAGCAGAGTTAGAAGACCATTTAGTCCGATTTTTTTGTCCATGTATGAATTCCCTCATACTGATTCACCGAAGTGATCACAGCCTCATCCAGGGAAAGGAAATGTCCTTTTCATAGGGTACCCATATCTTTTTCAGATTCAATATAGGTTGCAAACTTTGTTTTTTCCAAATTGAATCAAATTTGTCTCCAAAATATATTATAAACTACCTTATTTTTTTCTCCAGTAGTGGCTTTTCTCATATATTTAACACTCAGAATGGATCATTTTTAATACCCCTGAATTTATATGACAAAACTATTTTTAGTAGCAATCAGGATGTGAAAAAATAGGCAGAGAAGAAACATAGCCAGTGAAAAGCTTCTTTTATTGAACTTCATATATGGAATTACATATACATTAAAATACTACAGCATCAAGAAGGAAAAGGAATATTTGGCTAGTACTTTTTTAACTATATGAATGTATGCTTTTTATTTTTATTTTTTTTTTTTGACACAAGGTCTCACTGTGTAACTCAGGCTGGAGTGCAGTTGTGTAATCATAGCTCACTGTAGCTTTGACCTCCTGGACTCAAGTGATCCTCCCACCTCAGCCTCCTAAGTAGTCAGGACTACATGTGTGTGCCACCATGCCCAGCTAATGTTTTTTTTTTTTCTTTTTTGGAGAAACAGAGTATCACAAATGTTGCCCAGGCTGGTCTCCAACTTCTAGGCTCAAGTGATCTTCCTGCCCTGGCCTTCCAAAGTCCTGAGATTACAGGTGTGAGCCACTGTACCTAACCTGATTATATGCTTTGACTCAGGTAGTAAAATTTACATCTATATATTAGTCTGTTTCATTAATGAATAAAAACTACATGACTTCTGTTTTGGGGTTTTGACATTTGCACATCTTTCATTATCTCTGTCAAAATTGATGTTCTTCACATACATAAATTCAATAGACAGTGTATATAGATATGCCAACCTATCACTCACAGGGATAAAAGAACACACTTTATTAATTTCAATTTTGAAAAGTTCTTTTGCATGAAGCCTCAAATATACAAATACTTAGGAAATGTCTAAAACACAAGGATGAGTTTGGCAGAGATTTATAAAAATCCAATGTCATGTTAAATTCCAGAAATCAAAATACTGTTCAGGCTTTTGTTCCTTTACATTTTTTCTAGCAGCTTTCAAATGTCCAAAATGTTTAAAGGCAAATAAAAACTTCAAGTTGTCATATAGAATGACAGATCTGAAGTGACTCAATTTCTGTTTCTTAGTTTTGCAATTACTTTGCTATCATTACTCATGTAAAATTACTGTCACAGGGATTAGGGACACAGACTGTACCAGATGCAATATCCAATGATTCTGAACCCTTAATAAATTTTTTCAAAAAGATCATATATACTTGAGACTACATTTTTCAGGACAATGATATGGTTGGAAATTTTCTAAATAATTTTGAGTAGTAGTCAATGTTTCTTCAAGTATGCTTTCTTAAAAAAAAAGTGTGTATATATATATGTGTGTGTATATATATGTGTGTATATATATGTATATAAATATGTGTGTATATATACATGTGTATATATATATATATAGTTTAGCAGGAATAAGAACTGTTTAGAATTTAGACTAACAGAGATTTCTCTTCAGGGAAGAGTATTTTCTTATTGACATTACTTAGAATTTCCATCATAAAATGATAATAAAAGTTAGAACCAACGTTTTGTCAGTTTTATTATCATTTTTAAATCCTCCACCAACTGTGCACCCCGTTATTGCTTGCACCCAAGGCCAGTGCTCCCCACCTCTTTCTTTGAATACCTGTGTCAACAAGTTGCTTTTGGGCAGTCTAAAGATTCTCTTTGGCTTAAGCATTCTCTTTTGAAACTATTCATCATATTATAATATTGTGAACCTTCAGTGTTCTGGTCCTATAAACCCTCTGTCTTTCTAGTGAACACTCAGTACTTCAGATTAGTAATAATTTGGGCTGAGGGTAAATTCCTTTTTGTATAATAAACTGAAAATTACAAAATATTAAGTATATTCTTCAAGCATGGAATATTAAATCTATATAATTCCACAAATCTCTCAATATTATCTGTTATTACTAACATAAGCAGTAGCAGTACCGATATTTTATGAACTAAAACCACCTCACGTTATTCTTAACCAATAATAATCACAAGGAAATAAAAGGAATCCATATACTGTTGTAACTGAAATTTGGTAAATCCGTTCTCAGGTTTATTATGCCTCATTTCTCCATACTATTTCTCATATAAACTGAGTTAATCAGTATTTGAGATATTTTCTCCTTTTCTGCCTAATTTTGTGTTCACCTAATTGCAGTTTCCCTTTTGACATCAATAAGATAAAGTATGATAGCTATAATAAAATATTAGATATTAATGTCCAATGGAGTATAGGCTAATACCATAGCTTTACCTGTAAAATTATGTTTAAACGAACTACTTTTTAAGACAATCCTAAAATTGAGGTTAAAATTTTAAGAAAAAACATTCTAGAATATAGATGTGCAAGCATCTGTAGCTGCACAAAGTCTTAAAGGCAATCTAATCAAACTTCTTAAATTTAGAGAAAAATGAAGATGCATAAATATTCAATGGTTTTGGAGCCACAGAGACCTGGATTTGAGTCTTGAGTTCCACCATGTTCTGAATGTGTGACTAGACAAGGAGCTTAACTTCTTGAGCTTTTAATTCCTCCTCTGCAAACACTTGGAAAATAACAATACCTATCTCTTGCAGTTCTCATGAAGATTAAATAAGATAATACATACAAAGCATTTTTCCATGTTGCTTGGAATATTTTATTTTTTAATAAAACAGGAGAATATTTAATCCAGCCCCAAAAGCACACCAGGAAATGAGGGGAACCATAGGAAAATTATCTATCTATAGCAGACAGAAGGATGTTACTGGCTTTGTGCTTATTCCTAGAATCCCAAGGCTTGATCCTTGGAAGAAATTATCTGTCCTTCAGCTATTCTCACTACTCAGAAATAAGTTGCATACATCTCGAAAAGGCTTCTGTCCTGTTGAAGCTAAAAGGGAGCTAGAAATGAGCATCAAATCTATAATAAATTGATCAAAGAACAGCTAAGTGATAGCACAGGGCCATCCCAGGCAGGTGGGCTCCTGGTTCTCTGGTGTAGCCAGAATCCATACAAACTGGGCTGGCCCAGGGAACCCACCAGTCAGGCTATGTTCAGTTGCAGCTTCAGTATTCTTATTTACCATCATCTGCCAAGAATGGATATTTTTTATTGAAAAGAATCATAACACAGTGACTGGCTAAATGGAAGACTCATTGCACACTGATTCTAGAGCCAAAATGCCCAGGTTTGAATCCTGGCACCACAGGTTAGTCTCTTATGTTTCAGTTTGCTCACTTGTAAAATGGAATAATAATAGTACTTTATAGATTTATTGTGAGGAATAAATAAATGAGTTAATATTTGAATTGTACTTAAGCATTGTTTAAATGCTTGTTATATATATTTATATTTCTATATATATACACGTATATACACACATATTTATATGTACATATATGATTGCCACTACTACTATGACTCTCTTAAATATGACCTTCTTTAAAAATATCTGATTTCTTGAATAAGGGAAGCACCATTTTTTCCTATTTCAAACTAAAAATAAAATCACTACTGAGTATTTTCCTGGGTGTAGGCTTTAATCCTGAGGTCCCTTAAAACATTGCAGATGAGTGTTGTTAACAAGGTCTGCACAGGTCTGATTCTGGGGAAGGGAGAAGTCTTTCTTTTAGACTCTTCTGAAGTAAATACTTGTGGTCACTGAAACACAGTGAATTATTTTTCTCTCTCTTTTATAACCATATAGAAAATTGGAAGCTGGCTACAAAGGTCCCTAGAAAATAGGAAGAGTTTACTTTGTTCTTAAAATGTCCATCTTCTTCTTAAATGTGTAATTGTTGTATAGTCGAGGAAAAACTCTGGTCCTAGGCATATTGTAGTAAGGACAATTAAAGGATGTCTTTAAGGCACTGGAACACAGTTCTCAGCAAATATCAATGGGGTGATTTGTCTCAAGAGGATATCTGGTAAGGTCTGGAAACATTTTTGGTTGTCATCACTTGGCAAGTACTACTGGCATCTAGCGGGTAGAGGCCAGGGATGCTTCTAAACAATGCATGGGACAAACCCTGCCTCCCAACTCCCGTCCACACACAACGAAGACTCTCTAATCCCAAATGTCATTGCTGCTGAGGATGAGAACCCCTGTTGTAGAGGGACAGCCTGAATTTTTTACTGCCCTTAATTTCAGGAAAATTCCTGTTCTGTAGAGCCTTAGTACACACATAAGTATGTTTGTTTAAGTTGTCTTGTCAACCTTTCTAATACCAGTCATTATAGTTGAGGAGACATTTCCTAGGACACTGAAAATAGCCTGTTGATAAAAATAACCTGACTTCAGTATTGTCTTTTTTTTAAACAGAGTCTAATTGTCAGGAAATGTTCTTTTAACTGGTTAAAAAAACTTGAGTTAAACTATGTATAAATCAGGAGAAAAAAAGGTAAAAATGTGTATTGAATTTCTCATTTTGAACCAGACTTTTGATTAACATCTAAAGTCATTTTTCCAGCTTGCACCTATTGTCCACTCTGTTTTTACCCCACAAATTATTTATTCTTTAAAGCTTATGCATTATTGAAATTTTCATCTTACCCCTATGTCCAGCCATCTTACATTGGAAAGATAAAGAACATGAAAGGTAATTATTTTTTAGAGACTATTAAAATACTAATTTGGGACCTTAGAATTATAAAGAACAAAAGAGTAATTTTAAATAGCTATTTGTTCTCCTTAAAACAAAATATTATTCTCCTTAAAATAAAACCAACAGCTAAGATGCTATTGTTTCAAACAGCATCACTTATTGATCAAAATGGATTGAACAAATAATGTACAATTTAATTTTATAATTTACATTAAAAACATATGTGTTATAACTAGAAAAAGCATGTTTTGTCACTAAAGAATTACAAAGCAGAAATTAAAATTAAAAAATCATTATTGAAATATTTTGGGGTAAGCAGAGAAAATTTACAAATATATTTCAATTATTTCACTTCTTCTTTTCAATAACAAGAGTTGCTCTACAGAAAAGGATAAACATGGAAAATAAAATTGGATTAAATATGCAATATAATTTGGTTTCCATGCTCTAGAAACAACAAAGTTATTATATCACATATTAAATTTAGAGGGAATTAAACAAAGAAGATTGTTTTTCTAAATACTATAACCTATGGATCAAAATACTGTAATTTTACATTATCAGGTGGCATGCTTTTCCTCAGAGCAGTCTAAGTTCTGTACCTTTCTATACTCTATGAAAAAATTTTCATATTTGTGAAATACAGAAACCAGGTAGTGGCTAGATTATTCTGATATATTTGATTAAACCAGATGAAACATGTCGGCAGAACTGTCAAAAGTTGTTTGGTGTGTTGAAAGTCTTCAATATTGGTACACATGAATAAGTCCTGACAGTTGAAAGCAATGTCATGACTAGCAGCAACCACTGCCGGGAGAATTATCTGCTGTTGTCACATCCGCGTTTTTTGTTCTATAAATTTACTCTGATAACTGGTTCTCTACGAAGTCAACTTTAAGTAAGAAAAATCAAAATACCATGGTCAATTGTAGAACTGTATTTCAGCATTTGAATTTGTATCCTTGTATATGTTCTATCTCTTATATTCAATGAATTCACAATCATATGAAAATGTAGCCTTTTATGTGAGCCAATATCAACTCGATGGACCACTGATTAATATAAATCATATGTACGTTCTAAACAACATGAGTACACACGCGCAAACATACACACACGCGCGCGCAGTAATTTTCATGACACCTGGGGGAACTTGGAGGAACAGAGTATCAACATAGCTTTATCTATCAATAACCATTAACCATATAGAACTGCTTCTATTCCGTGATGACTATATGGAACCATTTCAATTGTGTGCATGTGTGTACAAAAACCTATACTTATATGTGTATTTTGTATCTACACGTATATCACATTTTGCCTCTGATGTGTCTTACACTTACCTCCTAAAGAGCATTAAAATGGAACGGAAGAAAACTGGGCTGAGATTTAGGAGATACAAATCTAGTCTTTCCTCTACTCCCCAAAGTCTTAAAAATAATCTAGATAAACTCTAAGGTCACTATCATTTCTCACGTTGTATGGCTTTATGTACAATTTCAATGAAACACAAATGCTCCCACTGAATTATTCTAAATTCTAAAATATTTATTATATAAAACTCCAAATATGTTTTCAGTTTTAATCTATATTCAGTTAAATGTATAAATTTAGTTGAATATAGATTTAAATTTACAGATTTAACTGAATATAGATTAAATCTTTAAATTTATAAATTCTAGGATTTATTCTTTTCCAAGAAGCATATTCGGCAATTATTATTTTTTACACAAAATATAAAGTGATATCTCAGTATCATAAATATAACTTCATTTTAAAATTATATATACAATATTATAAAATCATTAATTTTGTCATATTTTTCATACTTTTTCTGTTTTGTTATAGTCTTTTTATCTCCTTTTTAAAACATTTTTGCTATATAAACTGGGCACTTCATTTAGTTTTGATTTACAATTTTCTTATAGTGGTCGACTTATAAGTGTCTCTACATAGGGAGTTTCTATGAGAATTCTGCTAATGCTGAGGAAATTTAGTTCAATTATACTAAGGAATGAAGGAAGTATTTTCAAGATAGTTTGGAATCTAATTGGGCCTAGCTGTGAGCCAGATTATGGTCAAAAACGATTTATTTCCTGACTTTATCAGTATCATAGGGGCATTTCAAATCATGACAAATCAAGATTAGCACAGAACCATTTTCCAATACCACCAAAAGAGTGTATATTTAACTTTCTCAAATACACCATACACCAGTGCAGATTATTCAGTGAGCTGTTTACTAAAATGTCCTTATATAATTTGCATGAATAAAGCTAGAATTATTCATAATAAATCTAGATAGGACTTTTCTTAAAGTCAAAGCATTTATTTTGTGTTTATAATATTTTTAGACCTTAGTTTTTAGTTTTATACGTCGTTAGGGGCCTTCTAGCCTGGAGTACACTTCAATAAGCATTATACTTCTATGCAACAACTCCTCTCTGGTTGTAAACAGGAGCCCAGGGAGGTTTCTAAAATTTATTAAGGCACTAGATTATCATTCAGAATATATTAAATAGTATTAATAATAATAAAAAATAGGATTGGTGGGAAAGACTGTACAAATATAATAAGACAAGATGCCCAAGGGGCACAAAACAATGCCTTAGAACTTCCATAAAAAGATTGCAATACACAGTTAAAGAAAATTAGTATTTTATCTGTGATAATAAAACTTGAAGCATAATTGAATTTAAAATTCAATTCAATATAGTTTAGGATAATTCTTTTTTATTTCTGTTGTCCCTGATGTACTGCAACAATAATTGGCTAAATGGTATCATTATATCTTGGAAGAATCAGTGGTATTGTTCAGCACCTAATAAATAATACGAGGAGTAAGGGACTATTTCTGCATATATTAGAATGTGAAGTTTTGCTTCACTCTAAAATGTTACTATTTGAGCAATTATCTGAATATTTCAGATCTATAATTCTTTTGACTGAAATATCAAATAACTGAAACAAAGCTAGAATGATCTCAATTTTTGCCTTTCATTTATTTTTTTTTCCTCAGTACAGATCAGCACAGGTGACAGCACAGAAGGAATGTTCTCTTGTGATTAGAATAGAATTATTCACTCCTAACAACCTGCAGAATTTAAAAATTACAAAAAATATATATAGTACATATGTAAAGCAGATCTAGTAAATGTAAGTCAAATATAACTTATCAAAGTTGGGAATGACAGCTAAATATAAGTTGTTTAGCACATAAGCCATTTTGTTAATAGCAAATTAGAGGAAATGAAAATAATTTTCTCTATCAAAACATTGAATTGAACCATACAAATGTGAAGGAAGCAGAGCATAAATATCTTAAAACCCCTTTTGGAATGTGCAAACTAACTATCAAATGAAGAGGGATACTATGCAATGAGAGAGATGTGAGGAAAAACTGATATTTGGAAAAATTTTTTATTATATGTAAATATATGAAGGATGCAGGAGGGAGACCAGCCATAAATGAGTTAAGTGAAAACTGAAATAGTGCGATAGTACATGTCAGCAGAGTTAAACCACATTATCTGTTTGCAAAGTCTAAAACAATGAAGTTCTCCACATCCTGTACAGGCAAACTCAATATATCTTCTAAGCCTTTGGCATTCATTAACAGTAAAAAATAATCTTTCTTTCCTTTGTTCTTTCTTTGCAATTTGTCTGTAATTCTATTTGAATTTTTATCATAGCCTCTTTCAGATTATATATGTTTTTGTTTTCCAAACCATATTGCAAGATGCCAGAAGGTAGGATCCTTTTTACTCTTCCAAAATAACAGTTGGTTGAACAGGATTAACTGACTTGATGAGAATATAAGTGTGATCTGGTTTGGACAACTGTCACTCCATTTCCTTCCAGAGTTGATTAAACTGATCTGGCAGCCTAATCTGGGATCCTGTTGCTTCCACAAAACCCTTTGTTATGCATGCTTAGATGAATAGGCAAACTTTCCAGAGAGACATACAGTATATATTTTAATAAAGTTTATTTCATTCGAATGATAATTATGTCATAGCCTGTAATTAATTGCAGTGTGAGCTATACAGGATGTATATCCTGCAATATACTAAGAATATGGGTATTACATGAAGACGTGGTACAGCCCAAAACAATGCCAATACAGGCTTAATTTCTCGTGCATCTGTCTAGGCATTTTATCTTAGATAAATATATGCAAGCTATATCTAATATTTGCACACAAATACAATTTCTAATTAGTAAATTTTACACATATGAAAAATGTTATATTATTATGCACCATCTAGTGGAATAATTAAGACAGTATGATGGATTCAGGATATGGATTTCAGATCTTGTGCCAATAAATTGTAGCGATTTAAAATGAGCTGTAAATATTGTGAACTGAATTATTAGAGGTTTTTGAAATCCTGAATACAAAAGCCATGTCCTAGGCCTGTTTCAGATAAAATGACATTTTTAAAATGTCTATTATATTTAGTATCTATCCCAGTTGAAATCTGTATTGTTTAGATGGTTTTAATAGCCATTTTCAAATCACATACTTGTTAAAAAATAATTGAAAATGTGTAAATCTTCAGCTTTCTCCACTTCAGGTTGTAGGTTTTCTTATTTTTCCAAGTACTAGTAAACTGGTAACCGTTCAAATTCCCAAGAAAGAGTATCTGATAGGCCAAGGTAAACATTATGATCCTTGTTGGGGAAGATTTTTAAATACCAGTTTTATAGATCCTACCATCTTGTAGGTTACCTGTCATTGGGTCATCGGCCCGCTGTGAACCTACTACTACATGTGGTTTTGGGGGTGGTTTATGAGGTACAGAACAGGGCCATGCCTGCAGCTTTGCTCAACTAGTAATGGAAATGGAGGAGTTTCCCAGAGAACAGTAAGGATATAGCAGAAACCAAGATTGATCTGTCCAATAAATACATTTTCTTATGCATATATTTAAATACGGCCAACTATAAACATGCCAAACTGGAAAATCATCTGCAAATCTGTAAAACATGTGAAAATCTGAAAGCTAAGTACCTAATGGAATTTAAGGAGAAAATAATACATCCCCATTAAAAAAGCTATTCTTCTTAATTGGCAATATTTCCTAGGGAGTTTCTTTTTATCCTTTCCAACAAAGCATAAGTAAAGCAATTGACACCTGGAATGTTTGGCAAATGCATTAGCTGTGGCACACAGAGAGATGAATAATTGGCAGATGAGTGCTTAAGTCTGGCATATCACCAAACCAGGAGATGACTTGATGCCTGAGATACAATTGTTTTTCTTTTACCTAAATTGGGCTTTGTATTTAATTGTGTTTAAATAAGACAAGGAAAGTTACAATATAAGGAAGCTGCGGTGTTGTAGAATTCAGCATTAACAGAAGTCTTCTCCAAGAAACAATTGTATTACATTATTGAGAAATATTGTCTTCAATTGTAAAAGGGGTGCCCCAGTTTCAGTGGGAAAGTTGAGACATGACTACTTAAAGGGAAATTAAACAAGCCAGTAGGATGGCATCCTCTCCTTGAAGCAGCCAAGATGTAGCAGACAAAAGACACACCCACTCAAGATAGATGTAGTGATATATAAAGTATACAAATACCTTAAATACAAGCATACAAATACATTAAACGATTCCAGAGAATCAGAAGCTGGAGTGACATTGAACTATTGAATTAAAGGCCACAGTGCACATCTACAATTCTACAATTCAGTGGTCAAGTCAATGCTCCTGGTATCCCCGATATCTCTATGACCACAACTGCACCTCATCCCCAATGATGCTGGTGACAACACCAGCCACATGGGCCAGGCAGCCACAGAGTCCTGTCATTGCCATGACCTGTCACAGATGGCCTATGTCTGACTTTCACCTGCCAATCTTGGCACAAGTGTGAGTAATTCATAACCAGAACTCCATCCCTAAGGGCATTTGGGAGATGTACTTGCTAGAAGAGGTGTAGCATGGAGATGAGAAAATACTTGTACTTGCTACAAGAGACATAGCATGGTTATGGGAAAACTGTGCTCCATTAACCACAGCACAATTTCTTTCCTCTAATACTTTAGTCACCATTTTTACTTTGACAGTTTTCTTCCACATCTTATTTTTCCTTTCATTTATTATCCTTTCCTATCAATTATCTATAATAATCTTCAATCCCCTCTCTTCTTTTAAAGGCAATGCAGGCCAAAAATGTAGCCATGTAACATGCTCTTTAAGTCAATTTGGCAGGAAGTTATCAATACTCATACAGAACTATCCACCACCATCATAGCTAAAATCAGAGGTGATACTCAGAATAAACAAAAGCGTCTGTTATAGTCCACTCTTTGCATCAATCAAATCCATTTATGCTCTAAATTAACTTTTTCTTATTGCTGCATATTTATAGTAATATCAGTCTATAATCTTTCCAAGTTACATAATACATGAAGGTTTTTGTAACAAGTTTTTGTTCCTGCAACTATAATTATTTATATGGCCACAATTGATATTTATAATTTCCTTTCTCTAATATTCATTCTAGATAATGCTTTCCTTAGAACTTATGGAGATTCAGGTTGCATTCCTGTGCATGACCCAGACTTTCATGCCAGTAAAGTCTGAGCTCTTAATTACCTTCTCCTGATCAAGCCATAATTGCTAAAAATTGCCTGTCCAGTGTTTTCACAGGGAATGGAAGAAAGTACTGTATATACTGCAGCGCCTCTATTACCTAGCAGAAACCATTGCTCCTTATGATAATCAGGTTTAATTATCCCTGCCAATACAGTAACTGTGTTCTTTGCCTGCTAGTTCACCAACATGATGAGTCCAAAGAACCAGATTTCCATAGTTTCAGTTCAATAGAAATGATAACCATAGCTTCAGTTCAATGGAACCATTACTGTGTCCTTTTGGAAGCATTCACCACCTTAAGAACGATCACCTTAAATTCAGCAGTGTGTTGGAAGCATGAACTCCACAAGTAAATTGCTTGAATGAAGGTGAGAAGCATCAGTTATATTTTCACCACTTGGTTCCTGGGTGATACTATTAGATTCGTAGTTCTGGTTTTGTTCATATGCCATATCCTAAAGGACAACACACCAATGAAAGAATGCTATTCCTAAGATGATGCTGAAGCTCAAAGATCAGTGAACTACAGCAAAGGGCCAAATCTGGTCCACCACCTATTTTTGTAAATAGTTTTCTTGCAGCACATATACTATGATTCATTTATGTATTGTCTGTGGCTGCTTTTCCAATCTTACTGCAGAATTTGTAGGTGTGACATGACCTTGCGGCATACAAAGTCTAAATTATCATGGGACCCTTTAATAAAATGTATCCTCTATAGCACTCTAGTTGGTCTTTGGTCATGCAGCTAATGATGCACCTATTTCACTATTAACCCCCCCCTCCACTCAGGGGATATTATGAGTTATCTATCATCTATAAATAAATCAGGTTTTTTCCAAATTGTTAAATGGTAATGCTGGCAGGATCATTGCAAACAGGGACAGAAATTTATATCTAGAGTAGACGTAAACTCCAGTGAATTTATATTGCTGTCTCCTTCAGGTTAGAAGGCAGTCTCATTAATTTAACATGTAAGGAGTTACCTGGTCTCCTTGTGGGATGGTTCTGTATCAAGAGCTCAGCATCAGTTTTTGCTACTGATAGGTTAATTATTCTGTAGTGACAATAGTTCGGTTGGCCTTATTACAAGAGAATCCCTGTGGTTGGGCCTATGCATGGTCTCCATATCTTTGATCACTCCATTTATAGACTTGTGCAAACACTGAGGTGGTCAAGAACAGAGACTCACTGACATTCACCATATACTATATTTTCCACCTGGTTGTTAAATGCCTCCTCTGCAGTGGATGCTTTCTGTTGGCACTCACGACACACTTTATGTTCACTCACCTAAAGCTATCCACACACTTCCCTCAAAATCTCTTGTCACCAATTCTGCTCCTTCCAGGATCAGCTGTGTATTTCATTCACGCCCAGGAATCCATAAGTATTGATACAAAAGTAATATTGATGTGGAATCCTTGAGACTCTTCTTACAGAGATGATTCATTCACCCCACCCCCATTGTCCTTCAGAAACATTCGTTACTTGTGAAAATGCGAACCACTGATTAGCAGCATCAGCATCAGGAAAGAGCTTGTTAGAACTACAGAAACTCAGGACCCCCCACCAGTTCTATTCCATCAGAATCTGCATTTTAAGATACCTGTAGTTGATTTTCATACGAACATTATTAAAGTATGAGAAAAACTGAGATAGTATATATTCTATATTGCAAAGTAATTATATTATAAGGTAATAGAGCTTAATAATAACTTCACCCTGGGTTTTTCAATTTCCTCTTGTGGCTTCTTAAATACTTTAAATCTCTTTAATTTGATATGCACAAATTTTGAATTGCACTTAACTCTTCTATTAAAACTTATGTTCTTTTTTTTTTTTTTTTTTTTTTTTTTTTGAGACGGAGTTTCGCTCTGTCGCCCAGGCTGGAGTGCAGTGGCGCGATCTGGACTCACTGCAAGCTCCGCCTCCCGGGTTCACGCCATTCTCCTGCCTCAGCCTCCCGTGTAGCTGGGACTACAGGCGCGCGCCACCATGCCCGGCTAATTTTTGTATTTTTTAGTAGAGACGGGGTTTCACCGTGTTAGCCAGGATGGTCTCGATCTCCTGACCTCGTGATCCGCCCGTCTCGGCCTCCCAAAGTGCTGGGATTACAGGCGTGAGCCACCGCGCCCGGCAAAACTTATGTTCTTTTATAATGACTTTATTTTTTCCTAATAACTTTTTTCTTAAAGTCTATTTTGTTTGATAGTAACAACTCTTCCCAACTTTCCTTATGTATTTTTGTAATCATTTATTTTTAACATTTTATGTCTTAGAGATGGTTTAAATACATTTTTTATTGACTTTCTGGCATGGCAGCCTATTATTTTTTGTTTTACATATAATATTCTTTTTGTTCATATGTAATTGAACTAAATAGTAATCCTTGAGAACTTTTGGTAATTTTAAGGAGCTACAGTTGAGCATGCTTTCCTCAGGAAAGTTCCAGATTTGTTTCTTCCTCTCATTAAGAGGCACTACACACCTAGAACTACTTCAATGTCATTTCTTGGTTAGGGTTTCCCCAAAGGGTGGTGGTGAGGTAGATAATAAAAATTAGAGTCCCTGGTTTATCTGACAGCGGTCCTATAGTGACAAAGCTTAGGGTATGGGAATAAAGGAAGAGGAAGAAAATGAGAATAATGGTTTTCTACCCAGAGGCACAGCAAAGAAAGACAGGGGCTTTTTGGTTTCATTATGTGGACTTTTTCTAGCTCCCCTCTAACTGAAGGTGTAACATTTTCAATGATCATGGTTTTACTTGGTAAGTTCCTGATCGGTTTCTCTTTTCCTCACTAGCCTCCATTTATTTAAGCCCTCGTACCCCAATATGCATGTGGCCATTACTCTCAGGTGATAGTTAAATGTCTTCCATAATTCTCATGCCCATCATGTGTCAGTTTGGTCTCTTTTGTGCTTAACCTATACCATCCTAGGTTTTCATTTACTTTGTAGTTTCAAACTCATTACATTTTTGTAACAAACAAATTGCTGCTTATGGCTAAAGAGAATAACAACCACATGTATTCTAAGTTGGCTAGTTCATTGTTTTCTAAAAACATATGGGAAGGCATTTTTTTCAAAACAATGGGAAGGGTTCATTGTGATTTTCAAAGGCCCATTGCCTATATTATTATAAAATGATTATATAGCTTATGGTACTAACCAGATACAGTCTTACTCTGTGGTGTGCAATATGAAAAACATTATTCTTAAAAAGAATCATTTTTATTATGAAATATTTTATTAACAAATTTTACCAGCCCTAAGCCTTTTGAGATAGTGCAAATTCGAAATATAAAATTTTTAGAAATTCTCTTTGTCTTCAGTAAGAACTTTTTCCTCCTAGTAAATATTTCTCTGTTCCATTCTTTCATGAATATGCACTTCAACACCTTTTAAACAATTAGTGAATGAGATCTTCCTTCCAAGGTAATTTTATTGAGAAGCATTATGTATATAAATGTAATTAGTCTGAAAAAATTCTATCATCAGCATAAAATTAGTCTTAAAATGTAAAAGGTATCTTTTAAGCTTTTAAGCCTCCATTATATAGATAGTTGTATACAACAATATAAGCAATAGTAATATAGTTTCAAGATCAATTTATTCTTCTTGACAGTCAATCCACTCTAATTTTTCTGTGAAAGAAAACTGTCTGATGTAATCAGTTAGACAGTAGAAAATGAATCATAATATATAAGGATTAACTTGTTTCCATAAAGATTTTTTGTTTTGTTTTGTTTTCTTTTGGTTTTGAGTTTCACATTCTTAGAATGAAAGCTCTTGAAATGTTAAGTTTCTATGAACCCTCCTTGGAAAAAATGTAACAGATTACTAGTAATGATTTCCTTAAAATTAATCTTTGTAAACTTGGGTTAAAAGATGTAGTGGAATTTCTCCTTTCTTGACTTCTCTTTTTCCTCTATCTATTTCTCTTCTTTTTTATCCTCAAACTTTTCACTTGATGTTTGAGTTTCTCAAAAAAATGAAAACTAAAATGTAACTTCTTCTGCAGTATTTTGTGTTGACACTGAAAATCTGGCCAGAAACAATTCTGTTTTAAACATTCAAGAGTGTGTGTCTGTTTTCAATATGAACCGAAACTTTAGGGAAAACATTTTAGACTTACCCAGTCTTAAACAGTGTTGCCTGCCAGGAACTCCAAGCAGCTGCAAAACTCACTAATGAAAACTGGGATAATTCTTAACAGAAACGACTATCAAATATCTTTACAAATAGAAAATAGAGGCGAGCATAATTAACAAACTTTATAGTGAAATAACATGTATTTCTTTAATTGTCTCATTCTTTCCATCTACATTAACAAAGAGAAAGTGAGTTAATTTTGCAACCCTGAAAATGATGGGTGGCAGAGATTAGTCACTTCTCACTCATGTCACTCACACTCAAACCCATTCCATTTTAGATCTGGCAAGAGACTGAAGAGATTTTAAGATCAGGATATCCAAAGCTGAGAAAGCAATTTTTTCTTGGTATGACACACAGCTGATCAAAGAGTGGGAAATTATACTACATTGCAGCACTGTGCATTGAGGCTAGAAACGGGTTTGAGGTGGACATTTTTTGGTCTCCCACCCACCCATATATAACTCTACTTCTGTGACTACAAAAATGTGTTAACAAATAATAATAATAGTATTTCATGATTTTGGGGAATTGTGTCTATGCATCAGGGTGGGGACTGCAGGGCAGGAGTCATGAACATAATAAAAATCAAAAGAGATGATAATTCATATTTCTCCTAGTTAGTTCCTTTCCCCAATGTCTTACATAATTACTGAAGGCGAACAAACAATAAATTTGAGACCATTTTTATCTAAGATTTTGAATGTTCTTCACAATTGGAAAGATATTTTGTGATTTTCCAACCCCAACTATGAACAAATGAAGGCCAAATAATATAGAAAACATTTTACAAGCTAGATAGTATGGTAAAATTGAGAAAGCAGTTAATAACATAATAAGATTTGAGCCAGAATAAACTGACTTATATCCAGAAATGACTTATTTCCAGCAATTTCATTTGAAACCCACTTACTTAATCAAATTTTTAAAATTACCCCAACCAGACTCCTTCTTGCTGCCACCATTATGTTCTACACCATGGCTTCTCACACTTTAATGTTCATAAGAATCACCAGGTAATCTTGGTAAAGTGCAGATTCCGATTTAATCTCTCTGAGCTGGACCCTAAGCATCTGCATTTACAATAAGTTTCCGGGTGATACTGGTGCTGCTGGAATTTCTAAACTTTTCATAAAGGGATCTACAAATATTTGAATGATTTCACATGTGATTGACAAGGAAAATATTAGGTAACTGGGTAGCAAAGTTTGTGTGTATTTGCAAGATCAAATATAGATTGTTTTTAATTTAAGAAAGTCAAGTGTTTTGATTTTCTTTTTAAAAAACAAATGAATTAATATTTTATATCATCAGCATTAGAAGAAAAATGCCTCCTCAAATCAGAAAAAAATGCAGCTTTATTTATCATCATGTTATCTACGTTGCAATGAGCTATAAATATTTATAACTCTATTTTAAAGGAATATTCTTTTACAACATTTACATCTGCATCTGAGGATGTTTCTGAAGGAGGATTGGATATGAGCTATTTTCTTAACATCAAGAACATGCAAAAGGCATTTCTTTGCTATTAAATGACAATTTTAAAAGTAGATAATCCCCAATAGGGACAGTGTAGGACTTTCCTGACATGAAATACTATCAAAATAGAAACATAACATTTTTGTAAATTTGGGGCTGCTTGCTTAGAGTCTCCTTCTATGGAATTATTTTTATAGATTTTTTTCTTACCATGGAAATATTGACTTCAGTGATTTTTAAAATAGATTCTGTTGCTTTTTTTTTTTTTTTTTAATACGGAATCTCGCTCTGTCACCAGGTTGGAGTGCAGCCGTGCGATCTCGGCTCACTGTGACCTCCACCTCCCGGGTTCAAAGGATTCTCCTACACTAGCCTCCCAAGTAGCTGGGATTACAGGTGTGTGTCACCACTCCTGGCTAATTTTTGTATTTTTAGTAGAGTCAGGGTTTCACCATGTTTGCCAGGATCATCTCAATCTCTTAACCTCGTGATCCGCCGGCCTTGGCCTCCCAAACTGCTGGGATTACAGGCATAAGCCACCGTGCCTGGCCTTCTGTTGCCATTTTTTTAAGTAAAAGTAAAATGGAAGTTGTAATATTTATCTGAAAACTATGGTGTTTCTTCCTTTCCCTAGTCAGATCCTTCAGTGCAATCTCAGCCTCTTTATAAAAGGGCTATTTCCATTCCACCTCATGCCAGGCCACAGCCATGTGTCCTTTTGCACATGAAGTTCTGCAGTTGGGCAGTGGACAGATTGATATTTCCAAAGTTATCTGGACTAAGAGAACAACACTTTAGAAATATATTGACATCTTATTTTTTTCAAAAAGTTAAGTGGTGACAGGACTTATTTGTGTTCTCGGGAGGGAGATCATCAGATGAAATTTAGAATTTTATTTGTGGTCTTTTTTTTTTTTTTTGACATAAAGTCTCTCTCTTGTCCCCCAGGCTGGAGTGCAATGGCACAATCTTGGCTTACTGCAACCTCCGCCTCCCAGGTTCAAAGGATTCTCCTACCCTAGCCTCCCGAGTAGCTGGGATTACAGGCGCATACAACTACGCCCAGCTAATTTTTGTATTTTTAGTAGAGATGGGGTTTTACCATGTTGGCCAGGCTGGTCTAGAACTCCTGACCTCAGGTGATCCACCCGTCTTGGCCTCCCAAAGTGCTGGGATTACAGGCATGAGCCACCGTGCCTGGCCTATTTGTGGTCATTTTTTGAAAATGTCCACTAGTTAGTTAAATACACATGACAGCATGCCAAGGCTTAGGTTAAAGCTAGAGATGCTGAACTGCTGCACTATGGCTGTGGTAGTAGGTACAGTTACTGAGGCTGATGGTAAAGGTGCTGAGCCTGAGACTAAGGCCCACAGTGAGAGGGTTAGAGGATGGAGATGAGGAAAATTAGAAACCCTCTTGTCTACTCACATCTCTGTTTTCTAAATCTCTGTTTCATTTAAGTTGGATTAAATGGTAATCTTTGGATCAAGTGATACATTTCAAATGCAATTATCACATATTAGAACTTTAAAAAAAGCATGTACCTATAATATAACTTAAATTTTGGTCAATGCCATGCTAAAGCTAAATAACTTATCTATTTGCGATAGTTATTTAGAGTTAGTTCCTGCTACCGTTGTTCTTATTGTTCTAAGAATTATAATTACTTAATAATTTGTTTTAAATTTGTTTTATAAGTAGAGGTTTAAAAAATTAGTGATGAAAAGAAAATAAAAATTCAAAATTATTAATCTTTATTAAACTTTTATGGATGTCCTATATTTAATTACAAGAAACATACATTTCTAAGTAATTAAATGTTTTTTCCAACTGCTATATTCTGTAAACTATCCATAGACTAATTAGTCAGTTTATAAAGCAAATATTCCTCTAAAACTTTACATTTTAATCAGAAATGTTAATGAGTTTGGTAATTCACACTATAGGTGCTAAATGATCAAAGTTGTATTTAATAGCTCAGGCAGTGGTTAGTAATGAGTATAGCAAGATTATCCTACTAATATATTACATAGGAAATAAGCAGTTTCTAAAAGAGCTAAAAGCAGAACTGCCATTCGATCCAGCAATCTCATTCCTGGGTATATACCCAGAGGAATACAAAGCTTTCTACTATAAAGATACATGCATGCGAATGTTCATTGCAGCAGCACTCTTCACAATAGCAAAGACATGGAATCAACCTAAATGTCCATCAGTGACGAACTGATTAAAGTAAATTTGGTACATATACACCATGGAATACTATGCAGCCATAAAACAGAACAAGATCATGTCTTTTGCGGGAACATGGATGGAGCTGGAGGCTGTCATCCTTAGGAAACTAGCACAGGAGCAGAAAACCAAATATAGCAAGTTGTCCTTTGTAAGTGGGGGATAAATGATGAGAACTTTCGAATGCAAAGAAGGAAACAACAGACGCTGGGGTCTACTTGATGGGGGAGGTTGGGAAGAGGGAGAGAAGCAGAAAAGGTAACTATTGGGTACTGAGCTTAATACTGGGATGATATAATAATATGTACAAAAAAATAGAATCATGAATTAAAAAAATACAATCAGTACCAGAATATGGAGTCCTGAATTATTTTTAAATGATATTTTAATTTTTTTGTTTTCTTTCCTTTTGCATCCATTCCAAAATTTCTTGTAGAATTTCTACCTCCATCCAGACACAAGTATATAACTTTAGAAAAGACAAAAATGATCATATACTCACTTCAGATTGAGTATGAAAACGCTGTGTTGTCACAGAAGTTCTGCAATCAGATTGTAAGGAAAATGCTTTCCCAGCATCATTCTCAGCCTGTGGAATGTGCTACATCCGTGTACAATTAAAATGTTTATAGATATAAGGTAGTTAATATGATTTTCAATAAATCCCATATGGACTCTTTCATCTATCATAATTTTATGTTTGAGTCTAGTCTCTGGCTCCACCAAGTTTATTTATCAACAACTCAAATATTTCAACTCCTATCTTTTCTCATTCTAATTTCATTCTGGATTTCCACATCAACTTTATCCAAAATAAATTATCTTAGGAAAAGAAGAGTATAACATATATAAAAATTAACAAATAGATAATATTTTGCATAAATACTTTTGAAGGGAAGTCACAAACTTAGAATTGTGTCCTTGGAAATTACGCCTTCAGTTTTCTTGTCTAACTTGAAGAAATGACTCTAATTTCCGGCTCAATTAAGGAAAAAGCCAATTGTATAATGGGATAACAAGGAAAGAATTTGTGGGAATGGCTGGTTTCAATTACCTAACTACAATGGGCTTGTCAACATCGTTTGTAGACTAAAGTTTACTACAATGACCAAGAACTCAGACTTTTATTCTAAATATGCCTTTCTTCTTACCATGTCTCAGAAAAAGGTAGACTATCAGCCACTAAATTTAAACCTCAACAAACTCTGAATTACCTTCGTAATCTCTAATAATTGAACTAGCTCTTAAGATAACTTCAACTTCTTATCAGTTTTTTCTTCTTTTATTTTAAATAACACCAAGTATTCAACTTTTGACATAGTTCATTTTTATATGCTTTTCAGTAACCTCATTTTATTATCCTTTATATTACTTTTCCTCTTTTTTTGATATTCTTGAACAATTGTGTGTTTTCTCCTTCTCACATCATCCTGACCCTAAACATACCTTTTATACCTCTCTTCACTTACATGACTTTCATTGAAATTACCATTGTTCCTCTTTTGTTAAGATCCAAAGGCGTCCCCCTTTTATAGCTTTTTAATCACTTTCATGTCTTTTGGGCTCTTGTTCATATACTTCTTGGTATAACTTTTGCCTAATAATTGTCTTATGATTCTCTGGCCCTTAGGTGCATATTAACTCAGTTGATTTGTCTTTATTTTTGAAAACTCATCTTCATTCTTTCAGTCATTAACTATTTGTTTTAAAATTTATTGTACTCTGCTTTGGACCATTTGGTGGATGCAAAGCCATATCAAATGTGATTCTTGTTCTCAGGTTATTACAGTTTAGTTAGGAAAGTGCAAAACCATATACAAAAATATGACTACTAATACAAGGCAGCAAATAAAGCATACATGAATGGCTCAATTTTGTGGAACCATCATATTCTTCCTCATTTTTTACATTAAAAAAATTTTTTAGAAGCAGTATGCTCACCTTTTCCAATTTAGGAAAATATGCCCACTCTATCCATATTCTCCTCTTACTAAATCTTTCCACCAAGTCTTGAAAAAAAAAAAAAGGACCTAACTGAAATATCCAAGTTAAACGTTTCAGTTTGCAGAACAGCAATCACCCTAAAACTATGAAAGGATCACCATGGTTCCTGAGACTGTGGACATTCAAATATTGTGATCCAGGCGTCTGCATGCTTGAGCTGAAGCTATAAAGTCATCAAAGTGTTACTCCAGCTTCTTGAATGACATAGTACCAGCTTTCCTACTGCTATTTTAAAAATAATTTTCCAAGACAATTTAGTGAAGGACATACCCTGAATTACTTGAGTTATAAATCTAGTTGTAGTAGCATAGTTTTTGTGCTATTTAAATAATCCTTCCTGTTCTTCCAGGGAGCACTCTCTACAGCATCATTTTGCTCCTATGAAGTAACACTTTTTTATAAAATTAGAAAAACATAAAACTTCACAACTGGAACATTCTGAAAAGTTAATCCAACTGGAATATTCACTGATAGCAAAATAAAAACAAGAGAATAAAGTAGGGTATTTGAAAATATTGCCTATTAAAAGTATCAGAGAAAAGATTGTGTTATAGCAGAACTTGGATGATCATAGACTGAGCTATAAATCATGACAGACAAAGACCAGGCAGAATGCAGGTGACAAGCAGAAGGGATGTTGGGAACAAAAGCACATATGAATTGGATGATAAATCCGAGAAAGAACTTCCCAAAGAGTATTCCAACCACTAGATTTAGATGATCATAGGTGCCAAAAAACAAGGGTATGTGTGCAGGGAGGAGTGGCCAAATAAATATGGGAATTCTGGGTTAAACAATATTTGAGAGGTTTTGTTTGTCTATTTGTTTATCAGGACTTCTTAGAGACTTTCATATGCTTGCTTAGAACAATAACGAGATAAATATATTGTATAGTTGGTCACCCCTTAATCTGTTTCAGGTCTGTCTTGTGAATGTAGCAGAATACTGACTTTGGCTTTGTTAGGCAATTTGAAATTCTTTTTCTATCAATAGGTAATACAAGCTGTAGTACAACTGTTCATATGAATAACTTTGGCCTCAGTCATTTAATATTTTTATGTTATACACATCCACATAGATTTTCATTTATGTAGCTTGTTTCATATTTTCTCTTTCTCTCTGTGTGTGTATGTGTATGTGGGTATGCTTTAGTCCATTTATGTTGTTTATAACAGAATATCTGAATCTGGGTAATTTATTTTTAAAAAAACAGGGTTTTTCTAATAGTTCTAGAGTCTGAAAAGTCCAAGGACAAGGGGGTGCATCTCAAGAAGGACTTCTTACTGGTACGTACCCTCTATAGGGTCCTGAGTCCAGGCAGGGCATTACATGTGAGGAGGCTGAGTGCGCTAGTTCAAGTCCCTCTTCTACTTCCAAGAAAGCCACCAGTCTCACTCTTGGGATGATCCATTAATTCATTAACTCATTAATCTATTAATTTAGGTATAGATTACTTTATTGATGAGGGCAGAGCCCTCACGACCGAGGCACTTCTTAAAGATCCCGCCTTTCTATATTGCCATATCAGAGATTATGTTTCAATATTGGTTTTGGAGGGCACAAACATTCAAACCTTAGCAGTGTGTAATCAGTATATCTTTTGGCATTTATAAAGGTTTGTATTTTTTAAATATTTGCAGTATTGGTTTTAATGCCACAATTAAGCTGGATTTTAAAAATCACTCCTAATTTAATGTTTAAAACAATAAATATTAATTTAGTTCATGAATATATGGGTCAGTGATTTAGGCTGCATGGTTCCTCTGGTTAAAGCTAGACTTGCTCATACATCTGGGGCTATGCTGGCCGTTGGCTGGGACAACTTAGCTCTTCTCCATCTCTGTCTTACATTTCTCCATAAGGTGAGACCAGACAATTTATGGAAAAAGCAGAATTGCAAGAGTCTAAAAAGCAACAGGCAAGTACTTTTTCAAATCTCTGAATATAATTGTGACCTCCCCATGAGCCAAAAGAAATAACATGGTTAAGTCCAGAAATATAGTGTGAAGGTCAATGGGAAGGATGAAGAGGCAGGGTCATTTTTGCAATTATGACAGTTACAATTACTCTAATGCCTTTATATAATACCCTTAGTCACCCCTTTTGTGAGGGACAAACAGGGAAAGACGGTGGAAAAATTGAATGGGAAGTCCCTATTGGGTTAACAAATTGTTGGAAGAAATAAACTTGAAGGTTTAGAGGTAGTACATGAAGAGCAGATGCTAGATATCGAGGGTTTAGGGAAGATGTAGTTAAAGTGTATGATGATGAGAGTGTACGGCTAGTGTATTAGTCTGTTTTCATGCAGCTGAGAAAGACATACCTGAGACTGGGAAGAAAAAGAGGTTTAATTGGACTTACATGGCTGCAGAGGCCTCAGAATCATAGTGGGAGGCAAAAGGCACCTCTTACATGCCAGCAGCAAGAGAAAAATGAAGAAGATGCAAAAGCGGAAACCCCTGATAAAACCATCAGATCTCGTGAGACTTATTCACTACCATGAGAACAGTATGGGGGAAACCGCCCCCAGGATTCATATTATCTCCCACCAGGTCCCTCCCACAACACATGGAAATTATGGGAGTACAATTCAAGATGAGATTTGGGTGGAGATACAGAGCCAAACCATATCATTCCACTCCTGGCCCCTCTAAATCTCATGACCTCACATTTCAAAACCAATCATGCCTTTCCAACAGTCCCCCGAAGTCTTAACTCATTTCAGCATTAACTCAAAAGTCCACAGTCCAATGTCTCATCTGAGACAAGGCAAGTTCTTTCCACCTATGAGCCTGTAAAATCAAAAGTAGGCTAGTTACTTCCTAGATAAAATGGAGGTACAGGTATTGGGTAAATACATCAATTCCAATTGGCAAAATATAAAGGGGTTACAAGGCCCATGCAAGTCCGAAATCCAGCGGGGCAGTCAAATTTTAAAGCTACAAAATGATCTCCTTTGACTCCAGGTCTCACATCCAGGTAACACTGATGCAAGGGGTGGGTTTCCATAGTCTTGGGCAACTCCACCTCTGTGGCTTTGCAGGGTATAGCCCCCTCTTGGCTGCTTTCATGGGCAGGCATTGAGTGTCTGCAGCTTTTCCAGGCACATGGTTCACGCTGTCGGTGGATCTACCATTCTGGGGTCTGGAAGAAGGTGGTCCTCTTCTCATAGCTCCACTAAGCAGTGTCCTAGTAGGGATTCTGTGTGGGGCTTCAACCCTACATTTCCCTTCCGCACTGCCCTAGCACAGGTTATCCATGACAGCCCTGCTCCTGCAGCAAACTTCTGCCTGGGCATCCAGGTGTTTCATCTTCTGAAATCTAGGCAGAGATTCCCAAACCTCAATTCTTGAATTCTATGCACCCTCAGGCTTAACACCACATGGAAGCTGCCAAGGTTTGGGGATTGCACCCTCTGAAACCATGGGCTGAGCTGTACCTAGGCCCCCTTTTGCAATGGCTGGAGTGGCTTGAGTGGACGCAGGGCACCAAGACTCTGGCTGCACACAGCACAGGGACCCTGGGTCCAGCCCACAAAACCACTTTTTCCTCCTAGGTTTCCAGGTCTGTGATGGGAAGAGCTGCCATGAAGACCTATGACACGTCCTGCAGACATTTTCCCCATTGTCTTGAGGATTAACATCCTTGTTAGTTACACAAATTCCTGCAACCAATTAATTTCTCCTCAGAAAATGGGATTTTCTTTTCTATCGCATTGTCAGGCTGCAGATTTTCTGAACTTTTATGCTCCTCTTTCCTTATAAAGCTGAATGCCTTTAGCAGCATCCAAGTCACCTCTTGAATGCTTTGCTGCTTAGAAATTTGTTCTGCCAGATACCTTGAATCATCTCTCTCAAGTTCAAAGTTCCACAAATTTCTAGGGCAGGGGCAAAATGTCACCAGTCTCTTTGCTAAAACATAACAAGAGTCATGTTTGCTCCAGTCGCAACTAGTTCCTCATCTTCATCTGTGACCACCTTAGCCTGGACCTTATTGTCCATATCACTATCAGCCTTTTGGTCAAAGACATTCAACAAGTCTCTAAGAAGTTCCAAACTTTCCCACATCTCCCTGTCTTCTTCTGGGCCTTCAAAACTGTTCCAACCTCTGCCTGTTACCCAGTGCCAAAGTCGCTTCCACATTTTCGGGTATCTTTTCAGCAACGCCCCACTTTACTGGTACCAATTTACTGTATTAGTCTGTTTTTGCACTGCTGATAAAGACATAACCGAGACTGGGAAGAAAAAGAGATTTAATTGGGCTTACAGTTCCACATGGTTAGGGAGGCCTCAGAATCATAGCGGGACACAAACAACACTTCTTACGTGGCAGTGGCAAGAGAAAAATGTGGAAGATGAAAAAGCGGAAATACCTGATAAAACCATCAGATCTTGTGAGACTTATTCACTACCATGAGAACAGTGTGGGGAAACCACCTCCATGATTCAAATTATCTCACACCGGGTCCCACCCACAACACACGGGAATTATGGGAGTACAATTCAGGATGAGATTTGGGTGGGGACACAGAGCCAAACCATATCAGCTGGATTAGGAAGGACAAGATCTTGCAAGTGAGGGGCCAAAGAATTGAGAGATAATACTTATCTTTTATTAATAAATAAATAAACACCTTTGTTCTGAAATAAATCTTAGATAAACTATGGTCAAAGAAAACCCATTCCTTCATTCCAAAAATATTCACTGCATGCTTACTCTGTATCTAGTTTTGTCTTCTATACTAAAGGTATGGTAGTGGTGAACAATACAAACCAGGTGCTGCTCTCATGGGGGTGACATTCCAGTGGAAGTTCAGTCTAGCAGCGGGTTAAATTAAATTGAGCATTGAACCAATCAAGCTTGTGATAGAATCAGTATGTCCTCCATTTAATGTTGAGCTCTCTTGCAAAATCCTAGATAAATTGACCAAAAAGTGATTCATATTATAGTGGTTGTAGATATATAGTTGGCGAAAATAATAGAATTGCTAGTTCACTTAAAAACTGAAATTATCTATAAGAGATCATCTCATGTTCACATGTAAGTAGGCTGTGTATATCTATCATTGGGCCTTTCTCATATGTTGAAACAAATATAGTTACATTAATATAGACAACTAGTTTATACAATGGATCCACTTGATTGTGATAGATTATCCATAGTATCTTCTACAAAGCTTCCATATAAAGAACGTCCACCAAGGGAGTCCTCTAAGGGGAGCTTTGCCACAGTTATCACAAGGCATATCCATCATGTTTTTCTTCTCTTGTATCAATTTCTCAACTACTGTCCACAACACCTGAAGAAATTTCCACATTGATATTATTAACAGGGCCTCTTAAAAGAATCTTAGCATCCATGTCAGATTATTGTCTCCAGATGCCCCAAATTATTCTCGGTAATTAATTAGCATTCCAGAGGAGATGTAAGTCTTGTGTGGAGGTGGGGAAGGGGATAGACTTCTATGTAATTTCATGCCACAGCTGTCCTTGGATTATGAAGCCACACTCTTGTGTCCAGAGTTTCCAAACATCCCCCAGAACAGCTTCTCTAACTAGACATCAACTCCGGCTGAATCCATGAAGACATACATCCCAGTAGATAGGAGTAAGAACCTTGCAATTACATTCCTTCACAGTCCCTAAATTTGCAGACTGTAACAAGGCATCTACTTATAATGAATACTTTTTAAATATATTTTAATGGATGATTAAATTCTGAACTGTAAATAGAGGTAGATTATCTAAAGTCATTTTAAAAACGTATACTAAACTTTTAATACAAATATGTAGAAATTTAATCCCTAAAACATTTCTCAATATATCAACATGTTGTAAAAAATAAGTTATTACATGAGAAGATAAAATGTGGATAAGGAAAATATTTAGCTTCTTTATATTTACTGTCAGCCATTTCTTGTCACCATAGAAATAGGAATCACTAAATATAACTGATTCACAGAAGAGATGTTGGGAACACCAGCAGAGGCAAAGACAAAACTGAATCCTCTATTTGTGAAGCCAACTCTACATTTAGAAGAGGAGATCTTCACCCCAAAATTCAAAACATATTGGTCAACCAGTATCCTTTGGGAGCCATTCATTCCTGGATTTTTTTGGTTTAAACATATAAGAATAAAATATTATATAGATGAAGTAGCACATATTTTTTGCTTTGTTGTTGGTTTCTTCTTTTAAACTGTGATTGTTCTGTGATTTATAAGATCATAACACAAATATATGTGAAGTTTAGCAATGAAATATAGGGGAACAACCCTACAAATTTAATAACAGAATCAAATTATTAGTACCCTCAGAGATCACTTTGATAGTAATCCATCCAAGTAAGCTGATCTGCCCTGATTAAAATGGAATTTAGCATTTGTTTCTGTGTATGTGAAGAAGTTTTGGTTCACATAAAAAGAGTGCCATTTTTTCAATTACTTGATTTGGTTGAGTGATTTTGTAAAGGCAATAAGAAAAAGAAATGGAACATTTTCTACTTGACACTTTTCTGTTCTAAAAAACAAAACACCTCAATTGATCAAAACAATATCGTCAGCATAATGATTATTTACAATTTTCTAACGAAACAAAAATAATATGTAAAAACTGAATGATCTGGTCTTTCAACTGTGACCTCTTTGGATTGCAACAGGTTTCCTTTTAGATGAAAAGTAAAAATTCTAAATCTATTGAGAAATATTCAACACATAAGCTACTGATCACTTTCGTAGCGACCTACTACATAGCTTTCTCAGTATAATCACATGACATTGGTGTGAAACAGCAGCAACACTCTGATACTGAAATCAAACAACAAATAGCCCTTAAGGATTATAATGTCTGGTAAACTTTTGTTCAGAAAACTGTCCTTGGAAAAACTGAATTTCATAGTCATATTTTTCTTAAAACATTTCGAAAGTCATTTCGGCTACTTGTTTTTGTTATTCTTCCCTTTTTTGTGTTTGGTGTTCTAACTTCTATATTCCAAAGTCATAACACAACTTTCAACTTGCCTCTAAGTATTGAAAATTTACTATTTATCCTTAGCTTTTATTGTAAAAAGAAAAAATGTTACCTAAGAGGGAGAAATTAGGTTAACTAAGTGGCCTGCCCATAACTCTCTGGGAGGATAATTTAATTGTGTTTTCTAAATAAGAAAGAATGAGATACTTTTTTCTCTTTCCCCTTTAAAGAGAGCCAGTAGGGCTTAGCTCCAGGAAGCCTGAGGATATTCTTCCTGTGGGGGAGAGCTGAAGCTTATATTTCCCAAGAGCTAGGCTCCTGACAAAAAAATTGGACTATTGGGAGAGGGGTGCAGTAGTTTCATGAAAGCGGCTGCTAGACCTGTTTCTAAAGGCAGCTTCTAGAACTGACTAGGAGACAGGTATTTGTGAGGTTTTGCATGGAAGAGGTCCATCCTGCATGCAGTGGATGGGAAGCAGTGGGGTGGGTAGTTGTAGGATAGTTCTTGATACTAGGCACATTAAAGAGAAGCTAAGGTTTCATTTGAGAAGATAACAGCAGCAGTGCTCCACACTATGGAACACTAGCATTTGCTAGTAGGAAAGTGTAGCCTCAGAGCTATGAGACCCTCATAGTGTAAGACCAAGTGTCCTACTTTCCCATGAAAACCCTTAGGTGTCTTGTCTGCTAAAAAATGGAAGAAACTACCTCTCAAGACTTGCCTAAGTACTTTTCCACCAATTTTGGCAGGTCATTTTAATTTGATTAAAGTATTTGAATCTAGTGGAGCAAACTCAGAAAACTTACATAAACTATTCTTTAGCCCGGGCCAGCTAATTTTCAAGAACTGCTGAAGTTTTCAGGTCTCTTATCTACACTTTCCATCTGAAAAGATAAGTAAAATTTTCAGCCTAGCATTTACTCCAAGTTTGGTTTCCTAGCTAAGAGGTCGAGAAACAATTTCAGCTTATATTTGCATCAATAATTTAGAAATTTTTTCTGGTTCCTCCATTCCTCTGTGATCTGCCTCCAATTTCTTATGTTACTAGGTTTTATTTTGGAAATATCTGTCATTTTTCAGCATTTCTGAACTTGTGTATTTTGGGTAATATTCTAATTTGTTTCTCTAAATTTATTCCACTTTTTTTCTTATGAAAGCTCTTCCAAAATATATTGACGTTCCTGATCTTAATCTTTGTTTAAGATTTGTGGTTAGAACTGAGTTCAAGTGGGCAAAGGACATGAATAGACACTTCTCAAAAGAAGATATTTATGCAACCAACAAACATGAAAAAAAGCTTAACATCACTGATCATTAGAGAAATGCAAATCAAAACCACAATGAGATACCATCTCATGTCACTCAGAATGGCAATTATTAAAAAGTCAAGAAACAACAGATGCTAGTGAGGCTGCACTGTTGGGAATGTAAATTAGTTCAACCATTGTGGAAGACAGGGTGGAGATTCCTTAAAGACCTAGAAACAGAAATTCCATTTGACCCAGCAATCCCATTACTGGATACATACCCAAACGAATATAAATCATTCTATTATAATGACACATGCACGTATATATTCATTTCAGCACTAGTCACAATAGCAAAGACATGGAATCAACACAAATGTCCATCAAAGATAGATTGGATAAAGAAAATATGACATATATACACCATGGAATACTATGCAGGAATGAGATAATGTCTTTTTCAGGGACATGGATGGAGCTGGAGGTCATTATCCTCAGCAAACTAATGCAGGAACAGAAAACCAAACACTGCATATTCCATGTTCTCATTTATAAGTGGGAGCTGAACAATGAGACTATATGGACACAGGGAGGAGAACAACACACACTGGGGCCTGCTGGCAGGATGTAAGGGGAAGGAGAGAATCAGGAAAAATAGTTAATGCATGCTGGGCTCAATACCTAGGTGATGGGTTTACAGGTGCAACAAACCACCATGGCACATGTTTACCTACATAACAAACCTGCACATCCTGCACATGTACCCCAGAAATTAAAATAAAATAAAAAAATTTGTGGTTAGCAAAAGTTAAACTTACATATTTGGTTAAGTATTCTATGCATCCACATTAAAACACACAGGAACAAAATGAGCAGATAACATGTTTGTCTATCGCTACAGTATTGTCTTCATAAAGTTAGGAGTCCTCTGCTGTCCATCTTTGTATTCTTAAATAGTATCCCTTGGCCTGTCAGACAACATGATGGGTGATAAACATCTACTCAGTGAATTATTGAGTGAGTAAGTGAATGGATGTCCTGAGGCAAGTTCCAAATTCATACACAAAAAGAAACCCCAAAAAACCCCTCTGTTGTTTGAGAAGATTCACTCCTACAAATCAGCCTTTGTGGAACCTAAGAAGTCAGGAAACTAGTTTAACGTATCTAGTCATTCTAATTAACAAAGATATTAAATTTTGGAAAGCAAAAAGAGAAAAAAAATAGCCTTTCTACAAATTGGGGAAAAAACTCTACAAATAGTTATAAAAATACAATTATTATATAACAGCTTTAAAATCTCTTCCTTTTACTTTCATGTCTAGAAAACGACCACACCTCTCTATCTTCAAAGACTGTCAAAATATTCAATTTCTAGGACACATACCAAGTGAACTAGTGGTGCTGGTGGGGCTTTTATGAAAAACTCTTCAATATACTGGGACCATTTAGAGGCATGGTAAGAATTCTGTTTTAAAAGATGGCCTAGTACCACTCATTGACTGTTTCTTTAGCTATTTACCTAGTCAGTGGTTACCACTGTATACAAGATGACGAATATTTAAATGAAGGAATATAACACATTGATAGTATTAAAAATTTATTGAAGTTTCAATTATAGTGGCATAAATAACTATTTATAAAATGCTAGAGGAAGCTCTGCACATTAGGGAGGTAGTCTCAAGGTTAAACTTTCAAATTAGTATGGAATATATTGTAGGATAGTTCCTAAAAATTAATATTTCAAATGGATAGTTTTGTTTCCAATTATTTATTTATTGCTTGGTAACAAACGCTAGCATTTTGAAGAATGTAAAAACATTATTCTCATCTATTATTTATATTTCATTTGTTCCTTCTGATTTTAAATATTTAAATAAGATATCAGTGTTTAAGCTTAACAATAATACTATCAAATATATATATGCACGTATACTATATTTAGCAATTTCAAACTAAACACTGTATAATATCACAAATTATTCTTTTGTTAGAATTTCTCCACTATATTCTGAGTGTTTCTTAAATAATTTTACTTTATAAGGAGCTCTATTTGATGAATCATATTTGATAATTCTATTCAAATATCACATATCTTGCATCTTGTGCCAGGGCCAAAGCTCAGAAATCTTTTCTATTCTCAAAGTTCAAATCCATGGAGATAAACTAATCAAAGAAATTATCCTGAGGCTAAACATATAGAGAATGGTTGGATTAATGGATTTAATAAACATATTTTCTGCTACAGATTCAAGCCACACTCTTCACCCACATTTTGACAAAAGGCATAATCACAGCACTGTGTGCACTCATGCTGTCCTTGGTAGGTATGCCAAACGATAATCTAAATGGGATTTTGAAATATATACACGCTAAAAAAATGTATATTTTTGGTCTATCTCTTTCCTAAAAGTGTATATTTTTGGCCTATCTCTTTCCAATGAAAATAGCTAGGAGATTATATTAAAATATGCATACAATAAAAGAGTTTATATTAATAAAAGAAAAGAGACCTATCATTCAATTTTCTTCGATTTCCTTGTATTCAGGGAATCAGGTAGACTCGCACAAACACACATCCATACAAATACATACTGTTAAAGTGAAGGAGAGTTGAACAGGAACTCCACGACTGAAAGGTTAGAAGACTGTGCTAAAGGATAGCATATTGGAAAATACAAAGGGCAAAGGAAAAACAAGAGTCATTGGAAAACCGATGTTAAAACTGAGGACATTTACTTTTAAAAAGCTAAAATTGAAGCAAACTGTTAAATCTTCTTCTCTGCTATGGAGAATCACTGACCATTGGCAGAGAACGTTGAAAACAGCTGTCCCCTTAATGTTAAGACTCTCTTCCCTCCATTCCTTCCATTTTCTCTATCATTGTCTTCCTCCCTTCCTGCCTTCTTCCCTTTCTCCTTTCCTTTTCCCCTCTCTCTTGCATCTCTCTCTTTTCCTCTTCCTCCCTCTATTGCAATCTATTGCAATTCTTCCCCCGCTCCGCCGCATCTTTGTCTGTCTCTCTTAGCTTGTGTTAAAAAGCATTAATGAACATTTGCTCAATTGAAGCTCTAGAGTATGATTCCAGAGCCCACATTATTGGCCCCTCATGTATAACTGCATTGTGTGATTTACATATCTTTCCATCTGTAACCTCAAAGACATAGCAAATGGGTTTATAATAATGCTCTCATCGTGTTGGATGATGCTTTTAATCCAAATAATATGCGTGTGTGTGAATGTGAGTGTGTATGTGTAATTTTAGAACATTTTAAAAATCACTTTCCATATCTGCTTTTATTAACTGTTAATTCTTTTAAAAGAGACTCTTAAGAAATGAATTTAAAATCTCTTTATTATTGCAATTATCAGAATAAAAATCCTGTGCAGTATGCACAGTTACGATACTGTGGCTGCCAAAAGCTTAATGGACATCTATTTACTGCATACCAGGCCCTTTCCTCTAGGATGAGGATAAAACAAGCTTCTGATTTCCAGTAGATTACATTGTTATTTGAGGAGACAGAAAATATAATAGACAAATATAAAATCAAACACTGTGTCAATTGGCAAGAATTGCATGAAGAAAAAATAGCACAGGACAAGGGAGAGAAAATTGTTTCCTACGAGGAATATTGTGTTGTCTTTTCATCAGTCTCAAATTTCTGTTCACTCCTTGGCTTATTTATTTCTTCTGTATACAGACAATGTTAACTCTGAATTCATACTACATGTCACAAACGGGCCCTAGGGGTTTGGAATTTTTATGAAATAGATAGATTATTGATATTGATTGATTGATAGATAATTCATGTATATAAAAAGTCTATATTTCATTGTCCTGGGATGGTGGCAGTTTCCAGCTTTATGCAGTGATAACAGTTCTGTTTTTTTTTTTTTATTTTTGTGCCTGGAAGCCATATCCCATGTTTCAGTTTCCAGCACAGACATTACTATCTCAGGCCCTAGCTCTAAGGTCTCATCTCTGCTCTGATGCCCTTTCAGCCTCTACTCTATTCATTCAAAAGCATATTGCAAACTTACTTCAAGATTATTGCCCAAAGTTTAAGTTGCCTCTTTATTTTTGGCTTCTGGGGACTTCTGAGATTGTGCGTTTGTTAAAAATGCAATCTTTCTAGGTGTTTGTACTGGGAATCACAGTTTATTAGCTCAATTCATTATATTGTTGGCTGCTGTGGTATTAAACTCCCCTGGATTTCCTCAGTAATTTAAATCTTCTTCTCATGGGTTCTTTCAAATTTTAATTTTGTTTATAATTTCAATGTTTCTCAGAATCTAATAGTGAAGAAAAAACATGTTTGTGGTTAGGCCACTAGCTCTTCTATATTTGTAGCAGAAACATTTAATAAAAATACAAAAAAATTAATGCTCCAATAAATCCAGCATGGTATGCTATTTCTGTGATATTAAGGAAGTTTTTTTCCCTGATATTTCCTTTCCCTCATCCTCCCTTCCCTAAATTTAAATGCTAGACCATTTAGTGCTCTTCTACTTAAAGAGGAAAGTAAAACTATCAAGGAGAAAATGGAGGACTCTCTCCCCAACTCTAGAATTCCAGAAGGCTAAACCTTTAAAGGAAAACAAAATGCTCACAACCTAGAAAACAATTTGAAATAAAGCATCATGAATTAAACTGAGGCTTTCTTTGTGCCATCATTCAGTCTAGGACACAAGACAGGTGCCCCAAGCTAATAGTGGTAGAGGTTGAGAAATAGTTGGAAGAGAAATTTTGATTATGTGGATAAAGGTGGGTCTCAAGGAAGGAGAAGTCTGCTCTCCAGTACTTGGAATGAAAACTTCAGGAAAGAGCAGCACGCATATATAAGTTTGTGGGTCCCTGAGAGTAGAGGGTGATAATGAATCATCCTATGATAGAAGTGTGTAAATGCTGTATCTAGACAAGTTCAGCCTTAGTTCCTATTACAACAGAAAGATGTGGGAGCAACAGATCCCCTACCATGTTCTCTCAATGTCAAGAAAATAGTGAGTTATAACTGAGAAGACTTGGAAGTCATATAGTTAGGAAGAGAGGACATATCTACTGCATGGATCAATGACTATCAGTGTTCTATAACCATCTCAGCAGATGCCAAAGTGGACACATAGCACTGACAAGGATGGCTTACTGCTTGCTAATGGTTTACTATGACATAAGCCTCCCTAATATTATATGCAACTTGAGAAAAACAATTGATTCCAAATTGATTGAGGATTGTTACCAGCACCACAAAAGAATGGAGGAGAAAAAAAATAAGTTGAGTTACAGAAACTACGAACAAATCATATTTTTTAGGCCGGGTGCGGTGGCTCATACCTGTAATTCCAGCACTTTGGGAGGCTGAGGTGGGTGGATCATTTGAGGTCAGGAGTTTGAGACCAGCCTGACCAACATGGTGAAACTCTGTCTCTACTAAACGAAAATACCAAAAAAAAAAAAAAAAGTTATATTGTTTACATGGGCTGTGTTTAAATCTGCACCAGAAATGTTGCTTCCTCAACCCAGACTTCTCTTTCTAGTTTATTTGATTTAAAACATTTCACCCTGAAGCACACTTAACGCTTTTTCTTTTCTTTTAGTAGCAAAAACACGTAACACTTGATATTTATGTTTTCTAAAGTAGTGATTTCAAATTAATATCTATGGCCTGATTCAAATACATTCTTTTGTTCATCTCACAGGGGATGCTGAAACTGCTCAGGCACATTCCCAAGAACAAATTGCATCCATTAATTCCCAACTCCACATTTATTGATGTTTCCAAGGTAGCTCAAAATTGACAATAATTGGAGTATTTACACCACAGAAATCAGCAAATACTATAACTGGGGCTTCCCCTCCCCTAAGAGCCGGTTGTTAAATATTCATCCACACACCGTGGCCACTGTATCTTTAGCACTGAAGAGCCCCATCACATATGACATTCTTTAAGAATCCTAGGATTTAGAGATTTCTAATTAAGTGAAAGTTGAGTTTTATGTTTTAAAAGCTTGAATTATTGGATTCATGAAATGGCTTCTAGAAGGCTAAGATCCAATTGTTTGGTCTCCCTATGGATAAAACCAAACCAGAGTCTTGCACAGATCAAACGCACATTCTGACTACTGTAGTCACAGCCACAACCACAGACACAGCAGTGTCCTTACAGCAGCAGACCCGTGACCCAGAGGGCAGATTCTATATTAGCCCTTTCATGGAAAATACAGTAGTAAGAAATCACATCATGTAAGATGCTCTGTGAGTAGATACACAATTATAATGTTGTTTTTATTCTTTTTTAAAGAGTACTGACCAATGTCAAATCTTCAAAAAAAAATTAGTGCTGAGGAAATTAAAGGAAGGAAATGAAATGTACTGCAATGGTATATATAGTTTATCTGGCCATAGAGAATTCAGAGATAAAAGATGAAAGACTTGTTCCAGAAGCAAAGGGTGGGAGTTCCTTTTATCAAGTGAAATTAGTATAAGTGAATTAAAAGACCACTCAAAAATGACTTTGTTTATTCTCCAGACCTCCTGTGCTTTATCTTTTTACAGAAAATAACAGTTTGTGGATCCTCTGTGTAATGCCCTATGTGACAAGTGAATAGACAGTGGGGCAGGGAGTGAGACTAAAGACAGGAAAACACAAAGTTTAAAAAAAAATAGCATGAGGGTTGCCTGGAGGGGAGAAAAAGGGAGGACGGTAAAGGCTTATAGAAAAGTGGGCAATTTCCAGACCCCACACAGACTTCCTTGGACAATAGGGAAAAGCCTCAGGTTTTCATAGTCCCAAAGATTTAGACGACATGATACTGAGTAATGACTGCTGGCTCCAAAGCCAAGCCAGTTATCCCAACTCTCTGTAGTTTATAACAGTTATTACATTAGCCTCTGATGCCAGAAAATAATAAAAACTGGATATTTCCCTAAATCACAACCCATTTTCATTTGGAAAGGGTCTATAATATTTTCCTCTCAGACTGACATTTTTATACAGTGCTCAAAGTTATTCAATCCTCCAACATTTTTCTGTCAGCCCTGTCATATGACACTATACTAAAACATACGTGATGTTCAAAGAAAATGAAAACTTTACCATTTTTATGCATTTTATAACTTTTTAACTAAATAATATGAATGGATCTAGAAACTGCCTTGGCTATAGTGAAACTAATATCTATTAATTGCTATGTATGGGCTGGAAATATTTTAGTTAAAAGTACATTAACATTTTGTTTTAGAAAAATCCAGAGTGCAATGTTATGGAAACACGCACATGAGTAAACTGTAGCAATGCATAGGGAGCAGAGATGTGAGCCGCTTTCCTTCAAGAATGTATAAAATAATTCAAATGGAGCTTTATTAAGTAGATTCATGTTAGAAGTGATTTAGAATAGGAAAAATGCTACTGAGAAGATAAGAGATTATAATGAGGGGTGAAACGTGGTTCAGTGTCTTCTGTACACGAGTTAAATGTAATAATTATTTCAGGTTAAGGATTTTATTCATGTATCCAACAAATATTCATTGGTACCTGATATATACCAGGTACTTATCTAGGCACTAGAGATACAAAAAGGAAAAATTGACCAAAAATATACATATTTTGGGATGATTTCCCTCGGTGCCCAACCAAATAGGGGATGGAGGCTGAAGTCTATAAGAAAGTAAAGGTCCCTGATTGCACTGGTTAGTGTACCATGTACGCTAACCTTTAACATGGGGAAAGAGGGAAAACTGACTTGGCCCTCTTCTCTGTCCTTGCTGATCACCTGCTGAAGAATGTGGCTGTAACCAGTTAATAAGAGTCTGTCTTGGTTTTCTTCCTCAATGTGCAGAGCCTTAAGCCTGAAGTGTAGAGTGGAGGGTAGATGTCTTTCCTCTTTCCCTAAACCTATGAGACTCACTGGTAGCTGTCTATTTGCCTGAAAAGAAATTTCTTCAAAAGTCAGTAGGAGGAAGTTGTAAAATTGTTTTCTCTTTTTAATAAAGGACCCTTTTGAAGACTCTACTATCCTCCTCCTTGAAAATTAACTTCAACTTCACATTTTATCTAGGGAGAAGCTAAATGCATCAATACTTGCATGATTTTATTTGTAATTTAAACCTGTAATTTTTCAGTTCTTGAATTATCCTTTGATTCTATTAAATTTTGCTTGTTTTTTTAATTTAAAGGTTTTTTTAAATTATTCTATCAGATTTAAAGTCAAAAAGGCTGAGGACACTGATTTTATATCCTCTTCAGACTAAGGAGACTGGCTTCCTCTCCACTCTTTGTATCATGATATGTCACCTGAAATTTATTCCTTGACTCTTTCAATAATAAAATCTATTTGAAACTTTTATAACAAAATTTACTTTGGGAACTTTAACCATACAAGTCTTATAAGTGTCCCTCAATTATGCTATTCTCAATCCTGCTAAAAATCTATGCCTCGTGCTGAAATAATTTCTCCTCTAATACCCCAGCATGCCTTTTCATTTAGTTAACTCCAATTCATTCTTCACATAGAGTGTTCCTTCAGCACCACGCCCTTCAGTTTAAGTTGGATTTGTAATGTTATATATTCTGGCAGAATCATATAACTTTCCTACATGCCATTTAACAACATATAATCTTTGACTTTTTAATACAGAAACATAGAAAAAATAATATGGTGAATTTCCACATGCCCATCACCACTCAGTGTCAACAGTAACAACCCATGGACAATGTTGTTTTTCTTTTTGCTTAACAGTTGAAACAGTTAAAATATAATATAATAATACTTAGCAATTTAAACATACAATTTTAATAATTTTGGCTGATATATGTAGATGTGGTGAAACCATCACTGCAATCATAATATAGAACATTTCTCTTACCCTAAAGTGTCCCTCCAGCCTTTTTGATGTCAATCTTACACCATCTGTTTATCAAGTTGTCTCTTGTCTTAAATTGTAAAAATATTGCATAGATTTTGAATCCAATTTTTTAGTCTGATATACTTTTTGCCTAGTCTGTGATTTGCCTATTCATTTTCTTAACAGCATCTCTGGAAGAGCAAAAGATTTTGGGAGGCCAAGACAGGAGAATCACTTGAGGCCCCGAGTGTGAGAGAAGTCTGGGCAACATAGCAAGACTTTTCTCTATTATATTTTAATATGTATGAGGTCCAATTTACCAATTTATTTTAGGATATTATATAATTTTGGGGTCCTAGCCAAGAAATCTATCCAGAACCCAAGATTGCAAAGATTTTTCTTCTGTTTTCTTCTAAAAGTTTTCTAATTTTAGCTGTAACTTTTGGATCTATCATCGATTTTGAGTTAGTTTTTCTGTAAGATGTGAAGTAACCTTCAAATTTAATTTTGCATAAAGATATTCAATTGTTCCAGCATCCTTTGTAAAAAGAAGCCTTGCATCCTCGTGAAAATCAGTTGACCATATATGTGTGGATCTATTTCTGGTTGCTTTATTATTTTCCTTTGATCACTTGTCTAATTTTAACTCACAACTACACTGTCTCATTCACTATAGCTTTATACTAACTCTTGTAATTAGGTAGAACATATCCTCCAACTTTAATCTTTTTAAAAAACAGTTTTGGTTATTCCCAGTCCTTTGGATTTTCATATTAAAATATTAAAATCAGTTTGTTGATTTTCATTCAAAAAAATTCTTGCTGAGATTTGGATTGAGATTGTCAAACCTTTACATCAAATTTTATAAAATTAACATTTTAACAATATTTATTCTTCTAATCCACAGACATATATCTCTCTCCATTTACTTGGATCTTCTTGAATTCTCTCAGAAATGTTGCATAATTTTTGATGTGTGCACATAGTTCATTAAGTTTATTATTCAATAAACATTCACCGCATGCCAGAACATGTGAAAAAAATAGAACTTTTATACAGCTAATCCCCTTCTGCACTCATGTCACCTCTATGAGGCCGTCACTTTATTATCCTTACATTACACAAGAATTATCTGAGACTTAGGGAAAAGTTAAAAAATTTCATAAATGACACAGAGTTAGTAAATATATCAATCAATACCAAATCTTTCCATTGAATGCCAGAAGCCAAACTCTTAACCACTATGTTGTTCTGACTTTCCACTGGCCATCTACTGAGATGTCAAATAAAAAGTTAAATATTTCCTGCCAGTGACAGCCACAGCCTAGTATATTTTTTACCAGCTAGTATACTGTTTCCAGACCCTGAAACAATGGGCTTCATCCAACCTCAAAGTCTCTGCATTTACTCTTTTCTTGGCCTGGATAGCATTCACCCCTATCTCCCACCCCCATCTTTCTGGAATGCATACCTATTGAAGTTTTCTGTTTTGTTCTGTTTTGATATATCTTTACCATTTGGAAAAGTGTCAGGTACATAGTAGGTGCTACATAAATATTTGTGAAATCAATGAAAAAGTACACAGCTAGAAAATGACAACAAGGGTGCAAAGATGGATTTTCTCATCCAAAGCCCCTGTTTCTCCATGTAGCACTGTAGCCAGTCCTGTTTATTATTGACAATATCACAAGTAAAAGCATATTGAAAATTAATATATTTTCACATTTTGTTTTACCTTCCACAAAATAAAAATGTAGAATGTACTCTGGAATTGGATAGGCCCAGGTCTGACAAGATAGTTCAGTAACTTGACAACTGCACAGCCTTGGGCAAGTTATTAATGTCTGTGATAGTTAATACTGAGTGTCAACTTGATTGGATTGAATGATACAAAGTATTGATCCTGGATGTGTCTGTGAGGGTGTTGCCAAAGGTGATTAACATTTGAGTCAGTGTGCTGGGAAAGGCAGACCCACCCTTAATCTGAGTGGGCACAATCTAATCTTAGCTGCCACTATGGCTAGAATATAAGCACGCAGAAAAATGTGAAAAATGAGACTGCCCTAGCCTCCCAGCCTACATCTTTCTCCAGTGCTGGACGCTTCCTGCCCTCGAACATCAGACTCTAAGTTCTTCAGTTCTGGGACTTGGACTGGCTCTCCTTGCTCCTCAGCCTGCAGACAGCCTACTGCAGGCCCCTGTGACTGTGTGAGTTAATACTTAATAAACTCCCCTTTTATATATTCCATTATTCTGTCCCTCTAGAGAACCCTGACTAATACAATGTCTCAATTGACTACATATATAGAAATTAGAATTTTGATGTATCTCCCTACTGCACACAATGGCTTGCAGGCTAAATGAGGTAAATTACATGATGAGAGCATCCTACATTGTATTTCCTTTTTGAATGGGGCACTCTTCATCTTTAGGGTAATTTTGCAAACTTGTGGTTAAACTGTTAATATTTAGAATTATAAAATGCTATTTAGAATTTAGTATTACTTATGAAATAGTAAAGAGATCTTGTCTACTTTGGCCTTTTCTATGTCTGAAGTTTCTACTTAAATTTTGTGCATAATTTTCATTTGAAATGCTCACTTTTGGAATTTGTAAAAAGCATAGATTTGTGACACCTAGCTCAAACGCGAGGCCCCAGGATATGTGCATTTCTTCCTTTATTCAGATATCCTTTGGCAATAAAACTAATTATTCAAACTTCTATGAATTATTACTAGCTAATGGATGATTATATAACATTTTAAAAGCTATCAAGGTGACCTCCAATCTGAGGTACTAAACGCACATTAAAAGAATTTTTTTAAATCAGAAATTACATTGTATTCAAATCTAATTTTGACATGTTAACAAACATAAAAGTTTGTTATCTCAGGCATTTTATCATTTTTTCTTGAATATCACTTAAGACTTCCTCACCATTTGTTTACTTCAGTTATATGCCATGTGTCCGGCACAACCACAAAAAAAGGGCCCAAAGCCTTAAACATGAGATAATTTGCTTTCTATAAACTAGGATGCTTGTAAGCTTAGCCCAAGAGAAAGGTTAACTAACAAAGGCCTTTTAAAACTCTTCCTGCCACATGCCAGAGGAGAATTCTTTTAGGCATCCTGAGTAAGTTTTACAATGTATTTAAGGGTCAAAAAAGTGCAATCATATGACTTCAGGCAGTTGCAGTTATATGATTTCATTGTTGCCTAGATTAGATTAGAAATAAGGATTGAAGATTCACCCGGGTTAAGGAACATTTTCATTTAAAGTTCCTAATTGTAGGAGGATTTTTGGACCAGGCAGCCTAAGGAATATAAAGCTAGGCAAAGTGAACACAACAAAACAAAACATAAACAAATAAGCGAAAGCATGAAAAAGACCTGACGAGTTAGTGCTCCTGGAAATGAATGGAGGGCAAAGAGAACAGCTGTGTCTATAAGAGGCAATTGCAAACAATTTCAGTTCTCCCAATGGGGCAAAGCACCCAACTGACATCTCCCAACAATTTGGTATATCTCCCAATGATTTCTTATTCTAAGTGTCATTTGGGTGCTTTGCCCCATCGGGAGAACTGAAATTGTTTGCAATTGCCTCTTACAGACACAGCTGTTCTCTTTGCCCTCCATTCATTTCCAGGAGAACTAACTCATCAGGTCTTTTTCATGCTTTTGCTTATTTGTTTATGTTTTATTTTGTTGTGTTCACTTTGCCTAGCTTTATATTCCTTTTGCTAGATGACAAGTTAGTGGGTGCAGCGCACCAGCATGTCACATGTATACATATGTAACTAACCTGCACATTGTGCACATGTACCCTAAAACTTAAAGTATAATAATAAAAAAAAAGAAATTATTTAATTTTTTTTTTTCAGCTGGAGCCTAACTCTGTCACCAGGCTGGAGTGCAGTGGCATGATTTCAGCTCATTTCAACCTCCACCTCTCGGGTTCAAGCTGTTCTCCTGCCTCAGCCTCCCGAGCAGCTGGGACTACAGGCGTGTACCACCATGCCCAGCTAATTTTTGTATTTTTAGTAGAGACAGGGTTTCACCATGTTGGCCAAGATGGTCTTGATCTCTTGACCTTGTGATCCACCCACCTCAGCCTCCCAAAATTCTGGGATTACAAGTGTGAGCCACCACGCCCAGCTAGAAATTATTTAACAATTGAATCTAATGAAATAGATATTAGTTTATTCTGTTTAGAACCTTATATTCCACAGTCCGATCTGTGTCTTTTTCTGAAATTCAAATCTTTCTTTTTTAGGACTTTTTTTTTTTCCTTTTTAAGAGAACACAGCATGAGCTACCTTAATGATAACTTATAATCATGGCAGAAGGCAAAGGGAAAGCAGGCTCCTTATGATAGGTTTTGGGGAAGCTGGGATAATATGCTTCTTCTTGCTGTGTTTGGGGATTTTAATTAGGCCCTGATGGTGAAAGTATATATGGACTCTCTTTAGTTGATATAAAGAACATGTAACGGCTGGGCATGGTGGCTCACGCCTTTAATCCCAGCACTTTGGGAGGCCAAGGCAGGCAGATCGAGACCATCCTGGCTAACATGGTGAAACCCCATCTCTACTAAAAATACACACACACAAAAACTAGCTGGGCATGGTGGCGGGCACCTGTAGTCTCAGCTATTGGGGAGGCTGAGGCAGGAGAATGGTGTGAACCCGGGAGGCAGAGCTTGCAGTGAGCCGAGATCACGCCACTGCACTCCATCCAGGGTGATGGAACGAGACTCCATCTCAAAAACAAACAAACAAACAAACAAAAAACATGTAACTACTTCTATCCCTATCATAGTAAGACTGTTAAGTATAATGCAAGTCACTAATGACTTCTAAGATGTTTTAAGAGGAGGGAATTGGAATTAATTGAACATTAAGGAAAAACGTGGAATCCTATCTTTATACAAAAATGAATCATTTTGACCAGATTTAGTCAGGTGCTATGGTTTTCTTTTTTGTTTTGAGATGGAGTCTTGCTCTGTTGCCCAGGCTGGAGTGCAGTGGCACAATCTTGGTTCATTGCAAACTCTGCCTCCCGGGTTCAAGTGATTCTCCTGTCCCAGCCTCCTGAGTAGCTGGGTTTACAGGTGCATGCCACCATGCCCAGCTAATTTTGTATTTTTAGGAGAGACGGGGTTTCACCATCTTGGCCAGGCTGGTCCTCCTGACCTAAAGTGATCCTCCTGCCTTGGCCTCCCAAAGTACTTTGATTACAGGTGTGAGCCATCACACCCGGCACACTCAGCCAGTGCTATGGTTTTTAAACCCTGTTTTCTGAAACAGCAGTATCAGTTGGGTTGCGTAAAGGATTTTTATAAGTATTTGATGCATATTTCACTTTATAAAATGTTTAGTTTTTTAAACATAAAACCTCAAACATGCTGAATACCAAAATTAAAAATCCATGTTTTTGTTTTAAATGTGTACTCCTCCCAAGTACCATGCCTACAAGACGTCATTAACCTATCACTGCACTTTTTTTCTCTTGAGCCTGGGGAAGGTTTCAACTCCTTCTTTTAACAATTCAAGCACCACCATTAATGTGATTTGAATTTGCGTCCCTGCCCAAATCACATGTCTAATTGTAATCCCCAGTGTTGGAGGAGAGGCCTCCTAGGACGTGATTGGATCATGGGGTTGGATTTCCCCCTTGTTGTTCTGGTGACAGTGAGTGAGTTCTCACAAGATCTGGTTGTTTAAAACTGTGTATCACCTCCCGCTTCGCTCTGTCTTCCTCCTGCTCCAGCCATGTAAGACGAGCCTTCTTCCCTTTTGCCTTCTGCCATTCTTGTGAGTTCCCTGAGGCCTCCCAGCCTTACTTCCTATACAGCAGGAGTCCCCAAATCCCGGTACCAGTACCAGTCTGTGACCTGTTAGGAACTAGGCCGCACATCAGGAGGTGAGCAGCAAGCAAAGCACCATCTGTATTTACAGCTGCTCCCCATTGCTCTCATTACCACCTGAGTTTGCCTCCTGTCAGATCAACGGCGGCATTAGATTCTCATAGGAGCACGAACCCTACTGTGAACTGCACATGCAAAGGATCTAGGTTATTCGCTCTTTATGAGAATCTAATGCCTGATGATCTCTCACTGTCTCCTATCACCCTCAGATGCGACCCATCTAGTTGGAGGAAAACAAGCTCTGATTCTATGTTATGGTGAATTGTATAATTATTTCATTATATATTGCAATGTAATAATAATAGAAATAAAGTACTCAATAAATGTAATGTGCTTGAATCATCTGGGAACCATCCCTGTCCCAATCCCTGAAAAATTGTCTTCCACAAAACCGGTCCCTGGTGTCAGAAAGGTGGGGACCACTGCTGTACAGCCTGCATAACCGTGAGCCAATTAAACATCTTTTCTTTATAAATTACCCAGTTTCAGGTATTTCTTCGTAGCAGTGTGAGAACAGACTAATACAACTGTACCCAATTAATTGTTATTAATTAAGTAAAAATTATGTCATAGTCTTAGCTGTGTCCCTGACTTTGAAACTTTGTTTCAGTGTGTTCTAGAATCCTCCACAGAGTCACATGGGGAAGAAAAGAACAGGGCAGGTAGGCCTCTGCCTCTCCAACTCTATGTCAATTATAGCAACTTCATTTAGCTTTTGTTGTTTTCAATCTTTTTTACACAATTAACTTTCTAAAAAAATTTTATTTGATAACAGGTATTCTTTTCTATTCATAAATATATTGAATTTGTACTTAGAGTACTTTCATAGTACATAGACACTTCATTTGAAACAGCATTGTACTAAAAAAATTAAACACCATTACTCTTAAAGTATTTTTCCCTTTATTATTTCTATTTAGTCAACAAATACTTATTTAATATCTAATATATATCAGGCACTGTTCTAAATATTTGGACATCAATGAACAAAATACAAACATCTGGGTTTATGCATCTCAGAACAAAAATCCCTGCTTCATAAGGTTTATATTCTAGAGATAATATTACACTGAGATATGCACACACACACACACACACACACACACACACACCCCTCTGTACCTTCTTCCAAGGAGTATTGCAGGGAAAGTCAGGACTATTTTATGACTAATTATTAACTGAGGTTAAAAGCAAGGGAGTAAGGCTTTCCATCTTTTACACTTTGGACTATGTTAATAGCTGCCTGTGACCATTGGTCAGCCCTCTAAATTGCAGCTTTTGGAAGGCGGGTGGAACAAAGAGAACTTACTTTCTAATGATTTATCAATATACTTTAATTCCTCATTTTATGACATAAATAATGCCCAACAGGATATTTAGAATATCTAAAAAAGTGGAAAAATATATCTATAGGGTTGCTATACAGATAAATATTCTTGATATTTTGGGGCATTTTTTTACCATGTTCTTTTGAAATATAGAATATTTACATGATATAATCAAACATATTGATTTAAAACTGCATAGAAATATAATATCCTGACTAAAATGTACATACTATTAAGTGCTAAGTTTAAAAATAAATATGTTTCATATTTTTAATATGTTTTATGGACATTATATAGGTATGTGTGTATATTATATATATATATAATTATTAAAGAGATAATACAGGATCTTCAGTGGTCCTGCACTTCTAATTTTTCTTGGGAAATTACAAATGTTTTAAATAAAGTAATTTTAAAATGATCCATATGTGATATTTTTAATCAGATTTGGATAGCTAAGGATATACGTGTTTACATTCATAAATTAAATGTTTGATATAAAATTTTCAGCTCGCATTTTTTTTATTTTTTGCAAAGCACTGTCTGCATGCTAGCATAGTGTTCTCTGTCATTTAAAGTTGCACAGGATAAGTAAATGAAAGCTTTTTGCTTTTCAGTAGAACTGTTTTTCCTGCTGATATGCTCCAATAATAGTTTTCTTATTTCTCATGATTAAAAGTGTTTGCCAGCATTTATCTTGTTAAAGGTCTTTACACCTTAGTTTTCCCTAAAATATGACCTACCTTTTTTGTTGATTTGGTAACAGCCAAGGAAAGATTTCTTCTATTGTTTCAAGCTTTTTTGCTCCCATGTTATCTGTGCTTCAAGAATATCTGGTATCTCTGCTTTTTTTTTTTTTCTTCAGATCTATCAAATACTATCTTATTGTTTAAATCTACTTGACATTTGTTCTACATTTTAGGTTTTTCAATAAAACTCGCTTTCACATCCACTGGTTTATACTTTAATTCTATTTCCTTTGCCTTTAGATTTTCTTAAATACCTCTTCCATTTATTCATTTTCTTTTTCATCTTATTCTATTGACATTTTGTCTTGGATATTCTCCCTTTACAATGTTTTGATTCCATAGGATTGTTAGTTTATTGAAGATATTTTATATAATACCTTTGGTTTTCAAAATATTAAAACACATTTTAGCCAATAGATTATATTTCACAGAGTTCTTGAAATCCTTTGAAAATATTAAATATTTTCCTGAAATTTACTCTGAGTACTCTAGTTGATCGTTTTCAAGGTAATATTCACTAGCAGTGTAGTGTAGTTATTTGACATGCAAGCTAAGGGTCAGTTTAATAGCAATGTGATTTTGGCCAAGTTACTCTAATTCCCTATGCCCAGTTTCCTCATTGACAAAATGAGGACAATACTAATTGCTATAAAGTGCTGGCCATTGCACTTATTACTTGTTTATTAAATGTTAGCTGTCAATATTGTTAATTACTCTGGCTTTCTTTAAAAAAAAGTCAAGACTCATTCAAAAAGAACATGAAAATGGCTGCCAGGTTCTCTGATTAAGACTAAGTTCCTTTAAAAATGGGTCAAATTACAAAGAGAAGTTCTACCTTCTTTCAGGCAGTTTCTTTAACAAGAGCTAAAAACTAAGACATGATTTTCTCTGTTTAACTCCATCTGCTTTATAGTTAATGGAGAACTCTCCTGGATTCTGCCGTAACTTTGTTTAACAGAATCAATTTTTGATATTAATTTTTTTACTTTGATTATTTTTCATAGGAATTTTAAGGGAAAGTTGGTAGAAACTGCTGCTTTATTTATTATGGTTTCTTTATCCAGGTATGGAATCCAGCAGCAGTTTTCCTGGGCTGCAATGGAGGCCGGGTCTGTGATTCTTCTGAGAGAAAACAGTATCCTTTCCTTTTGCCAGGTTACCAGAGCAGAGATTTTACATATGAAGCTTTCAACCCTTCATGGCAGGCTGGAAAGGGACCAGCTAAGATCAGAAGAGGGCAACTTGAGTGTAGGGAGGGGCCTCTGACTTTTACATAGTTTAGTTTTATAAAACCCTTGATTATTCCCTATAGAAAGAAATGCATTTTACTCAGTACATACACAAACGTGCACTCACACACACACACACAAACTGAAATAAAATTTTACTAAAGCCCTATTTAATTTTACTATCTGTGATGCACTGTTTCTGTTGATTTGATTTTTTTTTTTTTTTTTTTTTTTTGAGACAGAGTCTCACTCTGTTGTCCAGGCTGGAGTGCAATGGCACGATCTCGGCTCACTGCAACCTCTGCCTCCCAGTTCAAGCAATCCTCCTGCCTTAGCCTCCCGAGTAGCTGGGACTACAGGCATGCACCACCACACCTGGCTAATTTTCTTTTTTCTTTTTTTTTTTTTTTAGTAAAGACAGAATTTCACCATGTCGGTCAGGATGGTCTTAAACTCCTGACCTCAAATGATCCGCCTGCCTTGGCCTCACAAAGTGCTGGGATTACAGGCGTGAGCCACCACACCTGGCCCTTTGGTGATTTTTTTTTTAACCATTCAATTCTATTTCATAAAAATATACCATTCAGAACTCATTGAAACGGGCTTATGACCTATAAAGATTTGTAGCATTCAATTAAAAGCAAAAACAAAAATCCAGTACATTACAGTTTGAGTTAGTTTTAGGACTTTCCCCCATTGGATATTGGCATTTTTTAATCTCCAGTGAAAATAATCAAAGGTGAGATGTGAATAGATAATATAAAAGGAAATGAATTCTGATGTCAGTATATAAGCAGAAAATAGATCAAATACAAAACATTCCTCTACCATTACCCCTCACCTCCAAGTCAACTTCCTGGAAAAATATATGTGTATGTACTGTCAATTGAATATATAAATCAATTGTTTGTGATGTTCCTTACCAAGAGAAATAAACAAATAAAAACTGGAGAATTATTTTCTTATGAGTTAGAATCTGAAAAGAAGATGGACTATAACAAACATTTGTTTTAGTTATAGCAAAAAGAAAAACTGTACAATAAATACTAGTAAAAATCCAAATACTTTGATTAAAGCAATTTTGCTTTTTATATTTTATAATTTTTATTTGCCAAGACATGCCAGACTGATTTGAGATTTATGTTACATTCTAAATTCAACTTTTGATGCATTAACAAATTTTTCTTAATTTTGTGAACCAAAATAGACATCTATATTATTATAGTTGCTGATATTGCACACTAGGATTTACTGTACCTACCTAATTAGACAGCCAAAAGTACCATAAAACAATGTTAGCATGTCTCTAAGTAGTTTATTTAGTAGCTCTTTTCCAGTTATTTAGCTTTGGGAAGGGTACAGTATCATTTTTCAGGTTTGACATTGGCCCATAGTCAAAAAAAAAAAAAAAAAAGAGAGAGTGAGAGAGAGAGATTATTTCTTTGTCAAATTAAGTCATTTTTCAAGGATCCCGAGGGGGAATACACTTACTTGCTTCATATAACAGGATTTGGTAGGAAGGTTAGGTCAAAAACATTGTTCTGAAACTGAAGTGAGAACTAACAGCTGAGAAATGTATATTTAAAATGGAGGTTCACATGAAGTATCAAAAGTTCAAAGTCTGCCTTTGTTTCCATTTCTATGTGTTTCATATCTATTTAGCTGAAAGGCAGGAGTGGTTTAACATATTGAGTAATTTGTACACCCAATGTCAGGACAGGCGGTGGTAATTAAGAAAGAACCTCTCATAGACACTGCTGTAAAGTTGGCAGTTATTTGCAATTTGATAGTTCTCTTTTCCTTCTCTTGGTCTATCTGCTTTGAAGCCACAGACATAGTCAATCAAACGAGTTTTGCAGTTTAGTTCCTAGAATGTATACTATAAGCAAGCCTTTTAATTGTTTTTTTAATTTTAAAGTCCATATACATTTACATTCATTTCAGCCGAGATATTTTTATTTTATACTCTTAAATTTGACAATACCATTTGAGCACTTTTCTTTAAGACTGTTTTTATAATAACTCATGACACTGAATTTGGCTGAATCCTAAAACAGGAAAAATATATGCTTTGTTATATTTTGATTCTTTCAAAATATTTTGAGAAAGAAATTGAATACGCATGAATATTTTAAGGGAATTGAATTGAGTTATTTAGATTTATCTTAAAAAGTGAAAAATTAGTATTAGAGAAAAAATAGTTGTCCCCCATTTATTTTTCTCCATTTTTGTGCTCCAATGAACTATAATCTATTTATGCAATAGAACATTCCAGGATTAAATTTAGAAAATAATAGAAAGAAATTTTGTAAACCATCACTACACATACCAGGTGCTCTATTTTATTTATTTAAGTACTATAATAAGGCATTTTGTCAACCTCATTATTCACTTGTTTTTTCATATAAAATTGTTTTAGTCCATGTAGTGAACTCCTAGTGATTCCTCAATATTCATTCTTCTCTCCTTTTATAGTAAGAATTTCAGATGAGCAGGTGTTCACCAAACTAACGGGTACATTTCCTAACTTTTTTTTTTTTTTTTTGCTACTAGTTATGGCCACTCACATGCTGCATGCTTCCTGTTTTTATCTGTAAAATCTTGTAAAGGCTTAAAATTATGCCTGGTAGATGATAAGCACTATTTGCATTTTAGGAAGAGGGAGAACATGAGTTAAAAATATATACATCACTTCCAGGTCCTGTTCTGAAACAACTAGGCATCACTCCGCAAGTTTCTTACCCCTTTTCACTAATGTGGAGATGCCAGAAGTAGAACAGCCATGTTGAGTCTCACATTTACCATGTAAAAAGGATGACAGAGCCACCTACCAGCCCCGGATGTCTGCTGACCACTGACTTGTTACCTAAGAGAGAAATAAACTTTCATCTTGCGTGACCACTGAAATTTGGAATATCTGTGCTTCTGGGACTTATCTTGTACTCAACTAATATTGATAACTAATAATTCTTCTTAAAGAGAATTTTTCTTATAAAATGAAACTACTTATTAGTTTAAAAAAGAACATTTGAGATTTATTTGGCAAAATATTAATTACAATTTCACAACATACAGAGTGTTTCTATGTATCCTTATTTTAATCACACAGAAAAGTACTCAAGACACGTATTTGTCAAATCTCAGTAGTATGATTACAGTAATATACAAATCAAAATTCTCAATTTCAAATTCATTACTCCACAGAGAAGTTTCAACAGAGTGGTGTTGATCTTATCCTTCCAATTTCTAGTAGACATGCATTATTTAATTGTTACTATGTCTAGCACTATACCAGGGCCAAAAGTAAAAATCCAGTAATAATACATTTATATCGTATGTGTGTGTGCACGCATGCATGTTTGTGTATTTGGACTAGCCTTCCAACCAAGTCTCCGGTAACGAAATCCTTCCTTTTCCTATTAATGCCCACCAATATCACCAGAAAAATGAGTTTTAACATTATTTTTCAGGGAATTTGCTTATTCAAATTTTAACATAATTTGCTAATATAGAATTCAGACTTCCCTATATTATTCAAAATTTTTTGGCACTTCATTCAAAATTTTTCAAAATCGAGTGTCAATTCACTTTGTTGTCCTCTTGGTTCACCTTTTCCTCCATGTATCTCATACTCTATCCAACTGGACAGAATAGGACATGATTTTTCTTTGGTTTCCATCACATAATTAATTTGCATTAATTAGAACACTAATCACATTATTTTGTGGATGTCTGCTATCTGCCCCCTTCATTATATTATAAATTTGTCAGAGACAGTGACCTTATGTAACTCATACTTTATACTTTCCGGCACTTGTTCTAGAACTCTAGTACTGCATTTTATTTTCAGAATAATTTTCTCCAAATATTGCTTGAATCCTTCAGAAGTAGAAATAGTGTACTTTATAACTCAAAGTCAAAAAAACCAGTTTCTTGTGTGATCCCTATGTATATGTGTGTGTGTGTGTGTGTGTGTGTGTGTATGCATGCATGCTTTTATATTTATCCAAAAAGAGTCTTTTAAAAACATCTTACATTTATGTAATTTTTATTATATGAAAGACCAACTTAATATTACACTGAATAATGTAACGAACTACCATATACTCATCAAACAACTTTAACAATTGTCAATTCACTTTTGATCTTGCTCCATCTCTACCCACACTATTCTCCCTTCATGGATTATTTTGAAGTCAATCCCAGAAATCATATATTTTTATCTGAAATATTTAATTATGATTTCTAAAAGTTAAGAACTCTTTTTAAAAATGTAACCACAATGCCATTACCAAAAATAAAAATTATTTCTTAATATAAAATACGTAATCATTGTTTAAATTTTCAAATTTAAGTGCAGTAAATGTGTTTCAGCTTTTAATGTGTAGATTTTTGGCCCATATCTTTTGTCTTGCAATTTATTTGTTTTTCCGTTCGAGTTTTTAACTAGCTGAATTTCACGCAATACACTGTTTCTTCTCCCTGTGTTACCTTTCTATTGCTATTCAGGTCTACAGGCTTAATAAGAATTGTTTGTTTGTTTGTTTATTTCAAGGCTACTTTAGGATGATATTATGTTCTTCTTTCTGGAGGCACATCATAGCATCATATGTTCCACTAAAGCATAAGAAATATTTTACTTAAAAACAATTCCTAGCTACTTGGATTCTGTTATCACCAATAGGATCCCTCTGCCACAATTTGGGAACACATCTTTCAAACTTAAACAGTATAAGGGACCCAGCTACACTTCATTTTTTTTAAGTCAAGCAAATTGGTTTTGCCAGGAAAGAGACTCAGGGTCAAGCTGGAAGGGAAAATAAAATCTATGACTAAGAGACATTTTATATACTTAGTGTTGTAGCAGGAGAATTAAACACCAGGTAACTGATTAATAGAATCAAGAATGTCATAAAGTGAAATAAGGTAAGGCTTACAACAGCTTGTTCAGGCACATCTCAAAAGAGATGGTATATCTAGTTGAGAAAAACTTTGTTTATTTAAAGGCAAAACTGGAGAAGGAGAACAGAGGCAGAGCCTTAGTTGACTATAAGCTTGATATTATTCCAGTTGAACAATCCAGTGGATAGTTGGTAGCCTCTGCCATGCTTAGATTGGAAAGGAACACACATGTAAATAAGGGCATGTATGTGTGTGTGTGCAGCAGAATTGGAGCATAAAAACACTAAAGATCAGTATGTTTTATAGCAGGGATGATAGGAAGAAAGTTTAAAATATGCAAAAGGGTATCATTTATATTTATTTATATATTTTTATATATATTATTTATATATATAATAAAAATATGCAAAGGGTATCATTTATATTTATTTATATGTTTTATATATTAATATATATAAATAATAATAAAAATATATATATTATTTATTTATAACTCTCAAAAAGAGACCTAGTACCAGTTGATAGAGGATGTAAATAGACTTGACCTCCATAAAAAAAAAAAAAAATTTCATCTGCACTAAACTGAAATAAGTTAAATGTTGACAGATTCTTGATAACATCCTTTAGGGTTGTTGTATATGTTGTCCCTGTTTTATATAAAAACAAAACAAAACAAAAAAACAAAAATACATGATCTTTTTAAGATGCTCTAGAATAATGCTAAAGCAATAAATTCCAAGTGAAATAGAAGCCACATCCTGATTGACAGGAAATGAGCTTATCCCTATAGCATATTCCTTCACTAACACATTCCATAAACCTTGTTCAGCCAAATGCTGTCTCTTAGGATGTAACAAATAGAGTCAGAAGTTGTACAAACAATTTTAACTTCAAGTAGCCTTCCAACATTAAGATTTTGTCTTGTTTGTTCTTTTCTTATTCATCATCATCACGGTCATCAGGAACATTTCATTATCACTCTAAATTCAGAAATCAGAACTTAACTTGCACAGGCAGCATCAGGTTTCATGTTTTTATGTTCCTGACATCTCTTGGAGGGTGGGAGTTTAGGATAGTGGTAGAGGAATGGAAGCTGCCAGGTCTGACTTCCCAGTCCATTTGGGATTCTAGAGAAACTCTATAGCTGGCTAGAAAGAACAGATAAATGTGAAAGAGGCAGACAGAGCAGTATCTAAGAAACACTGGAACAATAATTCCCAGTGTTACTATTTCTGGTAGCATAGGCATAGTGTTTGGCCCAATCTTTTTCTGGCTTCTGTTTCCAATAGGAATATCCTGCTCCTTATGGAACTGGGTCTCCCACCTTTTTTTCCCTGGGTTATTTCTTGGTCCCTATACCTGTTACCTGATTTCCAGGATATCATCCTCCACCTGCTCATCTTGAGCACAATGCACACCTGGTCTATGCAACACAGCCTTCTCCCTCCAAGTGCCAACATCCATAGAACATTTTGCTTCCTCCCTATTCTCACTTCTATTCTTTGTCTGATTTTTCTCAATTTGTCTTAGATTTCCAGAATCCACAAAAGCCTACTTGTTCCAAAACCAGTAGATACAGAGCCTGTATTTTTTCAAAAGTTATTGCTAATATATATATACATACACACACACAGGAAAAACAGAAAATAAGTCTATTACAATACATGAATGATCCTGACATTCTCCCAGTCTTCAGTGACCCTGAGATTGGGCCCCAAACTCAATCTCTTTAAATACTTCATTGCTATTAGATCATCTCTCTATCAGATCCAGTTAGAAGCAATTAATATCTCTTTTACACTACTTACCATGCTGCACATTTTCCTATGTAATAATAAACTCAACTATATAAAACTGAATGTAAGTAAAAGGCATTTTAAGAAAGAACACTCTAGTATGAGTAACTACCAGTCTTTAGTGTTTTTAAAAAGAATAAATACAAACCATACAATTAGGTGAGTAAACAGATTATTTTTCACAAAATGCTTACACACGACAGTATTCACACTTTAATTTGACTATTAATGAATTATTTATGTAAAAATAAATGAAATACTGCAGGTTTGTTTTAAAATAATTATTTTGTTTAAAAAAAGGAAGAGATTTTATACCCATTCAATTTTCATTATTTTTACTCTATCCCTTTTTTATTATCTTTTACTCAAAATCTATTGCATTGTAAAGGCACTGACTGAAATAATAAAGCAAGTGTTTTTTATTTACTGAAAAACTGAAAACTGAAAATGTGGGAAGAAAAAAACTACACATAGAGATAGTTTATATATATTTATAGAAGGAATGAGGAAAAGAGGGAGAGAGAGAGCGGAGAAGAATAGGAAACTTATTAAGCCACAAAGGGAATAACTTAGTAGTCATCACAAAAAATAATTTGTAGGAAGCAGACCCAGTATAGGAAAAGTAACTTCTACATACATAAGCACTAGAGATTCTTTTTTTTTTTATTTAACAGGCAAATAAATACATAAATGTAACAATGTTCTTTTTACAATACACTATTTTTAGAGCAATTTTCTGAGGCTCACAACAAAATTGAGTAGAAAGTTTAGAGATTTTCAAATACCCCCAGCCCTTAAACATGGAGAACATTACACAACAGAATTGTATATTTATTACAGTCACTGAATCTATAATCATTATTACCCCAAGTCCATAGTTTACATTAGGGTTCACTCAGTAGTGTACATTCTATGGTATGTATGTATGTATGTGTGTATTTATTAACACAGAGTCTTTGTCGCCCAGGCTGGAGTGCAGTGGTGTGATCTCGACCCACTGCAACCTCTGCCTCCCGGGTTCAAGCAATTCTCCTGCCTTAGCCTCCCGAGTAGCTGGGATTATAGGCCGGCGCCACCATGCCTGGCTAATTTTTGTATTTTTAGTAGAGATGGGGTTTCGCCATGTTGGCCAGCCTGGTCTCGAACTCCTGACCTCATGTGATCCACCCACCTTGGCCTCCCAAAGTGCTGGGATTACAGGCATGAGCCACTGCTCCCAGGCATTCTATGGTTTTTAACAAACATATGATGACCATGTATCCAACATCATAGTATCATACTGAATAGGTTCATTGCCCAACAAATCCTCTGCACACTACCTATTCATCCTTCCCTCCCTCCAAACCCTGGGAACCACTGATCATTTTACTGTTTCCATAGTTTGGCCTTTTCCATTATGTCATATAGTTGGAATTATACAGTATGTAACCATTTTATTCACTTAGTGCCATTGAGTTTCCATCATGTCTTTTCACGGCTTGATAGCTCATTTCTCTTTAGCACTGAATGATATTCCATTTTCTGTGTCTACTACAATGTACTTATCCATTTACCTCCTGAAGGATATCTTCTTGCTTCCAAATATGGGAAATTATGAATAAAACTGCTATAAGCACTGCGTGCAGGTTTTTATATAGACATATGTCTTCAACTCATTTGAGTAAATACCAAGAAGTATAATTGCTGGAATATGGCAACACATTTAGTTTTAAAATAAACTACCAAATGATCTTTTAATGTGGCTATACCATTCTACATTTCCATCAAAAATGAATGAGCTCCCATTGCTCCACATCCTCACCAGCATTTGATGTTGTCAGTGTTTTGGATTTTGACCATTTTGATAGTTGTATAGTGGTATCTCTTTTAAAAAATTAAAATCGTTTTAATTTAAAATTTCCTGATGATATATTGTATTAGACTACTAGGTCTGCCACAACAAGATAACATAGACTGGGTAGCTTAAACAACAGATATTTATTTTCTTACAGTCTGAAGGCTGAAAGTCCATGATTAAGATGCCAGTAGAGATGAGTTTTGGTAATGCTCCATTTTCTGACTTGCAGACAGCTGCCTTCTCATTGTGTCCCCACATGAGCTTTTCTCTGTGTACATTGGTTTTCTTATTAGAAAACCAGTTTTATCAGATTAGAGCCTCATTCTTATGACCTCATTTAACTTAATTATCTCCTTAAAGGCACCAGTCCTAAAGATCCTTTCTCCAAATGCAGTAACATCGGAAGTTAGGATTTCAACATATGAATTTTTGGGGGGACACAATTCAGTCCATAGCACATATGATGTGGATCATCTTTTCATATACTTATTTGCCATCTATGGATCTTCTTTGGTGAGTGTACTGTTTAGCTATTTTGTCCATTTTTAAATTAAGTTGTTCATTTTCTTATTGTTAAATTTTAAAAAGTTCTTTGTACATTTTGTATGATGGTCCTGTATTATACATGGCTTTTGCAAATATTTTCTGCCAGCCTGAAGTTTGTCTTACAATTATCTTCAATCATGTGTTTTAAAGTTCAGTTTATCCCCCTTTTCCCTCTTAATTTCCCCCTCATTTTATTCCTGCTCCACCTGGTAACCCTCAGGGGCAACCTATTATATATTAATATTATTCCATATTCTAGTTCAATCTTTTATAATCACACATACCTATATAGACTGTTTTGTCATTAGTTAATTTTACATAAATAAAAACATTATACACATTTACTGTATCTTGTTTTACTTACTTAATATAAAGCATGAAAATCACTTCAAGTTGTCAGATTAAATTTTCTTCTTTTTTGTTGGTTGTGTAAAATGTCATGATGTGAATTAGCCATAATTTATCCAAGCCTCACAATATTGATGAATTTTTTTTACAGTTTTATAGAGCAACTCTGAAGAATACTTCAAGAAACAATACTATACATGTTTCCCTGTCCTCATACAATTATTTTTATACAAAAATTATTTTATGTGTGTGTATATGGGGTGTGTGTGTGTCTGCGTGTGTGTAAAAAGCTGCAAGTCGGTTTCTGCAGGAAAAATATTAAATATCCTTAGTAATATGGGCTAAATATAAATGGTAAGTTTTACTTGCAAAAATTGTTGAGGGATTCCTCTTGAGACTGAATTTGTGTACTAAATTGTAGGCAATCAATTTTGAGTTATTTATTAAGTAAAATAAAGTACCTTGAGCAAAATTTTGGATTTTAAAATTATTTTATATATATAAAAATTTGTCCCAAAATTATTTTTAAAGTTTCAAAAATACACTAAAATAATAATAAATGGATTTTTCATGTCTCTACTCTTTCTTTTGAATCTATTTAAAGACTACAAGTTTTAGTAGTAGCTAAAGAATTCCACCGATTAGAAAACCTTAGTAAATTTAAGTGATAATCGATAGGTATGTGAGTGATGATCAAATAGAAATAGACATATTTACATGTCATGGGTCATGATCATTAAAATCTCTTATTTTTTTATATATCTCAGCTGTTTGATAAGCCTAATACATATACAACTTCACAAATCATAGTGCAGTATGCCATAGACGATTTTGCCAAGGTTTACATGAATAAAAACAAAATGCTGCACCTGAGCTCAAGGAATATGAGAATCCTGGAGACAATACAAAGTAAGGAAAATAGTGAACATCAGAAGACCTAGATAGTGATAGAAAGAAATATGAATTGTAAGAGAACAAGAGAAAGAAACCATAATGAAACTCTTAAGTCAGATGACCTGTGAAAATGATGCATACTTTGCATATACTTAACAAATATTATTTGCTTATAATGTTTTTTGGAGAATTGCCTTAAAACATAGTTATACTCAACTTGAGTTTGTATTTTAGAGAGTAGAATATCCCATTCATGCTGAGTATGGTTTTTCTTGGGAAACAAAAGAGCTCCTCCCCTTCCACTTCAAGCAGTAGCTTTGTCAGTTTACCATATGTGCGCTATAGACAATATCATTATTTTCTACATAAACAATGAAGAGAAAATGATTGGAAAGCAGTAGGGAGAGTCACTGATGGTGACACCATATATTACATTACAAAAGTCTTTTTTAGGTCACTTTATTGTAAATGTGAAATCAAAGTGGTTTTCTCAAGTATATATTCTTCTTTTAATAACTGCATTTTCCAAGTATAATGTTATTTAGAAGTAAGTTAAAACAATACTTTCTTTCTTTTATTTTTTCTTTTTTTTTTTGAGATGGAGTTTTGCTGGAGTGCAATGGTGTGATCTTGGCTCACCACAACCTCCGTCTCCCAGGTTCAAGCGATTCTCCTGCCTCAGCCTCCCCAGTAGCTGGGATTACAGGCATGCACCACCAAGCCCGGCTAATTTTTGTATTTTTAGTAGAGATGGGGTTTCACCATGTTAGTCAGGCTGGTCTCGAACTCCTGACCTCGGGTGATCCACCTGCCTCGGCCTCCCAAAGTGCTGGGATTACAGGTGTGAGCCACTGTGCCTGGCTAAAATAATACTTTCCAATAAGCTATATGAAGCATCATTGTGCCTTATAAGTCCCAGAGGCATATATCATATTACCATCAATAAATATCATATATTATTATTATAAAATAAAAGAGCACAGCTCTTTAACTTATAAGGCTGGAGATTTTATTTCCCAGTTCTATCACTCGGTATTAAGATTTCTTCTGATTAAAGCTCAAAGTATTAATGTTTCTAAGAATAAAGGAATTTTCCATGAATGTCACAGTTACTACTACAACATGTTAAGCATGGTTTAATTAATCTAAAATAGATGTCTCCAAAGCAATTAAACTAGATATGTCATACTCAATTAATTTCTCTCATTTATTCATAAGAATAATAAATTAGTTTCACAAAGATATGTAGTAATTTAAGTCAATGAAGAAGCATATTAAAAGAATCTGGTTCTCTTAAATGAAATTGAAAACTTGTTAAAGATGCAAGGCCTTTGATAAGTCATGTGAGATTACTTACACTGTCAGTTTGAAAACAGAATATGGACTGTATTTACCTCATTAAGAAAAAAAAATGCTATGAACTGATTCACCAATACTATAAATGTTTGGCATCTGTGCTGAGTATAATCCAATAGAATGTAGTAAACCCAGAAGCTGAGATGGTAACAAAGAATGAAAAAATGCTGTATTGATTTATAGGGAAAACTGTGTTCTTTTGCAATGAAATAAAAGCACCTGTTACCAGAAGAGAATATAAATGCCAAAGGCAATAGTTCTGTTCATAAAGTTTTCTACTTAGAACTGTAGAAGTCAGCTCAATAAATCAAAATTGTATACAATGAAAGAAAAGCCAAGAACTAGTTTTATTATTAAAAGTATTTTAAAGGCTCACTAGACCATCAATTCTGTCACGATGTTAAAAAAACTAAATTATGGTTTTACTGCCTGACTGGCCTTTTCTTCCAGAATAAATTGTAAATTAGATTCAAACACCATCTATATATAATATCTTACTGATCTTGGCATTTGGCATAAAAACCTTCTGGTTGCTACTCGAATGTTCACTACATGCCTCTTTTCTTTATGTCTATTTTTTTCTTCTTCTCTACACTGTTTATTTTACTTATTTACTTACTTTTTAATTTTGGTAGGTACATAGTGGGTATGTATATTTATGAGGTACATGAGATATTTTGATACAGGTATACAATATGTAATAATTCCATCAGGGTATTGGCATATCCATTACTTTGAGCATTTATCCCTGTGTTACAAACAATCCAATGAAAAAAAACCTTTTAGTTATTTTTAAATGTACAATTAAATTATTGACTATAGTCATATGCTGTATAGATCTTATTCATTCATTCTAACCACTTTTTGTACCCATTAACCCCCCTCACTGCCCTTTCCAGACTCTAGTAATCCTCCTTCTACTCAATCTCTCTATGAGTTCAATTATTTTAAATTTTAAACTCACACAAATAAGTGAGAAATGTGAACTTAGTCTTTCTGTGCTTGGCTTATTTCACTTGACATGACCTCCACTTCTATCCATGTTGTTGCAGATGACAGGATCTCATTCTTTTTATGGCTGGATAATATTCCATTGTATATATGTACCACATTTCTTTATCCATTCATCTGTTGATAGACACTTAGGTTGCTTCTAAATCTTGGCTATTGTGAATAGTGCAGCAATAGTTATGGGAGTGCAGATATCTCTTTGATATCCTGATTTCCTTTCTTTTGGGTATATACCTAGCAGTGGGATTGCTGGATCATATGGTAGCACTATTTTTAGTTTTTGAGAAACATCCACAGTGTTCTCCATAGTGGTTGTACTAATTTACATTCCCATCAACATGCACTGTTACTTTCTACTAAACATTTATTGAGTGCCAACTATGAGTGTGATACTATGATAGGTCTTGAAGGAAAGCAAACATGGTTGTTTCTCAAGAAGTTCGGTCTGGTTATAAGAATTTCTTATCAATGATTTAATTGAAATGAAAATATTATAACTGGACTATTATGATCATAGATAACACCAATATGATTATGAATAATTGTGTTATACATTTCTTAATTATTTAGAGGCTGCATTTATACTTTAATTACAGTTTTTTATTAAAAAATAGTAAATTCTTAGTTTTTGTTTTGAATAAACTTTCAGAAATTTTGTGAAATAAATACATATTTCCATGTAACTATAAAGATGATCAGTTGGGATGGAACAGAATAGGGGAATAGAAGGCTCTACAGATCATCCCTCCATAAAGGACATCAATTTAACAACTATCTTTATAAATGCACCTCATAAAAACCAAAATTCATAGTACCTGGTTTTAACTTTTTATCACTGAAAGAGGCACTGAAGAGGTCAGAGGATCAGTCTTGAATCAACAACGGTCTTGAATCCCCCATTCCCCAGCAACAGTGGCACGGTGAGAAGAGTGGTTTTTTTGTGCTGGGGAGAGGGAGAGTACAGCAATTGTCAGGCATTGAACTCAGTGCCACCCTGTTATAGCGAAAAACAAAACAGGATCAAACTCAGCTAACACTCAAACACAGAGGGAACACTTAAACCAGCCCTAGCCAGAAGGGAATTGCCAGTCCCAAAGGTCCAAACTTGAGTTCCCACAAGCCTTGCTATTGTTGGCTAAAGTGCTCTGGATCCAAACTAAACTTGAAAAGCAGTCTAGGCTACAAAAACTGCAACTCATAGGTGAGCCCCAGTGCTGAACTGGGCCAAGAGCCAGTGGACTGGGGGAGCTTATAACCTACTGAGACACCATCCAGGGCAGCTAAGAGAGTGCTGGCATTATCCCTCTCCTAACCCCAGACTGCATAGCTCGCTTCTCTGACAGAGACACCTTCCCTATGCTTGAGGAGAGAAGAAGGAAGAATGGGGAGGACTTTGCCTTACATCTTGGATACAAGCTCAGCCACAGCGAGATAGGGCACCAGTAAGAGTTTGAGGCCCCCTTTCCAGGCCCTAGCTCCTAGATGACATTTCTAGACACACCCTGAGCTAGAATGGAACCTGCTGCCTTGAAGGGAAGGAGTCAACCCTGTCAGGATTTATTACCTCCTAACTGAATAGCCTTTGCACCCTGAATAAGCAGCAATAATGCCCAGGTAGTACCTCAAGGGCCCTGGGTGTGATTCTGAAACTTGCTGGCTTCAGGTAAGACTCACTACATTCTCAGCTGTCTTGACTATGGGACAACATATCTTCTGCTTAAGAACAGTGGAGGGAAAAGTAAGGGAGACTTTGTCTTGCATCTTAGGTACCAGCTCAGACCATTCCAGGACTTGGATCTTGGACAGCATTTCTAGACCCTCCCTGAACCAGAGGGGAGCTTACTTCTCTGAAGGATGAGTCCAAGGCCAGGCAGAATTTACTACAAGCTGACTGAAGAGCCCTTGGAACTTAAGAGAACATCAGTGGTAGTCTGGCAGTACTCCTCATGAGACTGTGGTGGCAGTGGCCACAGGAAGAGGCTCCTCTGTGTTAGAGATCCAGGCTACGCCTCCTCCTCCTCCATGTCCTTCGCAATACAGTAATTTGTGACCACCTACAAACAACCTCCCCTCACCTTTCCTACAGTCTTGTGCAAGACTTTCAGTAGAACTGGTAAACAGTTCCAGGATGCGGTTAAGACATCTGCCCACCTTGCCTAGCTGAGCTTGCCTAGCCAAGCAGGCAAAAACATTTCCAGGAAACGGCTGAAACATCTGCAACCCTACTCAGTTTCCCCTACCCCAGCGTAGCCCCTTGCCCTATAAAACCCCACAGCAGCCTGTAAGCGGGGCTGCCTCCTCTGTTTACAGTGGAGCAGCCCGGCAGGTTAATACAAACTTGCTTGCCTGACTTTGGGGTCTACTCGTTCCTTCTCTCGGCTAACCTTACACTCTGCCTTTGGAAAGGGGAGGAAAAAGGGGGAAGGACTGCATCTGGTCATTTCAGTATCAGCTCAACCACAGTACAGTAGAACACCAGGTAGACTTCTAAGTTTTTAACTCCAGTCCCTGACTCCTGGATGGCAATCTGGACCTGCCTGGGGCTTGGGGAACTCACTACCCTAAAATGAAGGACACAGGCCTGGTTGGCTTGCCATCTGCTGACTGTAGAGCCCTGGGGCCTTGAGCAAACATAGGTAGTAGCCAGGAAGTGGTTACATCAGGCCTTAGTTGACACCGAGTGCTGTACCAGCTTCAGGTCTGACCCAGCACATTCCTAGTAATGGTAGCCGTGAGGTTGTTTGTGTCACTCTACTCCCAGCTCCATCCAATGGATGCATGATACACATTCTTTCCCTCAGCACGTAAGTCATTCTCAAAGACAGACCATATCTTGGGTCAGAAAACAAGCCCTTAAAACATTCCAAGTAACTAAAATAACATCAAGCATATTCTCTGACCACAATGGAAGAAAACTATAAATTAATAACAAGAGGAATTTGGAAAATTACACAAATACATGCAAATCAAACAACATGCTCCTGAATGACCAGTGAGTCAATAAATAAAGAGGAAACTGAAAAATTTATTAAAATAAATGATAATAGAAAGAACATATTAAACTTTATGGGATACAGCAAAACCAGTCCTAAGAGGGGAGTTTATAGCTATAAGCACTTACATCAAAAAAGAAGAGAAACTAGAAATAAACAACAATGCATCTTTTCTTTTTTAATTATACTTTAAGTTCTAGGATTCATGTGCACAACGTGCAGATTTGTTACATATGTATACATGTGCCATGTTGGTGTGCTGCACCCATTAACTCATCCTTTACATTAGGTATATCTACTAATGCAATCCCTCCCCCCTCCCTCTACCCCATGACAGGCACCGGTGTGTGATGTCACAGTGAGGACACTGTGTCCAAGTGTTCTCATTGTTCAATTCCCACCTATGAGTGACAACATGGAGTGTTTGGTTTTTTGTCCTTGTGATACTTTGTTCAGAATGATGGTTTCCAGCTTCATCCATGTCCCTACAAAGGACACGAACTCATCTTTTTTTATGGCTGCATAGTATTCCATGGTGTATATGTGCCACATTTTCTTAATCCAGTCTATCATTGATGGACATTTGGGTTGGTTCCAGGTCTTTGCTATTGTGAATAGTGCCACAATAAATATACGTGTGCATGTGTCTTTATAGCAGCATGATTTATAATCCTTTGGGTATATACCCAGTAATGTGATGGCTGGGTCAAATGGTATTTCTAGTTCTAGATCCCTGAGGAATCACCACACTGTCTTCCACAAGGGTTGAACTAGTTTACACTCCCACCAACAGTGTAAAAGTGTTCCTATTTCTCCACATCCTCTCCAGCACCTGTTGTTTCCTGACTTTTTAATGATCACCATTCTAACTGGTGTGAGATGGTATCTCATTGTAGTTTTGATTTGCATTTCTCTGATGGCCAGTGATGATGAGCATTTTTTCATGTGTCTTTTGGCTGCATAAATGTCTTCTTTTGAGAAGTGTCTGTTCATATCCTTCACCCACTTTTTGATGGGATTGTTTGATTTTTTCTTGTAAATTTGTTTAAGTTCTTTGTAGATCCTGGATATTAGCCCTCTGTCAGATGTGTAGATTGTAAAAATTTTCTCCCATTCTGTAGGTTGCCTGTTCACTCTGATGGTAGTTTCTTTTGCTGTGCCAAAGCTCTTTAATTTAATTAGATCCCATTTGTCAATTTTTGCTTTTGTTGCCATTGCTTTTGGTGTTTTAGTCATGAAGTCCTCGCCCATGCCTACATCCTGAATGGTATTGCCTAGGTTTTCTTCTAGGGTTTTTATGATTTTAGGTCTAATATTTAAGTCTTTAATCCATCTTGAATTAATTTTTCTGTAAGGTGTAAGGAAGGGACCCAGTTTCAGGTTTCTACATATGGCTAGCCAGTTTTCCCAGCACAATTTATTAAGTTGGGAATCCTTTTGCCATTTCTTGTTTTTCAGGTTTGTCAAAGATCAGATGGTTGTAGATGTGTGGTACTGATGCAAAAATCCTCAATAAAATACTGGCAAACCGAATCCAGCAGCACATCAAAAAGCTTATCCAACACAATCAAGTTGGCTTCATCCCTGGGATGCAAGGCTGGTTCAATATATGCAAATCAATGAACGTAATCCATCATAAACATAACCAAAGACAAAAACCACATGATTATCTCAATAGATGCAGGAAAGGCCTTCGACAAAATTCAACAGCCCTTCATGCTAAAAACTCTCAATAAATTAGGTATTGATGGGATGTATCCCAAAATAATAAGAGCTATTTATGACCAACCCAGAGCCAATATCATACTGAATGGGCAAAAACTGGAAGCATTCTCTTTGAAAACTGGTGCAAGACAGGGATGCCCTGTCTCACCACTCCTATTCAACACGGTGTTTAAAGTTCTGGCTGGGGCAGAAAGAAATAAAGCTTATTCAATTAGGAAAAGAGGAAGTCAAATTGTCCCTGTTTGCAGATGACATTATTGTATATCTAGAAAACCCCACTGTCTCAGCTCAAAATCTTCTTAAGCTGATAAGCAACTTCAGCAAAGTCTCAGGATACAAAATCAATGTGCAAAAATCACAAGCATTCCTATACACCAATAACAGACAAACAGAGAGCCAAATCATGAGTAAACTCCCATTCACAATTGCTTCAAAGAGAATTAAATACCTAGGAATCCAACTTGTAAGGGATGTGAAGGACCTCTTCAAGGAGAACTACACACCATTGCTCAATGAAATAAAAGAGGACACAAACAAATGGAAGAACATTCCATGCTCATGGATAGCAAGGATCAATATTGTGAAAACAGCCATACAGCCCAAGGTAATTTATAGATTCAATGCCACCTCCATCAAGCTACCAATGACTTTCTTCACAGAATTGGAAAAAGCTCATTTAAAATTCATATGAAACCAAAAAAGAGACTGCATTGCCAAGACAATCCTAAGCCAAAAGAACAAAGCTGGTGGCATCATGCTGCCTGACTTCAAACTATACTACAAGGCTACAGTAACCAAAACAGCAGGTACTGATACCAAAACAGAGATATAGACCAATAGAACAATACATCTTTAAAAAGTAGAATGGCAAGAGCAAACCAAACACATTTTTTTTTTTTTTTTTGAGATAGAGGCTCACTCTGTTGCACAGGCTGGAATGCAGTGATCCAATTATGGCTCACTGCAGCCTTGATATCCTAGTCTCAAGTGGGCCTCAGCCTCCCAAGTAGCTGGGACAACAGGTGTGTTCAAACATGTCCTGTTGTTTTTTTTGTTTTTTGTGTTTTTTTTTTGGTAGAAACAGGGTCTCCCTGTGTTGGCCAGGCTGGTCTCAAATTCCTCAGCTCAAGTGATACTCCAGCATTGGCCTCCCAAAGTGCTGGGGTTACAGGTGTGAGATACTGCACCCAGCCCAAATCAAAATTTAGTAGAAGAAAATAATAAAGATCAGAGCAGAAATAAATAAAATTGAAAGGAAGAAAATAATATAAAAGATCAATCAGACAAAAGTTTTTCTTTTTTAAGTTAAACAAAATTGAAAAAATCTTTACCCAGACTAAGGAAAAAAAAGAGAAGATCCAAATAAATAAAATCAAAGATGAAAAAGGAGACATTACAACTGATACTGCAGAAATTCAAAGGATTATTAGTGGCTACTATGAGCAACTGTATGCCAAAAATTGAAAGATACAGAATAAATGAACAAATTTCGAGACACAGAAAAGCTTATAAGATTGAAATAGGAAGAAATCCAAAACTTGAACAGACCAATAACAACTATCTATATCAAAGTTGTAACAAATAAAATGTTTCCCAGTAAAGAAAAGCCCGGGATCCAATGGCTTTGCTGTTGAATTCTACCAAATTTTCAACAAAGAACTAATACTAATCATACTCGGGTTATTCTGAAAGACAGAACAAGAGGGAATGCTTCAAAATTCATTTTACAAGGCCAGTATTAACCTGATACCAAAACGAGACAAATACACACAAAAAGAAAAGAAAAATAAAACTACCTGCTAGTATATTGGATGAATATTGATGTAAAAATCTTAAACAAAATACTAGCAAACTAAATTCAACAAGATATTGAAAAGATCATTAATCATGACCAAGTGAAATTCATCCCAGGGATGCAAGGATGGTTCACTATATGCAAATCAATCAATGTGATACATCATATGAACAGAATGAAGGACAAAAACCATATGATCATTTCAATTGATGCTGAAAAAGCACTTGACAACATTCAACATCTTTTCATGGAAACAAAACTCAAAAAATTTGGTATAAAAGGAACATATCTCAACATAATAAAAGCCATATATGAGAGACCTATAGCTAGTATCATACTGAATGAGGAAAAACTGCAAGCCTTTCCTCTGAGATCTGGAACACAACAAGGATGCCCAGTTTCACCACTGTTATTCAACATAGTACTAGAAGTCCTTGCTAGAGCAATCAGAAAAGAGAAAGAAATAGAAGGCATCCAAATTGGAAAGGAAGAAATCAAAGTACCTTTGTTTGCAGATGATATGATCTTTATATTTGGAAAAACCTAATGACTCTATACGAAAACTATTAGAACTGATAAGCAAATTCAGTAAAGTTGCAGACTACAAAATCAACAACCAAAAATCAGTAGTATTTCTACATGTTAACAGTGAACTATCTGAAAAGGAAATAAAAACGTAATCCCATTTACAATAGCAACAAATAAAATTAAATACCTAGGAATTAACTTTACCAAAGAAGTGAAACAATTCTGTAATGGAATTAACTTTACCAAAGAAGTGAAAGAACTCTGTGATGAAAACAATAAAACACTGATGATATAAATTGAAGAGAACATCAAAAATTTGAAAAAGATTCCATGTTCAGGTATTGGAAGAATCAATATTGTTAAAATGTCTATACTACCCAAAGCAACCTGCAGATTCAATGCAATCCCTGTCAAAATACCAATGACATTTTTCACAGTAATAGAAAAAACAAGTCTTAAGTTTATATGGAATCACACACACACAAACACACTCTCCAGCATAACCAAAGCTATCCTAATCAAAAAGAGCAAAACTGGAGGAATCACATTATCTGACTTCAAATTATACTACAGAGCTTGTGGTATACTACAGAGATTGTAATACTGTATACTACAGAGACTGTAATAAATAATACTACAGAGCTTGTAGTATACTACAGAGATTGTAACCAAATCAACATGACACTGGCATAAAAACAGACATATTGGCCAGGCACAGTGGCTCACACCTGTAATCCCAGCACTTTGGGAGGCCAAGGCAGGTGGATCACAAGGTCAGGAGTTCGAGACCAGCCTGTCAAACATGGTGAAACCCTGTCTCTACTAAAAATACAAAAATTAGCCAGGCATGGTGGTGCACACCTGTAATCTCAGCTACTCAGGGGGCTGAGGCAGGAGAATCGCTTGAACCTGCGAGGCAGAGGTTGCAGTGAGCCAAGATCGTGCCACTGCACTCCAGCCTGGGCAACAGAGAGAGACTCTGTCTCAAGAAAAACAGACATATTCACCCATGGAACAGAATACAGAACCCAGAAACAAATCCACATGTTTGGCCTCTGAGCCCAAGCCAAGCCATCGCATCCCCTGTGACTGGCACGTATACGCCCAGATGGCCTGAAGTAACTGAAGAATCACAAAAGAAGTGAATATGCCCTGCCCCACCTTAACTGATGACATTCCACCACAAAAGAAGTGTAAATGGCCGGTCCTTGCCTTAACTGATGACATTACCTTGTGAAAGTCCTTTTCCTGGCTCATCCTGGCTCAAAAAGCACCCCCACTGAGCACCTTGCGACCCCCACTCCTGCCCGCCAGAGAACAACCCCCCTTTGACTGTAATTTTCCTTTACCTACCCAAATCCTATAAAACGGCCCCACCCCTATCTCCCTTTGCTGACTCTCTTTTCGGACTCAGCCCACCTGCACCCAGGTGATTAAAAGCTTTATTGCTCACACAAAGCCTGTTTGGTGGTCTCTTCACACAGACGCGCATGAAATTTGGTGCCGTGAGTTGGATCGGGGAACCTCCCTTGGGAGATCAATCCCCTGTCCTCCTGTTCTTTGCTCCGTGAGAAAGATCCACCTACGACCTCAGGTCCTCAGACCGACCAGCCCAAGGAACATCTCACCAATTTTAAATCAGGTAAGCAGCCTCTTCTTACTCTCTTCTCCAACCTCTCTCACTGTCCCTCAACCACTTTCTCCTTTCCACTCTTCAATCTCTCCCTTCTCTTAATTTCAATTCCTTTCATTTTCTGGGAGAGACAAAGGAGACACATTTTATCCGTGGACACAGAACTCCGGTGCCGGTCATGGACTGGGAAGGCAGCCTTCCCTTGGTGTTTAATTATTGCAGGGATGCCTCTCTGATTATTCACCCACGTTTCAAAGGTGTCAGACCACGCAGGGACGCCTGCCTTGGTCCTTCACCCTTAGCGGCAAGTCCCGCTTTTCTGGGAAAGGGGCAAGTACCCCAACCCCTTCTCTCCTTGTCTCTACCCCTTCTCTGCTTTTCTGGGGGAGGGGCAAGTACCCCTCAACCCCTTCTCCTTCACTCTTGGCGGCAAGTCCCGCTTTTCTAGAGGAGGGGCAAGTACCCCAACCTTGTATCTCTGTGCCCCAATCCCTTATTTCTGCACCCCAACCTCTTATATCTCTGTGCCCCAATCCCTTATTTCCGTGCCCCGACCCCTTATTTCTGTGCCCCTACCCCTTATTTCCATGCCCCTACCCCTTATTTCTGTGCCCCATCCCTTATTTCTGCACCCCGACCTCTTATCTCTGTGCCCCAACCCCTTTTCCCACTTTTCTGGAAGGTAAGAACCCCCGAACTCCTTCCCTCCATTTCTCTACTCTCTCTTTTCTCTAGGCTTGCTTCCTTCACTATAGGCAAACTTCCACCCTCCATTCCTCCTTCTACCCCCTTTGCCTGTGTTCTCAAAAACTTAAAACCTCTTCAACTCACACCTGACCTAAAACCTAAATGCCTTATTTTCTTCTGCAATGCCGCTTGACCCCAGTACAAACTCGACAGTAGTTCCAAATAGCCAGAAAATGGCACTTTGAATTTTTCCATCCTGCAAGATCTAAATAATTCTTGTCGTAAAATAGGCAAACGGTCTGAGGTGCCTGACGTCCAGGCATTCTTTTACACATCAGTCCCTTCCTAGTCTCTGTGTGCAGTGCAACTCGTCCCAAATCTTCCTTCTTTCCCTCCTGCCTGTCCCCTCAGTACCAACCCCAAGCATCACTGAGTCTTTCTAATCTTCCTTTTCTACAGACCCATCTGACCTCTCCCTTCCTCCCCAGGCTGCTCCTTGCCAGGCCGAGCTAGGTCCCAATTCTTCCTCAGCCTCTGCTCCTCCACCCTATAATCTTTTTATCACCTCCCCTCCTCACACCTGGTCTGGCTTACAATTTCGTTCCCTGACTAGCCCTCCCCCTCCTGCCCAGCAATTTACTCTTAAAAAGGTGGCTGGAGCTAAAGGCATAGTCAAGGTTAATACTCCTTTTTCTTTATCCCAAATCAGATAGCATTTAGGCTCTTTTTCATCAAATATAAAAATCCAGCCCAGTTCATGACTTGTTTGGCAGCAACCCTGAGACATTTTACAGCCCTAGACCCTAAAAGGTCAAAAGGCCGTCTTATTCTAAAATACATTTTATTACCCAATCTGCTCCCGACATTAAATAAAACTCCAAAAATTAAATTCCGGCCCTCAAACCCCACAACAGGATTTAATTAACCTTGCCTTCAAGATGTACAATAATAGAAAAAAGTTGCAATTCCTTGCCTCCATTGTGAGACAAACCCCAGCCACATCTCCAGCACACAAGAACTTCCAAATGCCTGAACTGCAGCGGCCAGGCGTTCCTCCAGAATCTCCTAGCACAGGAGCTTGCTACATGTGCCGTAAATCTGGCCAATGGGCCAAGGAATGCCCGCAGCCCGGGATTCCTCCTAAGCCGCGTCCCATCTGTGTGGGACCCCACTGAAAATCGGACTGTTCAACTCACCTGGCAGCCACTCCCAGAGCCCCTGGAACTCTGGCCCAAGGCTCTCTGACTGACTCCTTCCCAGATCTTCTTGGCTTAGCGGCTGAAGACTGACACTGCCCGATCACCTCGGAAGCCCCCTAGACCATCACGGACGCCGAGCTTCGGGTAACTCTCACAGTGGAGGGTAAGCCCGTCCCCTTCTTAATCAATACAGAGGCTACCCACTCCAATTACCTTCTTTTCAAGGGTCTGTTTCCCTTGCCTCCATAACTGTTGTGGGTATTGACTTGACGGCCAGGCTTCTAAACCTCTTAAAACTCCCCAACTCTGGTGCCAACTTAGACAATACTTTTTTAAGCACTCCTTTTTGGTTATCCCCACCTGCCAGTTCCCTTATTAGGCTGAGACACTTTAACTAAATTATCTGCTTCCCTGACTATTCCTGGACTACAGCTATATCTCATTGTCGCCCTTCTTCCCAATCCAAAGCCTCCTTTGTGTCCTCCTCTTGTATCCCCCCACCTTAACCCACAAGTATAAGATACCTTTACTCCCTCCTTGGCGACCGATCATGCACCCCTTACCATCTCATTAAAACCTAATCACCCTTACCCCACTCAATGCCAGTATCCCATCCTGCAGCACGCTTTAAAAATATTAAAGCCTGTTATCATTCACCTGCTACAGCATGGCCTTTTAAAGCCTATAAACTCTCCTTATGATTCCCCCATTTTACCTGTACTAAAACCAGACAAGCCTTACAAGTTAGTTCAGGATCTGCGCCTTATCAACCAAATTGTTTTGCCTATCCACCCCATGGTGCCAAACCCATATACTCTCCTATCCTCAATACCTGCCTCCAAAACCCATTATTCTGTTCTAGATCTCAAACATGCTTTCTTTACTATTCCCTTGCACCCTTAATCCCAGCCTCTCTTCGCTTTCACTTGGACTGACCCTGACACCCATCAAGCTCAGCAAATTACCTGGGCTGTACTCCTGCAAAGCTTCACAGACAGCCCCCATTACTTCAATCAAGCCCAAATTTCTTCCTCATCTGTTACCTATCTCGGCATAATTCTCATAAAAACACACATGCTCTCCCTGCCAATCGTGTCCAACTGATCTCTCAAACCCAAGCACCTTCTACAAAACAACTCCTTTCCTTCCTAGGCATGGTTAGTTCGGTCAGAATTCTTACACAAGAGCCAGGACCACACCCTGTAGTGTTTCTGTCCAAACAACTTGACCTTACTGTTTTAGCCTAGCCCTCATGTCTGCATGCAGTGGCTGCCGCTGCTTTAATACTTTTAGAGGCCCTCAAAATCACAAACTATGCTCAACTCACACTCTACAGTTCTCATAACTTCCAAAATCTATTTTCTTCCTCACACCTGACGCATATACTTTCTGCTCCCCGGCTCCTTCAGCTGTACTCACTCTTTGTTGAGTCTCCCACAATTACCGTTGTTCCTGGCCCAGACTTCAATCCGGCCTCCCACATTATTCCTGATACCACACCTGACCCCCATGACTGTATCTCTCTGATCCACCTGACATTCACCCCATTTCCCCACATTTCCTTCTTTCCTGTTCCTCACCCTGATCACGCTTGATTTATTGATGGCAGTTCCACCAGGCCGAATCGCCACACACCAGCAAAGGCAGGTTATACTATAGTACAAGCCACTAGCCCGCCTCTTAGAACCTCTCATTTCCTTTCCATCATGGAAATCTATCCTCAAGTAAATAACTTCTCAGTGTTCCATCTGCTTTTCTACTACTCCTCAGGGATTATTCAGGCCCCTTCCCTTCCCTACACATCAAGCTCAAGGATTTGCCCCACCCAGGACTGGCAAATTAGCTTTACTCAACATGCCCTGAGTCAGATAACTAAAATACCTCTTAGTCTAGGTAGATGCTTTCACTGGATAGGTAGAGGCCTTTCCTACAGGGTCTGAGAAGGCCACTGCAGTCATTTCTTCCCTTCTGTCAGACATAATTCCTCGGTTTAGCCTTCCCACCTCAATACAGTCTAATAACAGACGAGCCTTTATTAGTCAAATCAGCCAAGCAGTTTTTCAGGCTCTTAGTATTCAGTGAAACCTTTATATCCCTTATGGTCCTCCGTCTTCAAGAAAAGTAGAATGGACTAAAGGTCTTTTAAAAACACACCTCACCAAGCTCAGCCACCAACTTAAAAAGGACTGCACAATACTTTTACCACTTTCCCTTCTCATAATTCAGGCCTGTCCTCAGAATGCTACAGGGTACAGCCCATTTAAGCTCCTGTATAGACGCCCCTTTTTATTAGGCCCCAGTCTCATTCCAGACACCAGACCAACTTAGACTGTGCCCCAAAAAACTTGTCATCCCTACTATCTTCTGTCTAGTCATACTCCTATTCACCGTTCTCAACTACTCATATATGACCTGCTCTTGTTTACACTGCCGGTTTACACTGTTTCTCCAAGCCATCACAGCTGATATCTCCTGGTGCTATCCCCAAACTGCCACTCTTAACTCTTGAAGTAAATAATCTTTGCTGGCAGGACTATGCTGAATCTCCTTAGGCACTCTCTAATCAGATATCCTGAGTCGTCCCAATTCTTAGACCTTTTATACCTGTTTTTCTCCTTCTGTTATTCCACTTAGTTTCTCAATTCATCCAAAACCATATCCAGGCCATCACCAATCATTCTATACGACAAATGTTTCTTCTAACATCCTCACCATATCACCCCTTACCACAATACCTCCCTTCAGCTTAATCTCTCCCACTCTAGGTTCCCACGCCACCCCTAATCCCGCTTGAAGCACCCCTGCGAAACATCGCCCATTCTCTCTCCATACCACCCCCAAAAAATTTTCGCCGCCCCAACACTTCAACACTATTTTGTTTTATTTTTCTTATTAATATAAGAAGGCAGGAATGTCAGGCCTCTGAGCCCAAGCCAAGCCATCGCATCCCCTGTGACTGGCACGTATACGCCCAGATGGCCTGAAGTAACTGAAGAATCACAAAAGAAGTGAATATGCCCTGCCCCACCTTAACTGATGACATTCCACCACAAAAGAAGTGTAAATGGCCGGTCCTTGCCTTAACTGATGACATTACCTTGTGAAAGACCTTTTCCTGGCTCATCCTGGCTCAAAAAGCACCCCCACTGAGCACCTTGCGACCCCCACTCCTGCCCGCCAGAGAACAACCCCCCTTTGACTGTAATTTTCCTTTACCTACCCAAATCCTATAAAATGGCCCCACCCCTATCTCCCTTCACTGACTCTCTTTTCAGACTCAGCCCGCCTGCACCCAGGTGAAATAAACAGCCATGTTGCTCACACAAAGCCTGTTTGGTGGTCTCTTCACACGGATGCACGTGAAACCACACACCTGCAACGAACTCATTTTCAACAAAGGTACCAAGACCATACCCTGGGGAAAAATGTCTTTAATAAATGGTGCTGGGAAAGCTCAATATCCATATGCAGAATGATGAAACTAGACCTCTATCTTTCTATATAAACAAAAATCAAGAACAAAGACTTAAATCTGAGAACTTAAACTATGAAACTACTAAAATAAAACACTGTGGAAACACTTCAGGGCATTGGTTTAGGCAAAAATTTCTTGGAGTAATACCCCATAAGCACAGGGAACCAAAGCAAAAATATACAAATTGGATTACATCAAGTTGAAAAGCTTCTGCACGGCAAAGGATACAGTCAACAAACTGAAGAGACAAACTACAGCAAGGAATGGTTGGTTTCACTAATGAGGACAACAATTTCTTTTTTAAACCAGGTTTCCAGCTCACCTCAGATGGGCTGGTCTTTGAGTGAATATACATGTTTGGCTCTCGAACATTATTTCATTCTACAGCTGCCTCTATTAGGGTAGCACCAGCTTGTATATTACTAGATATCCATTCCTACTCCCACACCTGCCTCAGAATGCATTGTATCTCTCATCTTCTTTCACCTCCAGATAAATCTTCTCAGAACTAGAGTAACAGTAATCAACTTCCCTTTTGGCTGAAACACCTTCTTCCTGGTAACAGAGGACTTAACCACGAATTCTAAAATTATCATTAGAATTCCTCTTGTGTGACCTGTAGTTCTCATGCAGATAGGACCCTTATTGCCAGTATTTCAAGAAATCTTTTTTTCGTTCTGCAGACACTCGATTTTCTTTAGAAAAATAAATGAATAGAAAGAGAAAAGAAAGAAGGAAAGAAAAAGGAAAAAGGGAAAGAAGGAAGATAGGAAGGGAGAAAGGAAAGGAGTGAGGGAGGAAGAAAGGAAAGAAAGGAGGGAGGAAGGAAGTTTAATTGCCCAACATACTCTCCCTCCCAGCTGTCTAGACAGAGCTGATTTATTAAGAAGCGAATTGCAGTCCGGGCACGGTGACTCACACCTGCAATCCCAGCGCTTTGGGAGGACGAGGTGGGAGGATCACGAGGTCAGGAGATCGAGACCATCCTGGCTAACACGGTGAAACCCCGTCTCTACTAAAAATACAAAAACAAAACTAGCTGGGCATGGTGGCGGGGGCCTGTAGTCCCAGCTACTAGAGAGGCTGAGGGGGAGAATGGCGTGAACCCAGGAGGCAGAGTTTGCAGTGAGCCGAGATCGGGTCACTGCACTCCAGCATGGGCAACAGAGGGAGACTCCATCTCAAAAAAAAAAAAAAAAAAGAAGGGAATTGCAATAGAAAAAGAGTTTAATTCACACACAGCCAGCTGTAAGGAGGTCAGAGTTTTATTATTACTCCAATCAGTCTCCCTGATTTGGGAATTGGGTTTTTTCAGGATAATCTGGTGGGTAGGGGGTCAGGAAGTGGAGAGTGCTGATTAGTCAGGTTGGAGATGAAATTATAGGGGTTCAGAGTGGGTTTTTCTTGCTGTATTCTGTTCCTGGTGGGATCACAGAATTGGTTGAGCCAGATTACCATTCAGGTGGTGTCAGCTGATGCTCCCAAACACGGGAACTGCAAGATATCTCGAACACTGGTCTCAGGTTTTACAACAGTGGTGTTATCCCCAGGAGCAACTGGTGAGGTTCAGAATCTTGCAGCCTCCAACTGCCTGACTTCAAACCATAATTTCTAATCTTGCAGCTAATTTGTTAGTCTTAAAAAGGCAGACTAGTCCCCAGCCAAGAAGGGGATTTGTTTTGGAAAGGGCTGTTTTCAATTTTGTTTGTTGAACTATAAACTATGTTCCTCCCAAAACTAATTTGGCCTACGCCCAGAAATGAACAAGGACAGTTTGTAGATTAAAACCAAGATGGAGTTGGTTTGGTCAGATTTCTTTCACTGTCTTAATTTTCTGTTTCAATTTTTTGCAAAGGTAGTTTAAAGAGGGAGGAGAGAAGGAAGGAAGGAAGGGAGGGAGGGAGGGAGGGAAAAGGAAGGAAGGAAGGAAGGATGGAAGGAAGGGAGTGGGGGGGAAGAAAAAAGAAAGAAGGAAGGAAGGGAGGGAGGGGAAAAGAAAGAAAGAAACTAAAGCTTTCAGAACAACAAATTAGACTTGTACAGGTGCTTTTGCTGTGTACACCAAGCCATATATTGAGTTAATTAATATATAATATACATATTCTACATAGATCAATTGTTTCTATATTAAAAATAATTATGAATAGTAGCAATTACTTTTTAAAAAAGAGTCTAAATTCTCTGTCTCTTAAAATTTGCAGTAACCTACAGTTCTAAGCTCCTGGAGAACATTTAAGTTAGCGTTGTTTGCAGTAATTACCTGGCACCCAGTACATACTTAATACATATTTTTTATTGTATTTTAAAACTAAAGGAATCATTCCATTATGGCTGCCACAAAATTTGAGAAAATTAAATGGTTTGATATCCTTACACCAAAGAAAATTAATCTAGCAGCAAAATCACAGAAAGAACTTGATTTCAAGAAGTAAACTTTTTATACAGTAAAAGTATTCTAATCTCAGAAACATTAGAGTCATGTTAATTAGCAACTATTTATTCAATTTAACTCTTTTCCACAATATTGCTATTATTGGTTTCCATCTGGCCTAATTAATAAAAATTCTTCTTTCACTGGTTCTGATCATCAGCCAAATTTCATTTTCCCCAATCTGGCTTGGTTAAGAAATAGTGTTAGTCCATCTGCAATAGCCTTACTTTTATAATAAGCCAGAAACAAAATGACTGCTGATTATATAAAGCTATATTCCAACACATCTACTGAATCTCTATTTTATCATTCAGAAGGTGTGAAAGAGGCTGAAACTTTTCAAGATGTTTTTTCTAGTAAAAAATATTTCTACACAAAACAAATATAATTTTAGAGGTTTAAAACACACAGTTGTGCTCTTTGGAAGTTGGCAATAATTCTGGAACAGAAATTGTTAATTACACATAGAAACTATAAATAATCAACATCCAAGTCAATCAAATAAGTAAATTGTGTCTCTAAGATTTTAAAGGCAAGGTCATTTTTATATGAGGACATATAACTCCCATTTTATACGTATGCTATGATTTAAATGTCTCCTCTAAAATTCATGTTAAAATTTAATTGCCATTTTAATAGTATTAAGAGGTGAAACCTTTAAGAGGTGATTAGGTCATGAGGGCTCTGCCGTCATGAATGAATTAATGCTGTTATTGCAGGTATGTGTTCCTCATTGCAGGAGTGGGTTAAATATAAAAAGAAGAGTTTGCCCCCTTTTTATCTCTCTGTCACCCTCTCCTTGCTCTTCTATCATCGTCATGGGATGATACAACAAGCAGGCCCTCACCTGATGCCAGCCCTTTGAGCTTGGACTTCCCAGCTTCAGAACCATGAGGCAATACATTTATGTTCACTATAAATGACCTGCTCAATGGTATTCTTTTATAGCTGCACAAAATGGACAAATACAGAAAATTGTTACAAAGGAAGTGGGAAAGTACTGTAATAAATACCTGAAAATGTGCAAGTGGCTATGAAACTGGGTAATGAGTGGAAGCTAAAAGAATTTGGAGGAGCAGGCTAGAAAAAGCCTAGATTGCCATTAATGGAGCATTAAGGATGATTCTGATGAAGGCTCGGAAGAGAACTGTAGGAAAAGTGTGAAACTTCTTAGGGATCATTTAAGTTGCTATCATCAAAATACTGGTAGAAATATAAATGTTAGGCTGGGCACAGTGGTTCACCCCTGTAATCACAGCACTTTAGGAGGCTGAGGCAGGAGGTGTCTTTGAGGCCAGGAGTTCAAGTCCAATCTGGGCAACATAGTGAGTCTCCCTCTCTACAAATTAAAAAAAAATAGCTGGGTATTGTGGCACACACCTGTAGTCCTACTATTCAGGAGGCTGAGGCAGGAGGATCACTTGAGCCCAGGAGTTTGAGGTTAGAGTGAGCTATGATTGCACCACTGCACTCCAGCCTGAGTGACACAGTGAGACTCTGTCTCTAAAAATCTGTATATATATATAATTTGATAATGTGATATATAATTTTATATAATATAGTATATAAATATATATTTATTCTATTTATTCATCCACATATATACATATATATATGGATGATAAAAACAATTCTGATGAAATCTCAGAAGGAAATGAGTAACAAGGTATTGGAAAATAGAGTAAAAGGCATCCTTTTTTATAAACTGGCAAAGAATTTAACTGAATTGTGTTCATGCCTGAGGGCTTTATAGAAGACAGAATTTAAGAATGATAAACTAGAGTTTCTGGCAGAAGACATATCTAAGTAGCAAAGCAGTAAGCATGCTGTATGACTTATTTTAACTGTATATAGTAACATGCAAGAAGAAATTTAAAAACAGAATTTGCAATTAATGGGGAAGCAAAATGTAAAAATTTAGAACTTCCCCAGCCTGGCCATCTGATATGGTTTGGCTGTGTCCCCATCTAAATCTCATCTCGAATTATAGTTCCCATAATCCCCATGTGTCATGAGAGGTACCCGGTGGGAGGTAATTGAATCACGGGGGTGTTTACCTTCGTGCTATTTGTGTGATAGTGAGTGAGTTCTCATGAGATCTGATGATTTTATAAGGAGCACTTCCCCCTTTTGCTTGGCACTTCTCCTTCCTGCCACCATGTGAAGAAGGACATGTTTGCTTCCCCTTCTGCCATGATTGTAAGTGTCCTGAGGCCTCCCCAGACATGCTGAACTATGTGTCAATTAAACCTCTTTCCTTTATAAATTACCCAGCCTCAGGTATATCTTTATTGGCAGCATCAGAATGGACTAATACACCATCTAAACAATAAAAATCCCTGTTTGAGAAAAAATACCAAGGGTGTGACCAAGCAACCCTTTCATAAGGGAATTAGTATAGATAGAATAAAGCCAGATGCTAGTCATCAAAACTATGAGATAATTACCCTGAACACATTTTAGAGATTTTTAAAGTTCCCCTCTCATCACAAACCCAGAGTTGTAAGAAGCAGAATAGTTTCAGGGGAAGCCAGAATCGTTTTCAGGGATTCCCAGAGCCACCTCACAACTCTGCTCTCTGCATTCCGGTGCAGTGTACCTCAATGTCCCAGACAAGGCTCAAGCCAACACAGTTGCAGATCAGTGCATTGCTCCAGAGGGTGCAAAGGATAAGCTTTGGTGACATGCACATAGTGCTAATTATGCAGGTGCACAGAAGGCAAGAGCTATGTGGCATGACTTCCTCCACCTAGATTTCAAAGGATGCTCCAAAACCTTAGTGGCCCAGGCAGAGACTTTTTGCAAGGGCAGAGCCACAACAGAAAGCCCCAACTAGGGCAATACCCAAAGGAACTATAGGGTTGGGGCCACAACGGACAGCCCTGATTATGACAATGTCCAAGAACTCTGGGATTACAGCTGCAACAGAGTCCCTAAAACTTTAGAGCTACCCATGTGCAACATCAGCGTGGAAAAGCTACAGGAATATGACTCCAACTCTAGAACTGCTGCATGGGCTGACTATAGCAAAGCCATAGGCATGGGGCTATCCAAGGTCATGGGATCCCAACCCCTGCCCCAGTGTGTCCAGGACGCAGGACATGGAGTCAAGAAAAATTATTCTGGAGACTTAAGTTTTGATATTGTTTACCCTCTTGTGTTTTAGACCTACTTGTGGCCTGTTTCCTCCTTTTTTTTGTCTATTACTCCCTTTTGGAATAGGAATATCTGTCCTATGCCTGTCCCATCATTGTATTTTGCAGGTAGATAACTTCTTTTAATTTCACAGACTCACAGCAAGAGAGGAATTTGCTTCAGGATGAATTGTGCCTTGAGTCTCACCCATATCTGCTTTAGACGAAACTTTGGACTTGACTGGTCTTTTGAGTTGATGCTAGAACTAGTTAATACTTTGGGGGGCTATTGGAATGGGAAAACTGAATTTGTATGAAAAGGACATTCATTTTTAGGATCTAGGGACAGAATGCTGTGGTTTGAATGTCACCTCCAAAACTTATGTTGAAGTTTTATTTCCATTGTGACAGCATTAAGAGATGGGCATTCATTCATGCCAATCATGGCCTCATGGCCTGGCCATGAGGTCTCTGCTGTCATGAAAGGATTAATGCAGTTATCACAGAAGTGGATTCCTTAGGCCAGGCACGGTGGCTTATGCCTGTAATCCTAGCACTTTGGGAGCCCAAGGCAGGTAGATCACCTGAGGTCAGGAGTTCAAGGCCAGACTGGCCAAGATGGTGAAACCACAATCTTTACTAAAATTATGAAAATTAGCCAGGCATGGTGGTGGCTCCTAAAATCCCAGCTACTTGGGAGACTGAGGCAGGAGAATCACTTGAACCCAGAGGGCAGAGGTTGCAGTGAGCCAAGATCACACCACTTCACTCTAACCTGGGCAACTGAGCGAAACTCTGTCTCAAAAAACAAACAAAAAAACAAAAAAAGAAGTGGATTCCTAATAAAAGGATGAATTTGGCCTGCTTTTGCCTCTCTCTCACCTTCTCTTTTCCCTTTGTCATGGAATGACACAGCAAGAAGGCTCTCACCATATGCCAATCACTTGATGTTGGACTTCCCAGCCTCCAGACCATGAGCTAATACATTTCTGTTCATTATCAATTTCCTGGTCTGTGGTGTTGTGTTAACTAAGATAACATTTCACAGCAATTTATGTTATTTTATAGAATTTTCAATAATACAGTTTTATTCAGACTGTGACAGATTCCCATTATAGTGACTTAATACCTGATAGAAAATATATATTGATTCAGCTACAAATCTCTTTGAAAATAATTGCTCATATCTGAATACTTCTATACTTTTATAGCTAGGCTGACCACACTGAGGAAAGCCCTCTTACCTCTCAGGTTAACTACGCTGAGAATTGTTACCTGTTGTCCCAGTGTAATAATAATGCCTTATTTGACTATCAAGTCTTAGTTATGATAATGATTTGTATAATCCCTTTACTTTTAGTAATTATTGTCATTGTCACTGTATTTCCCCAACATAGCCTAGAACAACGAAATTGTAAATAAAGGTTATAATTATAAATACAGTGACTCATACCTGTAATCCCAGCACTTTAGGAGGCCAAGACAAGAGAATAACTTGAGTTCCATAGCATCCTGGGCAACATAGCAAGACCTGATCTCCATAAAATTAGCTGGGTATGGTGGCATGTGCCTGCATGCCAACCCAGATGATAGACTGAAACCTTATCGCTAAACATAATTAAATAATGATTAAACAAATAAATAAATATTCATAAATATAACCTAATTTTTATGAATTCAATAATTTTCACTGTTAAATAAATTAATGAGCAGAATCCAAAGCTATATCAAAAAGTTTTAAAAACCTTTATTAATTTAACATGTATTTGTTTATAATTCAAACAATTGGCGTTTGTCTTATTCATGAACGAGTTTTAGAAAATATTTTCCTTCATGACTAAAGAAAGATACTCATTTCAGAAAAATCACTAATAATATAGCTTTATATAAAATATAATAATGGAGAAGGTAAATTTTTATGTTCTTTGAATGACAATAAAGTAATGGATGAAAAATTTATTTAATCACTTTTTTATATCTATATATCATCTATCTATCTCTATCATCTACTTACTTATTTGTAATAGGAATAAAGTCATAGGTTATGGGTTTCTCTTCTTATTTCTGACATCGTTTTACATATGCTACTACCTCAGAACAAAACATTCTAACAATCTTTTTTTTTTTTTTTTTTTTTTTTGAGACGGAGTCTCGCTCTGTCGCCCAGGCTGGAGTGCAGTGGCGGGATCTCGGCTCACTGCAAGCTCCGCCTCCCGGGTTCACGCCATTCTCCTGCCTCAGCCTCCCAAGTAGCTAGGACTACAGGCGCCCGCCACTACGCCCGGCTATTTTTTGTAGTTTTAGTAGAGACGGGGTTTCACCGTTTTAGCCGGGATGGTCTCGATCTCCTGACGTCGTGATCCGCCCGCCTCGGCCTCCCAAAGTGCTGGGATTACAGGCGTGAGCCACCGCGCCCGGCCTCTAACAATCTTATCTAAAAGAATTTCTTCTCTGCCTTACAGTTCCTCTATCACCCTTACTAAATTATATTTTCATAATAATCATCTCTGATATAATTCTTTATTTACCTCCTTAGTATTTACCTTAGTATTTACTGGCAAAATAACTCAGTGCTAAGAAAGCAGGAAATGGCTCTAGTTTATTTATCATAATATTTGAGTATCTGTACTGTAAATGGTTCATTCTCAATAAACATTGATGCATGTATGGAAGATGAAAATAATTTATTCTAAGAAACCTACCATCTTGCTTTATTTTTCTATTCTTTCACTCTTCCTTTTCCTCTTTTAGTCCTTCTCAATCTTGTCAGTATTATCACTGTATATTCATGAACTAGCAACAAGAAAAATGTTCTTATATTGAGTAGCAGGTTTTACTAGTATTTTATAATTTTTAGCTAGTCAAAGTAAAAATACTGGCTTTCCCATTTGGCTTAATTTACTAACTAACAGAAAGCAGATACAATAACATAGGAATATTTTGCTAATATAAAAAATGTGAGTTTTCCCTACTATCTATTGGTGTGGAAGTACAAAAGAAAGATGAGGTCTGTTACAGAAAATACATAAGCTAAATTTTATTTTGCAGAATGGAATGTAACATGTGACTTCTAAAAGTTCCTACAAAGGCATTAAAGGTAAATGCAGTCTACTCCAATATTTATTCAGACTATTAAATGGTATATGGATGTATACTATGTAATGTATAATACCTTATGGATATCTACATGTCCACTGTTTTAATTTTCCACACCTCTTATGCTCCTATCAAACAGTATCTGAAAAAATCAGGGAGACATATCTATTTCACTTTGTATGTTTGAGATGAATTAGACCATCAAATCTACAATACATCCTTATATATATTCTGGCTCCTTCCAACTTCATCAAAATATCCCTTGTACAATTATTAGCTTTGCCTCTTTTTGGTGTCAAATGATGAATATGTAGCTACTGATATCAAAGGATAAATATACACTGTAAACTCTTACTTCCCCTACACCCACTCACCCTCTCTGAAATATATTCCTATCATAATCTCCCTGCTATGGTTTGAATATGGTTCCCAAAGGTCATGTGTTGGAAACGTAATCTCCAATGTAATAGTCTTGAGAGGTGGGAGCTTTAAGAGGTGATTGAATCATGAGGGTCCTGCCCTCATGAATGGAGTAATGCCATTATTGTTAGAGAGAGTTAGTTATCACAGGAATAGATTCCTGATAAAAGGATGAGTCTGCCCCACTTTCTTTCCCTTCTTTCTCTCTCATGCGCACCTGTTCTCTTGCCCTTCTGCTTTCTGCCATTTGATGACACAGCAAAAAGGCTCTCAGTAGATGTGGGTCCTTCAATCTTGACTTCCCAGCCTCTATAGCCTTGAAAAATAATATTTTTGTTCACTATAAATTACCCAGTCTTGGATATTATGTTACAGCAACATAGAATGAACTAACATACTTCCCCAGTTGCTTGTGCCAAAAACATTGGAGTCATATTGATTTCTGCATTTTCCTTACACATCATATCCAATCTGTCATCAAATCCAGTTGGCTTTACTATTAAAATTTGTCAAAACTCTGATAGCTTCTCACTACCTCTACCCCTACCAATGTGATCCAAGCCACTGTCATCTATTGACTAATAATTACAATATGACCAGTCTCCTTATTTCCACTGTCACCACAGGTTATTCTTACAGAGTAGCCAGAATGATTGTTTTAAAATGTATGTAAATTTATACCGCTTTTCTGATCAAAATCCTCTAATGGCTTCCCACTTCACTCCAGCATAGAAGCTAATACCCTTACAGACGCCTACAGAGGCTTGCACCATCTGGTCCTCTGATACATTTCTGACTTCAGTTCTCACCACTTCCCCTCATAATCTCTCTAATCTCTGGGCACATTAAGTCTCCTGCTACTCCTCCAATAGGCCAAGAAGTTATTGTCTAAGAGATTTTGCTTTTTTCTCTGCCTAAAATGATTTTGCCACAGTTACCATTGTGACTTTCTTATCTCCTGAAAGTATACAGTCAAATGTAACATTATTGCAGATGTCTTTCTTGTTAGATTGAAAGCTCCACTCCTCAATCATCACTTTTTCTTACAAAATTTTAGTAACACATACACAATAATGTAAATTGTCTGTTTCCTACCACTGGCATGTAAGTTCCATGGTTGGAGGAAGACTTTGATTTGTTTATTGCTGTATCCCCAATTTTAGAATAATTCATGGTACATAGTACATAACCAATAAATATTTACTGAGTATTTGGTTAGAACTCATTAGTTACCCCCATTAGTCAGTATTAGCTCCATCTTAATTAATACTAATATTAGTCAATATTAGCCCCATCTTAATTCTGGACAGAATAAATTCTAGTTCTGAGGTTCTAGTGTGATTATTTTGGGCTTCTGCTGTGCTGCTGTGTACCTTTTCGACAGGATCATTTCAAGCTGGTTGCTCTATCTCCTGGCCCCCTTCTAAACTCACAAGCCCAGCTATTACCTCAGGACATTTGTGGCCTTTGGACTTTTCTGTGCCACTCAAGAGTGTGTGTGTATTAGGAAATAATCATATGCACTGCATCTGCCCGATTACGTAGAGCTGTCAATTTTACTGAAATTTTGCTTTATCTGTTAATAAACAGAGAATCGTGTAAAGCAGACACCTCGTAGATTCCCAAATGAGAAATTCTGCTTTGCTTTTTGGTTTCCCTTTAAACTTTCTCAGTCCAACTCTAAAATTCCAGCCTGAGAATGAAGAACACAGAAGTTTCATTCTTCTGTTCACGTACTTATCCCCTTTTTACTCCTGTTTCCATTTTCTGTCCTTTTTTTCTTCACATTGTTCCCTGGGACTTGAAGTTGGAGATTTCCACATTACTTCATGTTCATATCAAAACCTGAGTTCTCTCTTCCACTACCATAGAGCAGAATTCTATCCCAGCTTTTCTTATGTTAAAGTAACAGGCAAACAATATTGAAAAACTATTATTTTCTCAAAGCAACTGGGACACTATCATTTTGATGAAAATTTTCCTTTATATGGAAATCCTCATTTTGAGACTCCAAAGCTGATTATTGAAATTTCCATCTCCTCCTCTCCCCAGGTGAGACCTAAGCAAACAAAATGCTTATATCAGCTTTGATGGTCAACTGCCACTAAGGAATATGAAATAAGAAATATATGTGTGTGTGTGTGTGTATATATATATATATATATATATATATATATATATATATATATGTTATTCCTTAACTCTTATCCCTATTATTGCTATTTACTTGAACTTAATATACAAATTCTAACCAATACTTCCTTTTCTTGCTCATTTTATGAAACTTATGCATAAAACCATAGGGTTGGCATCCAACAACTGTAAGAGTTAATTATCTGAGAACAAATCTAAGATGATGACTCCAAAAATCAATCAGGATGAAAAGTTTCAATTTCGATTCTTTATAACTGAGAACAAAGCTAAATTTATTGAATGTCCCTTCCATTTCAGTAAATTTTAGACATGGCATAAAATGTTTAATGTAATTTTTTCACTATCACAAAGAATAGGATCCCTCAAATTTTTATATTGTTTTCACTATTCTTGTTGCAACTTCTTGCACATACACTCATATTCTGCTTCTACTGTCTCTTAACAATTGACACACTTCTACTTTCACCTTCAGCAGATAAGAAAAATAATTTACACAATTCCCTTAATATTCTCTACCTGCCTTCTCAAACTTGCTGTCTTTATTTATCCTCTTCTTGTTCTTCCTCAATGGAAGAAATTGCCTTCTTTCTCAAGTTAGCTTTTGCAGTGGAGCTGTGGATCTGATCTCCTTAGCTTTTCTAGTACTTAGACCATTCTCTGCCTTGAATCCTTCTTTTCTTTTTACCATATCTTCCCTGATCTTTGACTAGACTACTTTGCCATTGCATCCTTCCTCCTTCTCTAAATATTTACTGGTGCCCATGTCTAAAGACCTGTCTAGATTGCTGATTGTGCTCTGTCAACCACCGAATCACTTCTTAGACTCTCATGCTGGTATTTCTGCTCCACCTTCTTATGGGGCACATGCACTCCAATGAATTCATTCTTCAAAGTTGTTGTGTGACAAAATCACTTGGAGAACCAAAAAGAACCTAGTCCCGTACACCTTAAAGTGGACAAAGTTGTTGTGTAACAAAATCACTCGGAGAACTAATAAAGAACCTAGTCCCATACTCCTTAAAGTGGATAGGGCTGGGGCCTCTCTATTGGTATAAGTCCCCCGGAGGGTTTTGAAACACATCAAAAGTTGGGAATTGCTGCTCTACTGGTTTTCAAGATCAGTTCTTAGTCCCCAGGAGTATGTGATTTTTTGACCATTTCAGTCTCCCCAAACTCTCTTTCTCTCCTTCAGCTTTGTAATAAAGTGCTCTCCTGGATTGGACACCACTTGAGCAGTCTTAACTCTGGTAGGCTCTCAGGCTATGTTTGTCGAAATAAACTGCATAAGCAATGTCCTTATCAAAAAATCTGGTCTTCAGTCTGCTTTTGTTCAAATTTCATTTTTTAAAAAATTGCCTAATTTTATTACTTTTTCAGAATAACAATATAGATTTTACTTTTCAGTTCTACAAGCAAGTTATTTGAAATAAAAATCTTAATGCTAATGCATTTTTCCCCACCAGGCTGTGTTCATATTGGCATTTAGAAAGTTAAATGATGACACATTTGCTTAAGAAAAAAATTGATTTCTTATAATTTTATAATTCTTTATCAATACTTTGCTGGTGACTAGATGGAAAATGAAGCACATGGCTCTGATTCACAAATTACATTTCTAATTCAAGGGCATATTCAATCACTGAAACACAGTTTTAGAATTAATGTTCAAATTTTGGAAGATATTGAAATATTTGATAAAAAATTGAGTTTTGGGGGGGTGCTATGGCTCTGTACCCCCTCAAAGCATCCTAATTGAAACCAAAGTCTAATGAAGCTAATAAAAATTTGGTAGATTGACAGTCGATTCCAAGAATATATTTATTGCCAACTTACTATAATTAATCTGTTCCATATGTAAAAACATCATATAAGGGTATTCTTCTCTTAAAATCATGTTATTTTAGCTTTCATACCTACCTTTGGATCCAAGTACTCTCATAAGATCATCTTCCCTGCAATTGCTGGTGATAATCCACACGTGGATTTGCATGGGTGTGCACAGCTGTGTATGCATCATGGGTCTCCTACAAATGCAAGCACACACCTATGTATTCACACACACATACCCCCACGAAGATAACATGCATATAAATTTAAATGTAACAAAGTTATATCAGGGTAGTGTTAAGCTGAGATATTTAAGCTTACATAAATCAGGAGATTCAGAAATTGGGTCCTCATAGCAAAGTGAAACTAGCACTGGTATTATGTGCTATGACAGGGTTTTTCCATTACATAGTCAGATAACCCTGTAAACATGACATAAATGTTTGGCATATCTTCACTTTGTAAACATACATTACTGTGTCATGTTATATAAATGGCTTCTATAATGCGAGTAACACTAAAAATGAAAGTTCTTAGTTTTGTACATTATACGTAAATATTTTACACGAGACATAGCATTAATTTGAAGGCATAACAATATGAAAGATTGCCCTTTATAAGACAATGTTTGGTTTAACAATGTATTTGTAATGTCAACAAAATGAACAAATGTTAAAAGAGTACTTAATAATCATAAGTGATAAATGAAGCATACATTTGGTAAACAATAACATCTCTTTGTTCATAAAAAATGTTTTGTTTTTAGTTTATAGTCTCATGAAAAGTTACATACTTAGAATACAATAGGCCAAGGGAAGAGCCTGAAAAAAAATGAATGCAGAGTCTTAGACATAGACATTTAAACTTCTTATTTTTTTGTGTATAATAATGTCTATTTAAAATAAATTTAACAATTAATGATATTTTATGGTTGCTTATTTATTTAATGATAAAAATATAAATACCCACCAAAAATATAAAATACACATTGAACATAACTATTTAAATGGCTTGCAGATTGTCATCAAATTGCATAATAAAAAATTTCAGTGAAATGCAGTTATTTTAATTTTTGGTTGTTTATAATCGTTAAACAAAATCAAAGTTTAGAAAACTACTCTTAAATTTTTAAGCCCCAATTTTAATTGATTAAATATAATACTAATTTTATATCAATATATAATGTTGGGTATGGATTCATAGCAAATGAAAGGTGACTTTCTATTAAGTCATACAATCTCATACTATGAGCAATTTAGTCTCTAAACCATTCATTGACTCAGTAAATGGTCATTTTGATAGTGACAGGAGGCAGTCAAATGCCTAGGCAGATGGGAGAGGGTCTCTGGTGAAACTCCACCTTCAAGCCAAAAAACAGCCTGAAGTCTGAAAGACTGGACTGCTGGTCCCAGGTCAAACCAGCTACTCAGAGTGAAAACTTCCGTTCCTGTTTGCCTGCCCTTTCCCAATTGATTCTTTCTGAATAATACCTTTTAACCAATTGAATGTTGCCTTTTCCAGTACTACCTACAGCCTGCTCCTCCCTAACTGTGAGCCCATAAAAGCCCTGCAATCAGCCACATTGGGGAGGACTTTCCTGCCTTTAGTAGGAGATCCTCCTGTGTCCCCTCTCTGAGGAAACCTGTTCTGTCACTCAATAAAACTCCCCACCTTGCTCACTCTTTGATTGTCAGCATATTCTCATTCTTCTTGGACACTGGACAAAAGCTTGCAACTCACTGAGTGCAGGTACCGAGAATGGCAGTCACACTGGCCTTTTGCCCTCACCAGGAAAGCAGCCAGGGGCTGACTGAGCTGCGAACATGCCGCAGTCCATCAGGCTGTGGAAGGCATAACTAAAAGGGGTAATTGGCTCATTAATACCCGCCTAGGGCTTTGAGGTCACGGGCACACTTGCCTGGGTGCCGTCGTGTTCCCCTCAAGGTGATATGCCTGGTCTGGCCACGGGCCCCACATGGAGATTGTTCCTGTGTTGGTACCTAGAGTGGCTGGAAGGATCCTGCACTCGCTAGCTCACATGCTCCTTCCCACAGGGGCTGAGCACGTTGGGCCGAGAAGATGGCACACCCCGGCGGCACACTGGTGAAAGGGGCCGAGAGACGATTCCTGTGTCATTTTTGAGTTTCTTTCGTGCCAGTGGCTGTGCTAGTCCAGGAGATTCTAAAATTACTTAAACAATATGAACATTTCTCCAAGAATTTTCTATCCAGCAGAGAAGACAGTCATTCAAAACATAACTGTATGTAATTGAAGATGCACACATGTTTTCTATTATTTACAATAGAATATATAATAATAGCTAAGATTTGTTGACAGTTTATGTAGTAAGAATCACATTAAGGATTTAACACCATTAATTTGCTTGTTCTTCACACTGATACAGTGGGACAGATAATAGTATTCACATATTATAGAGGAGGAAGCTGAGGAATAGACCTAACGTAGCATGCTTAAGGTCACAAAAATTATCCAGTGTTAATTTTTATGCAATACATAAAAATAAAAATCTGTGGATAGGTAAATCACAAAATAATACTAATATTAATAGTCTAATAATCAAAATATAGATTGTATACTAGTGGAAGCTTTTTGACTATTAAAGATTCACCAAAATTGATGATAAGACAATCTTTAAACTGTTATCTGACACTCTTCTACTTTGGGCTTCTAAAATAAACTACCATAGACTGGGTGGATCATAACAACAGAAATCTATTTCTCACAGTTCTGGAAGCTGGGAGGTCTCACTCTTCTACCATGTGAGGACTGTGAAAGGAAAACAAATCTTGGAGCCCCCAAATTTATCTAAATCTTGGGGCCCCAAAACTAAGCTAAAGGGAAAAGTCAATTTGGGAACTGCCTGGGCAAGTTCCCAGCATTACTTTTCCCATTCTATTCCAAGTCATCCCTCTGCTCACTGAAAAAAAGTGCCTATCTGCTTTCCTCCTTTGGAAAGGCTAATCAGAAACTCAAAAGAATGCAACTATTTTTCCCTTATCTACCTATGACCCACAAGCCCCTTCCCCACTTTGAGTTGTCCCACCTTTGCTTTGAGTTGTCCTGCCTTCCTGGACCAAAACAATGTTCACTTTACATATACTGACTGATGTCTCCTGTCTCTCTAAAATGTATAAAATCAAGCTGTGCTCAGACCACTTTAGGCACATGTCTTCAGGATCGCCTGAGGCTGTGTCACAGGTGCATGTCTTTAACTTTGGCAAAATTAACTTTCTAAATTGACTGAGACCTGTCTCAGATATTCGGGGTTCACAGGACATGGTGAAAAGATGGCTATCCATAAACAGGGAAGCAGACCCTCATGAGAAAACAAATCTGCTGGCACCCAATCTTCAGAATTGTGAGAGAAATGGATTTCTGTTGTTTGCAAACCACCCAGTTTATGGTAGTTTGTTATAGCAGCCCAAACAAACTACAACAGTGTCTTTAACAGATAATGATATTTTAAAGATCATCTTACACATCAAAATTAAAAATGGCCTCTCAGTATCATTTAACAGCTATTCTGTTTTAATTTTTCTACAATTACCTTAAAAATAACTTTGGACAGTGATATTTTGAATTAAGATGTCAACAAGGCCTATTTTGAAATGTATATGTATTAGTTTGTTCTCACACTGCTATGAAGAAATACCCGAGAGTGGGTAATTTATAAAGGAAAGAGGTTTAATTGACTCACAGTTCTGTGTGGCTGGGGAGGCCTGAGGAAATTTATAATAATGGCGGAAGGCAAAGGAGAAGCAGGCATCTTCTTCACAGGGCAGCAGGACAGAGTGACTGCAAGTAGTGGAGATGCCAGATGCTTATAAAACCATCATATCTCATGGACTCACTCAGTATCACGAGAACAGCATAGGGGAAACCACCCCCATGATCCAGTACCTTCACCTGGTCCTGCCCTTGACATGTGGGGATTATGGAGATTATAGGGATTATAATTCAAGATGAGATTTTGGGTAGGGTCACAGCCAAACCATTTCAGTATATCTTCAAAATCTATTCCTATTCTTTTTTTGTTGTTGTTGTTATCAGCCTCATTTGTCCTGGAAAATTTTCACATTCTGCATGAGTCTAAATGTGTTCTCGTGTCATTTAATGTGTTCTTCCATCTTTTTTATTTCTGGCACACTGATAGCCCTTATATTTTGACCATAGTTGTGCTTTTTTGTTGTTGTTGGTGAGGGTATTCAAAAGATGGTGCTCTGTACTTCCTGTTATATTTCTATCAGGCAGAAGAAACTTCTGTCTGAACCACTTCAACTCACTTTTCAAGGCCCAGTCCTTATCTTACTTCTCTAGGACACATTACTGAATTTCCCCACTACTCCTCTGAACACACATGGCTCCTAATCAATATTTCTACCAATTAAAGTTGTGTGTGTGTGTGTGTGTGTGTGTGTGTGTATTCTGCTGTCCTTGAATGTAAATGTTTCCACCCTAGTGACCATGCTTTTACCATATTTGTATCTTCAATGTCTGATAATGGACATTACACACCACAAGGCCTGATATGTTTGGGATGAAAAGTTGTTTTAAATATTAGGTTACATACATATAATACTTAACAGAGTTATGTAGCCCAACCAATACTTCCTGAGTACAGGTTATACCTCTGTGCTCAGGAAGCACCAGTCACCGCAGCCTCCTGATAGGTCTCTACAGCTTTAGTAGTCTTTCTATTACTCTTGTAACAAATCACCACACACTTAGTGGATTAAAACACTATACACTTACTATTACACATTCTCCATGTGTTAGGAGCCGAGGCACGGTTTAGCTGGATCTTCTGTTCAGATCTCACGGGCTTAAGTCAGAGTGTCTATCAGATGTGCAAACCTCATCTGAAGCTATTGGTCATTTTCCAAGCTCACTGGTTGTTGGAAGAATTGATCTGTGTGGGTTTGTGTGTGTGTGTGTGTGTGTGTGTGTGTGTGCGTGTGGTAGTAGGACCAGTTTTCCTCCTTATTTTCATCTTCATCATGGGCAAGGAGTCATTCTCAGCTTTCAGAGGCCTTTCCCTGTTTACCAACAGTTCAGAAGTTGCCTGTTTGCTTTCTTCCTCAAGGCCAGCAAAACTCACCCCTCTGACTTCTCCCACTAGCCACAGAAAACTCTGCCTTTAAAGGACTCAACAGATGATGTCAGGTCCACCCAGATGATTTCTGCATTTTAAGTTGAAATGACTGGGAACTTTCATTAAATCTGAAAAATCCCTTTCCAGCAGTACCCAGGAATAGATGGGCAACAGGAAGTCTTGGCTGTGGGCCACCTTAGGGTTCTGCCTACCACAAGCTTGTCAAACAATACCTTTTCCTGGAGGCCCCTTTGTCAATTTGTGACATTCCCTTGAAGCCTTATCCAAGCTCCTCTCATGCTTGATTCTCGGTGTCTGTCCTCAAGTCCCACTAGAAATATCAGTTCTTCTGAAGGGTGTTCTTTAATTACCTTATTTAAGTAGCTACCCCCAAACTTGTGCCTTATTTTCCCATCACAACATGCCATTGCCTGCATAACATTAATCATAATGTCTATTTTTTCAATTAACTTACTTGTTTATTGCTTCTCCGTCTTCAGAATATAGAATTTGTGAGACCAAGAAACTTGCATGCCTTATAATAAGTGCCAAGCCCAGGTGGGTGCGTGACACCTAGGTGATTAGGAAACATTTTTTACTGAATGAATACTAGCCTCTGTGTGTGTGTGTGTGTGTATATATATATATATATATATATGCACATATAATTTACATTCTAAGGATAACCAGTTGCTACTCACAACATAAAACCTCTGTATAAGTGGAATTGCAAAATCCTTAAAACTGAATTTCTGATTCTTTTATCTTGAAAGGACCAACCTTGGGCATTAATTTTAACCATAAACTTAGAAAAATAATATGATAAAAAAGAGAAAAGTACTAAGCAGTATGTAGCTTTTCAATAAATCACCACACATATTAATCTCTTCCAGCCAAAAACATGCTCACATACTTCTTAGGCTTTCTTTTGCTTGGAAAAGATGACACATTAAGAAAGAGCACTGGTTATAGGATGAAGTGGGAAATTAGAGAAGGAAGTCATATTTTTCAAAGCTGGAGACATTAGCATTTTCATTTTCAGTCAGGAGCTGGGATTTTCATGCCCCCATAATCTTATTCTTTAGAAATGATTTGCATTTGCATTTAGCAGAGTGTTGTATTAAAACCAAGCACCCTTCCCAGCCCCTTTACTTTTTTTCATCTTCCAACCAAAGAAGTGGACAAATTAAGGGCTTAGTTTTGGTGGGATATCATTATGCACTGTTTTATTTCCTTTCTTCCTTTAGGAGAATTAAGCCTAAGTGACTTGTTACTCTTCACAATGAATGCTAAAGCTTACTTTGTTTTATGATATTTCACATGTATTTAACAAATCATATCTTCAATATAACTTTAGTGCTGAGGAAATAAAGGGCATATGTTTCTGGCACTTTTATTCTTTGTTCTTCATCATAAGATCTCTGAAGCTTGCAAGTCTTTTGTTTAGTCTTCCTTTTATCAGGATATTTCAAAAGGCAGTGGTGTTAGTTAAAGCAGTTCCTTTGTATTAATCTCCAACCCACCCGCACTGTTAAGGCTTCCTATGGGGCTCTGGCAACCCAGTTTTCCTTCTTAGACAACTTCTCCATCTCCTTCTGGCAGTGGGAGGCCCAGTAGCTTAGGAGACTGAACTGTGTGCTTTTCCTCTTTTACTGCAATTAATAAACTGCAATGTTTATAATGACTCCATCTTATGGGGTATTTTCTCTCGTTTCCTTCTTTTTTTTTTAATTTATAAGAATGTCCTGAACTATTAAGCATTCTGAAGTTTTATTCTATGCTAGACATTTTACATAAGCATTTCATTTACTCCACACAACAATCCTGTGAAGTAGGTTTTGTTGCTCCTTTTTTTTTTTTTTTTTAGAAAATAAGACTAATATAAACTTGCCCTATATTTTATAGATGATAAGAAGAAAGACCAGAATTTAAATCTAAATCTAACATCTGAGCCCAGAATCTTGATTGGAACCCTCAGATGCAACTCAGTGTCTGTCCTCACGATCTGAATTGTTCACGTGGCACTTACTATCTACTACCTTATGTATATTATTATCTTTTCATGTGGTTATGTTCATTTCTCCAAGGGAGCTCAAAACAACTGTAAGAAAATCCCGTGGTAACTCCTCAGGCTCTCACACCTGAAAGAAGTGCTAAACAAATGTTTCTTGACAGATGGTTTTGGTGTTACCCCTCTTAGCCTAGGTGGATTTCTTTTTTTTATTATGATAAAACATATATAACATAAGATTTACCATCTTAATCGTTTTAAGTGTACAGTAGTGTTCACTATATGCAAATTATTGTGCAACAGATCTCTAGAACTTTTTCATCTTGTGAAGCTGAAACTCCCTATTTAATAAATTCCTTTTTCCTCTCCCCTTTAACCCCTAGCAGCCACTGTTCTATTATGTTCTAAGAGTTTGACTGCTTTAGATACCTCATATAAGTTGAATCATGAAACATTTGTCTTTTTGTGAATGGTTTATTTCAGGAAGCATAATATCCTTAAGGTGAATGCCTTCGTGTTCAACCTGTGTGTTTCCTTAATATTCGAAGTTAGTCTTTTGTAGAAAGCATATAGTTGTATCTTGTTTTTATGTTCATTCAGCCACTGACACTGTGTCTTTTGATTGGGGAGTATAATTGACATTTAAAGTAATTACTGATATGGAAGGACTCACTATTGTTATGTTAATTGTTTATTGTATGTCTTGTAGTTTGTCCATCTTTTTTTCCTTTTGTTGTTTTCTTTTGCCTATTATTGAATTTTTGGTAGTAATGTGCAGTGATTTCTTTCTCATTTTCTTTTATATATCACCTATAGGTATTTTCTTCATGTTTACCATGAAGATTATAGAAAATCTAATACTTATAACAATCTATTTTAAACTGATAACAACTTAATTTATATTACATAGAAAAACTCTATTCCTTTATATCCTGCCTCCCCCATATTGTATTATCAATATTATAAATTAAATCTTTTTAGATTTGAAGTCTATTAAACTAGTTTTACAGTTATAGTTTTTATTCTTTTGTCTTTTAAATTCTGTCCCCAAATTAAAAGTGATTTATGCATCACAATTATAGTATTAGAGGATTCTGTATTTGTTTATGTATTTAACTTACCAGCGAGCTTTCTGTGTTCAAATACTTTTGGGTTGCTCTCTAGCACACTTTCACTACACCTTGAAATACTTCCTTTGGCATTTCTTCTAATGTAAGTCTAGCACTGATGAACTCTATCAGGTTTAGTTTATTTAGAAAAGTTTTCATTCCTCTTTCATTTTTGGGTCTTTATTCCTCTTTCATTTTTGAAGAATGGTTATGCTTGCTGTAGTATTCTTAGTTGACAGGTAATTTTTCCTTTCAGTACTTTGAATATAACATCCACTTCCTTCTGCTCTACAATGTTTCTGCTGAGAAATCTGCTGATAATCTAATGACAGCTTCCTTGTATATGAAAAGTTGCTTTTATCTTGCATCTTTCAAGATCCTCTGCTTTTGAGTTCTGACAGTCCAGTTGTAATATGTCTTGGTATGTGCCTTTTTGGGTTCATTCTACTGGAGTCTTTTGAACTTCCTGAGTTTGGACGTTTTTTCCTTCTTGAGATTTTGAAAGTTTTCGGCCCTTACCTTTTCAAACAAGCTCTCTGACCCTTTCTTTTCTCTTCTCATTCTGAGACTCCCATAGTACATATGTTTTCCACTTGATGGTGTTCCATAAATCCCCCAGTCTTTCTTCACTTTTCTTCATTACTTTTTGTCTTTGTTTCTCTGATTTAATAATTGCAAATTACCTGTCTTCAAGTTCCCTGATTGATTTTTCTGTTTGATCAAGTCTTCTGTTGAACCCTGCTATTGAAATTTTAACCCAGAATTTCTATTTGGTTCTATTTTATACTTTTCATCTCTTTGTTGATATTCCCATTTTGTTCATGCATCATTTTCCTTGTTTCATTTATTTTTCTGTGTTCTTTTGTAGCTCAGTGAGTTTCTCTAACACAATTATTTTGAATTCTTTTTCAGGGAATTAATAGAACTTTATTTTTAGGGTCACATATGGAGATTTATGTTTTCCTTTGTTGGACTTTTTTTTCTATATCTTCATATGCTTTATTATTTTTTTCAGGGATTTGTGCATTTGAAAAAGCAGCCACTTCTTCCAATCTTTAAGAACTGTCTTTATACAGGGAAAGACCTACATCTATCAGCCCAGCTGCAGATTCTCAAGGCCTCTCAAACATTTTCTGGGAATGCATCTTCTTTTTGTTTGTACATGTAATTTCCCATTGATAAAGGTTTGCCAGTTTCTTTTCTTTCTTTTTTTTTTTTTTTGAAATCGAGTCTCACTGTTGTTGCCCAGGCTGGAGTGCAATGGCACAATCTCAGCTCACTGCAAACTCCATCTCCTAGGCCAGCTTCTTTTTAAATAGCCCATACTCTCATGCTCTCTCTGGTGTCTGTCTACAGTACCACAGGTTTTCTGGTCCTGCAACAACCCTCCTAGCTCTCCTTTGCTCTTAGACATTCCTAGGTATCTAAAGTACACTGTTTCCTAGTTAGCACTTCAAGTCAGGAAAGACAGAAACCAGACTCTTTTAAAAAGTTCCCTCAAAAGCTGAACCATTGGACATATATTTCACTCTTCTCTCTCTTTCTCCCAAGGAAAAGCTGCTAGTTAAGAGTTTTCTCCTAATCGGGCTAGCATGTGCTGGCTTGGGAAACAAGCTACAATTTGTGAAATGAAATGGCTTTTCTTACACATTTTATTGCAGCTCTTCTTGGCAGTGTGGCTGTTCTTGACTTTGTCTGAAGTACTGTGACTTCTTAACAAGTTTCTGGAGTTTTCATAAAGGCTTTTTAGACTTTATATTGTTTAGTAGTAAGGGTCTCTGTGGGAAAAAAAGTCTAAAACTTTTTATTCCACCATTTTGCTGAAGTCCCTCTTCTATTCATTTATTTATATCTGTGTTATTATCAAAACCTCAAACCCAACTTTCTTTCACACCTCTTTTTAATATTACTTTTTTCTGTAATTCCTGATCTCTTCCAAAAATGAGAGGTTTAAATTTACTGTTTGATTTATATAATTATCTCTGAGTTTGTTGCTAACTTTAATTCTCTTCCTCCAATGAAACCAAGTGTCCCAAAAGAATAAATCTGATCAGTGTAAGCTGCAAAATATCAAAACTTTAGCTTAAATTTTTGCAGATTTATTATTTTATTTTTATTATTTTATTTTTATTTTTTTGAGATGGAGTTTCGCTTTTGTTGCCGAGGCTGGAGTGCAAAGGCACCATCTTGGCTCACCACAACCTCCGCCTCCCAGGTTCAAACGATTCTCCTGCCTTAGTCTCCGGAGTAGCTGGGATTACAGGCATGCACCACCACGCCCGGCTGATTTTTTCTGTATTTTTTTTTAGTAGAGACGGGGTTTCTTCATGTTGGTCAGGCTGGTCTTGAACTCCCGACCTCAGATGATCTGCCCGCCTCGGCCTCCCAAAGTGCTGGGATTAGAGGCATAAAGCCACCGCACCCAGCCTGCAGATTTTTTTTTTTAAACAAACTTATAGCTGTCTTTCAACATCTCTGAAGTTTCATTGCTTTCATTAAGAAGAAAGACACACATTCCAGATGTAGCATTCATATTTTAAATTATGTGCTAATAGTTTTGATAAAATGATCATAATATGGCCATTTGTTGACGTTCATTTCAAATGAAATCTTCTAATGAACTGGGTATTTAAGGGGAAAATATAAGAAAAGCCACATGTTCTTTAAGTATTTCCTAATCTTTCAATCATTATGAGTTTGATTGAAGATAAAAATAAGAGAAATTATCCTCAGTGAAGTGAGTAATTTAGAATTTAATGCTCCAATACTCCCAGTTTTTGAAAAATTAACCACAAAAAAACCTAAACTTGGCATTGGTTTCAGACCTTTCAACTCACAAGCTATAAATATACATTTTGATGAAGATCATTTTATAGCATACCTAGTGGTTATTTAATTAATTAACTTTCCACATTGGCTGTAGTAATTGCTTTATTCAGCTCCTATAAATAATAACACTATATTCTCAGACTTGGGCTAGATCTATTAACTGGTGCATGAGCCAAAACAAATATAATTAATATAGAGATGATAAATCACTTAAGTAAAAAAAAATATTAAATGGACAAAGAGAATCTTCATGAAAATTAACCAACATTTATGCCTTTGTTGAACTACAGTAGAATATTGCATAGATAATATTTGTACAAGGCTGTAGGCACTTTATGTTTTATAGTTATAGACTGATTAATCAAACAAAACAATTCCATAAAATAGATTCTGTAATTATCACCATTTCTCAAAGACTAAAACTGAGGTATAGAGAAGTTAAATAACTTGTCTAAAGTTAAAAAAAGTAGTGTTCTTAGACATTGAAAATATAGAATTTGATTCCAAAGACCAAAATCAACCATGATCTTCTGTACACTGAGTACAGGCTATATGCACTCCACCCCCACTTCCATGCACACCCTTACATACACAGAAGCACATACAATTATTTCTCATTATTCATGGGGGATATGTTCCAGAATCTCCCACGAATACAAAAATAATAGATTTGAATTGACATAAAATTGCATAACATTTGCATATAGTTTATGTAGATTCTTCCGTATGCTTTAAATAATCTCTAGATTATTTATAATAACTAATACAATGTAAATGCTATGTCTGTAGGTATTATATTGTTAGGAAATGATGACAAGAAAAAAGTTTGTACATGTGCAGTACAGATGCAATTTTTTTCTAATATTTCTGATCTATGGTTGGTTAAATCTACAGAAGTGGAAGCCATGGATAGAGAGAGCCAATTGTTTAGTTATTCTTACTAATATATTTCTGGAATTACATACACGTATTTTTTTATCTTCTCAGTAATACTATAAAATGTGTATTATATATTTTTCCATTTTATAATCCCAGTGCTTTCTGATTCCAAAACAGGGCTTTATCTTGGATGCCTGCTAGGAACTAAATTGTGTTCCTTCCAAAATTCATATATTGGACCCCTAATCCTTGGCAAGACTGTTATTTGGAGAGAAGGCCTATGAGGAGGTGATAGAGATTAAATAAGGTAATAAGCATGGGTCCCTAATTCAATAGGACTTGTGGCCTTATAAGAAGAGGAAGATACAACAAAGCCCTCTCTCTACTAAATGAGGACATGTGAGAAGGCAGCCATCTGCAAGTTAGAAAGAGAGCCTTCACCAGAAACCAAATTAGCCAGCACCTTAATCTTGGACTTTTGCACCTGCAGAACTGTGAGAAATAAATTTCTGTTGTTTAAGCCAGTCAGTCTGTGGTATTTAGTTATAGTAGCCCAAGTAAACTAATGTGCCATTACTTCATTCTCGACTAAACATGAAGACTCTATCTGTATGTTTCTTAATAAGAACTATACAGGACTCTACCTAGGGGATTTCCAAAACTATAATGCCAAAGTGTGATGGTTTATAGAGTTCTCATCCACTCTGTATCAGTTTGCTGTGGCTGCTGTAACAAAGTACCACCAAATTTATGTTTTAAAACAGCAGAAATGTATCCTCCCACAATACTGAAGCACAGAGGACCAAAATGAAGGTGTTGGCAGGCCACACTCACTACCGAGGCTCTAGGGAAATATCCTTTTCTTGCCTTTTTCATCTTCTGGTGGCTGTCAACATTCTTTGCCTTGTGTCTTCCCTCTAATCTTCAAGGCCAGAATCTTCAAGTGTCCGGTTTTTTTTTCTTTCTTTTTTTTTTTTTTCATATCACCTACCCCTTTGTGTGTAGTAAGATCGCTCGGTCTCCTTCTTATAAGGATACAAGTAATTCCTTTTAAGGCCCAGCCAGATAATACAGAACAATCGCCTCATCTTAAGATCCTTAATTGAATCACATCTGCCAAGGTTTGGCTTTGTCATTATTATTGACATATAAGGAAACATTCACAAGTTCCACGGATTAGAAATAGGATATCCTTTGGAGGGAGAGGCATATATTTCAGCCCACCACATACTATAACTCAAAATTATTAATATTTTATCCATTTTCACCACATTCTTTGGACTCCAGGAAAGGAGAAATTCTCCTTCCTTGCCAGACTAATTGCAACACCTGTAGTGGGGATCTCATTTCTTGTGGTTTTATTTCATGACCTTTTCCCATCAATTATTCCCTTACTCTTTCTTTTGCATTAGTCTCTCCTTTTATATGGACTCCTTTCCTACAGACTAAAAGAATGTATAAATATACCTTCACTACCTTTAATGCTCTCAAAAACAAAAGCAAAAAACTTTCAGTCTTCATTCAAATTTTCTTGCCATAAAGATTCTGCTCCATTTCTCTTTTCTTTCATTCCCAAATTTCTTAATTACATCAACATTTATAATTCTTCATTAAGATATCTCTGATGCCTCCCAGTTGCTTTTAGAATGAAAGTTCAGGCTGTTTGTCATAACATTAAAGATTGCTTCATTGTAATTTCTATTTGTGATTCTGGTTTCTTCTCATGATATACTACTGTGACCTAATTCTCCCCAAAATGCATGTGATGGATTAAACAGGAGCGGTGATTCCTTTATAATATCCTTCCATTTAATACGAGGAGGCTGGATGATTACTTTGCCAATATGATGAAGTCATCCTCTGCCAGTGTCCAGGATAAGGCCTTAACAGAACAAACTGGCAGCATCCACATCTGTCTCTGCTAACTCTCTCCAGGAGCTCTCATCTACCATGTGGGGAGGCTGGGTATCCCGACTATGCTTGGATGCCATGCATTGTTGCTACAGTCAATAGTCCAAGCTTAGTCCATCCTTCCCCTCATCTTTGACAAGGTTTTAGATATAAAAGTGAAAGTGCTGCCACACATAACCTTTCAACTAGTCAAAAGCCAACAGGTTTTAAGACATTACTTTGTTAATCTCTTTTAAAAATCAAGCGCTTATAAGAATCTTAAAGACATTATTTTACAGAAGACCCACACATTTTTTTACGAGAGAGAAGAGCCTATCCAATCAAATAACCTAACAATATTAATGAAACCTGTAAAATTTTTATGATAACTATGTCACTCACAAACAACAATAACTTAGAATAAAAGGACCACAGAGAGCACAAAATAAAAAGATCTTACAGCCACCTAGTCTTCTAAACAACCATAGGAGGCCCGTGTAGTCACAAACATGGGCCAAAACAATGATTCAAAGGACAAAACCCATGAACTAGAGCTAAAAGTCAGAGCATACATTTCCAGGGAGCAGAACTCAGCTCTAATCATGAAATTGGTGACATCTTCCAGACTGGGTTTCAAAGTTTCTATGAAATAGTGACTGTTACGTGCCTATGAATTTCCTTTTTGAATGGGAATGGCTATTGTGGTTACACTGCCTCTGTCTTATTGTTGTATATTGTTTTGTGTTATGTTTTGTTTTCCCTGGAGCAGGAATCAGCAGGCAACTTACCAATTTAGTTCACACATTTATAGGATGAGAGAGATCATGCTCAAAAAATGATATCTAAGGAGCATCAGAACACCTACATCTAATTTGAATTACAAGATTCAGGAATCTGAGTTAATGCTGTATTGGGAGAAAGCTTTAAAGGTCTGAGGATAGAGTTAATATATTTAGCATGAGGAGAAATGATAAAGGGGTAAATTCAGCAAGATAATATAACAATTATAAATATATATACACTCAACACTGGAGCACCCAGATATATAAAGCAAATATTATTAGAGAAAAAGAGAAAGACACACCCAAATACCATAATAGCTAAAGATTTTAACACTCTACTTTCATCATTGGACAAATCTTCCAGACAGAAAATCAACAAAGAAACATCAGACTTAATCTCTCTTCTTACGGCCTTTGTCTTGAAATCTATTTTGTCTGAAATAAGTACAGCTACTTCTGCTGTTTTTTCATTTCCATTGGCTTGGAATGTCTTTTTTCACCACTTTATTTTCAGAATAGCCAAAACTATCCTAAGCAAAAAGAACAAAATTAGAGGAATCACATTACTAGACTTTAAATTGTACTACAGAGCTATAGTAACCAAAATGGTATGGTACTGACATAAAAACAGACACGTAGATCAGTGAAACAGAATAGCAAACCCAGAGATAAACCAATACCTCTACAGTGAACTCATTTTTGACAAAGTTGCCAAGATTATACATTGAGAAAAGGGCAGTCTCTTCAATAAATGGTGCTGGAAAATGGTGCTGGAATCATACATTGAGAAAAGGGCAGTCTCTTCAATAAATGGTGCTGGAAAACCGGATATCCATATGCAGAAGAATGAAACTAAATCCGTATCTCTCACCATATACAAAAATCAAATATCAAAATGAATTAAGGACTTAAACTTATGCCTTCAAACTATGAAACTACAAAAGGAAACACTGGGGAAACTCTTCAGGACATTGGAATGGGCAAAGATATCTTGAATAATACCCCATAGCACAAACAACCAAAGCAAAAATGGACAAATGGAATCACATCAAGTTAAAAAGCTTCTATACAGCAAAGAATACAATCAACGAAGTGAAGAGACAACCCACAGCATGGGAGAAAATATTTTCAAACTATCCATCTGACAAGGGATTAATAACAAGAATATATAAGGAGCTCTAACAACTCTATAGGAAAAATTTAATAGCTCAATTTAAAAATGAGCAAAAGATCTGAATAGATATTTCTCCAAAGAAGACATTCAAATGACAAACAGGTATATGAAAAAGTGCCCAACATCAATGATAATCAGAGAAATGCACATCAAAACTATAGTAAGTAGTCATCTCATTCCAGTTAAAATGGCTGATAACCAAAAGTCAGGCAATAACAAATGCTGGTGAGGATGTGAAGAAAAGGGAATCCTTGTACACTGTTGGTGGGAATGCAAATTAGTACAACTATGGAGGACGGTTTGGGGGCTCCTCAAAAAACTGAAAATAGAGCTACCATACAATCCAGCAATCCCACTCCTAAGTATATATGCAAAAGAATGAAAATCACTATATTGAAAAGATATCTGTACTCTCATGTTTGTTGCAGCACTAGTCACAATAGCTAATATTTGGAAGTGACCTACGTGTCCATCAAAAGATGAATAGATTAATAAAATGTGGTATTTATACACAATGGAGTACTATTAAGCTACAAAAAAGAATAAGACCCTGTCATTTTCAACAACATGGATGAAACTGTAGGTCATTATGTTAAGTGAAATAAGCCAGGCACAGAAAGACAAACTTTGCATATTCTCATTTATTTCTGGGAGCTAAAAATTAAAACATTGAACTCATGGAGATAGAGAGTAGAAGGATGGTTACCAGAGGCTGGGAAGGGTAGTGGAGTGGGGGTAGAGGGTAGGGATGACTAATGGTTATTAGTTATTATAACTATTAAAAAATAGTTAAAAAGAATGAATAAGTATTTGATAGTACAAGTGTGACTATATTAAAAATAATATAATTATACATTTTAAAAATAAATGAGTATAATTGGATTGTCTGTAACACAAAGCATAAATGCTTGAGGTAGTGGATACCTCATTTTCCCTGATGTGATTATTACACATGTATGCCTGTATCAAAATGTCTCATGTAACCCATAAATACGTATGCCTACTATGTATCCACAAAAATTAAAAATTAAAAAAATACATTAATTAGCTACATTCTTTACTTAAATTCCTTAAAATCTATTACAAAGTTAAATTAAAAAAGTAAAATTCTAGGCCAGGTGTTGGGGCTCATGTCTGTAATCCTAGCACTTTGGGAGGTGGAGGTGGGTGGATGGCTTGAGTCCAGGAGTTTGAGACCAGCCTGGGCAACATGGCGAAACTCCGTCTCTACAAAAAAATACAAAAATTAGCCAGACGTGGTGGTGCGTGACTGTAGTCCCAGCTACTCAGGAGGCTGAGAAGTTGGAAGGAGCCCTTGAGCCTGGGAGGCAGAGGTTGCAGTGAGCTGAGGTCTTACCACCACACTCCAGCCTGGGTGACAGAGTGAGACCTTATTTCAAAAAATGAATGAATGAATGAATGAATAAATAAATAAATGATTTCAGATACTATGTTTTATAACTTATTTCCCCACATAAAATAATGCTTTGATGCTTCTCTATATACAACAAAGTTGAAAAAAATTTGTCTTTTATTGCTGTAGGTAGATATAAGTCAAATAGATAAAAAGTATCAATTGAGAAACTTACCTTAAAATAAATTCACTTAAATTATCCAAAAATATTATTTCATCAATGTCCCAAAGCATTTAAAATAATACCAAACAATTTATAAATTATTATTTTAATATGGATTTTTTAAGCCATACTACTATCAGTTGTGAGATTAAAAAACATTAAGATATTAACACTAATTCTTGGCAGAGAATTATCTCTATCTTGTCATTACTTCAGGCTGAATACATTTCACTTCTTTAGAGCTAATTATATCTCCTATTTCGTATACTTTGAGATTGTCAGCACAATTTTATGTGGAAGACAGAGAAAGGAAATTTCAAGCATAAGGAAATATATTTATATTTAACAATAGAGTAATATTTGCCAGTTCAGTCTGTAATTCCATTTATGTACCAAAAGTTTTCATGAAAGAAACAAGCTAATTTGAAATATTGTTTCTCTTTTAAATCCATTTGTAAGTAGCACATATATGGGGAAATCACAGTGCTGTTAGGATAACTTCAAAGGAGAGACCAAATTTGCTTAATCTCTTTATCACCTTAAGGTGCTCCCTTAATTAGGTTGGGTTGCTATAAAGAATCCCATAGACAGTGACTTAAACAACAAATATTTATTTCTCATAATTGTAGAGGCTGGGAAGTCCATGATAAACGTATTAGTGGATTTGGTTCTTAGTGGTGGCCCCTTTCTTGGTATGCAGTTTCATTGGTTTTATTCTTCTGTTTATGGATATCCAGTTTCCCAGCACTATCCTCAATGTATGTTCTTGGTGACTTTCTCAAAATGGCTTGGCTTAAATGTGTAAATTTATTTCTGAATTTCTTACTCTGTTCCATTGGTCTATTTGTCTGTTTTAATCTCAGTATCATGTTCTTTTGGTTACTATAGCTTTGCAGTATAGTTTGAAGTAAGGTGGTGGGATGCTGTCGGTTTTGGGGTTTTTTTTTGTTGTTTGTATTTTGTTTTTGCTCCAGATTGCTTTGGCTGTCCTAGGTCTTCTGTCATTACATATGAATTTTAGGATTTTTTTTTCTGTTTCTGTAAAGAACTTCACTGGCATTTTGTTAGGGATTGCATTGAATCTGTATATTACTTTGGATAATATAAACATTTTAACACCATTATATTTTTTAGTCTATAAATATGAGATGTCTTTTAATTTTTTGTGCCTTCTTCAATTTCTGTCATCAGTGTTTTATAATTTTCATTTCAGATATCTTTCACTTCTTTGCTTAAATTTATTCCTGGGGATTTTTTGTAGCTATTGTAAATGAAATTGCTTTCTTGAATTCTTTTACAGATTGACATATAGAATTGATACTGATTTTTGTGTGTTGATTTTGTATCCTGCAATGTTCTTGAATTTATTGATCAGTTCTAAAAGTTTCTGGGGGGAGATTTTCTAAATATAAGACCATGTCATTTGCAAACAAGCACAATTTGACTTCTTTCTTTTCAATTTGTATGTCTTTTATTTCAGTCTCTTGCCTAATTGCTTTCTCTGGGTTTTCTAGTACTCTAAAATGAAAGTAAAAAGAGGTGAAAATGGGCATCCTTGTCTTGTTTCAGACCTTAGGGAAAAGGCTTTCAATTTTTCCTCATTCAGTATGATATTAGCTGTAGGTTTGTCATATGTGGTCTTTGTTGATTGAGGTACGCTCTTTTTAAACCCAGTTTATTGAGAGTTTTCATCATAAAGGGATGTTAAATTGTATTGAGTGCTTTTTCTGCATCTAATGAAATGGTCATATGGTTTTCATCCTTGAATCTGCGAATATAACATGTCATGTTTTTTGATTTGCATATGTTGAAACAGCCTTGACTCACTGGGCTGAAACTCATTTGATCATGTGAAATGATCTTTTTAGTATGTTATTGGGTTTGGTTTGCTTTTACTCTGCTGAAGATTTTTGTATCTGTAGGACTCCTTATGACTTTATAAAAAGAGCAGATAAAATAAGTGACAAAATGTACTTTCTGGAATAATAATTAAATTTAATTTTCTATAAATATATAAATACAATTACTATATCTCAGCTCTCAAAGAACTGGTACATTCCTAAGACATATTATGGGTAACATCATTTTCTCTGTCTACATTTGTTCCTAATTCTCTCATTTTCTTGGTCATATTCTGTTAAAACTTTTAATTACAATAGCTTTGGTTCATATAGGTCAGAAAAATTTATTTTTCATGTTACAGTTTCAATACAAATTGCATTACATTGCAACTTCGCACTAAAAATGCCAGGCAGGTTTTTATTATTATCTAGAGATACTATTCCTGATAATTCTTGGTGCTGCCACCTCTTTGTCTTTCTCTGTATATTTCTGAGTATATTAGAGTGTAGAAATAGGTTTACTATTTGGAAGAGCGGTTTCCAAACTGTACCAGACCCTAAAAGGAGACTTGTTGCTCCTTGAATAATACTCTCAAATCTCCTTTCTACTGATCAAGCCTATGGACAATGACTTGAATGAAATCTTAGAGGAAACCGGATAATACATGTAATAAATTCAGAGATGAAATTATACATCATGTACTGGGTGCCAAGATATAGGAAAGGGTATTTTTATGACATTCTATATTTTTTTTAAATGTTGCTTGAATAGGAAGATGGCACTTTTATATGTAGATCATTTCTAACATCTTCTTTGGTTTCGAAAAAAAGGATAATGTGCATGTAGTCGCTGCTTTGAAAATATCTCAACTTTCACATATTCTTCCTAAAAATGTGTAGAACTGTGGCTCCAAGCCTAGTATCTCAAGTGAAACAAACAAAAAACCAAGAAATAAAACCTAATTTAAAGATTAATAGTTATTAAATATTGATGCCATTTCAGGGTATCAGTTTGATAAATTATCTAGGATGTCTTTTCCTGAAACAAAATTCAAGTTGCATAAAACATAGTCATTGCATACAGAGAATGTTCGTTTGTTTCCAAAGAAAATTGTTAGGGGTTAGCATTTAAATCGTAAGTGTATAAATCTTTAACTACTTTGACGTTTCAGTTAAAAAATTGTCAGATTTTATCAAATTTTAAAATGCAAGTGTCCTTAATTATATACTGAGAGATAATATAGCTTGAAATAGTTTTCCACAGTATAATCTTGAATCAGCAAGGCCTTGATTACTTACTCAGTAGGATGCCTTTGAATTGGTTAAATCAAATAACTGTCATGTTGGACAATGCTTGTAGTACTAATGAAGTAGATGGAAGTGGGAAAAATGCCAAAATAGACTTTTGAAAAGGGAAAAAGATGACCATGAAAATTATGTATCATTCAGTTTAGGTGTAAACATCCATCTGTCCCTATTATGTTATAACAGTTTATTATTCAAATGCATACTGTGAAAGAAGAACATCAAACTGATAAGTAGTTAGTTTAATTTTTAACAAACACCAAAGATTAAAAGATAAACATTTTAGTCTTGGATAAGTCATCTGTATTTGATTAAACTAAAAAATTAAAGTGAAGAAACTTACAAGAATAAGCTTTGTTAAACGTTCTCATTTGTAATAAGGAATCCCCAGTGTGCCAAACAAATGTTTATTTTACATTTAATTACTTGCTACCAGTAATAAATAACAATTAAAATTTCCAAATATTTTGAACATTATAAAATTTTTACATGCATATAATATTGAAAGACATCAATATTTATATTATTCAAAAGGAATGATAACTTCTTTATGTCAAGAGAAGCCATTTCTGAATTAATTTAGTGAATTTAATAATTTAGTTTCTCAAAATTAAATTAATGGCTTTGATTCATCTGTCTGTTCTAGATTGCATTAATCATTTTATTTTTTACTTTTAAAATTTACATTGAAATTTAACACAATTTTCTGCAAGATCTATGAGTTTTTGTTGCTGTTAAGCTTATGATTATATGCCCTTAATTAAAAAGACACTGACCTTTCTAATCCCTTGTAATTAAAAATGTCTCAAGATTTCAGTAACTCTGTGTTCAAAATATTAAGCATCTTTGCTTTTTGTTTTTGTATATAATCTAATCATTCTTGATTTTTTTGTCAATTCTTTTGTAATAGTTCTCAAAATGTTTACTTTTTTAAAATTGTCATAATCACTAGTTCAAGGCCATGTCACCAGACACTTGTGCAATTGCTAAAATTCTTCATAGGCTCTACTTTCCTGAAGTGCCCTCTTCTTCCAATACAAATTACATAGTCCTAAGAGATTAAATCCTTAAAAATTCCTAACAACTCTCTGTTATCTAGAAGTTCAAGTCCATAGCTTTTAGTTTCATATTAAAACTATTCCTCAAACTAGTCTTAGTTTCAGCTACTAAATTTATTTTGAATTTCTTCTCTGAACAAATCATCTGTTCTTAGACTTTATCTGACCTGCACACGCATCTTCTACAGTTTTAAGCCTCTTGATAACTATGGCCTAATTTTTCCTAAACTGTTATAACAATTAACATTCCTGCCAGCAGGGTATAAGTGTTTCCATACGTCATTTCCAAAACTCCATAATTTTGTGTTTTCAATAATAGCATTTTATAATTATGTATTCATATAATAGTTGTCTTCAGAAGTTGCTAAGTTTGTAAGACAGTTAATAACAATATTAACTTGTTAAGAATAGATGTAAAATAATTATTAATATAATTAAAATATATAATTTGCTATAGTACAACCACCATAACTAAATAGTTTACATGTACTAATTCATTGAATATCCTCAGCAACTTGGTTTGATTATACAAACGAGAAAAATGCAGTCTAGGAAGATAATATCCCAAATGTACAAGACTAGCAAAGTGATGTGGTTGCACTTCAAGCCTATGTTTTAACATAGCACGTGACATGGTTGAGAATATAAAATGGGATTGTGTAGTAACTGAAATAGCTCCCTTCTTGGCATGCATTAAATGCCAAGTTCAAAATACAAAATACAAAATTCAAAATACAAATTCTGAATTCCTTGTGTGCAGAAGCATTGCTTGTTGATTTCTCTATCTAACATCTCCCAGCAAAAGACATAGGACATATAAATGTTCAATAAACGCTTTCTTAATTGAGCAATTATTTTGTCCTTCATACACCAGACACAAACATACTCACACTTTTTTTCTTTACAAATTTTTAATCTCTTTTCCCCACCTAGAAACAAAAAAGAACATTTATTTTAATATGAAAGGTACTTTTTTTCAGCCACAGTTTGGATTTATTGACACTTTTTTTCAACTACTGTCTGGAATTATTCTAAGAAATTTGATCCATTAAAATTACATTTTGATTGTTTTAATAAATAGTTATTAAGTATCTATAATATTTCAGATACTCTTGTAGTTTCTGGGGAGACAGCAGTGACATTTCTAAAGCAAAAAATTCCTTGGCCTTATGGAATCTAGATTCTAATAGAGGAGACACACAATAAACAACATAAATAAGCAAAATGTATACTGTTAGACAACTGTAGTGATGAATACTTAGAAGAAAAGCAGAGAAGGGATAAAGTAGAGTATGCGCAGAGGTGTGGAGCTTTAGATTGACTTGCCAGGTAGAACTTCATGGAGAAAACTTAGAATAAGAATATGAAAGATGTACACAATCCAATCACATAGATTTCTTAGGACAGAATATTGCAAGCAGAGGAGAAAGAAATACCAAAGTTGGAGGTGGTTGTGTGTTTGAAATTGCCAAAGAAAAATAGAATGTGAGGGTGATGAACTTGAGAGGAGGAGAAGACAAAGTACAAGAGATGAATAGGTAACAGCCTTGGAGCCCATCAGCAGGATTCATCTTCACTTCCCAGAGAGGTAGGGGGCTGATGTAGAGTTTTGAACACAGGACCGATACAATCCACGGTATGTAAACAGGCTCTCTTTTTCTGCCTATTTTATTGACAAAAGGTTTATGAGAGAAGGACTGGAGAAGGGAGATTTCTAAGGATGTTAGTATAATAATGTAGGCAAAAAATAATGGAGTATTAGATGCAGGAGGTCATAAAGAGGTGGACAGGAAGATATATTTTAAAGATATAATAATGTGATTCACTGACAGTGTGATCTGAGGTGTTAAAGAAAGAGAGCAGTCAGGGATGATTTCAAGATATTTGAACTAAACAATGGAAGGAATGGAGTTCTATTTACTGAGATGAGGAAGATCATTAAAGAAGTTATTACAGGGGTAGGTAGCGCAGTGGGATACAATATGAGGAGCCTGGTTTGGGGGATTTAAGTTTAAAGTAGAAAAGTCTACTAGACTCCAACAATCATTTCCCACGCCATCCTCCAGTAACAGGCTAGTTTAGGCTAACCTCACCTCTCCATGAGTGATTGCAACAATTCCTTTTTCTTTTTTGTTTTATATTTATTTATTTATTTATTTATTTTGAGATGGGGTCTTGCTATGTTGCCCAGGCTGGTCTTGAACTCTTGGGGTCAAACTATCCTCCCACCTCAGCCTTCTAAAGTGCTGGGATTATAGGTGTGAGCCACCATGCCCAGCTTATAATTCCTGACTATTCTTTTTTTCTTCTAGCTTCCTCCATTACTGTGTCAATTTGAACAACATGATTGCAAACTTAAATTAATGGATATAGAAAGGACTCTAATTTCTCAAATTGCAATAAGTGCATTATTTTCAAACACACAGAACATAAACAAAATAATAACCATGTTTTAGGCCTAAAGTTTGTTTCATTAAACTTCAGAAACTTAAAATAATATAGAAGATTTAATCTGACCATAATATAATAAAACAAGATGAATATACAAAAGTAACTAGAGAAAATCATATGTTCTTAAATGAGACAATATATTTCTAGATAACTCAGAGGTCAGAGAAGAAATCACAGTCAATATTGGAAACTATTCATAAACAAATGATTATTAGTGCTTACATGCTACATATTAACATTTTTTGGCATACTTAAAGGCAATTATGTCCTTAGCCATATGTATTGGGAAAGAAGAAACACTAAAATTCAATTGGAAATTTAGAACAAAGCAAATAAACAGCACTGCCAATCCAAAATAAAAGTAAAAGAAAAAAGATAATGAAAACAACAGAACATGGTGAAACAGAAAACAGTCGTGGGACAAAAGGATTAACAAAGGCAAGAATGATTTGATGAAAAGATTTTTAAAGACAATAAAATATTGGTAAAACTTTAGAAGAATAAAAGAAGAGGTCATAATTAAGCAATATCAGTAATAAATAGGAGAGAATACTAAAAATCAACCAGATAATAAAATAACGATATAATATAACAGCAAATATTATATTATTATATCACTGATGTATATATTATATATAATAAATAATATGATAATAGTACGGTTAATCTTATGCAGGTTAATTTCCAAATTTAGATGAAACTGAATGATTCTGAAATCAAAATCCATACTGACAACCAATACTGACCAATTAAAAATGAAAATATGAACAGTTCCATTGAAATAAAAGCATTAGTAACATATTTTCACAAAGAAAACCCTATGCTTAGGTTATTTGACCAGCAATTGCACCTGAAATATTTAAAAAGAAATAATGGATTTTCCCACAGACTCTAGGAGTAAATAAAAAAAGAGAGAACGCTCTCAAGTCACTTTATAAAGTTAGCCCTTGACAGCAAAACCTGAAAGATATTATAAAAAATAATGTTTACACGTCAACCTATTCATTAATTAGATGCAAACGTTTAAAAATATATATTGAATCAAATACAATAAACATTAAAAAATGATGCTGAGACAGGAGAGTTCTCTGACCCCCTCGTGAGGGGAGGGGGTGGCTGGTTTTGATCATAGGTCGAGCTCAAACCTTTTGTGGCAGCAGGCGCACCCAGGGAGTGGGCGGGTGAGGGAGCCGGAGTGAGTGCCTTTAGGCTCCGGCAGGAATGACACCTGTACCAGCCAGCAGCAGTGTCTAGCGGTTGTCTGCAACCTCTGGAGCCCCAGAGGGCATGTGTTACAAACAATGCAGTTGCGGTCGGCAAATAGCTTAAGTGTTAACCAGCCCAGTGGAGAGTCAGGGTGACATACACCCTGCCCTCTTGGTACCTGGGTTCTTGTCTGACATCCAGGAAGAATCAGGTCACAGGGACTTAACGGACAGTGAATGCAGAGATTTTATTGAGTGTGGAAGTGGTTCTCAGTGGGATGGGATGCTGGAAAGCTGATGGAGTGGGACGATAATCTTCCCTGGAGTTGGGAAATGGCCGAACTCCTCTCCCACCGTCCAGCTGCTTCTTCGACTTTCATATCCTTCTCTTCTCTCCTTCTCTGCCACGCCACTCTGCCGCGATTCTGCTCTTGGAGCCTGGAGTTTGAGGTTCTTATGCGCACAGCATAGTGAGTAGGGCAGGCCAGAGTGGTCTTGGAAAAGGCAACATTTGGGCGGAAAAACAGGAATGCCTGTTCTCATTTAGAGCCATAGCTCCAGGCTTGAGGGTGGAGCCCTCACCAGGGACCCCACCTTCTGCCTCCTGTCCATACCAATACTGTTTTTTTGTTTGTTTGTTTGTTTGTTTGTTTTTACTATTTTGGGTTTATTACAGAATTACAAGTTTATTTTAGTATTGAAATGTCAATTGATGAAATGTACTGCATTAACATAACAAAAAAATCACACAATCAACAGAAGATACAGAAAAAGGATTTGATAAATTCAACAACTGCTCATGCTAAAGAAAAAACATATTACAAGACAAATATTACACAGGAGCTTCCTTATGACAAAGTGTGTCTATAGCATTCTATGAGCCTGGTATTTAATGGTGAAAACGTTTCCTTTGAGAGCAGGAAAAAAAATAGACGTCTACTACTATATCTCCCTGCTTTTTACAAATGTAACAGATGTTATTGCCAGCACAGCATAGCAAGAAAAAGAAATAAAAGTTATATAATTGAAATGCATAAGTAAATATATCATTATTGGAAGATTTTACAAGCATGTACCTTAAAAATTCAAAAGTTTACAAATACATTACTGGAATTAAGATGTTATTTGTAAAATGTGGCCAGAGTTTAATATAAAGTGTCTGTTTTATTTCTAAACATAAACGTCTGAATAATTAAATGGCTATCAATCTATATATATAGCAACAATAGTTTTAAAATATTTCAAATAAATATAACTTGATATTATGAAAGATGTGGAAGACCTTTATGACCTCTATGCAAAGGAATAAAAAGTTATTAGTAGAAATGTTTGAAACCTAAATAAGTGGATTAAAAATATCTTCATGTTTTAAAAGACTAGTACAAAATAGATTCTCTCCCAAATGTTTATATAACCAATGCAATCCCAATTAAAACTTGATAAGTTGATCTAAAGTTAGTATACAGCAAAGCAGTTAGAATAACCAAAAAAAATTGAAAAAGAAAAACAAATTGGAAAGACTTATTCTAATTAATTTTAAAAGCTATTATGAAGTTACATTAAGCATTAAGTCATTTACTATGATATAAGAAAGGATTCTCTATGTAATAAATGGTGCTGGGAAAACTGGCTAGCCATAAGCAGAAAGCTGAAAAACTGGATCCCTTCCTTACACCTTATACAAAAATTAATTCAAGATGGACTAAGACTTAAATGTTAGACCTAAGACCATAAAAACCCTAGAAGAAAACCTAGGCAATACCATTCAGGACATAGGCATGGGCAAGGAATTCATGACTAAAACACCAAAAGCAATGGCAACAAAAGCCAAAATTGACAAATCTAATTAAACTAAAGAGCTTCTGCATGGCAAAAGAAACTACCATCAGAGTGAACAGGCAACCTACAGAATGGGAGAAAATTTTTACAATCTACTCATCTGACAAAGGGCTAATATCCAGAATCTACAAAGAACTCAAACAAATTTACAAGAAAAAAAAAAAACAACCCCATCAAAAAGTGGGTGAAGGATATGAGCAGACACTCCTCAAAAGAAGACATTTATGCAGCCAAAAGACACATGAAAAAATGCTCATCATCACTGGCCATCAGAGAAATGCAAATCAAAACCACAATGAGATACCATCTCACACCAGTTAGAATGGCAATCATTAAAAAGTCATGCACTCAAAATTTTAGACTTCTGTTCATTAAGAGTATAAAGAGGATAAAAAGACAAGCTAAGGAGAGGGATAAGGTATTTATCACACATGTGACAAACAAATAGCTTATCATAATATACATAAGTAAGAAAAAGGTGATCCCATAGAAAGTGAACAAGATATTTGGATAGGCACTGGGTTTATGGAATTGGTGGCATGAAGGGAAATTTTGTGTTCTATCTGTGTTGGCATGAAGGGAAATTCTGTGGTCTGTCAGTGTTGACTTCTTGACCTGGGTAGTCGTAGTTCCACAGATGTTCACTTCGTGAAAGAATGCATCTGTACAAAATCTGCACAATTTCAATCTGCAAAGTTTTCTGTACTTTATTTTTTATAATTATTAAATGTTCTAAAAGCAAGATTATTTCACTTCCAGTAATAAAAGAATTGTTGAGGAGACTCTTCAATGTGGAAATCAAAACCAGCAATTGAGGGTAAATTTCAATAATTTCCAAGAAGAAATAAGGGCCTGAACAAAGAGAGAGCCAGTAGAAACAGGAAGAAAGGAAACCATTTCAGTGATAGTACGAAGTTATAAACACGGCTTGACCATTAAAGTGGGGAGATAAGGTAGAGGAAAGAATTTATTTAGAATGACTCACAGGTCTTGAGTGTATTGCTGGAAAATTATTCATTTGCTGGAAATATTAATGAATAGGTTATATTTATGTCCTGCTAAGAATACCGAGAGAGAACTGGAGAAGCAGATATAAATTCAGTAATTCTACATTTTATTTGCAAACTGTTGAAACTGAGCTTAAGGCTTATGTCATTAGACTCGAATTCTTAACCCAGAAATACCAGATAGCCTGAACTGGAGTGTACTAAAGGAATGGTACCATTATTGTAGAAAGACATTAACATTTCAGCTTGCAACATGGGTCTTATCAATAATTAAGTTTCTTTACAGTGCAAATAAAATGAGATCACAAAAAAGAGTAAAAATGATTCTTCTTGGAAGCAGTTGAGTTTAATTAGCTCTTTATAAGCAGTGTAATAATTGGCAGCATTCAGATTGCTGACAGCTTCACTTCTCACTTCTTTATTTTGCTCCCTTCTTTCTTCCCCTCACTTCTTTTAAAGGAAGATCAAAGCCTGTATAGCTGAGTGAATGCTAATGGTGCATACATTTATTTGAAAAGCTTTAAGGCCTTGAAAATCTGCACGTAAGATTTTTTATTTTCAAATGTCTGCCTGTAAGTGTATTTGACACTATTAACAGGAATAATCTCTGCTTTTATTCCCCCGTCCTTTTTAAAAGAAAACAAGTCTAATTTTGGAAATGTTGATTAAAATGAGAGTTACATAACCTTTTTGATCCTCCACAAAATAGGTACTTTGAACCACGACTTGCCATAGAGTTAATGAGTCTCTTCCTCATGCATATGTACTTTCCTCCACATTGTACGCTGCATGAGGAGGGGCCTGAGCCTACCATACAAGCTTGGGAAAATGATTAAACTCTCTTGTTGGTGAATATATAACTCTGACAGGTGGGAGGTGTTGCTGTTGCAGTTTGTAAAGAAAGAATGGAATATTTTCCGCTGGACAAAAATTTCCCGGATTCTTACATGAACAAAATGCCTTCCTCTCTTCTCAAAGTAATAAGAATTACCCATGGCAACTTTGCAAAAGTAGTCCAGAGTTTTATCAGAAAATAGAAACTGATAAATAATTGTGCTTAGAGGAATTAATTTTCTGAAGCATTGGCAGAAACTTACGACGTTTGCTTCTTGGACTTCACTCTCTGGATATACATTATAGTGGGATATTTAGTGTTGCTGAATATTATGCTTAAGTCAAATTTCAAGGGTTAATATATACACTTCAATACTTTGCCTGAGAAAGAGAAAGTTTTAAGTTAATAGTTGTTCTTATTATTTTTGTTGAAGAAGGAGAGAAAGAAAAAGAGGAAGGAAGGGAAAGTAGAAGAAATACAGTATCTACAGCATTCGGTAATTTAGAGAAGCTGTATTAATTTTTTTCTGGTAACATCTCACATTACTGTCTTAAAGAATGGCTGCATGGAATTAAATGATAATTTACTAATTAGAAAGCATGCAAACAAAAGTTAGTATAGCCAAACTAAACAGGAGAACTAGAAAAAAACTGCCTTAAAATATCTGGCCCTTGTCCTATCTATTATAAGAAGATATACTGCACAGTTTATTAGTCTATACAACAGAATGTTAAAAAGCAAAGCATTTCAACTAAGTTTCCAAAACATTAAACCCCAGTTTCTCCCTAATTTTAAAATAAAGTTCAATAAAACACCTATGCGGTGTGTGCCAAGGGTGGGGGTTAACACCTTTGTGGTCTTGGCTCTTAACCCTTTCACCTGTTTAGATGGTAAAATTGAGGAGGTAGGAATGTTGGAATTTGGAGGAATTCTTTAGAGTGGGTTTACTGTGCATACTGGAAACTCATCCACCACAAATACACACAGAAAACCAGTAGAGACCAGGAGATTTTCCTTTAAAAGGAGTATAGGATTTTTACTACTTTATAGTACTAAGCACATTAACATAATAAAAGAACATTATGAATTGAGACTGTCTGAGAGATTAACACCACCAAAGAGTATTTTATTATCTGAGAGCATCTAGAAAAATCTCTTGATTGTATGCACCAATGTAAGCAAGAACTATCTAATAGAGAATGGCTATGCTGGGGCAATCATTAAAGAAGAAAATATAATTTCTAATCATACCCGATGAATCCCACTTATGCAATATACTGGTTATAGTGTATTTCAAGGACCAAAATTTGCTTTCTGATTAAACTTGCAGAAGACTCCATATGTTCAAATCTTCAGGACTATATTCTGGCAAAACTAAATCTAACTAAGGAATTTAAACAGGAGTGCCTTGTCCTCAATTCTATTCTTGTTGAACAACTTTTGTTATTTAATATATGAATAATCGCTATGGGTCTCTATGGTAACAAAGAAGTGTTTTGGCAGTGATTGGAGAGGCACAGATGATTGAAAGGACGATAAGAATTATTATTATTTTTTTAAAAATTCCAGGCCCCCTGCCAATATTTTTAAAAAACCATCTCTCTCAAACCTTATGATTTTATTTAACTGCAAAACATTGAAAAGGAAGCACTCCCTTGGTGGGGAAGGCTACTTTGTAATGCAGACACTTCTGGAGTATTTTGTAATATGTTGGCAATGAATTAATGTTAATGGGTTATTATTCTTTTTAAAACTTAGATTGAGGACTGATTAATAAAAAGTATCATAACCAATTCTTATTAAGCACTTACTATGTGCCAAACTCTGAGCTCAGCTTCTCACGTGGATTATCCCATTTAGCCCTTACAACTACCATATATTGTAGGCACCCTTGAAATTCTCATCCTGCTTACTTAATAGGAATACTAGAATGCAAAAAGTTATGTAAATTTCTCAAAGTTACACACATTAAAATTTTATTTAATCTGACACCAAACTCCATGTTCTTAATAATTTTGTTGCATTATCTCCTTCACTTTCCCACATTACAAACATGAGATGGTTGGAACATCCAGAAATACTAATAAAATAAACACACACTTGTTGTATGAGTTTGAGTACACATTGTGTGTTTTTGTAGGGTGCATGTGTGTGTGTTTCCATAAATCTTAAAGAATTCTACATATCTAATGTAATCCTTTCCATTAAGACTCTATAGGATCACATTTCTTCTTTATGAGTTTACCCAATGAAAAAGTAGCCACTTCAAACACCTGTCTGTTAAACATGGAATTTATTCCTCATATATAAAATGATAATTACAAAGATATCCCATTTAGTAAGATCACATCTCAGCTTGTGCTGTGTCAGAAAACTTTGGGTGCTTTCTTAAACTTCTTTTATTTTTTTCTTGCTGTTGCTGCATTCCTACTTCTGGCCTCCAGAGCTCAGTCAAGAATGGCTGCAGAATGGGTGTGAGGACTATATGTAGATGCCCAAGGCTACACTAAATTTGTTGCATCTGCTATTTGCTTGGGTTGCATCTTTCCTTCGGAGTCCAAACTACAGGCAAGTCTCATTTTGTTGCACTTTGCTTTATTATGCTTTGCAGATACTGCACTTTTTACAAATTGAAGGTTTGTGGCAACCCTGTGTCTAGCAAGTATATTTGCACTATTTTTCCAATAGCGTGTGCTCATTTTGTGTCCCTGTGTCACACTTTAGTAATTATCACTGATATGGTTCAGCCCTGTGTCCCCACCTAAATCTCATGTCTAATTGTAATCGTCACATGTCAGGAGAGGGACCCAGTGAGAGGCGATTGGATCATGGGGGCAGATTTTCCCCATGCTGTTCTTGTGATAGTGAGTTCTCAGGAGATCTCATGGTTTAAAAGTGTGGCACTTCCACCTTCGCTTACTCTCTCTCTTGCTGCCATAGTAAGAAGTACTTGCTTCCCCTTCACCTTCTCCCATGATTGTAAGTTTCCTGAAGACTCCCAGTCATGCTTCCTGTTAAGCCTGCAGAACTGAGTCAATTAAACCTCTGTTCTTCATAAATCACCCAGTCTCAGGTAGTTCTTTATAGCAGTTTGAAAAAAGACTAATACACTCACAATATCTCAAGCTCTTATTATTATATCTGTCATAGTGATCTGTGATGAGTGGTCTTTGATGTTAATATGGCAACTCTTTTAATTAATATGTTAATATGGTAACTGTCACCATGCACCACACCCAAATAAGACGGCAAACTTAATTGATGAATGTTGTGTGTGTTCTGACTGCCCTGGGACTGACCATTCCTCATCTCTCTCTCTCTCTTCTCAGGCCTCCCTATTCCCTGTGACACAACACTGTTGAAATTAGGCCAATTAATAACTCTGCAATGACCTGTAAGTGTTCAAATGAAAGGAAGAGCCGCATATCTCTCTTTAAATAAAAAGCTAGAAAATATTAAGTTTTGTGAGGAAGGCATGTCAAAAGCCATGATAGGCTGAAAACTAGACCTCTTGTGCCAAACAGCCAAGTTCTGAATACAAAAGTAACATTCCCAAAGAAAAGTAAAAGTGCTACTCCAGTGAACACACAAGTGATAAGAAAGCAACACAGCCTTATTGCTGATGGAGAAAGTTTTAGCGATTTGGATAAAAGACCAAATTGGGCATAACATTCTCTTAAACCAAAGCCTAATCTAGTGCAAGACCCCAACTTTCTTCAATTCTGTGAAGGTTGAAAGAGGTAAGAAATGTCAAAATAAAAGTTTGAAGCTAGTAGAGCTTGGTTTATGAGGTTTAAGAAAAAGCCATCTTAATATAAAAGTGCAAGGTGAAGAAGAAAGTGCTGTTATAGAAGCTGTAGCTTCTATAAGTTATTTAGAATATCTAGATAAGGTAATTGTTAAATGTAGCTACGCTAAACAATGGATTTTTAACATAGAAAAAACTGACTTGGAAGAGGAAGCCATCTAGGACTTCCATAGCTATAAAGGAGAAATCCATGCCTGGGTTCAATGCTTCAAAGGACAGGCTGACTCTCTTGTTAGGGCTAATGCAGCTGGTGACTTGCAGTTGAAGCCAATGCTCATTTATCATTTCAAAAACTCTAGTGCCTTCAAGAATTATGCCAAATTGACCGTACCTGTGCTCTATAAATGCAACAACAAAGACTGTATGAAAGCACAATTGTTTATAGTGTGGTTTACTGATTATTTTAAGCCCACTGTTGAGACCTACTGCCAGAAAAAAAAGATTCCTTTCAAAATATTATTATAGGCAATGTGCCTAGACACTCAAGAGCTCTGAAAATGATGTGCAAGAAGACTAACATTGTTTCCATGCCTGGTAACACAACATCTATTCTGCAGCCCATGGATCAATGAGTCATTTTGACATTCAAGTTTTTTTATTTAAGAAGCACATTTTATAAAGCTCTAAATTCCATAGATAATGATACCTCTGATGAATGTGGACAAAGTAAATTAAAAACCTTCTGGAAAGGATTGACCATTCTAGCTTCTATGAAAAACATTCATGATTCATTAGAGGAGGACAAAATATCAATATTAAAAGGTGTTTGGAAGAAGTTTATTCCAACCCTGATGGATTATTCTGAGGAGATCAAGACTTCAGTGAAGGAAGTAACTGCAGATGTGGTGGAAATAGCAAGAGGACTGGAATTAGAAGTGGAACCTGATGATACTGGGTTGCCGTAATTTCATTATAAAACTTGAACAGATGAAGAATTGCTTCTTACGGATGAGCAAAGAAGTTGGTTTATTGAAATAAAATCTACTCCCGCTGAAGATGGTGTGAACTTTTTGAAATGCTGACAATGGATTTAGAGTATTATATCAATTTGGTTGATAAAAAGTAGCAGGGTTTCAGAGGATTGATTCTAGTTTTGAAAGAATTTCTACTGTGCATAAAATGCTACCTATCAAACAGCATCAAATGCTACAGAGAAATCTTCCATGAAAGGAAAAGTCAATTGATGTGAGAAACTTGTCTTATTTTTAAATTTTTTCACAGCCACTCCAACTTAAGGAATCATCACTCTGATTGGTCAGCAGCCATCTACATGGAGGCAAGATCCTTCACTGGCAAAAAGATTATGATTCATTGAAGGCTCAGATGATCATTAGCATCTTATAGCAATAAAGTATTTTTCAACTAACATATGCAAATTATTTTTTCTTAGACATAATGCTTTTGCACAATAGGCTACAATATAGTGTACACATAACTTTTATATGCACTTGGGGGTCAAAAAGTTTCTATTACTTGTTTTATTGTGGTGCTCTGGAACTGAACCTACAATATCTCTGAGGTATTCCTGCATATAAGTTGGTGAAACTGCACCTTCTCTTGGCTAACCTAATAACTGAATCTACAACATGAGTCTTCCCTTTCATGGAGGTCTATCACTATCTTCTGTGCCACCTTGGCATGAATTAAAGGTCACCCTTTCTGTGGGAGAAAAATCCCTGCATCAGAATATAGCCCGAAGAGGGGAGCTTAGGTTAGATTGACCAGGTGTGTGTCATTGTACAGTAAACATCTTGGTCAAAAAGTTTGTAATAGTCCTTATTCCTTCTCAGAGTTCTGAGGCACAAAGCAGCTATAAAATTGAGAGTCTCAGATCTCATATGCTTCCTATTCCTGGTTAACAACAATATTCCTCCTTAATAATCCATAGTTAGAAGAGCCTTAAGAAGAAAATTATGAAACCAGGCTGGTTGATAGAAATGTTGAAAAAAGAAACAACTGACTTTGCTTTTTTTGTATTCCCTCTGTCCATTACTAGAAAATAAATCCCATAGAATCTTTTATTCTTTTTCCAGTGTAATGGTTCTCAACTTTGGTTGAATACTGGAATTACCTGGAGAAACTTGAAAACTCTTAATCATTGGGCTCTATCCCAGACCAGTGAGATCAGAAACTAAGAGGACAGAACCTAAGCATCTGTATTCTTTAAGAGCTTCAGATAATAGCCATGAGCAAAGCTGAGAACCACTGATGATTTGAATCATTGGGAGGTGGTGTAAGAATAAAACTGTACAATCTTCTTCCTTCCTTGGATCACATCTCACCATAATGAGTTTGTGTGACTCAAGTGATTTATTTATAACATAAAAGGTCTATCTTATTATTTCAAAAAGTTTAACTATAGAATTTAACTCAAGTCGTTTAAGTCCCTCTCTTCAAGGTTATCAAATGGCTAAATGCACAATGTTGGTAACCAATTATAAAATGCATTATAGATAGTATATTTCTTTTTCCTAGAAAGTTCTTTCTGAATAGTAGCAAATGAACATTACCTGGGTATGAAAGAGGAGGTTTCCCTAACATAAATGTTACTGAAGAAAACATTAGGCCTCAATTAGCCTTTTTAACACCATTAACTATAATAATTAGCAAAAGGAAAAAAGACAGTTTTATAACCTACAGTTTCCTTCAAGAAATAGCTATTTAATAATTCATAAACAATCCATCTGCAGAAAATATAATGGTATAGATAGCAATGTCTTTACTAGGCTGCAGCACTATCATAGTGTATCAGCAAACTGCAGTTAACAGAACAAATATTTTTGGCTGTAGAGGGATAGGCTCTCCAAACACAAATTAATCTCCTTAATGGATTTTCCTTACCTTCATGAAAAATGCATTATGGGTTCTTAAGTCACACTCAACACATTGTTAGGGTTTTTTATGATGTGGGGTTGGCACAAAGATGATTTTTCTTTCACACTGTGGGTAAAAAAACAATGAGCTGGGTGGTTTGGAGCCAGACTATTTAATCACTAGGTAAGGACTGATTACCCAGAGAAGTTGCATATTCTTAAGCACCCTCTTTCTGTAAGAGATCCTTAAATTTTGTTGAGAGGTAGAAAAAAGAAATTGCATCGTGGGGCTTAACATTCGTGAAATTTTCAAAATGTCAAAAAACTGTTCCTGTGGGCCTCCTTATTAATTGTTTTGATTTTCTTAAAAGCCGACCAAAGGAAAATTGTCCTGATGCACTTGAAAATGCCTCTGCTCATGCCCAACCTTTTTCCTGTCTAAGTATTCAATGCAGTGAGGGTAACTTGGAATGCAAACAAAAGTTGACTGTGGCCAGAAAGGCACAGCACACTTCCAATATTATGTTTGTTTTGAAGCGTCTTTATATCTAAGCATTATTTTTAAGCATGTGTTTATTTCATAACGTAGATTTTTAATGTGGATGATCATTCATCTAGGACTGAATACCCAATCTAACTATGTCATATGCATTAAGTAGCTACATTAATGCTGCTTCAGGTACATCAAGACAGGCAAACGAACTTCCATTGCTGTGCCCCTTAAGGAATTTAATTAGACACTGCAAGCCATAAGAGTCTGGTAAGAATTTTCAGAGGGCAGGTGTGTGGCATTCATGATACCATCCACAGTTTTATGGTAGAACATGCCTTGCCTTTTTTTTCCAGTTTCCTCAGTTTCAGTTGTCTAAAATTGTTTCGAAACCACTGAGTTTTTATTTTCTTTTAAGCAGAGGTCAACAATCAGCCTTCAGATGGTTCAAATTAGTCAACATAGATCAGAGCTGAACCCATGCCCTAGAAGTGAACGTAACTTCTCCTGTGAGAAATCACCTGGCAGCGGGCTACAAGGTGAGAGAATCATTACAGCTGTGGAGAGGATTGCTCTTTGAAATGGCAGGAATCACACTGAGTTTGCAGCACAGGATCTTTCAGTAAATATTGCTACTACCTAGTGGTGCTCTTTCTCAGTAGATGAATTTAGGACATTGACAACCAGTGATAATCATCTCAGGGATTTACTGTATCCCAGAATTTTAGGCAAAATGTTTTCCAAATAAATCACATGAAGAAAATGTATGACCTAGATATTTAGGATTGTCAACTTGTAACTTATGTGATGATTATATTTCGTCATAAAACCAAGCGCAGAAGAGTTAGAAGGGCATTTCAAAATTTTATGAGAATTTAACTAAATAAAGGAATTGAGACAATCATATTCAAATTCAAGAGGCAATTCAAATTATGGCAGAGAACCGCTGCTGTGACTATTGTGTCTTAGAGTAATTTGTATTAGTTATATAATGTTGGAACTATTTTTTTAATTAACTGTCTGCAGCAACCTATAATTTTAGAGTTTATCATGAACTCTAAACTCATGAAAAATCTAATGTGCACTATGACCTTAATTTTCCAAACTTCACAGTTAGTAACTTTTCTAGTATAGAGGCTAAAAGTCAATGCTCCTTTTTACAGCATACTAAATAAAATATTTTACCTCTCAAACACCAGTTTAATAATTGCCTATTTCATTTTCCAAACACTTTCATTCCCAAATGAATATATTAAAATCTAGAAAACAAATAAGCCTTTTTCTTCAATTTGCTTCACTCTAATCTATTGTTAATAAAACAATAAATCATATCAAAAATTAGGTCATGTAAATCTGTTTCTTAAATTTAAGCAGAACAAACAACCAACATTTCCAGGATTCTTCATTGCATTAGTAAAAAACCGATTCTTAATACAAGAGCCTGAACAAGCTAGAACTGATGTCTGCCTCACTCATGAAGCTCTGCCACTGTTCACTCTTCAATCACAGATCACTGGCCATTACAGTAGTCTGAATAATAGTCCCCAAAGATGTCCATATCCAAATCCCAAGGACCTGTGAGTGTAATACCTTACATGTGAAAGGGATTTTGCAGATGTGATTAAGCATCTTGAGATAGGAAATTATTCTGGATTATCCAGTTGGGCCTAATATAAAAACATGCAACCTTATAAGAGAGATGGAGGAGGATTAGAGTCAGAGAGAGATGTAAACATGGAAGCAGAGATCAGAGAGAAGGTTTGATCTCTGCTGACTTTGAAGATGGAGTAAGGCACCTTGAGCCCAGGATTACAGGTGGTTTCTAGAAGCTGGAAAAGGCAGGGAGATGGATTCTCCCCTAGAGCCTTCAGAAGGAATGCAGGCCTGCTGACACCTTGATTTTAGCTCAGTAAAACAGATTTTGGACTTATGACCTGCAGAAATGTAAAATAATAAAGTTTTGTCATTTTAAGCCCCTAAATTCATGGTAAACAGTTAAAGCAGCAATAGGAAATGTAGGTAGACACACTGCTGTCTTTCATTTGCTGGCATACACAAAACTCCTGCATAACTCAGAGATTTGCTATGTCTCCGCACTCTAAGATGTGTGAAGTAGGGTCTCTATGTCTTCTTCACCCTGGTCTTCTGGATAAATGAGGCACTGAATAAATATTTGTTGAATAAATGAATGATCAGATTAGAATCTGGGAAGGCAAATGTATTTACTTGGGGAATGGTTTAGGAGAGTGACTCTTCTTGTCTTACTTAGGATTGTTAATGTATAAACAAGAAACTAGGAAGTACCCACAATATATGATTCATGCAGGCTTTTTCAGCTTTATCTCTTTTCTCTGTTTTTACACAGAATGCCCTTTACTGAAGGAATATAGAAAGGAAGTGATGAACGCAAAAGGGTATAAATCATTCACCTTTATTAGTAAGTGCTAATTAAGTCATGGATTACTTCAAACATGACCAACCCACCCATACCACGAACTGTGTTACCACCAACTGCTGAACTCTCAGGAGATTGAGTGATTATTATGCTACCATCTATATATTTGATGAGGAAAAATATTTGATATGGTTTGGCTGTGTCCCTACCCAAATCTCATCTTGAATTATAGTTCCCATAATCCCCACATGCCATGGGAGGGACCAGGTGGGAGGTAACTGAATCATGGGGTGGTTACCCTCATGCTGCTCTCTTGATAGTGAGTGAGTTCTCACGTGATCTGATTGTTTTATAAGGGGCTTTTCCCCTTTTGCTCAGCACTTCTCTCTCCTGCTGCCATGTGGAGAAGAACATGTTTGATTCCCCTTCTGCCATGATTGTAAGTTTCCTGAGGCCTTCGCAGCCATGCAGAAGTGTGAGTCAGTTAAACCTCTTTTCTTTATAAATTACCCAATCTTTGGGATTTTTTCATAGCAGTGTGTGAACAGACTAACACAATATTACAAGGAGGAATTATTTAATATTTTTTGGAAGTGTTACAAATTGATCTTAGTGTGTCATTTTTGACCAACTGACCAACTTGTGCCAAGGGTCTTTTCTTATACTTAATTCTACAAGAGTCAATTAGATTAATTACATCTGATCCAATAACATCCTATTGTTCAATTAGTTTCAGCAAACAATATTACTGCCTGTCTTATTACTTTTTTATTCAAAATTGTTCATAGCAACCTTGCTGGCAGGTACTATCAGAAGGTAATGAATTTGAGCTTATCTTATTTTGCAGACCACGTGTTAACATATCATAATATGAGCACCATATAAAAATGCATATGATGTTTTTCTGTGCAGTACATTAGGAAGACCCAAGCTTTTGGATGTTGCTTTTTTCTTAAAAAATAACTTGACATCTAATTTTCATTTGTTGTTACTTTTTAAATTATGATTTTATAGATTCATTTGGTTATTTTTAAAATGTGGGCTATATTTGCTCAAAGAAAATATTTCAATATTTAAATATATTTCAGCAATGTATAAATATAGTGAAGTTACATTATTTTGTTTAATGAGTGATACATATGCTTGGTTTAAATGTGTAGGAATTTTTTTCTTTCACAATAATGTATGAAAAATATTTCATTTCTTGAAAGGATTGCTTTTATATTGACTTGAATTTTTACAAAAATATCTGTTTTTGTCTAGCTTTAAAATCTTTTTATTTCTTAAAGTGAGACTATTTCTTATTAATGAAGTAAAAGTTAGGAATCATTTTCTCTAGATTATTTAGGAAAACTGCTATGAAATGTAAAATTCCAGAACCTCTTTTTACTTGATGTAGTTTTGCAAACAAAACAATTTTACTGAAACTTCCCACCTAAAAACAAAATGCTATGTCTTTAGATATATTCTTTCAAGAAATCACGGGGGACTTATATTGATTTCTTCATAAGGGAAAATTAATATAAATCAAAAATAAACAAGCAACCAAAAAAAACTGAAATCCAGACTTTTCTAACTAAGGAAGGTAATGATAAAGGAAAATGAATAAGTGTTTTCTTTGAATAGCTTAATGAGAGTCGCAGGAAAACAACGACCTATTTTACTATTAAAGTACTTATCTACAAAAAATTGTAATGGAAAAACTTCTGCTGAGCAGGCTAGCAATGGGTATCCCCTAGGACCCAGAACACTTAATGGGTTTTCAGTTCTGTTCTAAATGTTTTTTTTTTTTTTCTTTTTTTGCCTATTCTCAACCAGTGTTGTGCAAAATGTCAGGTTTTCTTCAACTTTCTTTTCTTCCTCCTTAGAAACTCTTGCCCTTTGTCAATTGTTTAGAGGCAGAAAAGATTACATTTCCGTACAAGAAGTCCAGATTAGTTGAAGACACTAGAATTCAAAGCCTGCAAAGATTATACCAAATGTATACGTATGCATTTTTAAACTATCTAGATTGCTCCCAACCTGTAAAATTTCAACAGACTCAAATTATATCTGTGCCTTGGAAATAAAATAGGTGATTAATTAGCCATTAAAGTAGGAGAATCAAAAGATCAGCTGATATCAGGATTAAATTGTCTTTTACCCCAAGAAGTACAATTTTAAAAAAATCTGGTTAGAGACCGATTAATCATGAAGTGACTCTTTTGGAGAAGTTTTGCTCTGAGTCTTTTAGTTTTGATAACTTCATGTCCTTGACTTTTTAAATAACACAATAAACTAGCTAACTTAAATTTTATTTTATTTATTGATATTTATATAAATATATGTCTATATAAATATGTTTATATAAATATATGTTTTATAAATATGTTTATGTAAATATAGCAAATTTATACTTGCTATCAGATTATCTGGTGCATTGCTGATTGCTCTGCCTTTCAGTGAGAGTCACTGGGGAAATTTATATCTCACCAAAAGAAAATTCTGTAATTTTGCTTCTGTTATTGATTATAAAACTGAGCAATATGAGAAACAGGAGAAAACTCAAGTCTACAAGGGACCATCAGTCACTTGGTTTGTCTGAATTAATTGTTATCTTCAGACAACCAGTTTGTGTTGCTCTAGCCTGAGTTTACTTACTAAATTTAGAAGCAGTCTCAAGCATTATTACTGCATATAAAACATAGACAGCTAATTACCCTCTGTTGAATATTTTAATATGCTCCTCTGTAATACATTTTTTAATGATAGAGAATAAATTAAATTTATATTACAGGAAGAAGGAGAATCTACACACTGGTGCTTCTTAATTGTTGCCAAAGGAAACCTAGCAAAAACTCATGGATTCAATGGGAGTATTAATAAGCCAATCAACAGATGGCTAATTGTACCACTGAAAAATGCAAATAAATTAATTCTCACTTGCTCTCATCTATTGGGAGATCAAAGTAGAATTATTAGTTTCCATCTCAATATATTTATATAATTTATACACCAAGATATTTTAGTGAAATAATCTGAAGTAGTAAAAGAGTATAAAGGATTATTCTAACATTTTGATACCACAAAGCATCTCCATTTTGGTATAGTTCTAACACCATCTTATAGTATTAAACTTGAAATTCAGAGCAATTAAATCTTTGTTTTATTAGCTTATTTGTATCAGGCAGGTTACAACGGCATGCTATAGTAGCAAATCATTCCAAGATCTCAATGGCTTAAACAAGGAAGGTTTCTTTGTCACTCATGTTCATGCCCATTGCAGCTCTGCTCCACATCCTCATCATTCCAATACCCCATTGGAAGGGGGAAATCTCTACTAAAGTGGTTCTGATGGCAGAAAGAAAGTAATGACGGAGGATCTAGAGGATGCTCTGAAAATATTTGCTCAGAAGTGTCACATATTACTTCCATACACATTTAACTAGCTAAAGAAATTCACATGGCCAAACTTGATGTCAGTGTGATGAGAAGTAACATTTCCCTACAGGAATAGTTTGTGCAAGAACATATAGCAAAAATCTGTATTATAATGTGGTCAATTCTTTAAGCATTTTTCTAAAACCGATTTATAAAACTTTTCCCCCAGTCCTGAAATAAAGTTCATAAGAAGCTCAGAAAAATTTTGAGTAAATACAGCAAAAAATTAGAAAATATTACAGTAGGTTATGAAAAAATACTGTCATATATTTATGTCCCTTAATCTGGCTTAAAGTCATAAGAAACTGACATTATCATTCTAATACTCTCCATAAGATTGAGGTAAGAATAGGTATTTTTGTTAGACTATTACTCTGCTTACAGCTCTGGTCTAATACTTACATGACTACATTTAGAAGAGTTTAATGAGCATCAGTTCACTTCCTATTCTGATTTTTTTTTACTCAGTCACATTGATAAATACATGGATAAATTATATAAATAAGTGTATTTAATTTTGAATAAATGAATGAAAAGTTTTAGAAATGGGGAAATGGTATAGTTGCCCCAAAATTGTACATAAATAGGTAAGAATAAGAAATGTCTGTATTAAACCCATGTTTTAATCCTAGGATGGACTCCTTTAGAATCATTGGCAATATTTTAAGAGCATCTCACTGTTTACTAAATACCAAAGCAGTGTTAGCACAAAAAGACATTGCTCCAACTATGAAGTCATCCATACAGCCTGCAAATTTGTCACTCAACACAATGAAGACTAGGAACGAAGCTCCAAAATAGAGAACTAGGGCTGGCAACCGGCTATTGCTAAAGTTAGGACGTGGCTCCAGGAGCTCATTCCCAGTGCCTGAAGGAAATGTTTTTGAGTCTTTAAACTCAGAAGAAAAAGAGTAAAATGTACATGTGTTTTAACTGATATGTCATTTGCAACAAAGTTTAATACTTGAGTAAATCTTCGTCTCTGTATCATATCCTATCTCTATCTGCTTTATTTCTTGTTTGAGGATACTAGACTCTAATGATCCATAGTCCCTAGCCAAAAAGAGAGAGAGAGAAATACAGTAATTACACTTCAAAATATATTCTTCCTTTTGTATTTTGGGACTAGAAATCCAAAATAGGAAAATGTAATGTATTACTTTGAAGCAACTTCTAATTTGATGTCTTAAATTATTGTCTCTTCAACTAAGAAATAATTTAAATAGCCTTCAGACAGATTTGGAAGAAAGAATCTACACATGCAAGAATTGAGTGCTGAAAATAAGGCACCTGTGACTTAATTTTAAATCTATTTGTATTTTGCTTTACTGGCTACGTATGTGCTTTCATGTATTCTATATAACTATGCCTCTCAATCTTCGGGAGGATTGAAGGCACAGTAATTCAGAAAACTGAACAACTTACTGTAGTGGCAAAGAACTTTTTAAAGGAAGATGAGAATAACACAGAAATTCAAGGTGAGGGCTTACTCTAACCCTAGCCAAGAGAGCACACCTTCAGCCTCTCGAGTCCACACATAGAACACATACACACACACAACACCCCCCCCACACACACAAAACACACCCACACAGAACACACACAGAACACACACACACAGAACACACACACACAGAACACACACACATAACACACACCCACACAGAACACACACAAAACAGAGACGCTTCAACAGTAGAAGCTCTGACATTTTTTGTTAATGTGTTTTAGATATTGTGTTTCAAATGCCATTTGAACCAAGTGTTCTCTTTTTTCTTTCCTGTCAGTGGGTTTTTCAGGTGTAGTTATAATTATTTTGAAATGTCAAAGGACTAAACTATGCTCAGTAGGAAATAAGAATAAAAGAAATAAACACAATAATTCCATGTGCAATCAAATAATGAAGGAAGAAAGGAGAATTGTAGTATAATATTTTACTATCATTATAAGAATTAACAGAAGATAAATGCTTCTTTGTATCAAAAAAAATTCAGCTTCCACTGATGTTAGTATAAGATGATGACTTTTTAGATTATCAGCTTTGGGCACAAGAAAGTTTAGGATTTTATAACAATATAGCTCTCTAAATAAGCTACACTGTGTAATAAACTGACTTCTTTTTAAGCATTCTATTATTCGCAATGAAAATAGATAAGCAATAATAATATATGCACATTATTCCCCTTCACAGGAGCAATCATTCTCCCAGAGACCATATGATGATTTATAAACCTGGCACATGATAAAGATAATAAATTGACTGCTCTAGAAATCACTGTGTTAACTGAACTGCCTTGTCATTTCTGCCTTAAGTGCAGCTTTTCTAGCTGCAAATGGCAAGGGAAAATAATCAATACAAGAGAAATCTTAGCTTTAAAAAGGTAAAACAATGCAAACGCAATGCCTTTCTGAAAAGAATGTACTTTCAATTAGAAATACTTGAAAATTTGAATTCATTACCTCAAGTCCAGTGACCAATATGTCTCAGGTACTCATATTATACTCTAAATATAAATTCCTGAGCTTGTCCATTTAGAACCTTATATATGAACTGTCTTTGACACTCATATGATATCAGAAAGGTCTTTCAAATTCATTTGCCTCTTCTCTGGAGTAAAGTTCTTATACTGTTATACCAAGGGTATTAAGGGATTAGTCTGGTATCTTTCCAATTCATTTGACTAGAGATCAAATCAGATTCTACTAGTCTGAAAATAGAATCCCTGGCCTCAGGATTAAAATCATTACAGGTGCTTACTAAATGTCTCAAGAAAAATGATCAGCTTCATCCTCCTCATTGCTAATGGAGCTGATTATGTGGAAGGCATATTACGTTTTAAGAACTTCATGTAAATCAGTCCATTTAATCTTCATACCACCCTATGAGGTTGATATTATCATCATCGTTATGCTCATGAAGGAATAGCAAATAGAATGTAATGACATAAGCATATTGATTCAGAATCCACACTCTAAGTAAAGAGAAGTGGAGGATAAGAGCCAGATATAGAAGACATGTTGTGGGAAGACATAGCAAAAATATAACATGGTATACATTGTAGGCAAAAGTTAAAGGACCTAGTAAGCAAGAGAAAACTGTGACAGCTTTAAAGTTATTGATGTACTTAGTAGAAAAGTTGACTGAACTCAGAGACCAGAGTTTAAATTCCAGTTCTACTCTTCATTTGTTACATGACTTTGAATAAGACCCTAAACTTCTTCATATGCAAATCATATAGTAAAATTATTACTTCTTATGGTTCTGAGACTTAAACAAAACCAACTAATTGAGTTAAGTAGAATAGTGTACATAAGATGCTTAGCATGGTCTGAGTATTTTCTCTATACACTGCTTTCTGATGTCTGATATGGTTTGGCTACGTACTCATCCAATTCTCATCTTGAATTGTAGCTCCCATAATTCCCACGTGTTGTGGAAGGGACCCAGTGGGAGGTAATTGAATCATGAGGGCATGTCTTTCCTGTGTTGTTCTCATGATAGTGAATAAGTCTCGCAAGATCTGATGGTTTTATAAAGGGGAGTTCTCCTGCACATGCTCTCTTCTGCCTACCAGAATGTCCCTTTGCCCTTCCCTCGTCTTCTGCCATGATTGTGGGGCCTCCCTAGCCCTGTGGAACTGTAAGTCCATTAAACCTCTTTCCTCTATAAATTACCAAGTCTCAGGTATGTCTTTATTAGCCTCATGAGAACGAACTAATACAATGTCATATTTTCTTTATAGCTTCTTTAATATTGGTTCCTAATTTTTAATAACATGCACTATTGCCTGATTAACATTCCATTATTTTGTGTATGATCATTCCTGGCTCAATATTCCTTAAATGCCTGAAGTTTAACATCAAAGATATCACTTTGGCATTCCACCTTTTTCACATTTTATTGTGATATAGCAGAAAGAACACTGCATGTGGGGTTAGTGATTATATTCAAAGGAAAGCATTAAGAACTTCACCAGCTATTCACCGTTACTTTGTGACTTTGAGTAAGTCTCTTTTCATTTATGTTTTCCTTTCTCTAAAATGTGTTAATTACTTTTCTGTAATCAACCTCACAGATGTAACGTAATGTTCAAATTAGATAACTCACCTGAAAACTCTTTGAAAGCTGAAGAAGAGATACACAAGTGTTAGGTAGTAATGGAAAAATAATAAGCTTTGAAATCTAGTACAAACCAGTTTAAATTCTGCCCTTGGCCCTTACCAGCCTTGTGGAAGTCACTGACTCTTTGATTCTCAGTATTTATAACTAGAATTGGGAAGAATAATATTTACTTTCAAAAAATAAAATCTTGCTGCTGGATAATGCTACTTTGGTTTTTGACGGAAGTTTATCTTACCTATAAATCTATAGGTTGCCTCTAGGACTTGGACATTGTTTTATATTAATATCATTTTCATATATTTCACCATGCCTAACACCAGCCAACACACAATATTTGCAACACAAACAAGGAAAAATAGTGAAGATTAGTGATTATTATTCCTTATGCTTTTAGTCCTCGTCTACTCCGATTCAATTAGGTTTCTGAATATAAAGGTAACAAATTTATTGGAGTCTAAGAATAAAAATTGAAGGGAGATTCTCTTGTAGTCCATGACGATTTAATTATGAAACTATAGGGAATGAAATTGTGTTTATCATGACACGATTTCATTGCATTCAATGTGGGTAGAGAATGGATGACAGGGAGGGTTAGACAGCTGTCATAAGAAGGGAAGAAACAGGTTAGCTGCCAGCAGTGAGGGCAAGCATCAAACACTGGCTTAGCTTTAGACTGCAGAGAAATATAAAGAGCTGACAAGACAGCCTCGCTTGAAGCAGGAAGACATTAGTTCTCCACTTTGAACTAAAGAATGTGTAATGATGCGGAATGCAAAAGGCAGGGTCACAAATAATGATAATAATGACAGTAGTACGACAGGCTCAAAGAGTAATGGCTAAGAATTGCATATCAAAGAAACAGCTTAAAGTGAATTGTATGAGTTATTTGCCCAGATTTTAGCTACCATGTTGGTATGTCTATTGCAATTGCTAAGAGATAATGTATTTCAACTATTGAAACAAATTAAATTACAAATGCCAATTGACAATAAAATATAATTTCATAGATATATTTTAACTTCACACGTCTATAAAATGTTATAATAGAAACCTAGTGTTAGATACTAATTTCTTATTTAGATGGGGAATTTCATAGTGTTGTGGATTACACAAATTAAATGCTTCATGAATATTCACTGGGTGTGTCAAAGAAAGATGCTGGCAGTAAGAGTTCCTAGTGCTCATTCTTCAAAACAGATATACATAAATAACCTTGATTTATGCCTGTTACGTATTTTGTAAGTATAATGCCACAAGTCTCTCCTAACAAACCTTATATCTGCGTAGATTTTTGTTAAATGTGACTTGAAGCAACTAAAAATGCAGTTGAGATTCAATGGTCTGTTTTGTAAAGAACACTCATCATAGTTAAGAATAAGATCCACATGCCTCATCACATTTGAACGTTGTGTGTGTGATTCAAACGCTACTTCTCCTCTGTCCCCATTTTGACCTGCTCTCTCATTTGCTCACCATGTTTCAAACACCCTGGCCCCTTTTCATTTCTGGAAGATAGTGACTCTTCCCACTGTGGTGGCTTTGCTCATTCCCTTCCCTTTGTGAAAGATGCTCTTTCCCAGCTCTCTACCTGGTCGACTCTCTTCTAAATCTCAGCTTCAATATTCGCTCTGCAGAGGGGACTTCTTTAACCATCCTTATCAGTAACTTCCTCCTTTTTTCTTCTCTTGTGCCAAATCCCAGAATCACAACGCATCCTTTTAGAACTAAAGACAACACTTAGTATACTAAATGCAAATTCATTTTGTCTTTGTTTTAAGAATATTAGAATATTTTTACAACTTTCAATGCCATCAAATTGTCAAAAATACTCAAGAAGCTTCGATTTAAAAGACAATGTCATCATATGCTTTGTTTATATGTGTATATTTGTCTATATGTGATATCAAGGAGTTGCCATCATAGGATATGAATCTAAACTGTTAGATATACTGTTAACTTTACTTTCTTTCATTAACTAATCTTGTTTGAATACGGATATTCTAAAAAACAATTTTAAGGGAATGTTAAAGAGGTCATGTTAGCTTACTAAAATTTGAAATTCATTTTTTTTTTGGTACTGGTCTCTGAAATTGCCCCTCAAGTCTCAATTATTCCAAAAGTTGAACAACTTTACTAGGACATGTTGTGAAAGCCAAAATTTTTAGTATTTTCAAAAATTCCTCCATGTTTGATATTACAGGCAAAATGCTTCCTTTCTTCAGGCAGCCATGGACACCCCATTCACTATTTTGTGTGTTATCTTTGTTATACAGTGTTATTAATAAAACTATTACAGTTTTTGACTTTGTTATTAGAATTTGCTACTTACTAAACAAAATTTAAGGATGGTATTATCGTAAAATAAAGTTAAGTTATCTGATTAGTACTATCAAAAAAAAATGGTAACAATGAGTTGATATTCTAAACTGTATTAGCAGAATTTAATATCTAAATGTGTATTTAATTTGGTTTAGACATTAATGATAATAATATGTATATAATGATAAAACAAGATTCTATTTCCAATTATCTCATGATAATTATGGAGTCCATAAAGTATTTTTGCCAGCTGCTCAATGCAGCACCTTCTATTTGTTTGTTTGTTTGTTTTTGAGAAGGAGTTTTGCTCTTGTTGCCCAAGCTGGAGTGCAATGGCGCGATCTTGGCTCACTGCAACCTCTGCCTCCTGGGTTCAAGCGATTGTCCTGCCTCAGCTTCCTGAGCAGCTGGGATTACAGGTGTGTGCCACCATGCCTGTCCAATTTTTTTGTATTTTTAGTACAAATGGGGTTTCACCATGTTAGCCAGGCTGGTCTGAAACTCCTGACCTCAGGTGATCCACCTGTCTCGGCCTCCCAAAGTGCTGGGATTACAGGCATGAGCCACCGTGCCTGGCCTCAATGCAGCACCTTTTAGGAGTTATGTAATTTGCTTAAATGAAAGTCTTAAGATGTAATATGAAATTAATATTATAGAGGAAATTTACAGCAAAACTAGGACACATACAGATATTTTATTCAGTTTCAGCAGAATAATCAGAAAAAATATGGTTAGAAAAACAAAAATTTCAGAAAAACGTGTCATTTTGTTGTGTCTTTTTTTTTTCTTCACAGTTTTGAATGTCTCCTTTCCACAAAATATAGTCACAAATGAGTCCTATAACAATCTGAATGAGGGCTAGGAAATTAAAGTGGAAAATTAACACCGTTGGGATTGGAAAGCAAAGAAACTCTGAGGATAGCTAGACAACTGTCAGAAGTAATTCTTCAGTAATTTTACCCAAACTAAGCTTCAGCTCTATTTACTGCAAACTCAGCAGAACATGATCAATCTGGATAACCTCACATACTTTTTACTAGAGATGACACCAATTTTGTGAAAAAGTATATTTCCAAAACCAACTGAACCAGCTTCAAAGTAAGTAGCACATGGTAGAACAAACCTGATAGTAGTTAGTTCATGGTAATAGCTTTAAATATAAGAATTTTAATTGTCTTACATAATTATACAATGCAGGAACTGCTGAAAAATATTAGTAAATTGCCCAAAATGTTCTTTAAATCACACTGAACCTATTATTTTGTTTCTTTTGAAAATTTAGTAGATTACTAAATCTTGGGATGTAATTGATTGTTCAGAAGACTGCATGTGGAGCACACATTCGTATGAATACCTTAGACATATTTAAATAATTCTCTGCAAACAGAGCTATGCAAATCTTAAACTACTTTGGAAAAGGGAAAGTCTAGTCACCAAAAACTGCAAACCTCTTGAAGGCAAGAGTCATCTCTCACTTATCTAAATATGGTGCTTGGCACACAGTAGCTCTGGTGTTGAACAAATTTAAAAAGTGGATGCAATAGCAAGACTTACAGGCTAACTTATAAGACGTTTTTTTCTCATGCAATGTTCGACAAATATCTGTTTAAAAGTGACTATTAAATGTTGAATAGCCAGGAATTGTACTCTAATTAGAATAGAAAACTATGAATTATAAATAATTGTCTTTGCTGCTTTAAAATCTATTGAGCATTTCTTGGGCTTATTCTGTCCTTGATCTGAAGCTGCATAAGATAGTTTCAAATAACAATATACTAACCTGCTCTGTCCTATAATAATGAAAACCAAAACCATCCTCTTTCTTAGAACACTATCCAATGCTCACTGTCTATAAAGCTTAAATGAAAAAAGAAAATCTTGTTGAGGTTCACTCCCAAGATCTATGTGTCAGTCTTTGCATCATGTGCTACAGTAGGCTTTTTGCCTGGATTAGATAACATATTTTTAAGACATGGTTTTCTGTTAAATAGTATATGACTGTCAATTGAAGTTTCTTGATGATGATTCTGCCAAGAGGACAATTCTCTTTTCACTTTTTTTATCCAAAGCCATTTCTCAAATTCATCAGTTTTCCATAAAGAGTCATCTGACATTCTGCGTAGCATTACTCCAGATTCAGTAGATGGTATCTTTCTATTTTCTCAGACTCATAGCTATAAAAGAATTTACACATTTTTGGCATAGGTTATGCTGCTCTTTGTCTCAATCATACCATTTCTCTAAAAAGATATTTTCTTAGACTGTTTTAATTTTTTACTTAAAAATCAAGGATCAACAACTGTTTTCAGCAACATTCTGGCCCAGAACTGTGCAAATAGAGTAGGGGAAGGATGGTTTGAGTAAGAAGACTGCTCTGGCAAAACAGAATCTTATTTTGATCAACATTTGTACCACATGAAATATGTTTTCAATTTGAAATGGGGAACTTAGTGACCTTGCCAAAGAACTTTGTACACTGTAGGTAATTTTATTTGGGCTAGAATGGTACACAGATTAAAATCCCAACTTTTTGCCAGAATACCATGATGACTGTATTTTGTAGTTTGCAACCTGATTTGAGAGTTTGGCAGACTGATTCATAAACTAATAAAGTTAGAAGTATTCAAATGGATCACCTGAAAATCATCTGCCTTTAGGTAGTGTGTTTTAAAACATTCCATGGGTCTTTCCATTTTGACAGATATGGAGAGTCTCTCACAAATATGTCTATTTTGAATATATCATACACTATATGAGTATTTGATGAATCTGTCATTAATTCAACATATTCCTTTCATAAGTATAAACAGTCTTTATATTATATATAGATGTCAATTACACATTTTCAGAATTGTGTGAATCATGATACAACTATGGGTTCAACATATACATTATACAGTTAATAAAAAGACTTACCCAAGCCTTTTCATGGTCAATGCCAAAAATATGTATTTATATATCAATTCTATTTCAGCATGCTTCACTTGGATACTTATTGAAATTCTAGCATACTTTGAAAAGTGTATTAGTGATGCAAAGATTTAGGTAACTATACTCATTATAAACAACAACAACAACAACAAAAAACCTCATTAACAGCTATATGGGCAACCCTTAGTTGCCTTGATTATACATGGATCTTAGCCATCAGGGCTAAGTGAATGCATGTCCACCTTCTCAGGATTTACTTTGCATCAGGAGAGTTACTTCAACAGTAATTCTGTTTCTAGATCAGTTTTGAATTATTCTTTTTGAAATATTCTTTACATACATTTATCCTTAAGCTTTTTGTGGTTCAGTCTTTGCTAATGTGTTGATAATTATGTAGCCTAATTGATTCTCTTGCTGTTCCTCTAACATGACCTGTTTGAATCTGGGCTTCCCCATGTCACTCTCTCTGACTGCAAAAGTGTCACACATATGTCTGAGGCTCACTCTCTGCCTCATTCAGCTCTCTGCTCAAATGTTTCCTCCCCAGAAAGGTCTTTCTGATTTTCTGATTCAAACTAGCATACACATTCTCAAGTCAACCTCTTACCCTTAGCCTGTTTTAGTTGGCTTGATAGCACTTGCCTCCACTAGATATTACACTACATAATTAGCATTATATTTATTTATCTCCTCTACTGGAATGTAAGTTCTATTAATGCTAGTGTTATGCCTGTTTTTCACTACTTTATTCCACGACCTAGGGGGGTACTTGACATGTAAAGGGCAGTAATTATGTCTGTGATCAAATTTAACCCAGGACACTAAATTTCTTTGTATTTTAATATATTTCTCTGTTAAAGATTATTCTACTTCATGGCCGGGCGCGGTGGCTCACGCCTGTAATCCCAGCACTTTGGGATGCTGAGGCGGGGGGATCACGATGTCAGGATATCAAGACCATCCTGGCTAACACGGTGAAACCCCATCTCTACTAAAAACACACACACAAAAAAAAAACATTAGCCGGGCGTGGTGACGGGCACCTGTAGTCCCAGCTACTCTGGAGGCTGAGGCAGGAGAATGGCGTGAACCCAGGAGGCGGAGCTTGCAGCGAGCCGAGATAGCGCCACTGCACTCCAGCCTGGGCGACAGAGGGAGACTCCGTCTCAAAAAAAAAAAAGATTATTCTACTTCATGGTCTTTAGGTCAGAATATATTTATTTGCAATGATTATCAGAGATGCATAGGTTTTGTTAGGATTCAATCCTTGATATGTATTTGTAGGTACCAAAATTGCATGCACCCAAATTTATTAGATCCTACTGCCTTTTCCCTCATTAAGAATAAATAAAAATATAGAATTCATGTGTAACACTGACCTATAACACTTGGACTGACAAACCCATAAAACTGCTGGTTGGCTCAGTAGTAATAGACATGTAAATTATTAATAATATGGCATTTCATTTTAAATATTTTAAGGGACATATACTAATCATAGTCTTTAATGTTTTACTTCACACTGAATGGCCTAATAATGTGTAAAGTGTATTTTATTTCTAGGTTTATTTTCCTAAGTGAAGATAAGTTCAGTCATCTTGAAATGTTAGTCCTTTAAAATGGAATCTATGACATAAAATAGAAAAAGAATAATTGCATTGCTGTATTATTTATTCATAATTTAAAAATATTTCACTTTTCTCAGTTGTATTTTACCATAATATTAAATTTTAATAAAATAAAAATGCATTTGCTTGACAATAGTGATTTGTTCTGATATGGAATGCCTGAAGTAATAAAGCCACTTGGTGATATATTCTATTTCCCTTATAAATATCTATAAGGGACATGACTTTCAATAGTGTAAGCCAGTTCTATTTCTCATCAGCCTTGATATTGTTAAGTATTTTGCTAGCAACATGCAATGGGGAGTTGTGCTCCAGGACCTTCTGCTGCTCCATTTTCTTTTCATTTGTTTTTTTTCTTTTTAGAGTAAAGTGAAAGCAAGTTTATTTGATAAGAAAAAAAAAAAGGCTATCCACTGGCAGAGCAGCTTCCATTCTCTTAAAGTGATTTTAATTTATCTTAAGCTATTGATAAAATCAAGTAATTTAGAAAATTCTAGAGATGACATTGAAAGCAACAATAATGTACTCCTTAGAACTGAGTAAGCAAAGTCCTGTGTCATGCTGCCACATCATGTTCACAGAACTTGTGGCTGGGTGATCACATGCAGTTATGACAGCATAACTGCAAGGGTATTTTCAATATGCACCAGAAAGAAAGTAATATTTTCCCCACAACACAGATGCAGAAGAGCCTAAAGGAGTCTGTTCTGCAGTGAGTCTATGCAACTCTACCCTCAAAATCTGACAGGTTGAAGAAAGAAGTTGACATATCCAGCTGCTCAGAAAGAATCATTCAATGGGGACTTATGAACAGAAGCCATGCTTGTGCCTCAGGCAGTGGAGAGACAAAATGGCGGATCTCTGCACCATTAACCCCCAGCCCAGGCATTATATATCATAGGAAAAAAAATGTAGGACAATTGAAGTTGACCCCTTATGGAAATGCAAGACTGCTATGTGAATCTGCCTAAGGTCAGGATTTGCAGTTAGTACAAGCTCTTACATAAGGAACTATAGATATACTGGAAATATTAGAGGCATTCCCAGAACTGGGGTTAATCAGAAGTAGACATGGAAGATGAGCATCCAAGATGGAGTTGCTCTGCCCTCTACAGAGTAGAGTAACTGTATTCCAGGAAATCCAATAAAACTTGACAGGGGATGGATTAAAATTCTCAGGTCATAATTTTATGTGTGAACATGCAAGTCACTACCAACCATTCAATTTGTGGGGATTGTAAATCTGTTAATTTGCCTATAATCCCTCCTCCTCATAGTACACCATATGTCACTTCAATATTTCAATAAATTATTACTGTCCATTTTAAAGTGAGACCTTCATTTCAGAGATTTCTGATTTATTTTGATATAAATATTGGCTTTGCTTCAGTAGAAGAGATTTCCAAGAAGAACCAAAGATTAGAAATTGTCCTATGAGAATCCTATCATGTTCCTAAACTGGGATTGATTAGTCAAGGGATTAGTAATTCTGTATCTCACAAAGAATTCTTAGAGAATAAGAATACAAAATCTTGGCACCAAGTTCCTTCCCCTTTACTCTTAACTATAATCATGTTTATCATCTTACATTTAGCTCTGTTCTAAATTATAGAGTTTATATTCTTGAGGACATTGAGATGCTTCAGAGTTTTTTAAAAAATGTATTCTGTTTTGAGTTACACAAAGCAATGAACATGTTTCCATATTTGGAGAAGAAATTTATAAAATTCATAGAGAAATATTAAAACATGTTGGCTCATTGCAGGTGACAAAAAAAGAGAAAATCAGATCATTATCTTACATTCAGTGTTTAAACCTAAAGGAATATCATGATTTAGATTAAATCCACATTACATTTCCTAATCTGAAACAAAAAAATAATAAAGTCAACATTATTAAATGACAAAATAATTCTGGCATATGCCTCAATCTGTGGGTGTTAATTTATGTATTGTTAAAATTCCTATTCAATATTGTAGAGTCAGTATTAAAGGAGAGTATTCTCAATGAATATTAGGTTTGGGGCGGATATTTAATTACAAATGTGCTGAGATTGTGAGGTAATTTTTTAAAGTCCTGTTATTTAAGACATAACTATGACTCCTGAAAACAGAGGTTTGTCTTGGCTAAGACAGCATGTATAGTTTCTTTAGAATTATGCAGCAGAGTAATCAATAAATTAAAGACACATATGTAGAGTGGAGCTTTCACTATCATTCTTTCTACCCGCCCTTGGACTTAGAGAATTTTGGGCTGGGTCTTTGGAGAAGATTAGTCCCAGACATTTTTCCGTAATTAGCTCTAATTCATTGCTGCTTCTATAGCTGTAAGACTGATCTAAAGCTGGTCTTCAGTGAACACATTCTACTGGGAATTTCCAAACATTTCTTGCCAGAATGCTTAAACCAGCTTCCTAACAAAGTTAGTCCCCTAAGATCAACCTAGTCTAGACTCATTATACTCCAGGGAAGGCCAAGAACTCTGACAGGTAGGAATGCACTGAAGTGACTTTAAAATATCTCTTCTGGCAATGATCCATATTCACATTTTTTTAAAAGAAAATGATGCTGCTCATATACAGTTCAAGTAGCCATACCCTATTGACAAGTAGAGACTATTCTCAATTGGGCATACAAAGAGTATAGAAAGATAAAAATTAATATTACACTATGAATACAAAATATTTTAAATAAATATTTTAATTCTATTGTTGACATTTACAAGTAGAAAGCATACAGTATGTTACAAATATCAAAATGAGAAAAATATGAATGTTACATAAGTAACAAATATAAAAAAAGTATTTTCTTACCTTCCCTGAAAGTAAGAAAACTATTCAGCATAGGAAAATATCAGTATCAAAAACACAGCTTAGGTGTAAAAAAAGTTTTTACACAGTATTTTAAAAAAATGATCTACAAAATGACAAAGTAAGTGTTGAAATCTGATTTCATATAAATTATAAAAACTGGGTACTTAGAGTAAATGTTATCTGGTTGGAAAATAAGTCCAATCATAAGCTTTCCTTAGGTCAATTCTTTAAAATATTAAAAGCATACGAAAAATTTTCAATAAATAACTTTTAAGAGTGTTTCTTAGAAGTGCTGCTGAGAACATCATTCGCATAGCAAGGTGGCAGTGTTCTGGGGACAACATGCAATCATTCTGTTCCTAATGGAAGCCTCATGAAAGTCAGGAGACTATAATCATTTGCTCAAGGATCCAGAAGTTTTAAGACAATTCTATAAGAAAGCGTTAAAGTGCTGAACAAAATGACTTAATTTCAGTACCCACTGTCATGTAAAACTTACTCAAATACTGAGACATTTCTGAGCAACATCAAATACAGAAACTATCATTCTGAAAAGTGTTAATATACTTAATCTTTCATTCCACGATAGGAGGGTTCCTTTTTACACTTTACAAGGATTGGTTTAACATCAAGAATCTTGCAATGCAAAATATAATTATAATAATACAGTTGAAACAATACACATACGCCACTGGGAAAGCACAAGTTCTTTTCTGCAATGGTAAAGGTATCAATTTTTAAAAATCACAAATCAAACACTGGTAAATAAGAAAAATTTTCCAAATGCTGCATGCCACATAACTAGTTACAAAACACAATGCATGCAGGGAAATAAATTCAACCACACATGTTTAAATTAAGAGTTGTTGTGAGTCTGTTTCAGCAGCATTGTGGTTATTATTTTTAAAGTTTTCCCTCCACCACTAGTCCATACTGGCCTGTTTTTCAAATGTGACCCAACCTAGTCAGCAACTTTACAATGGTTTGAGTATTATTTCTTGTTTTTATATTTTATAGTGCCAGTACATAAACTTCACACATACTGTTCTGCTTCCCCATCTTTGGGGACTGGTTTAGTTGTCCCAGCTTTGCCTTCTTCATTTGCTGCTGCTTTTTCTGGAAGAGATGCCAAATCTTTAAAAACATCTACATAATGGCCAAAGCCAGGGCCCCAGTTCAAAAGGTTGTCCCAGTTGAAAGTCCCTGCTTGCTGCCCTAGCTTCATGGGCAGTGTGTTGTCAGCAGTGCCTGGTGCTGCTGCCTGGGTGCCCACAGGTCCTCCCTCGGCCCTGCGACCGTGGTACCTTCGAGGCTTCAGTCTGGCTCCATAATTATCTTCATCATCTGCATCAGATTCATTGACTTGAGATAATTTGGGCATTCTGGAAGTATATACCATTGGCTTCTCCCTGTCATATTCCATTTCTGAGCAAGTGAAAGATTCATGGGAGTCACTATCAGAAGAGGATTCTGGAGCTGGAATGCCATCCGCTGGATTCCTTGTTCTAGACAGTGGCCTTCTGCAGTCCTCCTCTGAAGAAGACCTCCCATGGTCTGCACTGCAGATACTTGGGTTTCTAGGGCGAGGTGTGTTGAGCCTCTCCACTTCTTCAATAGAAAGTCCGACTGGAGGAGAAGATTCCAGTGGAATCTGCCCAATCGGCTGCTTTAGGCGACTCCCTGGTCTAGAACCATGTGATGCCATGGCCTGAGGACTCTTGCTTCTCCTTCCCAGCCTTGTGGCATAGTTGAAAATGCCAGGTTGGCAGGTGTCACCATGCATTTCCAAAGTATTACCATCCCTTATAGGAAGATGCAATTCCCTTGCTGGGCTGTTTCTATAGAACGTAGAAGATTTGGAGAAAGGGGCTGGACTGTGTCGAGACAGAGGGTTGGGAGTTGGGCATGCTGAGTGGCTTAGGGAGCTGGTTCTCAAACCTTGACCATATGAAGGCTGGTAAGTCAAACTGCTTGCTCCTAAGGGCATGGGGGATTGCCTTGCAAAGCCTAGGGGACTGTGCCTCTGGATTGAAAATTTTGGTGTGTGGCTGCGGAACTGCTTGTAGTGTTGAATGATGTCTGCATCCGAAGGGGCGATGCTGCTGGCGTTGTCAATGTCATAGTGCTCTATCTCCTGCTCTGGAGATGCCAAAGGGGCGCTGGGGATGGTTTCTGAGTTGTGAGGAATATCAGTTTCATCATAGATAAGGTAGGGGTTTTCCCTTTCAATGATATCTGGTTTTGGGTTCCCTTCAGGCTGCTTCCTCACAGTCATGTCATCCCCATAGGGAGGGATATTGTCAGGGTCATCAAAAGCAACGTTCTCACTTCCCTTTTTCTTCTTCTCCTTCGGTTTCTTCTCCTCTTTGGGATTTTTGGCCTTCTTCCCCCTGCACTGGTTACACAGGATCAGGCTAAGGACCAGGAGGGCCAAGACGGTTGCGCAGCTGCCCACGATGGCAGGCACAGCCCACAAAGGCAGAGAGATCTCTTCAGGGCCCTGACTCAGAACACAGACATGCCCCGCAGGACTTCCAGCTTTGCACACCTTCCCCTGAGGACAGAGGACGCCAAGACAGGCCACCACCATCTCACAGGTCCTTCCCGTGTGCGAGTCTGGGCAGCTACAGGTGAAGCCGGAGTGCAGGCCTGGCTCACAGCTGCCACCATTCTGGCACGGGTGGGAGGCACAGTCCCCAGGAGGGACACACCTGTAGGCATACCACTGATTAATGCACAGCAAATCACCCCAGCAGGGGTTGCTGGCACAAATGTTCGGGCCACGGCAGCCAATCTTCACTGAGGGATCTGTTTTTGAGATGGAGGCCAAGCTATGCTTCCCGCTGAAAGGAAGACTTTCTCCACCATACCACATAGAAGCAATGCAGCCATCAAAACCTGCTGGGAGAAGAAGAAGGAGTAAGGCTTTTTACAAAAAAAAAAAAAAAAAAAAAGAGCTTATACTACACTGCTGGGTTCTTGTAAAGAGAAGCTCCACAATCACCTCATATGAATACATGAATACAGAAACCTCAGTCTCAGAACCATCATCCAGCTGAAAGATAATTAAGCTGTGCATCTTATAACTTAGCAAGGTGCGTTAAGATTACCATGACCAAACATGGGTCAGATTGCTTGAATCCCACTCATTCTGAAGATTTATGAATGACTTGGGCAGGCTGAATTTTCTTTTTCTTACTCATTTATTTATCAATTTCCTTCCTTTTTACATCCCATATACCAAAAATTGCATACATACAAATAAAATATATATTTTTTAAATTTGTAAAGAACATGAAATAGGCCAATGGCTTCAACTACTAAATCATGCATTCCCATTGAAGGTGATAATACACCAAAGGTGTGGAACATAGGTTCTTGGGGAGCAAAACAAAAAAATCTTAGCTATTACAATGGTTTGTGGGCCTCTAAAAGGCAGATAAAAACATACCTCTGGTGTTAACATTTTATGACTTGGGGATGGCAAAGTTTAGACTATATTAAGTGTCTCCTTAGGGGAATGATAAAGATAAAATGCAAAGTTAAGAAACACTTCATTACACTTGAGTGTGTTAACAGTGCTGATATTCCTATCTCAGGGCCCAACAATCTATTTTGACACTACAAAAAGCGTAATTTCCATTGGTTTGTTTTCTCACAACATTCTATAATAACCATATAAAAAGGACTTATGACCTGGACTTTAACTTTTATGCCTTAAATCTATTAGTCTCACATGCATTTTTTTCCTCTTATTTAATGCATCATTCTACCATAGTGACATTCTCATTCTTGATATATTTTTTCCATGAGCTTTTGTGACATCTTTTCTTTTTGTTCCTATACTCCTGATTTTCTTCCTATTACTTAGTCTTCTTTTCCGACTTATTCTCCTCTACATAACCATTAACTCTTACGGTTAATCAAGATGACGTCCCAGGCTTTCTTTTCACTCTACGCCCTCATGTTAGGTGATCACATCCATGTCCAGTACTTCAGTTACCTGCTTGACACTGACCACTCTTAAATATATATTTCCAGCTAAAGTCTATTTCTGATTTCCAGCCCATCCATCCAAAGGATTTTCTCAAAGATGCTTCAAATCCAAAATGTCCCAAACCAAATCTAATATTTCTCAGACATATGCTGCTTTTGGAGGGTTCTGCAGTTTCCTCTCTTGCTGACCTACCCTTCTTTGAGTTGAGAAGTAGAAACCTCCTTGAATTTTACCATAATCACTAACAGTTTGGTTGATTTTAGTTCCCAGAATATTTCTTGCCTATCCATTTCTTTCTAACTCCTCAGCCACCACACTAGTAGGAGCTCAGAAGACATCTTGCCCAGATCCCAACTCATTTCTGTAGATCCACTCGTGTCCTCCTCCAATTCATTCTCCATGCTGTAGCCTGAATGATCTGTAATATTACTGCATATCTAACTTGATCCTACTGTGATTAAAGTTTTCAATTACTTCCCATTGCTCTGTAAATAAGACCAAAACTGCAACATGGTCAGGAAGTTGCTTCATTCTCCAACTTCATCATTTGCCTATGATGTTAGCCTCCAATGTGTTGTCTTCTATAACTTTGGCTTAAACGATTTCTTTAAAAAAATTCCTATCAACATAAATTAACCTTTCGTACACTTTCATCCTCCTCATCATTCAGATTTATGTATACATGTCAATTCCACAGCAAAATTCCCCTTCCTTTCTCTTTTTTCACTATATTTTAGAATTCTACATTCTTCATTTGTATTATTTATCACACATTAGAATAATGCAGTTACTTGTGTAAGAATTTGATTAATGTTTGTCTCCATTAATGGTCTATGAAGAGAGTGGCTGTGAATGAATAAATAAATGAACAAATGTATATGAAATGCTTGGTGGACAAGCAAAGCATCAAAACACTATGGACTGAATTACAACCTTGGTAAGAAAGATGCAAGCTCTCGAGAAAGTGGTGGCTAATAGTTTATTACAAACTTTCTGAAGATAGTTATGACATTCTTAGGATATTTATAATTGATATTATCAGACATCAAACTACTTTTTTAAACATAAATTTTATTGAATGAAATTGTTCTGTATATGAGATTCATGTTAAATGTGTAGTCTTGCCACAAGAAAAAGCAATTACTTTTTGAAGAACAATTTTACTTCCCTTGTGACTCTACTTAATAAAGGCATTTACCTGTTTGGGCATCTCGATGTGCTTGATTGGGTGGAATTCCTCCAAGTGATATAGTAAGCACATCAAGGCCACCGAAGTCCTGAGTAGGGTGGATAATATCTCTGTTATATATTCTGTCAACAGACAATACTGTTGCTGTTCCATTTTTCCCAATTAGAAAAGTGTGCCAGTGGCCGTCTGCAACATATACTTCAGGAATATTTCTCTCCACTTTCCCAGCAATTCCTGCATCGGATGTAAAATATACTTTGCCATTCTTAATCTGTAAAACATATTAAAAATAGTATGCAATTAAAATATGGTATGCTTAAATAAAAATCATTAACAAAACTAAACTTAAATTTTTGACCAGTCCACAGCAGATAGAATAGCTGAAGAATCTGGTTGTATTAGAATATACTTACACACTTTGTCTCTAATTTTAGGCAACATGTACTTTTACATTTAAGTTTCAATGGTTTTCAACGTATTCTTATATGTATACCTAATTTCTCAAAACTTGATGAATTATTTTCCAGAACACAATTGAAATAATAAAGGGGCGAATGTCCATTTAAGATAATTAAATTATACCTTTTTAAATTATTTGTATTCCAATGACAACCTGCCATTGGAGTGTGTTATGCTGGTTCGTTTAGTAAAAGGCCCATAGTACTAAAAAATTGTGAAAACCACTTGCAAAAAGAAAAAGAATGCTCAGCTAAAAGGGAAGCATAGTTTAAAAATAAAGATGAAAATAATTGTTTTACCTCTCATCTTTTACACACAAATTTTAGGAAAAAATGATGCCTATTGTTTATATCATTTATTGAGATCAAAAACTATGATGAACAAAGAGTGAATTCTTAATGAGGTGTCTGGGCAAGCCTTCACTTTGGCTGTCTTTTACAATTTATCTAAAGGATATTTGGTTTATTTTATTTTGTCCAGGAGAACATTGGGTAACAGGGTGCTCCCACTCCAGTTTCCAGCTACCGAGTTTCCAGTATCCTGAGTAGACCATTTTAGAAAATGAGATAATTTATGAGGCAAGATGAACATTTGGTTCAGGGAGCATAATCCTGTTACCACTGCCAGACAGAGCTGGTGTGTTGGCAGGGGGATGCAGTGGCACTGTTCCTCAAATAACGGGAATGAAAAGATGGATCAGTTTATTTTGTCACTCAGATCAAATGCTATTTCTACATGTAACAAACACATCTGGTAAAACTAAAAATCAGTTCATTTGTACTTTACCGAAAAGATGTCTAACACATTTACATATGTTATTCATATAGCAATATTTTATTAAAGCCAATTTTTCCAGATAATAATATATTTCAGTACCAAACTAAAAAAAAAAAACAGAAAATTCTAGCTAAATGACAATAACATTTCATCAAATGGGCAACATCTCATGACACACAGTAAAAACAGCAACTTTCTTTGGTTATAGCTGGAGTCCTTTTTGAAAAAAAAAAAAAGGAAAAGCCTTCTCCCAGCTCTTTCCTCCTAATTGATTTCATCATGTCATCCTTTTATTCAATAAATTTTTGATGAAAGAGCACTTGGAATATACCACAAATTGGGGTGGATAAGAATATAAGTTCCCATTATAACATTCTTAATGTTTTCCTTCTCCCTGGCAGTACTGTACTTAACACTTATATAATTCTTCACTTTTAAAACATCATGCTAATTTTTGCTTGGTTTTATTTATTAATAAACAGTCAATGATGAACCATAGGAGCTGAAAAATTATTATTGCCTAGTGACCTAGTAGCCATTGTAATGTCATAGCACAACGAATTACTCATTGCGGGGATACAGGTGTAAGCAAGCCTACTGAGCTGCCAGTTGTATAAAAGTATATCACATGCAATTTGATAATAAATGACTATATTAGTGGTTTATGCATTTACTACACCGTTTTTTTAATCATTATTTTAGAGGGTACTGCTTCTAATGATATAAAAAATAGCTGTAAACCAGCCTCATCCAGGTCCTTTAGGTGGGATTCCAGAAGAAGGCATTGTTATCATAGGAGATGACAGTTCCATCTGTGTTATTGTCCCTGAAGACCTTCCACTGGGACAAGATGTGGAGGTGGAAGACAGGGATTTGATGATACTGACCCTGTGTAGGCTGAGGCTAATGTGTTTTTTTGTTTCTTAGTTACTAATGCAAAAGTTTAAAAGTAAAAATAAAATGAAATAAAAAACTTTTAAAATAGAAAAAAAGCTTATGGAATAAGGGTATAAGGAAAGAAAATATTTTTGTACAGCTGTACAATGTATTTGTGTTTTAATTGTTATTACAAAAGAGAAAAAAGTTAAAAATTTTAAGTTTATAAACTAAAAGAGTTACAGTAAGCTAAAGTTAATTTATTATTGAAGAAAAATATTTTTGATAAATTTAATGTAACCTAAGCATACAGTGTTTATAAAGTCTGCAGAAGTGTATAATAATGTCTTAGGCCTTCACATTGACCCACCACTTGCTTAATGACTCTCTGACTCAGAGCAACTTTCAGTCCTACAAGCTTCAGTCACAGTAAGTGCAATTTAGGCAACATGTGAAACCTCATCCCTACAAAAAAATACAAAAGTTAGCCCGGCATGGTTACGCACACCTGTAGTCCCATCTACTTGGGAGGCTGAGGTGGGAGGATACATTGAGCCCAGGAGGCAGAGGCTGCAGTGAGCCGAGATCATGCCACTGCACTCCAGCCTGGGCAACAGAGCAAGACCCTGTTGCCCAGGCTGTCCCCCATCCCCCCAAAAATCTTCAATGCAGCCTTTTTACTGTACCTTTTTTATTTTTGGATATGATTATATACACAAATACTTTCCACTGTGTCACAATTGCCTACAGTATTTAGTACAGTAAACATGCCATACAGGTTTATAGCACAGGAGCAATAGACTATTCCATATAGCCTAGGTGTATAGTAGGTTGTACCATCTAGGTTTGAGCAAGTTCACTCTATGATGTTTGCACAAGAATGAAATCACCTAACAATGCATTTATCGAAATGCATTCCTGTCATTATGCAACTCATGACTGCATTTATTTGTTCATTTATTTAATTTGAATCTATAGAGCTTTGAATTCCTTATTCCAATTATTCTGTATCACCTATGTTGCCCACTTAAAAAAACCAGACAAACACAAAAGAACTGATTTAGAGTAGAAATAAAGTCCATCACATTACTATTATTACAGAACATCAAATATGGAGCTATAGGGCATGCCATGAATGAAGAGAGATTTGTGAAATGAGTTAAATATTGGCCTACAAAGTTTTACACAATTATGCTTTCCTTTTGCCTTTCTCTCTGAAACTTTCTTTTCTTAATTTTTTCTTTTTCTGAATAGACCCAATTGATTCTACATATTCTTCTCTCTCCTCTCATCACTATTGCTGCCCACACCTGACACTGACACCCTCTCTCTCTTCTAGCCACATGGAATCCCATTTACCCAACACCCTTCCTCATTTTTCACAAAATGTCCTCATCTTCTGTCTGCGTGTGTGTGTGTGTGTGTGTGTGTGTGTGTGTGTGTATGTGTGTCTGTAGAGAGAGAGAGAAAGAATGATAGAAAAGAGAATGAGAGAGAGAGAATGCAAACCATAAGAAAGAGTTAAAGAAAGGATCAGAAAAGGAGCCAAAAAAAAAAAAAAAAAAAACGGAACCCTGGGGTCTTGGTGACCAATAAGCTAATTGATAAGTAAAAGTCCATCCTAACTAGCTTCCTAGTCTGTATAAGCACTTGATACTCCTATCATCCAAATAATTTGCCTGCTTACAACAGCCACTTTCTTTTGGTTTACTTAGTTATTCTTAATTCACTGTTGTTATTTTTTCTTACCTATTCTCTTTACCTGCCAAGCCCCTTTGAAAAGCTTCTTTTCAAAATTTTCATATAAAACTATGCATTTTGGTCTGTATTATTCATTTTTTTATTAATTTGCACTTACTTTCCTTTCAGGAAAAAAATTAAGTTATTGCTACCAAGCTAACAAAATCTGGAGTTGTATGCGCTGTCCTGTTGGAAGTAGAAGAATTTATGGTGACAAAAATGGATCCTGACATTCAGCTTTTTCCTTAGTGAAGAAAAAAATGTGTCTCTGATTTTTTTCAACCACATTGTATTTTGACTGAATTCCTTGGCTTTAAGTGTACGTTAGTACAGAAATATTTCATATGTCATTTAAATGGCACGAAGACTTGGAAGCAACTTAACAGATAACACACAGACCTCAATGTCAAAGCCTCTCAAACCATATAAAATATGTTTCTTATAGAAGATGAGGATCTATTTCTTTTTTTGCTTCTTTACTTTGTTTACTTCTAATACCATTTTCAATGAAAATTATAAGTACCAGATAATAATGTAATACAATGGCTTATGTGTTCTCTTTTACAGTTGTTTTATTAACTCTGGAACTGGGTCCTTTGCTTCAATAGAGGTAAAGTTAAAACCTGAAGATGTTCTCTTGTAAGGGAAAAGGGTAGAGTGTCTGCCATTTGGCACTAATGATATTTGGGGCCAGATAACTCTTTGTTGTGAAGTGCTACTGTTTAGCAGCATTCTTGACCTCTACCGCTAGACGCCAGAAGTACTCTCCCAACTCCTAACCGTGACAATTGAAAATGTCTCCAGATATTGCCAAATGTCCCATGGGGGTAAAATCTATCCTAGTTGGAAATGACTGGACTAGAGGAATTATCATTTGAGAAGGTAAGAAATATTGGTTTTTGTACTACTTATTAAATATATTTATATGCAACATAATCATGGTTGGCTTGCACAGAGAAAAATTTTGAGGATGAAAGAGGCTGAAGTTTAGAAGTGAACATCTATTTTTATTTTTAGTATTATATGTGAATTAAACCAAATAATTTTTCTGAACAAATTGCTCTTTTTCTCTGTGAACTATCCCTGGAGTAGTTATTAAATATTGACTAATAGATGAAAATAATTCAGGAAATCTGGATTTGTTATCTTAAGAATTTACTAAAATTTATATAAAAAATTATCAGTAGAATGATACAAAGTAATATTAATGGAAGGCAGTAAATATAACTAAACTAAAGAAACTGTTGGTCTAGGAGATGACTTATTTGTGGGAAAGAAAGCAGAACATAGGTTTAAAACTTCAGAAAGCTAAGGGCCGATGCAAAAATGGATATCTAATGAAATTATTCATCTGTATATAAGTCTAGTATCTTATTTACAGATAAGAAAAAACAAATTATGTAAAAGCCTAATGATAAATCCATTGTTCTCATGAAGCATAATTTTTAAGATTATTTAAAAATTATTTGGAAAGGTTAAGTAAAATTATAATGAATTCCAAATATACTTTACTCCACAGAGTTTATATAGAGAATTGAATATATGCTCCAGAAATCATATAATTTCAAAATGTTTTTGCTTATTTCAAAATGTTTTTCCTTATTCTAATCCTGTCAATTGACATATACATATCAATATTTGAAATAATTGTTGGAGAAAAATATTTTTGTATTTCAAACAAACATTATATTTTTGGTTTGCTTTGTCTAAAAGTAAGAAAAGAAGTGATATAAATTCTTACCAGAAAAATAGATTGCAACTAATTCTTTGTGTGCTGGCCTACCTGGCAGGGTTCTCTACTCTAAAGCAACACAAAAGTGTGTAGAAACCAAACCATTCAGATCTTTGTTACTCTGGCCAATGCCTGGGGAATAGTTAAGATAGATGACATTGGAATAGTGCCCAGCATTAGTCGGAACTCTAATGGGTTGTAAAGAAAAGGACAGAAATTATGGGGGAAGTGATTTAAACCACTACACGGCAGGCGGTCTAATCAAATGAAGTCACCATTAGCTTTTATCTCACCTTCACAGTAGTGTAATTGCTGCTTTCTTGGATATGGATTAAAACGCCATTCTCGCTTCTGGTCCTAAATTTTACTTCCAGACTGTTCACACCAAAAGGCTCCAACATGGCACCTCGTAAGCTTTGCCTTAACAAATATTCCCGCTTCTCATTCTGACTCATGTGGTAGTCCAAGCGCCCTTTGCCTTCTAATGATAAGGCAGTGTCAGGAGTAACAGCTGGAAGTCAAAGGAAAAAAGGGAAAATGAATGCATTCATTTGGCATTTCTTGGAGTGTTTTCTATAGTGACAAAAATATAAAAAGGACAATGAAAATGTCGTTTTGGGAATTAATGTCCCCCAACTCTACTCTTAAAAAATAATTTCCATTTATGAATCATTATATAAGTTGATTTCACATGTTTAAATGCATTTCAGAACCATGAACTTAAAATACTCTATGACAGTCATTAACCATTTGGGAAATATTTTACTAAACTATTTGCCACATTACGTAAATTATGAATATCTAAAGACAGGCACTTGTTGGTAATATGTACTTGAAAAATTTGTTTGTAATCATTTTCACTGTGTTTCCAAAATATACGTTTGCATGGTTAAAATGATTTGTAATCTTTAGTCTCTAGTATGCTATAAATTAGGACAAAGAAGTGTTCAATCAAGTATTTACATCGGTAACTAACTTTATTTTCAGTAATCATCACATATAATTTATCATCATGTATAATCAGTATGTATATTATAGTTTATTGTAATCTGAAAAAAATCCACATTCCAGAAATATTGAAGCTTAAGTTATAGAAACAAATAATATAGCTAAAGAAAGAATATTAAGAAAATGAGCTCAAATGGATTTCAGCCCTGAAAGATACACTTTAAAAGAATACATTTTATAGTATGTGAGTTATATCATGATTTAAGAAAAAGTGTCTCTGGTATTTATCTAGCCAATGACTCATATTTCAGATATAATTAGGCTCCTTAATAAATATTTATTACATTGAAAATCACATGACAGTATATATTTTCTATGTTTTCATTATATCTAATATTATTACACACAATTACACTTTCTGCTAAGACCTTTTAGATTATATTATATCCTCAATTTTATTATGCATTTCTATTTGTTTTCATAATATAATTTAATCAAATGACTCCTTAAATGTAGTCAGATACCTGCAATGGAGTTAAGTAGTAACCACTTGTTTGAAAATGAAGAATTTTTACAAAAGAGGAACCATTAGGGTTAGTTAGTGAGATGTGCAGCTCGAAATTAGAGAGCACCATTTTCTAATGATGATATGAACATCATTAATGTCTAAATAATAACATTAGGCTTAGAAGACAATGATGAAAGGATTTTAAAAAGTAATATTCAAAATTAATTCTACTACTTGTACATTAAAATGAAAGTATCAACATTAATTTTAACATATTATGATGGCTCTGTATGATGTTTTGATCTCAGTGTTGAGTGATTTAGTGTGTATACCTTTTTATGCACAAAAATTCACCAGAAAAATATCCCCCAAAGGCAGATAATATGAAAAAAAGCCTAACTATAACCTTTGATCTTTTAGATTGCCTAGAATTCTAAGAAATAAAACAAACAAAAATAAGTGAATAAAATACCTTTAAAGTGGAAGCTAGAGATTTAGTTAGTAAACGATTTTTTAAAAGGATATCATTCTTCTTCAGGTTACAAAAATAATTTTTAAAATGTCACTGTATTTTACCAATTATTGTCCATTTAATATTTTAATATTTAGAATGAAAGCATAATTTTTAATTTGATTACATACTTGGGTGCATATATTTTACTTTTCATAGTTATTAAAATTTCCAGGGGAAGACGGAAGACCTTACATACATTTTTCACAGTATTTCCCAGTGAGTCCCTCTTTGCAATGACACTGCTGCCATGACCAGTAATCCATACATGTGCCACCATGTTGGCATGGGCTGCGAGTACAAGCGCCTTCCAGCCTAGGGCATCTAAAATAAATCATAATGAGAACAATAACGCACATAAAAGATGAGGAGAAGTTTGCTAAAACTCAATATACACTTTTATTAGCTTGTTTAATTTCAAGCACTCCATTATTTGAAGCTCAAGTTACAACTACATTTGGAGAAACTAATCAAACCAGAAGTTTTCCTAGAAAACATAGTCTGCCTCACACTAAAGAAGATTCAAAAAAAATTATGTCTTATATAATAATGAGAAAGCTGTGACAATTTCTTCTTTAAATTAATTCTTACTTGAATAAAATACCTTGGTCAAATAAACACTTTGGTTAATACATATGATCCAGGGACCACATATTTTTTGACACATGTCTATCAGGATACTCATGCAACTAATGTTTATTGAATGCCTACCATATGCTAAGCACTGTTCTAAGCATGGAAGTAAAGTAATGAAAAAATAACCGTGTACTGAGGAAGTACTTATTTTTTCTTGTGGAAGAGGCAGAAAATAAAGAAAAAAATAGCTATAGAGAAAATCAAGGTGAGAAAGGGTATAGTGAGTTTGCGGGTTTGCTGAATCTTTAGATTAGGCAGTGAATTAATCTTAATCTTTGTTAAGACCTAAATAAAATAAGGGAATGAAGTATATCTGGTAGAATATCTTTTCAGCTAGAGGAAACAGCCAGTGAGAAAGCCTTGAAGTGAAAGCGTACTGCCATGTTTGAGAAACACCGAGGCCCAACATGGTTGGAGCTCAGGGCACAAGAAGAAGAATAGTTAGATATGTTCAGGAAGTGAAGGGAGATGGCAGATCATAAAAATGTTTTCATTCAGGGTCAGGATTTTGGCTTTGAAGCTGGGTGAGATGGGAAGCTATTGAAGCACTTTGAGCCAAGAAGTGAAAAGTTAACTGACTTATGTTTTAAAAACCATTCTAGGCTGGGTGCAGTGGCTCTCCTCTATAATCCCAGCACTTTGGGAGGCTGAGGTGGTGGATCATGAGGTCAGGAGTTCAAGACCAGCCTGGTCAACATGGTGAAACCCCGTCTCTACTAAAAATACAAAAATTAGCTGTGCGTGGTGGCAGGCACCTGTAATCCCAGCTACTCCGGAGGCTGAGGCAGATAATTGCTTGAACCCAGGAGGTGGAGGTTGCAGGGGGCCGAGATCCCGCCATTGCACTCCAGCCTGGGCGACAGAACAAGACTCTGTCTCAAAAAGCAAACAAACAAACAAACAGAAACATCATTCTGGACATAAGGTCTAACAGAAACAGAGGAGTTAAAGGTAAGTCTAAAAGTTTTGTTTCAGTAGGTTTTGACCTAAAAAGATGTTCACAAAATATCTCTAAATGAAAAAAAAAATTGATATTTAAAAAAGTACTTGTGTGAACACGGAGATATAAAAGGATGCACACCGAAGTATTAACAATGGTGGCAATCCCAATCCTTTGTTTTTCTGTACTGTTTGATTAATAATAATAACGAACTAGTGTGACTTTGTAACAAAACAGTAACAACATGTAGGAAAAGAAAGGCAAATAGAAAATGTTATTAAAATACTTAAGTTACAAACATTAGAAAGTATTCCTAGCTTTGCCTTTAATAGTTTTATTTCTGGTAATCTCATCCAAAAAATAATGTGAGCAAAGATTTTTGTGAAAATGTGTTCATCACAGGGTAATTGGTATATTAATAAAATTGGAAATAACTAAAGTGTATAGCAACAGTTAAAATATAGCACATTCACATCTTGGGATACTAAGCAGTCAAAACATGACAATAACCTAAGAGTAGTTGTCTCTGGGTGGTTAGATTATAGGTTAATTTTGTTTTCTTCCTTGTATTTTTTCAGAATTTTTCAAACTTCGATAATGAACAAAAGGAATTTTAAAATAAAATATGTAATTTCTAACATCCCTAAGTTATTGCTAGAAACCTAATTAATAATCAAATAAAAAAGCCTTACAGTTCATAATTAATCAAGTTATTGCCTGTTTTTAAAGCTGTATCAAGTTTTTAGGAATATGTATGTCTATAAGTAAAACTATTTAATGTGAAATAAAGTTCTATGTGTCCATGATGGCTAACATCTACATATCTCTCTGTGCTGGAACCCTTTTTTATATAATTTACCAACTTAACTAATTTAATCTTCACAACTCTCTGTAAGAGGATAAAACATATACATGCCCACATGCATATATATATATATATATATGTATAAGAATCTAGAAACATATTAATTTTCTAATTAAATATCATACTTTATGCCAAAATTTCAAAGGTATAGTATTTAAAATTCAAAACAATGTAAATCATTTGGTATTTTTAGAGATTTGAGCATAATAATTTCATCTTTTGATGCTCACTGAAGCATACTTTTTTGCATTTTTTTTCTTTAAAACAGTAAGAAATAAAATCGCCATACTGATCTAGGATGCCTTGTGCTGCCAAAGCTTGGCTGGGTTCCAGAGGCCTTCCATTGACTGCAAACTCCATTATACACCCAACAAAATCATGGCTTTCCACGTGTCCTCTTCTCTGAAGGATTGGTTCTAGAGATCTGATACCTCCAACTGTAACTCTATTTGGCTGAACATCAAGAGTCCTAAATAAATAATGGAAGATATAAATATTAGTGTCAAAAGATTACATTTTTAGTATAATGTTTAGTTCGAAAAAGAGTGAATATAGCTTTTTTTTGACATTTATTATAGTGTGATAAATTTCAATGGAAAATATGTAGAAGAGTGTCCAATACACACACAGAGTTGTTAGACTTCCGAATTATGAAAAATAATAATATTTATGGAAATTATGTTTTCAATTAGTCAAGTTAGATGTATATTATCACAATACTGAGTCAACAAGAAGGAGCATACTCTCAGAGGGAAAATAAAATGCTGTAGAATTAGTGACAACTCTAATATTTACGTTAGATTACACTGCTCCTTCCCTGAAGAGATGATAAAGAATATCAGTAAGTTGATCAATGCAAGGGATGCCAATAAGTTGATTGAGGCAATGAATGATGCATCATGATGCGTGACTACTTATTTTTCTCTGTTTATCATTTTTCCTATTAAAATCACTTATTTTCTGGTAGATTACTGCTGTGCTCAGCTTTAAGTGCTATGGAAAAATATCTGTTAATAATTTTCACGTAAACTTTTAGAAACGCATTTGAAAGAACTGAGGTCTTTATCCTACATGTTTTTCAGAATGAAGGTCATATGCAATTATTTCATGAATCTTTCCAAAGACTACTGGCTATATTTAATTTCCTTTTCTCCAATTTTATCCTTATTTCTACCACTTCATTTCACACATTTTAACACATTTTGCACAGTAATTATTGACTATTTTATATTATGAAAATTTGGAGAGGGAAATAAAATATCTTAAGCTTTATGTACTACTTAGCATCCTATAATTATTTTTAGGTATAAAGTTTATTTTAAAAAATTTTAAGTAATAATAAAAATTAAACTAATCCTATTCCTTACCAGTCATCTGAAACTGCCACATTACTGACAGTACAATATCCTGGCTCTTGGTTCTCAGAACAGGAGTCCACAGTTAAGGAGGCTGCCTACGAAGCAAGAGAAAGAAACATTCAACTTTGAGTTCTACCGTCCCTATTAGCCTTTCCAGCCAACACTACCCATGACTTGCTTCTATGTGAACATGACTTAGAAACTATGATAACATCTTGATTTAATGTATAAATCACATAATTATAATATTGAATCATGGGCACATGTTTCTTTGATATCTCAAACTAAAATTATGACTATCTATACCTATGAGAGGTAAAAGGGTACCTTTAAAAATCCTCTCCTGCTCCCCTGTTTTATAGGTGAAAAAAGATAAAAATGCCGTTAATCTTTTTTAGAATAATACACAATAGGTCTGAAACATCTTCCTGTAGATTACAATCTTAAGAAACGTGTTTATTGTACTGTCAAGCTATGTTAACAAAAGACACTTAATTTTTGATTTTCAAAAGTCTTATTCTAATATGATTTCAGCCACATTTACAAAAAGATTAGGAAAATACAATATAAATACTATATAGCAATCTATGAAAATTTAAATATTTGGATTAAAATTTGAAATTTGTTAAATCAAGTAAGTGCTCCTCTCATTTTTGTTAAGAATAATTATTTATAAATAACATTACAGCATATTTCTGTATAATCAGGATGTATTACTGTAGATCACTTTACAGTAAAAAATCCCCAATAGTATTTAAATAATGACTAAGTAGTATTTTTGCATTCTAAGGGATGCGTATTCCCTTGAGACAAAAGCCTTCTGTTTAGTAGAACATATGAATACTCCTTTTGATTGATAAACAAAGTCATAAATTTATGGTTAAAAGGCCTCAGAACATGATAACCATACAAGTCAGAGTCCTGTATAATGAGTACCAGCAAGTGAGGATGGCTGCAGTGCAGTCTAAGACCAAAGTTGTATATCTATATTATTGTGTAATCTCCAATGCTATTGTGATACACCTCCTTTGTTCCCCAAACTTCATTAAAATTTGACAAATGACAAACTTTGCACACTTTACTTGCTGAAATTGTAAGAAGGATGGAGTGTAGTGCCAGTATATCACAGGAATAGCAATAATTCATTATCCAAATGGACAAGAGGTTGAAAGGTTTCTCCCAATGCAGACAATAAAGCGTTATTCTAAATTTACGAATGCCACAGACAGGGTTAATCCAAATTTGTTACATATGTAGCAGAGAAATATAAATACAATGCAACTATTCATTTATCAGGATGCTTATCATTTCAGTTTAATAAGAGCAAAGCAAATGTAGAAAACAGTGCAGGAAGTTAAGCAAGTTGACTAATAACATGCCAAACTTAAATGCAAAGTTTTGGATATCAAATTTTCTGTATTAAAAAATCAGGCCACTTTCATTAGGAATGAAAATGATTAATTTCCTTAATATCCTACTTTTATCAATATTGCTTATGATTTTTAGGCAGTATCCATAAAACATATATTTAAATGGGAGACTTGTAAAAATTTATCTGAAGTATCTCACATTTTAAAAACAAAGACTGAGGTGAATGTATAATCCATTTATTAATTGTTTATCAAATATTACTGGCTAACATATTCTTAAATGTTTCTAAGTTAATTATTATAAGCTCTATACAGTAAACTCTTGTGAGCCACATGGAATTTTTTTTGCCATTTTTTTCAAGTAAATTATAATAAATACTAACATTTGTAGGAAAAATTTATACTTCCAATTCTCTGGCAAGTCATTCATGCCCCATTTAGTTTACTCTTTTGATAGTTATGATTATTTTCAGTTATCTGTAAAATGCGGTGACATCCAATCTCAAAAGCAGTATTAGGTTTTTATAATTCAACTTCTGCTGCTTAGGTGACTACTTGATTGAACACATCTCTCCACATATATTATGCAAGTATCCTTGTAGAGATCCCTAAAAGTATCATAAACTAGAAAGTACCACATGGATATTTATAAATGCCTCAATTAGAAAAATAACCTTGGATAACATAATTATATTTTAGTCATTGTTAATATTTCGTATACATCTAAAAGCTTGCTGATACAACTCAAAGAAAGAATAATGGAGGAGATGTTTTATTTTAATAGTAAGCTTATGCAATTTAATCTTCAGAGTTAAATTCTCTTTTACTGTTGAATTTTTATAGCTTTACCACCATAAATTAAAATGTTTTATCCCAACTATGCAATGACTTAAAGCTTAGAGGTTAATGATTTTGCCAGTTTCCAACCAAAATTATTTTGAAATGTAGAAAATGACAAATTCAGAATCCAGTAGGGGCCTTATTTTGGATGTTTTCTGAAACAGGAAGACATTTTTCCTATGACTCAAGTAATAATGACAGAGTTTTTTTCACATTTGGTATTATTAAAAATTGATGACTATGGTCACAATAATACAAATGAAACTGCATCCTTCTCCACTCACCTCTTGATCCCATGTCCTTGTCTGATAGAATCAAATGCTCATGAAGTTTAAAGAGACCTTGGAGGTCATCAGGTAAAATCGTTTATTTTACATTATAGTATACTTGACAACATATCAGAAATATGGTTATCTTACATATGTGTGGAGAATGGGGGTGAGGTGATGTCTACTATTACTCATCAGTTTTAGGATATTATTATGGCTAATGTGAGCCCAATCTATATATATCAATCTCTAAATGTTTTTCTAATTCTTTAAGGCCCAATATTTCTGGTTACATCAATCATCAGGAATACTAGAATTGATTAAATCTATATTCTTCCAGAGAATGCTGGATTTTTAAAATCTCAAGCAAAAATCAGTGCAGTAACCTATACTAATCAGAAAATATATTTTATCCAAGATTTGTTTGTTATACCTCTACTAATGTTCATTAAAGTCAGGTGGATTTTTAGGCACTACTCATAATGTAAACTTCATTGAGACCAAGATCAAGTAAAATATTCCATTATTTTACTTCAAAAGGTTATATGTGGGTTGTGTTGGTGATAATTCAGGGTGACCAACACCTGTTTAAGCACCTAATTCACAGAAATAAAATTTTAATTATGATTAATATTAACCTTTACAATAATATGGAAATGTGGGCATATTAGAATTAAAATATAAAATATAACATTATGTCTTGACAACATTTTTGGAATGTTGGGGGTAATTTTATTAAGTAAACACTATATAAATTAAATATATTAGAAAAATGTTCCAGCTGGAAAATATTAACACTAAGTTCAAAAGGAAATGGAAAACCATCTATAACTAAAATGATTGATAAAAACCATACAATACTTCTGTTGTTTTCTCACCAATATTTCAAGTAACATACATTTAATAACCTGGTAGGACCCTGAATGCAGTTTGATGGATGTGGCGATATCCGTGAATGACATGTCTGAGCAGCTACCCTTGACCATGTTGACACAATCAATTGGTTATATTTAAAGCTAATCATTATTCTTTTTCCCCCTCATAATTAAAAATAGTTCTGTATTTTAAAACTTGCTTAAATTTCCTTTAATGTTGTAGTAAATTAGAGTGGAGGAGAGAAATGTCATTGTATCTGATGCCAATTCAAAATAAACATGGATTTATAAAATATTCCTGAGATCAAATGACAAATTTTGTTCTTTCATAATAGATTGTCTGTTATGTGTACTGGTCAAAAATAATTAATATTATAAGGTAGTTTCTGTCTTATGCCCTTATGAAATTGGTAATTATAGATTGCATAAATTTTAGCCTTTAAAATTAACTACGTGTCATAGGGAAAAAAACTAGCAAAAGCTTGGTTAAAAACATTTTAAATATTACTTCTGAATATTGCTGATATGCATTCAGCAATATAACATATTCCATACATTTAGTGGCAAAAATTTCTCTATAGTCACACAAATGTATGATTCATATGATCAGTCTAAGGACTATATAAGTTGTCATATATTTTAAAGATTGCCATGAAGTCAGAAATACAATTATAATCATTTACATACCAAGTTTTTTCATTTAAAATGATTTAAGGGCACTTATTTTGTTGTTTTGGCTAGGCTTTCTTTTTAACAGACAATTTAACATTTTACACAATTCCTTTATCTAGGGTGAATTATAAATCTTACCAGTAACTACCCTTTTTTTTTTTTTTTTTGAGACAGAGTCTTGCTCTGTCACCCAGGCTGGCGTGCAGTGGCGAGATCTCGGCTCACTGCAAGCTCCGCCTCCCAGGTTCACGCCATTCTCCTGCCTATCCCCAGCAGCTGGGACTACAGGCGCACACCGCTATGCCGGGCTAATTTTTTTTTTTTTTTTTTTTTTTTTTTTTTTTGTATTTTTAGTAGAGACAGGGTTTCACTGTGTTAGCCAGGATGGTCTCGATCTCCTGACCTCGTGATCCGCCCGCCTCGGCCTCCCAAAGTGCTGGGATTACAGGCGTGAGCCACCCCGCCTGGCCACCAGTAACTACACTTTTAAAGGCTCAAAGTTAAAGTGCAAAAATACTTTAAGACAGATTTGTTAGCATTTTCTTATTAAAAATCCTTGATAGCTGTTAGAGATGGGGGAAATATGGAGAGATAGTTGTGAAGATAAATAAAGAATAAAAAATAAATAAGCCATTCCATTCTATTATACTATGTCAAATATTTTCAAACATTAATAAAGAAAAGATGTGATGCATTTTCCTTTATAAAGAAAAGTATTTATTTAATAAACACAAGTCCTAAATAGATATGTCATTCTTGTAACATGAAAGCCACATAATAAAATCAATATAATCTATAAATACATGCATGCCTCATTTTATTGCTCTTCACTTTATTGCACTTTGCAGATATTTTATTTTTTACCAATTGAAGGTTTCTGGTAATCCTGCATCCAGCAAGTCTATCAGCACCATTTTTCCAACAGCATGTGCTTACTTTGTGACTGTGAGTCACATTTGAATAATTCTCACAATATTTCAAATATTTCATTATTATTTTATGTGGTATGGTGATCTGTGATGAGTGAAGTGTCCTTGGATGTTACTATTATAATTATTTTGTGGCAACATGAACCGTGCCATATACGATGGCAAGCTTAATTGATAAATGTTATTTATGTTCTGGCTGTTCCAGCAATTATCTGTCTCTGGTCTCTCTACCTATCCTCAGGCTTCCTTGTACCTTGAGATAAAACACTACTGAAATTATGCCAACGAATAACCCTACAATGGCCTCTAAGTGCTCAAGTGAAAGGAAGAGTTGCATTTCTCTCACTTTATATGAAAATGTAAAAATGAATAAGCTTAGTGACGAAGGCATTTCGAAAGTCAAGATAGGCCAAATAGGCTTCTTGTGCCAAATAGTTAGCCGAGCTGTAAATGCAAAGTAAAAGTTCTTGAAGGAAATTAAAGGTGCTACTCCAGTGAATATACAAATGATAAGAAAGCAAGACAGCCTTATTGCTGATATGGAGAAAGTTTTAGCAGTCTGGATAGAAGATCAAACCTGTTACAACATTCCCTTAAGCCAACATCTAATCTAGAAAAAGGCACTAACTCTCTTCCATTGCATGAAGGCTGAGAGAGGTGAGGAAAGTACAGAAGAAAAGTTGGAATGTAGCAGAGGTTGGCTCATGAGGTTTAAGGAAAGAAGTCATCTCTGTAAGGTAGTAGGACAAAGCAAAGCAGTGAATGGTGATATAGAAGCTGCAGCAAGTTATCCAGAAGATCTAGCTAAGGTCATTGATGAAGGTGGTTACACTAAAGAACAGACTTTCAATGTAAAAAAACAGCCTTTTATTAGAAGATGTCATCTAGGATTTTCATAGCTAGAGAAAAGAAGTGAATGCCTGGGTTAAAAGCTTCAAAGGATAGGCTGACTCTCTCATCAGGGGTGAATATAGCTGGTGTCTTGAAATTGAAACCAGTGCTCCTTTTCCATATTAAAAATCCTAGGGTCTTTAAGAATTATGCTAAATCTACTGCATCTGTGCTCTATCAGTAAACAGAAATGCCTGGATGACAGTGCATCTGTTTACAGCATGGTTTATTGAATATTTTTTAGCCTACTGTTAAGATCTACTACTCGGAAAAAAAGATTCCTTTCAAAATATTACTGCTCACTGACAATGCACCTGGTCACCCAAAAGCTCTGACAATGATGTATAAGGAGATTAGTGTTGTTTTCATGCTTGCTAACACAGCATCCAGACTACAGCCTATGGATCAAAGAGTCACTTGGACTTTCAAGTCCTATTATTTAAAAAATACATTTCATAAGGCTATAGCTGCCACAGATGATGATTCCTCTGATAGGTCTGGGCAAAGTAAATTAAAAACCTTCTGGAAAGGAGTCACCATTCTAGATGCCATGAAGAACATTCATGATTAATGGAAGGAGGTCAAAATATCAAATATTAAAAGGAGTTCGGAGGAAGTTGATTTTTGACTCTCATGGATGAGCTTGAGGGCTTCCAGACTTCAATGGAGGAAGTAATTGCCAATGTGGTAGACACAGTGGGAGAACTAGAATTTGAAGTGAAGCCCGAAGATGTGATTGAGCTGCTACAATCTTGCAAAACAAACATGAAAGGATGAGAAGCTGCTTCTTAGGGATAAACAAAGGAAGCGGTTTATTAAGATACAACTTACTCCAGGTGAAGATGCTGTGAACATTGTTGAAATGACAACAGAGGATTTAGAATATTCCATAGGCTTAATTAATAAATTAGCATCAAGGTTTGAGAGAGGCTTGACTTCAAGTTTGAAACAATTTCATCTGTGGGTAAAATGGTATCAATCAAATAGCCTCAAATGCTACAGAGAAATCTTTCATGAAAAAGGAGTTAATCAATGTGACAACGTTTCCTGTTGTTTTATTTTAAGACATTTCCATAGCCCCCACCACGAATCTTCAGCCACTACTACCTGGCTCAGTCAGGAGCCACCAATATCAAGGCAAGACCCTCCACCAGCAAAAAGACTATGACTAGCTAAGACTATTGTTACCATTTTTTAACAATAAAGTGTTTTTGATTAAGTTATTTTATGTAGATTTTGTAGAAAAGTCTCCTCTGTTCCTAAATTGTTTCTTCAGTCAAGGCAGAAATACTTAGTCAAGGCAGAAATACTTAGGAAAGAAAGGTAGTTATTTTAAGTATAGTCCTGACATGGCCTTAAAAACATACAAAAAATATCAATGAAATTATTTCACGCACTAGGCTATATTCTCAATTGTTCTCCTTTTTATTGTTTTTGAACAGAGTTGTCATGAGCAAAAGAAAAATATTATGTCTAAGTTTTTCATAACTAAAGTGTTCATTTAATGAATAAACCTAATTTAACATGATTTGCACCCCAATTCATACTTTATTTGAAGATCCAGTTGGATATACAACAACAATAAAATGAAATATCTTACCATTCCTGCTCTCCTGGCAATCACAGTGTGAAAATGTCCATCTGACACCTTCTTCATGGTGGTGAGCTTATATGTACCACTGCCTAAATTATAAGAGAATCTTAGTCTTTCTTCGGCAATTTCAAGGGCCAAAAACTCAGCCCGGTCGCCTGTCTGGTTGTCATAGTTGTAAAGCAATAAGGCATGACTTTTAATCGTGGCAAATTTGACATAAATATAGTTGTTATTGGGGTCCAAGCTTGGAAATTCCATGTATGATAACTCCTCAAATCCATAACTGTTCAACTCGCAGTGTTTTCCAAAGACACCTGTTGGAGGGAAAATTGACAAACTGGCATAAAATTTCATGAAAATTTTATTATATATTTTGATTAAAATATTTTTGAATTATAAAATGAGATATCTTTTAACAACTTTTTTTACTTTCCAAAAAATTTCATCTAAACTAAAATTAAAATAGTTAATGATCTTTATGAATGAATGATCTTTAAAACATGGCAGAAATGATTAACTGATGTAATTATTTTTCATTGTCTAATTAGGGAACATATCTAAGTATGTTTTGTTTCTCAAAATGAAAGGCTTAGTGGAATGGAGTATGTCTGAAGAGATTTCTTTCCCAGAAACGTTTCAAAATTCATTGATTTTTTTTTTATTTTTTTTATTTTGGGACAGAGTTTTGCTCTTGTTGCCTAGACTAGAGTGCCTGCTCACTGCAACCTCTGCCTACTGGGTTCAAGCGATTCTCTTGTCTCAGCTTCCCGAGAAGCTGGGATTATAGGTGCCGGGAACCATGCCTGGCTAATTTTGTATTTTTAATAGAGACGAGATTTCACCTTGTTGGTCAGGCTGGTCTTGAACTCCTGACCTCAGGTGATCCGCCTGCCTCAGCCTCCCAAAGTGTTGGGATTACAGGCATGAGCTACCGCAAGCGGCCCAAATTTGTTGATCTTTTAAAAGTTGTATTATGCTACAATTTTCAGCCAACATACTTCCTTCATAATATATAGTTCTTAAAAACTATTTCAACTCAATTGAAGATGGCAAATGCATTTGTTTTGATTTTTTTAAAATCAGTACCTATATTCATGTTATTTTCAAGGGCCACAAAATCTGACAAGTGGAATCATTGGTTTAGGAAAGGAAATAACTGTCTTTTAAGTTTTTATCTCTTTCTTGTTTTATACCCTCTGTGGGTATGATTTATAGCAGGCTACTTTAAAATAGCTGTCTGTTTTTCTGAAAGTCAGCATTCCCATTTGTTTGTGCTGGTTCTTTTTCAAACTTGAAAAATGAGTTTTATTGATGTTACAATGTTATGCCAAAATTCTTTTCCCACAAATATTAGTAGACTGTGGCAAATGATTGGAAAATTAACCCATGCCAATACCTCATGATTCTTATTAACTTGCAAAAGTTTCATTTCTTAATTTTGGCTTTATATGTCCCATAAATGCATAAAATTTAGAGTGAGAGAATTGTTCAGCTAGAAGGAACCAATGCCATTATTTTATAGAGTATTTAAAACTTGCCTAAGGTCACAGAACCAAGAGAAACAGCCAAAATTTGAGGCCAGATCTACTGATTGTCTAGCTATTTTGACTACCACATGTTATATCAGAACATTTTTAAAATTAAAACAGCCTAGAAGTTGCTATAAAAGTTTGTGTTATTTATCTTTTCCTTTTCTGTCCAGACTGAAATAATATTTATTATAAATGAGTAGAAATTAAACATCATTTTGGCCAGGCATGGTGGCTCACGCCTGTAATCCCAGCACTTTGGGAGGCCGAGGTGGGCGGATCACGAGGTCAGGAGATCAAGACCATCCTGGCTAACACGGTGAAACCCCGTTTCTACTAAAAATACAAAAAAAAATTAGCCGGGCATGGTGGCAGGCACCTGCAGTCACAGCTACTCGGGAGGCTGAGGCAGGAGAATGGCGTGAACCTGGGAGGCTGAGCTTGCAGTGAGCCTAGAACATGCCACTGCACTCCAGCCTGGGCGACAGAGCGAGACTCCGTCTCAAAAAAAAAAAAAAAGAAATTATACATAATTTTTAATTTTTAATCTTTAACCAAAGTTGAAGAAAAGGCAAAGGAATTATAGAAATGATATTTATTGATATATATGTTATGTCATATATATGATATATAGAGATAATATTTTATACATAGTATAATCTTATACATTATATACTTATATCTATCCTGTAGAATTTGTATTTGTATTTTATACATTTCTGTGGCATCTATATTTAATATTTATAATTTGTATGTATTAATAATTTGTATATAAATATGCTATCTATGCAGAAAGAGTAAGTGAAGTTAAAGTAAAAGGAAAAATAAAGCATATAAATGAAATAAAAATACTACTGAAAAAATTTGTATTATGTGTTCACTTAGGTCTCTTCTGAATAAACTTCAATAAATCTATAACAATGTGCTGAATATTTGAGTGTAAATATATGGAGAAAGTATATAGATACTTACATTTTAATTCAAATTGATACTGTATTTTCAAACATGAAAATATTTCTTTATGGAATTTAAAATATTTATTCTTAAAAGGTTTTGGTACTGTTTTCACAGAAAGGTCGCATCTTAATTCTAAGAAGTTATAATTATACATGTCGCCTTTATAATGTCTGAAGCACTATGTTTTTCCTAAGATGTAATTTAAATTAAAAAATCTAAGTATCGAAAAAATTTTTTGAAATCCAAATAGCCAATCTTTTATTGATGAGAAGCTAAACAGTGCAAAAAACTTTTTTCTAACTTCAAAATGATAAAGTTTTGTTTTAAAGGATGCAAGTGTAACTACCTACCTCTGGCTATTTATTTGAGGCATGCCATCTGACATGGTTATTTGTACCTTTCATCCACATTCCATTTGAGAACAAAAATCATTTTTGTTTCTGCTTCTATCTCTTTAGTTTCAAATTACATAGCAGTGTTTCAGTGATTTTTGTTTTCTTTTGTAAGTGCTTATGTTGTCAACTGACAATATCTAAGTTTAGATAATGTTTTTTGTCTTTGCCCCTGGAAGGAATAGGGGGAGAAATTTGCACTGCCGGCTATGTGTGATTTGTGTCTATTTTAATTTACATTGTGCTATTCCTCTTCCCCTGGCGATGTCTACAGAGTGACAAGAAGGTACATTTGGCCCCTCAAGTAGTTCCACTTAATAGGCAACGACAGTTGTACCACTACACTGCAGCAGCAACTTGTTTTTATTGTGTATCAATTTTCTTAAATCCCCAAATTTGCAACTCAAAATCCTCAAAACTTAAATCCTTAAAATTTGCAAAGGGATCCCTAAAAATATGAACATCTCTGTTCAGTCACTTGAAAATCATTTCTAGTTTACACTCTAATCCCCTTATCTTTTATCTCAAAATGTTAAGTTAAACCATGAAATTTGACTGTGGTTATCTGTAGAAAGCAGCACCACTTAAAATGATGAGACACCATTGAAAGAAAGAAAAAGTTTTTGGACATCTCAAGTTGTGGTTATTTTGACCTTGATATACCTTTCATTACTTCACAGGCATTGTTAGAATTTCAAAGAAATTGTATAAAAAGGGGTTCTGTGAATGTCATACTGGACTGAAAATAAAAAATTGTGTTCTAGTTGCTACATCGTCTTGGGGTAGTTTTGCCTCAACTTCATTTTTTGACTTTGGGCAAATCAGCCAATTTCTGGGCCTCAAAACCATTGGTAAAATACATTCCTCAAAATTAGATATTTTTCTATTTTGTTTGTCTTTATCATTCTATGGATGTGCTTAATAAAAACAGATAGTCATGAAGTTGTTTGGAAATTAAAAATACCTAGTAAATTATACAGGTTATTAGGAACTGCGTATGTCTTTTAAATTCTATTATCTACTATAGATTGAGCTTTACTGTTCAGGTCCATATAGCACAGTTATATGCCCAAAGGAAGACTAGAAAAATATCCTTGCTCTTTCTTGCTTAAGAAAAGAGACATAGATGAAGCTGGAAACCATCATTCTCAGCAAACTATCGCAAGGACAAAAAACCAAACACCGCATGTTCTCACTCATAGGTGGGAATTGAACAATGAGAACACTTGGACACAGGAAGGGGATCTTCACACACCGTGACCTGTCATGGGGTGGGGAAGGGGGGAGGGATAGCATTAGGAGAAATACCTAATGTAAATGACGAGTTGATGGGTGCAGCAAACCAACATGGCACATGTATACATATGTAACAAACCTGCACGTTGTGCACATTACCCTAGAACTTAAAGTATAATAAAAAAATAAATAAATAGATATACAAAGGGGACAAAAAAAAAAAGAAAAGAGACAGAGTCATTTGGAGATGGATTCTATGCTGTGGTGTAAAGCAGCCTTTAAAAAGAATGGAATAATCACAAACTTATGAAACAAGCCAAGCTAATACAAATGCTTCCTCTGAATCTCATGGTTTTTGGCTGGCACAGTAATGGGTAACAGCTGGATAAGACCTGGAAGGAATCTTTTAGTTCATTCCACTAGGGTGAATAAATATGTATGTATACAAAAAAGTTCTTTTTAACAATTTTTCTTATCCAAAAGACAGATTAGTCTGAAATTTTATTAGTCAGGTAGTATCAGCTACAAAAAGCCTATTATGAAAACGTCAGGTATAGTTACTAAGTCCTTCTAATAAAAGTGGCTGAATTAACATAAAAAACAAAATTAAAAACTAATGTAAAAAACAAAAATAAAAAATAAAGCAAAATTCACAAAAGTGAAACAAACAAAAAACCTTACTTTGACTACTCTTAAAGATTTGAAATAGAGAGTGACGTGAAAGAGTGCTTACAGAATTTTTTTATTTCATAACTTCTCAGCTGAAAAGAAGATATCCATAAATCTTTGGGGGGAAATATCCTATGGAAACAATATTAATTCAATTATCTTGAGTTGACTCTTTTTCTAGTAATGACCAATGCAATGTATTCAATGGGATTTCCATAACTTTTACAAATGTTAAACATTTAAGATTTTATTTTAATAAAACCTTCCATGTAAAACAATAATTTTTTGGTCTTTCATACTCATAATAAAACAAAATTGCTAAACTGTGTGCAAAAATAAACTTATATTTTATATCAACAAATAAGTTTTACTCACCAAATGGACAATGACAATAATAAGAATCCACACCACTTTGGCAGGAACCACCATTAAAGCAGGGGTTGCATTCACAGTAATTGACTGAAGATTCACACATTTTCCCTAAAATATATCAAATTCAGTTTTTTTTAAATCTCATACATAAATATATTAACACCGTTACACCATTACCATACGTAAAAATCTTTCCTAAGGCATATCACGGAGAAAAGAAATATAAAAACGTTTTACTTGACATAAGGAAATTAGAATAATATCTTAGAATTTAAAATCTTGTTTAGTTGTCCTATTGTAAAATGTGCATTATAATACTTAGGAAATAATTTACATAATCATCTTGGAAGAAAATACTGTTTGCAGAGAAATGACATGATAAACATATTTAAATGCTTTCACTGAATTTATTTTCTGTGTCAATGTCCCTTCATCTTTTATATTTTATAGATAGAAAGTTGAAACTTACAGTATTCTTTTCACTGCAGAGATTTTCTTGACTTAGGTATTTCAAAGATAATAACTTATCTTATTTATCAAACTACACTCTTTCTACTACTAAGAAATATCACTTGAATTACACATATCTGTTGTAAAGCAGAATAAGAAATAAGAAAACACATCATATTTTCAAATGCTTATGAAAATTTATTCTTGACTACAGATTATGTATACTTTGTCTTTTGTCTGAAGCGATAATACCTAAACAGCATATTTTTCAGTTTATAAAGACTTTTCTCATACATGATCTTGTTAAATTGAATCAACTAATATTGAGTGAGTGCTTATTATGGGCCAGACATGATAATGGAGGGGGATATGGCAGTGAAGAAAGCAAACAAGTGTCTTCAGACTGTGTTTCCATTTCAGTAGGGAGTATTAATCCATACAAAGGAAATATTTACATTTCAAAAGTGAAGAATAAAAGCCTCTTGGAGGCTAATATATTGTCTGTGAAACTGTAAAACTATGACACAGACCAATTTAGGGCTTCTGCTCCCATATCCAGGTTTCACAAAACTATGGTAGTTGATCACGTGGTGTATAAAACTTGGAGTATAAGTCCCACTTGTTTTTGTTGTTGTTACTTATTTTTACCTAAACTTAAACATGTTCTAATACCACTGTTCTATAACTTTAAAGTATTGCAATCATTTGATACATTCGTTAGGATCTAATTTTCAAATTTCATAATGCAGTGAGATGTTACAGAATTCTTAGTTAATTTCTTTTCATTGAGAGTAGGATTGTAAATACTACATCATTTGTTTCTGGAAGTTACTTTCTACTTCCCAGCCCAATTTCACTAATGCATTTATTAGATAGCTCAGGAAATGATATGCATTCTATATGCACAACGAGACCTACTGCTGAGCATAGATACTTCATTTCATCATACTAACTTTGCTTAAAACACAGTCAAAATTTTGTTTAAATTGGTTCTGTTTTTGTGGCTTGATTACGGAGCCACACTTATTCTGGTCTGAAATTATAAGTGTGAGTCAGATCTCATGATGCTAACTAAGCCCATTTCTGTACATCACAGAATCATAAACACAACATTTTTTCCCTTATAAATAAATTGGGAACCTCCTTATAAGGCAAAACATTGAGCTAACAATTTCAGAATACCTTTGTATTGTTAAGGCAAGGGCATGAAAATAAACAAGTTACAAATTTATGGGCACAGAAATCAGGTTTTAAGTATTGTAGCAGTGTACTACATTGGAGAAATAGGCAGGAAAACTTCAAATAGTGCTTGATTTCTCACCAGAGAGTTGCGGTTTCACAGAACTCTTTCCTGTTTTGTTTTTCAACTGATTATGTGAAGGCCATTTTAGTGATGTAGATTTTTTTTTCTTACAGCACAGTATTTCCCAGTTGCAAATACATAAGGTCTACTGGCCATATTTTTGATTAGTTGTCATCAATAAAGTAATATTCTACTCTTTCCATTTGGTTTTCACTGTAAAAGCACACATAATTTTCACTTGTGCTTTTTGACTAGGTACAGTTTTACTTTCTTTCATTCCTTTCTTTATCCAAAAAATTATTTTAGAGTTGTGTTAAAAGTAACATGTATAAAATACATAGACTTATATATGTATTTATAAGTGTGTTCAATATAGCCTTGTTATCATGAAAACATGTTAGTGGGTTACAAAATTGCCACCTTCACTTCTTAACGACTGGAAATGAGGAACAAATAAGAAGTAACAAATGTAGAGGGTACTGCTATGTATACTTACTCAAATAATTGGACATATGTGCTCTCTGACAAAAATATATGAGTATAAATCCCAAGTCATTGTTCCTATAAAGCTACTATATGTTTTTTGAATTTCATTTACAAATACTACCTTTATAAATCTTGAGTTAAATAGCAACAAATGAAATTTACGTGTTGTTCTTTTTGTGTATAATTATATGAATCAATTCTTATTTAACCCTGTATAAAATATTTTAACATAGACATCTGAGTTTAATTTAAATATAAAATACAGGCTATTGCAGTTACTCCAGAGTGAGGAGTGGAAATATATCCTAACACAAATAAGACTTATTCATTTATTAAAACATACAGTGATTACAAAGTGGCAGAAGATGTTACAAACCAATAAAATACTAATTTTGAGAACGAATTTCCTATAAAACTTAAATTCTCAATAGAATCTGATTCTTCAAGTATACACAAATAGAAATAGAAATTGTTAAGAAAAAACAAATTCAACCTTGCATTCAGTATTTCAGTTTAAAAATAAGGTTGTTCCTTTTTACTTTGTCTTAGTGGATAATTACAAATAATTAATAATGGCTATTCCTCAAGAGCTAAAAGCAGAACTACTGTTTGACCCAACAATCCCATTACTGGGTATATACCCAGAGGAATATAAATCATTTTACCATACAGACACATACAAATGAATGTGCAATGCAGCACTATTCACAATAGCAAAGACATGGAATTAACCTAAATGCTGATAAATGACAGATTGGATAAAGAAAATGTGGTACATACACATCATGGAATACTATGCAGTCATAAAAAAGAACAAGATTATGTCTTTTGTGGGAACATGGATGGAGCTGGAGGCTATTATCCTCAGCAAACTAACATAGGAACAGAAAACCAAATACCACCTGTTCTCACTTATAAGTGGGAGCTAAATGATGAGAACACATGGACACAGAGAAGGAAACAACAGACACTGGGGTCTACTGGAGGGTGGAGGGTGGGAGGAGGGAGGGGAGCAGGAAAGATCACTATTTGGTATTGGGCTTAATTCCTAGTTGATGAAATAATCTGTATAACGAACCCTGTGACATGAGTTTACCTATGTACCAAACCTTCACATGTACCCAGAACCTAAAATATAAGTTAAAAAAATAGATAAAATGGCTTTGTTTGGGGTTAAATAAAGGAATTTGTTGTTGAGTTTGGAAAAAATAGTCTTATCTGTTGGTGGTAGAGTATGTAAATTATTTACTATTTAAAAATTGAGTTCTCCATTTAAAGAGTAAAAATTTTTTACAATTCATGAACTCAGAGGTTGCCATAGCAGATACTTGAATTCAAAGACATAGTAGGAAAACAGATTTAAATTTAAATTATTATTTAAAACACCTGTGTCTTTTGTGTGAGAAAAGGATTCCATAATTTTACTTAGAATCAAAAGAAAGCTTCTAAATGCATATTTCTCAGGTTTGGAAAGTTTATGCTTTTTTACCCAATTAGAAATTAACAAAATTCTGAATTGTTTTGTGCAAGTCTATCTACTTAAATTGTAGTGTTAATAGCATAATGAGTATCAGAGAATGCAGTAGTTTGAATTACTCTAACATGCTCTTGGTACAATAATCTGATGTGTTGAAGCACTGTGAAACAAAATCTTGGATCATTAACTTAATTAATGCTACAAGTCAATTAACAATACTTGCCAAACGCCTTCAGGCTTGGAAGTATGCTGATAGGACTTGCACAAAGACAGGCATTTATTCCTCTTGAACTCAAGAGGCCTCCTTCCATTAAGATATGTTTACTGCCATAGCAGCTGTTTAGAAGAATAAATTGATCTCATTGCTTTGACATCCATCAATTAATTGTGTTGCCATACACTATTTATCATAACTAGAAGGAGATGTGCTTGAAGAAGTGTAAATTCTTAGCACATGGAAAGTGGGAATAGCTTAAGGTGAAAATAAATGCATAATAGGAATCCATGGTATCCGCAGACTTTCCTAAACTTACAGGAGAAATTTTGTGTCTATTTTCATGTTTGGGGGCAGAAGATGTGATGACGTGTTGAACATAAACTGAATCTATTGTAATCACCTATGGTCTTTTCAACAAGAATGTATATTCAAGTTTCACTTGTCCAAGCACATTTTAATGTTGGATTATGTGAAATAGAGCTAAATTTATTCTCAACTGCTAAATTGGACCACTCCATGAAGATACGATAATTTTTGATACCCTATGATACATGTAGCCTTCAATTTAAGATCTTAGATTATATATACATATTAGACTACCATAAATATTATTTTTAAATCTCCTGTATTTCTACACAGAGGAGATGGGAGAATATGTGCAACTCTAAAAATCCATTTTAGGTCTAAATTGATTATGTTATTAATAAAGAAATTCTATAATAAATATATGCTATTCATTCTAGGCATTTATCTTATATATTTTCCAAATTATTTTAGCAAAAAGTAGCTGTCTTTTGCACAGTATGCAAATGTTTCCCATTATTGTTAAGGAGCTATGAAGATAGTCTAAGTATCCTGTTCAATAGCCTTATGGCTTTTTTGCATTGAAACAAAAGCAAAAATACCATGTTTTAATAAGGGCTGCCAGTAACAAAAGCAACAACCAAAAAAAGTTTTTACCTTTGTCTTGTAAAACAAGCACAAACACAACCTCAATGAGACTACAAATGATTACATATGATTACACACATAATGTTCATAAGCTTATAAATATATGCTTATTTTCTACAGAAATAAGCATTTAAGCTACTTCTTAGAAACATACGTTATTAATGCTTTTATAAGTTAATGTATTACCTAATGTAAACTGCCTAATTCTGCTTTCAGGAATCAAATTAAATAAAAATAATTGCACTCTTTATTGTCTCTTACATGAGCCACTCTTCTTTATCTCAAACAAAATTTAATTTCATATATATTTACTAAATTTCTTTTATATTATATGGTTTTCCGGTCACATGATCATCAACAACACCAATACATGACCGTAGTAATTTTAAAAGAATCACTCTTAGTAACTCTTTCCATCTTTATGAAAGCAAATATCTGGCAAGTTTCTCAGTAAAATTACTATGCATATTCTGTATATAAGTTGGTATGTCTGAAAAAATTTTACTGTTTATACTGTCAAATGACATAAAAGTGATGAATGAACAAACCTCATCTTTCCTGAAATATCGGGACTTAATTGAGAACATAGGAAAACTTCTCCATAAGGTAATAAACCCCCGGCATTATTCCAAATACTACACCTGAAATGCATCCAGATGTGTGAAAGTGAATGGAAAAGGTTAAAGAGACTATGAACTAATTATGTTATAAGATAGCCAGATTTATAAATAAGCTCTATCAAAATGCTGCATTTTATAACACCATCCATTCCCATGAAGGATTTAATGCCAGGAATGTGATGCAAACAGCGAAAACCTGGCAGCAGTAGACAAATGTTGATGTGGTTACTATTACTGTACTTTCTAATTAGTGTTCTATTAAGTGCAAGACATTTTCATTTGTATATGAAAATAAATACTACATGTGTCGTTATTAGGCTAAAGTTTTCCTCTAGGAACCCCTAGACTTATGTGGCAGGAATAATAGTTTTTATTCACTGAGGCATACTGACAACTGATGTTAATTTTTGGTGTCATTACATTTTGTGAAAATTTAGAAATTAATTTTTCACATGGCCTATACTATAATAAACTTTATCCATCTTTTCTAATAATTTATGTTACAGTTAATCAAAGCTTCATATGGTGATATTAATATAAAAATTATAAGAAAATTTTCTTAATAATGAAACATATGAAGTGATTATAACTGAATATGTTACTTTTTTTCAATTTTCTTTTGGTTCTTTTTCCAGTAACTAAGGAAAAGAGATAAGAAATACATGTTATACAAATTCATTCCCTCTAAATCACTCATTCATTAAAAAATATAGTTGTTTTATACTTATGTGCATGGTTACAGACTTGAAAATAAACTTTAAGAATATTTCAGAAATAAACTTGTGACAGTATGATAATAACTATATCCCTTCCTATTTTTTGTTCCATGATTATCATTTTCATACTTGCGTCCTTATAAGTTGTTCTCTACATAAAATCTCCATTCAGCTAACATTTAATCACACCCTAGGGGATTCTGGGGATAAAGTCTCTTAGTTTGCATCAACTCATAAGCCACTTACTCTTCTAATCCTTAACACAATTTCTAAATCCACATAAAATACTCAGTGGTGTGTGTGTGTGTGTGTGTGTGTGTGTGTGTGTATGAGAGAAACTGGGTATGGGTAGTGGCTGAGGATTATTTTAAGCAGAAAGTTCAGAAAATTGTGCAGCTCCAATTTGTAATTTCACAGACTTTGAAACCTATTGATAAAATGCAGGTGGAAGCCCACAAAAGTAGAGTATGAAAAATACAGTAATTTAAAATAATTCTGATGGCCAAAAATTATATACAGACCTTGAAGAAGTGAAGCTTTACTAAGGCACTACAATTTAATTCATGTTAACTGAAGTAAAATCTAGCTATTATGAGTAATTTTTTAAAAAATCATTCTATGAGGCACACATACAGTTATGTGTAAATTTTGTCTTATGGTTTATTAGCTCTGACTAGGTTAGATGTTAAGATGTTTTGGTATATTAGCTCTGTCTTCCTGAGCCAGGCTATCTGGCAGAGACTAGGTAAAAAGAATAACTCAGAATGATCCTTCAGAGATTACCTCTACAAAAAAAATTAACAAACTATAGAAATTTAAGCAATACATTTCTAATTTAAAGTATGGATTAACATTTGCCACTCACTATGCTTTTTTCATATTGTTTCCTACAAAATACAAAAAGGAAATAAAACTGTCAGACATTAATTATCTGCCAGTTTTACTGGATGGTTTTTTTCATACAGAATTTGAAACTTGATTTAAAAAATGTAAGATTCATCTTAATCATTCAATTTTATGTTTGTTTATATCATTCCTGATCAGTTGGATTATCTCCTACTATGCAAATGAAGACTGAAGTGAACTCTGAGGAGAAGTATGTAACGTTAATGTATAACTTCAAACAACCTTCCCTAGAAAGAGTTTATGATATAGACTTTGGCAGCTCTGGCCCTGGAGTCACCAGACTGTAGGCTCAATTTCCTACAGTGTAAAACAGGAAGAATAATAACATCTTCCTGAGCCACATATCATCTGCTGACATTCAGCATCGTTCCTACCTTTCCATATTGCAAGGGCTGGAAGTCTGAAAACTACCTTTTCCAGACTCCCTTCCAGCGGGGTTCAAGTTTATATTCTGCCAGCAAAAAAGACTGTGATGATATCTGAATGGTAAAAGCAAAGCAGGAACCATTCTCCTCAGATCACTTGGTGCAGCACTGCAGGTGGGCAAGAGGATCAGCAGCGGTGTCTTGCAATGCCTGCCATGTCTTTATTGCTGCGCCCATTGGTGAATGTTCCTGACCTGTATTCTTAGCCAGTTTGAAGATTTTGTAAGCTGTTTCCTTGTAGCAAATACTTTCCTGCCTCAAAGTCTGAGAGTAGTTCCGATTTCTGATCAGTCTCAGACAATACACTGTCTTATAGGCTTTCTGTGAGGATTAAGTATTAATAGAATGATGGACAAAACATTCTTAAATAATATCACCATAGAACTCACCATAACACTCCATAGCAAGTGCAAATCAAAGTGTGATGAGTGCGACATGTATATAAATAGCAGAGGCACCAGAGCCAAGTTTCTAGTAAAAAACTAGTTAGAACACTTTCTGTGCCATGGCTGGAGGCAAGTTGTCTAATCTCTTTTAATGACTCGAAGACTTAATTTTTTGGTCTTCAAAATTGGAACAATAATCATAATATCCATCTTACAGAGTTGTAAGAACTAAATGTAATAATGTCTATAATGCAAGGAGATTTAAAAAGTGCTTTACATAACTGCTTGATAAATGTTATTAATATTTTATGATGTAAGGAAAGGCATTTTTAAGAGTTTCAACTATCACGTTTAGAAAAGTATGCAATGTATATTTAAATGAAATGAAACAAAGAAATAAACAAGCCAGACAGAAGTAACTTACTCATCATTTATGCTAAAATCAGCAAATGGTGCCTTTGTTCACACCAGTAGTACTTTCCATGTTTCTTATCCATACCTAATACATTTGCACTTTCTTCATTCTAGGACTAAATGTAAACTCAATCTAAACCTAAGTGTGAATAAATGCATTAGACTAATGTAGAATATAAAAACTCTTATTGTTGAATTCCCAGCCGATAAAGTAATTTTGGGGATGGGTAAGAAAGAGTGAGGGAAGTGTTCTAGAAATCCTGACCTCAGCATGTATATAGCTCTATTATTCATGATCTTAGCATATAAATAACTCTCATAAGACTCACAGTTAACTTCCGCTACACAGGTTTCATGTCTTTTTAAAAATTCTGTGGTACTCCTCTATTACTACCACTATACTAATACCATTATTACTACTACTAATTAGACTGCAATTACTGAATACTGCACAGTGTACCACGTGGGTTTTGTTTGTTTGTTTTGAAATGGAGTCTTACTGTTGTCGGCCTGGGCTGGAGTGCAATGGCGCGACCTCAGCTCACTGCAACCTCCATCTCCCGGGTTCCAGCAATTCCTCTGCCTCAGTCTCCTGAGTAGCTGAGATTACAGGCACCTGCCACCACGCCCAGCTAATTTTTGTATTTTTAGTAGAGATGGGTTTCACCATGTTGGACAGGCTGGTCTTGAACTCCTGACCTCAGGTGATCCACCTGCCTCAGCCTCCCAAAGTCCTGGGATTACAGGCGTGAGCCACTGCACCTGGCCTGTACTAGGTGTTTTACAAACATTATATTTACTCATTACAAAAACCCTGAAAGTACTTATGATTATTCCCATTTTGTGGACAGAGAAATGAAGAATCAGCTAAGGTTAGGTGACTTCCCAAAAGCTATAGCTAAATCAGATTCTGTGAAATCTATCACTTTTTCTATTACACATGTTTTCTGCCACTTTTTCTTCATTTACATTTCAAAGTTATTTCATTAGAAGGCAAAGACTGCATGTTCTGTTTCAACATTTTCAAACTTGCTCTATATTTTCCTCAAGTGATTCAATTCTCCAAATATAAAACCATCAGTATACACATAATGGACACTTTTGAAAATATAACATAGAAATGCATTTGCTTAAAATATTATTCTGTAATACATCTACAAAAGTTAAAGCAATCTATCTTGATTCTACCTATACTACTAGTACTGTAAATTATGTTTATAAATACTGCAGAGTAACTCAATGTAATATGCATGCTTTACAAATGTATAATGTGCAAGTTATAAGATAGAATTTTGCTCTCCTCGAACTTATCAATAGCATAACATTTATTCACATTTGAAGGAACATCAACCACTGATTAACTAATAGATAGGTTGATAGATAATAATGATATAGACATGGAGTAGAAATAGGTAGAGATCTATGTATATATGGACATCATATCCCACTAGGGTGCCAAAGACTAGTTCAAAATTTTTACTGCTATGTTTAATGCTGCTTTCTAGTCTGTCAAGATAAGCTGTGGCTCAGTTGTGTTCTAGCTTTCTTGAGAAATAAGCCTATTGTGCTTTCTACCCAACCATTAGGAATAACACACCATTTTTTTTTTTTTTTTAAGACAGAGTCTTGCTCTGTTGCCAGGCTGGAGTGCAGTGACGCGATCTCGGCTCACTGCAACCTCTGCCTCCCGAATTTAAGTGATTCTTCTGCCTCAGCCTCCCGAGTAGCTGGGACTACAGGCGCACAACACCGCGCCCAGTTAATTTTTGCATTTTTAGTAGAGATGGGTTTTCACATGTTGGCCAGGATGGTCTCGATCTCTCAGCCTCGTGATCTGCCCGCCTTGGCCTTCCAAAGTGCTGGGATTACAGGCATGAGCCACCTTGCCTGGCCCAATAACACATCATTTTAATCTAAATCTGAAAACATGATTCTCGCTCTTCTCACGATGTGGATCACATTTCGATAATAATGACGACTATGATTTTAAAAGGTCACAAAAACGATGATGATAAAGAATCAACAACAATCATTGTTAACAATTATTTAACACACAAAATGGTCCAAATCTTATGTTTTGTATATATTTTATCCTTTAATATCTAGAATACTCTTTTAAGTAGATATTATTCTCTTTTTTGCTCTTGTAAGAGACGCTACGAGATTAAGCACTTAAGTTCTGGATTTAACTGTGTAGACTTGAATAGTGACATTACAGCAAAGTAACTGAATCACCTGAGAAAACCTAATTACTTACTCTCTACTTCAACTTCCTTGCCTATAGAAACTGGAAAATATTCCTACCTCATAAGTTTTCTTGTAAGAAGTAAACAAAACAAATACATAAAAAGTGCTTAGAACAGTATTTGACCAACAGTAAATGTTTAAAAACATTTGTTACTATTATGCTCATTTATATGAAAATCATTGGAAAATGATAAAATTATTTCGTTTCAATATACTTGACATGGCTAAAGTCTTAGTGAGAAAAGTACAAACGTTGTCATACCTGTGTATCCAGTTTTGCAAACACAGTTGAAGCTTCCTGGAAAATTCTGGCAGATGGCACCATTCTTGCAAGGACTCTGCAGGCACTCATTGATATCTCTCTCACACGCCCTACCAGTGAAGCCATCTGGGCAGCTGCATGAAAATCCTCCCACTAAATTGTGACAGGTTCCACCACTGTGGCAAGGTGATGGAAGACATTCATCTATATCTATTTCACACCAGCTACCCGCATATCCTGGCAGACACTTGCATAAGAAAGGCTGCAGAGGTTCATTTGCCACGATGATGACTGGAAGACTCTCACGGCTTTTTAATACGGAGCTCACAGCCAATCTTCGTAGACAGCTCCCTCCATTCTGACATGGGCCATGCACACAGGAGTCATGATCCACAGATTCCACCTTTACTCCACTCTGCCGGAGAAGGATCTCTTTGATGCTTTCAAAGAAGGTGGCTACGCCACTGGGATTCACATACTGATTATGATTTCGCTTCACAGCTGCCAAAAGAAACGTTCTATTGTTCTCTTCATATGCACTGTACAGTTGCACAGCAGTCCCTAAGCCTGTCAGCTGTGAGCTGGCAATGCGTAAAAAATGAAGATAGTGGTTGGTCAAGAAGTCCTTTACTGTTGGTACGCCGAGACGAAGTAAGATGCTGTTATCCACTGTGGCATTGGAAAATCCAGCAAAGAAAACTCGGATGTTGCTCGTGACTGTGCTGTGAACTCCATCATTGCTAAGGACAGTCAGATCAAACGTGCCATCTGTGGACCTTGGCTGGGAATTCAGATCACAAGTACCCCCTGGAATACTGAAGAGGCTGGTAACTCCTGAAGTAAGGGAGCAGTGGAAGCTGTCTAACACATCTGGATCCTGTGGCTTCACAGAGCCTAAAATCCCACCGGGAAACAAGTTACCATAATAATTAACAAATATCTCCACCGTCCGAGACTGTGAAGGATTGTCATTTTGGTCTATAACTGTGATATGCACAGTTCCTGTGGAAGACATTTGAGGAACACCAGAATCCTTGGTAACCACAGACAGATAGAAGTCTGCAATCTGCTCTCTGTCAATCTCTCTGGTTGTGCTCAGAACTCCAGCAGTGCTCAGACTGAAATAACTGGTGGCAGGACCTGTGCTCAGCAAGTAATAAGTAAAGGGACCTTGATTTGGAGGGAGATCAGGGTCAGTGGACTGAAGGGTCATCACCAAAGTGCCTGGCCGTTTGTTTTCCATGACTTCTCCTTCACTGACAGTCAGCATGGGCCCGTTATCATTTATATCTTCCAGGGTGACTAATAAAGAGGCACTACCTGTAGCTGAGGGGGTCCCTGAATCAACAGCCAAAACTGAGAGATTATAGATGGGAAGGGTTTCTCGATCTAATTCTGCAGTAACGGTGATCTGTCCTGTCTGCGGATTAATAGAAAAGGCACCATTTTCATTCCCTGATCCGATGAAGTAAGAAAACCTGCTCCAGCTGGGGATGGAGTCTGAGTCAAAGGCACTGACAAAGGTCACATGAGTTCCTATTGGGACCCCTTCACTGATCTGCACACTGTAGATGTTTAGAGTAAAAATGGGTGGGTCATTTGCATCAAGCACGGTGACATTTACAGTGACCTCATCTATATCTGCACCTCTAATGCTGCCAAAGTTCTTGGCCAATACCTTCAAAGACACCCTTTCTTCTTTTTCTCGATCAAGAATTCCAGAAACATAAATCTGTCCAGTCTTCTTATTGATCTGGAAACCCTTCTTTCGACTATTACCAAAAATCAAATAGTGTACCTCCCCATCAGTGCCCAAATCACGGTCGCTAGCAAACACTTCTCCAACAATAGTACCTTTAGGAGCTGCTTCTGAGATTTCAAAATAGTAAAGTTTGGAAACAAAACGGGGCACATATTCATTTGTCCCTTTTAATTGTATATTAACAGTGGCAAAGCTACACCTTTCCTCATCGGGGACATTGAAGGCTTTCACAGTAAGATGGTAGCTCTGCTTGGTTTCAAAATCCAAGAAGCCTTGAGTGGTTATGACTCCTGTGTTAGGGTCAATGACAAAGAGGTCACTGTCAGATGACTGTACAGTATACGCAATCACAGCATTTGTTCCAGAGTCAGCATCTGTTGCATTTAGGTGGATAACTGTTGTTCCACTTGGGGCATTTTCCAAAACAGTAGGGAAATAGTCATCAGAGAGGAATACTGGAGAATTATCATTCACATCAATCACATTTACGGTCACACTGCAGTAACCAGTTCTTGCAACCCATCCTCCATCTATAGCACTAATCGTCATTTCGTGTTTCTGGCATAGCTCATAATCAAGAGCTTTGGCTAGTGTTAATATACCTGTAGAAGAATTGATTGCAAAAATGCCTTCTTCATTTCCTGAAGAAATGCTGTACTTAATCAAGCCATTCATCGCTGCATCTCTATCTCTTGCAGAAACAGTTCTGACAATGGACCCAATGCTATGGCTCTCAGGGATGGTTGCACTCATGTGGCTTTGAGAGAATTCAGGTGTATGGTAGTTTTCCTCAGTGACAGTTATGTGAACAGTTGCTTGGGAAGAAAGTGGAGGGTTTCCCTTATCCTTTGCAGTGACTGTGATAAAAAAGTTTTGGTTCAAGTCAGAAATCAGGGAGGATGCTACTGAAATCCACCCCGTATCATTGTCCAACTTAAATTTTCCTAAATGGTTATCATTAGAAATGAAATACTCCACTTCTGAATTCAGTCCAAAATCTTTGTCATCTATTGCTGTAACTCTGATTAACTTCGTACCAACCTTAACATTTTTGGTGACTGGAGTGAAATATTTACTTTTAAGAAATTGAGGTGCATTGTCATTACTGTCCACTATATTGATGGTAACTGTTGTCTCACTAATTAAGGAAGGTTTACCTCGATCTGAAGATGTCACTATAAAACTATGCCTGTTGATATTCACATTACTGAAGCCAGTGACATTTTGGTATTTTAAGATCTGTTTATTGAAAATCTCTCCAGTGGTGGCATTAATCCTGAAATATTCTGATTGGGATTTTATGAAATAAAACACTTGTCCATTTGATCCCTCATCAGGATCTGTTGCAAATACCTGAGTTACTTTGGAGCCAATCTCAGTAAGTTCAGGGCAATCTAAATAATAGGAAGTTCTGCTAAATCTTGGAGCATTGTCATTGATGTCTGTCACAAATATTGTGACATCTGTACTTACAGTCCACCCAGAATCATGTGCGGAAACTCGAATTCTGTAACGGTCTGTATCTTCCCTATTTAAAGGTCTGCTTATGACAATATCCCCTGTGCTGGGATTAATTGTAAATGGAAGACTTGCATCCATTATAGAATATCTACTAATTGCATTGATCCCAATGTCTTCATCAGAAGTTGTGACACGGGTAACTGTGTATCCTAAGGGGGAATTTTCAGGAACATGGGCACTAAATATCTGAGAAAACCTAGGGGCATTATCATTTTCATCTAAAATGTTAATCATGACTTTTACTGAAGTACTCTGAGACGGGGACCCTTTGTCTGATGATTTTATGGTTAGGACATAATGAGATACTTTTTCCCTGTCCAAAGGTCTAACGCTTCTAATTTCACCAGTAGCATGATTGATACTGAAACTATTTTCCATGTTGCCATTAACAATTTCATAATCTAACTGTCCATTGGGTCCACTGTCCTTGTCCATTGCCGAAACAGTAAGTATTTTTCGAGGGGAAAGGTTTTCCAATATTTCAGATATAAATGGGTCTTCCTTAAAAATTGGGGCATTATCATTGACATCTAATACTGTTATATCAAGTTTCTCGTAAGAGGAGAAAGGAGGGAAACCACCGTCTCTGGCCTCTATCCATACAACATATTTTTGTATCTTTTCAAAATCCAGAGGTTGACTAATAGACACCTGCCCTGTTAACTGATCAATCTGGAAAGTATTGCCAAGATTCCCACTTGCGATATAATATGACATAGGTTCTCCTCTTAAAGAGGATCCTGTGATGGTGGTGACAAGAGAGCTGACTGGTTGGTTTTCAGGAAACATGAACGTTTGTTCTTTGGCTCTCACTTTAGGGAAATCGGCCTTATTCACGAATCTAACAGTCACTGTTGTAGAATCTGTCTTTGGAAATGAGCCACCATCTTTTACATGCACAGAAAATGTCACTTCTGAAGCTCCGTTTAGTGGTCCGGCGGCCATAATGGCTCCCCTCAGTGGGTCAATGTGAAATTTTTCAGAATTTCTACCCGAAAGAGAATAATGCAGTTCAGAATTTGGTCCAATATCAGCATCTGTGACTGTAACCGCAAAGACAAAGGAACCTATAAAAGAGAAAGTGTGCAGTTATACTCACGTGGAATTTAAATAAAATATTTGGTAGCAGATAAGTGCATATAAGACACTCTATTGCTGCTTGATGTGACCTTATTTTCTCATGATTACTAGGGAGAACAGTATCTCCTATATTTTCTCCGAGGTTCACAAGTCAAATCTGCTCTATGATTGTCTTCAGAGACTAACCTGCCATTTTCTAACTAAAATTTATACAGTCTGTTGGATTTAATACTTTTCAGTATGCCTTTGAGAGAAGCCTAGGGAAAAGAACTTGCTAATCGTTCAAAAATCATAGTTTCTAGGAGAAAAATCTGCACATAAAACAACATTCCAAGAAACATAATATGCGAGCTCTGCAAAGTGCTATGCCTCTACCCAATGCAATGATACCGTTGCTCTAGTGTGTCTTAAAATATCTTCCAATCACTTTATATGTAATCTTGTCAACAAAAATCATGTTCATTACCATTTATTCCTTGTCCCCACTGTTTTATGACAAAATTCCTTTATACGTGAACTATTATCAGATGGAAAAAAAAGTGCATATGTGTATGTTTATATGTGTGTGTATATACATACACAGATATATACATAAGCCAATTAAAATAATTGTAAAGTAGTAAGAAATAAGAATTGAGGGATAATGGACTCAACTTGGACTCCAAAAGTTAGTGCTTAGACTGAGTGCCAATGAAACAGATTGTCGTAAAAATATGCAGAAAAGCTGCCATAAGGACATATTTTCAATCTACTCATTCAGAAACCATTCCCAAACCTGCACTCTCACCCCTACAGAAGAAACGGTAACAAAAGTAAAATATCTTTAATTTTAAAAAGGCCAGTGGTTATAAGTCCAATGAGGAAAAGATGCTTAAGCATACCTCATTTTACATAGGAAATTTTATCTTGCACCACCACACATTGGATGTAATTAGAACCATGCCTGCCAACATCATTTCATCTGAAGACCTTTAGCAGGTATTTATCATTTTGATACTGACATTTCCTTTGATAGAAAGTTGGCACATAAATTTATGAATCCTATATTTTAGATTGGTATCATTCTCAGATTAATAGAAGATCAAAGATCACTGAAAGGAGGATCTGTTAACTCTATCTGTTAAGTTTTTCTTCTAATAATTAAAAATATTTCCGAGCAAGGAAGATTAAATCAATAATGAGCTATATTTCTATATTTTCCTCTTTGAAAACTCATTTTAAAAATTAAAATGGCAGATTTGTGCAGTTCTTAGAGTATGCCTTTCTTAGCAAATGTCAAACTAAATTTAAAGAGATACAGAAGGATAAATGCATATTGTCAATATGAAAATGATTCATAAATGGATCCATAAACTTGCTAACAGAACAGTTTTCATTTGTAAAACCTGGAATAAAATAAATATTAACAAGAATTATCCATTTATTAAACTTTTTGAAAACATATCTATGAAAAATTGAAGTCAAATATTCATTTTCCACTGACAAACATAGTTGAATGCCTATTATCTCCCATATCATGTTTCAGGTAGTGGCATATGGCATGCAAAATAGAGACAATGCCCCTCCTCTTAGCAAACTTACACAAAGTTATACCTCAGGCCATAAACATCATTAACGATGATGTAATATATATGTTAATTATTTATAATATTCAAGTAATATTAAGAAATAATAATACATAACAATTATAAAACATTATACACAATTAGTCTAGCAAGAAAGGGTTAATTTTCAAGTTTCAAGCATTTTTTCATTTCCATCAGACAAAACAACCTGAATTTTAGAGGATTTGCAAAATTAGGCTATATCAGAAATATGTATGTAAAATATCATAAATATTTTTATAGAAATGTCTGATACATAGTTTGTTTATATCCATGTGGCCTCAGAATTTGGTTGATTACCTGGAAGAGTAGGAGATGGGATGTGAGTGACATATGGGTGATGCTGAAATCTTGGTGGATTGTCATTGACATCAGTCACAGTGACAAGCACACTGGTGGAACTGGAAAGAGGCTCTGGGGATCCCGCATCACTGCAGACCACTACCAAAGTATAATTATCTTTTGTTTCCCTATCTAACAATGCGCTGGTGATGATTTGTCCTGTCGATGGGTTGATCGTGAACTGAGAGTTTCCACCGATGATCCTATAACTAAAGCAGAAAGCAGAAATAGGGATATGTCATATAGTTTTAATATCGTAACTTCTATTTACTATAATTAAAAAACTGAGGTAGAAATGCAAGAAAACGTTACAAGAAAGATCATACAACAATGTTGGAAAGAATACAACTAGTCTAGCTAATAAATATTTCAAATTTTCTGTGAACATCACATTGACAGTCTTTATCGTGAGATGTCCAGTGATGTCAAGGAAGTCTTCACAAGGTTTTTAGGACTCTTAAGTTGTGCAAGGCCACCAAACAAACCCCTAAGGCTTTAAATAAATGAGCCTAAAAGCATAAATCAGGGGACTTGCTCTAATATTGTGGTTAGTAGCCAGGATTACAAATGAATATCTTTTAAATGAAACTAAAAATTATTTTTCTGCTGTATACCATAATAAACCAGAGAAGATCAGTTGAAAATTGTATTCTTTTAAGACAAAACCTGTATTTGACATGTATCTGCTTCTCAGAACAACTCAAGGACTGATTATTTATACAAAGACCTTTCTAGTGATTAATTCTGTCTTTGTCATTCCTCATATGGTTTTGTTGCTTTCTTGTCAGGAGAGGTATGACATCTTCATGGATGTTTTGATGCTAACCAGATAGGTTAACGGGCAAGAGTTTCCACTGAGAAAAGCTTCTCTCTTCTTTCTGAAGAGTACAGTTGTCTGCATATATTCCTGATTTTGTGTATAAGGTGAGGTCCCAAAGATCAGCCAGGAAAGAAGTAGCTAAGCTTGAAGGTTCAGAAATTGGCTATGGTCCGTAATTTTTAAAGTTGAAAGATAGCATGGAAATAGATATCTTTAAAAGTTTTCTTCTTTTATACCAACAAATAGATACCCTTGTTGGAGTTGGCTGCATGTTTCTACAGTTTGCTTTGTGTCTATATAAACATAGCAACAGCATATATCTAATATAAACTGCAGGGGAAAAAACTATATTGCAGCCAGTAGTATGTTCATTCTCCTATTATGCTCACAGCTTAAAACAAATATTTCAGCATTTTTTATCCTACTTTAGTGAAATAATCAACTGTTGAGGACCTTATATTTAAAACTATTAGAAGTCTTATAAAATGATAGCAAAACAGGGAAAGAATAGAGAAGTGGTTTGGTTGAGAAATGGCTTCAGTATTGATAAAATACTTTGTGTCACTCAGATTTTTAATATGCTTGGCAAATCACACGACAGAATCAGGCATGTGTGAAAATAGCATTAACTATAGTTATTGGGCCAGAAGTGACTATTAGGTATAATTATTGCCCTTTACAGTAGATAATATATATTCTCTTTATCAAAATATAAATATCAAGTTTTATACATGAATTCTTAAAACTTGAAAATTCAGGACTCACAAAATAATCAAAATACCTTAACGTTTTACAAAGTGTAGAAAACTGGATTTGAGAATTGTGTAATTTTATTTTTGGAACCTTGTTGCTGTCAGTGGATGTAGAAATAATCAAATAATTTAATAGGAAAATAAAGTAAGCCATGCTGCCATAAACTTTTTTAGTTTTATAATGGCAAGGATCAAGGTTCAATCAAATATTTATTCCTATAAATATTCACAAATAAAAATAAAATGAGATTGATAAAAAACATAAATTTTCATCTGGATGTTTTGTATATGCCAAGACCATGGTGTATTATTAAGCGTAATGTGTTGATAGGCAAATGGTGTGGCCTTTAGTCCAGTTTCACTAAATGATCCATTCAAAAAGACTTGCTATCATTTAAATGTTCCTTGAAATTAGTCATTGTAACAGTGTTGTAACAATGTTGAGAAGTAGGGCCTTTAAGAGGTGAATTAGACCATCAGGGTTCCATCATTATGAGTGGATTAATGCCATTATCACGGAAGTGGGAGTTAGTTATTGAGGGAGTGAGCTTCTGATAAAAGAATGAGTTCAGCCTGATTCCCTCTCTCTGTCTCACATGATTGCTCACCATGTGATGCCTTCTGCCCTTCTGCCATGAAATAACACACAGGAAGCACTCACCAAAAGCAGGCCCCATGCCCTTAGACTTCCCAGCCTCCAGAACTGTGAGCCAAATACACTTCTATTCTTTATAAATTACCCAGTCTGTAGCTATAGCAGCACAAAACAGACAAAGAAACCTATGGTATAAATTCTGATTTTTTAATTTTATGCTATTGCACATGCTATTGCCCGTATGACTGTCTATTTTAAAGTAGGTAATATATTTAGTATTTTTTAAAATGAATGAGCAAATAGTCATTAATATCTAATTAATTTTTTCTAGACTTCACTAGATTCTAAAGCATATAAAAGTATATTTTAAATATGAGATGTTCTATAACACCAGTTGGATGAAAATTTATACTTCTAATTTTAAAAATAGAAGAAACACAATAAGCTCTGTACGTAGATCGACAGTTAAGATAATATGTCTAGATTTTTGCCACATCTCTTACTTGAGGCTTGGTTCTATTCTCATCCCTCCTGATGACCTCTCTTGCTTCTCTGGCCTGCATTAATTTTTGTAAAGTTAAAAACTTTATTAGATTGTGTCTTGTGGTATCTTCTTAACAGTTAAACATTTATGCTGTTACTTAAATATTTCCAGGAGCTTATTGATTTCTTAGTGCATGTCAAGCACACTACTGGGCAATTTATATATGCTCTTATTTAAATCCCAAAACTATCCTTATAGTTTAGTTTTAGTTTTGACTGTTTAGGGATAATGAATCTGAATCTAACAGAGACTAAAGTAGTTGCACAAAGAAACATACAATCTATAAATAGCAGATCTAGAGTTTGAATTTCTGTCTTTATGACTTCACCATGCACTTTTCCCATTATTCCACAGTAGAAGGAAGGTAAAACTCAACTGAGGGAATGTAGTGAAGACGGAAAATGTACCAATTGCGAAGGCCAACATGGACTCTTGCTCAAGTTGTGTCAATATAGAATTTGTTCACATTTAGTTCAATGAAAATCAATAAACACGTTAAATTATTTTCTAATTTGAGAATACATTACTATTTCAAATTATTTGCATAAACAGAGACCACTGTGATCTGAACCCTAAATCAACTATTGCTTTTGTAAAGTTAAAATATCCCCATTTGATTTTGTAAAACTTCTTTGCCTCTTCCTGAGATCTACTAGGGTTATAGGCATTATACTGTCTGCTGGGAGAATATGATCATTTAGTTAAGAGACTGGACTTTAGAACATAGTTCACTTGGACATAAATTTAAACCCCATGAATAGCACTTAAATTCACAAAAATTTCTTAACATTTTTAAGCCTTCTTTCTTTATCTGTAAAGTGGAGGTCATATTTTACTTTTTATTTGGTAGTTTTGACTATTAAAAATATTTTGTATAAAGAGCACTTGGCATTGTAATTGATAAATGGTGAGCCTTTAAAAGTCTAAGTTTACCAACATAATAGGACCTATATAATATATATGTATAACGTAATAGTCTATTACATACAATCTATCCATATCTATCTATACATAGGTTGAGTATCCATTATCCAAAATTCTTGGAACCAGGGGTGTTTGGATTTCTCTGGATAGAATATTTGCATATACATAATGAGAGATCTAGGGGATGGGTCTCAAGTCTGAACACAAAATTCATTTATGTTTCATATACCTCATATACATAGCCAGAAGATAATTTTATCTAATATTTTTGATAATTGCTTGAAACAAGGTTTGTGAACATTGAAACATCAGAAAGCAAAGGTATCAGGTGTGGAATTTTCCACCTGTGGCATCATGTTCATGCTCAAAAAGTTTAGGATTTTGGTGCATTTTAGATTTTGGACTTTCAGATTAGGGATGCTCAACCTATATTTAGATAGTTAAATGGATAAAGGGACTAAAAATTCAAAACAGAGACACGGTTAAGTAGGTTAAAAAAAATCCTGGTTTCAAGTTTATGTCCTTTATGACAGAAAGATATAAAAAAAAGGTAATTACAAAACAGTAAAGTGCTATGAAACAGTAAAGAGGTGTCACTGTAGGTATTCAGAAGACAGAACACTCTTGACTGGAATGATTAAAATAAAGCTTCCTCAGAGAAAGGTAAATTTAACATAAGTTGTAAAGGGGCTACCCATCTTTCAATAGTGTTCAAAAAGGCAGAAACAAAAGAAGGTCTAGGCTAGTGGTCAGCAAACCTTTTATATAATGGGCCAGATTGTAAAGATATTCAGTTTTACAGGTCATATATTCTCTGTTGCAATACTCAGCTTACCATCATATGGCAAGAGCAGCCAAAGACAATAGGTACATGAATGGGCATGGCTGTGTTCCAATAACACTTTATTTACAAAAACAGGCACTAGGCCCAATTTGGCCTGCAGGTAGTAGTTTGCCAAGCCCTGGTCAAAGATATAGAATAAATTGAGCAAACCTATAAGGCTTGGGAAAGCACAGATCCTTGTCCCATGAGCAGAAAATGATCCAGTAATACTGAACTTTTGGCCATATGTTGCAGAGTTTTGCAGAATTAGCTGGGGCCATTTATGGGGTGACTAGAATTTGAAGACTGGGGGTTATACCATAGGCAAACTGGAATTGAAAGATTTTGAGGAAGGAAGTATAATTGTTAAAGCAGAGCCAAGAGATGCTCATGTTGATGCATACTTCTGCCATTGCCCTTTAATTCACTGACTCCAGCTTTGCTTTGTACAAATTATTTCCTATAATGCTGGGAAAGAAATAATTATGAAATATAACTAGGCATGTTTTTGTGCTTGCTGCTTAAAACATTTCCATTGTTTCTCTCCTTAGATGCAGAAAGAAATTTTGAATTTTTTATATGGTATACAAAGTCCATTCCTAACCCACACCAACCATATGGAAATACTTTCTTTCTCTAATGCCATGTTTTTTGCATAGCTCTTTGCCTTAGTACCTGATACTGTCTTTGCCTAGAATATCTTTCATTCCTTTATTTCTCCATAAACTACTTCTACTTAGTATCATTGAAGGATCATTGGCCATACTATTCTTTCCACCTATTCTGTGCTTAAACTATACTTGTTATACGGTACTACACTTAAGAAATTACAAAATTATCTCTTCTATTAAATTGCACTTCTTATGGGCCCTAGAGTTCCAAACTCCTGAGAGTTTAATAAATTTTTGGTGCATAGTCAGGGCTTCATAATTTTACAGGACAGTGTACTACATAGATTGGAAGGATTAGAAACTAGAGGCGTGGAAGTGAGTTAATTCTTATTATAATAGTACAGGCATGATGTAATTATGAACTGAACTAGGATCTTGGCAGAAGGGATGCACTGAAAAGAATGGGTGCCAGATGCATTAGAAAAGAAGAAACATGAGAATTTGTCCACTGATTGAGTATAAGAGAGGGGATGACCCTTAGCTGCAAGGTGTGGTAAAAAACAAACCAAGACAATATTATTAAAACAAAGCAGAAAACCAAAATGAGAAACAGGAAAAGCAAAGAATTTTAGGTACACTGTGTTTATGATGCCAACAGAACCTCCAGTGTAATATGTCTATCAGCGAGTTATAAATATGGGTGCAAAATTTTGGAGTGGAATCAGAGTTGATAGTACAGATTTGGAGGTTTTGTTCACAGAATTGATGCTTGCAGCAATGGAATAAATTCTCTCTCTCTCTCTCTCTCTCTCTCTCTCTCTCACACACACACACACACACACACACACACAAGTACTGAGAAAATAATGCAGTGAGAAGTATTCAAATTACTTTCCAGAGAGAGAAAAGAGAAACAGAAAACAAACTGTGTGTGATCAGAGATGCAGGATGATAAGAAATAATATTTATATAGACATTGAGCAGGAAAAAATGCCAAAAAGAAAAGATGGCCTGGCCTGTAGTGTGAACATTGCAAAAAGTAAAGGAGAATAAGGACTTAGAAAAGTCACTGGACTTGAAAAATTTCAGTAGTCTTCTGACAGGGCCTTTTTTTAGTAAAGCAATGAAGGAAAAAAAAAATCAGACTAAAGATTTTCAGGAATAAATGGTCAGAGAAAACAGGTTGTGAAGCTTTCAAGAATGTTGTAGTAAAAATAGAATGAGTAAAAGCAGCCATTCCAGAGAATATTAAAATCGTTCATTCAATGCATTTATTTAAGTGACAACCACTGTTATGTACCAGATATTGTAAAAGAAAGAATATATTAGGAGTAAAAAAGATGATATGAGAAGAATAAAAAGAAAAAAGAAACCTTGAATTAATTTAGTGACTTCTATGTCCTAATAATTATGCCAGAGACATTTATGGATATTAACTGATTCCATACATACTGTTTGATACATAGTAGGTGGTTAGTAAATGTTTGTCTCACAAACTGTAAAGTATAAATTTTTATGTTCATTTTTATTGATGCAGAAACTAAGCCTTTGAGGCACTAAAATGACTTTCCTAGGCCATGGGAGGCAAATAAAAGAACCAGAATTCAACAGAAATTCTGAGCATTTCTGTAGATACGCTAACTTATGTAAATGAGCATTTATATAGATATCTACATGGTTCAAGGAAGAGAGAGAACTTGAAGAAACACAAGAAAAATGAGTAACTTTTGAATTAAAGAGTTGGAGGAAATTGAATGGGAAGAGATTAATAGCACATATTAAGAAATTTTCCTGGCCGGGGCGCGGTGGCTCACGCCTGTAATCCCAGCACTTTGGGAGGCCAAGGCAGGCAGATCACGAGATCAGAAGATCGAGACCATCCTGGCTAACACGGTGAAACCCCATCTCTACTAAAAATACAAAAAAAAAAAAATTAGCCGGGCATGGTGGTGGGTGCCTGTAGTCCCAGCTACTCAGGAGGCTGAGACAGGAGAATGGCGTGAACCTGGAAGGCGGAGGTTGCAGTGAGCTGAGATCACGACGCAGCACGCCAGCCTGGGTGACAGAGCGAGACTCCATCTCAAAAAAAAAAAAAAAGAAAAGAAATCTTCCTTAGAATGTTGACTTTGTCAGTGGAGTTTGTGGCTGTCTCCAGGGTTGTGATACAGAAGAATTAGAAGTGGGGCTTGAATAGAGATTTGGTCCAGTTGGGAGAAAAGGGGATACATATCTGTAAAAGCTAAGCTCTGGAATAGATATGTGGAAGGCAAAGACATAATCTGGATAGAGAAAGACTAAGAATTAATACAGTCTGATTTTCTATAAGGGAAAATACTAAAGGTGAAGTAAAATGTATAACATAAAGTAAGTACACCATTTGTAGAAATACAAAGTTTGATCAAATAGGTAGAAGTAAAAAAGAAACATTGTTGGCTGGATGCTATATGCAAAATCATGCTAGATCATTGGAAAAAAATTAACTTATAAGACACATAAAAGTTTATGCTCCTGGAGATCCCAACAGTAGTTCAGTAAATAACCGAACCATGTAAAATTTAAATGGGAGATAAATAATTAAACCAATAGCTCTTTTAATCTGAAGAAAGAATAGATTTTCTTCAGGATACCATGAATAGCAAGGAGTTATTAACACCAACCATAAAATACATTATATTCCATTAAGATTTTATCAAACCAGAGTAAATAAAGTTGAGGTTATAATAACTATTTACTTTGTCTGTGAAAATATTTTCTATTTAAGCTGCAATAATTGTTTGCCCTGTTAATTTGCAAGTGAATTGAATGTTTTTTATTCACAAGACAAAAATAGCTTCAATTTTCATTTTAACTGAATATATGATAGTCTGTAGAGTCATTTTAAGATTTTCACTGATGGGGTTTTTGGATTTCAATGTATGTAAAAGTATAATGTTAATTCTCATGTTAAAAGAAGAAAATTTAATCAACCAATCAAATAACCAAAATACATACTACCAAAGCAAAACAATCCCATCAGACCTACCAGTACAGCTTTGTAAAACAGTTTGAGAGTATGAATACAATTTTTCTAGACCAAATTTACAAGCATAATTCACAAGCATAGGATAGCATTTTGCAATGAATCTTTAACATGCACTAGAAAAAAACAGCAGGTCATCACAGCATTTACTTTATTATAGAAATAAATGAATGACTCAATGGAAGACAGGATCAAGTTTGTAAACATTCAACTTCATATTCAGGAATTTATACATCTCATACAAGAGAATTTCCCTATATCTGATTGGTAATATTCTATATACTGTCTAAGAAACAGCATCTGCATGGCAGATAAAGAATTATTAGATTATAACATTACAATAGATAGGGCATCTCTTCCAAAATCATTATCAGAAACTTATTTAGCACTAACAAATGATAGACAGGTAGAGGGCTAGGTGCTTTGCATGATTAGAACAATATGGGTTGACATTTATTGAGCATTGTTTTTTGTTCCTGGTGCTATTCTAACCAGCTCACTTAAATTATTTTACTTACTCTCTTTAAAGTTAGTTTCATTATTACTCTGCTTAATCCACTGAAAACCGGGTCCAGAAATGTTAATTTGCCCATACTAATGCAATAGTAATAGTAGAGTCAGGATTCAATTCCACACAACTTAATTCCCAAGGTTCTACTCTTAATGTTAAGCTAAAGACTTTGGATTGAATCTTATGATATGATTTTTATTATTTCTATGCTTTGGTATAAGACAAGTAAAAGAAAGGGTATTTAGTGGCCTTTTGAAGCTCATAACCTGGAAGAAGTTCAGTTGTACCTGCCTCTCTCTGGTTGGTGCTAAGTACAATGACTCAAACGGGTTATGACCCTGGACAGAAATTTCTCAGTCCTCTATGATTTGACTTTACAGGACTCTGAGAACTCAACTCTTCTCTTGGAATAAGTCTTGGTCCACTGAAAGAAATCTGTATGTAGCTCACTGAAAGAAATTTGTATATAGCTTTCCATCCTTTTGCAATGCATGCAAATAATTCATTCTGTCCTGCATTTCCTCTGTTGTCTCTAGCCAGGCCTCCTTAACTTCAGACCTTCTTAACTCCTACCTTAACTCCTAGTCTCCTTGGAGACCTTTCCTCCTAAACCTACCTTTAAAGTGTTGGAGAATTCCCAGTGACTGGTTCTAGTGCCTCTTTCCTTATCCTGCTATACTCTCTCTGATATGGTTTGGCTGTGTCCTCACTCAAATCTCACCCTGAATTGTAATAATCCCCATGTGTCGGCCAGGCATGGTGGCTCATGCCTGTAATCCCAGCACTTTGGAAGGCGGAAGTGGGCAGATCACCTGAGATCAGGAGTTGGAGACCAGTGTGGCCAACATGGTGAAACCCCATCTCAACTAAAAATACAAAAATTAGCCGAGTGTGGTGGCGTGCACCTGTAATCCCAGCTACCCAGGAGGCTGAGGCAGGAGAATCACTGGAACCTGGGAAGCAGAGGCTGCAGTGAGCTGAGATTGTGCCACTGCACTCCAGCCTGGGTGACAAAGCAAGACTCCATCTCAAAAAAAATACATAGATAAATAAATAAAAATAATCCCCATGTGTCAAGGGCAGGGTCAGGTGGAGATAATTGAATCATGGGGGCAGCTTCGAGCATACTGTTCTTGTGGTAGTGAATAAGTCTCACAAGAACTGATGGTTTTATAAATGGGAGTTCCCCTGTACAAGCTCTCTTGCCTGCTACCATGTAAGACGTGATTTTGCTCTTCCTCACCTTCGGCCATGATTTTGAGGCCTCCCCAGCCAATGTGGAACTATATGCCCATTAAACTTCTTTTTCTTTATAAATTACCCAGTCTCAGGTATGTCTTTATTAGCAGCATGAGAACAGACTAATACACTCCGCAAACGTGTTCTCATTCAGTTTATTGGTTTTAAATGTCCTCTAAACACTGATGACTCTCAAATGTGTATATCCAGCCCTAACCCCAACCCTAAGCTCCACACTCATATCTCCAGCTTCCTAACTGGTATCTCTAAATGAATGAGTAACAGTCATTTGAAACTGTATTCAAATAGAATACTTCTGACTTCTCACAAAACTGTTCCTCCTTCAATGCTACCCATTTCAGTAAATGATATCATATCATGATCTGCCTAGGTGTTTGAGTGGAAAACTTAGATGATTCTGATTTCTCTCTTTCATTTGATCTCACGTCCAATTTCTTTGTTTTTTTTTTATTATTATACTTTAAGTTCTAGGGTACATGTGCACAATGTGCAGGTTTGTTACATATGTATACATGTGCCATGTTGGTGTGCTGCACCCATTAACTCATCATTTACATTAGGTATATCTCCTAATGCTATCCCTCCCCCCCTCCCCCGACCCCATGACAGGCCCCGGTGTGTGATGTTCCCCTTCCTGTCTCACATCCAATTTCAAAGGTATGCCCCAAATCTATTTACTCAATTTTCATTTCTCCACGTAAGTACAAAGTTACTCTACTTGGATAACTATATTAATTAGTGCCTAAATGGTGCACTGGTTTCTCTCCGTAAATCCTCTCTCATCAGATTCTATCCAAATGTAGACCAGTTTATGTGTCTCTTCTGTTTAAAACTCCCCAGTAGTTTCTCACCTAAAGGTAAATTGGAAAACCCCAATTCTGTATCGTGACATATATGGCCTGTATATGGCCTGCATGATTTAGCCCCTGCCTACCTCTCTGACTCCTTTCTCACTCTGGTCCAGACATGCTGACCTTCTTAGATAAAACAACGAGATTAATTCCATTCCATAGCTCAGTCCTTTCAGCTTAAAGGTCATTTCTTAGAGAGACCAAGTATTGTGGTCTGAATGTGTTTCTTAAAATTTGTGTGGTGAAAACCAGTTTTCCAAAATGATTTTGTTAAAAGAAAATTGGTAACAAACAACAAAATAAGACATGAATCAGCTCATTACCATATCCGTATATCTGGTACCCATAGCTGATAATTCTTAATGTCTCAAATTTTATCTTCTGCTCCATTACTTTCATAGCCATCTAACCAACTCTAATTTACCTAATACCAGCCTATAGAAAGTGGAGGAGGGGTATAAAATATTTATGTGTGTGAGTTTTTCTCTAGAACCTTTGGAAATCTTCATTTCTTGTAGTTTAGAATAGATATGGAAGAAGGGGACAATCTAGGTTGATAAAATGTTGCAACTCAAATTTCTTTCACATCCTCTCTGAACAAGTTATCATATTTGTGTTCTCAATTTTAAGAGGATTTAAGCAAAGTAAAATACATTTACTAAATGAAGAATACACAAATATTCTTATTAGAGCTAGTAGTGGAATAAAAATGGTCAAAATTCTTTGACATTTCTCCAATCAACGAGTGATGCATGTTTCTCCTCACAGTGAATCTGAGCTGGTCACCACTGCTTTGACCAACAGAGTATTATAGAAGTGCTGCTATGGCACATCTGAGTCTGACCTTTGAGAGTTCTGGGAGCTTTCACTTGTGGCTCTTGGAGTTGAGAACCACCAACTAAAAAGTCCAACTACTTTGCTAAAGAACCACATCAGGAAGTTCTGAGACTACTTGAGGACAGAGGGGGCCAAGATGATCCTGAACCTTCCAACCAACCCTGCCAAGGCAGCAGGCATGCAAAGTCATCTTGGCCCCTCCAGATCATTCAGTCACCATGTAAATACTGTGAAGTGCCACCAGTCAACCTCATGAGACAGAAGCACCCAGTGTAGTCCCAAACCACAAAACCATGAGATATGATAAAAATATAAATAAAATAAAAATTAAATAAAATCTTAGAGTAATAAGTAAAATGTTTACTGTTTGAATCTTCATTTAATGAATTGTTGGCTATCAGCAATGGATAACAAGAAGAGGATATGTGTTAATATGACGTTCATTTAAATTAAACATTATATTCATGTAGTTCAAAAACTAATGTTTAATGAGAAAACAGACAAACTTTACAAAGGAAAATGTACTGACCTTATAACTGCATTCTTTGAAGCATCAGCATCTGAGGCATTTACCAATAAAACATCTGTTCCAGTTGGTGCATCCTCAGGAATTGTTGTGAAATACGCTTTACTGGCAAATGTGGGGACATTGTCATTGACATCATCTACTATGACGTTGATTGTTCCAGTTCCAGTCAAGGCAGGGGATCCTAAAAAGAAAAGAAAATCAAGTCTCAATGTTTATAAACAAAAAATAACAAATTTAACAAAAATTAGCTGTAGACAGAATTACTAAAGAGAATTTAGGAAACATCAAAGTAAAATTTCTGAACACATAAGTGATTGAGTGATTTTTAATTTTGTTACAAGACAAATGTTTTCATTTGTGAACTAGAATTTCAACTCTTTCCTAGTAACTCTGCACGAAAAGTATATGTCATGCTCTTATTCTATTTTAAAGGTGCTGATTCAACAATGTAGAACACAACAATATCATTTGAATGCCACAAAAGAGGCACTGCCGGTAATTTCTCTGAAATTACATTAAAATAGCACAAAACCAGATTTGAAGAATACCCACAGGCATGGAAGAGCTGGCCAACTAACAAGGCAATGTTAAAAACTGGACTCTCAGCTGTGACTATCATTGTTACTATCACAAATTCCAGAGTCTCTGAGGTATTTAAATCCCTTTCCCATACTGTCTGTGGGAAACAAAAAATAGCTTCAAGTTATATCTCAAAAGTGTTATCTTCTACGTGCTAGAATAACTTCATAATGATGAGCTAACTCAGAATCATGTGTGCTGCTTCTACTTAAAATTCAATGTAACGTGAAATGATTCATTTTTATTTCCTGTTCCAGCTGCTATCAATATATGGTGAAAACCCAACATTTGCCAAACACTTGGGCCACACTATCTGTACTAGACTAATTTTGTGGTGAAGGCTAGATGCCATATGTGTTGGAATTCTGTGGGCTGTCCCCATAACTGAAAGACAAATTATCTGCTGTTGGTTGTGTTTTCAAAACCGTTTTTCAAACTCAAACTCTTCTAAATAGAAACAATGAAGATCCATTTAACTGCATTTATGTAAAATAAAATAAAACCCCAGATACTCTCCTTTTCTGCTTAAGATACTACTTTACCTTCAATAAAGTTATTTCCCTTAATATGACATTTAAATTCTACTTAACTTTACCATTCAATATTCTGTAAATAAAGCCACTCATTCATTTATTTGTAAAATGTTTATGGAGTGCCCTCATTATCACAGAATGGTATTGAGATTCACAACCTTACCATATTATTTTCTAATAGTCAAGTGATTTGCTGGTATTTCCTTTACCACTATTCAATCATTCTTCTATGTTCTTAGATTGTAATTACTCGTGGCCTAGTACCAATGAGCTTTTATGCTCAGATGTGTGTATAGGAACCAAAATCAACAGATGGGGAAATTATGGAATGAAATGGTTTTGGAGATCTGTTATTTTTGTGAATTCTAGGTTAGATGAAAGAATGTGTATACCCAGTTGAGCAGAGCACAATAAAGAAGCATGATACCTCCCAGAAAATGATGCAATTAAATTTAGACTGCACACTGATCATTGTTGCCATATATATATATATATCATAAGATATTTTATATTAAGTGTTTCATTTAAATTAACATACAAAGTCAAAAAATTTTGACGTCTAAGAAATATCTAAAAATTTAACATAAAGTTTATGACTTCAGAAATCTTACCTATTAGTGTTTGATTTTACACTAAAGGGAAAAATAGCCCTCAATCTATTGGTAATATGCATAATGAACTATAAACTAAAAAAAAATGTAAATGCCTTTTTAGTACTTGCTTACTGTAAGCAATGGTAAAATTATGCAACAAATATTTCACACACACAAAATAGATATGAATGTAGGATACGATAAGAAACACATCAAATAAGACTGTCAAAATTCCATGCAACATATTGAAAGAAATATCAATAACAGTAAATATTTGTTTAGTCCTTAGATATGCATGCACTGGTTTAAGAAGTTTACATAAACTGTCTTATCTAATCCCCATAAATCAGCACTGCTGTCATCTCCATTTGGTATATGAGTAAGCTCAAGTTTAGAAAGTTTAAGTAGCTTTTTCAAGGCCACAGACCTAGTGAGGAATGTCACTGAGATGTGACCCATGTAAAGCAGCCCTGGAGTCTTTACCACTGACAAGAAGCTGGAAGGTACTGCCAGTAGGGGGAACAGTGCTGCTTCCTGCGCTGCTTTGGGGGTCTGGACAAGCAGCTCTGTCGCTGAGCCTAGAAGAGCACCAGGCAGGAGGTGAAGAGGCCCAACAGGGAGGGACCTTCACTACTGGCCAGCTTAAGTTTGTGGGACATTTGAGCACAATAATCTTGGCATAGATTTTAAATTTCTCACAAGCAATATATTAAGGCTAAAATAAACAGTTTGGAGTGTATTGTTGAGTACCAATGTTTGGCTTAAATTTCTTGAATGTGTGTTTCACTATATACAATTTTATGAAATGGAAGTTAATGCTCTGAATAATGTTAGTAGAATTCCCACCAGTTGCATAAAAAAAAAATTACCTAGGGAATATGTGTGCATTTGTGTGAGCAAAAGGAGGTGTCATGGAAGAGAGAGAGAAACTGAAAGAGGGGATACATTAATCAAGGTTCCAGAGAGGCAAAGGATGGGAGGAGATGCAGGGTTCTTTAATCTCTTTTACTGATATTTCACTCTACTCACTAAAAATCAATCTTCATCCATAAAATGAGAATTATAATAGACTCTACCCCAAAGGGGTATTGAGAAAAATGTAATGTGCTTAGGACACTACCTAGCACATAAATTATATTCTATGTTACCCATTGTTCTTCTTGTACTTGTTTTAGAGACCAAAAAACTCACAGAAATTGACTATAAAAAGTCATTTTTTATTATATAGTTTTCTGTATTACAGCTCTCAGGATTCTGCCCCCTCCCCAAACCTTTCAATTCAGTCTCATATTATTCAGGAAAATATTTTGAATAATAATTCATCTCAATGATTCACTTGTGGTAAAAATACATGAGACATTTAGCTCTCTAAAAATTCACAGCTTTATGGAAGACATAGTAAATTGGACATTTTTAAATGTGGTATTTTAAGACTTACAGTGAGATTTCAAGAAAGATCTGAATATTTCTGATATACACATTGTGCTGTAATTCACAATTAGAAAATAAGTAACCGCCAGTCAAAGTCTTTACATTAATATTTGGTATTCTAAAGTGTCTGGTGATACACATATGGAAAACCACATTAAATTATGACTGACTCATTTGGACAAGAATATGTGATTTCTTTCTTTGTCTGTAAACCATATATTACTGTAGATACATTACTACTGTTGATACATTACTGTAGATACTGTAGAAAGCAAATGCTGGGGGGAGTAAAAAATGAGCCCTGTTTATCAAGGAAAGCTTACAGCAAGTTCAGTCTCACTGTGTTCATACCAAAGAATATCAACTTATTTTTCCAGATGATTTTCAAAGCACTCAGGTGACAACAGACAATTCTGGCTTGAGGATCATTTGTTGATCCTTGAGATTAGTAAATGATTCTCAAGACTGGCAGATGATCCTTAAGCCACGATCAGCCCCATAGGTGATTCTACATCTATATGAGTCTGTTTTCAAGCCAAGAACTTTCTCCAGAGTATCCCTTTTCTCCCCTTATTATCAGCCACAACCCACTTCATAAGCACTTGGAGTTCTCTTCTTATTTTTTTTTCCCACCTCAAGAAAAGTGAAGTACAATTTCTTCAACTGTCTCAACTTTCTTATTACCCCAGGAAATGTGCACACAAGTCTTGTTAGTTTTAAAAATTTTTTTTCATAGGAAACCTTACAGAAATTTTGTTCTACATTTCTAAGCCTTTTACTGAGATTTAATTAACCTGAAATTTGAATCGTGCCTCCAATGTGTTTGACTATTATTCCTGTGAATGGGGCTTACCAACCCTCCATCCCACTACAACATCTTGCTTGTTGACTGATAGCATAACCTCCAAATCAGCTTTACACAGAAAAATGAAATCAAGGGAGAAAAATGGAATGTCTCTTAATTTCAAGTGAATCTTATTTTCACTGCATTTGTGCCAGATGAGTGACACAAACTCCCTAGTCCTTGGCGACCACAGATCTTGGCACTTCTTTTATGTGCTAATTGAATGAAGACGCTGTGTTTTTGTTGTTGCTTTTCTGTGTCTGTGTGTTTGCTTTTTTTTTTTTTTTTATACTTTAAGTTCTAGGGTACATGTGCACAACGTGCAGGTTTGTTACATATGTATACATGTGCCATGTTGGTGTGCTGCACCCATTAACTCATCATTTACATTAGGTATATCTCCTAATGCTTTCCCTCCCCCCTCATCCCACCCCAGGACAGAACCCGGTGTGTGATGTAACCCTTCCTTTTAACTGTGTGGAGAGGTTCTCCGGAGTATTACTGTTTCCCACCGTGTAGTGGATACATCCTATTTGAAGTGCTGCATAATGTTTACTATTACTTTATCTTCCGTCCAAAGCTTTCTGCTGCCTCTGGGCTGTCAGATCCAACTGCCCATTTGTTGGTCTGCTCTTGCAAGTTACTGAAGAGTCTCAACATTAGTGTGTCAAAAACTGAAATCAGAGTCATTATCTGTAAACCTTGCTCATATATTTATATCTAAATTGAAATATAGGTGCATATACATACATGCATGTGTTATACATATTTCATTGAACACATTTGATACCAGATCTATACATATTTTATACATGTATTGCTCATTTAATGCACAGATTCCATAAAGTAGGTATTCTTGTTTGATTTTGTTAAACAACTTAAGACCCAAAGAACTGAACCAATTTCCATTTAGCCAGAATAGACAGAGAGCCAGTTTTGAATTCTTAAAAAAAATCTTTTCTAAGTTAATTAAGCTCAGATAAAACTCTGCCACTCTTATTGCAGATGTTTTGCTCTATATTATTATAATTATCAACGTACTCCAGTCACGTCCTATTAAGTTATAAGTTAATTGAAAACAGGAATAATTATGTTTAATTAATTTTTATATTAGCCCATAATGCATACCATTAGGTCTTGTGCTCTGTCTGTATTAACTCTTTCTCTAATTTTCTATATGAAAACCTGGTCTACATGGATGAAAGTTCACATAATTGAACACTTCTAGAAATATACAATCTAGGACTATACTTTTATAGTCTGGGACTTAGCCTAAGGCTGGGGTCAGAGAACAAGACTACAGACAAAGGTCAAAGTTTTGCAGATAGTGTACTACTTAGAAACAGAAGGTCCCAATTAAACGTGAATCCCATGAGAAGAGTCAGAATACTAGGGCCAATGTTTAGCTCAAATAGATCTGATAATGATGAATTATATAGGTAGTGGTGTAATAGGGCAAAATTGTTCAATTCCACCTGGGATTGATTTATGAAAACCAGATGCAATCACAAAGAGGCAGGATATAATGACACGGGCTCCTGATAGAGGACAGTGAGCCAATGAAAGGGGTAAAATATACAAATAAAATTAAAAGTGAAGGTCTCAGAAACTTGTAATTGTAGAGGTTAAGAAGATGCAGTGGATATTTGAATTAGAAGTCAGAACTCCAGTGAAAAGTCAAAAACCTAATTACAATTAGTAGTCAGATGAAAAAATTTCAAATTTAAATTTGTAAAGTTGTATGTAGTGTGTGTACATATGTATGCACATATGTATTCATATAAACATAAATATAACATAAACATGGAAAAAGTGATAAAATTCTTCTTCAGTTTTCACATAAAATAGCCAAAAAAGAAAACCCAAATTCTGAATGGCATATCTTAAAATTTACACAAACCAAATTGTGCACATGCACACACTCATGGGAAGAGAGACAGAGAGAGAGAGAGACTGTGCACAGGTTAATCTTCCAATTATTTATGATACCACAGTTAACCCTGGGCCTTGTGTGAGTCACATTTTATACTCTTAAGTATGAAAAACCATTAAACTAATAACTAGCATTGCCTTTAAGACTGGTAGCTTAGTCAGCTCAAATATATCAAATGAAGTTCAAGAAAATTTAAAATAAGACTTTTTTTTTTGAGACGGAGTTTCGCTCTTGTTGCCCAGGCTGAAGAGCAGCGGTGTGATCTCGGCTCACTGCAACCTCCGCCTCCCGGGTTCAAGCGATTCTCCTGGCTCAACCTTCCAAGTAGCTGGGATTACAGGCATGTGTCACCATACTTGGCTAATTTTTGTGTTTTTAGTAGAGACGGGGTTTCACCTTGTCGGTCAGGCTAGTCTCGAACTCCTGACCTCAAGTGATCTCCTGCCTCAGCCTCCAAAAGTGCTGAGATTACAGGTGTGAGCCACCGCACCTGGCCTAAAACTTAAAATAAGATTTGAAAAAAGAAAAAAGTTTCAGGTCACTGCTCTATCAGAATATACACAGATAATAAGTGTAATGAATGAGTTTAAACGATTGAAGTTCAAATGTCAGGAAGATTATATTTTTTATAATAGCAACTATAAATCAAAAATACTTCTCTGAAACATAAAAGGCTATTCAGCAGAAATAGAATTCTGCTTAACTTAATTCTGTTGCTTTGCAACAAAGCCATTTTCTTTCTTGACATCAAATATTTGGTAAATGGGTCCCCTGACTAGCGGTGTGTTTGTTGTAATAAAGTATTAGCTTCTTTTTTTCCCCATGAAGTAAACTCATTTTTCTCACAGTAAGTAAGCCATCCACTAAAAAATGTATTGAAATTCAGTCATCCTATATTAGCATTGAAGATTATGTGGTTAGATTAAAATTTGAATACAAAAAATACATAAAACAAAAGGTATGTAACAATTTAAATATTAACAACACTTCTGTATTTTAAAAATTCTGTTTTATAAAATAATGTATTGCTGCTAATTAGTTCTACATATATGCTTATATAAATTAGATATATACACACTTAATATTTTTTTCATTATTTTTGCATAGGAATCTATCAAAAACACTATATTTCCTTAAGATAAATTACATACTAAATAAAGGCATGAAGTAAAACTAAAATAATTACTTTAGTAAAGTTATGACAATGCCACTGAAAAATTGCACAACAAAGTGAATATACTTAATCACTAAACCATACACTTAAAAAATCGTTAAAATGAGAAATGTAATGATAAGTACATCTTATCATAATTTTTAAAAATTATAAAATAAAAAATAATAATAACCAAATATTTTATGCCTGCAAAAAGCACATATGAGGAATTACTATTTGGAGGACATTAAAGAAACCCAAAAATTTCAACACAGTTATTGAAACTCTGAAACACTAGAGGCTACCACCTAATTTTAAACTCAACCTACCTCTGCCTGCCTCCTGAGTGAAAATATCAAATTATATATTTAAGAATACTTATCAAAATAAGCTTTAAAAAAGGTTTGTTTCAAAAAGATAGAATTAGAAAACTTTTTTGAAAATAATGAAATCCTCATAATGAAATCATGTTGGTTTTGATTTTATATAATCTTTATCATTCAGTTTCTATAAATTTTATCATAAATATTAATCATAGTTTATTGCCATTTCAAAGTTTAATTTACTTTGTATACTCAGATTTGTAGCTCACATGGAGTAAATGGATAATAGATTGAAACTGTTTTATCAAATTTCAATTCTATGGAACCTGATGGCAACTTTAGCTCTTATTCAATGGAATTTTGGAAATTAAATGTTTCTGGAGTTTTATCTTAAGAAAACACAAATAAAATTCTATGTAGAAATATTTTTTTCTGACTAAAGAGTAGCTGATTTAAAAGAATGCTATTTAAATAAATGATTTAGAATAATATTTAGATCACTAACAAACTTCATAGAAAGTCTGCTACAAATAAGAGGAATTAAAACAATAACCAGTTATCAACTTTGGAAACAAGATTCCCATCTATGACAAATATGCCAATGGAAATAACAAAAGCTGCCCGAGACTCAAAAATAAAATTAAGTCAAATGCATTTCATGTCTGGTAATTGAAGGCAACTCTAGCATGATTTGATTTATAGAATTATTGGGGCCTTAAAAGTTTTCAAGCAATTTTCATTATTAAAAATGTTGATCATAACAGACAAGGCAAACTTTTCTATCATACATTCCCACAAATAATATTGACAAAATGTGATCTTTCTGGAATATTTAAAAACAATTATCTTCGGATGTAAAATGTCATATTACACAATTCTGACCTCTCTTTTGATTACAGAGCCATTTATAATGCAATGACCAGCTTCAACTAAATAATGTGACAGACAACAATTCAAAATGTTACCAGGTGCTCACCAATAAAATAAAGCATGATGATCACTCCTTTTAGCTTTTAGCATTAACTTTGCAAAAACAGCATGTTTCCCTCCATTAAAAAGCAATTTTCAATCCCTGCATAAGAATGAAATATATTCCCTTTCAGTTGGATGATAAATGCCCTTAATTAGAAATGCTAATAACTGAACTGTTCCCTGAAGACCTACTATTTATGCTGACACACAAATACTTTATAACTAAACTTTTGTGCCAAATCTAGAGACAGAATCTCTATATCCCTTTAGTACAACAGACTGAGAATTATCTATAAAGGATAAAGGATAACATATTTAATTTGTGCGCAGATTAATCTCCTACCCCCAAATTCAATGCAAACATACAGCCCAACTAACTGCATTGTCTATGCAGGTATGAGCATATCATATGTATTGTACGTTCATAGTATAATATCTAAGATTCGCTTTGTACTTTATACTTAATAAAACCCTTGGATACATATTTTTTATTTATTGAGGGGAATAATGCTGTGATTTCTAATTCATGAATATTATGACTTTACCAGCTATTTTACTTAGAGAGAACCACAAGATTTTTTGCTTCCTAAACCAATGTTCTCTTTAATATAAAAATAAAATTTAATCCAAAGGGAAGAAATTCGTATAAACATAGTCTATATAAAACAGAATATGGTAGACAGGCTGACATTTGGGAATTGGTAAATAATTGTTAAGAAATCATCACCTGTTAAGTGGGTTGGCCTCAAATCCTGTAGTCACTGACAAACAGCTGAATGGGCAGTACAAGTTGTTTAGTTTTTATAACACAAATTTTTGTTGGTTGTTTTATAAATCAATAAAATTGAGATACTAGTCCCTAACTTTCAGGGCTATTGTGAGATTAAATGAGATAATATAATACATATTCTGGAACTTACAAGCACTAAGTGTGCATATAATGAATATCATCTAATGTTTATGACTTTCTAAGATGTATCTCTACTTGAATGTCTTCCCTGAGAACTAAACTTTTATATTTAACTTTCTACGTGACATCTCAATTAGTTATAATATTTCAAACGTAATATGTCCAAAAACTAAGTCTTGGTAATTTGCCCTAAAATCTTTTTTCTCCCCATCTCCAAATTGTTCATCCAAATATTCTAGGACTCATGCCTGATTCGTGCCTTTTTGCAGCTTCCTATCCTTCCGATTCTACCATCAAGTCCAAAGATTCAACTTTCAAAATGGGTAAAATACGTAAGTACTTAACACTCTCTCGCCAGTTAATTTAACCGCATCATGTTTCATAACACTCCCAATCTATATACTATATTGTTTATTTTTTACTGTCTATTTTTGTGATTGTAATTTAAGCTGTATAAAGACAGAGACCTCTTCACCAGCCTATCTTCAGCACCTAGAAGAATATCTGGAGTAGAGTGCTCTATAAACATTTTGTGAAAAAGCAATATTAAGAGACTTGTTAAATATCAATAAGCCCATAGAAGTATAATAGTCTCACTGACTGTGTTAATCCCTTCTCACACTGCTATAAGGCCATACCTGGGACTGGGCAATTTATAAAGGAAAGAGGTTTAATTGACTCACAATTAACCCAGAGCTGGGGAGGCCTCAGGAAACTTATAATCGTGGCAGAATCAGAAGCAAACATGTCCTTATTCACAAGGCAGCAGGAGAGAGAAAAATGAGATGTGCAGAGTGAAGTGGGGTGAAGCCCTTATAGAACCATCACATCTCCTGAGAACTCACTCACTATTAGGAGAACAGCATGGAGGTAACTGCCCCCATGATTTAATTACCACCCACTAGGTCCCTCTCAGGACACATGGGGATTAAGGGAACTACAATTCACGATGAGATTTGGCTGGGCACACAGCCAAATCATATCATTCTGTCCCTGGCCCCTCTCAAATCTCATGTCCTCACATTTCAAAACACAATCATGCCTTCCCAACAGTCTCCCAAAGTCTTAACTTATTTCAGCATTAACTCAAAAGTCCAAGTCCAAAGTCTTATCTGAGAAAAGGTACATTCCTTCCACCTATGAGCCTGTAAAATCAAAAGCAAAGCAGTTACTTCATAGATATAATACGGTACAGGCATTAGGTAAATACACCCATTCCAAATGGGAGAAATTGGCCAAAATGAAGGGGCTACAGGCCCCTGAAAGTCCAAAATGCAGAGGGGCAGTTAAAGCTTAAAGCTCCAAATTGATCTCCTTTGACTCCATGTCTCACATCCAGGGCATGCTGATGCAAGACATGGGCTCCCATGGTCTTGGGCAGCTCTGCCCCTGTGGCTTTGCAGGGTACAGTCCCACTCCCAGCTGCCTTCACAGGCTGGTGGTGAGTGCCTGCAGCTTTGCCAGGTGCATAGCTGCAAGTTGTCAGTGGAGCTACCATTCTAGGGTCTGGAGGATGCTGGCCTTCTTCTCACAGCTCCATGAGGCAATGCCCCAGCAGGCATATATCTTCTTTATTTAACAATTAAATTTAAACAATGTATAAATTTAAGCTTATTTTCATCCTCTGAAATTCAGGCGGAGGTTCCCAAACCTTACTTCTTGACCTCTGTGCACCTGCAGGCTCAACACCATGTGGAAACTTCCAAGGCTTAGGGTTTGTACCCTCTGAAGCAACAGCCTGAGCTGAACCTTGGCCCCTTTTAGCCATGGCTAGAGTGACTATGATGTGGGGCACCACATCCCTAGGTTTTACACAGCAGGGGTGCCCTGGGCCCACCCAAGGAAACCATTTTTTCCTCCTGGACTTCCAGGCCTGTGATGGGAGAGGCTGTCGAGAAGGTCTCTGACATGCCTTGGAGACATTTTTCCCACTGTCTTGGTGATTATCATTCAGCTCTTGGTTACTCATGCAAATTTCTGCAGTGGGCTTGAATTTCTCCCCAGAAAATGGGTTTTTCTTTTATATTGCAATCTCAGGCTGCAAATTTTCCAAACTTTTATGCTCTGCTTCATCTTAAATCCTTTGTCATTTAGAAATTTCCTCTGCCAGATACCTTAAATCATCTCTCTCCAGTTCAAAGTTCCACAGATCTCTAGGGCAGGGGCAAAATGTTGCCAGTCTCTTTGCATAGCAAGAGTGACCTTTGCTCCAGTTTCCAAGAAGTTCCTCATCTCCATCTGTGACCACCTCAGCCTGGACTTCATTTTCCATAACACCTCAGCATTTTGGTCAAAGCCATTCAAAAAGTCTGTAGGAAGTTCCAAACTTTCCAACATTTTTCTCTCTTATTCTGAACCCTCCAAACTGTTCCAGTCTCTGCCAGTTACCCAGTTCCAAAGTCACTTTGGTATTTTTACAGCAGTGCCCTACTCTCTCTGATATCAGTAACCTGTATTAGTCTGCTGTCATGCAGCTAATAAAGACATACCCAAGACTGGGTAATTTATAAAGGAAAGAGGTTTAATTGACCCACAGTTTGGCATGGCTGGGAAGGCCTCAAGAAACTTACAATCACAGCGGAGGGGGAAGCAATCACGTCTTTCTTCACATGGTGGCAGGAGAGAGAAGTGCTGAGCAAAGGGGGAAAATCCCCTTATAAAACCATTAGATCTCATAAGAACTCACTCACTATCAGGAGAACAGCATGGAGGTAACTGCCCCCATGATTCAATAACTTTCCACCAGGTCCCTCCCATGACACATGGGGATTATGGGAACCACAATTCAAGATGCGATTTGGTGGACACACAGGCAAACCATATCACTAACTGTAATCAGAACTTATTTATAAAGTGCATTAAATTAGCACCATAGTTTGATTTTAATTAATGCAAAATGATAATTGGCAGTGATAATTACCAATATTATCATCTTCTAGGCATAAAGCCTAACAAATTCTTTATATCTTCTTTATTTAACAATTAAATTTAAACAATGTCTAAATTTAAGCTTATTTTCAAAATACCAATATTGAAATTACTGATTCCACTTAATTTGGCTTCATTTAAAAATGTTTTCAAACATTTATTTATTTGGGGAAAGAAAAATAGCAGTTGAATGTTTCATTTATTAAAGTGAAATGAATAAAGTAAAAAAGAAAATATTTTTTAAATTGCATATTTATAAATTTATTTCATGGAGAGAGTCAGCAATATATTTTAAGGAATATCCTGATTTCCTTAAAAAAATTTAATAAATATGATATGGATGAGCAAGAATTTAGTTGAAAGGCAGAAATTCTAAATATTATACCTGACTTTGCTACTACCTGGGTCTGCAAGTTCTAGCACACTGCTTATCTATCCCAGCCTTCAATTTTCTTATCTGGAAAATAAAGGAAGTGGACTGGCTCATCTCCAAGAAACCTCCTGGCCAAAAAAAAACCATCACTTAATGTCAGATTTCTCTAACTTAGAATTTTTTCATATGTAGCTTTCTTTAAAAACTCCTCTGAGTATAACTGTAGCATCCCCAAAGTGTCATACCAGTTTGTTTTACTGCTTTCTCGCACATTAATTCAGTTCCCTGAAAGAGTAGTGGCAGATATTAATGCCTCACAGCATTTAAATTTATTTTTGAGGGTATAATCTCATCTTGAGTTAAAAAAATTCTAAAAGGTCTGGACAAATTACTTGCGTAAGTATATATCTGTTGGAATAATTTATGTGAACACCAAAATTTCCATAATAAAATTTAAAACAAGCAAATTTTTCATATTAAGTTGGTGTGAAATGATGGGCCCTTATATTTAAGCTATGTGAAACCAATTGCCACGTGTGCTTAGAAAGTGCTTAGATATGTGGGAGATATGGAAGATTCACAATTGTTTGCTTTGGGAAAACCAGGTATAAAAGAATTGTCGAATGGTGAAACTATTCAGGCCAGGCGCAGTGGCTCACGCCTAGCACTTTGGGAGGCCAAGGCAGATGGATTGTCTGTGCTCAGGGGTTCGAGACCAGCCTGGCAACATGGTGAAACCCTGTCTCTACTAAAATAAAAAAAAATTAGCCAGGCATGTGCCTGTAGTCCCAGTTACTTGGGAGGCTGAGGCAGGAGAATTGTTTGAACCCGGGAGGCGAAGGTTGCAGTGAGCCAAGATCATGCCACTACACACCAGCCTGCACAACAGAGTGAGACTCCCTCTCCAAAACAAACAAACAAACAAAAACTATTCAGAAGCATGTAGTTTCTGCTCATGCAGGTTTTGAATTAAATCTTATGAACCAGAGTAAGAAAAGGTGGATAGTAAAGCACAGAGTAGCAATACGACCTGTCTAGAAACGTCTAATAGATAACAGAATTGAATCAGAGCCAGAAGGTTCAGGGGAAAGTCATGAGAATATAGCTCAAGCAGTATTTTAAGCACTTGAAACTGAATTAAAGCCATAAAATGCTTCACTGGGTCCTTACATGTGACTGCAATTTGTCACATCACACTAAACACCACAAAGCTTTAAACACTTGTGCTGCTTTTCAAAAGAGAGGTCACTTTGAATGACCACAGCCAATGTAGCAAAAACTTCTGGAATTTCAGCCATGAATTAAAAATGATTTGCACTTTTTTCTTTTGGAAGTTTCTTTAAAAAAATCTGCAAACAATGAATATATAACAATAAACTAAATATAAGTATGTTAAATAAATATAAATAACAGTTGCATATTAAAATAATAGGTTGTCTTTCAAATGACAACTATCATTATTCAACATATATAACTTACTCATTCAACAAATATTTATTAAGCACCTATTATGTTGCAGGTCCTTTTCTAAGTGTTTCTGAGAATCCCATTTTGAATAAGACTTAGGAAGTTTACTTTCTCTGGAAATCTGATAGAGAAGGATAAGGTAAACAAACTCTATATACTCATATATTTTATGTAGAAGAACACAATTTTAGATAGGAATTTGTGTTAAGAAATCATAAAGAGGAAGTTGATAGAGTGACACTGGGAAAAGGGAAAGGGCAAACATAACATTACTGGTCAGACAAGTCCTCTCTGAGAAGTTGACATTTTATCTAAAATAATGACAAAATGACCATGACATGGATGCCCTTCTCCCTCACCAAACCAAACCAAACAGCTCGCTGTAGAATAGAAAATTCCAGGCAGAGAGAACTACAAGTGCAAAAGGCCAACATGGCAGAAAGGTTGGCATTTTTAAGGAAGCCTGATTGATTGGTTGGCATTGGCAGTATTCAGTAAATGTTTAGCAACTGCTTTCAAGAAACAGGCCAACTACATTCAAAGCACTTACTGATTTCCAGGGTGTAAATACTTCCATGTTGGCCAATTACAATCTAATAATGTGATGATACTAAATGCAGAACTGACAGGAGACAAAGGGTGAGCTGGGGCCAGTGCACGACTCTGGCTCAAAATAAAGGTGGCAGCTGGTGGTGGTGGAGGGGTTCAGATAAATGGACAGAGACCAAGTTATTGAATCCCATGTAGTCAATGGTAAGACATTTAAATTTTATTCTTAGAAATCACTGCATGCTGTCTATGCAAGAGATAGGGTATGATTATCTAATTTATAGTTTTAAATGTTCTTGGGTTGCCTGTTGAATAATGCACCATGCAGGAGAAAAGATAGGCAGTTAGCAAGCTATCATACTACCCCAGCTTAGACTAAGGAGGTCGTTTTGGAGGTAAAGAAAAGTGGATAAATTCAGGACACTTTTGGACATTTTTGAAGCTGAGTCTCCTTGTTAATGAATTTGTTGGATATGGTGTACAGAGGAAGAGGAATGAAGAATAATAACAAGGTTTGCCTTCAGCAATTGTGAAATGATCTATGAAGCAATTCATTTAAGGTAGGGAGGTGAATAGAAGTCAAAAGTGTTACTTTGGCCTTACTAAGCTTGAAATGTCTAGTAAACATGCTGACTGACATTAATAGCTAGAATAAGTATTCCTTTTTATCTATTTGATCAATAAACTTTCATATAGATATTAGTATTTCCAATCATAGATACAAACATGAAGGAATAGTAAAGTTGTTGAAGGTCATATAGCTGGGAATGTCAGAGGTAGGATGTGAACTGGGGTTTAACTATAAAGTCTATGTATTTAACTACATGATATACTTCCATTTCTAAATTAATTATCTGAATTCATTTTTTAAAGTATACTCTTCTAGTTTCCCTGATAATTTCCTGCTACTTGCTCCATTTAAAACATTATTTTATTTATTGCACATATGAGAAAATGGTAAGGCAAACTCTTGTAAGAAAGGCTACTTAGGAGTAGAATGCCTAACCCATATGAAGGACATAACTGCTTTTGAGCAAATTCTCCTTTAAACCATGTAGTAGTACCTGCATTACTATACCAGGTGGATGTGTTAGCCTCCTATGAGTTTCTACTTGGTACAGTAAATATTTCCAGAAGAAATAACTATAAGTAATGCATAATGAAGGCCGAATATCCATACTTTCTGTTATAGCTAAGCAACATATCATCAGTAATGGAATTGTAGTCTGTTTAGCAATTTAATTATCTACAGGAAAAATGAGATATAATTATTATACCCTCTTCCGGTTTTGTAATTTAGTAATGTAACTTTTAGCACTGCATACATATGATACTGTGGTTGTAGCTTACTGGAGCAGTAGACAGGAGTAGTTAGAGTTTCCAAATGTGCTACTCTGTAACCATGCAGTCAGTAAATAAAAATATGATGAGAGTTTAAATGGTAATGTTTTCTCCCTCCCACATTGAAACATTTAGTGGTTTGCATGATTAAAAACTGCCACTGCAATCTGTGCCATACTGATGAAGTTGACCTATCTCTGGGCTAAGGTAATAGTTCAAAAAAAATGCAAAGGAAAGGTGATTTGTGAGATAAAGAATTAAACTCTCAAAATTTTTTTGAAACACTTTGATATTTTCCAGGCCCTTAGAACACTACAGATTTGAGAAAAACATTGCATCTGGGATCTAATAGCTGCCATATTTTTCCGAAATTTCTCATGTCATCTACAAGTTTGACTTTTGAATGAAAACAGTGAATATGTAATTTAAGTCCTCTGTCAAAGATCTCATTCTTGGAAAATAAGATTAAACTGTAGATTCTAAAACCGGATGTCTAAAACTCACATTCTCCTGAAAAAAGTGGTTATTCATATCAAGAGTATCCAAGGGAATTAATTTCAAGATCACCCAGTTCAACTTTCCTCACAACTTCTGTTTTCTGTATCACTCATAAAAGTGAACTTCAGACATCTAATTGAGTATTTATCCACCAGTGGCCTCAGAAATGCCAGTCTATTTCAGAGCGACTCGAAAAACAGTGCCCATAGAGAGCTGTGCTTTGAAACAAGGTTTAATTAATGCTTTCATTTTTAGAGCTGCCAAAACACCATGACTTAGGACACTAATGTCACTGAAACTCATTTGTGCCTCCCATCATGGTCTTCAGCATCATTTTTAAAGCTTTGAGTGACAGGCTTCCACATATCATAATGTTACTGATAATCTGATTGCTCACCCTCCATAACTTAGAATCCTCCATAACTCTATTGGGCAGAATCTTCACACATCTGATCTGCATATTTCTTATTTAATAGAAATTAGGGTTAGACTTCTGTTATTTATACTTATACTAATAATTCCAAGTCCTGGTTTCCCCCTGACCCTGATTTTCAAGGCTGATGGCATCAGGAACTTATAGTTTGGCTCCCTGGAACCAGGACTTTGTTCTTGAGCAGCCTGCACATTTAGACCAATGCTTCACTGAATACTGAGCCACCTTCTAGTGAAAGCTCCTCCTAACAGACTCACTCACCCATGTCTATCAGAAGAGAAGTGGTTGGAACCATCTACATGTTTCCAAAGCTAAAGTACTTTAAATGCCCCTAGCTCAGGAAGTAGAGTGTAAGGTCACATCCAGAGGTACTCAATAAGCTTATAGGGCAACAATTCATTCTGTTTTATGGGAATAGGGCTTAGGTGGCGATGTCCTTAAGCCCTTGCCACTTATATATAAATGTCATAAAGTGAATGATGTGCCATCAATAACATAGAGGCAATCAGAATTTCAAGCATTAGTAAAAGTGAACAAATATTTCATTTAATGGCAAACAGAAAATACTTCATACTCATATTATGAAGAAATTATTATTATTTAATTTATTTGTTTATTTTGAGACGAGTTTCGTTCTTGTTGCCCAGGCTGGAGAACAGTGGTGTGATCTCGGCTCACTGCAACCTCCGCCTCCTGGTTTCAAGCGATTCTCCTGCCTCAGCCTTCTGAGTAGCTGGGATTACAGGCACGCACCACCATGTCCAGCTAATGTTTGTATTTTTAGTAGTGATGGGGTTTCACCATGTTGGTCAGGCTGGTCTTGAACTCCCGACCTCAAGTAATCCATCCACCTTGGCCTCCCAAAGTGCTGGGGTTACAGGCATGAGCCACCGTGCCTGGCCTAGAAATTATCTACAAATGAACAAGGGTGTAATGGACTTACCTGAATCTGTAGCTGTAATCATTAAGACAAAGCGCTCTTTTGTTTCCCGATCCAGACTCTGTGTTACTCCAAGTTCTCCACTGGCTGAGAGAGTAAAAGCATTGTCTTCATTACCACCAAACAGAACATATGAGAGTTTGCTGTTAGATCCTCGATCATCATCTCTTGCCACCACCTGTAGAACAGTACATACCAAGATGTGAGTAAAACAAACAATGCATCTCATGAAATAAAATGCCTCCATTAAAAAAAAATGAGGTAAAACTATGTTAAGAGATTCCAAAGATATATTTTTAGATTTTCAAGTAAAAAATAAAAATGGCACACTATAGTATATATCACCCGAGTCTATTTGTGTAAAAATATGTGTAAAGCTAATGCACAGCATTTTTGGAAGGCTTCATAAAAATTTTTAAGAGCAGTTTCACCTAGGTAGTTAAATATATGAAGGAAAAGAGTAGAACAATATTTATAACGAAGTTTCAAACATTTCCATCATTTTAGTTTTTTACTATGTGCAGATATTATCCTTGTGGAACAAAATTCAAAAACACAAATACATAAATGTGTGCAACATGAGTATACACAAAAGAAAGCTAGTAAAATACAAAAGTTTCATCAATGAGGAAATTAAGAGGTTCTTAGGTATGATGTTTATAAACCTTTCCTTTTCAAAATTTGCTGTATCTGCAATTGAGCATTTATGGATGAGAATGAGGAGAGAACAGGGGAAGCGTAAACGCTGTAGAAGAGGGGAGGTTTTCAAATAGATGTCTTATAATTAAGACAATACTTGCTTTATTTAAATATACTGACCTGAAGAATTGTTCTGGGTAGTGTCCCTAAATTCTCAGGGACATTTACAGAATATGGAGATAGCTCAAATACAGGAACAAAGTCATTAATATCCAGTAGAACAATGCTGACCGTGGAGGTATCAGTTCTGGGTGTGCTGCCTCGATCTGTTGCCTGAACAGTTAAATGGTAGGTAGGGGTCTTTTCTCTATCCAAAGGTTTAGCGACAGTGATGGCACCTGTGACAGAGTCTATCCGAAATTCCTGATTGGTATTACCATTAACAATGCCATAGCGAACCTGTCCATTTGTGCCTTCATCTCCATCTGCTGCGAACACTTGTATTATATCTGTTCCAGTAAGTGTGTTTTCATTAATCTCCACTTTATACAAAGCTTGTGCAAAGATGGGGTTGTTATCATTGATGTCAAGTACCATAACTACAACCTCTGTAGATGAAGAGAGAGATGGTTGACCTTTGTCTGTAGCCACCACTGTTAGAGTATAATTAGAAACTTCTTCTCTGTCCAGTTCTCCAGTGAGCCTCACTTCACCATCAATGGTCCCAATACTGAACTTGTTTCCCAAAGGGTTCAGCAGAGTGTACTCAATATAGCTGTTTGGGCCACTATCTGGGTCAGTTGCTTGAGCTTTGAAAACAACAGTATCAATAGGTGTATTTTCTGGAATGTATGTCAATTTAGGGGAAAGAAATGTCGGTGGGTTATCATTTACATCCAACAAAATAATGGAGACTTGAGCAGTGCTTGTGAATCTGGAGGCTGGAATCTGTGGCAGGTCATGCACTTGAACAACCAAGTTGTAGAAGGACTGACTTTCCCGATCCAAAGCTTTTAGGACTTTGAGTACACCATTCTTGTCAACAGTAAACTGCCCAAGGCTATCACCTGAAGCAATGCTATAAGTCAATTGAGAGTTGATGCCTGAAATTAAAGGGAAGAAAAAATTTTCTTAAACATATGCTGATTGCAGAACAAGCTATACCAAAACTTTTAGCAAGTAATTTGGCATGTTTGATATGCCGTGCATCCAAACACACTTTAGGAAATCCTGTGAACAAATGATCTATATACTGCTTGCTATTTACTAGGGTGTTGAAATGTTAAATTACAAAAGTAAAGAGGAGAAAAATATTCCAGAGAGCAGATATTTTTCTATATATTTCCTTGTTTCTATCACATAATTCCTGATGGTCCAACACTAACAGTGCCACACGCTATACTATTAGTCAAACATTTGTAACTTTAGTAATTTAGGGAGGCTGACACCAATTTTCAAGAAAGGGTAATAAAATGTTCTGATGTATGGCATTAGTCATGAATGCTGTAAGTGTACTTCTATATTTCGTGTCAAAATCAATAAATACTTATTAATTCCTATTAAGTGTCTAGCTAAGTAATGGACCTTTGAGACAATAGTTCTCTTTCAAATTTTATTAAACATATTTAAAGTTTCTAAAAAGTATTTTTAAAGAAATTGTTAGCAGTAAAATTATACATAAAACTTTCCAAATATAAATGCTCATGCTATTATTGAACTGTATTTAGATACTGTTGATTTTTCTTAGGATCATGTGTCATTTTTTAGTTTAAAAATTGTTTCTAAATCCTCACTTCAGAAAATGATTGCAGAGAGTCTTATAACAAAAATGATGTGGAGCATATACATCATCTTACTGTTTTAGTAACTAAAGGTAAATAACAAATAAGCAGTGAAAACAGAAAGAAGTCAGTTTCTGCCTCAGAGTGATGTTTTCTTCTCTGGCCTGTAACGATGTGCATTTTTATATCTTATCCTAATGACATTGGAAAAATTACAGGATATTATGATAAAAACGTACTGTACATCCAGGTAATCTATCTTTAATAAAGATGTATATTCTGGGACTAGCAAATATCTACTGACTAACCTGAATTACCTACAATTAGCTTCTATATTTCTAACATTAATTTCAACTATCCAGGTTTCTGAATTCTACCTATGAGAAGTGATGTTCACTTTTGGCAAAAGTCGTCTAGAACAATTTAATCACCCTTTTACTCTTTTCTTTAAAAAAATTCTTTCTCATTATTCTATCAATACTTCAGTTAACTTTTGCCTTTTTTTGAACTTCATCAAGTTCTTTAAGAAGTCAAATTTAACTTGAGTATGAGATTTTTTTCTACCATGTAGAACTCAATGTTTTTAAAAACGCCACACTTACTCTTATTCTGTGACTTTACTGTCTCTAATATCCTTTGCCTAATTTGAAACATGGGAAAAATATTTATGAATATAACTTTCAGACAATGACTTATTAACAAAAATTTCTAGGATAAACAATGATTGAGTAAATCGTTGAAAGCGTAGTTTATTTTTTCCCCCTCATTATGAGTTGTGACTTTTAATCTTTATAGTTTATTTAAGACTACTCACAAGTGAACAAGGAAGAGATTACAAAGTTCAGAATACTTAGGAGTCTGAAGATCAGGAAAAATATGAATAAATAAAGCTAATAGGTGTCAGAGGTCAATTCACCCGCAGGAAAGAAACAGAATTGTAGAATCTGACTAGAACAAGGTTAACAGCTTATTTCAACCCCTTGTCTTAAAATTCCACAGGCTTTAGAGGATAAAAATTTCCACTATCTTCACATATATATATATAAAGCTTTTAGGACTTTCATTACAACGTAAATATACGTATATACATTATATTGTGTGTGTATATATATTTACTCAAACATTATAACATATACATATTTGAGTATCTATATATACACACAGAATTTATTTTTAATTATGTGTATACGTGTGTTTCTATTAACATCTACATATATAGTTACGTTTAATTACTTTTTAAGAAAATTTTCTGCATTTCCTACAAAAAAGTTCATCAGTAAATATTGAATCCCCATTCTTTTGGGGACATGACTATTATTGAGAAATGCAGTTATGAAAACACATGAATGAAAATAAATACCAACAAGCAAAGATATAAAATTTAATTCTAGAGAAGCATATAAAATCTTTCATATCTAAGATCAAAATACATTAAAAATACTGACATTTTACATGGCCTAACATTTCTACATAAATCAACAGGAATGGGAGCAATTAAATCAAGTATCTGATCATCCTTAGTCCATCATGTATGCTACTTCCTTGAGTAAACAGCTAAATTGCAGAGGCAAAAAGAGAACACGATCCCAAAATTTTATAGCGTTGTTGTAAACAGCAGAACAGCCTCTTTTATAAAGGCAAAAAGTTTGGTAGATGAATGGGTAAGGGAAGTAATAAATTTTAAGCTAACTAAAAGTATAACAAAAGAAAAATTTGCTTTTATATTCAAATACATAATGACAAATATATTAAGTAACAACATTAAAAATAAACTGAAGATTATTGTTGATGAAACAAATAAAAAATATAACTATTTTTACATAAAATATTGCCATATTATAGAAGAAGTAGCTCTCATCTCAGGAACTGAAAATTAATTGCTGCAATTACAGGTCATGGAATCCATCTGCATTTACTTTACTGTAAAGAAAATAACTTTTCATTTCTGACAAGTCTAAAAAGTGACTTTGGCCACATACACTACATCTAAAAAATACATGCAGACATAGCAAAACTCAAATTTCTCCCGGAATATTTGAAGTATACTGAAAAATACTAAGCTCAGACCATTTTTTTCTATTTTTTCAACAAATATCTGAACCATGAGACAGTAAACACATTATTGTAAAATTATTATTTTTACATTGTTTTGAATTCTAAGCTTTAGCCATAAGTGTTGCAATTTAAATTTAGTGGGCTTTAATGGCCCACCAGATCTTTAAACTTCAAACAGCCCACTGTGAACCATTTGTGTTCAATGTTCTCCAAGTCATTTAGTTACATGACTCTTCCTGGCAGTTTTATTGCATACATATGGTTTTATGGTTTCGTCATATATATATATATATACACACATACACACACACTATATATAGATATGTAGATATCTATATATAGTATTTCAGTCTCATGAATAATTTTGTTCTAAGAAGCACAGCACATAAAATATATATTATAAATATATAAAAATATATATAAATAGTAAAATATATTTTAAAAGTATAGGTGTATAGTTTCATGCTATAAAATATGTATATTTACTCACAATCTATAAATGTTATCTTCTAATTTCTATAAAGAACTAATATTTGTCAACTTTTCACATAGCTGCAACACATAGAAGTGTTTTGAATAACACCCATCTTTATAAAGCAGTTTCAACAAGGTCATCAGGTCACTGGAATATATGAAACTCAATGGTCTGTATTGTACACCAATATTATATAGCTACATTTATTCAGCAAAAATTCCAATTGTATTATTAGCAAAACATTTTAATATGACTTCCCAATATTTAAAGTGTAAATAATTTATAGGATAACGAAATAACCATCAAAGCCAGAATATTTCCGTGATGCTCCGATATTTCCTCAATGTAATACCGCATGCTTAGTAGTCTTGATGCTAACAGAGGTATTACCCTTCTTGTGAAAACAGTAAAAGATCTGATTTATGTTTATGAAATCATCATGTAAGCTAAATTTTAAACTCTGACAGAATCCATAGACAGATAACAGATTGTGACATTTATTTTCATATAAAATTCCTTCATCTAAAAAGATGACAATATTACCTCATTGGAACCTTCTGATCAGTGATTGAGATTTATTTGTTAATTTGTTATTTTTAAAAAATGTCTGACTAATATTGTCTGTGAAACACTTGAGACCCTTTTGTGTAACTGAGCTGGAAAGTTTTACAAACAAGCTTACCTTTGTATAGCCTTATCACTGTCCTTGAAATTCAGAAAGAATAGGAATTGTGTCATATATTTTATGTCAAGGTGCAGGAAATTACACTGATAAACGTATTCAAAACTAAAACAATGAATAAATATAGCTTGAAACTTTTACTCAATGCAATTAAAGAAAAAATATCACAAAAACTTACTTAGAGACAATGGTCAATGTATTTCTGTGCTTACATGTGCATGGAATATTCCAGCAGGTTTTTGACAAACAAAATTCTTTTCTTTTTCTTTTTAATTTTTTGGTATCTTCGCAGTTTCCCTATATTTTAAGTTATGATGGTAAATAAAACTTATTCCAGGAAAACATACAATTCTATGAAACAATGGGCTCTCTCTAATACATAACTAATAAATCAAAAAGAAACATGGTGGAAAATTCTTCTCTGTAGAAAAGTTGAGCACAGTCACAGGACAAATAAGAATACATGATTAGCTTTGAAAATATTCTTATCTATGGAATAGGTAGACTAACTAAAAGTTATAGCAGATAAACCAATCTCCAAAATAGGGACTAACCTCAATTATATACAGATATCTAACTGGAGCCAATCCACAGACCTGGGATGAGGTACATGAAATAGAGTGTGCAATGTTCTTAGGCCAGGACTGGGTACATGCAAAACACTTGGCAGATGTCAGTTCTTGAGATTCTTATTAACATCGTTAACATTAAAGTATTGTTACTAGCAACAGTAGTAGTAATAGTAGTAGTACTAGCATTACAGCTGTATCTATTTTAGATATATCTTTGTGCCCAATTTTAACTGCACTTAAATTAGAGGAGGAAACATCAAAATGCTCTTACTCAATGAATTCTAAAGAAAGTATTTCCCATTTTACTTATTGAAACATATATAAAATACTGTCCTTTTTGCTTCTCATATCGTTCCAAGTGCCATTTATAGACACTATGAGAAGGAAAGTAAGTATAGAATAGAATGTTAAAATAGAATAGTATTCTGAGATTTCACAAATCATCCAAGTCATAAGAATAAGGCAATTCTAAATTGAGATAGATATGCCTGTCAATAGAGACCTATTTCTTCTTCAAAGTACTGTCCCTTGTTTTATATATTGATGAGACAATTTAGTTGCATCCAACATAAGGGAAAAACACGTACTAATTTTCCAGACAATTCAGTTAAAGGTTGATAATCCATACAATGTTTTCTCTAATGCTATATTATATGATATGTATACTTACAAAACAGGTGTTAGAAGAAAGGCCAAAGGAGTCAGCTATTAAAATAAAGTTTGCCAATTGCTTTTGCAATAAATACAAATCAAACACATGTAAAGTATAAATTTAATGCAAAATTTTAACTTGATCATTAGCATAAATTAAACAGATCTGAGACTGTTCGAGCTGAAATGAAACCTAGTTAAAATATTATTAGCTGGGCTGGGTGCAGTGGCTCACGCCTGCAATCCCAGTACTTTGGGAGGCCAAGGCAGGCGGGTCATCTGAGGTCAGGAGTTGGAGATTAGCCTGACCAACATGGAGAAACCCCGTCTCTACTAAAAATACAAAATTAGCCAGGCGTGGTGGTGCATGCCTATAATCCTAGCTACTCGGGAGGCTGAGGCAGGAGAATTGCTTGAACCTGGGAGGTGGAGGTTGCAGTGAGCTGAGATTGCATCATTGCACTCCAGCCTGGGCAACAAGAGTGAAACTCTGTCTCAAAAAAAAAAAAAAATTATTAGCTATTTGTCAGCCAAAAATGTGAAACTTAGTTTTTGCATTCGTAAGTATTTTTACTTAAGTCTTTGGTTTCATTTTGCTTTGAAATTCTATCCTTTTCAAGTTAAAATAACATATGTAAACCTAATATTTTTATTTATCTAACAAAATTATACAAAAAAAAGTGGTCTTATGACTTCTACATTGCTAAATTGAAACACGACCCTACATTTAGGGGGAAAAATAAGATAAAGTTTATAAAACAATACAAGGTATGTTTTCTGTTATAAATAAGAATTTAACCGATAAAGTACTTAATTTTTAAAATCCTCTACAGTTCAGTTATAATTCTATTCCTCAACTTCCAACCTATATTCACAAAATGCATTTTTGTGACAGCTCAACACAATAAATAAATGTAATATAAATCTGATGACAGTTTATAGATGTTTTAAAAATTATATTAAATAAAATACATACCATCATCTGCATCAGTAACATTAAACACAAGAACAGTAGATCCCACAGGTAGATTCTCCATTAAAGATGTGCTGTATGAATTCAAGCTGAAAATAGGTGGATTATCATTTACATCTAGAATATTGAAATAAACTCTGATGGTAGTAAATTGTCCCCCACCATCTTCTGCTCGAACAGTGAGGATATAATATTGCTGTACTTCATAATCTAATAATCGAGTCAAATTAAAGACCCCAGTAATAGGATTCAGGAAAAAGATGCCATCTTCATCATCTTCATTCACAATATATGTAATTTCTCCATTCACACCAGAGTCATCATCCGTGGCTAAAATGGCTGCTACCAAAGAACCTATCAAAAGAATAAATTAATAGTATAAAATCAAGGAAGTAAGAAGTATTACTAAGAGAACATATAGAAAGAGACCAAAAAATGTATTTGTACAGTAAAATATCTTAACTGAAAACCGCTATGAAAATACAGTGAACATAACATTCTGCAGATTTTGATATTACCATTTCCCTATTTGAATACAGTATGTGACATATCAGATATCCAGTGGACCTCAGGTTTCAGCATAAATTTCCTGAGGAATTAATAATATATCTGATGTTATGTTTCCATCTAGCAGTACCTATCCATAAATATACTGATGAATTCAATCAACATTTAAGGTAGCATATTGCTAGTGTCAGGAACTGAGGATTCCAAAAAATATATAGACTTATGCCCTGGTGATACTACTCTAGAACTTATGTGGTCATTGCAATAACTAAGTCAAGAAATAAGTGTGATGGGATTTCCATAAAGGACTTGCACAAGATATCTTGAGGAGTGAAGAAAAAACTTCAGGTAGAAGGAGTCTCCTGTAGATGTTTAATTCCTTTGCCAAATGGAGTTTCTAAAATGTATGGCTTATCATGAATAATCATTCCAAATGTAATTCAGAATAAAATTTTAATTTTACATAAAAATTTCCAATAATGGGAATGAAGCATACACACACACACCAGAAACATGGATATTGAGTACTCAGACTAAAAAAAATCACAATATAATATGTTCAAAGAAGCAAGATTATAATTAAAGATTCAGTTTCTTATAACACTTAATGGGCATTTGCTAATACCCAAGCCCTGTGTTAGCAAACTCAATGTACTTTCTAAATTATCCTTTACCTTAACTCTAACAGGAATTACTGTTTCCATTTACAGGATAGAGAATTGAAACTAAGAGAAATGAATTAACTTGCCGTTGGTCACACAGCTAGTGAGCGTTAGAATCAATATTCACAGTTTTTCATGTATTTTTTTTTTGCTGTTCTTTTTATACATAGCCCCCAAATCACATTAGACGTTTTTAAAGCAGAAAGAGTACCAAAACTGTGATTGACAGAAAATTAATAACCCATGTCACAAATACTTTCAGACACATAAATGGCTAACCTCATTCATCCTAAAAAATTTAGCCATTTGCTTGAGAATTTTACCAAAGATCGTTAATGAAAAGATCCAACAATCCAGCATATATATTTTTATAACTAGTAGTATATGATTAAAAACTAATCATTGATTAAGAGCAGCCGAAACATAGTATGTAATTTTGGTTCAAAAGCGATTCTTGCAAAATACACATAAGAGACCCATCACCTACCAGGGATTGTGTCCTCAGGAATGTCAAAAGAGTACACGGGTCTGGAAAATTTGGGTGTATGGTCATTCACATCACTGACAGTGATATTAATTCTCATATCCGAGGACTGAAGACCATCATCAGCACGAACTAGCAGTGAATATTTGGAGCGGCGTTCCCTGTCCAACCGCCTGGTTGCTATCAGATCTCCGGATTCTGGGTCGATGCGAAAACTATCATCAGCTCCACTAATGATAGTGTATGTGACGAGAGCATTTGCACCCTAAAAAAAGAGACCAAGCATCTGAGCTATTGGAAGTAGAAAAGCATTGCTCCTTATATTTTCTTTTGAACATGTATTTGACAAAGGAAGGCTTTTTGGCTTTAAGTTCATATGATATTATAAGACTTAAACAGGTAATGAGAGATAAACTTACTAACTAACGAAGGCGGTAAAAGCTTTGTATGCCCCAAATTACAAAACATTGCTGAAAGAAATCAACAAAGATACAAACAAATGGAAAGACATCCCAAGTTCATGCATTGGAAGACTTAATATTGTTAAAATGTCCATGTTATCTATGCAATTTACAAATTCAATACAATTTATATCAAAATCCTAACAGCATTTTTTATACAAATAGGTAAAGCAATTCCAAAATTCATACGAAACCACAAAGGAGCCTAAATAGCCAAAACAATCTTGAGAAAGATAAACAAAGTTAGAGGTATTGTGCTTCCTGATTTTAAAATATACTACAAAGTTACAGTAATGAATAAAGTATTGTGCTGGCATAAAGACACACATACAGACAAACCAAACAGACTAGAACGCCTATAAATAAATCCATGCATGATAGTCAATTGATATTCCATAAGGGTGCCAAGGATATATAATGGGGAAAGGATAGTCACTTCAACAAGGGGTGTTGGGAAAACTGGATATCCATATGCAAAAGAATGTAAATATACATTATACACAAATATCAATTTAAAATGGATTAAAGACTTAAAATTAAGACCTGAAACTATAGAACTCCTAGTTGAAAATTGCTAAAAGACAGCCTGGGCAATTATTTCATGTATATGACTCCCAAAACAAGCAACATAAGCAAAAGCAGACAAGTGAAAGTATATCAAACTAAAGTTTCTCTACAGTAAACAGTCGAGAAAATGAAAAGGCAATCTATGGGATGTGAGAAAATATTTGCAAACTGTATATCTGATAGAAAGTTAATTTTCAAAATATATAAATAAGTCCTACAACATAATAGCTATTAAGTTTGGTAATCCAATAAAAAAATGGTTAAGGTCTTATATAGATGTTTCTTTAAAAGAATACATAAAAATGGCCAACAAGTGGCCAGGCGTGGTGGCTCACACCTGTAATCCCAGCACTTTGGGAGGCTAAGGTGGGCGGATCATGAGGTCAGGAGATCGAGACCATCCTGGCCAACATAGTGAAACCCCGTCTCTACTAAAAAAAAATTCAAAACATTAGCCAGTAGCCTGGAGTCCCAGCTACTCGGGAGGCTGATGCAGGAGAATGGCATGAACTCGGGAGGCAGAGCTTGCAGTGAGCCAAGATCGCACCACTGTACTGTAGCCTAGGTAACAGAGCGAGACTCTTGTCTCAAAAAAAAAAAGGCCAACAAGTATATAAAAAATACTCAGTGTCACTAATCATCAGGGAAATGCAAATCAAAACCACAATGAGAAATCACCTCACACCTGTTGGCATGGCTATCATAACAAATAAACCAAAACAAGTGTTGGTGAAGAAGTGGGGAAATTGGAACCCTTGTACACTGTTGGTGGGAATGCAAAATGATACAGCTGTTGTGGAAAAACAGTATGGAGGTCCTCAAAAAAATAACAAATAGAATCACCGTATGATCCAGCAATCCTTTTTTCACAATGGTCATGATTTGGAAACAAACTAAATAGCCATTAACAAACGAATAGATAAAAAAAGGTGATATAGGTTTAGCATCCCTAATCAAAACTAATCCAAAATCCAAATGCCCCAAAATCCAAACATTTCCAAGTGCCAATATGATGTTCAAAGGAAATGCTTATTGGAACATTTCAGATTTTGACATTTCAGATTAGGGATGCTAAATCAGCATGTATAATGCAACTTCCAAAATTTAAAAAAAAAAAAAAGGAATTTGAGACACTTCTGGTCCCAAGTATTTCGGATAAGAAATACTCAACCTGTATATACATACAAAGGAATATTATTCAGCTCAAAAACAAAACGAAATCCTGCCATATGTGACTACATGGATGAGCCTTAAGGATGTTATATTAGATAGTCACAGAAGGACAAATGCTGCTTGGTAGGTATTTATATATATGAAGTATCTAAAATGGTCAAACACATAGAAGCAGGGAGTAGAATGGTGGTTTTCCAGGACAGACAGTAGGGAGAAATCAGGAGCTTATAAGCCATGGGTATACATCTTCACTTATGCAAGAGGAATAATTTCTAGATCTACTGTACAACATCGTGCCTATAGTTAACAATACTGTATTGTACATTTAGAAATCTTTTAAAAGGGCAGATCTCACATTAATGTTCTTATCACAATAAAATAAAAATAAAAGCGTATCAAATGAATACAATATTTTACAGTCATTCACTATTCATGGACTTGGCTTACTGTTGAACAGTGTGTTAGAGTGGACAATTTTAATATAGAACAAAAGAAGAAAGTCAAGCTAAAATGTTAGAGTATCGGTATATTTTTTGAGAACTTCAAATATAACACAACTTTGCCTCAATTCTACAGCCAAGGAACCCCAATATTGTTTTAATTGGAAGCAATCTTTTAAGGATATTGATATTGCAGTATGGACTAGTGTAGGGAGAGGCCAGAGAAGGCAGATTGTGAATACAGTTGGGGCCCAAGAGACTGAGGCTTCATTTCCCCCAAGTTGCTGAAACAGTTCTGTAAAATGAAAGTCCCTGTTCTGGAAAATGAAAATGGGGGTGATTTCCTACGTACTCTCAGGTCTTTGAGCTGTGACCCTCAAAATTCTGAACTAGAGAGATGGCGGAGAGAAAAATAGAATATTCATAGTGTTTGCTAGCTGCTAAACGCCACCTTGAGCACATCAATTCCAGGGCACTAATTAATTTGTTAAAGGCAAACTAGCAAGGTAAGTACTATTAGAATGCCCATTTTAAAAGAAATTAAGGGATTGGAATCCTGGCCGTCTTGCTCTGAATCAATTCATGGGACAAATTAGTAAAATTTGACAGATTATTGAAAATAGAAATAATACTAATAGCTCTCTCATTTGCTCAACATTTCCATATATATTCTCACTTTTTTAACAACCCCATGTGCAAAGTAAAAGCAAAAAAGAAAAAAAAGTCTTTTTAAATTTCAAGTTACTTTGGCTGGCAATTAAGAGAGTACTCTTACTGAGGACATTTCAAGAATAGGACCTGCTTTGATGCAGGATAAATAGGAAGTGAAATTTTATTTGCGGTGTATTTAGGGATTAAAGAATAGCATCATAGAAATGGTTATCTGGCAATTAGAGATTTGGGAATGAGGTTTAAAATAAATATCTGAGGGTCATTTTATGTGGGTGTCAGTTGAAGCCACAAGAGTCGTTCAGAAATTAAATTAGAATAGATAGAGATAGGAACACTCATATAAGGACTGAATGATGGTGAAGGAATGGGAAAAAAGAAGAGAAGCAAGGATCGGCAGAAGAAGAAGGAAGAGAGATATTTCTTAATTCTGTATATTACAATCAAAATACTGCGTTTAATATACCCTGTGCTGATTGAGATATGATGCTCTGGGGCCATATTTTGTGGTTGAATTTGTGCTCCATTTATTAGTCATGTGGCATTGGACCACATACTTAACCTCTCCAAGCCCATGTTTCCTCATCTGTACACTGGGATGATAATATTACCTGCCAAAAAGGATTGTTTTGGAGGTTAATTTAGTGAACATATATTTTAAAAACCTAGAACAACCCTTGACAGATAGTAAGCACAGGAAAATGATAGTTGTTATTTTATTCTTATTCTTACTATTTTCTTATAAGAGAAACATGATGGCTTAAATTTATTTGATGACTTAGACTTCTGCAAATGAATAATTTAAATCAAAATATAACTAGAGTTGCCATATATCCATGGGAAAATACAGTATCAGATTTCCTATTATATGTTATTATTGACCTTGACACTAGGTATAAGTAGTGCTAGAAATGTTGACTTCAAAAATTACTCTTTAATTTAATATACTTACCTAAAACAAATATACCATTTATTGTAATTAACCTCAAAGAATGTATTTATTAAAATATAAAGACACAGAGCTCTCAATGAGAATATTAGGAAGAAGGTAAGTTTGGAGTGTATAGGCATGTAAAGCTGACACAGTGGGGGATTACAGCATCCACAGTTTCCATACATCTTTTCCATCATAGCTTACATACATTTTTTCCTTCATGGTCAAACATATAAGGAGATGATTTCTAACAGTCTAAAGCAAAAATATTCCCGCTATATTTAGTGTTAGTTTGTACTGCATTCTTCAGGCCAGTCTTAACATTTAGTAAAATGAATGCCTCAAAGCACATTTAAATTTAATAATGGAACAGCTGAGTCTAAGACATTACCCACATTTACCTTGTATATTCAGGTGTACATTGAATATCTAACGTATTTATTGTAATTTTATGGTTTAACAAAAACTTTCAATAAGCATGTGAGAATTCTCATCTGACCACACTCTGTACATTTGTTCTGTTTCACTAGGAATTCCATTATTTTAGTAAAGTGGGTGAGGTATGGAAGTAGCTACATTCAATTCAGACCCATGAAAATAGTAAGTACTTGGAAATTAAGGTAAAGAAAAGAAACAAAAACCTATTTAATGCTATTACAAAAATGGTTTGATATTTAGAAATGCCCTGTCTACAAATGGGCTGTAATAAATAATAATATTCCTAAAGTTGTAATAATTTTTCTGAAAAGAGGTAAACATATCAGGCTGTGTTGATAAAAAACAATCTTTTTCATATTCAAAATCAGCTGATGTGGTGAATTCATAATATTAGTGAATGTCTGAAAATATCTGGCCAAGAGTAATGATTTAATTAGGTCTTTTGAAAAGTCTATTTACTAAATATTCAAAATATGCCATATCAGCAACAAAACAAGAAACAAATATCATGTTTCAGCTTCACTGCAGTGGAAATAATGCTGGTTAAAAATATTCTGCTCTCCGGATGAACCACAGAGACAAAAGCACATAGAAGGAATTCTAAAAGTAAATAGCTATAAATTTCAAATGCATATTAGAACCTTAAATAGTATTTTCAAAAACATGTATGGTACCACGAAGCAAAGTTTGAGTATCCTAGCCCATTACTAGCATAATTTATAAAAGGGAACAAGAGACAAACGGAATCATGTGCTTCTGAAACATGTAAATCTTGATCCAACACATTTCAAATGATATCTAAATTAAGTTCAACATGTACATGTTGTTTTATAAAATTGTAATTCCTTTACCCAGGCTTTGTTCTACAGTGCCCTACAAGAGTTCCTATAGCATACTAACACTTATATGTTAGGTAAAGTAATTAATGAAAAGTATATAAATAATTTTTAAAAATCTACACAATTGGCTGATGACCTACATAATCTCGAGTCTTACTCAAACTAGATGAAGAAAGAAAACAGAGCCAGGATTTGAAAAGAGAGAAAATTTTTAAAATATTTTCCCCAAAATTTGGCTAAGAGGTAAGGAGCTGAGAATAAAGTAGAAAATAAAACAAAGGTTTATCTAAAAGCATTAATATTTATTATAAGCAACTAAAAACAACAACAAAAAGAAAACAGCCCAAAATTCTAAATGCCATAGGCAGCCATTCTACTTAATATGAAACCAAAGACATGTGAGTTCCTCGTGTCAAGAGTTATAGTCAGTCAGCAGTTATTAAAACGTTATTAAATTGTTTAAGAGAAAAATGCATTTAAGAAGACAAACAACTTTGTGAGCTTTTTCTTTAAAAAACAATGGTTGTAGTTTTCCTGAAATGCCCCCCTTTCCTTTAATGTTGTAGGTGCACCTAGTTACTCCCTTCCATCCTCTCTGCCTTTCTACACTCGCACACAAACAAATCGAGTTATAAGAATGTGGTGATTTTTATGCCTTCAGGCACAGTCACACCTCATACATATTGTCAGCATCCCTCTCTACCCTTGAATTGCTAACAGCCTTCCCTCCAATTCTCTTGTTCATTCCAACATTATAGCCTTATACTTTTCTGGCCCTAATACCCGACTCTGTCTCATCTCAAAAGTACTTCTTATATATCCTAGCTATCATCACTTTACATTCTGTATTTTTCTTAACTAGCATGTCTAAGTGATAACATCTGCAAGGTTACTTACATTTTTTTTTAAACTTAAAAAACAAAGCTCAGTAGAAATAAAATAAAAATTCACAAAAACCAGTGTTGGTCTAAATACCTAGATGTATAAGGACCTTCCTAGGCTTCCTCTAGTCTCATCATAAAGGTAAACATAGCTTAAAAGATGAACTTGGAGGCAATGCAAGTGTGTGCACACATACACAAACACACACACGGAAGTCAGATGGAGAAAAATAAGAATGCTGGCAGCATTGCATTTATACTAATACTTACATGAAATATTCTTAAAGAGAAAATATTGGGAAGGAAATAAAATTATAACAGTATCAAGAGAACAGTATTAAAAGGGGTGAGTGTTGGAATCTCTGAAATAACCATTTCTTAAGAGAGCAGTATGATGATTAAAACAACTAAATTTCCAAATGCAATTCTACCTGTGATTCCTGTAATTCCTATTAAATAATCCCACTCTAATTATAATATTCCATGGAGTAAATAGCCATCCCATTAGAATATCTATTATAATTAACATGATTATTACTTCATTCTTTTAAAGTGATTAGAATAAATCACTTCAAATAAATGAGTTTTATTTGCTCTATTCTTAGAGTATAACCAATGAAATAGTCATTACAATTTCAATTATTTGATGTCAATTGTCCTATGCCAATTACATGAGTTTTTTGTTATTGCTGCTACTTTCAAATAAGAGTTAATGAAATTTTATGAATTGATAAATCAAAATGTATATTATCAATGATAAACTTTAAGAAAATGAAATATTTACTGAATTATGGCTAATGATATCACATATCTATCAACAATAGAAATATTAAGTCAGATAACTCTTTTAAAGCTAGCTAAATTTGAAATAAGTGTGAACTTCACATTGTAAAATTGAGTAGAATGTACTAAACATAAAACATCGTATCTTTTCTAATAGCAAATTGCAATTACCTAAATGTGTATGCTTTATTTTGTTCATTTGTAATAGTTAGATTTTGGCAAAATGTATAAATGACTAAGTCATTACCTTTCTGTATTGGCAGTTAAAATTATTTTATTATTTATTTATTTAAATTTTTAAGGTTACAGAAATACATTTATAAAGCACTGATTCATATGCCAGGAATCAAGTTTCTGATATTTCTGAGTTTAGATGAGAGGAAGAAAATTAAATTCTCTGTTCTGTGTTCGGCTTGGCTTAAGGGGAAAGAGGTAAGGAGATACTGGTGTCTGGAAAGTTACTTCTCTTCCTTAAACTCCAGAACATTAGTTAAACTCCTTACCCAGTAAAGAGAAAATAAGCTATGGAGTTTTTTTCATAAGAAAAATACAAATCACAAAGTATTTGTTTCCATGCCATTTGAAACATAATAATTACATAGCTGAACTTAATATATAAATATAGAAAATAGTAATCTAAACCTTAAAATTCTGTAGTTTTAAATTATTTGCTTTTAACAATTACAAATAAAATAAAAACCAATCCTTAGCTGCTATAAGATAGCAAAGGGGAATAATAATGGCATAAAATAGAGATACCTCTTTAGATATTTTTATTATTAAAGAAAAAAAATAATTTGGCTAAGTAACCTAAAGTGCAAGCAGCAAGTGAGTTGTGGATTGCTGATCAGAGGAAAATTACCTCTTGATAGTAATCTCTTTTTTAACATTTTTATGTTACATTTCAAGAATTAATGTTCTTTGGAAAGGAGCACACATGCTTAACCTTAATTATTGGGTAATAAAAGTAGTCAACATATCCTAGAAATTTGATAAATCACTGCACTACGAAGTTTCACAAATTCAGAGACATGCTTGAGCTACCTCATCAGCATCCATGGCTGTCAGCTGCATAATCTTAGAGCCATCTCCAATGTTCTCCTCTACCGTGAGATCCAGCATGTCCGTTGGAAATACTGGTGGATTGTCATTGATATCCTGAAGTGTTATTTCTACCTACAAAGAAAAAGGAAACAATGTGTGAATGACTCCCACGTGTCTGCAAGATACCAATTAAAATGACTACCAGGAATCCACGCAATCAAGACTGCCAAAATGAATTGGAACCTTTGCATCTAACATCCAAACAACAGAAACTACCCCTAGGGAAAAGTTGTGAAATCTTTACACGAAAACATAAAGTCGAAATAAAAATCGTCTGCCTTGTTGATAAGTAACTGATTTTAAATAGTGGCCATGGAGTTTATACTAGAAAAGGTCCACTGATTAACTGTCATTTTAATCCCCAGATTTGCACATCACTATGGAACTGCCAAGGCTCAGCACTGTCTGTCATTCAACCATTAAATGCTGCCTGACAAACAGAGGAGGTGGTATAAAATTTCTTGCTGAAATGTTTACATATTGGCAACTAATGTCTGGGGGAAATAAAAAAGTTCACATGTTGTTTTAAGAATCACTCAGAATTTCCCCCTTTAAAGTCCACGCTCAACCTTTAATGGGAAGAAAAATACATCTTTTCTTTCTATTTCCACTCGTATCAGCACTCTCTATTTGTGACTAAAGCTAAGCCATCATTTCTTTCAGATGTCATGTGGATATAGGTTGCAAATATTAACAGCTTTGTTTAAAAGATCCTAGCCAGAGTTATTTGTTTGCTTCCTCACCTAAGAAAAAATGTTTAGAAGAAAGGATTTGTGAAGTATAAAATAATAACTTCAAACTCTGTATTTTCTCTTTTGAGTTAGGTGCTAATAGCTCAAGTTCTGGTAAGAAAAGGGGAAAGACAGCTGCTAATAAAACTGAAATCTTCCCAGCTGGATCACAAAATTAAGTCATCCATTTAATTAAAAAACCCACCCATCCATTTAGTTAGGATATAACCAGGGCATGTTTGTCATAGGATAAAATGTCATCTTTTATAATTATGCTGTAAAAACTCCATCAGTGATGAGTGATAAGGATGAATCTGAAGGAAGTGGGGAGAGCAAAATAATTCTGATTTCTCCTTTCCCAGGAAGAATGGAAGCTGTGGGAAGGGGAGAGGCAGTAAGTAGGACTGTCATCATTATCTGAAAAGGAATGAATGGGAAATATACAAGAGCTAGACAAATAAATGAGCAATTTATAAAAATAGAAAACAATATATAAAATTAAGTACTAAATAATTGTTATACCTCTAGTTCCACCTTTTAGTAGAAGAGTGGATCATAAAACAAATGGCTCAAATGAGTCCAGAGAATGGTGAAGACAGGCAAGTCTCAGCAGTTAGAAATCTGACACTTCTGATTTTGGCTAGCAACAACCATTCTCGACACCATTTCCTTTAAGGAAATGCCCACAATAACTACAACTGCAGCCTGGAAGATGCATTTCCAACTTCCTTGCAGGGTTGTAAATATCATGGGTTTTAGAATTAGAGAGACCAGACTTCAAATTCCTGTCTGACACTTATTAGCTAGATGAACTCGGGCACTTAATTTCTCTTAGCCTCAGTCCATCCTTTTAAAATCAGTATAATAATATGTGTCCTAGAGTATTTTGTGAAGACTAAATCCTGATGATATAGGTAAAGAAAATGCTTAACACAGTTTCTGGCACAGAGTGAAGTATTCTATAAAAAGTCAAGATCTTGGTTTTCAAGCTGTTAGGACAGATCTGGAAGCTTCTTAGAGCCAGAGAAAGGCTTTGAGAAAAGGTATTTTTAAAAATCAGAATTCCAGTCCCACATACAGGTTCAACTGGCACATACTGAATGTACACTGAGTTTTCATGTGGGAAGAGCTTTGAAATACACACACACATACATATTTTATATATATATATATATATATATATATATATATATATATACACACACACATACACATACATATATGTAATGAATGTTCTTCAGAAATTACTAAATATCTTCACTTTATACACGTAAATTTTTTGCATATATATGCATAGTCCTTAAAACAAGAAAAAATAACAAATAAAAGGTAACTGAATGCATCATAATTCAACTCTGAACTTTTAGATTCATAGAATTTTAAAAAATTCTAAATTGTCTTTCATCTGTAATCTTATGACTTTATTGGGAAAGCAACAAGCCACCCTTGTGCATGCTAGGGGTGTGTGTGTGTGCATGTGTGCTCGCATGCATGCGTGTGCATGTATGATTTTGTAAATGTCTTTGTGAAAAAATGTACGTGTGTTTATGTAAGTATGTGTGGGTGTGTGTAAATGTGTGCATGTAAGTGTGTATGTGCAGGGAAGAACATCAAATTGAGCGTAAGGAAGGTCTAGATTGACACCAATTAAATATGACCATCAAAGGCACATCAGGAAACAGAGTCACACACTAGGAACAAGTTGAGTATACCTAAAAGATGTCTCAGTGTAACTGGTGGGTCCATGAATTCAGCAAGCCAATTCTATATTTTAATAGTTTTAATAAAATAACTAATAAACATACCTGATTTTTTTAGGTTATATGTGTATGTAGATACATACACACCTACACACACATATATACATATAAAAACCTCAGCAGAGCCCTATGACCTAAGAACTTTATCTCCCATTGGATAGGTGAGTTAATGAAAGTCCAGTGGTAAGGAACGACCTAGTGCCACAGAGCTAATCAGTCAGTAAAGAAAACTTACACAGTCTCATGCGTGTGTGTTAAAAAAACATAATGAATCATGTTTTTAAAATATATGCTACAGCTATACAAATATATTTTCATAAATGTGCATTTCATTCACATCTGGAATCTGGATCACTTACATAAGAACTAACTAACTATTAATCAATCTCTCTCTGTCAAAATTTTTTAAAAAACTAAACTAGGGGATCACTACATAGTGCTCTAGAAGTCTGTGATCCCGTATGCTCTGTGAGATTTTGGTCATTTCAAATACGGAAAAGTCTTTCTTTTTGCTTTAGTAGAGATAGTAAATTTAGTTAAATATTATTGAGTTCAAAACGACACCTTTTTGAATGAATCTATATAGACCAGTTGTATATACAGATCTAGACCATTTCATCATCATTATATTCTGATATATGCAAAGTTATATTTTTAGTAAGAATTCCATAGGTCATTTATTTAATAAATCAGGCTATCCTCTTTCCCAAAATTAGTGTCATCTTGTCATTCTAAAAGTGAATAATGGCCGGGCGCGGTGGTTCACACCTGTAATCCCAACGCTTTGGGAGGCCTAGGCAGGGGAATCACCTGAGGTCAGGACAAGCCTGAGTTCAATACCAGCCTGGCCAACATGGCAAAACCCCATCACTACTGAAAATACAAAAATTAGTTGGGCGTGGTGGCGTGCACCTGTAATCCCAGCTACTCAGGAGGCTGAGACAGGAGAATCGCTTGAACCCAGGATGCAGAGGTTGCAGTGAGCCAAGATGGCATCACTGCACTCCAGCCTCAGCGACAGAGTGAGACTCTGTCTCAAAAAAGAATAAAAAAGAAAAGTGAATAACTTCATATTCCATTTCTTGAAAATCTAGATATTTTTCCTTAATTGCCCATTCCCTTTTCTCTACTCCACAGTTCCTTAGATATAACTGAAAAGCTTTCAGCATGGTTTGGCAAAGTTATCTCAGTAGCCTGCGGTTTTAATTATCTAGGAGAGAAGATCTGAACTCATTAGCATAGATAAGTGTTATCCTGCCATTTCTTCACTTATCCAGATCCTTAGTGCCATGGTTTTATCTACCAAGAATTGCAAGATTCTGAACCCATTTACATGTGATGTGGTCACTAAATCTAACATTTATTCATTGAATATTTTAGAATCTGTCACATAACAAGTATGTATTAGTCACCAAAATATATAAAAGAAAATAAGACAAGTCAGCATCCCTTGTAGAAAATAGGTGATGTACTTTAATAGCAATATTTACAAACAGAAGCAGTCATCCCTGGGAAAATACACTGTTGACATCTTGATTCCAGAAATTTGTCTTTAAATTGCTTCCTTGTTGCCATTGGTGTTACTATTTATCTTGATGATTCTAAATCCTAACATGTGCTTGGTTCACTCTCAGATCTGACACCAACCATTACTATACCTTCTTTAGACTAAGGTTTGGTGTGATTTATTTTAAAACGTTATATAAAACACAAGAATTGAACATTAGAAGTTTAGAGAAAAAAGCAGGAAACAATAACTACATTTTTATAATTCTTAAAACCCTTTTATTTCTATACAATTTAGATCACTTTAAATAATGAAGACAGTTGTTATTAGTGGTTTAGCTTAAAATTCTGAGATCTTAAAAGTCTACAATATTATTTCTAAACTAAAAAAGCATATGTTGTAAAAATTAAAGGACAAACCCAATACTACTACATAGTTAAGCTTTCAGTGCCAGCATTGCCCCTCTTAGTGTTTTACATTTATCTTTACATTTGTTTAGACTGGAGGTAAAATTGCATTCAAATAAACATTTTGCAAAAACACAAATCACATTTCAAACTCAGAAGTTTCTCTTCATGAGTGGCTACATTTTGAATAAAAACAAAACACAATCTGGCAATAGCTTTTGTAATTGAAGTTCAGAACAACTTAAGGTATCAATTCTGAAAATCTGTAAAAACTGCCCTTTAAAGATGAAGATTCATGATCCCGTTAAGATAAGGCACTTCCATGTTTTCTGCATGCCTACCAAATGTTGACCTTTGTGCTTAGATATCTGGTCCTTTAAAAATGTGTGTGGTTTCATCTGCTACAATTAGAAGAAATGTAGTTGGTAGATCTGTGCTTGACTTACAATAAACACTTCAGCTGCAGCTAATGGTTGAGCTAAGGTATCACCCACTGCCACTACCGTTGTTACCATTTAGGTAGCTTCACAAGAATGACTTTCTTGACTGAGTCACCTGAGCCCTGAGCAGTAAAACTCTGGTAAATGAAATAATTTTATTTAGAGACAAACACATGACTGAGATTAAAGGAGCTAATAACCAATTAGTTCACAAATGATCTGTCTTTTGGTAATTTTATAAAAGTAAAATTTAAGTTAGAAATATGCCTTTAAATATTGTTACCAAATTACTTTATGCTGAAGGAATAAAATCCCTGGTATTCAGCTTGCTGAAGGGTCAAATGGATATTTTAAAACTAAAAAATATTTCTGTGGGAATAGTGCATAAAATAATATAATGCTTTTCTCTTTTTTTTATAATATGCAGTCTATCATTTTATTTTGCTCTACATCAAGAATGTTATTATACATGGGGATTAATTTTTTAAATGTTTCAGCATACAACTACATAACTAAGGAACAATCATTACCTAACAATCGCTAATATCAAACCATTATATATTTGTGGATCTAATGATAAAACATGCTATTTCCCCAATTTAAATTGATATTATGAAAGTAGAAGATTATATTCAAGTTAAAGGAAATGACTAAAATAGCAAAGTCCATTATGAGTTCATTCCCCTGTTAATAAACTGATAATTGCATGGTGGTTGCCACCTCAACCACAATTCTAAACATATTCTTAAATGCATATCCTCTCTGCAGCTTAAATCAAATGTTTCTTAATGAACGGAATGAAAAAATCTAAACATATTTTAATTCACAACCTTCCTGCAATCTACATAAAATGGTTCTCAAATAAAGAAGAAAAACAATCTTTTGTTTTCTTTTGGGAGACCGTAGGATTTGTAGTACACTGAAAGTTCAGAAATCCATTCATTTGCAAGTCAACATACTAATACTTTTTGTAGGAATGTTAAATATCATCAAGTCCATTTCCATTCCATTTCTGTTATTTTACAGAGAGTCAAAATTAAGGCACTGAAATGTCAAGTGATTTATCTAAGAAAAACAATGTTAAGCCTCCTACTCGAGGGCACTGATTTTTCCAGAGTAGTGGAGACAGCCAGGGCTGTGGAGCAAGCTGAATGATGTGCCTAAGACACAATGTCTCTGATCTTTGCACAGAGAGAATGATCTTTCATAAAAAATATGCATTTTATGTCAACAAGAAAATAATTTCTGATGAAAATAATATTTGATGGGCTACTTTAAAAAACATTTTATTCACTTCTTGCCTATTTTTAGGTTCTTTTATATTTATATTAAGATAAAATAATCTGTGAGAGTTCGTCTTATCAATGCCACTGGAAAACAGACATTCAGCAGAAAGACAATAGGTATGTATTACAACTAAAGAAACTATAGTTAAATTCTCTGTAAATATCAGTGAAAGTGATTACTATTAAAACGTATACAAAAAGCTATTTCTTTTTCTTAAAAGATGCAACATATAAATACCCATTTTCAGAATGGCTTACATTTAAATAGTTGGCAGGATAGACAGAAACTGTACAAACTATAAAATAGTAACACCTGATGCATCAAGGCAAATAGTGCTTAATTTTTTGTTTTGTTTAGTGGCAAAAATAATTATTTACTTTATTGACTTTTTGGATTTGTGGAACTGACACTCCAAAATTAATTGTCTCATGTAATATTGTCACTTAAACCACATAAATTATGACAAACTTTGCACTAAAAATAATGTTTAGAGTTCACAAGTGTTATCTCTAAAGATATTAAGATAATGCCATCAAGATTGCTTTTAAATACAAGCAAGTAACAGTTTTGTCAGAAATATTTATTTCAATAATAGTATTTTGTAGCTCTGATTTAAGTTTATATATTACCAACATAGGTAATTGCAAATATCTTCAGGATACTGAAGATCATTTATATTACTTAAATTAGAGACTTCTATATTCTGAGATTCCAAGAGCAATAATGTGTCCTGCTCATTCTGACAACTTATCCATGTCTAGCATGTAAATTCTCCTCTAGAAATATTTCTGTTTTTAAGCAAATCCAGGTCATTTTTACATTTTTATTAAAGTCCCATATTCAGCAAATGTAATAATAACATAGGCATTCTACTGGCATATAAAGATGTATTAATCAAAGTTATCCACTATTACAATGATATTTTAAAGCAATTCAAACCTATTGATTTCCTAGTTTTTGTGTGGGAACATGCTATCATATATAATTTTTATGTTATGAAATGATATTTTATGATAATTCAGTAACTACTCATAATAATGACTTACTATTTTTTTCTTTTAAAACAAAACATTTCTTCTAAAAAAGAAAAACAGGATACATGGGCAGAATGTGTAGGTTTGTTGCATAGGTATACATGTGCCATGGTGGTTTGCTGCACTGATTGAACCAACCTCCAACTTCCCTCCCCTTGCCTCCCACTGCCCCCAACAAGCCTTGGTGTGTGTTGTTCCCTTCTCTGTGTCCACGTGTTCTCATTGTTCAACTTCCACTTATGAGTGAGAGCATGCAGAATATGGTTTTCTGTTCCTGTGTTAGTTTGCTGAGGATGACGGCTTCCAGCTTCATCCATTTCCCTGAAAAGGACATGATCTCATTCCTTTTTATGGCTGCATAGTATTCCATGGTGTATATGTACCACATTTTCTTTGTCTAGTCTATCATTGATGGGCATTTGGGTTGGATCCATTTCTTTGCTATTGTAAATAGAGCTGCAGTAAACATACATGTGCATATGTCTTTATAGCAGAATGATTTATATTCCTTTGGGTATATACCCAGTAATGGGATTGCTGGGTCAAATGGTACTTCTGATTCTAGATCCTTGAGGAATTGCCATTGTCTTCTACAATGGTCAAACTTACTTACATTACCCCCAACAGTGTAAAAGTGTTCTTATTTCTCCACAGCCTCAGAAGCATCTATTGTTTCCTGACTTTTTAATAATTGCCATTCTGACTGGCATGAGATGGTATCTCCATGTGGTTTTGATTTGCATCTCTCTGATTATCAGTGATGTTGAGCTTTTTTTCATGTTTGTTGGCCACATAAATGTCTTCTTTTGAAAAGTGAATCATGACTTAAAATTTCAAAAACTTCAGAAAAAATATCCTTAATATGTTTTGTTCAGAATATCTCCCACTTAGGAGACTGGAATAAAAGGTCCTACACATTGCCCATCTCTGCTTCAAAAGCTGCTACACTAAACACCATGAAAGGCACGTGTAAACCTGGAAGAATAACTGAGCTCATTCAAATGTGTATTGCCCTTAATAGGTCATTATGATGTCAACTCAATAACATTTTGCTAAATGATGCCTCAGTTTATGCTGTGTAGGTACTACTAAAATTAAGCAAGGAAAAACTCTAATCTTACATTCAAAACAATTTTTATTCACCAGAGTGAAACAAGATGCTGGAAGCCTACCATTTACTTTTCTGTATGGAATCTCAAGTGAGGAGTTGAAATTGAAAGCAAACTAACCAAATTGAAACCCACACCAATATCAGTACAACCATCACGCCTCAGCTGTTGCTTCCTTTGGCCCTGAAAAGGAAAACTCCACCTTTCCTGCCTGAGATGAGTGTAGAGTGTGGAATATGAGTTTGCCCACAATGCAGTGAGAAGCTCAGTGCTGGGAGACAACTCAGTATGACCGCATCAGGGTGATGTGTAAAGAAACACTCTATGACCTGACCTTAAACATGAGAATCAAGTATAGAGTTAAATTTCGTAATTAGGAACAAAAAAAAAATTCAACGCCTAATTGTACTATAGTTTATGGGTTTAGGCTCTAAATATTTCCATTTCTTAACAACAATAAAGAGCTGTATTGCCACGAAAGGATGGTGCCAGAGTCTGCATATTTCCTTTAAGTTTGTTCTTCATTTTTTTCCCTATTTTGGGTGACCACTGGGAATTCTACTGCCATAAGTCTGGGTGAAATGTTTCACGACATCCAGAACACTTCATCATGTAGCAGAGCCAAAATCTATTATGGTTTGCAAGTGACTCATATTTCAGTTATGAGAAAGCCCTAACAAAGAACAGTTTGCATTTAAATGTTCTAAATGTCAGGAATGTAATGTTTGGACTATGTAGGTATGCAAGGCCTGATCTCTATGAACAAGGTTTTAAGTATTTATTTGTTTGCGATGTATAATCAACTTTGTTCAAACTTGTGGTAACTCTAATAATAGTTTACTGTCTCATCTTGATGGTATTACTGAAAGTTTGAAATTGCAATGTGAAAAAAATGGGAGAAATCAAACTTTGGAGGAAAGACCTACCAACTCATTCTATGAAAGACTGGCCAGAGCTATATGGGACTTATTAAGGAAAACTAATAGGACCACTACCACCTGCATGAATGAAACATAACTACTAGAAAACACAAGTCTGTTGCAGGCCCAAACTCTACTTAAGTTTCAGAAATTATCATAAAGTAAGTGTATGCATTTGGTGCATTTTTTTCTTTAGAACTAGAAGAAAAAAATGAATAAGCATTATATTTTACTAGAAAATGCGTATTTAAATATTATCATGCATACTAAAGGCCATTTTATTACGTTATTTCACAGGAAACACTTTAGTACAAGAAACATGATATAATGGTAATATTTGATGAAGTAACATACAATATGGGAATTGGAATAATTCTGTTTTTAAGATTATAGGCTATTAAGCATTTTGTCATGTAAAAGTTTATACCTTAAATTTAAATAATATTATATCTATTTAGATATCTGGGCATTTACTTCACATAAAAATATCTAAGTATTCTGGAATATTAGGAATGAAAGAAGCATACACATTTTAGATTCTCTTTGGTTTCATTTTTTAAGGAAAGTAAAATTAATCATAATGAGTTTTAAAACTGAATGTACTTCTCATATAAGCTACATGTATATAACTGTGACCAATTATATTTCTCAAACAAAAGTAATTACATTAATCTCTCACCACTAAAACTCTTCTAACAGTCAGCAGCACATGTTCCTGGGATTTTGATGCATTTCTTACTAAGAAGAAATATGTATGAATAACAGGCAGGCTTGGAGAGTAGCCAGGAGTGACAAGAATGGCTAGAAGCGTGGATAACACATAGTTAACTCCATTCTTAAAACAAAATGCTTTCCATAACTCACTAAATGTGTGGTGACATAATAAAAAGCTAGTTTTGTTGTGCTTTCAATATTGTTCAAGTTAGAACCAAATAAGGATTTATTTTAAGGCAAAGGCAACCATGTGTAACCACTTCAATTTTTCCTGAAATCAATACTGCATAATTTCTGCATTTTAACAAATTCTTAAGGATGCTCAAAAGTAAATGCAGAATAAAACATCAAGTTAAAATATGTGTGGTTGCATAAGAAACTTATGGAAATTTTTATACTATTCTTCAAAACAAACACCCTACAAATGCGTCCTGTAGTATATTTTTCAATAGATGTTAATCTGAATGTGGTAGACACATATCAAAGGGAAATTTTAGTATAAAACAAACAAACAAAAAATGCCACTAAATTTTTTCTTCTCTTTTTTTGCCTAATGTGTACTGGATACTATGAAATAAAGAAGGCTTCTATTCAAACTACTGAAAAATAAAGAAGTGGTTTGATTTCTATTAAAGGTACAAACTACGGTAGACTGAATTATTGGTCCCGTTACCCCTCCCCATAAACAACTTTGCAGTCCCTCCCACTAAAGGTGAGATTTTTCTCCTTGCCTTTTTTGGGCTCTTTCATAATATTTGGATTGGACAATGGGCTATCTATAAAAATAGCACAAGAAGGGGCTTAAAATACACTTATTCTTTTCTACCTCTGCCATGGTCACTAGAACAGTATGTTTCTGCTAGCCCACTACTACCAGAAAGACTAGAGATACTGAGTAGAGGAATCTCAGCTGGAAGGTTTTTAGACTGAAGCCAAGCTTCCTAGTTGAGTCTAGCCTAGAGAAGCCCAACTGCAGTTATCCAGAAATGTGTGAGGATAAAAGTGAATTTTTGTAGGCCTTTGAGATTTTTGTGGCTCTTTATTATGCAACATTATTCTGGCAGTAGCTAACAGATACAAAAGCCAAAACAATGAATTCATTAACTGGTTATTTTACTTTGTTTCCATGTTCTAAATAATTACTGGTCTAACATGAGCAGCACAAAGAAGAGTAAAAAGCTAATGTATATTGATCTGTTGTATGGCTTGTACTGGGAGTTTTATTTCTCTGAATCTATTAATACCTTTTCCTACCCTATATAGCTACACATTCTCACTTACCATGCCATACTGCTATCTGTCAGGGGCAACTCAAAATAATACATATCAAGTTCTTCCTCCCCCTCCAACAATCCAAAGATTAGAGGAGTGGTGGGAATACATGATCCAAGAGGAACGAATCATAGATTGGGGAGAGTTCATCAGATTGTGTTTTTTTAAGAATAGAAAATTTAAACAAACAAAAACAAAACAAAAACACAAAGAACATTGCAAGAACAAAATAATGGCACAAGTACAATAAGAAACAATGCAGCCCCCATGATAACATGGTCGCCATCTTTAGTGGTTTTCTAGAACCTACACGAGACTTGGCTATAGTTCTTTTATGGAATGACTGCAATGTCAAAATAATCACTCTTCCTCATTTCACATTTGCATAGTAGTCTTCACCTTTGCAGACATTTCTATTCTTTGATGCAAAAGACACAAACCTTTGACTCATAGCTATGCTATTCTATTTCAGTTGGTTATTAGTCTATAACAGGGGTCTCCAACCCCTGGGCACAGACCGGTACTGGTTTGTGGCCTGTTAGGAACCCGGCCCATAGCAGCAGGTGAGGGGCGGGCAAGTGAGCGTTACTGCCTGAGCTCTGCCTCCTGTCAGATCAGCTGCGGCATTAGATTCTCAAAGAAGGGTGGACCCTATTGTGAATGGTGCATGCGAAGGATCTAGGTTGCACGCTCTTTATGAGAATCTAATGCCTGATGGCCTGAGGTGGAACACTTTCATCCCAAAACCACCCTCCCACCCAGTATGTGGAAAAATGTCTTTCACCAAACTGGTCCCTGGTACCAAAAAGTTTGGGGACCACTGGTCTATAATAGTTATATGTCCTTATATCTTTTAAACAGCTATCTTAAACTATAAAATTAAAGTCTCTTTCTAGAGTCTTGTGTTGTATTTTTACTTCAAAACAATAACAAATTTAATTTATATGAAACAGCTTTAGCTCACTAATAAACAGTAATGAATAAAATTTTATGTGATATAAATTGTAAAGTATATGTTCTAAAGAAATTCAACTTATCAAAATCAATTTTTTGGAAATGCATTGTTCTTTAATTCTATTTAGACATCCTATTTTTCTAAACTCAGGGCCAGGTGCAGTGGCTCACACCTATAATCCCAGCACTTTGGGAGGCCAAGGTAGGTGGATTACTTGAGGTCAGGAGTTTGAGACCAGCCAGGCCAACATGATGAAACCCTGTCTCTACTAAAAATACAAAAATTAGCCAGGTGTGCACCTGTAATCCCAGCTACTCAGGAGGCTGAGGCAGGAGAATCACTTGAACCCCAGAGGTGGAGGTTGCAGTAAGCCGAGATGGTGCCACTGCACTCAAGCCTGGGCAACAGAGTGAGAATCCGCCTCAAAAAAATCAAAACAAAACAAAACAAAACTCAGAAAGCCTGCTTCTTTTCTAAGTTTCAAACAGTGAAACATTTAGATCAGTTTCAATATAACGCCTAGGGTACAGAAGGCATTTAATGTACATTTATTCAATGATGTAAAAACCAGTTTGTTCATTGCACTAGTACATTTTATTGTTACACACACACGCAAATTAAGAAGGAGGTGAACCAACTATTACAATTACATTGAGTAATGAAAGTCCTAAGAATTATCCCCTGATGATCATCAGAGTTAAAACTAATTAACAGAAGGAAAAATTTTTCAATATGAAAAATAAAGAAATAAATCACAAAATAAATTTTCTTTAATAAGATGTTTCAGCATAAAAGGCTATTTGTTTTCTATTTTTCATTGTCAAAACCAAAGTACCAACATTTTTAGTGGAATAAGAGTATGACAAAAAGCTGGACGAAAAGCTGAATTTTTTTTAAAAATTGACTTTTAAGAAGTCTGAACTACTATGGAAATGTAGAAAGAAAATAATGTGCAAAATCAGATAAAACATCTGTACACTTATGAAAGATTTGAAATTAGACTCCAGAGTAATGGAAAAAGCCATCAATTATAAATACTGACTACAACTAACCATCTCCATGAAATAATACGGTTTGATGATTTTTTTCTACTACTCTCTCACTCTTCCTCAATTTATGACTATATAACTATGATTATCTATAATTTCAAAGTATCCTATGACATCAAGGGATACTTTGATTTTAGTTTTCAAATAAAGGTATGTTCTATGGAAAAAAACTGGAAAAATAAAACAGATGACACTTCATCACTCATTCTGCTTTTTCCAAGATAAAATAAGGCAATTAACTACTTAATATTATCATTGAAACATGCTTTTAAATATGCACACTAAAATTTAATTTAAGGAATCAATATCTGAATTTTGTGTGAGGATGACCAAGAAGTTTCTAAAATTGGCAGGGCGCAGTGGCTCATGCCTGTAATCCCAGCACTTTGGGAGGCCGAGGCAGGTAGATCACCTGAGGTCAGGAATTTGAGACCAGCCTGACCAACATGGTGAAACTCCATCTCTACTAAATATACAAAAAATTAGCCAGGTGTGGTGGCGGGAGCCTGTAGTTCCAGCTACTCAGGAGGCTGAGGCAGAAGAATTGCTTGAACCCGGGAAGCAGAGGTTGCAGTGAGTGGAGATCATGCCATTGCACTCCAGCCTGGGCATCAAGAGCAACACTCCATCTCAAAAAAAAAAAAAATATATATATATATATATATATATGTATATATATATATGTGTGTGTTTCTAAAATTAATTATTCAAAGATCAAATATTGTCATTCCTTAGTAAAAATTATTTTGTTACTGAGTAGTGTTAAATTTACTTATTGAAAAGGAGTATCAAAAAATCCATTAATGAATCCAACAAACATTCATTGATATCTTACTAGAGCTCAGGCCCTTTGCTTGTTGCTTAGGATACAAAATACCCAGGTGTTCACATTTACTGTCTAGTAGAAGCACAGTCACCTAAACCAAAATTACACTACATGTTGCTCTAAGTAAAAAATTACAGAGAGTCTAAAGGAAAAGCACAAGTGATAGAAGACTGGAAATTTAGACTTCATCACAATTTAAACCTTTTTTGCTTTGAAGGACATTATTAAGTGAAAGAAAACCTCACAGAATGGGAGAAAACATTTGCAAGTCATATATCTGAAAGGGACTTATATCCAAAATATATAAAGAACTAATACAATTCAATAATAAAAATAAATAACCCAATTTAAAATGGGAAAAGAATTTGAATATACAATCCTCCAAAGAAAATGTAAGAATAGTTAAACAACACATAAAAAGATGTTAAATTCATTAGTCATTTGAGATATGAAAATTAAAAATACAATATGTCACACATAAAAATGGCTATATTAAAAACAACAGATAATAACAAGTGTTGGTGAGTACATACAAAAATCAAAACACTCATATGTTGTTGGTGAGAATATAAGATGGTGCAACCACTTTGGAAAATACTTTGGCAGTTCCTCAATATGTTAAATATAGCTATCACATGACTTGTAATTCCAGTCATAGGAATTCTACCATAGAGAAATGAAACATGTTTGCACAAAAACTTGTACACAAATGTTCAGAGCAGCATTATTTATAATATTCAAAAGGTGAAAACAACCCAAATGTCCATCAGCTGATGCATGAATACACAAAATGTGATATATTCATACAATGGAATCATATTCAGCAGTAAAAAGAAATAAAGTCATATTAGTACAGTTTATAGTATCCCTCTTATGCTCAATGAAGTATGTCAGTCTGATAGGGCAGTGACAATGATAGACTTTTTCATTCTGGTTATTCCAACAATTTTGTCACATTTTGCTTAATAAAAAGGATTTCCATGGATTTATTTTAATGATCTTAATAGGCTTTTTTATTTAAAGAGGTACCTCTTAAGAGTGGAAATGAGAAGCTGAACTGATTGAGTTGTCAGTCCCTTGTAAATCTCAGAGTCTAGAATTTCATGATATGGTTTAATATCACGTACTGGAAAACCATGTTTCATTGCACTTGCCTTTATCATGCTTCACAGATATTTGCATATTGTTACAAATTAGAAGTTTGTGACATCCCTGCATTGAGCAAGTTTCTATCAGCATTATTTTTCCAGTAGCATGTGCTCCCTTTGTGTCTGTGTCACATTTTGGTAATTCTTACAATACATCAAACTTTTTCATTATTAAGGTGATCTATGATCAGCGATTACTGAGGTTACTATTTTCTTGGGAGAATTACAAGCTGCACCCATATAAGACAGTGAACTGGATGGATAAATATTGTGTGTGTTCAGAGTCCTCTACTGTCCAGCCATTCTTCCATTTCTCACCTTCTCCTAGGGCCTCCCTATTCCTGAGAACAACAATATGGAAACAAGACCTGAAGCACAATATTGAAATAACCCTCCAATGGCCTCTAAGTGTTCATGTGAAAGGAGTAGCTGCACATCTCTTATTTTAAATCAAAAGCTATAAATAATTAAGCTTAGTGAAGTAGATAAGTTGAAAGCCAAGGTAAATCAAAAGCTAGGTCTCTTGTGCCAAATAGCTAGCCAAGTTGTAAATGCAAAGGAAATGATACTGAAGGAAATTAAAAGTGCTGCTCCAGAGAACACACAAAAGATAAGAAAACAAAACAGCCTTATTGCTGACACGAAGAAAACTAACCACAACATTCCCTTAAAGCAAAGCCTAATACAGAGCAAGACCCTAATTCTGCAATTCTTTGAAGGCTGAGAGAGCTGAGGAAGCCACAGAAGAAAAGTTGGAAGCTAGCAGGGCTTGGTTCATAAGGTTTAAGGGAAGAAGGCATCTCCATAACATAAAAGCACAAGGTGAAGCAGCAAATGCTGATGTACAAGCTGCAAGAAGATATCCAGAAGATCTAGCAAAGATAATTGATAAAGGTGGCTTCATTAAAAAACAGATTTTCAATGTAGATGAACAGCCTTCTACTGGTAGATGCCACATGAGACATTCATAGCTATAGAGGAGAAATCAATGCCTGGCTTTGAAGCTTCAAAGGACAGGTTGAGTTTCTTGTCAGGGACTAGTACAGTTGGTGACTTTAAGCTGAAGCCACTGATCTTTTACCATTCTGAAAATCCTGAAGCCCCACAGAAGTATGCTATGTCTACTCTACCTGCTCCCTACCAATGAAACAACAAACCCTGGATGACAGCAAATGTTTACAGCATGATTTGCTGAATATCTTAAGCCCGCTGTTGACAATTACTGCTCAGTAAAAAAGATTATTTTCAAAATATTACTGATCATTGACAATCTACCTGGTCATCCAAGAGCTCTGAAAAAGATGTGCAAAGAGATTAATGTTTACATTCCTGGTAACACAGCATCCATTCTGCAGCCAATGGATCAAGGAGTAATCTAAACTTTCAAGTCTTATGATCGAAGAAATACATCTTGTAAGGCTATAGCTGCCATAGATAGTGATTTCTCTGATGAATCTGGGCAAAGTAATTGAAAACTTGGAAAGAATTCACCATTCTAGATGCCATTAAAGACATTTGTGATTCATGGGAGGAGGTAAAAATACCAACGTCAACAGGAGTTTGGAAGAAATTGTTTCCAACCCTTAAGGATGACTTTGAAGGGTTCAAAACTTCAGTACTGAAAGTAACCACGGATGTGGTAGACATAGCAAGAAAACTAGAATTAGAAGTAGAGCCAAAAGATGTGACTGAATTTCCACAGTCACAAGATAAAACTAGAACAGATGAAGATTTGCTTCTTATGGATTAGCAAAGAAAGTGGTTTCTTGAGATGGAACCTATTCCTGGTGAAGATGCTGTAAATACCGTTGAAATGACAACAAAATATTTAGAATAATAAATCAACTTAGCTGATAAAAGAGTGGCAGGGTTTGAGAGGATTGACTCCAGTTTTGAATGACATTCTACTATGTGTAAAATGCTCTCAAACAGTATTGAATGCTACAGAGAAATCTTTCATGACAGTCAGACTCAATCAAAGCCGCAAACTTCATTGTTGTCTTATTTCACAAAATTGCCACAGCCACCACAACCTTCAGCAATTACCACCCTGATCAGTCAGCAGCCATCAACATTAAGGTAGGATCCTCCACCAGCAAGAAGAGGACAACTTGCTGAAGGCTCAGGTAGCTGTTAGCATGTATTAGCATAAAGTATTTTTAAATTAAGGTATATACATTGTTTTTTAAAAATGTAATGTTATTGCACACTTAACAGACTACAGTATAGAATAAACATAATTTTATATGCAATGAAACACCAAAAAAACTGTATGACTTGCTTTATTGTGATATTCACTTTATTGCAGTTGTCTAGAACTAAATCTGAAATGTCTCAGAGGTATACCTGCATTTAAAGATCAAAAATTCAAGTAGCTACCCAAACTGATCATAGCAATATAACCACAGCCTATGGGCTTAGAAAAGTATAGAAGGGCAGAAAATGGTCAATAATATGTGACAACTGTATTATTAGTTTTTTCTTTTTGTCTCTTCTACTCACATACCAAGAGACTGACTAACTGGGTAAATTTATTGGTTTTCTCTTAATACCATGTTACTGATGGCCTTATATGACTGCAGTTAATACTAAGAATGCATAGTCCATCACTTGCAAATTTATTTCAGTTGCTTAGAGAAACTACTTGACTACTAACGTTAGTTTTATTGAAATTGGAATGTTTCTGTAATAGGTAATCAGAAGTCTGTACTAATATGAATTCATGATATCTAAATAAGGTAATATAAAGCCAAGTTTATTAAAAAAGCAAATGTTTGATATAATCGTTTACTACTAATTAGGTTTTCCTGCCCTGAAATATAATAAATGATTGCATTTTAAGAATATCCAGTAAATGCACAAAAATTAAAATGTGTCAGCAAAGAGTATTTATGAAATCCTGTTAGTGCAGAATTGCAAGCATTTCAAATTTGTCAAATTTAATAAAGAAGACAACAGAAACATTACAGTTCTCCTGTCTAGATTAATAGAATTCTCGCAGTCTGCTTACATTAATAAATGTTACAGGAAATCAATTGCTTTCCTCTAGTGGTTGTTTTTAGATATTCAAAACCTGTGATTGTTTTTTCAGTAAATCAGATAATAATTTTTAATAAGAGAATAAATTACAATCTTAATAGTCTCTGTTAACTGTTAAACTAATACTAAAGAGAGATTAAGGACTTTCAACATGTTTTTATTGACGGTTTTTAATATTGTATGGATTACATATGTAAAAGCATTATGCAAATTTTTACATTACATTTCCCTTAAACTGCCAAAACACCTCTACATTACATTGTGTAGGTCCCTATTTTTAAAAGTATTTTCTGTAAGAACCTCAACATAGCCTTTTTATTTTGACAAAAGTGACTTACCCTTCGCAGGTTAATATTGCTGCTTGATTGATTCAACCATTTTCCCAACAGCCAAAGTTTATCTCTTTCGATTTATATCTTTTTAGTAGGTAACTATCTGCATTCACCTAAATTCCCTAAGAGTGAACACCAGGCGCGGTGGCTCACGCCTGTAATCCCAGCACTTTGGGAGGCCGAGGCAGGTGGATCACCTGATGTTGGGAGTTCGAGACCATCCTGACCAACATGGAGAAACCCTGTCTCTACTAAAAATACAAAATTAGCCGGATGTGGTGGCATATGCCTGTAATCCCAGCTACTCAGGAGGCTGAGGCAGGAGAATCACTTGAACTCTGGAGGTGGAGGTTGCGGTGAGCCCAGATCGCGCCACTGCACTCCAGCCTGGGCAACAAGAGCAAAACTCCATCTCAAAACAAAACAAAAGAGTGAACTCCATAAACACGTGGGCATATAAGCTAGAAATATGTATACATATATATGTGTGTGTTTTTTTTTTTAGAATATACAAGGTATGAAATAAGTTCAAAATTTGATTAAGAAAGAGTTAAATATCAATGTCTGGCCAAGCGCGGTGGCTCATACCTGTAATCCAAGCACTTTGGGAGGCCGAGGTGGGTGGATTACCTGAGGTCACGAGTTCAATACCAGCCTGGCCAACATGGTGAAACCATGTCTCCACTAAAAATACAAAAATTAGCTGGACATGGTGGCATGAGCCTGTAATCCCAGCTACTGGGTAGTCTGAGGCAAAAGAATTGCTTGAAGCCAGGAGGCCAAGGTTACAGTGAGCCGAGATTGCACAACTGTACTCCAGCCTGGGTGACAGAGCAAGACTCCATCTCAAAAAAAATAAATAAATAAAAATAAAAAGTCTTTTATTAAAGTTCTAACTTAATAAATAACTTTTTTATAAACTCTCCAAGGCAACCAATGAAGTTGCAAGTCAAGCAATTTTCATAAATGTGTTACAATAAAAGACAGAGTTCCCAGTTAGTCAATAGCCAATGGAATTTCCCTTTAGGAAAATAATCTTCTCAGTTCAGTGTACTTCCTACTTTAAAAAAAAAAAAACTTTTTAAAAGATTGTTCCGCATGTTAATTTTTTAATTTGCTTTAACATGTTTTTAAATTATATTAATAAATTAAATTTGTTCTCACTTTTAAGTGAATTCTTTGTCAAAACAAAGACATTAAAAAGCTTTATGCTTCCAAGCAACTGCAAATTAAAGGAAATTGGAATGGACCAATAACCATTTACTATACTTCAATTAATCAAGGGTTTTCTGTTGAGCATTGTGTAGATACATTTCTTGTTCACGTGATGCACCTTTTTTTATAGAATGAACTCTCCAAGGCAACCAATGAAGTTGCAAGTCAAGCAATTTTCATAAATGTTTTACAATAAAGGACAGAGTTCCCAGTTACTCCATAGCCAGTGGAATTTCCCTTTAGGAAAATAATCTTCTCAGTTCAGTGCACTTCCTACATTTAAAATTTTCTTTTTATTCTTAATTTTCATAGTAGCAATTGAGAAAATATTCTAGGTTACAAAGACAAATATTGAGTATGGAATTCATCTTAGTTTATTAGACCATATTTTGATTGTTAAATTTAGAAGTTATGCTTACATCTATTTGAGAAATTGTACTAACATTGATGAGTAGGAATGACAACAAATATTCTATAACAAAACAAATATTATCTTACTAAGAGAAAATATAGTACAAGTAATAATTGTCCATTTTGGGATATAATTTGAGATTTTCTATAATTTTCAAATTAGTTTTATGATTATCTGTGATAAGAACACATGCTTCTTGACCATACTTAGCTCACCAAATCATATGAAATTACATCTGATTTTTATATAAACAATGGTTGATATGTGATGTATAGTTACTTTTCTGAAAAATAACTATGCCTCCATAATTATACTTCATTAACTTATCCAATAAATATTTCTATAGGAGTTACTATGTGTCTGTTATAGGTGATAAATATATAGCAATGAACAAAACCAACCACGTACTCCGCTTTCATGTACCTTACATTTTAATGAATTCTTAAAGCTATTCTTTATATTGGGCTTTTACAATGACATTTTGCTACAAACAGTTTAGATTTTAGAAGACTAACCATTCCTAAACCCATTGGTTTATATGTCTAACTTGGTACATACATAGAATCAATAAGACATCTGTTAATCTGGAGCAGGATTGGCATATTTTTTATCAGGCAATAACTAAGCTTATGTTATCGAAGTTTTTAATTGTCTAAATAGAAAGGTAATTGTGCCTTATTTTGCAGGTGTTAATATGCAATACAACCCTGGGCATACGTGCAATAGTTTTTTCAGGTTTTCTGCTTGAGCAAACTGTTATTAAAGTAAATAACAACATATAATTTACACTCAAGTGTATATTGGAGAGAATGTTTGTGTGATAACTGAACTAAATTACCTCCACATTTAAAAATATTTTTATAGCATCTAACTTATTTTTTATTAGATAAAGTAATATTAAAATCAATCAAAATGTCCTAATTTTGTTTTGGTTTGTGAGAGTTTGCCAAGGTTTTTGAATCTGTTTATTATTTATTAGAACAGCTTTTAACTTTAGAAACAGACCTCTAGAAAAACATATTTTACCTATAAAACTCCAAAACTTAAAGGTTTGGTTGCATTAATAACTTGCCTATTAAAATGTGCATGATTCTTCAGAACAAATGTAACAGCAGAATAACCACTCAAGTATGTACTCAGTTAAGAGTCATAAAATAATATACATAAGATTTTCTAAAGGTTTACATTTAAGCAAATCTTAGCAAAACCAAAACTGACTTGTTTGGGGTCTAGTTTCAGAAATAATATTGATTATAAAGCAAGCAAATCATAAATATAGGGAGGAGCTGTGGTCTAATCAGAGTTGGAAACTGTACATGAAGATGAGTATCCCCAAAGTTTCAGTGAATAGCTTTTTGTTTTTTTTTGATAAAGAATGCTCATTTTATTTAAGCAACTTTGTAGCTACATATGAAATATAAAAGTAAATAGTAAAGGCTTCTTTTCCTCATTGAAAATCCTCTAGAGAAAAAATGAAGTAAGTTTTTGATCAAAAAGTTCTATAACAAATAGTCGTTGGTAATTTGTGCCTGTAATTGCCATAAAAATATTGAAAAAAGGTCTATGACATCTGTGTCATTTATATGAAACCCCACATGACACTTTCTTTTAGAATTTAGAAGAAGAAAAACACAAAGAAAATAACAACCACCTCAGGAGCCAGATTTTTCTTCCCTTATGATAAGAGAAAATTTACTATGCTCCCATTTTGCTCTGACTGCCTACAAATGCAAAAACAAATCTATATTTAATCGTGGCATCCAACCAATTTCTTCTATTTTGTTATTTTATTGTTATTTATTTATTTATTTTTGAGATAGAGTTTCACTCTTGTTGCCCAGGCTGGAGTGCAATGGCATGATCTCGGCTCACCGGAACCTCCACCTCCTGGGTTCAAGTGATTCTCCTGCCTCAGCCCATTGCAGGCATGCGCCACCACGCCCCACTAATTTTGTATTTTTAGTAGAGACCGGGTTTCTCTATGTTGGTCAGTCTGGTTTCGAACTCCCGACCTCAGGTGATCCGCCTATCTCAGCCTCCCAAAGTACTGGGATTACAGGCATGAGCCACCGCGCCAGGCCTATTTATTTATTTATTTTTAATTATACTTAAGATCTAGGGTTCACGTGCACAACGTGCAGGTTTGTTACATATGTATACATATGCCATGTTGGTTTACTGCACCCATTAACTCGTCATTTACATTAGGTATTTCTCCTAATGCTATTCCTCTCCCCTCCCCTCACCCCACGACAGGCCCCGGTCACGACAGGCCCCGGTGTGTGATGTTTCCCACCCTGTGTCCAAGTGTTCTCATTGTTCAAATAGTTTTTTCAAATAGCATCAACAGAGGTCCATTTTACCCCTAATTATTTCAGTGAGAACTGTTTGATTTAAATTTAAATATTGTAAAGACCTTTTCTAAAAGGAAAAATAAAATCTTGCATCACCAAGTGTCAATTTAATTTATTTGTTTTAAAACACTACTTTAAAATGTAAAAATATAAACTTGGTAAAATCTTTGTAGGTGTATAATTCTTACACAAATAACAAACCAATACAAATTTGCAAATTAAATGCACACTCAAAACAATTTAAATTCACAGCAATAGCTAGATATGGCTAATGTTCTCTGAAATTAAGCTCTCCATTACAAGTGTGGGATCTGACACAGGTTCCTAAACAGATGCCAACACTACATGGGTTCTAGTCTTGACGCTATTAGTCAGTTACTTGTGACCTTTTATAAGCCTCAACAACTTCATATATAAAATGGTGTTCCCAAATGCAAAAAAAATGCAGTTTTGCATAATGTCAGGTAAATATATTGTAATCATAAGAATAGGTTTTGTTTAAACGTAGTGCAGGTGACTTCAAATCTCAGTAATGACATAAAATAAAAGCTGACTAATACTTGTCAAACAGTAAACAGATTGTTAATAAAATCTTGTAATTGGTTAAAAGCAGAAATTAATTCCTTAAAATGCATTTACGGATGACATCAAAAGTCATGAATGCCTTTGGAACCAAGTTATGAAAGACGTGTTTGTGATAAAGAAAATTACTGAACTAGGCCAGAGAGCTGAAAGTTTACTCTTAGTGCAGTGATGTCTAACTAGTTACAAATTAGAATCACTGGATATAATTTTCAAAATGCATATTTCCAGGCCAAAGTCCCAGAAACCTCTCTCACCAGGGTATCCAAGTAGTTTGCCAAGGCCTGGGCAAGAATGTCAGTGACATGACGATAAGCACTCCAAGCCAATGCTCATTGGAGGCACAAGTGAAACAAGATAGAAAATAAAAGCTTCATGACTTTTTGCCTTTTACTTTGTATTAACTGCCTCAGCCAAACATATACATTAGAAATAATTTAGCTGCTTTACCAAACGTGTTATGACATTAAATTTTAAGATAAAGAAGGTTGCCAGTGAAAACGTTCTTGCTATTCTTACTTACAATTTAGAGTCACCATGAGGGAACCTAAAATAATGATTAAACTCTCCTTTCTTTGGTTTTGTGGTTGCTAAATCACTAAGACCTGTAGGAAAATTTCACACTTTGTCACTAAATGTTATGATGCTGTCTTTTCTCAAGTGATAATCTATTTTTAAATAAATAAAATAAAAACTCCAGAGTGTTAATTCATCTTGCTCTGAAGATGCCAATATGTGCCTATGAATTTAAGTAACACCTAAAGTTATTCAAGTTATATAAGGGGCAATATCATATTTGGCAACTTACTTGATGCTAACAAGCCTACATTTTTTTCTATGTGTTAATATGACAGCTAATATTAGAAATAAATGTGCTCTTTTTATCATTTACTTGTATCCTTCTGGAATCTTTATCTGAATATATCTGAATACTTAATTATTCTGGATTTTACAATTATTTCATCTGAGTTTAGCTAGAATTATCTGGTCTCTTTTGCTGTACCTTGTATTCATTGAGTGGAGAATTCAGCAAATATTGATGCAATACTATCACTGCATACTTCACTGGGTTAGATGCTCTTGAATAAGCAAAATGATTCAATAAGGGACAATCTGAACAGCTCTGTGAATATACGTGGGACAACTACATTGTACCCTTTAAAGGGAAAACTTTGTGGCATGTGAATTATATTTTTCAAATTTCTTTAAAAATAAGTAAGGGTCGTTTTGCAATTAATGTCTGTAGAATAAGGACGTGAATCCTATTCAAATAATTTATTTCTGTTGAAGCCAAGATGGCTTCTTATTGATAGCACCTCTCCTCCTGAGTTTTTTCCAAAGAATATAATAATCTCTTATGGAATATCTCCAAGCTTATCAACTTACACTAATACACTGATGCTTCATCATTTTAAAAATAGGGGCATTTGCTTGTCACCAAATTTCTGGAGTGTTGCAACTTCAAAGATATCCAAATGTGATTACGGATTTACATTCTTTCCTTACACTCAGTTTCCTTTTACAACGAGGGATGTAGGAGAAATATTTGGAGAAGACTGAAGCCATCAATCTCTGTAAGATTCACAGACCACCACGTGATAACACAGAAGGTGACAAAGAACTTTAGAACCGGCAGACTGTTGAGCTCATTTCATCTGATGCCTTTGAATAAAAAAATCCCAAGCCAAAGAGTTAAATTGGTATATCTGATTTCAAGGTTAGTAGAGATCTGTGACTAAAACTGAGATTTTCCCTAACATTTCACCCTATAACAAATATGTCATTTATCCTAATTTATTTAAATAGGAAATCGTCTGAAATCATATATACATAGTCCTTATTATTTTCTAATACAGATATTTTCTTCATCTAGATGTTTGAAATTACATATTAAACAATGGTTTCTTGCCCTCAATTAATTTTTAAAGGAAGGCATGAATGCCGTAGCCCTATTGATGGGTGTTACTTTTGGCTTTTTCATGTTCACCTGTATGACCCTGGAAAATTGTTTTGCCTCCCTGTGCCCCTGTTTCTTCAATCAAGTAATCTCTAGATAAGAAAAGTACCTCAGTCATAGGGTTTTTATGAAATTTAAATGAGATAAAAGTGTGTGAGGCACATGGAATAGTGGCCAGCACAGTGTTTGTCAAAATAGAACTGATATTAGTATTAGCATTACTTAATAGTACACTTAAATTTCATTTGTTACCAACGGAACACAAATATTCAATAAACACACATAAACATAGATTATAGTTTTAGAAATAAAGCTTCATAAACTAGAAGGAGCATTTATTAGGCACCTAATAATAAATATCAAACTTTTTAAAACAATCTGTCCTATATTCTGATCTCTACATTTCCTTTAGATATCACCTCTTTAGATGAAATTTGTCTCTGTTAGAGTAATTAAGATAAAAACAACATAAAAAGGAAAGTATAGGAAAGAATATTCCTCATATTAACTTGTTTCATGTATGTGAAACCTGCATCATGGCAATTCTGATTTGAACAATTCACTGAATTATTATTACTTGACTAAAAATAAATTTAAATAATAGATTTAAATCAAATCATCCTCTAACTTTTACACAAATTTTAAAACATATTTCAACTTTGTAATTTTATAGAAAGAAAGGAGTTCAATGATTCACATTAAATGATAACTGGTGGTCATTCCTGTTTTGTTATTTTGTGTATTTTCTGAATTTTGTTATAATAAAAGGTAATGTTTTATTTAAAAAATGGCAAAGCTATTTTTATTTCAAATATTTTAAACAGCGAAGTTGTCGGGCTTAGAGTTTTTTAAAAACATTAAACTACATAAAACATCCATGAGAGCATAGACTGTTAGTATTAAATTCTAAATTAAAAACATGGGTTTTCCACTTGCTATTGCATATGATATTGATCAAGACAACTTTTCTTAACTTTTATTTCCATGTCTACAATGATGAATATCATATTTTCTTTCTCACTGGACCATTGTAAGGATAGAAGCATATATCAAAACACTTTGAAATCAGTTTAATACTATTGTGTAAAGGAAATGTGATTTGCATTCCTATAAATATTCCACATTCAACATTCACAATATAACAAATCATGAATCATTGTGCCACGTATGTAAAAAGAGAACTGTCTGAGAAGACCCTCCCTTTTTTTTAAGCCAGCTTCCCCATTCACCAGTAATATGTTCTAAGTACCTCAAATTCATCAAATGTAGTTAATAGTTCCTATCACACTACCTCAGGTAGTTCTAAAGATTAACATGTTTTCTATTAAAATAATCTTTTAAAGTGATTTATACTTGCAAGTCATGATTTCACTATTTTTTTTGTTATTAGTGTCATTACTATTGATATCACTTTTGTTGATCCATCTTTTTTTTTTTTTTTTGAAACAGGGTCTCACTCTATGCCATCCAGGCTGGAGGGCAGTGGCATAAGCATAACTCATTGCATTCTGAATCTTCTGGGTTCAAGCGATCCTCCCACCTCAGCCTCCTGATTAGCTGGAACTGCAGGTGTGTACCACCACAGCTGGATAATTTTCCTTTTTTCTTTTTTCTTTTTTTTGGTGGAGACGAGGTCTCACTACATTGCTCAGGATGGTTTTGAACTCCTAAGCACATGCAACCCTCCCACCTCTGCCTTCCAAAGTGTTGGGATTACAGGTATGAGCCACTATGCCCAGCCTTGATTCAACGTTTTTAAAAGACTTATTTACTGTCATCCATTTCGTTCTTCTTTTATTCAAAAAATATTCAGTAAATGCCTATCAAGTGCCAGGTTCTGTCCTAGGCACTGCAGACACGCTAGCCAACAATGAGTATGTGATTCCCACCCTGATGGAATAGAGCAGTTGAACAATTGTTGTTTATGATGCCCCCGTCACAGGAAGACATTCCCTAAATGACCCCATCTAAAGAATATGCCCCATATACTGCTATCATTCTCCATTACATCACTTTGTTCAGTTTTATTCACAAAAAACTCTATCTGTAATTATTCAATTTATATATTTCTTATATATATTTATATATTAATTAAGATATTATTGAGGATATTCAATCTCTCCCCACAATTGATACTCCAATGAAAGAGCCACTTTTTATCTTATCCCCTCCTATATTCACAGCCCCTGAGGCAAGGTCTAGAAATTACTAGCATCTTCTCCACTATTTGCTTAATAAATTAACTGTGAGGTCAACTATTTCTATATTATTACTTATAGCACTTATAGCAGATGGCATGAAATCATGTCAGTTTCTCATGGATAGACTCTAGGAAGATACCCTATGTCTCAATCCCTGGCCACCCTTCACAGCCACTCTCCTGGGGAATTTCATGGCTCTCTCCAACTTATCCACTGTTGCTTTTTGGAAGAAATTCTATAAAAAGGCATACACAGTATAATATTATTTGTATAACTAATTATTTGTATATTTAATATTATTTGTATAATTATTTGCAGAATTAATATATATCCATGTGATCCAATATTTATGTTAGATATTTGATATGTAGAAATTTTTAAGTCCCTATAAAATAACCCTATAAAATAATGCCTATCAGTAGACATTTAAACTTCTTCTTTTTTTTTTTTTTTTTTGAGATGGAGTTTAGCTCTCATTGCCCAGGCTGAAGTGCAATGGCGCGATCTCAGCTCACTGCAACCTCTGCCTCCCAGATTTAAGCGATTTGCCTGCCTCAGTCTCCCAAGTAGCTGGGATTACAGGCATGCACCACCAGGCCTGGCTAATTTTTTTGTAGTTTTAGTAGAGACGAGGTTTCACCACGTTGGCCAGGCTGGTTTCGAACTCCTGACCTCAGGTGACCCGCCTGCCTTGGCCTCCCAAAGTGCTGGGATTACAGGCGTGAGCCACCCAGGCTGGCCTAACATTTAAACTCTGATTAATAAAGAGAACTGTGATGATTTCTATAAAATTTTGAAATTTTTTGAAAATTTTTGTCAATTTGAAATTTTCAAACTTTGAAAATTTTGAAAATTTGAAAAATTTTGTCAGAGAGATGACACTGCCTGCACCCCATATCACCAGTGAAACTTTAATTCTGCTGAGTAATCAGGTTTACCTTACACAATTTGAATATTATCAATATTGCGAATATTGTCTGTATACGTGATTTAGAGGTTTGGTTTTCATTTATTTTTTAGTGACTGTTCATATTAATCCAACTGCAATCCTCTTTCATCAAGACACACTGTTTTCAAATGGCTGAATATGTATGTGCTTCCTATGGCTGTAAAGTAGAGCTGCTTTTATTCTTCAACAGCATCTCATGAGTCCTTGTGTATGCCATGCACTGTGTAGGGAATTAGGCATAATCCCTCATGTTGTTAGGTGCTGTACAGTTTAATAAGCAGTTTGTCATATGTATCACAATCTCACATTCATTCTGGAAATTTGGAACTGTCTCTACTTTGTAGGGTTCCTGTCGGAATACAATGAGAAATATATAAAAGCCCTTAACACAGTATGAAACATACAAGTGCTTAATAGCTATTAGCTATAACAATGATATGAAATATATTTCCATCCTGATTTTACAAAAAGTCAGAAAGAAGTAACATTTTTACCTAGTTGTGGCAGAACAAAGCCTAGTTTGATTATTTCCAAATCTAGTATGAATTCTATCACCCTATATCTGCCTTTATAACAAACGTGTAATATTAAAACCCAATACGCCCAATGGAAAAAGGAGAAAGGAACCCAAGTGTCCATTTTTGATAAACAAAATGTAGTATATACATACAATGGAATACTATTCGGTCTTTAAAAAAAAAGGAAATTCTGACATTTACTACAACTTGGATCTACCTGGAGGACATTATGCTAAGTAAAATAAGCCAGACACAGAAAAACAAATATGTATGATTCCATTTATATCAGTTAGCAAAAGTAGTCAACTTCATGGGAACAGAAAGCAGAACAGTGGTGGCCTGGAGCTTGCCGATTGGAGGAAATGGAAAGTTAGTGTTTAATGGGTAGAGAGTTTCAGTTTGGGAAACAAAAACATTCTGGAGATAGATGACGGCTACAGTTGCAGAGCAATTTGAAATTATTCAATGACTCAGAATAATACACTTAAAAATATTAAAATGGCAAATTATATGTTATGCATATTTTACCAGAATTTTTAAAAACCTCAATGGCAAGGCCAGACTTTAGCCATTTTCATTAAACAACAGAATGAATGAATTAATACAGATGATGGTAATCTCCCAAATTGTTGCAGGAAAGCTAGGCATTTTTCTTCTTGGCCATTTCTTTTGTTTTTTTATTTATTTGTTTGCTTGTTTTGTGAGATGGAGTCTCACTGTATCACCCAGGCAGGATGGAGTGCAATGAGGCAATCTCAGCTCACTGCAACCTCCATCTCCTGGGTTAAAGTGATTCTCCTGCCTCAGCCTCCTGAGTAACTGGTATTAATGCACGCGCCATTACTCACTGAAGACAGTTGTTCCCTCTTCCTTAAAACTCTAGGTTGATAAGATTTAACACATTCAATTCAGATTAGAGGTCTGCTGATTTTATGTTATTTACCTGAAACTGCATCTCACTTAAGCCCTCCAACCACAGAATATCTATATCAAGTATCTGATGGGTATTTATTTTAATGGAAAAGCAAAAGGCTGATAGAGATTTGTGTGACATAAGGTGATGTACATATCATGCATGAAAAATACAATTCAAGCTATATAATATGACTCTCCCTTGGCATATTCATTCTTAAAGTATTCTAAGATTGTGTAGTGCCAAACACAATATTTTTCTTTTGTCAGTTCTCCAAAGTGAAACTTGACCACTGAAGTCTAAAGGGTGTACAGCAACAAAGCACAAATAGATGAAACTTTAAATTCCTTCAAGTAACATCTGAGGCCACGAAAGCATGGAGAACATGATTGCCTTAAAAAGTACAGTTTCCAGAAATTCTCGTAAGAATTCCTCGGCAGGCTTATGGCTAGAAGCCAACTTTCTCTTTCTCTCTCTCTCTCTCAAAAAAAAAAAGTTTTGGATATTTTCCCATCTTGACATTTTAGAGAGATCTAAGGCATTGCCAGATGTCATGTGTGTATGCGGTATTTTTTTTAATCATACTTTTTAAAAATCTTAATTTGCATTCAGTTTTGAGTTTCAGAATCAGGAAAGTCTGAAATTTGATAGAAAGGGTTAACATTTTTTATCCAATATGATTTTTATATATATATATATATACATATATATAATATATACATACATATATATATATATCCTAACTAGAGAAATATCACAGACTTCCTGGCTTCCCTCCAAAGACTTTACCAGTCAGGCACATTGGCTCAATTCCCACTCTACTCTAAAATGTCTTTTTAGTTTGCTTTTCTTTGTCTTTTTCATATTCTAACTGCATAAACTGTTTACCACTAATGCTATGGAGCTTCCCTCCAGTGAGTCAGATTAAAAACATGGTTATTTAATAATCACTAAGTCATACTGGAAAAAATGACTTTTTCAATCAAATGCTTTATTTCCATAAACCCACAGTACTCTCTACAAATCTGGATTTGCACTTGAATGTATTCAAGTTCTTCTGCCACAGTGAAAGGCCATTTCAAGAACCTCTATATTCTTTGCCAACATTTTTGTCTATAAATACTTAGTACTTCATATGGCTCCAGAAAAATAATTTCCAAACTAGTAACAAATACTAAATTGCCTATTTAGAAAGTCTTATAAAACCTTAAACGGAAGGGGGAAAAAAACTGGACTGGCAGATTTAGAGAGTTCCACACCATCAGGTAGGAAATTGCCTTTTCCCTTTTTGTTCATAATCTCTACCTACCTGAGTCAGAGTAGAACTTCCACACATGAACTCACCATTTTCCCTGATTAAAACTATGGTAAGTTAGTTGGCAAAAGTTACCAAAGCCAATGTTTGCATATACTATTTTGCAGTACTTTCTTAAATGCTAGTCAAGGAAAGGTGAATTTTGGGGATATCTGATTAAAAATGGCAATGGTCACCCTAAATTTCACCTATAAGGAAGGTTTTTCATTTTAACCATCTCTCATGGAAACTGACTGACTTTGAACAACTGAATAACTTAACTTTCTATGATATACGGTTGAAAAAACTAGTTACAGAGTATGTTATTTTTTCCCCCAACCTGCTATTTAAACTATGTGTATTTACATATTGACTCCTATGTATTTTTCATATATTCCACAGTTCTTGGCACGTTAATAGGTGCTTAAAACATACGCAGTCCTTTACTTTCCTGGATTAGTGTGTAGATTCTGGAACCAGAATACTTGGGTTCAAGTCTATTGCTGACAGTTACAAATTGTATGACCTTGAAAAATACCCTCTATAACCTTTGTGTTCTTCATTTCCTCACCTGTAAAATGTGATGTTTCATAGAATGTTTATAAATATTAAATGATTTAATATATGTACAGTGTGTAGAAAAATGTCTGGCAAATGCTATTTCCAGCTCTACCAATAATTGCTTCCAGTAAATTTTACCTGGAAGAATTATAATTGGTGGATGAGACTTTGTGGAGCAATGTGGTAAAATAAATTGATAACATTTGATGCATATTTGCGATGCTAAAATTAAAAGGGAAACTTCTGGTTTATTTATATTCTAACTAAACTAAAGAAAAGCTTCTGTATGGCAAAAGAAACTATCAACAGAGTGAACAAACATCCTACAGAATGCAAAAAAAATTTGCAAACTATGCATCTGACAAAGGTCTAATATCCAGCATCTACAAGGAACTTAAACACATTTACACATAAAAATAACAAATACCATTAAAAAGTGGGCAAAGGACATGAACAGACACTTTTCAAAAAAAAGACATACATATGGCCAACAAGCATATGACAAAAAGCTCAATATCACTGATCATTAGAGAAATGCAAGTCAAAACCACAATGAGATACCATCTCATACAAGCAGAATGGCTATTACTAAAAAGTCAAAAAAATAACAGATGCTGGCAAGCTTTCAGAGAAAAAATAACATGTGTACACCGTAGGTGGGACTGTAAATTAGTTCAACCATTGTGAAAGACAGTGTGGCAATTCTTCCAAGACCTAAAACAGAAATACCATTCAACCCAGCAATCCCATTACTGGGTATATACCCAAAGGAATATGCATCATTCTATTGTAAAGATGCACATGTTATGTTCATTGCAACACTATTCACAATGGCAAAGACGTGGAATCAACCCAAATACCCATCAATGGTAGACCAGATTAAAAATATATATATAGTACATACACACCATGGAATACTACGCAGCCATTAAAAGAACAAGATCATGTCCTTTGCAGGAACATGGATGGAGCTGGAGACCATTTCCTTACCCAACTAACCTGGGAACAGAAAACCAAATATTCCATGTTCTTACTAATAAGTGGGAGCTAAATGAGGAGAACATATAAACACATAGAAGGGAACAACACATACTGGGGTCTATTAGAGGGCAGAGGATGGGAGGAGGGAGAGCATCAGGAAAAATAACTAATGGGTACTAGCCTTAATTAATACCTGGGTGATGAAATAATCTGTACAACAAACCCCATGACAGAAGTTTACCTATATCAGCAGTCCCCAACCTTTTTGGCACCAGGGACCAGTTTTGTGGAAGACAATTGTTCCACAGAGCAGGGTGGGGCAGGTCTCATAAGGGCACGCAATCTAGATCTCTCACATGCTCACTTCACAATAGGGTTCACGCTCCCACGAGAATCCAAAGCAGGGGCTGATCTGACAGAAGGCAGAGCTCAGGTGGTAATGCTCGTTAGCCTGCCGCTCACCTCCTGCTGTGCGTCCCGGTTCCTAACAGACCACAGACCCGTACTGGTCAGTGGCCCCGGGGTTGGGAACTCCTGACCTATATAACGAACCTGTACATTTAGCTCTGAACTTAAAATAAAAGTTAAATCTATAAAGGAGGATAATTCTAATTTAGTTATATTCAAGGCGTTTCTGTTTCCCATACTAGTTTTAGTCAAATATTCATTTTCTATTACTTTATCATATACTTTATTTCTTAAATATACTTTCCTCTTTTCCTACAGCTAATGATCTTGTTTAAACAGCAGTCATAACTCTCCAGCTTACTGCAATAGTCTATGAATCTCCTGGCAACCAGTCTTGCTATCCTCAAGTATATAATAGCTCTCTCGTCAGAAATAACAAGAACCTAATTAGACTATTGGAAACAGAAATGGTGGTATGAATAGGAAAGACAATAGAGAGCAAAACTGATAAGACTTCACCATTTATTTACATATAGGAAGCAAGAAAAAAAGAGAAAGAGGAGTCAAGGAATAAAGTTGAGGTTTTCAGCTTGAATGATGAGAAGAGAGTCCACATTCTTTTGGACAACATATCCAAGCTCGTGGCTACTTTCATGGATACTACACTCCAAATGCAAATTTTAATCTAGACTTCTCTGTTGTGCTCCAGTTCACATATCCATCTGCCTGCTGGATATTTCCACTGGTATCTCAGAGTGACCTCACATTTAACAAGGTCCTGAACTAATTTATTGTCTTCTTGTTATGACTCCTCATCCGGTATTCCCTAACTCATCATCCACTTAGTTGCTCAAGGCAGAAACTAAGCCATCTTCCTTGGTTCTTCCATCATCTTCCACATCTACATTCAATTCGTCATCAAGAAATACCAGGACCACATCTTCAACACATCTCCACTCAATGCATGTACCTCCAACTCTACTATCAACTGTTAGTCCAGGGCCCCAAGTTCTCCATGCTCAATTTCTAAATCCGCAATGCCCCCAACCTCTAACTGTTTTCTTTTCATGTAGCCAGAAAGCTTTTTATGAAACACAAATAAGATAAAGTCAATAATTTGATAAAAACTCTTGATGGCTTCTCATTTTGGTATGAGAACTACCAAACTTTTAGTCTTACTTTGGGTGCTCTTCACTCTCACACCCAAGCTGACCTTCCAGGGTCTCTTCTCAGTTTCCTTTCAGCACTCCATGCACCAGCTGAAAAAACCTCACTTCCTTCAGTTATACAGAGTTGTATGCGTTTCCAGCTCATGGCATTTATGCATACTACTCTTTCTGCTCAGAAAACTGACTCCTGACCACTGAAGATGGCCTAGTTAATTCAAGCGATCCTTCGTATCGCAGTTTAAATATCACTTCCACCGAGACTCCTTTAGTGACTCCTCTGGTGATCCACAGTCTAGTTTGGGTTCCCTTCTAATATATTCTGAAAGTCCCCTATTCTTTCTCCTTATCATATGCTTATCATAATTTATTAAAATACGTTATTAATAACTGGCTTTCTTAATAGACAGGGTGAAGTTGAAATTCACGGGGGGCTAAATTTCTAGGTCCAGCACATAAACAGATTGTGATGCTGAAGAAGAGACAGAAGTAAAAAGAGATCAACATAAATGTGACAGATGATGCTATAAGATTACTACAAGAATCACTATAGAGAGAAAAAAGTCCAAGAAAAGGTATTTGAAAAAAACTACATTTAATTTGTAGCAAGAGGGAGGATGAAAGAGGGGAAGCTAGAGTGAGGGCACACATGGGGTGGAGAGAAGAGAGAAAGAGAGAGAGAGAGAGAGAAGGAATAGGAACATCCACAAAAGTAAGCAAAAAATAAGCAAGTTTCAAGAACCTCCATCAGTCCATCAACAACGGACAACTGTTTCTGCTCACTTTTGCATCCTTGAAATCTAGAATGATTGTAATGCACAGTAGACTCTAAGCAAATATATGTTAAATTAATGGCCAGCATTAAAAGTTTTCCAGGAACTATCAATAGGGGAACATATAAATGAAATATTAAGTAAGCCTTTCTGCAAACTAAACAGTGATGAGATAATAAGTAGTGAATATAATAATCCATAATCGTTGCAATTCCAAAATCAAATCTAGTTTTAAAAAATAAGCTACAGGCCAGGCACGGTGGCTCACACCTGCAATCCCAGTACTTTGAGAGGCCAAGGTGGACGGATCATGAGGTCAGGAGATCGAGCCCATCCTGGCCAACATAGTGAAACCCCGTCTCTACTAAAATACAAAAAATTAGCCAGGAGTGGTGGCATGCGCCTGTTGTCCCAGCTACTTGGGAGGCTGAGGCAGGGGAATCGCTTGAACCCAGGAGGCGGAGGTTTTAGTGAGCCGAGATCATACCACTGCACTCCAGGCTGGCAATACAGCAAGATTCTTTCTCAAAAAAATATATATATAAATTAAAAAAAAGCTATATTGATATAGAATTGAAAAAATAAAAAAAATTAAACTAACATGGTATGATTTAATCTAAAATAAGTTTAATTTTAGGATTCCATTCCCAGTACATCACTCTAAAACGAGGAGCAAATCAGGAGGAATTATAGCTGAATACAAATATTAAAAAGTGGCTACATATATTCACTTCTATTTGCTTCTCTCAAACTAAGAAATTATATATAAATATATATAAGCACCCAATTTCATTAACACATTGCTTTATTACAGGTGAGAACATGACTAACACTTACAAATTCCATGTCTTTGAAATTATGCATTTATTCCTAAGGACACCCACATATATGTACATAGTTTGCCTTGTATACAATTTTTATTGTTGTGAAAAATGATTTGATAATTTCAGTCTTTTAAATTTTTTAACTATTTGAAAAACTTCTTTTTGCTTTACTAAATTTTTTTTTTCAAATGAGTTCTAAAAGTTTCACATTTATATAAACCATCCAACTAATGCCAAGCTAGGAAAAGACTGTCTTCCCTTTAGTTTGGTTTTGGTGTTTGTTTTATTTTTTGACTAGTCAAGTGCAGTAGTCGGGGGGTGGGGAAGTAAAATAAGGAGTTCTGTCTGTAATTGGCCATGACCAATCAGTTGAGATAACTCATTACCTTCAGACCAGCTATCTTCCCTTTTGACATAATCACACTAGCTGGATTCCCTCACATAGCTTTTGAATACTGTATGTTTAATAGAAATCATCCTGTATTTTTTATTCTCTTACTTGACAAAGTTCTCTATTCAAAGAAGAATATATAGTGCAATACATTTTCCTCTATCAAAAGTAATTTTGGATATTTTACTAATATTTAAAATTCATATGGTATTCAACCATGTAAAAAAGGCCAAACAGTAAATGTAAATCTGTATATCTCTAGACCAGATCCTAAACTGAATAATTCCTCTACCCAATTCTTCGCTTGCAGATTTTGGGAATCTTTTTCCCTGCATCAGAAGAGAAGAATCATTTCTCTTCTAATATCATACCACCAAACTTCTCAAAATATTACCTACTCATGTCATCATGACAGCTCTACCTATAATTTCAACTAATATCTTTCAATGTATACCTGATGTCCGGCTAGGTTCTCAGAATGTTCTCTTACACTGGACAGAACATGATGCTTGCCCTCAATCTATTTACAGTCTTGCCCTCTTGAAAAGAAATATATAGTCTGCATATCCCTAAAAAGTTGAGAAAGGAAAAAAAAATGTTTATGTGTAAACACACACATACGCTTTTAATCAAAAACCATGATAATATAAGGGTAAATATAACAAAATAACAATGCAAGGAAACATTGTATTATCAGCACATCATGAATCTGAAGAGTGGTACAGCAGTCAAGAACATCTAGTGAGAGAGGGGACTGAAATGGCAATTGAGTATAAGCAAATTTCAAAGGTCTTTCAATGAGAAGTCTGATCCAGAGTCTACCCATGGTTAGTAGGGAAAATAATAGAATCTGGGACTTAAAATAAACAAGGCAACATTCTACACAAGCAGTTGAGATAGAAGTCCAATAGTCATTTTGTCCCATTGCTCATGGGAATCTCCGTGCTTAATGGATAACTGGAGTGCATCCTAGTGAGGCTGGGATTTGCACATGAGAACAAATAGAGCTCATGACTGACGTAGGAAGACATAGAATGACAAGCGGGTCAGAACGGTTGCAGGTAATAAAACGACCACTTTTCTATAAGGACTATCTTGCCTTCCCACATCTCCTCTATTCTATTTTCTGAAACAGAGCAAATAACTCTTTCTCTGTGTGGCTTCTGTAGCATATAATAACCCACAGTTTGTAAATTCACAATTTTAAAATTAATTGTTTGGTTGCCTATCCTCCCTGTTAGGGCATATGTATTTTTATATCATCTAGCACAGTCTCAATCAAGGTTGCAGAGTTTGAATGAACACTTGTCAGATCACCTCTCAGTATTTACCACCTGCACACCATCCTTTTAAACAAAGACAATGACTTTATATTTCTCAAATCTCTCATGAGCATATGGGCCTCTACCCCATCACTAACCATTGACTGTCACATGCCATCTCACTCCCTGTGCCTTCCGGATTAACAATTTGATGGATCTCATTCTTTTTATTCCCCTTGTACCTTGTTACTGCTTTCACTGTCATGCCATACCAAACTGTTTCATAGGTGTAACTGCTCCAGATGCTTAGTTAATAATAGACTGAAATCCCAAAGAACAGAGATATATTTTTATTATTTCTGAATTCCCTCCAACACTTATCACAGGAGAGAATTGAGATCTAATACATATTCATTGCAGCTAATTGAATTGAACTTTGCCCCACTGGGGAAAAATGTAATATTTAGCCATACAGTAGCTAGCAATTTGACACTAAATTTAATAAAATGTATTTGAAACAATACACATCAGTGCACTCATTTAATAAATATTTAATAAATATTTATAAATAATAAATAAATAAAATAAATAATAATAAAAATATAAATAAAATAAAATAAAAATAATAAAATAAATAAATAAAATAAATAATAAATAAATAAAAAATTTAATAAATATTAAATCCTTAAATATTTATCCCAGAATTTGTGAAATTAAGCAAGACCATATTTTAAACATTTGCAAATTTTAGTAAACTAAACTTTTAATGAAGTAAAGATGGCTATGCCTCTAATAGCATATCTGCAATCCATCCTCCTCCCCTAAAGACATGTTAAGTTTTGTGAGTATAGTCAGGGGGATGACTACAATTAAGTGCATATGTATTATTGTTCAGTACAAATAGCATAGGTTTATTGTAATTATGGCTTTGCTGGTCAGCCTCTTCTTCTTCTAGACAGTGAGTTCCTTGAGAACAGTAACTGTTTACTCAGGTCCTTAGACATAATAGGTTTGATTAAAGAGTTCCTGAATTAGTGAGTTATGTGAGAAATAATGACTTCACAGTGGGACTCTACCGAGGGAGCAATAATAAGAACGGCTAATCTGTGATCTATGTGCCAAACTCCCCGCTAAGAACTTTATATTCATGACATAATTGTGTCCTCCTTACAAGCCTGTGTGGGAAACGTGATGAAAATGTTTTGAAAATGAAGAAATGAAAATTTAATGAAGTTAACTGACTTGGTAAGGTCACGAAGTCAGTAAATTGGGAAAGTGGAATATGAACCCAGACATGATGACTCCAGATCTCTTAGCCATTGAGGAAAGAGAGAAAGAGGTGTTAATTCCTGGAGTAGTGGAAGTGCTGGTGCTAGCAATGCGTAAAGGAGGAAATATTGCGAAGGGGCATGAGAGCTTTTAGAATGTCAGAGACCTGATTAATAGATTAACAGAAAAGAACAAAAGATAAGATGGATTAGACTAGAGAAACAAGGAAAGGCAATGGCAGGAGGGAGAGGAAGACAGTTTAGGACACTTGAATTTAGGTTGTTTCATCCTGAGGGAAAATCCATCTAGGGAATTTGGGCGAGTGGAATCCAGTGGAGAGTCAATAAGTAGTGTTTTCAGAGTTAAGATTAAGCACTGTAATCTTTGGAACTACTTCTCCCTCCCAGAGATCCAGGCTGGAGCCTGTGAGTAAAAGAAATTTAAACAGGCAAGAAATAAAAACAAAATGAAACAACCTCCCTCCCCACAAACACACAGGCAAAAACGTAAGGGCATTTGTTCCCTGAATGCTGGTATCACATAGTTACCTTTCACTATGAATTTATATGAAAGTACGATTTTCTTCTGAAATTAAGTTACTCTCCACTAATTCAGTTTTCTCTTTGAAGTTTCTCTTCTCTTTTGGTTATGATACTCATACCAACATGAAAGTATGTTTTTGATTTAAAAGGATAATTAGAAGATAATAGGATTATAATGATCTCATAGTTACATTTTTAAGACTGATAAATCTTACCCTGCCTTTAGTCCATTTACTGAGTAACAGTATTATAAATCACAGCGAATTAAATTATTTGCATTTGAACATATAAGCAGTATATTCTCCAAAATATCCCACTTAATGAATATGTATGAACTCAATATATTTGGAGGTAAATTGGCCATCGGCATATATTGCCAGTTTAGCATTTTAATACAAATAACTCAATTATTAGGAAAACAACAACATCCATTAAAATCAAGATACTTAACCACCTAATTCCAGAGTAAGAAGATTTTTTCCATTTGGCCTTAAGACGTGGGGTGAATTATCTCCACCTGACTATGACTCACTTTTCTCATTAGGAAAATGGGGAAACTAGTAGTATCTATATCATAGAATAATTGGGGGCATTAAATGTGCTACTATGTGATGATGTGCCAGACTAGAACCTGGCTAATTCTATATAGATATTTATGCTGCTGCTTCTATTATTTGTTGAAAATTTGTCCACTAAGTCTGATCATAAGTTTAATATGGACAAATCAATAATGGCAATGATTACTCATGCACAATTAAATACTTAATAAAACAATGATAAGGTAATCATGTTTTGTATAACAAACTTGTTTGTATGATTTATAATACCTACAATATAGGTCCTAGTAAAAGTACAATGTAAGTGATTTTACTTTCCACTTCTAGCTGTCTTTCCTTCTACTAACTATAATTTTTAGCTCCTCAAACCCATAACCCCACATCAAATCTTCACAAACATAGAAAACGTGGATGTAGATAAGGGGTCCCCAACCCCTGGGCCACAGACCATTACCTGATAGGAAACCGGCCTGATATGAACTGGGCCACACAGCAGGAGGTGAGCGGTGAGCAGTGAGCAAGGGAGTGAAGCTTCATCTCTATTTATAGCCGCTTCCCATCTTCCCATCACTCACTTTATCACCTGAGCTCTGCCTCCTGTCAGATCAGCCACAGCATTAGATTCTCATAGGAGCACAAACCCTATTGTGAAGTGCGCATGTGAGGGATCTAAGTTGCACGCTCCTTATGAGAATCCAATGGTGATGATCTGTCACTGTATCCCTTTATACCCAGATGGGAACATCTAGTTGCAGGAAAACGAGTTCAGGACTCCCACTAATTCTGCATTATGATGAGTTGTATAACTATTTCATTAGATATTACAATATAATAATAATAGAAATAAAGTGCACGATAAATGTAATGCACTTGAATCATCCTGAAACTATCCCTCCACCTGGGTCCATGGAAAAATTGTCTTCCATGAAACCGGTCCCTGGTGCCAAAAAGGTTGGGGATCGCTGATGAAGATGGTAAATGAAACTCATTTCTCCTAACATAACAGGTAAATTTGTCCATAATAAGGTTTCAGTTATTTAAAACACTGGAACATAAAATTAAACACAAGATTTCTAAAGAAAAAAAGGTTAATTTCATTTCTTTTTTTCCTATATACTCACTTATAATCACACTGGAGTTCCCCCGCCCAAGCTGGCTTACTTAAAAGAATTCTGGTCTGGCTTACTTAAAAGAACCATACTTAACTGACTACAAAGGAAACTAATACCAAGGGGTAAAAGGAAACAATCTTACAGCTCTATGAAGTAGTTAGCTTTTCCTTTCATATGTAAAGGGGAAGGGATGTATGGCCCAGTTACTTCATTAATCTGTTGGAATTGACAATGTCAAGACGTTTTCTGAGGCTGTTTACCACAACAAACGAGAGCATCCACGGTAAATGACAACCCCCTAGGAGGAAGGTCTGAGCCCTTTGTAAAGGCCCTTGATTCAAACATATTCACAAAGCACATGCCAGCAGTGTTCAACAATGTATATGCTTAGTTGTTACTCCCTAAGCCTAAATTGCAATGAGGAGATAAAATATTTTGTTTCTCTTTAGTGAAAGCAGTAAAATCCATAAGAATGAGCAGTTAAAATAACATCTCTTGTATTTGTATGAAAATCTAATGTTAACAAATACAGCTGAAATGGCAAATGTATCTCATTTACTTAATGCTAATGACCATATTAGTAAAATCATTTCAATTAAAATTCCATTTGATTCCTTTGTTACTATTAAAGTACCCGAATAATCTATTTATTACCTGGGTTAAGGTATAAATCTATCCCAAATCTTATCTTTAGGTCTTTTTGCTCTACAAGAATCTGTATCAATTTAACTGAGAAAATGACAAATTTTATTATCAATCGAGAGACTGTACATTTGCCTAAATTCATGAAAAAACTGGAATAACTCATTCAGGTATATTTATTCAGTAAAAATGTATTTATCATTTTACTCTATTATTTCTCATAACTCCCTAAAAGGTTTCAACGCTTCTTTTTGTTTACAGGTACTCAGAAACACAGACTCATAGTTGAACACACTGATGGATCAATTTCATTCATGTGAATATTGTTTTATACATATGGAATACATTATATGCTATGTTCACTTTTATTCATTCAGCATTATTACTGGTTGCTTTGTATAAAAGCACATAATGGGAAGTGTTGGGGGAGCTATACTGAGATATTAAAATAGAAGGCATGCAAAGACATAGTTACTCCCTCAGGGGACTTAATTTTTACATTTTTAGATTCATGAATGTTCAACAAAGAACTAGTGGAGATTTAATGCAATGTGCAGTATCCCGCCATTGACTTATAGTCTGTATCTATTGATATACAGATATCTATGATTTCTATTATATTATCTGTTATATTATCATATCTTATATTTATTATAATATATACTATATATCAATTATGTGTAGATATATTGATATTAATATCTGTCTATATGATGTTCATTGGATGTGCATTGTAAAGACTATTACAACATATTCTGTAACTCAACTATATTCTACTTATATTAGTCTTGTCACCTGTAATATTGTCACTTTTTAAAATAACTCATATATGGGGCACTCTGAAATACCTAAACATAGCTTGTAACCTATAAATGGCAAAAAAAAAAAAAAAACAAAAAACAAAACACCCTATATCTACAAATTTAGAGAAGAATATTATTTCTATAATGATCTGCATATGTAGAAAACTTCTTTTTATATTTCTTTAGCTAGTCAAATAAATAAAACTTCAAATTTCTTTTGTAAATAACAATCTGTTACATATTAGTTCATATATCTGCATAAAATAAATATTGACCACACATGCAATAAATCCATAAAGAGCATTTCTCTACATTTACTTTCAAGACAAATTACTCAGGGATGTAAAGATGTCATTAGCTTTATCATACATCCAACTTTAAGACATGTCAAGGAATACAAATGTATGGATGGCTCTTAGGCAACTTTGCTCTTCTCAAGCAGAGGAATGCAGCCAGGGTGTACTATTATTGTTAGACTACAAAGATAAGGCCACTCTGAGTGGTTCATGTGAACATTGTCACAGCTGCTTCTTTCCTCTTTGAAATCATTCAAAGTGATGCATGCAGACGAGGTTGCTTTTACCAGCCTTCCACTCAGGGTCTGTTTAGGCCACTGAGGAAAATACTTGTGATACACTGCCGACAGAAAAAAAACATGATCCAAACAGCAGGGCTGCTACTTATAGGATATTGCTATGTCAATCAAGGGGTGCAACTGTGATAGAAAAAATCCTCTAATGTAAGAATATCTGGGGAAGGAAGAGACAATATGGCTTCTGGCCCTATAGAAAGATAATCTGTTAAAAAATTGCAAATCAACTTTGTCATCATCATCATCATCAGTGCCATATGTTTTTTCTCTTCCACCAAGCAACCCCTTCTCCAATTCAATTGAGTCCACTGATTATTGGAGGAAAAAAAAGAAAAAAAGATTGACCTACCACCTCTACATCACCAGAAACAAATGAGATGAAGATGTGAAATATTTTACCTGTATCATAAAAGGCATGTGTACCATGCATAAATTACATTCTCTAATCTTTACAAAACCCCAAACATAGGTGTTTCCTCATTCACAGATAAGAAAGCGTAAGTTAACAAAAATCAAGTAACTTGACCAAGGGCACAAAGCTAGTAAAAAGAGCTGACACTCAAACCAAGTTCGTAATATTATTTCCATCAGATCAGTACAACTCCAGGATCCAATTTTTCTTTCCATTTACCTACATGCATTTGGAATTATATCTGGAACACATTCTGTAATGAGATGGATCAAAAGAATTTGTTTTTTTGTTACATTAAAATATGTGGAGGATATCCAAATTTTCTGTTATAACTAGCCAACTCTCATATCCACCTTAGAAACTAATTTTACTTTAGAGATGTAAATATGTTTTAGGGTAATACAAATTATTACATGAATGTATAAATCATTTTCTTGGAAAGAAATATATATTTTAAAATTCCTTTAATTTTCTATCCGGTGTCAATACCTCATATGAAGGTTCTCTAAAATTAAATTGGCTAAAAATATAAATTTTTGATGATATGCAGGGAATTATTTGGTAAAAGTAAAGTACTAACATTTTAATAAGTAGAGGCTATACTAAATTTCTCTATATTCATGTCTAAATTTAAAAAATATGTGGATAACAGGAAAAACTGTCATAATATAAATGTGCAGTTGAAGCTAAGCTAGTATGACTTCCTCCCACGTTTCTGAATCTTAAAATTCAGAAAGTCTCAGAAACCATACTAGGAGTACTGCTTTGAACAGTTCCTTTGAGGTCCACTGTTTGATCCAGGACTCTGATCAAGTTAAAAACTAAACTTTAGATTTATTTTCCTTCTTACCCAACTGTTCTAACCAGTTTTTTTTTTTTTTTTCATTAAACTCTGAAAGGCTTGTTTACTATTCTCCCATCTACCAATATTACCTTCATTCTTCCATTTCCACACACATTTTCCTGTTGAACTGAGGCTTGATACTAATTTTTCACCTTCACCATTCGACCCTCTACACTGTGGTTTCATTTCTTCCCCTGAACTAGCTTCTCAGAATTCAGAAAAGCAAACCCTATCATTGTTTAAATTGGCCTGGGACTCTCTTTTCTTACCTAGTATACACTATAACTGTACATCAGAGTGAGAGCGTGTTCAATATTCCATCAGCAAAGAAATGAAACCAATTCATTTTTGAGTAAGCACAATAAAAAGATTCAATGTGTATAATTTTCTAAGTTGACTATATCCATATATAACACCAAAGTATCTTAGTTATTCTTTTCTATATTTGAATCAAAAACATATCCAAAAGCAAATAAAGTACATGTTGAGTGTTACCAAAATACTTTATTAATAAAAATCCCTTATATTAAAACTTTATATTAATTTAACACCAGCGATCTGACTAGGGAAAACGATAAGTTATTTGCCCATTTATTACCTATGAAAATCTGGGGTAAAATCTTATAAAATAATCTTAGTAATAGCAGTTTACAGAATTTTTCCAAAATATTATAAAATGCAATACAATTTCCCACCTTTGTCTTTGATACATAGACTTCAACTTTTATTGCCTTTAAGAAAGCATATTTCCAACATTGTTTTATTCTATGAATTACACTCACTTTTGCAAGATTCGCTGAATAACAGCATAAACATCTGTCTACTCATGCGATTAAAACACAATTTTTTATTGTATAATAATTTTAAATAAGGATGATAGATTATTGAAAATTTCTGGGACCTTTGGGTTGATTCTATCATTATGGCTTTGCAAATTCTCAAACTTCACAATTCAACCAAAACATATTTTACTTAGTCTTCATTTGGAATTTTTCAGTCACTAAATATTTTACTCTAACGATTAAAATGTAACAAATGTTCACTTTTAATAAAGTATGTATGCATATAAGTCATATTATAGAAACCACAGATCTCCCTTACAACAATACCAGCACTGATAGTTTCTACTTAAGATAAATATATAATACATATATGTATGTATAGTTTATCAATGTAACCGTGAGCTCTGCTACAGCACTGTTTTACTCTAATGACAAGTATTAATTTCTGTTTTTAAAGATAATATCAAGCTCTAAGCCAACTAAAAGATTGACAAAGAATACTAAACATATTATGAAAAGGACTTACTTTAAAACATATTCATCTCATTTCTGAGCCAATACCAATTTGGGGCACAGTACAATTTTAAACTAAAGAGAAAATAATAAAAAATTATTTATATCATATTCTAAAACAATATAAAAATGGACAAGCCAATAGTGGACAGATGTTGAGATGATGCCTAACAGGCAATGAATAGTTTCTTTGTTTGTGATGAAGTAATGTTTTGGTGAAACTTCTGTAAACTATCATCAGTAAATGCTGGCTGGTTTTCATTTTCAAATTATTATAAAACTGATTGAATGAAGAAGTCATTCTGACTGAAGGCCAAACTTTCTATAGAACTGAGTATTTCTTGAAAAATAAGATCCGATTTTGGTCACATAAAATCTTTATTAGTATTAACAATGTTTCCTTTGGATCTTTCTAAAATTTACAATCTGCTAAAATTTCACAAAGATTTGACAATATCTTCAAATTAGAGTGAAATAATATTTTTAAGATTTCCATACAGAAGAGGGCTAACCAGGAATTAAAAACACATTCATCAAGGTCCTATTATGTCCAAGGCATTCTGCTGAGGAAACAGCAATATGGAAATAAATCATTTTTTTAATACATCACTGCATCCAGTAGAATTCAGTGTAGTCTTATGGCTTATACAGTTGACTCTGGCATTTTTTCTTTTAAAGCCAAGGCTGCAATATGCTGAAGAAGCAGAAGAAAGCCCTAGTTTCATTTCAGAAAAGGGCAATGTATGCGTGCTAGCCCTACAAAGAAGACTGGCAGCTCTCAGAGAGGAAAGTATTGCACATATGGGGAAGCAATCTGAAGAACTTGTCTCTGAAATTAGGGAAGCCCATTTTTTAAATGTCCTCATTGTGATGTACACAAATGAAGTGCAGAAAACACTGATCAATAGGCTTAAAAAGTAACAATGGAAAAAGAAGTTTTTACTTAAAAGAGGAACAGTCAAGCACAGGAGATGTATTTCCCAAATATGTTGGTGGCCTGCATGCTAGTGCATTTTCAGACAAAACATTTAGTGATTACCTATTCTGTGTAAACATTTTTTTGAGAACAATAAATTATTATATTAAAAATAACTAATGTTACATGGAAGAAATCATTTAAAGCTGTTACACTTGGAGCTATACTGATTGAAATGGTGAAGAGGGTGAGAAGTACTAGTGACAAAGTTTTCCCTGGCCCTTGAGGTTTTTTTCAGCTCTAGTTTGAAAATCACAGCACCAGGTGACCAAAAAATGTTTCCAGAATATTTTAATTACCACTAACGTAATTACTTAGAGCTATATTCTATTTAAGCACAGAACTTCAATGTATAATAGTCTTCATAAGTAGTATTCTATAAGCTAGACAAATCATGACAATTAAATTAGTATATACTTGAAACAACCTAAATCCCTTTTTAAAAAAAGGATTTGTTGGGGAAAATAAAAGTTATACTACAATAAATCAAAGGGCATAATATATCTACTGTTTATTGAAATTCCACTATAAAATGCTTCAACAGGTAGCATCAACCGTTCTGGAATTAGCTGAATTTCTGCCTTAAATCCTGTGCCTACTTGGTATTCCTCAAAACCAAGTTTGTTCTGAGTTGGAAGTGTCTAGAATTTAGTAATAAATGGGAAAATTCTGAAGAATTCATCTTTCTTAGGATGAGTATTTCTGGTAGGAAGAGTTCTTAATACAAAAGTTTAATCACTGATCATAATCAGGAGAACATGTGTACAAACATTTCTGACTTTCAGTAACAAGTTTTGAAAAATCAAAACAAAATTCTGCCTTCTTACTCATTACACATTTATTTCCTCACTTCATATGGGAGTTTGGTTCTATATATTAACAAAACTAAGCTATCATGAAACAGCTAAAAAGCTTATGGTATGAACAAGAACTCTTGCACATACAATGGAACTGAATTTATTGTGAAGACAGAGAGAAATGCACAGACTCAGTTTTGCAGACAGGCTGATACAAATAATGTGACTAGAAAAAAATAATTTCTTAAGAGACAGCAGAGGATAACAAAATAACATGCATCACATGGTTCATGGTTTCTCAAAAATTTGAAATTCTGTTTTGCTAGTTGATTTATGACTAACAATTCTGTAACTAAAAGCACATTTACCAAATCCATATGAAAATGAAATTTATGATGCATTCTAAAGTAGTTACTGTATCAGTGATGGCCTGTATCAGTAATTGTTCTATTGTTTTATCTGTACATTTAATTTCAAATTGGTGGCACCAAACTTATCTTCATATATATTTTAATCCTAAAATTAGAAAATCATATGATCAATTGCATTTGAATGTAAGTTAATTAAATAAAAATAAAGTAATATTGGATTTAAAAAACAACAAAAAAGTTTTATTCCAATCTAACCAATCAATCACATCACGCGGCCACTAAGTGCAGCTTCTGTTGGCTGTCTAATGATGCAAAGCATGGAATCAGAAATCTTCTGCTGAGAAACCTCAGTCATCATACCCATACCTCTAATTCAATAATAATAATAATAATTTATGTGTCCTTTCATTCCAAACTGTCAGAATGGGAAATATGATGAACCTCCCTGTCTTAAGGGTCAGGCATTCTTCTTTAAATTTAAAGGACTGTCTGATTGGGGAAGATGAATAGATACTCAGAAATCTTTCTGCTTAGTGTCCATCCCTAGTAACATTCAATGGCTTACTGTAGAGAATGAGGAGGGAGTACTTTCAAGGAAATCAGCAGGAACTTTGTAAACTTGCTCTGTTTTCCTATGGATGACCGCCAGTAACCATTTTTCCAAACTTGTAAGGATCCAAGCCTTCCTGGAGGCCAGCTCTGGGGACAAAGGTGCTTCTCCAAAGCTTGTTATAGATAGGAACATTCGGACTGAATGAGAAACTCAGTAAACAAAAGCAAAATCTACCAACTCTGAAGCACTGACTATACAACACATACTTCCTTCCTAGTCTTTCACTCCTTACAAAGACCAAACTGGATTCTTTCTGCTGTATACAAGAAACGAAGTCATTGAAATTGATTTAAAAAAATCAGCATTAAGGAACACAGCTTTGAAAAGATTAAGTGAAGTAGGATGAAGTTTTGATTTTTATATTTGGAAAGATGAAATGACAGCACATTGTAAGGCCAACCCAAAATCTATGGTTTCTCATTTTCTTTGAATTGATATGGCCTAAGAAGAAAAAAAGCCTTCAAATATCTCATCTCATTGGTAGAAAGAAAGAAAACACTGACTGTAACTAGAAATAAACACCAACCAAGTTACTTTGGCATCCAACTGGCTCTAAAGTGCATGAATTGCTGCACTTTAAATCAAAATTTACCATTACTTTGTATTCCTGCAAGAACTGTCCTACACAAGAGAAATCATAATATAAATTATTCATTCATTATGTGAAAGGTACATTTTTATGAAGTGCCAAATAACCAAACTCCATTGTATAGAAATTTACTGGATCCAAATTTCATTGAAATTAATAGATCCATACATAAAAAACTGACGACAGTTACAAAATAAATATAATGTAGTAAATAATTATAACTCAATATATGTGTCAAGATTGCGCATTGAGTTTAGGGCCCAACTGAAGCACTCTGAATTGTTTTTTCAGGATTTTAGTCAATTTTTATTGTCCTTCACCTTTGTAAAAAATAATAACAGTTATTTGTTTTTATTTCTGAAATGAGCCTTTGTGCATCTTTATATAACGGGAATCTAGCTTATGTGATGATACGAATGTCAAGCAAAATGACAATATTTGAAATGAATTCATTATTATAGTCCAAATATACTATTGGTATATTTAAAAGTGGGCATATATATTGAATCATGCATGTCATATACTTCATATAAAATTTCACTTGTGCTATTTGGCTGCTTATGTCACCATAAATCTCTCTAGGTATGAACATCAGAATGCAAGAATTTCAGGTGCATGGTGCTTTTCCAAAGCTTGTTATAGATAGGACCATTTAGGGTGAATGAGAAACACAGTAAACAAAAGCAAAAACTACCAACTCTGATTTAATAGTCCATCTCTGTCATTTGTGGAAGGGTATGATATCCATTCACAAACTCATTTGAAACTCTTTTAAACTTACACTTTCAACCCATTTACCCTCATGTGATACTGGTGTAATTTCAGCCCATAACACATGTGTTAATATAGTATAGATAATAGAATGCTGAATAATGCATTACTTTTCCTAAATATATTTCTCTCAACTATAATTGTTAGCCATTGTTTTAATATACTGGAAAATTCAAAACAAATGCAGTTTCAGTAATAATTTACATCATTTAATAAACTTCAACAAAAATGCCTTTTATATTTTCTTCCATAGACTTAAGAGTCCTAATTTTCATATTTTTAGTATACTCTTCTAAACCCCTCTGGATAATTTAATCCTTTTTCAGAATCTTTCCTAATCGTGGTAACGAAAACTAAATGCAACATCCCCAATGCATAGATTCATTATTTCTTATATGACAATTTATTTTAGTTTCTAATCTTCCTGATTTGTTTGGACTTTTGAAAACTAACTTCTATTTTCAGGAAATTAACTATAGAGAACTCTTAGATTTCTCCAACCTTAGCATCATAAAATATGCCTGCAGTTTTCTCTAAGATGTGATCACTAAAATATAAATTATCCTAAATTTAATTTCATAATAAACTCAGCACACCCTTTTAGGAAAAAGATGTCGGCTTCGATCACAATTAAACATAGAATTATCAACATTATTATGGCTATTATCCATGCAGACAGCCTTATATGGCTGTCTTGGATAATTGCTCCAAGTTTGACTATTTACTTAATCTGAACATATTTTCCAGGATTATTAATTTGTGTATTCATATTAAAAAAAGAAGAACTACTCTAGTGTACTACCTTGAGTGGTCATACCTAGAGTGGAGAAAAATTAGTTTTCTCCACTCTAATCCTGGGTGTTGGTTCACTTCCTCAATATAGCATTAATTATTGATTGCTCTCTAGGTATCAGGCATCAGGATCAGCGCTGGGGATACACTGATGAGCAGGACACATGAGATCAGAAAGGATCCTTCAACTTTCTGAAGTTTACACCCTACATAAAAAACTTCATTGTTCTTCATATTGCAGATGTGGGCACCCTACTATTTTGTTGTGTTCTCTGAACTCTAAAGTTGTATATTAATTGGGCATTTTATATATAAAAGAATACGTTCCAATTTATGTGATAAACATTATTTCCTTAAATATGCTTCGTATAGAAACTACAATGTTAGGTGTTTTGGTACATTAACTAATTAGGACACACAATAACTAAACAATGTAAATATTAACATCATTGTTTTATGGATAAAGAAATCGAGGTTCAGAAATATTGTGCAACTTTTACAGCATCATGAGCTAGTTCAGGGACTGAGTGATGTGAAATTTGAACTCTGGGCCTTCTGATCCTAAACCTTATGATTTTTTCTAGTTCATTTAAATTGTGTCTGGAGTTTTTCAACTCCAGACATCCCAAATAATAGATGCAGAGGGTATTAAGCATCAATATGATTATTATGATAAACTGCTAACTCTTAACAACTGATAAATCCAATTAAACTGGCTAAGTGAATTAGTAATATATTCAAATCCAAAAGTCAATTAATTTTCAGACATATAACTCAGAGGTCCTACTATAAAGTCTTGGGTCTTCTTAAAATTTTAGTAAGTATGTACTGAAATCATCTTAGTATTTTATGTAATCTGTATTAATTTTTAAAAATAAATGTAATTTCTATTGTAGTCTGATAAGTGGATTCAAATCCAAATGGAAATATAACACAGTGAGCACACTTACAAATTGTAATTTATTAGTAATTTTTATTTATGATTTATATTTATGCTTTATATTTTAAATACAATATTCAAATTATATATCAAATATATATTCAAAAGTACAAACTAATTTTTCTTTTTTAAACAAATGTTGGTAGTTAAGTGTTAGCAGCCATCTCTTCAAAGGTCAATAAACTGAAGAGGTACTGGAAAAAGAAGGGCAGTTCTAGAAAACTATTTTTCCACTGGATGTACTGTTGACATTTATTTTTACTTCTAAAAATATCTGTAAATATGACTATACAGATTTTTCTTATCTTCTTTCTTTTGTTAGTACCATTAATTGATTGGTCTTTTTATCTACATGTGTATGTTTCTGTATATAAAATATGTAAATAGGTTATATGATTGAAATACATAGACATAATATATGCCATATATTATATATTATGATAATATATAATTTATAACATATGATTGGTAATATATATCTATGGTTTGGAAAAAATGCCTATTAGTATTAGTATTCTTATATATGCCTTGCCTAGCACTGAGCCTACCGCTCAGGCTGATGCTTTCATATGGCATTTGCAATTAATAGCTCTCACCTGATTTCTTTCAAGAAGTGTAAATGCTCCCATTCCTAGAGTCACTGAATTATATCTTAAATATTTCTCTTACCACAGTATAGCCCTTATTTAAAGGAGAGGGTAACACTTTCACAAAGGTCTAAAAAGGAAAAGTCAATCAGCTTCAAGACACAAGGGCTACTGTTCCTATTCACAGCTTTGTTTTAAATCTTCCCTTGTTTTTCCTCAACAAACCATGGCACAATGCTGCTGCATGTTCCCCTCCCAAATTGAGGCTGTCAATACCAGGTTGTTTGGCCTCTGAATATGCGAGCAGGCCAGAGTTAGTCTTCCCATGAAAATTAACTCAATGACCTGCCTCCTTGAATTCTTGTGAACCGAAAGACAACCATAATTTTTCATCCTTTCCATTCTCACGTGTTGTAAATGTTCACTCAAGTCGCAATGCAATACAAAATGAAGTAATTCCTCCAAAGTGGGTTCACCGTGCATGATTTAATTATAGCCATTGAATATACTTTTTCTTTACTTTTTCAAAAAAAAATTCAAGGCTCTATCTCTAAGAAATTTATGATTCAATAGTTTGCATTACCCTTATTGTCTAATCATGTGGAAGAAAATGAGGTTTTGTGCTCATTGGTTTGTCAAAAAAAAAGTATAGCCATAAAAGTTTTAATCTGCAAGTTTTTTTTTCTCAGAGAATCAAGTTTAGTCAAGTGACAACTTCTCTATTTCCCAAAGCTTACTGTACCCCAACTTGAAAAACAAAAAGAAGGAAAACACTGCTACCGCTTTTATTTTTAATCCCTCACATTTTGCAGTCCCTGTTGAAGTCAGATATACAAAATTACACACAGCTTTCCAAGATTTGCATTTAAAAGTTTGTGTACAAGCTTCAATACAGGTTGCTCTACCGTGACCATAGAAACATCAGAAAAGTTGGAAAATTCAGTCCACTGAACTTCAAATGACTTTATTAAAGTGTCACTAATCAGAGTTAAAAGACACAAGGTTTTAGTGTTTGGGCTAACAAAGTGAATAATTCTCAAAGTCTAATGACCCACTAAGAGCAGTACTTAAAATTATATATAAAAAAAAAGAGGGGGAGGACTTGCTGAAAGCAAATTAAATAAGAAAACCTTCACTGCCTTCTCCAAAAGATTGATCTCATACAGATAACAACAGCTCAACTGAACTGTGACACTAATACCGTTCTCTTTGGCTAGGCAGCTGGGAAAAATCTACCTGGTTAACATTTATAGCACTACATGTATATATGTGATTAAAATATAGACAACTAGATCATTTTAAGGGTAAATCTGTATTCCATTTATAGCTAATAAGGTAAGTTATATAAACTGCAACCTTCAAAACTCTAAGGGCATTCTAATTGAATTAGAGGCCAAAAGAAAATTTCAACATGCAAAGCAATTCAAAGTGCATAAATAATACATGCCAGAGTAGTAATTTGAAAGATGAAAATCCTTAAATGCTACTAAAAGTAATCATTAATATTAACTATATTTAAATGGTAGTAATAACAACATCAACAAAATTGCAGAAAAAAATTAAAGGAAAATAATAAGTATTTTTGTCACCACTTTTTGTGTGTTTTTTTTTTCAATACTTCTTTAGAAGTCCTTAATCATTCCTCTTTGGCCTTCAGCAAAAGTTAACAAGGAAAGAAACCTGAAGCTCACTAGTGTCATTTCAAACAGAGACCCCAAACCAAAAACACAAAAAAGGCAATCTTAGCACCTTAATTGTCCAATATTTTTCGTTTGCAGAGAATATTTTCGCTGTTCTATTCCCATATGAAAAATTACATTGCAGTGATTAAGTTGGAGGATGATCTGCTCCATTCACTTTTCCTCCAGGAAGCACCTGGATATTCATCTGCTCACCAATTTTAAACAATCGTTGACCATCTACAATGTGTAAATGGAAGCAGCAGCTACTGTGGGAATTTAAATAAAGGATGACCTTTGTTTTTACTAGCAGTTCAAACCATGACCAAATTACACATGGACCTTCTAAATTAGGTAAAAGACAGAAATAATCTGCAAATAACAATCACTACAGTACCAAAGAAAGCAAAACTCATCCATTCACAAATTCATTTCAATGTATTCATTCTCTTGGCATTTATTGATTATTGCCATGTGCCAGGCACCACTGTAAGACATGGAGGACCCAGGGATGAGTGAGAAATACACCAGGCACAAAGAGATCATAGTCATGGTGGTGGGGGGCAGGGGGGACAGTTAGAAATGCAAGTAATTTATCAATGGGGTAAGCATTACAATTATGGTGTGAATAAAAATGGTGGAACTTAGAAGAGACTAACTCTACCTGGAAGGCAACCAAAGATTTTTTTCATCAGGGTGTTCTTGACCAAAACAGTGAATGATGAGAAGGAATCTTCCACATAGGAAAGCAGAATAACGCCCATTGGCATCACAGATACTATTTGGTTATGAAAATATCTCGTTTTCTCTCTTTTTATTTATATTTAGCAATTCAGGTAATCTAAGATCAAACTTCTTTTCAGCACCCAAAGAAGCAAGAGTGGTGATTAAGTATTTCAACATGGGGAATTGGTGTTTAAGGTATGCTGAAGAATTTTCTGGTCGTTAAAGCCTCTGGCTGTAATGGATAATCTCCACTTCAGTAAACTCACAAGGAAAAGTGAATTAAAATAACACCAGGCCTCCTAGACTAACTATGTTCATGCTGTTTAATTACTAGGAAATTGGAATAATTCACCTAATAAATTTGCTTCTCAATTCTTCAAGGTAGTTGGGAAATCCATACACCACAGAAAAGGGGAATCAAGAGTAGAATATAGTAGAATACATTAAAAGAATAGATGTATAAAGGAGATAATCTTATTCGAAATCCAAATGCAATCTCTCTTGGATATGCTTTGGAAAACTTACAGCATTGCTCAACATTCATCAGCAACTTTTTGCATTCTAGTAATTGAGTTATAAGATGTTCCCACAACTTCAAAAATGTAAATTACTTAACCTAGCAATAAAGGCTCTCTCTCCTAATACACTCCTCCTGCTCAATTCCTCTAACTCACATCCCATACCAAGTCTTTATCAAATCATCTATTAGAACACAACATGATCCAGAGACCAATTCATTACTGTTCTTCACCCTCCTTTTGCACAGGCCTGGATTAAATATGCTTTTGGAAATATCTCATGCTTTATCTCTTTTTATTTATATTTAACAATTCATGTAAATCTAAGATCAAACTTTTTTTCAGAAAGCCCTTTCGAATCAACCTGCCTAATAATATGCTTAACTAATTTACTTTGTATCCTCTTCCACAATTTCTACTGTATTTCTTTTATTCTGTAGTGTGGATTCTCAAATTTTCTCTCAGAGCTGGGTCAATATGTATTTTTAACGTATATTCTTGAGCAGTAAAGTTCTTCACATAGTAGGTAGTCAATACTCGAACTCAGAGTTTTAAAAATGTGTTCAAAATTCTAAGATAAAATTATTAAGTGCTATTAAAACTATATTAAGAGATGAAATTTAAGTTTCTTCATTTTTTTTTTCTTCTTAGCAAATGGAGTTGTAAATCATATGGAAATTCCTGACTGATTTAGGGGCCAAAACAGATTAAATGGCTGGTAACATGCACAGGAGGTGAAGTGGGAGGAGCCCATGGACTTGGTGCTATGGGTTCTAGCCCTGGATGCTGCCCCAAGAACTGAAGCTGCTTAATTCATCATTGTTTCTAAAATAGCAGAGATATGGTTTAACGTAACTAGGTTAATACACTGACTTGCTTCTGGAAATATCATCCGCCCTGTCTGAAGGAGAATAAGCTATCTTTATGGACAAGAGCAGATTCAGAGAACTCAATAGCATACCTCAATTTACATGGGAAAAAAATTGAGGCCTTATAAAAACCACTATTTTGGAAACCAAAATATATGAATATGAATATGATTTTAAAAGCGTAAATGATTACTTAAAATTTACACAGCTTCTAAATTACATTAAAATTGGGCAGAACTTTTGCTATGTAGTTATTAAAACACTTATAAAACTAATATTAGCCAATATAGTTAATTATAACCCAATTTATAATTTCAAAATGATATTGCATTGATTTATTTGCATTGGAATATTTACTCAAAAGAACTGTACATTGGATGGAATATTTCTCTAAAATCCTGATTTAATGCAATAACTAAGAAATAAAAGTAGTAGTGAAAAAGAATGAACCAAAATTTTACACCTGAATTTTTATCTCATTTTAACATTCTTAGCTATAAAGTAATATAAAATTGTGTTTCATTCTTGACCATATTGTTATTGTAATAAAAAAATAAAATTCAAACATATATGATGACGTCTACAAAATTTTTAAGTCAATAGTTAAGTTTATAATGTGCTGAGTGTTTTAATGTAAACATATCTAAATTTAAATTGTATTTTTAACAGGAAATATGAGTGTATAAGGCAAAATTTAACTGAAGCTTTAATCAGTTTAAGTTTGCCATATACTAATAAAAAGCTATTGCTCTCATCTTCTTTCTAAATGTATAATAAATGTAAAAATATGTAAATAAAACAATCCTGTTAAAGGTAAGTGCTGAAAAGTCAATGAAGGGATTCTGAACAAAACCAGTATCAATTTCATATTTTATACCATAAAAGCTTTCTAATCTCTTGAACTATGCTTTGAAATTATTTGAGCTTGATAAAAATTTTACTTTCAAAAATGTTTATTTAAACTACTTCTTATTGATAAGACAAGATCTGTTTGATGCTTTAAATTTATCAACACCAATCACCGTGCTGAAATTTTAGAAATTTATAGATCAAAAGTTAAAATTATTTTATAGTACTCTTTAATATGTTTGATAAAAATCACATATATAGTATTGGGATAATCATAAACTTATGCATTTATCATTCAACCAACATTCAATAATGCCAAGCTCATTTTTTTACTTTGAGAAAATTTATATTTTATAATATTTGATGTTATTTAAAATGAAATACTTTGAACTATTTCCTGTCACCTTTCTTCACAGGACTTCAAGGATTCATTTTTCTTAACTGTGTGTATACATTTTATAAAATGAAGAAATGCAAGGACTTTTAGGAAATCATTAATCTTTTGTATATGATGAAAAGCCACACATAGTCTCAATAAATCAATGTCTTTGGAAGACACAAAAGAATTCTTGTTTATTTCAAAATCCTTTATTTAAAATGTCAAATGTCTTTATATTATGCAGAAGTGCTCCAGATGGCTAGGCACATGTTTCAATTATGCTAAGTTACAATTTTTTTCTCTTGTTTTCTTATTCTGTTACATATAGAATGTTACATTTATAGCTACTAATTGTATCTTGATTGGTGCAGGTAAAAATATTCTTATTTGTAAATGTAAATGATTTTTAGATAAGGAAGAACACACATGAATTAAAAGACATTGCACAATACAGTCAGAACTTTAAAAAGATGTTCAGCATATGATGAATCCTAAAAGTTAAAAAATAAAAAATTCTATTTTTCATTAATCATTTTTATTACAAATGGACATTACTATACCCCTCATCATTTCACTACTAAGAAGACTTCAGAAATAAGAAACACTTGAGGTCTCTATACTAATAGTAATTCTACAGTTAATAGAAGTATAATGTAAAAACTAACAAATCTCTAACATTTGTATGAATTCCCATATAACCACTGCCTCAGGCCACCTCTTTTAAAAACACCTCATACATTCTGTGCTAAGCAAAAGATCCTTATTTTAGTTCATTTTAAATATGCTTTCCTAGGGATAGCTCATAGAGCCATTCCTTGTTCTTGAAACACTAGAGTTCTTTCACTTTTGTCATTTTTTTTCTTGCATATCTTTCAGAACTATTGCTTTTCCTAAGAAGGTTTAATCAGTTAAGTTTGCCTTATACTAATAAAAAACTATTGCTCTCATCTTCTTTCTAAATGTATAATAAATGTAAAAATAAATAAAAACTATTCTGTTAAAGGTAATTGCTGAAAAGTCAGTGAAGGTATTCTAAAGCTACATAACAACACATAACACATTTACACAAACTTAATAAACAGGACAGTGTACATTTTTACTTAAGTTATAGTTTATTATCTCAATGATTGCTTGCAATAGCTTGTCAACTAATGCCAAAATCTTGTAATGTGTTTGAGTAGCAACCACATTAGAAAAGATAACTATCCCTTAGTGTTCCATGTGTTGATTATCCTACTACTACTACTGTTACTATGCTGTTACTATTACTGCTAATACTACTACTGCTGCTGCTACTACTATTGCCACCGCAACTGCTACACAACTACTACTTCAAAGAACTAGTGAAACTGGAAAACTTTAGAGAAGAGCTTCTAAATTTGCAAATGTGTAATTAAATTCTTATATATGACCTAACCTATTAAAAAGAGATCGAGACCATCCTGGCTAACACGGTGAAACCCCGTCTCTACTAAAAACACAAAAAATTAGCCGGGCGTGGTGGCGGGCGCCTGTAGTCCCAGCTTCTCCAGAGACTGAGGCAGGAGGAGAATGGCGTGAACCCGGGAGGCGGAGCTTGCAGCTAGCCGAGATCACGCCACTGCACTCCAGCCTGGGCGACAGAGCGAGGCTCCGTCTCAAAAAAAAAAAAAGAGTTGTTTCTTACAATGTGCTCTACGAGACATTTGCATCAGAATCCCTTGAGGGACTTGTTAAAATATGTTTCAAGAACTTTCATGAAATCTTCTGAAAAGTAATATGCATTTTAAATAAATATCCACCTAAGAGAGTCTCATGTACATTAAGTTTTGAGAATTAATCAAACTAAAATATATCAACATATAAAATTAAATATTTTTTGAATTTAAAATTTTGCTTATATTGAATATCCACAAAATAGAAAAGAATAAGAGCCCTTGAAAAAATATGTTGAACGTTCATTTTCTGAAATTCTTGTATTTTCTGTCAGTGATTTTAAAGAATATTTTCTATATTCATTTGATTAAAATCCTGCTTCTATATTCAAACTATTTTTATTCACGATTCATTTCAAAAAGGACTTAAAGTAATATTTTTTAAACTGTCTATCTCATATACACATATACAATTATACAATTATACAATTAACTATACAATTATATTATAGATGTACAATAAAATATTATTTTTTTAAATTTTCCAAACCGATATCTTTATCAGAAACTACTATTAAATTCTTATATATGACCAGGTCAGGATGTGCTATTGCTAAGGATGAATTTTGCTTAGGCTGAAATCTTGGCTCTAGGTCTTCCTAATTGTATGATCCAAAGGGAGTTAACTAATCTTCCCTGAGCCTCAGTTTTCTCATCAGTGAAATGGTAATAACAACGATAACTATTTCATAGCATTATTTTGAGGTTTGAATAAAATAGCATAAATAGCCATTTGTTTTAAATAAATGTTAGTTTTAGTTGTTTTAGAGGTAGTTGCTGTTAATGTTCCATAATTATTAATAATGATGCTATTATTGTTTAATAACTATTACCATAGAAATAATGTTGGAGGCTGGGTGCGGTGGTTCACTCCTATAATCCCAGCACTTTGGGAGGCCGAGGCAGGCGGATCACGAGGTCAGAAGATCGAGACCATCCTGGCTAACACGGTGAAACCCCGTCTCTACTAAAAATACAAAAAAATTAGCCAGGCGTGGTGGCATGAGCCTGTAATCCCAGCTACTCGGGAGGCTGAGGCAGGAGAATCGCTTGAACCCGGGAGGCTGAGGCAGGAGAATCGCTTGAACCCGGGAGGCAGAGGTTGTAATGAGCCAAGATCGTGCCACTGTACTCCAGCCTGGGCGACAGGGCAAGACTCCGTCTCAAAAAAAAGGAGATAATGTTGATAATGTTGTAGAGAGATGAATAATTATATTTCCTGACCAGGATGTAAAAATATGTCATCAAATACAAACATACATCGGGGCATCTTAGGGCAAAGGAAGCTCTTAAGGACAGAGATGGTAACAGCACAGAATGGACCTGTATTCAAACAGGAAGGAAAGGGAAAGCACATCAGGACTGATAAGCAGCCTCAGACCAAGGTACACTAGAGTATCCCTTGGATGAGGCCCAAGGTCCACATGCTTTAAATCAAACGCTATTTAATTACATAGGAATGTAATATTTCATATTCAGTATTTTAAAAACAGAAGAATAAAGGTGGGTATAATTTGCCTGATATTTTTTCTGCACATAGATTAAAAAAAATTCATTTCCAATAGTTTAAAATATGCAGACAAAGCCTTATGAAATGCAAAAACCAAAAGCTCAGACAGGATAAATAATCTCAATTGTGTTGAGATTACAGAAACCAGTTACCGTAATCAGCTGGTGAAACTTTTTCATCACAGCAATCTTTTAGATTTTCTGATAATAGTTTATGTGATGTTTGTCTTCCTATTAGATTGCTAGTCTCTTGAGGGCATGGATAAAAGCTATAAATAGAAGCTATCCTGTTAAAGGTAACTGCTTACCTTTGAACCATGCATATTTGAAATATGTGTATCTGACCTGAACTATGCATATTTAAATCCCCAGTAAGAAACACTGTAGCTCGCATATTGAATACTGGAATGATAGTTGAGGATGGGAAGGTAGTACAAAGGCCAACACATTATCCACAATAAAACATAAGAACAAGGTCCTAGTTAACACTTATCCCTTCTAATTCGGAAATCCTTAGTTATTGTCTAAATGACAGTGTGCAGAACCAAGATCTTAGCAATGTAAATATATACATCCAGGCAAATGGCAGAGAAACAGGTTAATGTCCCTTCTGCTTCCATGTCCATCTTGCATTTCAGAACAAAACCAGAAATCCTAAGGAGGTTTAATTCTCTACTGAAACACCCCAAGAAAATTCTCAAACTTATCTTCATCTAAGAACAGGGATGAAAAGATGTAGTGTCATTTACATAGTTCTCAATGTTATATCCTGGCAATCTTGTCTGATGAATGACAAAACCAGCATCTATGCAAATGAAGAAAATGAGAGAGAAGTGAATGGATACTTATTTTGGGTGAGTATCATGGGTGCATTTTTAAGTTTTGTTTCTCAAAGCTGCTCTGTGAAATAGATTTCACAAAAGAGGCAACTGATACTGTGATACTCTTGGGGAAGACAGCTTCCCCAAGTCATGATTGTACCCAAGTGTGTTTGAATCAAAAGTCCTTACTCTTCCCATGTATTACATAGACTCTCTAAAAGAGTTTTATTTTTCTTCCCAAGTTCCCTAGATTTGAATTCAATAGTCTTTTTATGTTCACCTACTCTTGTAAGGAAAATTTTATATGTAATAACAGTAATCCTTAAAGCAACCTCCATATAATTATATCTGGCTGTGTTTACATAAGTGTTTTAACATATAATGTAGTTACAGTATTGGCTCCATCTTACCTTTTCTTCTACTACTAAATCTACACTAATTATTAGTTATTAACTTGTAGTTAAATATTCTATATTTTCCTTCTCTCAGGGTCATTATTAAAAGCAAATGTTGATTCATTTATTTTTAAGTATTTAATTAGGAGGCAAGTTTAGGTATATCAGTGATCGAAATGTGCCTTTCAAAGTTAATTTAACATCTCATTTAATTCAGTTAATTATAAGTTCAACCCTTAAAAAATAAATTTTCTGTGTTTCCTAAGTATGCTTTTCCTTTTAATGTGATTAATTAATGGTTAATTTAATATGATTCATTGATGTACTTTGGAGTGTGGTTATTACATCCTTCAAAAATACTGTTTGCTTATATTTTCTAGTTTAAAAATTCACTATAATCCAAACAAAAAAGAAAGATCTAGTTATGATATAGATCAGCATTCAAATACTTCGTATTTATATTTATGGCTTTTGCTTTTAATCTCCTTTCTGTGAAATTAGCAGGCTGTGATTTATAACAATTGAAGACCAGTGAAGTGTACTGGAAAGAACTAAAGCCTTGGAACCAAATGAACTCAAATGGCGCTCTACCACAAAACAATATACTGACAATTTCATGATCCTTGATACTCCATCTACAAAATGGAAATACCATTACTTACCTTCTAGAGTTGTTGAGATAATTAAATGATATATTTGTAATGCATATATTAATAAGTATATGATATTTAAGTTGAAAATCAACAATGAGTTCCCGCCTATCACTCTAGTTCTGCCTAATTTTGTTTTCATAGTCATAGTATAATTAAATTTGTTCTAACATATCGCCTCAACATCAGAATAAATACATTAAAAGAGTGGTACCTTGTTTCATTTCCTCTATTAAAATACAACTAAGACCACTTACTCAAAAAAGCACAACCAGAATGGACAGTTTTCAAAGTAATTTTTCTAGTTCCAGAAATAGAGCTCACAAAATGACATTGCTTACAATGATCAGACATTGAACATTTAAAAATTTATCTTTACTAAGTGTTTCAAATATAATATTAAAATGAAAGAAAGGTCTTTTAGAGCCAAACTATGTTCTGAAGTCTCACTTCTGGAATAGTCATTAACAATTCACTTACCCTATCTTTTAACAAAGGTTATATTTTTATTCGTTTCCCTAGGCGGGTGGATTATATTTAGAATATAACTTCAGTATCTGACACTTATCAAAACATAGTGTATAAATTGGAAAATGCTACTCTACCTTTGCATTATATTAAAATTTAAAAATTCTGTAGTTTACTTAAAATAAATAAATGCAAAATCAATGTTTAAAAATTACATCTGCTTCCCTTTGTTAGCTAATAACCCTTCTGTTCTTGGTTATGTCTTGCGGCTCACTAGTCACTCATTTAAAAATTATTTTTCTACCTGATACAGTACAATGAAGAAAATTACCACAGAGTTATTTTTAATGCAGTTCCTTAATAATTTCCTTAAAACCAAGAAACAGAATTTGTAAGATTGGTCTTGATTTCCCTTTATGTGGTATCATTAAAAATGTCATCACAATTTTTGTATGAACAGTAGCTATTTACATGACCAGGAGTTGTTTACATTTTTTTATCATTGCCTTCTGGACCACACAAGAAGTAAATAACTGAATGTAGCATCAACAAAAGTAAATCAAACAGTCTTTTAGGAAAATATGCAGTGCTATGTGTACTGCACATTTTCCTCACAACACTTATTAAGGGATTGGAATTCTCTTTTTTTAACAGATAAAGGTACTGTGGTTCAGAGAAGTTTGGCTTCTCCCTTAAAGTCACACAGCATGAAAAGTTAAGCCAGTATTTGAACAAAACTATTCTGACTTTCAAATATATATTTATTTTAATATTTCACCATGCAGAAAACAGATGTACTCAAGAATAATAAATAGAACTCCTCCAGAAAAAAAAAATGAAATACACATGAAATCCTTTAATGAAGCTTAAAAAATTGACTTTAGGAAACACTGAAGTTATAAAAAATATGTAAATTATAGTTTTATTTCTTCAAATGTTTCCTCCGTGTATTATAAATTATATTATTAACTAATGGAATACATTTACTTAGGCCATTTTTTTCCCAAATAGTATTGGAGGTGTAAGACAGAGGCAAGCTAAGCAGTAAATGGATAATGTGATATATTTAATTTTAGACACTTATAATAAACAGCACTCCGAGAAAATCACCTCTACTCCTACGTTAATACTGCTCAATCACAACACTACCTCAACCCCATCATCAACATCTACCACCAACATTTTTTTTCCAACAAAAATGGATTCTATTAGTATATTTTCTCTTGGTTGCTGAGCAACAAAATTTCTTCATGTAAGTATAAAAATACTGACAAACAAAGAGAAAACTGCTGAGAAGAAAACACAATAATAGACACCTCTATCAGCTACAGCCATCTGTGTTCAGTTTGACCCATGTTTTTGGCAAGCTTCTATTGTCCCTCCCATCCAAAGCTGTCTTGTCCTACAGAGAAAATTCTACTCCCACTTCCTTCATTTTCCAGCAAGACAGGGTCAACTGGTGTTCTAAATCTGCCAGGCTCTGGAATTAGAACACTAAAGATTCATTACTTGTAACTAATTACAACCTCAGTGGATAAATACGTTCCCTATTTTATTATGTGAAGTAATAAAATATTAAGCTGGCGTTGCAACACAGGCTGTTCTGTTCCACATAGCTATACTATACATGAATTGGTATTTTAATGTTTTTAGTGGAAATTTTAAAGTACTATCTTAAAAAAAAGAGACTATGGGTTAACTTTTGTGCAATTAAAGGATTGCCATACAGCTACTGGTGAGGAAAATTCTATGACCATATAATATAATCAATTCAAGTAACATTTAATAACTCTGAATTATGTTTCAAATTTGCCATTAGATAGACATAATCACAATTGGTTTTGGTATTAAAGTAATATATGAAATACATGTCTTGTTTTAAGCAAATCTCCTGAAACTGTCAAACATCTCAAAATTGTTAAAAAATTTGAAATTAACATGACAATAGAATTGAATACATTTTATTATTTTTTAATTTGAAGACAGGAGATCCCTAAAAGGTTAAATGCCATTAGCACCTGATAGGAAGCAATTTCTCAGAATTGTGCAAAGGATTTAGAAGCAGTGTCATGAAAAAAGAAAGGTTATAGCTGTTGGTGGATCCAGGATCTTTGCAAATGGGATTTAGGGACAACAATATGGATGGGATGGGGACAGGTGCATGGGAAGAGGTGAGGGGGCATGTGGGAAAGAGCAAGAATCGGGGTCCAAAGGCTTCATCTTGAAGCCGCATTTGCATAACAAAAAATCTTTCTTTTACTTTAAATTCCATGTTTTTGGGAGATGTCTTTGGGAGGATGCTGATGGAGATGTGAAGATCATGAGGAAGCTGTAGCCTCCTTTTCTCACTCCGAGTTTAAGGACTGGAGTCAACACTGAGTATAGGTTGACTATACTCAGTAAGTAAGAAATTCTAATCTGGGACTCCTCTGCCAACTAAGTGTGTTATATGAGTGGGCCACATAAACCCTATTGTTTCAGTTTATCATTTGAAAATGAGGTGTCAAATGACTGTCCTAGAATTAAAAACCTGAGACTCCCATTCCCATCCTAGAGCTCTGACCTTTACTTGGTATTGATTCCTCACCTTCCTAGCCTTAGGATATTAGTGACTCCACCAGAGGAAAAGTTAGAGTGTATGTGATAGTTATTCTTTTATATTTTTAATATTTGAAAATATATGACATTTTTAAACAGCACCGATGTTTTCAATAGCAAATTTTGTTATCTCACAGGATGATTGTTTCTATTTCTTGAAAAATGGAAACAATCTAAGACACAGATTACTAGAAATTGGTGCTAAGCATTTTAATCACTGCAGCATAGCTTAAAATAAAGTCTCCTTAAGGATTAAGCTACAGTTTTACAGAAAACCTCTCTAGTTAGATTTTTCCTGTGATGTGCTACAGATATGCTAATGTGAAAAAACCCAGTAGGGATATTCTTGCTTTGGTTATAAAATATTAATCCACTTCATGAAATAAAGCTAAACAAAAGCACTTATCAATGGGGAATCTCTTTTGATCCATAAATAAATAATTTGCCAGAACTGCACTTTTACAATTTGCCACAAATCCACACGAAAAGACGTCACATTAAAATGATGTTAAAAATCTGTCATTGAACTAGTGAAGATGCCATTAAGAAAATCATCACTTTAAAATAGGTCTGTTTTGAGCATCTGTGGGACGAATTCTATTAAGTTCCTTGGGTTTAGAAAATCTGTATTTCCTTTGTTTACCCTGTGTTTGTTTAGTATAAGAGCACCATGACTTACATATCTGATCTTGCTTCTCTGCTTGACTTGGCCTTTAGAAAGCTAAACATAAACTCAATGAGTTACCTAAATTACATATATCTGTATGCTAATCTTATATATTTCAGGATTATTTTTAGTAACACTTATTTTTACTACTTAGAGATTCATTTAAATATTGTATCTCTTTGTTGTATATATACTTTTGTAAACTGCTTCAAATCTATTGTAGAATGAAGCCAATGTATAAATAAAAATAAGAGTAAGTATTTTAACCAAAGAACAAAAATGTATATACCATAAAACACTACCCCGAGCAGAAGAAAGCCCATCTTCTTTGTGTATTTGCTTATTTTGAATATTTTATGAAGTAAGAAAATACTTTTCTGTCCAGGAAAACGTTTTAATCATTAGTTAGAAAATCTTCACTTAAAAAGTTACCAGAATTTATATGTTTTGTTAAAGAGTAGTTTCGAAAGATAGATAGTTTTCCCTTTTTTGGACTGGAGAAGCCAAGTCGACCTCAATTAAGAAAACTGCATTAAGTCATGGACAAAAAACGATTTCTAAATAGGCTCACAAACAAACACACACAATTCCATAATAGTCAATATTTTACTACCATCACTAAAAATTGAGAGATGAATATCCCTCATCTAAATCAGAGATAAGGCTTCTCTCTGAATGAAACAAAACACTGAATGAAATCAAATCAAATTAAATCAAATGAAAATGAAACAAACACTGAATATTCAAATATTCTAACTTGTTTGTTTCCTGAGCAACTAAACCTTTAAAAAAGTTTCACAATTCATAAATAACTTCACTTAAGGGGTTATAACTATTACTAAATTATGTCAACAACAATACAATAGTGGATGAAAAATAGCATTAACACCAGACTGGGCAGTATTGTTTAATGTCAGGCATGTTGACCAAAGTCATATAAACCTGGGTGCTAGTCTAGATTTGTGACCACACAGAAATAATGAAATTCCTTGTGTCTTTTCCTTAAAATGAACATAAAAATGCTTGACTTCCTTACAGGCTTGTTGAGGAAATTGAGAAAGGAAAAAAAAAAAAAAAAAGAATGGAACGGAACTCTAAAATACTTTAAAAATAGAAAGACATTTTCTTAAATGTTAATAGTCCTGTGCAGATCTATATTTTGAGGAAAAAGGGGAAGAGCACTAATAAACTTTATAGAGTGCCATTGTTTTTCTCACAAGAAGCTATGAAGTAGGCTATCCTTACCATTTTACAAATGAGGAAAATAAGATTCTGAGAGTAGCTGTGACAACATCTGAATCAAGCTTCTCTTAAATCAAAAGCCTGCATTCTTTCAACTAAACTTAAGGCAAGAGGGATTGTCCAGCAGTATTTTCTTTGCTGCGTGTTAAAATCAAGTTTACTGATATTATTGATGTGAAATGTTGAACAAGGATGGTAAATTAGAAAAAAGGAATGACAGTAATTAAAGTTATCAATATTAAAAGTAGTAATGTTTTCAAAGTTTCTATGTATTCACCTGTTTTCTGATGAACAACATGGTTTACGATAACAATAACTTAAGATCTGCTCTCTAAAGCAAAATTAGATAAGGTTGAAGGAGATGAGAAGACATGAGATGGTGTAGCATACACTGTGATATATATTTTCTAAAATGTTCTACTTTACCAAAACATCTATAGCATTAGTGGTCCCACTTTCCTTCACAGACACCATAAATGTTTCTGAAGTTTGGGTTACACGTTCTTAGCCAATCAAGTCATGTAGCCACTATCTTTTTATGAAGGAAAACCAGTCTTTTCCAATCAGTTAACTTCCCTAATTTCAGAAGAGGCTCTAAAGTCTTGGCTTAAGAGATGAAAAATGACTCCCCTACTTCAGCATGCATCACTGGTTGAGCTCCTGAAGCTTAAGCAGCATATTTGCAGCATTATCAACAGTAAATCCTTAGCTTATCAATGATTTACTGAGCATCTGCCTAGAGCCAGCCACACTGTAGGTGCTGTGCATATAGCAGAAACAGATGAAAAGCTTTCCCCTCATGAAACATATATTCTAAAGGGAAGGCACACCATAAACAGAATAAACAAGTAACATATGTGTTATGTCGGGTGATGATAAGAAAAAAGCAGAAACAAAAGGAAGGAAAGAGAAAAACGAAAACTGGAGGGAAGAAGGACTTTGCAAGGTGACTCTCAGAAATGATGTGGGGAAAGTGAGGAAGGGAGCAGTCCAGGCCAGAGCTGCCACAAAGACCCTAAGGAGGGGCGCCTGAGGCTGGGGCCTGGAGCTCTGATGGTTGCTGAACAAGTTCAGGCAAGGGGAATCAGGAAAAAAGAGGTCCAAACAGTAACTAATAAGAGCAGTCAACTAGGGTCTTCAGGGTCATTGTAAGAATTTGACTTTTACTATAAGTGAAATAGGAAGTTTTTGGGCAAATGAAATGATCTAAAAGATCACTCTCACTCTGGTTGCTAGACTAAACTGAAGGGGACAAGGACAAAGGCTGAGATGCCAGTTCATTCATTCATTCACTTAGTCATTCAACAGAAACTTATATTGTGTCTACTATGTTTGTTCCAAGTAATGTTCTAGACTCTTAAGATATGTTAAGGAACATAGCAGATCAATATATCTGCCCTCGTAGAAATTAATTCCAGTGGGAAGAAGACAGATCAAACAATAATCAACATTATAAATCAATAAATTATATCACTCACACCCACCCCTATACATATATAGTGTTCATATTTTATATAAAGGAATGAGATTGGTTGAGCTCCTCAGTGAAATTGATTAAAAAGAGAAAAAATTCAACAACTAGTTCCAGGGGCATTCCAACATTTAACATGTGAGGAGATAAGTAGAAATTGGTGAAGGAGGCTGGTAAGCCTTATGGGAGAGGAAGATGAAGAAATGCCGCAAGGCAATGGAAATCAGGCAGCATGAGGGGATAGTTACAATAATAAGTTATTAAAGGAAGATTTAGCCTAATTTGCAATGTGAGATAAAAAAAAATACTTGAAGTATGGGAGGTTGTTGTCCAGGCTGATGTCTGGAGAAAGGGTGTTCTATGCAGAAGGAAGAGCCAAGGCAAAAGCCCGAAGGCTAATGTGTGCCTAGCAAGTTCCGAGAATAGAAAGAAGCCAGTGTAGGTAAAGCCAAGTAAGAGAAGAGAACAATAGGAACACTGTCAGAAATCAACAAGAAGATGTCTTCAATAATCCAAGGGAAGAATGATGGTGTCTTAGACCAAGTTACTAACAGTGAGCATGATGAGAAATTATCATGAAATGATCATATTGAAATGAAATATTTTGAAGACAGAGCCAACAAGATCAACTGAAAGGTTGTAAGTAGGGTGAGAAAGAAAGTTAGGAGTCAAAGATAACGCTAAGATTTTTGACCTGATCAATCAGAAGGTTGGAATTGCCATCAACTGAAAAGAAGATGGGTGAAGATGGAATATGTTTTTATTGGGGAGAATATCAGCAGCTCAGATTTAAAAATGTTAATTTAAAATATCAGTTAGGAAGCTAATCAATGAATAAGTGATTGGTTATACGAATGTAGGGTTCAGAAAAGACATATGGGCTGGAGGCAAAATTTTGGAGTCATCAGTGTATATATGTCATTTAATGCTATGAGATTGAGATCCTCAAGGGAATGAGTATAGAGTAAAAAGAGAAAGACTGCAAGAACTGGCTTTAGGGATGTTCCAACACTTAGAGTTTGAGGACATGGTGAGATGCTTGCGAACGAGGCTGAGAAGTGATTGGTCCAAGAAATAAAAAAGGGTAAAAAGTCACAGAATATGATGACTCGGAAGCCAACCGAATAAAGCATTTAATGGAAGTAAAATCCACTAGGTCAAATATTCTTTAGATTAGCTACAATGAGCATTGAGAAAGGCCATTGGATCTAGCAATGTGTCCATCATAGTGGCCTCAGTAAGAGCAATTTCACTGGAGTGGCAGGGGCCAAGTCTGATGGGAGTAGATTTAAGAGATCATGAGAAGAAAAAATGCAGGTACAGGCAACTCTTTCAAAAAGTTTTGCTGCAAAGGGAAGAAAATAAATGAGCAACTGAAAGAATGGAAATATATTCCTGCCTTGGGATTTAGAAAGCAAAATGAAGAAATAACAGATTATAGGTTAATAAAGATTATAAAGGTTAATAGGGACCTAAACAAAGATTGATAGGGACCTAAAGTAATCCTACTACTGGTTCATCACCAAAATTTCATTTTATCTTATATTTTTTCATCATTAACATGAACAAGTATAGAAATATGAAAACAACTTTTTACATGGTGAGAATTATGTCTACAAATGTATAGAAATAATCATTCTTACAAGTAGCATTAGTTAGTGCTGTGTTGGAACTAAATGCACAGACTTCAGAGGCAGACTGCTGGGTTTAAATCCTGCTTCCACCATAAACCAACTCCATAAGCAACCTCCATGAGCCTCAGTATTCTCATTTGTCAAATGATGATATGTTGTATCTACCTCCAGAACCATTGCAAAGGCAAGACAGCACCTGGCAAGACTGTTTACCAGTGTCTAACAATAACATAAACGATTTATATATGTTAGAATCTGTGAATGATAAAAAGCCTTAGAGAAATGTCAAATAATCTGTAACAATCATCAAAAATGCCACTTGCTCCCACCTGCCAGTAGCAAAGCATGTTTCTAAATGTCTTTCAACATTTCTTCAAAGCCTTAAAATTCTTTGGTTTTTACTCACTGATCGTTTCTTAAAAATGCATACACGTCTGGAAACTGAAGAAGATTGTGGTCCTATAATCACTGTTTAATTACCACATATAAATTATCTGCCAATTAGATTGTTTCCTCTTCATGACTTAATTGTCCAATTTTGTCTCAGGATATTAAGAGCAAAGAAAAGCCAACAGTCTTTGTACAATGGGGGCATACGTGTTAATATATAATTACATGTGTGTATTTTATACAGAATGTTTGTTTAATAGAATATTTTCACCTGTCTGCATTCCCTATACTCTCCTTCTCAGTCAACATACTATTAAAATGGCTACTTTTGTCACAGACTACATAAAGCTTGAAATTATTAGAAAATATTTACCATATTCTATATTGGACACTTTATATTCATCTTGACCCACATTACCTGCCAGTTATTCTTTTCCTATTTCCACTCACGAGTGCCTAATTCGGAATACCACCTACTTTTATGGGTTTTATAAAGCGCTGGGCCTAGATTTATTAATTCTTGAAATACAGAACCCACCTCAGGGCCTATGCAGTTTGCTACAGTCACTAATGCAACAGTCCCTCACAACTAATGAGGTTCTTAGGCAGTTTTTCACTCTAATGATGACAAAGTGCAAGCTGCAGACAATGCAATGAAAAATTGATTCCACAAAATTCTAAGTAAATAACTATTTTTCAAAACTATTCCTAGAGCAGATTCCTCAAAATTGAATAAAACAAAAAAGAATTAAAATCATTAGGGTTTTAATAAAGATAAAAAAGTAATAAATTGTAAATTCATTGGAAGATGAGTTATGTCTATAGAAATCTAGCAGCAGGAGTAAATCAAGCATCCTGAAGATATATATAAAATATGCAGCATGAACATAATTAGCCATCAATAATCCTGTTTGTCATACACATTTGTACCCATCTTAAAAATTTATAAAGCCCTTTAATTCACAGCATTTTGTTCAATACATTTAAAAACATACCAATAGGGAAGAAACAAAATCAAAAAATTTATCCCAGGCTGTTTTTTAAAGAAACACTCTTGACTTCAAACACATAGGAAGCAGTAAAATGTTTTCCTATTTAAAATAATCTTCACACTCCATCCACTCCAACCCCATCATTATTCCAAAGAAGATGATTTATCACCTAAAAATTCAAAAATAATTCTCCACCTTCTTAAACTCCAGTGACTGCTTCCAAAGTGAATAGTGCTGTAGGTTAGAAGAGGCCCCTCATCTACCTTTGCTCTCCATTTGCCTTCAGCTCCCTTCTCTCAAATTCTCATCTTCTTCCCTGCTCTAGAAACCCTTGGAAGTCTTCCTAATTCAATTTAGGCTCCTTGCTACCACCACTAATGATGCCTAGGGATGTAACCGATCTGCTGAGGGCCTTAGCTGTGGTAGGCAAAAATTGTTTCCCTTTATTTTACACAATACATAAAAATACTTATGAATTTTTTTTTGAGATAAAGTCTAATTCTGTCACCCAGCCTGGAGTGCAATGGCATGATCTCAGCTCACTGCAGCCTCTGCTCCCAGGGTTTGAGTGGTTCTCCTATCTCAGCCTCCCAAGTAGCTGGGACTACAGGCGTGCACCACCATGCCCGGCAAATTTTTGTATTTTTAGTAGAGATGGGGTTTTACCATGTTGCCCAGGCTGGTCTCAAAATCCTGGCCTCAAGGAATTGTCTGCCTTGGCCTCCCATTTAAGGTGTGAGCCACTTTGCCTGGCCTTAAATGCTTTTTAAGCAACAAATCAGAGAGTGAAAACAAAGTTATTAAAAAGCATACATATATCATCATAGCTATAGGGCAAAGAGCTTTTCTCTTAACCAAAACCACAGACTGATCCAGCTTGATAGAAGAGTAGTTATGAGGATGCATTGTGAAGTTACTCAAGTCTGGATATGGTTTTCTTTCTATCTATATGAACTTAAGCGACTTATTAACTTATCTGAGACTCAGTTTCCATAGCTACAAAATGCAAATGATATTAGTATTGTATGGGTTAAATAAAATCCCTAAAAATGCACTTATCACTATGCACTTATCATTATGTCTAAACATAGCAATATTCAATAAATTTTATAATAATAACAGTTATTATATATCCAGCTCTCTTGCCTGTATTCTGCTTGTGAGGTTCAATACACAAGATATACAGACATTTAATCTAAGGTGCACTACTGTGATTCAAAACCCTGTGAAAGAAAATCATTTCTAACGTTTGTATCCAAAACTGACCTCACAAATGTCTCCATCATTTCTCTTGGAAATCTTAATAGTTTCTTGTGAAAATAAATTAATTTATTATCAGATTGCTAAAACTCATTTGTAATCATTAATGAATCATAGTCCATTTACCTAATATTCCAAACATACTTTTAATATATTATTTCGAGTGGCTCTTTTTTTCCTGGTTGTTAACTGAACTGCCAAAATCTCACTACCCACACCAATGGTTCTCTCACTGTGGAGTATGCATGGACCTCCATGCAAACCAGAGACCTGTTTAAGGAGTCCTGGGAAATCAACACTGTTTACATGATAATGCAAACCATCCTCTGCCTTTGTTCACTGTGTTGGCATTTATGCTAGAGGTGCAAAAGCAATGGTGGGTAAAACTGGTGGTACTTTAGCACAAATCAAAGCAGTAGATCCAAAGTACTTTAGCAGTAATTGTGTTCTTCACCACCACATACTCACAGTAAAACAAACAAACAAACAAAACTATTTCATTTAAAAAGGTAAATAAGTTTTCTTGAGAAAACAAAAAACGTATTAATTTTATCAAATCTAGACTCAACTTTGATGTCTTTTCAATATCCTGTGTGACACAAAGCAATATGTGCACAAAGACCCATTACTCTGTACCTAGGTATTGTGGTTTTCTCAAAGAAATGCATATGTGTAATTGAATTGTAAGCTGAACTAGCCACTTGATTTGTGGAATACGATTTTTACTCGAAAGAGCAACTGTTTCTTTTTAAATATTTGAGTATGCATAATCTTTTCTTTTTATCATGAACAAAGGAAGCCTGACACTTCCAGGAAAACAACAATATATGTTACTAATAGTGAAATTTGAGCTTTCGAGTAAAAATTCAAATTTGGAAAACTTCTAACCATCACCAACAGGTTGAGAGTCATATATTAAAGACTTTTATGATAAATTCCTTATCAGTTACACCAATAATTTTGAAATGATCAATGCCTGATATTTCTAAATCAGGAATAGGTAAAAAAAAATCATTACGAATGCGAGATAAATGTATTTTTATGTAACAGACTATGAAAAGTTTGCTGACAGGGTTTCATATTCCACACTGCAAGTAAGTCTTAAGAAACTGCCACTGTGGACTTCTGATGCAGTAGGCAAACTATTTCTCTATTATCCCACTCAAAATATCTGTGTAAGGATGGATTCTGCTTGTATATTTTAGCCAAAAACACAACATATTGCAATATATTGCCCAAGAAGATTTGAGAATCCAGCTGTATTCTATTGAGCTAGATATTAAAGAGATTTGTAAAGATGTAAGATAATGCCACTCTTTAATTTTTAGTTAGAAAAAATAAACTTTTTTAAAACAAAATAAACATGTTATATATTTAAAATATAATGTAGTTTTAAAATGAATTAACAAATATTTTTAATTTCCTCAGTTGTACTGTTAAAAGTGGTAAATATCAATAGACAAGACATGCTTACACAAAGTCTCCAGGGGTGTCCTTGACAATTCTTAAGAGCATAAAGGGGTCCTGAATGTAGCAAGTTTGGGAACTATGGCCTGGTGACTACCTGAATGTATAAGATTGCTTCCTTCCATTTAAACACTAAGCTCCATATCAGAACACCCACGTAAATTCCTCTTCCTTGTTGAGTTTCCTGACAGTTATCAATTCATTTGTAGAGCAGAGATAATTATTATGCTCTGACCTGAGTTCAATTAATGAGCAGCATCAGATTTATTAACTTCCTTCATTTCCTCAGCTTTTCTCTGGTGATTTATTCCCAAGTTATAAAGACATATGTTCTGATCTTAGGTCTTCTACCATCTTATTCAGCAAACATGTATGGAGCACCTACTATACATCAGGTAATATGCCACGGTCTGAAATAACAAAGACCAATAAAACAAGCCCCTGACCATCATGAGGTCTAACCACGTTCCTAAGTTGCATGTTCCTATGTAATACACATTAAAGGATAAATGCTTACTGAAGTACATATATCTATTTTTTGGTGAACCTAGAAAAATGCCACAAACTTTACATGGCCTATTCTAACATAATCAAGACTATCTAAGCTCTTCTGAGAACATAAAGAGACAAAATAAAAAGGTAATTAATCTTGTGTCTGAAACCCAAACACAATCTTTCAATGACATTACTACCAATGCCAAATCTTTGGATATAACAAGTAGCGTAAGTAAAGGTGTATAACTGGACACATCTTTGGAATGAACAATATCAGAGTCATAGTCATTAGCCTCTTACCCCAAATGTCAGAGCTAGGAAAAGAATGCAGATGAAATTGTTTCTCTTTTACCCGCTGACTCTCTGCCTGCCCATGGAATGTGATCAGCATGACTCTGCCAGAAACCTGAGTAAGCAACCCAGACTCTTATCAGTGTACATGAATAATTTTTTAAAATGCGCTGGACAAAGTCCAATTAAACAAACAATTTAAAAATCGCCTTTGATAACAAGAGGAAATGTATAACTTATTTTTGCAGAATCACAGTAAATTAATTGTTTGAGCAGAAGGAAAACAGCACTTTATTGTATACACTTGAAAAATCCAACCAATAATAATATGAAATTCTAGCTCACAACCACTGCTTTCAATATTCTTTGGAGAAACACATTTGCTTTTCATTTTCAAAGTGGTTGGATCTTGAGAACTCAAATTGGGTTTACAATTTCAGCACTTAAGTTCACAGAAGATATGCTGACTTTTTTTTAATTAAAAAAATCATCACATTGAATTCTCCCCAGATTTTTAAATGAATAGAACATAGTATATATGATAACTTTTCATATTGGTGTTACTTGACTTATAAAAAGTAATAAACAAATCATCCCCTATTAATAACAAAATTACTTATAAACATTTTTAATCTTCTTGCCTATTGCAGAGGCAGCACTATTTAATACTTTCATGCTAAGCCAATCTTTGCATAGCTAATGGGTAAATAAAAAAGACACAATAAATCTAATGATAAAACTGAGCATTTATTCTCATTCTCCATAGTATTCTAATAAAATGTACTACACTGAACCAAACAACAGCATCTAATAACATAATCTGTTTTACAGTTTAACAAATTCATCTAAAGTCTGGAATGACTTAATTTCCTGCCTTCAATCAATATTTTGGTTTTCAAACTAATCAAATATTTTCATGTAAGTATTCATTCCAGAGAAGAAAGTTAGAGAGAGGATTGTGGGTTTAGAAGATGGATAACTTCAAATCAAAATTCAATTACATATAAATCATGGCCTGAGCTACACCAAATAGCTCAACATATAAGCCCTATATTAAAATATTTTTTAAATAATTAGGTAAAAGAGGTTATTTGGCTTAGAAATCCTTTCAGTGCTATGTAGGTAAAGATAAAATTGAATTCCCCTTAGAATTATATCTCTAATTAATATGGTCCTTTAAGCCATAAATATTCTTCCCCATCCATAGATAGACATAACCAACTACTATGAAAAAAAATCACAGAGGATACAAAAATATATAATAATAATAATAAATTATCATTTAAAATAAAGAAAATCCCCACCTCCTCCCCCCAAAAAAGAAAAGAAGCAAGAAAACAAGCACATGAGCCTCAATTTCACTTGCATGTTGTGTCTGGGTCACTGCCAAGTATCACAAACCACATTTGATGTTTGTGTTTTTGGCTGACTGACACTAGAATGTCTTTGAGGGGCCTGGGGAGGGAAAGAATGAACTGAGAAACAGCAAACAAGAGTTTTCTGGAGTATAGCTATATCATTTCTAGTTGATTATCAAAATAACATTGAAAGTAGTTCAATTAAAAAGCAAATCAACGATACAAGGAGGCAGTAGCCTAAAATACACTCCAGGGAAGGCTGAGCTTGGAATTCTTTTGGCTTATGCTATGAAACACTAATTTCTTACTCACCAACAAACAGAACAGAGTGTATCTATCCCATGGCATTGAACTCAGTATTGTCAAGAAACAATCCCTAGTCTCTGATTATTCACAGCCCATTGCATGCCTTAATTTAAGAGGGAAAAGGAAGGATTATCCTAAGTCAGAAGACAGTGTCTAAAATGTTAAGGCAGATGAAATCAGGAATCTTCCAAAACTTGGCTCAGCACATTAAAATTAGTCACTGTCTATAAAGAAACTGCCAAGACTGCTGAGGATGTGAAAGTTAATACTGTCCTGGTGTACACTGTCAGCCCATCCTCCATGGCCACTCTTCCTGAAGAGCTATGGTACAATGCTGATTCCTACCAAAGCTCTTCATTTTGGAATAGGTCTTCTTAATTCTGAAAGTGCCCATCTTCTGGTAGCCTTCCTTATTGAGTGGTATTTAGATTACCTCAGCAATTTAGCTTAGATATATGGATTTTTTCCCCTCTGAAATGGCTAAAGATTTCTCCTTAACCTTATATATGTGATTGCTATAAAGTAAAATATAAAGTGAAAAGAAAGTTTGTTGTTTAGTTGCAACCAAGATTAAAACTAAAGTTTATGTAACTCTCTGTTAGCCTTTGACAGAACATTTTTAGGTGTTCCTGTTCACAAATTTAACAATAAACAATGAAGGTAAACAATTATAGAGAGTAAATATAAAGAGAATGATTTTTCTAAAAAGCAAATCAACAAATAATAAATGACTACAAAATCATTACCTCTGCTCTCTGTGTTCTGGGAAAAGCAGTTGATTTTTCTATGGCATAAACATCCACCAGGTAAAGACATGCTCCTTGCTCCCGGTCCAGAATGGCTGCGGTCTGAATTATACCAGTATGTCGTCCAATAGTAAAGAGGCGTCCAACAGTTTTTTCTTCACAACGAACTGAAACAATATAATACTCCACTGGGGCCTCAGATCCTCTGGGGCTAGCTGCTTCTATTGATATCACGTTTGTGCCAATGGGTTCTCCTTCCTTCAAAATAGTTATATATTTGGGTTGAGTAAAAACAGGTCCATCAAGGCCCTGAAGAATGATGGTCAATTCAGTGGTCGATTTCCTCCTTTCAGGCCCAAGGTCTGTTGCTGAAACTATGAGATTGTAGATCAACTGTGAAGGCACCAACGCTGAAGCCACTCTCAGGTCTCCACTATAACGATCAACAATGAAGGTGTCTGTGTCCCCATTGATGATCTCATACTCTATTTCTCCATTAGCACCTTCATCTGGGTCAGCAGCCATAATTGTTGTCAGAACGGAACCAATCACAGCTGATGGGTCTGCAGCAAGGGCGTTTTGTGATATAAACATTGGGACATTGTCATTGAGGTCTGTAACCAAAATGGTCACGTTCTTCAAAGCATACCGTCTAGTTTCTATTGGCACAGCTTGATCATTGGCTTTTACAGTCAACTCAAAGAGATTAGCAAATTCCCGATCTATTTCAGCATTAGTATATATAGTCCCTTTGACTTCATCTATGGTAAAGTGGTTGCCTCTTGGCATCTGTTGAATGATTGTGTAGGATAGTTGACCATTAATGTCTGCATCAGGGTCATGTGCAGTCACTGAAATGACAGATGTACCGATGGGAATGTTCTCAACAATAGACTTGAAAATATCTCCAGGAGGAAAGCTAGGAGGATTGTCATTAAAGTCCCTCACGTGAATAACCACTGACATTGTAGATGAACGAGGAGGTCTTCCTTGGTCTTTTGCTGTTATATTTAATTTATACAAAGACTGTGTTTCAAAGTCCAGTTTTTTGGCAAGAAAAATACTCCCAGTGTTTGGGCTAATGCTAAAAGTTCCGTGGTTGTTAGTCCCAGTAATACTGTAATATAAATCAGCATTGTCACCTGAATCGGAATCAGTTGCAGTAACAGAGGACACGAGTTCACCAATTCTCATGTTTTCCAAAACATCAACAAAGAGTGTTGATTTAGGGAAAGAAGGGGTATTGTCATTTTCATCTAAAATATCAATATTTAAAGTACACGTTGAATTGAGGGGGATTGTCCCTGAATCCACTGCTTGAATTACAAGGGAATAGGCAGGTGTTGCTTCATAGTCTAATTTGCCAATTAGTGTTACCTGACCAGAGGTACTGTCTATAGCAAACTGTCTTTCTTCATTTCCTTTTATTATAGAATAGTGAATAAGTCCATTATTACCTTCATCAACATCTGAGGCAGATACTCTTAACACTTGTGTCAGATTGGCTGCTGATTCTGATATTGTAGCTTGGTAAAAGTCTTTTAAAAATTTGGGAGCATTATCATTTATATCCTTCATGTAAACATGTACAGTGGCCTGATCCTTGAGAGGCTGAGGGATCCCCTGATCTGTTGCTATGACTGTAAAGCTAAACACAGCAGTCCCTCTCCGCCTCATAAGAGACTCCCTGTCAAACTGATGAGTATTTGTAATTTCCCCACTGATGGCATGCAACTCAAAATCTGGCTGCACCATTTCAAAAGAATACCTTACTTCTCCATTTGGCCCAAAGTCTTTATCTACAGCACTTACTTTGCCCACAAACGACCCAGCCCTCTGCTCTTCTTCGAAGTAAAATGTGTAATTGGTACTGTTAAAAAGAGGTCTGTTATCATTTACATCTTCTAAAATTACAGTAACATTCACAGTAGCACTAAGGGGTTCCACTGCTCTGTCAGAAGCAACAACCATTAAAACATATCTGTCTTGAAGTTCACGGTCCAGTTCACTTTTTATATACAATTGACCATCTGGGAATATGCCAAAAGCATCCCCTGTATTTCCTTCAGCAATGGTGTATGCAATTTCACCATTTGCTCCTGAATCCTTATCAGAAGCTTGTACTTTAAAGAATCGAGAATTCACAGGTTCTGACTCAGAAAGGGTGACTTCATAAGAGAGTTGGTCAAACACTGGTGAATTGTCATTTACATCATGGACATAAACTGTTAAGATGACACTAGAGGAGAGCTGTGGGACACCCATGTCAGATGCCAAGATCTCTATTTGGTAGGAGCCAGCATGAACATCCAGGGGCCCAAGCAGACTAATAGTGCCATTCTTTTCATTGATAGCAAACAGGTTCTTGGGGTTTTGCTTCAGACTATAGAGTACCATGCCATTGACACCTTCATCAGGGTCCACAGCTTTGGCCTGGAAAATGCTGTGACCTGCCTGCCAATTCTCCACCACATTTACACTCTCTATTGCCTGAAGGAAATGGGGAGAGTTGTCATTCAAATCCTTAACTGTTATGTTAACCATAGTGTCTCCAGTCACTGTGCCCCCACTGGCCACTACCTTCAGCTGATAAAAGGATTGCTCTTCTCTATCAATCACATTTGCTGTGGTAAGCTGCCCAGTGACCTGGTTGATAGCAAACATACCTTTCTGATCCCCAGTAGTAATGAGATAACTGATGTTGGAATTGAGATCCATGGTGGATGCAGACACACTACCCACATGATATCCCAGCGCCACGTTCTCAAAAACCACAAAGCTGTAGGCAACCTGACTGAATACAGGTGGGTTGTCTTGAGTGTCCAATACAGTGATGGTTACTATTGCCTGGTTGGGAGATTGTAAATTGCCACCATCAGTAGCTACTATTTGCAACTGATAAGCTGTTTTTTCTTCTCTGTCTAGGGCCATTCTTGTAGAAATAACCCCACTCTGAGCATTGACCTGAAACCGAGACCTGTCCCCAGCAGATATGCTATATTTGACAGTACCATTGGTACCCAAGTCTGGGTCAGTGGCAGACACAGTGGTGATGTAGCTACCTCCAGGCTCATTCTCCTTAATGTGAGCAAAGTATTGGACCGGGTAGAAGACAGGGCTGTTATCATTTATATCCAGAAGACTCACATTTATGCGAGCCATTGATGACTGGGGAGGGGAGCCCAGATCTGTGGCCAGAACCAACAGGGAGTAGAAGGCTTGCTCTTCTCTGTCCAAGGAGGAAATAGTACTCAACCTCCCAGACACAGGATCCAGACGGAAGGACCTCCGGTCAGTCTCTGCCTCTTGTAAGGAGAAGCGCACTGTTCCGTTGTCACCCAGGTCCCCGTCAGTTGCCCTGAGCATCAACAGTTCTGTCCCTGTTGGGGCATTCTCAACCACAGACACATCATACCCTTCTGGCTGGCTAAATACTGGCTTTTCATCATTCACATCTAGGAGAGTTACTACAAGCTGGGCATAGGACACCTTGGGGTGAACTCCCTGGTCCCGGGCACTTATATTCAGAACAATCTGGGAAGCAAGTTCACGGTCCAGGCCCCCAGAGGACCCAGTGGTCACGAGGCCGCTATGTTCACTGATATGGAACCATCCCAGTCCATTGCCAGAGACAATGCTGTAACGCAGATTAGCATTGAGACCAGAGTCGCCATCAGTGGCAGATATCCCACTCACATAGCTTCCCGGAGGCGCCTCCTCGCTCAGGTTCACTCTGTACACTTGCTGTGAAAAGACAGGAGGATGGTCATTGATGTCATTAACAAAAATCACCAGGCTTGCCACAGAAGAGCGCGCCTGGACTGCTGCGCCAGGGGGCGCCCCGTAGTTATCAGAGACGGAAACTGTGAGGTTGTAGGAAGGGATGCGCTCGCGGTCCAAGGCGCTGGCCACCTTGATTAGGCTCAGGTTCGGCACTTTGCTGCTTTGCACTTCAAAGTGGCGCTGCTCATTGCCCCCGAGAATTTGCACGGAGATGTTCCCGTTGGCCGCGGGAGAATCTGCGTCCGTCACGGTGAGCAGAGCCACCACGGTGCCCACTTGAGCATTCTCATCTACCGAGGCGTAGCGCGAGGTGGCCGGGAAGTAGCGGAACTTCACTACCGGGTCATTGTCATTCACGTCCAGCAGCTGAATCAGCGCCTCGGCGCGCCCAGTGAGGGAAGGCACGCCTCTGTCCATCGCCTGCACCGTAAGCGAGTATTGGCGCCGAGCTTCGAAGTCCAGGGGCTCCCGCACCGTGATAAGTCCCGTCTCAGGGTCCATTTGGAAGGGGGTCCCCTCGTCCTGCAGGCGATAGCGGATGTCCGCGTTGGTGCCCTCGTCCGCGTCCGCCGCCGCCACCTGGAGGACGCTGGAACCCACAACCGCGTCCTCAGGCACCCCCGCCTGGTAGTGAGAACTGCCAAAAACCGGGGGGTTGTCATTAATGTCTTGCACAGTCACGTTTACCTGAAGGTAGCCCCGCCGCTTAGGCTCACCCTTGTCCTCCACCTCAACCAGGAGCTGGTACTGCGGAGTGACCTCACGGTCCAGTCCGCCCTTGGACACCAGATGCAGGAACGCTCCCTCGCCGCTCGGGTTCAGGGTGATGTCCAGACGGAAGCGCCCCGCCTCATTGCCGCGGATGATGCGGTAGGAGCGGTGGTCCACACCGTTTGAGCCGATGTCCGAGTCGGTGGCGGTGTCTAAGATGACTTGGCGTCCGCTGCTACTGTCTTCCTTGAAAGTGACCACGATAGAGGGGTCCGGGAAAACGGGGGCGTTGTCATTGAGGTCCCGCACCAGCACTCGCACTTCGGTGGGGTAGGTGGGCGCGCTGGAAAGGACCACCAGGTTGATCACGTCGCTGGGCAGGCTCTCGCGGTCGATGGTGGAGGTGGTGTACAGGGCTCCGGTGCTACTGTTTATGGCAAACAGGGCGTGGCTTTCGCTGAGCCTGTAGGTGAAGCCGGGGCGCGTCTGGATGGTGCCTACCAGAGTGCCTGGAGGTTGCTCTTCCAGCACTTGGAACACCTGGCGCGGCTCGGCCCCGTGGACCCAGGCCTGCCCCGGAAGCAATGACAGTAGCCAAAACACTCGAAGGAGCTGAGATACTGATAGAGTGTGCAACGGGAGCCACGGGCGGCCAGTAGCCCTGTCTGGTGCTAAGTCCATGGTCCTGGCTCCCTAAAACGATGTGATAAAGAGAAGGAAGGGGTGAAGCAAACGCAATGATATTTACAGGGATTAAGGAGCGCCAGCAAAGATTCAGCTGACGGCTTGGTCTGAGACCTCTGCTATTTCAAAGAACCTCCAGTCCGGCAAAAGCAAGTAGCATCAGCAAAAGACTCTAGGTAGCCAGTTGAACGCGGAGTGCAAGAGAGATGCTGTGGCGAAAAGCGGCAGGGCATTCCGCGGGACACTCCTGTGAGCTGAGTTCCCAGAAAAGTTTCTCAAGCCTCTTATATATGCCCCCTTTTACTTTGTTTTTGAATCCAGATAGTCTGAGCGTTTTCACCCGGGTGGATGAGAGTTGGGAGAAGTTGCCTGTATCTAAGGTATATGAGGAATCATTGCAAAGAACGGTCTTCAGAAACTTTAGAACTTACCCGCAGCGAAGAACGTGAAGAGGGAGGAACAAACGTCCAAGCACAACTGCGCACCGGGGAAGGGGTGGTGGGGAACCGGGAGAATCGAATTTCTTTCCCAAAAGCTGGAGGCGATGGAATTCCTGGAGTCCCCACTCCTCAAAAACCAGGCTGCAACGCCCCTCCAACAGGGCGCCGGCAGTGGCCGCTGAGGCCCAGGCGGCGGCGTCTGCGCGCAGGCAGTTCGGGAACTGCGTTCCAAGCGCTAGCGTTCGCGCTCTGGCTCCCGTACCCGGGAGCGCTCAACTCTGCCCCTTCCCCTCCTGCAGCCGCCGCCGCCGCCGCCCCTGTTGCGGCTTCAAGCCCGTGGTCCGGCACAAACAACAGCCAGGGCTCCTCGGCATTTTTCACCTCTGCCGGGGCGCCTGCCGACCCATTATTTGTACATCCAAATCGAACGCAGTTTCCCCTTTCTTCTCGGCCTCGCAGGGGTCGGGCAGAAACAGCGTGCGGTCCCCGAGTCGCCCTCCCCTCACCATGCCAGGGGGGGTCGTTCTCCGGCGGCCCCAGTCAGAAGCCCACTCTAGCGCGCCTCGCCCCTGCCCTCGCTATCTCTGCTTTTATTGTCCCGTGTCAGTTTCACTTTGTAATCCACAAGGCTTTTTGTTTGGGGCGGGGGGTGGTTGATGCCTCTCTCTCCTTCACAGTTGGCAGCGGAGGCGGCGAAGTCGGCGCTGGGCTGTAGTGACGCCCTCCGCAGCTCCGGACGGCGCCTGTCAGCGCTCTCCCTCTCGCCGGCCGGGGCCGAAGGTTGGACTGCGGTGGAGCTAGGGCTCCGCGAGCCCTTCTCCACCTCCCGCCTGGTCCCTCACACTCTCCCCGCCCCTTCCCCGCCGCACAGGCATGCACACACACACACATACACACGCACACACACACACACAGCGCGTCGCCGAAACACAAACAGAGGGGGAGGGAAGACCGCGAGCTGGAGCAGCACTCAGAAACTTTGCTCGACACTCATTGATCCCCGCACTTTAGTTCGCCTGGACTCCCCCTAGCTCCCAGTCCTGTCACCTTCTGCCCCTCCCTCGCCCCAGCCCCATTGGGCCGGAGCTGAAGCAGCCCCGACCGGCACTCCTACCGCGAGCGCCCTCCGCCTTGCCCGGCCTCCGACTGGCTTCTCGGGATGCTAATCACTTCAGCCTCCCGGAGGGCTGTAGGCGGTCTGGTGTGGGAGCACAGCGAGGCGGAGGCGCTAAAAAGGGGGGTGATTTTTTTTCTTTTCTTTTTTTTTTTTTTTTTTCCTTTTCGGCCAAATCTTGGCCGGCGTCAGAGCAATAACAGCAAAAGGCTGCCGCAGAATAGATGGGGGTGGGGTCAGGTTTGCAGATAAATAACTTTAGTGGCAGGGTCTGGGGGAAGACCGTTAGGTTGTTATGCTAGTAATAACTCAGGGGTAAGGGGGTCGAGAGAAATAAAAGAAAGGCGGGGGGTGAGGGTCTGTTAAAGCGGGGAGGAAGGATTAAGCAAAGCCTGTCTGGGAATGCACAGTGCAGATTTGCTTTAACCATTTCCTGCCCCTTCTCTCTTTATGCAAGGGATAGAGCTGCCATACAGTGTGATCCCACAGAATCCAAATCAAATCCTCCCCTTTGCTCCTCTTTCTACACAGTGGGCTCCCTGCTGTCTAGGGCGAGCTAAACTCTAAATCTTCACTCACTTGCCCCTCTCCCCCACCTTCCAGGTGACTAGGGGGCAGGAGGCCTCCGTAGCAAGGGCACTTTGGACTTCCTACTATAGGAAAGGCCAGGGGAACTCAGTGTTTGTTTTGTTTTCTTTCCCAACTGGATTCCAGGTGCCAGTAGCCCAAACCTTAGGGTTTCAACAACAATAATAATGGCAGCCCTTTGAAAAGAGGGAGATCTTTTCCTGTTGCAAAGTTAGTTTGGAATTTTGATCCCTGATGGAGTATTTCCACCTCCACATTTTTTAGTCAAAGGAAACCTAATAAAGTTTTATTTTGCTTTTCAGTCTGGGAGAAATAGATACGAGAAAGTAGAAATAAATAAAATAATATTTAAGCTTAAGTTTTTAAAAATACCCACATGCCACTTAATGCACTCAGATCAACTCACCCACTATTCACTGCAGTTAATTTTTGTGGTGGCATGCATCGTTTCTTTAAAAGAAGAAAAACGTTACTAGGAATCAGATCGATATTTTTCCCCTTTAAGGGAACCAACCTAGAAAATAAGAATTCAAGCCAAACAATGCAAATACAGGGCATATGTCATACATTTCTGCCACAAGGATCCCTCACAAACGTAAAACTTTCTGCGCCCAGAGAGGGTTCAGTCATGAGTAAATACTGCCCTCTGCTGTTCTACGTCAGTCTTACATCTTTAGTCTCCTGGTTTCTTGCTTAAAATTAAATGCAGAGACTAAAAGGATCGGATTACAAGGCTAATTCCTGCTTCTTGCCTAGGGATAGCAGCAAAGAAAACGATCTCTAAGACTTTCCTAGTGCCTTTCTTATTTAGAGTAAAAAAAAAAAAATCAAGAATAGTAGGACAGACAGCAAATTCAAGTCTTGATGATGCAGGCAGCCTGTAACTCAAAACTGATTTATGGAAACATGATTTCTAAAGCTATCACCAATTCCTCTGTTTAGGTTAAAAAGCTAACTTCTACATATTCCTCTACTGTAATGTAATGAGTTAACTGGAAACAGACAAAAAAGTTAAATTTAACCATTTATGTATTTTAAAACTTGAAAACATTAGACTCTAGACTTTTTAGAGACATTTAAGCCTGTTTTTCAAAAATCGTATTTTTCTTAAGTTACAATCCTAACACCATTATTTTTGGTATAATTTAGCCAAAAAATATTTGTAGATTAACTAAAGTGGCAAACAAATTTTTACAAATTTTTACAAATCATGTCTGTGTGATTTTAAGAGAATATTACTGTTTTGTTTTATTTTGTTTCCTAATGCACTATTATTCAAGTATTTATAGAGAAATAAACAGAAAGAAATCATTCAGATACTTGTTGTAGGAGATCATGGACTTTTGTTGGTTTGCTTGTTTTTTTTTGCCTGTGGGATAATCTTCAGATTTAGTGTCAATAGTATTACATTTGCATTATATATGAGTGAATTTAATTTGGGAAACAGGTGAAGATCATTCATTCTGTGAAATGGAAAGTATTCAATCAGTGCAATATGTATACATTTTAGTTTTACAAAACAAGATATGGCAAAATAAACTAATACAGAAAATATATAGAGAGATAGAGTACATAAAAATTTTTTGGACAATTTCAAAAGAGGATTATCGAAAATTATTTAGCCAATAGTGTGGTTATTTTAACAAGTAGAAACTTTTCGCATGATGACTACTTTAAAGTAACATATTCATTTATAGATAAAACCTATACATGAATTTACAATCTATGTATAGATAGGTACACAATTTAAGGTAAGATATAGAGCATGGTTTTAATAAAAGACAAAGGTATTTTGTTGTTACTTTTCTCTTTTGCATTTCAACCTGTAATATCATGCATGTTAAAAAATGGATGCCCTCCCAAAAAGTAAATCATGCATGATAAATAATATGGATCCCTCTCCAAAAGTAAATGAAAGAAAGTAAAGACATATAGAGATCATTGTATGCATGAAATATGCAAAAAAGCCATGGAATACATTACTAGGTAGATATTATAATGGAACACATTAATAAACAGTTAGTGTAAGAATCATTTCTCATTGTACATTTTCTTTAATTAATTGCCTTTCAAAAAAAAAAAGTTAAGTTTATCTGTGCTTTTCTACCAAAGGCTTGTGTGAGAAGTGTTGTTTAGTCAAAGCTTTTAATAAAGTTCTGAAGAGGAAGATATTCCCCGATGTTAATAGACTGTGGGGGACATATTTTTATGTCCAAATATGAAAGAAACCAGAGAATACCTCATTTGAACCTTAGAACATACGTTAAAACAAATAGCTCTGTAACAATTTGTTATGATCTATACACATTTGCCATCATTATTTAATTAAATGTATGAAATTATGTTTTTGTCATGTTTTAGACTCCAGGTGGCAAAGGCTAGGTTAATTATATTCCTCAATTCGTAAGGCATTAGCAACATTATTCCAGGAAAGGGTATTCTCTCAACTTCCTGCTTTCCTCCCCTCTTCTCCTTTCTTCTCCTCTTCCCTTCCCTTCCTTCTCCATCCCTTGTACTCCCTTCTCTTCCTCTCCCTTTTCCTCCCTTTCTTCCCCTCATTTCCTCTCCTTTCCTCTCTCCCTCTCCTTTTTTTTCTCTTTCCTTCCAATTCCTTCTTCTTTACACCCTTCTCTCCCCTTCCCTCCTCTAGGCTCTTCTGTCCTCCCTTCCACTCCTCTCCCCTCACTTTCCCCCTTAATTTACACCTTATACTATTATTTTACGCTGGACTCTCTTTTGCTCACTTTACTCTACCTTCCTGTACTCTACTGTACTTCCTTATTGTTCTTCACTCTCCTTACCTCATCCCCAGAGGCAAACATTCTGAGTGAAATGTGTATCTTTTTGTTTCTATGTGTTCTTACAAAATGTGTATTATGTAGTTACCTTGTATTTTTGAAATAAATTATATTGCATTATATTGTGTATATAGCTCATCCTATTTCTTATCTTTTCACCAAGCACTATGTTTTTAAGATTTATACATATCGCTATGTGTATATCTGAACTGTTGTTTCTGACTTTTGCAGTTTACTTTAATGTGTACAACCATTCATTTCAAAATATCCACTTACACAGTTATAGACATCCAGTTTTCCTCCAAACCTTTGTCATCACAGTAAGTCTGCACTGAACATCCTTGCAACTGTCCCCATATGGAAAGGAATAGAAATATTTTTCAGATATATAGTGTAAATGGAAAAAGACTTTACACAGTATCTGAAACAAATAGCTGACTGGACTGCTTGCTAAACAAGAGGGAGCTGTGTTTGTAGGACTGTCTTTCTGAGCAAAACAGAGAACTCATCTTATTTAGATTTGGGGAAGCATGGAGTTAATAGATGGCAAACTTTCAGAAGTAGGAGGGGTTAGAGATAGGTTAACTTATGTAGAGGGCAGTTTTTGCAGATTGGCTGGATTTCAGAAGTTTGGTTACTGATGTAAATTCAACGTTGATTTGGAATGGTTCTAAAACTGGTTTGGTAAGTACAAGTGGATAGGATTTTTGTCGCCTTCATCTGTTATTGTTATTTTTGTCTTCTTAATCAGTTTTCATTATTTCATTATTTCTATCTTTTATTTCTTTGATCTAGCTCTGTTATTTTCCAATTTCCTGTGATAAATATTTAATTCAGTATTTTATTTTCTTATTTCCTGATAAGTATCTTGAAAGCTATAAATATTCCTCAAAATACTACATTAACCTAGTCCCACAAAGTATTACACATTCACTTTTAAATATTTATGTTTGGGGCTGGGAGCGGTGGCTCACGCCTGTAATCCCAGCACTTTGGGAAGCCGAGGAGGGCAGATCACAAGGTCAGGAGATCGAGACCATCCTGGCTAACACGGTGAAACCCCGTCTCTACTGAAAATTCCAAAAGTTAGCCAGGTATGGTGGCAGGCCCCTGTAGTCACAGCTAGTTGGGACGCTGAGGCAGGAGAAGGGCGTGAACCCATGAGGCGGAGCTCGCAGTGAGCCTAGATCGCACCACTGCACTCCAGGCTGGGCCACAGTGCCAGACTCCGCCTCAAAAAACAAACAAAAAACAAAAACAAAAACAAACAAAAAATTTATGTTTTGGTTTTCTCTATAGCACAAGATTATTTATTAATATATGATTACAGTTCGGAATAAGTCTAGTCTAAGAGCCCTCTCCTTCAGCAAAACCTGCTGCCTTTCCCCACCTTCCTTGATACATAGAATCTACATCCCTTTGTTACTAATTATTTATTGTGTTACATTAAAAGCAGGTAATCTGTGATAGAAAGAAGTCTCCAAATTCTCTGCTCTCATGTTTTTTTAATCCACTCCAATTAGAGTTGTACCCAGAGCACTACACCAAAATTTTTCTTATCAGAGTCACAGCTGATTACTTCCTTCTCCTTGATTCACTTTTCCTCATTTGCACTGCAGGACATCCTCCTAAGTCATGGACCACTGCTTTTCAGTCTGAGGCATTTTATAATGTCGTGCCTCAGGGCTAAAGAGAGGAATTGCCTTCTTCTCTTTCCCATGCCCACTCAGTCCCATGGTCACCTTGTTCTGTCTCAAGACTTCCAACAAGTTGAGAAAACTCAGAAAAAAATATTAATTATGTGGTTCTTGGGTGCAATATTCTATCCATATCCATTAGATTGTTTGTTAACTATGCTATTACAATCTTATGTATCATTACTGATTTTCTGTTAGCTTCATATATTGATGACTAAAAAAGGTATGTTCAAGCTGCATTTATGATTGCAGTTTTAATTCTCCTTATAGAGTTATGTAGCTATTCTTGCTTTATGTTGTAAGGCAATTATATATGTACACACACACGTATAATTGCCTTACAATGTGAAGGAAGAAGAGCTATATATAAGTATGTACATATATATGTGTGTGTGTATATATATGTATATATGTAAAGTCATTCCTTACATTATACATTATAATGTATAATTATAATTACATTATAATTGTAATGTATGGTTTTAATTACATTATAATTATATGATTATAATTACATTATACATTGTAAGGCAATTACATATATTGTAAGTCATATATATATACACACAGTCATATATATGTGTGCGTGTGTATATATATATCTTTCTGAATTTCCTTTAGAATGGCAGGTGTTGTTAGGAACATTTTATTGTACCCTTGCTCTCAAAATATTTTTTTCCTTTAAGAATACAGTTCTAAATTCAAAATAATTTTAGACTTATTTAGACAGAATTTTTTTGCCATGTGCCATTCTTGTGCACATACATAAAAAGGAAATATAAAGGAAATAGCTTAGTTGGGTATTTTTAATACTACACATAGTTCAATTCATATGAATTTTTTGGCTCAAATCATTACTATCCATATTTATTAGCACAGTTTTTTTTTACATGGAAATTTGGCTTTAACTGTGAATATAATTCTTCTTTTAGAAGAAATCTGACATTTGCCAGGACATCTCATGTCTTCCATGTATCGAATGTCACTTTGATTTTTTTTAAGTTTTCTCTGTGCATACTTCTGAATAACTTCTGACTTGTCTTCCAGTTCACAAGTTCTTTATTCTGCTATTTTGATCTGCTTTTAAACTCATCCATTTGATTTTCAATTTAATGAATGAATTCTTATACATAAATGTTATCCTATGTTGTTTCATAGATAACTATCCTTTGCAGTTATATTCAAACTTATTTTCTACTTCTTCAAGAATGTTAAATATAGTTTTCCTGTTGTTTTATATTTGTGTCTGACAATTTCAATATCAGAAATATTTAATGGTCTGTTTCTGCTTTGTATTGTTATTACTAATTTTAGCTGATCATAAATTGTTTTGTTGTGTGATTAGTTATGCTTGAATGTAAGCTACTTATTTTAATTGAAAAATTATTTGTGGGTGTTCCTTGAGGCTTAAGGTAGGTGTGCCCCTATAAAGAAAATCTGATTATGTTTCTATTAGGTGCATGTGGGATACTACTCATCTGCAACCACTACTGTTTTCATTGAAGCAAAGATGCCAACAATAAAAAGCAACAATATTTTATGAATTGCTAAGTAATGCTGCTAAATAAATAATAAAATACTCTCTTTTCTTTGAATTTTTATTTAAAAAATTATTTTACACTCATCTAAGTTGATGTTATGTGTCATTTTCTGTATCTATAAAAAGGAAACTATAAGAAAAATGAATTGGGCAAGGCACCCTTAGATCATCTTCATATTGAAAATCCATCTGAAAGGGGTGCAGCATTTATTGAAAGGAAGAGTGCCGTATCATTGACTGTGTTTGTGTGTTAACATACTGACACTGCCTCTTCGACGCTCATGTACATTCAATAGTAATTAAGTCACAACTGCTTTCCAGCCTTTAACAAATCAGTACACATTTCCACCTATTAAATATTACTTTGTGAAATAAATGGGACTCGAAAAAGTGAATATTAAAACAATAAAATATGATAATTCGCAACATAAGGTTTTGTTTTGTTTTAGTTTTTTCTGTACCTACCTAGTAATATGATTTTGAGAGTTGCTTTATAGCTTAAACTTCTCATATTTATCCACTCCCACAACCCTTGTCTAATCAGTGTCAAGGCAACTTCATTTACAGTCTTTTGCAGAAGGCAGGGTGACTAAGTGTGGGTGTGTGTGTGTATGTGTGTATATATATATATATAGACATATGTCCATATATATATATATGTCTAGTTAACTCTTAACGGAGAACTTGGGATTTGAGGGCTCCAGCTTTAATAGGAAAAATTTCCTATTAGACTTCATACCTCCAGAGATAGCTGACCTTTTTCTCTCAGCTTTCACATCTTACCACACCTTAATAGTCAGAGCTCAGATTTGCAAACTTTGGTAAATGTTCTCAGGGCAACAACTAATTCATCATTGAGTTTATTTATGTGGGTTCTCAATTTTCTCTAGATCATATGCTAATTGCTATCATGTCAGCTATTTGATCTCCTAAGAAAATACTTTAAAATTCAGTAATTTTAGTTGTTTTAGTGGTAAAATAATATCCTGATATATCACCAGAATAGGAACGCCATCTTCATTATTTTTTCAAATATTTTCCTCTCTTCAATTTTCTTCTCTCCTTTGGGAAATCTTATTTGATCGTTATCTGTCATCCATGTCTCTTTAGCTTTTCTTGCTATCTTTCGGGAAAATTCCAGAATCTGATGCTCCAACTTATTAATTCATCCCTTAGGTACACTACGAGTGAACAATGTTTTGTTTTCTTTATTTCGACTCATACTTTTTCATGCCTAATATTTCTACTTTATTCAAAAAGAAATTTTTATTTTATTTTGTATTGGCAATACCAATCATTTGTTTATCTTTAGCACACTTATTAATTGTATATTCTTGTTCATATGTTAAAATGCTTAGCTTCTTATGGCCTGTATTATCCAGTTTGTTTTTCTCTGAAGAATGGCTTTCTTTATATGTTTAGTTATTTTGGTTCAGGAGCTCATTACACATTACTGGCAATGTGTGTTGAGGAGGGTGCAAAGGCCAGGAGTTAGTCTCTGAGTTTAGAGCAGGGGTTAACAAACTTTTTCTCTAAACACAAGATAGTAAATATTTTGGGTTTTGAGAGCCAGGCAATCCCTGTCACACTAGTGATTCCTGCTCTTGTACTATAACAGCAGCTTTAGATACTACAGAAATAATGGGTTGGGTATGGTAGTGTTCCAATAAAACATTATTTATAAAAACAAGAAGCAAGGCCAGTTTGTCCCACAGGTTATCATAGGCTGACTCTGTTTTAGAGCATAGGAAATAAGCCTTGTATGGAAAACCTACCAGGAACTTCTGTTAATCACTCCCATTTGTATCCTTGAATTTTAAACTGGGAGGTAAAGCATGATTAGAAGGAGACAATCTCCCTAAATTGCAATATACAGCCTTGGGGATTTTAGGACTAGGATACTCAGTGCCTAAGGGCAGCTGGCCAGTTTGCACCTATTTAATGAGGGCACTGGTGTCTTTGTTGCTGCTGCTGAAATCTGCAGAAAGGCAAGCAATGTTTGCTTCAAGGCAACACAGTGTAGTGAGAAAAGCTTTTTTTTTCCCTAAATATTCATCCTTTCTAGCCTTTGACACAAACTATCTGGATTTCATTATTTCGTACTTAGCTTTCTTCCTTCATTATCCATTACTCATTATATATACATAATTTTCATAATTCATATATACATAATTTTTTCTGACTAGTATTTAATTTCCAAAGATTATGTGAAACCTGTGTGGATGTAAATAAGCCTAAAACTACATGATGGAAACTAGAATCATATTTTTTAACATCACACTTATGGCAGAAACAAAATGAAGGGTTTGCTTTAAAGTCCTTCATAATATAGTACATGTGAGTATGTGAGCAAACCCACTGGAATGGAAATTGCAATAGTACATGTGAGACTAGGTCTCTGAATATTGTGGCATTTGCCACAAACTAGTAATTACCTACCATAATTTGGAGAAACTTCTCAGTCCAACAACTGTTTTGTGACAAGCTAACATTTTGTTGAAATATATGTCAAGAGTTAGTCATATTTTAATCTTTATTAGATATATGTATCCTGCTTATCTCAGACTAAAAATATACTAACATGAGTAGTGATCAAAGACTGTGTATATCCTATTCAAAACATAAAATAAACCTGACATTGCATTTCATGCTAGAATATAAAGAGAAAAGGAAGAATAAATGCCTTTAACTTATATGCAAGATGTATATTCGTCATGCCAGAGGAGTATTAAGGAGAATAATAGTCAACATTCACCAGAATTTTAATGTATAAACAAATTTTGAAAATACAGAACTATTTGCACTACAACTTTCATTATCAATAGGAGAGTTCTACCAGAAGAGTTGAATCTAGGAACTGTAATCACCTTTACTGACAGCTAACATTTTATCTTTTTTAATTTTTAATTTTAAACTTACTTGATATAATGAAGTATAGACTACTGTAAGACTATTTTGTACTAGTATTTAATGAGCATTCTCTTGTCATTACAATAATTTGACATAAATATTCTTTTATTGGCTATGTAACATTTTGCCACAAAAATAAGCCAAAAAGTAATTGTTCCTTTGATGCTGACATTCAGGATTTTTCTAGGTTATTTTGCTATTATAAGTAATGCTTTGATAATCATCATTCAATCATCCAGCAAAATTTTTTGAAAGGTAAATATATGTCCAGTACTTTAATATTACAGAGAATACAGTGGTGAACAAAAGATATAACTTGTATAATATTTAGTCAGATTACAGAAATTTGAAAAAGAATGTAAACATTTAATCACCCTTATTACACAGTGTTAAGCTGCTTTCCATAAATGATGTACCAATATATAATAGAAACAGAAGTATATCAGGGTTCTTTTTTCAGCAAAAAGGAGAGACACACACATTTAAGTGTAAAATGTCTTAAATCCTGACCCATTTAAGGGAGCTAAAAGAGGTGCCTTCTTTTAACATGAATTTCTACTATATTTTTATATTAGCTACTTGTATTTCTCTTTCTCATAAATTATTCATGTCTTTGCCCTTTTAATCATTTGAAGTCTCAGATATTTTTTTTTTTTTTTTTTTTTTTTTGGTCATTGCTGCATTGTTGTTAAATCTATTTGGTTTCCTTTGTGAACATCTATCTTTCTTTTAAATTTGTACTTACCTTGTAACAATTGACATAACACCATAGGAGCCGGGAAAATAAATGATTACTTTTGTTTTTTTCTGTGTCTAGCATGTTTCTTGGCACTCAGATAGTATTCAATGAATGTTTACTCAATGTCATACCTTATACGGTGCCTAAAATTTAAAAAATGTATTAGAAAAAAACAGCAGTAACAGATGGCTTAGACTCCATAGTCTGAAACAGCATTTGAAATGTAATGGTGATGATTTCAGGGGGCTCAGAAGAGGATTTTGAATGGTACAAGAAATGAGAATTTTTAAAGTATTCAATACTGTGGCTTGACATTCAACCTCCATTGAAATCTTACAGCTCTCTTTTAATGTGCATTTTAGAGGTTTTTTGTTTGTTTGTTTGTTTGTTTTTCCAAAACACCCTCTCATCCTTGTTTCTTCATGTAATGTTCCTCTGCTTAGAACTTCTCAGGCAAACATACTATGGAGGCTGACTTCCTATTGTGTTAGCTGTTTATCTGCTGGTCGACAGAGCCATGGATGCATGTCCACCCTGGTATGCCAGTGGCCTGTCCACGTGTTGAGAAGCCACAGTCATACTATTTGCAGCTACAGCAAATTCCTCATCGCTGGATCAGTTACTTTGGTGTGTCGGTGAAGTTAATTATTCCAGTGAAGGCCTCCAATCTTTTCACCTTGCTGACTATGGCAGAAGTCACAGTGCCCATGGTGAGGTATTACTATTTCTATAGCATTTCCAATAATTTAGAAATCACTCGATTACCTGTAGTAAGTGTCCTTTTTGAAACAGCTATACTGCCTTATAGTTTCTGCAACTGGATCTTGACTGATACAATCATAGTTGAAGACAGTTATTCCATTTTCATTTCTCTTTCAAATAAAGGAGAAATTTTGTGATTGGTATCAGACCCTATAACATTGCATATTTTCCTTTTGAATAGAAAGTAATCTAAGTGAATAGTCCTATATGACAAGTATAATTCATCAAGATTTGATTAACATGACACTGTTCGAATACAAGATAGATTCTCTTTAGTAAAGACAAGCATCTGAGTCAGAAATAGTGAACACACACACATTGAAATAAAGAAAAACCTTAACGTAGCATATGCTAGAAGACAAAGGAAAACTAGCAGAGGATCTCTGTAGTACTTAAACATTTTTTGATATTTTGTGGTGCTCACAACCCTTGTTAAAAGAAAGAGTACATTATCTGTAGTACTTAGTTGGAATATTGCAGATGTTTCTAGTCTTTGTAAACATATCACAGCATCTTAATTCTTTGTTTATTTGAATTGCTCCTTAGTCATGTCTCTTTTTCATTCCATTCTTAATCACCGAGTCTGTGATTAAAAATGGCAAACATGTGTTTTGAGAAGAAACTAAGCTATGATTTTGGTTGTGGGTAGTAATTCCTCAGGGGCAGAACATATTAACCCCTTTCTCTCCACCTTGCTTATGAATTCACAGAAATGTACAGGTAAACAGTAAACACAAAGTAAAGCATAGAAAAATAGAACAGTTTTCAGTTCAATTGCTGTTTGTACAAGGAGATGTTTCTGAAGAAATAAACAAAAAGTGATGGCTGGGTACAGTGGCTCACGCCTGTAATCCCAGTACTTTGGAAGGCCAAGGCAGGTGGATCACGAGGTCAGGAGTTTGAGACCAGCCTGGCCAAATGGTGAAATCCCGTTTCTACTAAAAATAAAAAAAAAAAAAAACTAGCCAGGTGCGGTGGCACCCGCCTGTAATCCTAGCTACTCAGGAGGCTGAGGCAGGAGAATTGCTTGAATCCAGAAGGCAGAGGTTGCAGTGAGCTGAGATCATGCCACTGCACTTCAGCCTGGGTGACAGAGTGAAAATCCATCTCAGGAAAAAAAAAAAAGTGACAAATATTTACGAAAAAATGCTGAACTAAAATAGTATAAGAAATCACAGATAGGATATTATTGTAGTTAAGACTCTTAATTTATGCTATTAAACAAAGATCAGTTTTGGAATCTGACAGTCTTTGGATCTAAACCTGACCCTGTTTCCTATTCTCTGTAAGGTTACATGAAAGTAATTTCAGTATTCCATGATTAAATTTGTAATGAATTTTTCTTCATTTGTAAAACGAGAGAAATCAACTCACATGTTAACTGAGTTGATTGCTGCCTGCCAGTGTATGAGACACATCTTAATTTAATTAGAAAAAGTTCTAGATAAAAGTTAAATGCTGTTCATTGGGTATAAACATATATATATATAGAGAGAGAGGAAAATTTGAAAATATAGTTTCAATTTTTATGGAAAGAAACATAACTGTATTCATGTAAAAACAACACTGAATAGTTGGATAGATAGAATTTTGAGATAAATAGTAATTTCCTACAAACTTTGGAGGAAAACAAGAAAAATAATATAAAGTAAATATATATAGGTAAAGTTAAATGCGATAATATGGTTATATAAAAGAAAGTATGAATAGTGCATTTATTTTAAACTAAGTTTAAATACATTCCAATGGAGTAGATTCAAACAGGACAATATATTAATAAAATTAAGTGCTAAGAAAACAGCAAAATCATATAAAGTTGAATATAAGCCTGTATAGATAGTCATAGCTAATAAAGGTTTTATCATCTTCAAATACAATAATTCACTTCAGGAAATTCTAATGTCATGTTAATACTCTTAGTAAAAGCAAATATGTCACTGAATATTACTATAGGCAATAAATACTACTGTACAGTTATATCACCTGATTCTTTTGGGAATATATACATTACGTTTGAATCGCCGTGCCTCATCCAGCACTTCGGGAGTCCGAGGCTGGCAGATCACTAGACATCAAGCGTTAGAGACCAGCCTGGCCAACATGGCGAAACCCTGTCTCTACTAAAAATACAAAATAGTTAGCTGGGCGTAGTGGTGCATGCCTGTAGTCCCAGCTACTGCGGAGGCTGAGGCAGAAGAATCTCTTGAACCCAGGAGGCAGAAGTTGTTGTGAGCCGAGATCGCGCCACTGCACTCCAGCCTGGGCCACAGAGCGAAACTCTGACTCAAAAAGAAAAAAATGAATTTAATTTTATAAAAATGTTTCTGTTGCTACTGAGTCAGCAGATTGATAGTAACAGGTTTACATCACACATTTTAAGGGAATAGAGCAAACCATCTCTCATCCCCAGTAGGTCTAGGACTTGTTTTTTCTTTTTTAAGGATTTTCTTTATAATAACAATATGGTTTAAAATAACCATCTTGCTTTGATAATCTGTGCTTCATCTTTGCTTCATAGATATGATGGTTAATGCCTCATGGTAGACTACTGCTTGCAAATGATAAGTCTGTCCTTAGTTTTCAATCCCTTTTTGATGATTACATTTATCATACAATTACATAATTCAAGACACTAAATTGATGCTATTAAGAAGGTTGATTGAGATGATATATTATACAGATTTAAAGCCAATTTTTATGTCTTTAATAATTTTGCTAAAGTTTGTGACAATCTTGCTTGATTTCAGTATTTTGTATCATTGATAACCCAGTTTTGTGCTCGATAAATTCTAATCCTAATTCCACTAAAGAGCTCTTAGAATTAAGTGCTTTCTTTTGCTATCTGTACTGGAGGTACATTGGATATAGGCTTCTTTCAGATTCATATATATATATATATGAATATATATATGAATATATATAAATGAATATATATATTCATTTATTCAATGGATGGTGATGTAGAGCTGTAATAATAGTAATAGTGTACTGGGTAAGTATAGCATAAGGATATGTGAAATGAGTAAAGAAAATGTCATAAAGGATGCATTAAGGAATTGAGAATATTAAACAAACCTATACTACACAGGAAGTGGTAATTAGTTACTTGAAAGTGACTTACATCAGTTTAAAATATATATTACAAACACTGTGGAACCCACTAACATTTTAAAAAGTAGTATAACTGATATGCTAATAGAGGAGAGAAAACTAAATCATATTAAATGCCCAAGGAAATCAAGAGAAATCAGAAAAAATTAGAGAAAAAACAACATGCAAGAATTATTTAAAAGTTATATATAGTAGATATTAATTCCACTTATCAGTAATCTCCAAGCAAGAGTTGTCAAAATGCACCAATTGAAAGACAGAGAGAACACATAAAATTATGTGTTTTTTATAGAAAACCTTAAAATAGTAAATATTCAGAAAGTTTAAAAGACTGGAGAAATGTATACAATGCTGATACTAATTGTTTTAAAACAGAGCAGCTACATTAATTTCAGAGGGAACTGACTTCAAAACAAAGAAAATTATGAAGAATTATGAGAGACATTATATAATGATAAAGGGATTAATTCTTTAAGAAGATGTAACAATCCTAAGTAAGTATGCACCAACAAACAAAGCACCAAAATATGTAAAGCAAAAACTGACAAATTGAAAGGAGCAATAGACAAACTATTGCTAAAACTTTCGTAATTAGAGATTTAATAGTCCTCTTTTACTGATTGATAGATCTGAGAAGCATAATAACATTAAGGATAGTTTGCTTGAACAATACATTCAACTTACTCTAGTTGATATTTACAAAATCTATTCAACAACAGTTGCAAAACATTCTTCCCAAGCTCACTTAGAACAAAAAATAGACCTTATTCTTATAAATACACCTTAACATATTTAAAATAATATAAGTTATACAAAGTTTGTTTTCTGATCACAATGGAAGTAAGTTAGAAATCAATAACAGAAAGATAGCTGGAAAATCTTCAAATATTTGTTAATTGAACAGTACTTTAAAAATAAAAGATAGATAAAAGAAGTGTCTCAGAAGAAACTCAAAGCATTTTGAAAGAAATGAAAATTTAACTCATCATAATTTGTGGGATGCAGTAAAATAACTTCTTAGAGAATAATGTACATAACATTATATAACAAACAACATATTATAACATTAACATCATGTAAGTGATGGGTTGATGGGTGCAGCAAACCACCATGGCACATGTATACCTATGTAACAAAACTGCACATTCTGCACATGTACTCCAGAACTTAAAGTATAATAATAAAAAATTAAAAAATAAATAAATAAAATTAAAAAATAAAAGTTGAGCACAACAACAAAAAAGAAAATAAGAAAGTTATAACCAGTAACCTAAGTTTCCACTTTAAGAAACTAAAGAGAACCAACTCATAACTAAAGAAAGTAGAAGGAAATAAATAATATAATTTAGCACAGTAATCAGTAAAATTGAAAAAAGAAAGGCAATAGAGAATATCAACATAATCAAAAGCTGTTATTTTGGAAAAGATAAAACTGATAAATCACAATAAACAAGTAAAAAAAGGAGAACACAAATTGCCAATATCAGAAATAAAATAGAGTTCACTAATATTGATCCAGTGGACATTAAAGGATAATTAAATAATACCTGGCTTCTCTATGTCCACGCATTTAACAACTTAGATAAAATAGAACAACTCCCTGAAAGACACAAAGTACTAGAATTTATAAAAGGAAAATAATAATCTAAATAGGCCTATATCTGTTAAAGAAATAAAATTGATAATCGATATTCTTCCAAAAAAAGAAGTCACCACAGCCAGATAATTTTATTGGTCAATTATAAGAAATATTTTAAAAACAAACGATATTAATTCTCCGTAATATCTTTTACAAAATAAAAGCAGAGGAACATTAACACATTCAATGAGAACAGTATTACCCTAACATCTGTTCAGTAAAGGGTTAACTCAGCAAGCCAGAACTGCCCAAACCTTGCACATTCCAAAGAAAGGATTGTCATCAGGAGGACAGGTTGTTGTCAGATACTGGGAGATAATTTCTGAGCCTGTCTGATAAGAGTATGATTGGATGTAGAAGTCCTGGTTATGCTGTATGAGTTTGGGCAGATGGTTTATTCTACTATTATAATTTATGGTAAATGTTTGTTTTTATATGCCTGATGTCCAGGGCCACACTGTATAAGACTTGCCTCTCAGGGGTGGAGACTAAGTAGTCACACAGGGGCTGCATGCCTACATATCTCACCTTCCAGTAAAATCCCTGAACATCAAGACTCAAGTGAGCTACCTTGTTGACAAAATTTCATGTGTTATCAAACATCATTGTTGGGAGAATTAAGTATTCTCCACATGACTTCACTGGGAGAGGAAACATGGAAGCTTCTGCCTTGTTTCTCCTGGACTTCCTCCATTCATGTTTTTCCTTTGCTGATTTTAATCTGTATCCTTTTTACTGTAATAAACCATAAGTGTGAGTATGACAGTTATTCTAAGTTATTTGAGTCTTTCTAGTGTGAAAATTTTCAGAATCAACATGGAATTTTTAAAAACCTGACAGATAGAACCAGGAAAGATTACGAAGAGAAGATTCTTATGCTTATATGCCTATTAACAAAAAGTATTGTAAAATACTCTGCAAAAATCTTAACTTTGCACAGAGGCCACTGCAACCTTTCACAAAAAAATACCACTGCAAGCATGTCCGCTTCTGTGCTTCTGCACAGCAAAGGAAACTATTAACTAAGTAAATAGACAACCTACAGAATAGGAGAAAATATTTGTAAACTATAAACTGACAAAGGTCTAATATCCAGGATATAAAAGGAACTTACACAATTCAACAAGCAAAAATCAAATAACCCTATTAAAAAGTGGGTAAAATACATGAACATATACTTTTCAAAAGAAGACATACAAGTGGCAAAACACAAATGAAAGACACGCTTGTCATCGTGAATTATCACAGAAATGCAAATCAAAACTACTAGAAACTAGGCTGGGCACAGTGGCTCATGCCTGTAATCCCAGCACTTTTGGAGGCCAAGGCATGTGGATCTCATGAGATCAGAAGTTTGAGACTAGCCAGGCCAACATGGTGAAACCCTGTCTCTACTAAAAATACAAAACATTAGCTGGGTATGGTGGTGCATATCTGTAATCTCAGCCACTTGGGAGGCTGAGGCACGAGAATTACTTGAACCCAGGAGGCAGAGGTTGCGGTGAGCTGAAATGCACTACTGCACTCCAGCCTGGGCAACAGAGCCAGATTCTGTCTCAAAGAAAAAAACAAAAACAAAAACAAAAAATAACTACTGGATACCATCTCACACCAGTCAGAATGGCTATTAAAAAGTCAAAAAACATCAGATGCTGGCAAGGCTGCTGAGAAAAGAGAACACTTACATACTGTTGGTGGAAATGTAAATTAGTTTAGCCATTGTGGAAAGCAGTTTGGAGACTTCTCAAATAACTTAAAGCAAAATGAGCCAGAAATCCCGTTGCTGGGAATATATCCAAAGGAAAATAAATAATTCTACCAAAAAGACACTTGTACTTGTATGCTTATCACAGCACTTTTCACAATAGTAAAGACATGGAATCAACCAAGATGCCCGTCAAGAGTGGACTGGATAAAGAAAATGAGGTACATATATACCATGGAATACATGGAATACTATCCGTGACAAAAAATGAAATCATGTCCTTTGCAACAACATGGATGCAGCTGGAGGTCATTTTTCTAAGAAAATTAACACAGAAACAGAAAATCAAATACCACATGCTGTCAATTATATGTAGGAGCTAAACATTCAATACACATAGACATGAAGTTGGCTACAATAGACACTGAGAACTACCAGAGGGCAGGGGCAGGCAAGGATTGAAAACCTGCCTACTGGTTACTATGCTCACTACCTGGAAGACAGGATCAATTGTACCCTAAACCTCAACATCATGCAACACACCAAGATAACAAACCTGCATATGTACCCCCTGAATCTAAAATAAATGCTGAAATTATAAAAATAATAACCATAAATAATAAAAAATGTTGATGGTAAAGGCGCATGTGATAGATGATTTTACATAATTGGGATGTGAGTCTTTTTTATAGTTGTTGGTTAAGGTAAAGGTTTCAATTTACTTACCTAAATGTGCACATAGTATACTATAGCAGAAGTTATTTCCATTGAAATGTTCTACTCCCAAATAAATATATTTTTCATTCAGAGAGCACCTCTTTGTTATTTAATTTCACACTAGCATTTTAATTGACACTGTGGGTTGTTAGGCACCCACGAAACTGGATAAAGACACTGCGAGACAGAAAAAGCTCCAAACCAATATATTTAATAAACTCAAACACAAAAATCCTCAACAAAATATTACCAAATCAAATCCAACAATGTGATTTATACGCCATTACCAAGTAAGACTTATTCCTACTAAAATAGTACTAGCAATGCTTGATCTACAACAAAATATCCCTCAATGTAATCCAACATATCAACAGGATAAAGAAGGAAAATTATATATTCCTATCAATTGATGCAGATAAAGTAATTGACAGAATACATCACCCATTAATGATGAAAAGTCCCAGCAAACTAATGAAGAAGAACTTCCTCAGTCTGATAAAGAATAACTACCAAAAAGCCTACAGACTATATCATATTTAAGTATAAGAAACTGGATATGTTTCTGAGATCAGGAGCAAAACCAGAATGTCCTCTCTCCCTACTTCATATTCAATATATTATATAAGTCCTAGCTTATTTAATAACATAAGAAAAGGAAATAAAAGATATACAGATTGGGAAGAAAAAAATGAAATCATCCTTCTTTATAATTGACATGAATATGTGAAAAATCCAAAAAGTTAACAAAAAACTCATGTCGATGGCATTTGTTCTTGATAAGATATGATAAAATAACACCTGACCTCTGTGGTCTTCTGCCAAAATACCCATAACCCCACTCTAATAATAGGAACAACATTAGACAACTCCAAAGTAATTCTGCAAAGTAATTCACCAGTACTTTTGCCAAGCTCATGAAAAATAAGAAAATTCTGATCAACTGTTACAGTCAAAGAAATATAAAGAAACATGATGATGACTAAATGTAACGTGATATTCTGTATGGGATCCTGGAACAGAAAAGGACTTTAGATTAAATCTTAGGAAATCTGAATAAAGTATGGACTTCAGTTAATGATAATATATCAATATCGGTTCATTAATTGCAACAAAGATACCATAGTAATGTAAATGTTAAAAATATGAGGAGCTGGGTGTAGGATGCATTTGAACAATCTGAACTAGTGTCACAATTTTTCTGAAAATCTGAAACAACTTCAAAATATTTAAAAAGTTACTTTAAAAGATGCTTTTGTTGCTGGCTTGTTATGGGGAAAGCCTGGCTGAAGACAGCCTCAAATAAAGATGACAACAGCAACTTAAGCAATGATAAACCTGGTGCACCATGTAATTTCCTGCTGGATTCTGGCCTAATTAAAGCTGACCTGACAAATGTCTGCCTGAAGAGTCAAACTATGTAGACAATTATTAGAATCATTTTTTTCCATGTTTGGTTTTTAATTCTAACAACAGGTTTTGGTAACATCTCTGTAAGTAACGCATAATTTTTGTTAGAAGGTCTTTAGGGTCATTATCTAGCTAACATTCCAAAGAATAGAAACCCATGTTGAAGGAGAGAATTATTTTAGGATCTACCTGAAGTCTCCTGTCATATTGATTTACAAATTAGTATCACTGAAGCACATCTTAGTTGCATGAGAAAAAATGAGAGCACTGATTCATCATCTTTTCAAAGCAAATTATTTATTGTATATTTATGGTGGAAGGGATAAAAGTATTAAAATGTTGAATGACTAATATGTTGAATGAAGATAAACTAAATTTAAAGTGATTGAATGATAATTTAAAAGTACTATAAAAATGAACAGTGCTGAAAAGTAAAAATAAAGTACCTGTAATTCCACCACTAAAAATACTGTTCCATATTAATGCTTCATCTTATTGTTTGTTTTTTTCCAAGTTCTTACTATAAACAATTTCACACAATGAACATCTGTTTACTCCTCACTTACCGACATTCAATAATTCTTGATATTTTAAAATATTTGCTTTCCATTTATGAATGTTATAATTTATCTGATTTAGTTGCAAATAACTTGGAAACATCTTAAAACTTTAATTCTTTGAATTAAGAGCAAATGCATAAATGTCTATGTAGGGCATTCTCATACATAACCAAAATATATTTTCAGACCAAAAATATTAATAATTTCCTATCAACTAACTAGTTTATAGTTAATGTTGAAATTGTTCCTCAAATTTCTATTACAAATGTTTTATTTTCATATCAAAAAATGTTCACACTTGAATTCAGTTGTATCGTTTTAATTTTTAAAATTTAGTGAGACAGAGTTTCACTCTTGTTGCCCAGGCTGGAGTGCAATGGCACTATCTCCGCTCACTGCAAGCTCCTCCTCCTGGATTCAAGTGATTCTCCTACCTCAGCCTTCCGAGGAGCTGGGTTTATAGGCGCCCACCACACTCAGCAATTTTTTTTGTATTTTTACTAGAGATGGGGGTTTCACTATGTTGGCCAGGCTGGTCTCGAACTCCTGACCTCAGATGATCTGCCCACCTAGGCTTCCCAAAGTGCTGGGGTTACAGGCATAAGCCACCATGCCTGGCCACTCATCTAACTCTTTAATGTGCTTTTCAAGTCATTGACTTTTTTTTTAATGTTCTGGGGTACATGTGCAAGATGTGCAGGTTTGTTACATAGGGAAATGTGTGCCACAGTGGTTTGCTACATCTATCAACCCATCACCTAGGTATTAAGCCAAGCATGCATTAGCTAATTTTCCTAATGCTCTCCCTCTGCCTCACCTCCCAACAAGCCCCAGTGTGTGTTGTTCCCTTCCCTCTGTCCATGTGTTCTCATTGTTCAGCTCCCACTTATAAATGAGAAGATGTGTTTGGTTTTCTGCTCCTGTGTTAGTTTGTTGAGGATAAGAGCTTCCAGCTCCATCCATGTCCCTGCAAAGGACATGACCTCATTCCTTTTTAAGGCTGCATAGTATTCCATGGTGTATATGCACCACATTTTGTTTATCGAGTCTATCATTGATGAGCACTGTGGTTGATTCCATGTCTTTGCTATTGTGAACAGTGCTGCAATGAATATACACGTGCATGTATCTTTATAATGGAATGATTTACATTCCTTTGCATATATACCCAGTAATGGGATTGCTGGAGCAAATGGTATTTCTGGTTCTAGATCATTGACTAATCACCACACTGTCTTCCACAATGGTTGAACTAATTTACATTTCCACCAACAGTGTAAAGGTGTTCCTATTTCTCCCTAACTTTGCCAGCATCTGTTGTTTCTTGAGTTTTTTTTTTTAAATTAACAACCTTTTAGAGCAGTTTTAGGTTCACAGCAAATCAGAAAGAAACAGATCTCACATATACCCCCTGCCCTTACACATGCATAGCCTCCTCCATTATTAATATCCTCCACCAGAGTGGTAAATTTGTTACAACCCATGAATCTACATTGATATACCATTGTCCACCAAAGTGTGTAGGCTACAATAGGGTTCACTCTTGGTGTTATATATTCTATGGGCTTTGACATACATCCACCATTATAGTATCATACAGAATAGTTTCACTGTCCCCAAATTCCTTTATGTTCTGCCTACTCATCCTCCCCTTCCCCTTAACCCCTGACAATCACAAATCTTTTTACTGTCTCTCTAGTTTCGTTTTTCCTAGAATGTCAAACAGTTGGAATCATAGTCATACAGTATATACCTTTTCAGGGTATGTCACTCAGTAACATGCTTTTAAATTTTTTCTATGTTCTTTCATGGCTTATTATATCATATATTTTTATAACTAAATGATGTTCCATTTTCTGGTTGTCTTTTAATGGCTTAATAGAGCATCTCTTTTTAGCATTGAATAATATTCCATTGTCTGGATGTACCACAGTTTACTTATCCATTCACCTACTGAAGGACATATTGGTTGCTTCCAAGTTCGGAAATTATGAAAAAAAAAGCTGTTACAAACATCATGCACAGGTTTTTATGTGGAGATAAGCTTTAACTCTTTTGTATAAACTCAGGGAGTATGATTGCTGGATTGTATTAGAAGAGTGTGTTTGCTTGTATATTAAATTATCAAATTGTATTCCAAAATATCTGTACCATTTTGCATTTATACCAGTGTCTTAGTCTGTTTCCTACTGCTATCATAGAATACCACAGACTGGGTAATTTATGAAATGAGCTTTATTTAGCTAGTTGTTCTAGAGGCTAGAAAGTCCAAAGTTGAGGGTATACATTTATGGTGAGGGCCTTCTTGATGCATCATAACATGGCAGATGACACCACATGATGAGGAAATGTGTGCTTGAGACAGAGAGAAAGAGGCCTAATCTTTATACTTTTATCAGCAGCCCACTTGTGAGATGACTAACCCACTCCCATGATAAAGGTAAAAAGCCCATAGATCTCATAGAGCAACTACACAATTGAGACTACAAAGCAACTGGATAACAACACTATTACTGAACGAAAACTTCACATATCAATATTAAAGTTGAGCATAAATAGCTCAATTAAACAAGAAGATTTAATTATCCTAAATACACATGCAGCCAACATTTGAGTACCCAGATTTATAAAACAATTACTACTAGACTTAAGAGAAGAGACAGACAGCCATTCAATAATAGTGGGTGACTTCAACACCCCCCTGACAACATTAGACAGAGGCAGAAAACTTCAAAAGAAATTCTGGACTTAAATTTGATATTTTACCAAATGAACATAATAGACATCTACAGAATACTCCACCCAAATACCACAGAAAATACTTTCTTCTCATCTGCACGTGGAACATACTCTAAGACTGACCACATGTTCAGTCATAAAGCAAGTCTCAATAAATTCAAGAGAATAAAAATCTTACGAATCATCTTGTCATATAAGAGTGGAATAAAAATAGAAGTCAATACCAAGAGGAACTCTCAAAACTACACAAATACATGGAAACTAAATAACTCACTCCTGAATGACTTTTGGGTAAACAACAAAATTAACACAGAAATAAAAAAAATTTGAAACAAATGAAAATCAAAACACAACATACCAAAACATTTGTGATATTGGGATATGGCCAAATCAATGTTAAGAGGAGAGTTTATAGAGCTAAAAGCCTACATCAAGAAGTTAGAAAGATATCAAGCTAACAACATAACAAACTACAAAAACAAGACAAACGAAACTCAAAACTAGCAGAAAAAAAGAAATAACTAAAATTAGAGCAGAACTAAAGGAAATTGGAAAAAAAACATACAAAGGATCAATGAAACATAAAGTTCGTTCTTTGAAAGGATAAACAAGATCAATAAACCATTAGTTGCATTCAAAAAGAAAAAAGAAATGTTACAAACAAGCACAATCAGAAATGACAAAGGTGACATTACAACTGATCACACAGAAATACAAAAAATTCTCAGAGACTACTGTGAACATCTGTATACAAACAAACTAGAAAATCTAGAGGAAATGAATAAATTTCTGGAAACATACAACCTTCCAAGATTGAACCAGAGAGAAAATGAAACTGAACAGACCAATAATAAATTACAAAATTGAATCAGTAATAAAAATGTTACCAATCACAGAAAGCCCTGGACCAGAGAGATTCACAAGCAAATTCTACCAGACCTACAAAGAAAACCTGGTACCAATACTAATGAAACTATTCCAAAAAATCAAGGAGTAGGGATTCCTCCCTAACTCTTTCTACAAACCAGTATTACTTTGATACCCAAATCTGGCAAGGACACAACAACAACAACAACAACAACAATAAAAAACCTACAAGCTTATATATCTGATGAGCATAGATGAAAATATCCTCAACAAAATACTAGCAAACCAAATCCAGCAGCATATCGAAAAGATAATTCACCAAAATCAAGCAGTCTTTATTGTTGGGATGCAAGGTTAGTTCAACATATGCATATCAATAAATGTGATTCATCATGTAAATAAAATTAAAAACAAAAACTATATGATCATCTCAATAGACACAGAAAAATTATGTAATCAAATCCAATATTCCTTCGTGATTAAAAACCTTCAACCATATAGGCATTAAAAGAACATACTTCAAAATAATAAGAGCTATCTATGACAAACCCACAGCCAACATTGTGCTAAATGGGCAGAAGTTAGAAGAATTCCCCCTAAGAAGTGAAATATGACAAGAGTGTTCACTTTCAACACTCCTATTCAACATAATAATGGATGTCCTATCCAGAGCAGTCAGCAAAGAGAAAGAAACAAAAGGCGTCCAAATAGGAAAAAGCAAGTCAAATTATCTCTGTTTGTTGATTATGTGTTTCTATACATGGAAAGCCATGAGGATTCCTCCAAAACACTCCTAAATCTAATATATGACTTTAGTAAAGTTTCAAGATGCAAAACAAATGGACAAAAATCAGTAGCATTTTCTATACATCAATAATGTTCAAGCAGAGAACAAAATCAAGAATGTAATCTCATGTACAATAGCCACAAAAATAATAAAATTATTATTATTTATATACAATAGTACAAAAAATAATAAAGTACCTAAGAATATATCTAACCAAGGAAGTGAAAGGTCTCTTCAAGGAGAACTATAAAACACTGCTGAAAGGAATTACAGATAACACAAACAAATGGCAAAACATTCCATGCTCATGGATTGGAAGAGTCAATGTCATTAGAATGTCCATTGTTCCCAGATTCAACACAATCCTTATGAAATTACCAATGTCATTTTTCACAGAATTAGAAAAAAACTATTCAAAAATTCATATGGAACCATAAAAGAGCCCAAATAGCCAAAGCACCCCTGAGCAAAAAGAACAAAGCTAGAGGTAATATTATTTGACTTCAAACTATACTATAAGGCTATAGTAAACAAAACAGCAGAGTACTGGTATAAAAATAGACACATAATCAATGGAGCATAATGGAGAACCCAGAAACCATGCTCCACACCTACAGCCAACTGATCTTTGACAAAGTCAACAAAAATAAACAATGAGGAAAGGACATCCTATTTAATAAATGGTGCTGGGATAGATGGCTAGCCATTTGTAGAGGAATGAAACTGAACTGGTACCTGTCACCATATACAAAAATTAACTCAAGATGGATCAAAGACATAAATATAAGACTTCAAATGATAAAAATCTTAGAAGAAAACCTAGTCATAATCGTAGAAGAAAAATAAAAATCATAGAAAGAAACTTAGTTATAAGTTTCCTTTTAAGATAAAAATCTTAGAAGAAACTTAGTCATAAGTTATTTGCCTAGGCCAATGTCTGGAAGATTTTTCTTCCTTCTTCCAGACCTCAAAAGCAATGGCGACAAGAACAATAATAGACAAGTGGGATCTCATTACACTAAAGAGCTTTTGCACAGCAAAAGAAACTATCAACAGAGTAAACAGACAACCTACAGAATGGGGGAAAATATTTGAAAACTCTGCATCTGACAAAGGACAACTATCCAGAATCTATAAGGAACTTAAATTTAAAAAAAAAACATTAAACTGTAGGCAAATGACAAAAATAGGCACTTCTCAAAAGGCATACACTCAGCCAACAAACATAGAAAAATATGCACAATATCACTAATCATTACAGAAATGCAAATTAAAACAACAGTGAGATACCATCTCACATCAGTCAGAATGGCTATTATTAAAAAGTGAAAAAATAACAGATGTTGGTAAGGATGTGGAGAAACAGGAACACTTATACATTGTTGGAGGGAATGTAAACTGCTTCAGCCCCTGAGGAAAGCAGTTTGGAGATTCCCCAAAGACCTAAAAACAGAACTACCATTTGACCTATCCATCTCATTACTATGATTATTACTAAGGAAAATAAATCATTCTACCAAAAAGATACCTGCACTCATATGTTTATCACAGCACTATTCACAATAGTAATGACATGGAATCAACATAGGTGTCCATCAATGGTGGATTGGATAAAGAAAAGATGCTACTTATACACCATGGAATACTATGCAGTCACACAAAGAATAAAATTATACCCTTTGCAGCAGCACGGGTACCGCTGGAGGGCATTATCCAAAGTGAATTAATGCAGAAACAGAAATTTAAATACTTCATGTTCTCACTTATATGTAGGAGCTAAACAATGGTTACGTACAGACATAAAGATGTCAATAATAGACACTGGGTACTCTCAAAGTGGGGAGGGAGGGAGATAAGCAAGGGTTGAAAAACTACCAATTGGGTACTATGTGCACTATTTGGATGTTATGTTCAATAAAAGTCCAAATCTCAGCACTATGCAATATATCCATGTAACAAACCTGCACATGTACCCGCTGAACCCAAAATTTTTTAAAAAGAAAATCCTGAACCCACCTCTTGAATATTGGTAATTACTGAACCAGAAGCTTCATTTTTTACATAATACTATGTAAATTCAAGTTTCAGAAATACTTTCAGAAGCACTTTGAGATTTACTGATCTACATCATCCTTAATAAGTTACAGTCCAGTTTTTCAGCACCAAATTTCCTAGAACAACTGACCAAGTGACCAGTAAAGACAAAAAAAAAAAACAACCAAAAAAACAAAAACAGAACAAAAACAAAAAACACCATTTTTTTTGTTAAAGCAAACAAAAATGTTTTACATTAAGCCAACTCGGTCATTATCACTTATTTGATTCCATTACCCTGCCTTTTAAAAAAATTCAGATTAGATTTCCCCATGGGACCTCTTCACTTTCTAATTCTTTTTGGTTCAGTGCTCTTCTTTCAGGTGTTTGCATGGCTCATTCTTTCTTATATAAGTCCAGCTAGATGTCCCCTTCTCAGAAATTTCTTGTCCAATTTCTATATTTAATGTTGACTTCCAACAGTCACTCACTATTAGAGTATTTTGCTTAATTTTCTTCAGTGCAGTAGTCACTACCTGAAGTTATGCTGGTTATTTGTTTACTTGTTCATAAAGTGTCTGGTCCTCTAGAATGTAAGCTTCATGTGGGTAAGAACCCTTGACTCACTGAAGTTCTATGTGTTCTTAGAAAAAAACCTACCTGGTAGTAAATATTCAACAAACATATGTCAATTGAAGAAATTCAAGGAACATTATTAGTAGTTGTATTTTCTACACCTGAATTATCTAAAGCCTACTTTACCTGCAGTTTTAAGCAGCTATCAAGATCTCTTTCCTAAGATGGTTGCAAATAGTTATGGAAGATTGCAGTATATATTAAATAGAAGCAGAGATGCAACATTAATAGATATTTTTAATTTTAAAAAGTTCGAGTAATGGATCTCTTTAGTGCCAAATCAACTTAAATCCTGAGTACAGCACATGTAGCGCTGTACCTTAAACTTTTGAGGGTACAGTAGTTTCCCCCCTTATCTACAGAGGCAAGTTCCAAGATTCCTGATGCATGTCTGAAGCCTTGGAAAGTATCCAACCCTATGTATACCATGTTTTTATATATATATATGTATGTGTGTGTGTATGTGTATATATATACACATATATATATATATATGATAGTGAAAAATTGCTGCTAAATGACTAACAGCTGGGTAGTGTAGTGTGAATATGCTGGACAAAGGGATGATTCTGGACCTGGGCTGGACAGAGTGGGATGAAGCAGGACAGTGTGACATTCCATCACACTACTCAGAAAAGCATGCAATTTAAAACTGATGAATTGTTTATTTCTGGAGTTTTTTATTTAATATTTTCAAATCAGAGTTGAACATGGGTAGCTGAAGCCACAGAAAGCATAATCACACATAAGGGGGGATTGCTGTATATCATAGATTTTTAAAATATTAGAGAAAGATAAAACCAGAACAGTAGGCTCAAATTTAGTGATTTTCTTTTGTTTTGACTTGTGAAAATTATGTAATAAAGTTTCTTTGTTTTTGCTTTGCAGATACAGTCCACAGTTATTGCAGCAATGTTTTTAGGACAGGATTTCACAAAACATCTCTAGACTATTTTTAAAAAGTTTTGGACTTTCCTCTACCTATAATTTTTAGAGGAAGTGAAAGATGGTGGTTGTTCATTCTTTCTTTCTTATATAACATTATGAAGAAGAAGTAAGAAGAATTATGTGGAATAGTAAATCACTTTCCCCTAACTGATACTTTACCTAAATTATCTGACAATTGAAATGATTTTGCAATGAAAAGTGAATAATATGGCCGGGTATGGTGGCTCATGCCTATAATCCCAGCACTTTGGGAGGCCAAGTTGGATGAAACACCTGAGGTCAGGAGTTTGAGGCTAGCCTGGCCAACATGGCGAAACCCCATCTCTACTAAAAATACAAAACATTAGCTGAGCATGGTGGTGGATGCCTGTAAGCCCAGCCACTCAGGAGGCTGAGGCAGGAGAATTACTTGAACCCGGGAGGTGGAGGTTGCAGTCAGCCGAGATTATACCACTGCACTCCAGCCTGGGCAACACGAGTGAAACTCCATCTCAAAAAAATAAATAAAAAAAAGCGAAGTGAATAATATAATATCAGCTCTTAAGGAAATAGATTCTTTTGATCATGTGACTTCATGAAAGGAGAGGAAACATTGTAACAGATGGTATGCATACTTCTAAGGATAAGAAATTGGCAACTGCATCTTATAAAACTTGATGGGGATCAAAAATATAAACCTTCTTTTTTTTTTTTTGAGATGGAGTCTCGCTCTGTCGCCCAGGCTGGAGTGCAGTGGCGCGATCTCGGCTCATTGCAAGCTCTGCCTCCTGGTTTCACGCCATTCTCTTGCCTCAGCCTCCCTAGTATCTGGGACTACAGACACCCGCCACCACGCCTGGCTAATTTTTTGTATTTTTAGTAGAGGTGGGGTTTCACCGTGTTAGCCAGAATGGTCTGGATCTCCTGACCTCGTGATCCACCCACCTCAGCCTCCCAAAGTGCTGGGATTACAGGCGTGAGCCACCGCTCCTGGCCAAAAATGTCAATCTTAATAGTAATAAAGTTTAATCAAAGTGTGTTGTTATAGACTGCTATTTCATAAAATTAGTGGTACTTTAGTACACTTTAGTACATAGGGATAATTTCTCATCTCCTTACAGTAGGAAGTTTATAAAACAAACAGGCATACATTACATATTTGTTGATAAATTTATAGAAGATTGTATTTGTCAGTTTTCACACTCCTATAAAGAACTACCTGAGACTGGGAGATTTACAAAGAAAAGAGGTCTAACTGATTCACAGTTCACATGACTGGAGAGGCCTCAGAAAACTTACACACATGGCGGAAGGGAAAGCAAGGCACATCTTACATGGTGACAGGGTAGAGAGAGAGAGAGAAACTACCACACACTTTTAAACCACCAGATCCTGTGAGAACTCACTCACTATCAGGAGACCAGCAAGGGGGATGTCCACCCCCATGATTCAATCACCTCCCACCAGGCCTCTCCCCTGACAGGGGAGAATTACAATTGGAAATGATATTTCAGTGGAGACACAGAGCCAAAGCATATCAAAGGTGTTATTTTGTTTTTGTTTTGTTTCATTTGACATAATGTGGAGAAAACAATTTTGAAATCCTTAGGCACCAATTCTTAACAAGATACTAATTCTATCAATCCAGGGTTTTCCAAAGAGACAGAATCAATAGGATACATATATATACAGAGAGAGATATTATTAATAGATATAGGTATAGACATAGATACATGAGGGGGATTTTATTAAAGGAATTAGCTCTCGTGCAATTATGGGGATTGAGAAGTCCCATGACAAGCCCTGGGACGGAGACCCTGGGATGCTAGTAGCATGGCTCAGTCCAAGTCTGAAGGCCTCAGAACTAAGGAACCTCATGGTGAGCTCTCTGTTTAAGACTGAAAGCCTGAGAATCTGGAGATGGCAGGGGGCGTGGATATTGGTGTAAGTCCTAGAATCCCACGGCTGGTGAACCTAAAGTTTTGATGTCCAAGACAGGAGAAGAAGAGTATATCTCAGCTCTTTGAAAGAGAGACCTAATTGCCTTTTCTGGTTTTGTTCTAGCCAAGCCCCCAGCTGACTGAATAGTGTCTGCCCACATTGACAGCAGATCTTTGCCACTTAATCCACTCAGATTAACATGCTAATTTCTTCTGGAAATACCTTCTCTCTAGGAATTATCTAATCCAGTCAAGTTGACACCTAAAATTAACTATCACAAGAATATTTGCCTGTCACTACTAAATTCTATACTATACCACTACTAGTTCTACTATTAATTTTATGTCAACTTAGTGCAAAGTTAAGCTTAGATTTTAGTTGTTTGACAAATATAATTGATATACTAAAATAGCTTACAAACTTCAAGCAAGGAAAACGTGTTTAGGTCCTAATATGTCCAGTTTCAGTGTCAGACTGAACTGGGCTTAAAATCCAAATCTACCATGTCATAGTCATATGATGTTGTAGAGATACAGCTAGTTGACATTGGAATCCCACCTAGAATCTAAGGATTCCTGTTCAGGTCAGTACTTCATGAAAGGTTAAAAAATAGTACTTGCAGACTGAGAGATCTTACATTTCTACCTCAAAAGCTGGTAGTAAAAATAAATGAAAATAAATGACTCTTGTGAAATGATTTGTGTAATAATACCATTACCACAAATAGGCTGACTACAATGATTAAATTCGGCTATTATGAAATATCATATTTGCATATTCTATATCCTTCTAGATCTAAATTCTTACGAAGTCACTTCTAAAAATGTTATTTTTCAAAGTGGCCACATGGTGGCAGACTTCAACCAAACAAGGACAGTGTTTCTTAAAAACCCTTCATCATTTTATTTTAAGCGATTTGTAAAAGCCAAAAGTTTACAAAATTAAATCCAGGACAGGCACTATATTTTACACCTTTATAGTCTCAAAACGTAAACTTAGAATTTTATGTACTAAGACAGAGTTCTATTTTGACATCAATGAAGAGCTCTTTCTATGCCTCAAAGATTGCTCTATAGGGTGGAAGAGGGCACAACTTTCTTCCCACTGGATAGCCTTTCTCTTCTGAACCTCTTCTTTTTGACCAAGTGAAAAAAAGTTCTGAGTAATTGGAAAAATCTATTAAGAACATGAGTATCGTGGTCCCACTGGTAAAAGTTTGTAGCTTCTTTGTTGGCTTCACTACTTACTTTCTTGAATGACTTGGGCAATTTCTTAATGCTCCTTGCCTCTATTTTCTTTTCTGTAAGGTGCGAATAATAAAACCAGTTCCTCCAGAGGTTTCCTGTGAGAACTGAATATGCCTGCAGAGCACGTGGAACAGGACTTGCACATAAGAAACATGCAACACGCACTGTTGTTATGATTACTATCCTGTATCATTAACAAAAGAAATGTAAACAATGAAGGGTTATTAAGCTTATCCTTTATATTTGAAAACTGGGGAAAAAATAATCACAGAGTAAATCTAATTTGCAAAATTTTGGGAATAGTGCAGTATACCTGGAAACTGTAAACCAGCACATATTCCTTTCCCTTCCCAGGTGTCCTTCCATCCTTCTTTTGTTTGTTTATACACCTTCCCCAGGGAAATCCCCATGAACACACACACTCATATGCACACACTCACAGCAGCTGAAAGAAGAGTAATCTAGGTAATACTACATCTGGAAACAACAAGGAATGAACATGGCACAGTGAGAATTCTTCAAAGAGAGTTGTAGCATAGAGATAGTCATGTGTCCAGGATAAAAATAAAAAAAATGGTTGAAAAAATATCACTGTATCAAATTCTCACTATTCTCCACTTTCACACAATGCTCCCAGGGCAGAAAGAGAGATGCAGAGGAATATTTGCACATGGAACTAGTATTTAAAATTATTTTTCTCAAAATTGAATATAAGGGGTAAAAGATGATAGTTGTTGGGTTTAGAAGTTATGGAGGAAAGAGCCACAAAAAGAATGACCATTAAGGACCGGGCGCAGTGGCTCACGCCTGTAATAGCAACACTTTGGGAGGCCGAGGCGCGGGGATCACAAGGTCAGGAGATCGAGACCATCCTGGCTAACATGGTGAAACCCCATCTCTACTAAAAATACAAAAAATTAGCTGGGTGTAGTGGTGCATGCCTGTAGTCCCAGCTACTCGGTAGGCTGAGGCAGGAGAATCACTTGAACCTGGGAGACAGAGCTTGCAGTGAGCTGCGATAACGCCACTGCACTCCAGCCTGGGTGACAGAGACTCTGTCTCGAAAAAAAAAAAAAAAAGGAACGAGACTACCAGCTGAAATTACACATCTTCTTCAGCTTTTCTTATTGAACCAGACGACATGAATGAAAGTCAAGTAATTCAAATTAAAATGGTTACTCATTACTGAGAGAGTTGAACATAAATACATTTATTTCTTCCCTTCTTCATACATTTACTTATCCATTTATTCATACAAAAAACATCTGTAAGACTGTATTACATTTTAGTAACTAGGAAGTGCTGTGAATGTGTGTCTGTGTGTGTAACTTGAAAAAATGCACAAATTATGGTTTAGTGATAATAGCATTGTGTCCGGAATTTGTGGGTTCTTGGTCTAGTTGAGTTCAAGAATGAAGCCACGGACCTTCACGGTGAGTGTTACAGCTCATAAACGCAGCAGGTACCCAAAGAGTGAGCAGCAACAGGATTTACTACTAAGAGTGAAAGAACAAACTTTCCACAGCGTGGAAAGTGACTCCACCACGCAATGTGGGCTGGGGAGCTGCTTTTATTCCCCTATCTGACCACCCACCCCCGCCCCCCCCCCGCGCCCCACCCACATCCTGCTGATTGGCCCATTTTACAGAGAGCTGATTGGTCTGTTTTGACAGAGTGCTGATTGGTGCATTTACAAACTTTTAGCTAGACACAGAATGATGATTGGTGCATTTACAATCCTTTAGCTAGACACAAAAGTTCTCTAACTCCCCACCCCATTAGCTAGACATAGAGCGCTGATTGATGCACTTACAATCCTTTAGCTAGACACAGAGTGCTGATTGGTGAATTTACAATCCTTTAGCTAGACAGAAAAGTTCTCCAAGTCCCCACTAGTTTAGCTAGACACAGAGCACTGATTGGTGTGTTTACAAACCTTGAGCTAGACACAGGGTGCCGATTGGTGTGTTTACAAACCTTGAGCTAGACACAAAGTCCTGATTGGTGCATTTACAAACCTTTAGCTAGACATATAAGTTCTCCAAGTCCCCACCCAACTTAGGATCCCAGCTGGCTGCTCCTAGTGGATCCCATGCCCGCCAGGGCCTCTGGCCACACTGCTCGCCAGTCCCGTGCTGCCGGCCTACACTCCTCAGCCGTTGGGCGGTAGCTGGGACTGGGCACCGTGGAGCAGGGGGCAGCGCATGTTGGAGAGGTGCCAGTAGTGCGGGAGCCCAAGGCGGGGGAAGCGGGGGTTTGGGGGGTTTTAGGGGGCCGGGCCAGACATGGCGGGCTGCAGGTCTCCAGCCCTGCGCCGGCAGAGAGGCGGCTGAGGCCGGGTGAGAATTCGAGTGCAGCGTGGGCGGGCCAACAGTGCTGGGGGACCCAGCGCACCCTCCGCAGCTGCTGGCCTGGGAACTAAGCCCTTCACTGCCCCGGGCCGGAGATGCCAGTAGGCTGCTCCAAGTGCGGGACCCGCTGAGCCCATGCCCACCTGGAACTCGCGCTGGCCCGCGAGCCTGGCGCGCAGCCCCGGTTCCCGCCCTGTCTCTCCCTCCACACTTCCCCGCAAGCAGAGGGAGCTGGCTCTGGCCTCAGCCAGCCCAGAGAGGGGCCCCCCCAGTGCAGTGGTGAGCTGAAGGGCTCCTCCAGCATGGCTAGAGTGGATGCTGAGGGGAGCAGGCGCAGAGAGCGAGCCAGGGCTGCTAGCACGTTGTCACCTCTCAGTATGACTTAGGGAAAGTTACTATAAAATATGAGAGATTGAAAACAGGAGATATGGCAGAAGTTAATATAGCACTTTCATACATGTTATCTACTGCACAATGAAACAAAATATAACAATTCCTATATTTCAAACAATTATATAAAATAATAAAAACATTTCCTATAATTGGAACTCTAAAAACTAATTATGTGGCACAGATGAATTAAGGTATATGTATAAAGACCACATCCTTTTACCTATGGTTCTAGCATTTAACTAATTATCACTGAAAACTGAAAATAAAATAGCCTAGAGTAGCAGTCCCCAACCTTATTGGCACCGGGGACTGGTTTCATAGAAGAGAATTTTTCCAAGGACCAGAGGTTGGTGAGAAATGGTTTTGGGATGTTTCAAGCACATTACATTTATTGTGCACTTTATTATTATTACATTGTAATATATAATGAAATAATTATACAACTCACCATAATATAGAATCAGTGGGAGCCTTGAGCTTGTTTTGCTACAACTAGAAGGTCCCATCTGGGGGAGATCGGAGATAGTGTCACCAGAAGTGTGTTATGTCCAGTCTACTCTGTAATTTCGTTTTGGTTGCTGTCACTGCTGAAAACCCTTCTTCACAAAGATAGGATGCTGGAAATGAAAGCAGGCCTTTCAGTGGTTTTGTGGCAATCTCAGGATATTCCACCTTGACTTTAATCCAGAGAGTATAGAGATTTGAAGTTGTCTTAAACATACTTTTAAGGCCACCATCATTTGTGATCTCCAGCAGTTGATCCTCTTCTAGCAGAGTCAAAGTTGATTCACCTGGCTTATTCACAACTGGGTCATGGATCCATTCCTTCCCATTCTGGGGTCTTTTGTGCTTGCAAAGTAATGCTCAAATTCTTTTGAAAGTTGAGATTGGTGATCGCGCACCAGCTGGAAGAAAGAAGAAGACCCTGGCTCAGTCTCTTTCCAAATCTCTGCTAAAGTTTGAGACATATCAGAAATCCCGATGTTCACTCATTGCCCACATAATTCCAGTTTGGCTTTGCATGCAGCCACTTTATCTGCCAACTTGAACACAGTTGTCATTCTCCCCTGAAGTGACACATTGAGTTTGTTGAGCAGGTTGAATATGTCACATAAGTAAGCAAATTTTGCAGCCTATTCTGTGTCACTAAAATGTGCTACCAGTGCTGTTTTTCTAAAAGAAATCTCTGAAGTGGCTTTCATAACTCAAAAATTCTGGCTGGTGATCTACCTTTAGAAAGCCATCTCCCTTCTGTGTATAAGAAGTGTGTGTGCTCTGCACAGAATTGTGTGAACAGATGTGAGTTAAGGGCATGTACTTTAATGTGGTTGATAATTTTATGCAAAACGTTGTTAAGTTCAGGTGACATTTTTCAGTTAGCCAGCATTTCATTATGGATGACATAATGTGCGGATTCACATTCAGAAGTGACCTCTTTGACTTGAGTAGTGAAACCAGAAAGCCCTCCAGTCATGGCAGCCACTCCATCCATGCATATACCGATACAAAATGACCAGTTCAGTTTTCCTGATACGTAATCATTCAAAGATGTGAACAGTTCTTCATCCGTGGTGTTGGTTGGCAATAAAGCACACATAATATATCCTCGTGCACATCCTCCTGAAAAATGTATCCCACAAAAACAAGCATTGTTGCCTTTTGTCAACATTGGTAGACTTGCCAACCTGGATGGTGTACCATGGTGACTTAGTCCTCTCTAAATTAGTACTCTAATTTAATCAATTTGTCTAGTTATGGTGCTAGCCAAAAGAGGAACATATGCCACCTTTTGAATTGGAAATTCTTTTAAAAGTCCACAACAAATGTTCTTAGCAGCAGGCAGGATCAACTCTTGACCAATAGTAAAGGACTTACTAGCTTTAGCAATGCAGCTAAGAATGATGCTGTCCGGGCAGATACATTGGATGAAGTGGTGGCCTTCAATAATTGCTTCTGTTCTTTGTGTCCATGTTTTTTTCTCTTCTGAAAAACTCCAAAGGCTTATGTTTAAGTGCAGAGTGCTTGGTCTCCATGTGGCAAAGCAGTTTTGAAGATTTCATGGCTTCATTGGATAGCCTGTCACTATATATTATACAAAGTGGGCTTGGAGAATGTGAATCACCTGTTGCAATGAACCTGTAATTTAAGTAGAACTCTTGGTATTTTCCTTTACATGAAGCTTTTTTGTTGTCGTTGTTGGCAGTCTTACAGTCTTCTGCTGTCTCCTCACTGGGTCTTTGCCTTTTTTCAAAGAAGCTCTCCAATGACATTTGTTTTATACTCATTTTAGCTATGGGTAGCTTGTGGGCTTGCCAAAGCTGTGTCTGAGACAAGTGCGCAGTGCAGTAAAGAGGTGCAGGAGGAAATGGTAAATAAAATAATGGGTGGGCCACGCGCTGACTAAAGTAAGTGTTTGATTCTGACTTAAAGCCTGCACCAGAGGCAGCTTCATTGTCACATGTCACTCACTGATAGGGTTTTGGTATGAGTCTAACAGCAATTGATTTATTATGGTCTCTGTGCAGTCAAACCTCTCTGCCAATGTTAACTTCTATTTGCAGCTGCTCCCCAGCACTGGCATCACTTCCTCAGTTCTGCCTCAGGTCACCAGGCAGCAGAATTCTCATAAGGAGTATGCAACCTAGATCCCTCACATGCACAGTTCATAATAGTGTCTGCAGTCCTATGAGAGTCTAATGCCGCCACTGATCTGACAGAAGATGTAGCTTGGGTGGTAATGGGAACAATGGGGAGTGGCTGTAAACACAGATGAAGCTTTGCTCATTTGCTCACAGCTCACCTCCTTCTGTGTGTCCCGGTTCCTAACAGGCCACAGAAGGATAGTGGTCTGTGGCCTGGGGGTTGGCGACATCTGCCCTAGAATATAAAATGTTTGTCTTCTTTCCATTAGCATACTTTACTAAAAATTCACTATTATGTATTTTTAAAAATATGTTGCTTTCTTTTAATATTTATTCAAGTATCAAATATCATGTGATAAGATCTCATAATATGTTGTGGTAGTCTACTGCTAGTCTAGATTTGGCCAATTGCTAATCAAATTTATTTTCTCTAACCAGCTGTCACTTCTTCCTTACATGTGTGTTGAATAATCACATCTTTCTCTCTCATTGCACTCACCCACCGAATTCAGACTCATTGTCTTATACAGTGATTATTAGAAGAGGTTAACTTTGAAAGTTGGGAGTACAGTGTTAGAACTTCTATTAATTTTAATTTTATCCTTTGAAGATGTGAATGATTTGTTTTATAATATGTTTTTAGGTATTAAAGTCACTAGAAAAGCAACTGCAACTTAAGCAAATAAACATATTAGTTACCATATAAAAGCACTTATTTCTGAGGAGTGCTAGCAGAAAGCAGCTTTATTCTTTCTCACATCTGCTCATTTCCTAACACCATATGCAGTCTACTATCTCCTCAGTAATTTGGATACAATCTTTATGAGTGGTAGAGGTTTGGGTATTTTCAGGTCTACTCCAGTCTAATATTGGAGTTCTTCTAATTTAAAGCATTTCTCAGTCTTCACCTTGGGGCTGCCTCAAATGTGCATACTGACAGTGCAGTGAACAGATTGTGGTTCAGCTTCTCTTTCCTTCATTCCACCCTATTTGTGCTACTCCGTCTCCTTCAGGTTTGGAGAATGTGAAGGAGCAGCAGTGAAGGACAGAAAAAGTCCTGAGTGGCCCACAGGTAATCAGAGGTGACAGATGGCCAAAGCCTCCTCCTTCTCTGAGTTCCCAAGAGACCCTGTGCTTTGGGCTTCCAGCTGAGGTCCTCTCTGTGGTGCTGCCTTTGCCAGCTGTCCACTTAGAACCCCCCAGCCCACTATTGCACTCAATGTTCACTTTCACACTCTCTCTGCTGAGGTCTCTTCCTTCAGGTCAGGAAAATGTGTTTATGCATCCTATTCAAGGATGCTTGCTTTCATCCAGGTGTCCATAGATAATGCATGGAGATGAGAGCATAAATTTGACCCACTGTAGGTGGAAGTGCAGCTCACTCTAGGGTACACTCACTATAGAAACAACCTCTATATTTGTCTCCTAATGAAATTTCACAGCACACACATCAATCTCTGCATGTTACTCTGTCTTTGGTGAAGAGGAACACCACACTTCTCTCCACTGTGGAGTGGGTAGGAAACTGGGCAAGGCATTCCATAAAGGGCTTGTCAGAATTCAACTTTAGATTCACCCCTTGTCTTCTCTTCCTAGGCTCGGTGTGGGTAATGGGCTAATGCTGACAAAAACAGATTCACAGTGTTCTGAGTAGGTAGTCTACTATCTCACATTAGAATAGGAAAGTTTCATTTTGAGGGTTAATTACATTGATCTCAGCATTTGGAACTATAGTGAAATTCTATTACTATGGAAATGTCATATCTAAACCTAATGCAATACATATTTGCATTTTATCAAAATGAAAGTGATGTGCAATAAAACAAATTTTAGATCACTGATGTCAGAGTTAAAATATAAACCTTATAGTAGGTCTAGGTTTGAATTCAGGAAGGGATTAGTATTATCTGATCCCCTGTAATGATGGGACCAGTATTATCTGTGTGACCTTGGGCAAGTTACTTAATTTTTTAAGTTTAATTTTCATTTCCTTTATGAAAGAATAATAACAAAACTGTCTCACATATTAAATTGTATAGGATTAAATGAGAAAACATACAATGTTATCATTAAGTGCTTAACACACTATCACAGTAAGTACATTTAATAAACAGTAGTTAAAAACATCACATTTCATTACTCTTCTGCAACCATGCTCTCATTCCTCAACCTGGTCACATCCAATTGAGGTCAAATTAATGCTGCAAATATCCTACATTTGTCACATGCCTAGCTTCCTTAGGAATTAGCAATGCCTCCCTGGCCTAAGTCAAGAGCAAATGTTTTTGTCCTAACAATCAATACTGTCCTAAATTTCTATCAAATCCTCCACCTAATTATATTTTTATCCAAAAGCTGCCTACTCTAGCCTGTCTGTTTACAACCAACTATGTACAGCTCACCCACAAACAACATAGGTTTGTACTATGCAGGTCAACTTATATACAGATATTCCTTATGCCTCTGCCACCCCTGGGACAGCAAGATCAACCCCTCCTTCTCCTCTTTCTCAGCCCACCCAACTGAAAATAGTGACAATCCACTTCCACTTAATACGGAGTAAATATATTTTGTTTTCTTTATGGTTTTCTTTAAAGAATTTCATTTCTCTAGCTTACTTCATTGTAAGAATACAGCATATAATATACAACATATGTGTTAATAGACTATTTATGGTATAAATAAGGCTTCTGGTAAACAATAGAGCATAAGTAGTTAAGTTTTGGGGAAGTCAAAACTTATTCTCATATTTTTTGACTGTGAGGGGAGTCCATGCTCCTAACCTCTGTGTTGTTGAAGGGTCAACTCTACATTTCTTTCTTTCTGACTTTACTTATAGTGTTTTTCTTACCAAGATCATTCTTTCTTCTCTTTAATCATCAAAATTCTACCCCTTTTTAAAGCCCAAATTTAAGCCCATAAATTTTATCTGATCTTTCAAACCTGTTGTATTCTTAAACTTCTTTCTTTAATGACATACTTTTTCTCTCTTTTGATTGGCAGGCCATCCAAGTTGGCTCATACTTTTCTTGCAGACTTCGATGAAATACACTCCTAGGAGTGCAGCAGCCTCAGAAGAGCCACATGATGCAACCCAGAATTATAGGAAGTTGTTTTCTGATGTACCTTGACCACTGGGAAATAGGAGATACATCCCACATCTTTTCTCTTGCTTGTATACTCCTCTGAGGAGGATACACCTCACGACCCTTTTAGCAATGTTACTTGTGCTGCATAAATCTGCCTGTGAGATACCTGCTGTGTCCCTTCAGGGGTTGCCTTGAAGAAAGGGCCAGTACAGTAATGCTTCATATCACAGTATATAGCATTTCATCTTTCTATGCCTTGTTCTTTTTTTTAACTTTTTTCATCATCCTTAATTTTCTGGGACAGTGCCTCCCAAATAAAAGGTCGTCATTTAATCTAAACCTCCTGGTTTCCTTTCTAAAGGACCTAGGCCTAGACATCTGAAAAGTTTCTTTTTCCACATAATGCCTAAAATTATACAATATGGACAATACTCATTCAGCACTTAATATTCATTTTTTTCTTTGATCTCATAGTATTGTTATTAAACTTTTTAAATCCCTCCATAAACCATTTAGATGATGTCTTATTTATGACAAGAGTCCACATTCTTTTATTTTTTAGTCTATTGTCTAGTAACATTATGTCCAATAAGGATGCCCACTATAGAGTTTCGATAAGAAATACATGAATAAGAGACCTGTTTACGTCCATTCAGTTATATAAGTATTTCATGTTAGACATAGAAAACTTTCTATAAACATTTTATCTCACTGTCAAGGAGTTATTTCTCTTTGTTTATAGATTTAAAATTATTATAGATGTTTAAAGATGAAACGTTCTTAAAAACAAAAGAAAACATCTTCATATAAACCATATTTTTATTTCCCTAATTCTTATTTCCTCAGGGTTTCCAAATGAATCAGCAAAATTTTCAAAGGTAACATTTAGCAAATAATGATAGTAAACCAGGAATAGAAGGCTTAGGTTTCATCTGTAATTGAAAAATGAGACCCATAGCAAGGCAAATAAAGTAAGCAAGCAAACTATAAGGCACTTTAAACATTTGTGGTATTGTTTTTACATTGTTGCAGGCTGACTTTGTAAATTCTGGAAAGGTGTAAAAGACAAAAAGAAAAAAAGCCTTGTATAAAACTTTGGGACTGTACAAACTTAGTGAATACACATTGTTGTGTTGGGCAGTTGATATTTTGACAGTTTGCAGGTGACTATTTAGAAATGTTGATACTCTTAAACTGTAATAATTAAGTATTAAACTTGGGAGACATCTGAGAAATAACCTAATTTAACCCACACAGGAAGCACCTTTAACAGAGAAAAGGAAAGTGGTACCTCAAAACCTTTCATCTAATAAGTGGAAGAACTGACTTTGGAATTTACAAATTCTGAATTTTGGTACAGTGTCCTTAAACTACATCATTATTTCACAATTGTTTAATTAAAATTAAATGAATATTATATGCTCCATTATTGTATCATTATATCATTTTATAATAAGCAGTATCTTTAAAAATCATGTAACGCAAATTTGGAGTCGGTGATACTAAATTTTACAAACGAGACCTAGAAAATGTGAACAAATACCCTCCTTAGAGGCTGTTTTAAAGCAATAAGGAACTCTTTAGATAAATGATTATAAAGATAAATATTTATTTTTAAATTTAATATTTGAAAGTGTACTTTGTAAGGCAAGATCACCACAAGACATGGAATACTCTTGGGTATTAACTTGTAATTAAGTTTCAAGCAATAAATTCAGTGAATATGTTATGTATATAGTGTCTTATAAAATCAATCAGTAGTTGTTTAATAAATATTTACTCTGCTTAAATTACTGAGCTATATACCACATAGATGAGTTGTGAAAAAATTATGGGAAAATTTGAAGAGATTTGAATGGTTCTACCTATAATGTTACTATCAATATACTAAAAGACTATGCCAGAGGCTTAGAAATAATTTTGATTTGTTGGAATAGAAAATGAGGTGAAAAGAACAAATAGAGAACAATCTTTGTAACAGTATATTTGAAATTAGAATGATATCTCAGTTGATAGCTTCTCAATGGTCTCTATAATTAAATTATATTTAATAGAAGAGTTTCAGGTTTGCAGAAATATTAAACAGAAATTACAGAAAGTTTCCATACACTCACTGCCCCTACACACTCACAACCTCCCTGCATAAACATTGTGCCCCACAGTACTACACTTGCTACAATCAGTGAGCCTAAATTGACACAACAGGGTCACCTAGAGTCTATAGTTCACATGAGGGTTCATTCTCTGTATTGTACAGTGTTGTAGAGTCTATGGGTTTTGAAAAATGTATAATGGCATGTCTTCCCCACTGTAGCATCATACAGAATAGTTTTACTACCCCAAATATTCTCTGTGCTCTGCCTATGTGTTCCTCTCTTCCCTCTAATTCTTGACAACCACAGACTTTTTTACTGTCTCCATAGTTTTGACTTTACCAAATGTCATATAGTTAGAATCATACCGTATGTAACCTTTTCAGATTGTCTTCTTTCATTCAGTAATATGCGTTTAAGTTTTTTCTATGTTCTTTCATGACTTATTAGCTCATTTCTTTAGAGCACTGCATGATATTTTATTTTCTAGATCTACCACAGTTTACTAATTCATTTACCTACTAAAGGATATATATATGATTATATATCATATATATTATAAAGGATATATATGATTATATATTATATATGTGAATATATGTATGATTATATTATAAAGTATATATGATTCTAATATATTAGACACAACTAATTTCTAAGGAGAAAAAAACCCAAGGCAGTGAAAATGATATAAAGTGTTGCTGGGGTATTAGATTTAAATAAGTTGGCTTTCAGTTAGTCCATTTGAATAATTAATAGATGGGTCAGAAAGGGCCTTACTAAAGAAAGGACATTTGAAAAATGACCTGAAGAAGCAGTCAAGAGAGTTTCTCCTGTAGTTATCTGGTGGAATATCAGATATCTGATCTGTGAATATCTGGTAGAAGTGCAAAGGTCCTGCAGTTGGAGTGTGTCTGGCATGTTCAAGGAACAACAAAGAAGCCAGTGTGACTGGAATGTAATCAACAGGAGGAAAAAGAGTAGAGATGAAGTCAGAGAGCTAATGGAGTGATAGGAGATGAATTGTATAGGACCTTGTAGTTCATAGTAAGGACTTTGGATTTCATCTTCATTTTAATCTTTTAGATTAATGTCCTTCAAACAAAATAAATATTACTAACAGAGCCAATAGCCAGTAGAATGAATGGATAGATATAGATAGATAGATAGATAGATAGATACATACATACATACATACATACATACATACATAGATAAATAAATAGACAGATAATAATGAGTTTGCCACTGCAATTATACAGGCTGACAGTTCCCAGGATCTGCAGCCAAAAAGCTGGAATCCCAAGAGAGTTGATGATTTAGTTCAATCTAATGGCTGTAAGGCTAAAGACCCAGCAGGAACCATTGGTTTAGCTCAAATTTGAAGGCAGGAAAACACAATTTCCCAGCCCAAAGGCAATCAGACAGAAGGAATTCTTTATTACTCAGTGTTACTGTTCTAATCAGGCCTTCAACTCATTTTGGGAGAGGCAATCTTCTTTACTAAGTCTACTGATTTAAGTGTTAATCTCATCCAGAAATACCTTCACAGACACATCCAAAACAATGTTTGTCCAAATGTCTGAGCACCCATGATCTACTTAATTTGACAAACAAAATTCACCATCACAAGTGTTAGTCCTTACATATATATTTTTATGTCTAAATTATTATTTAGAAGAAAGAAATGTGAACTAATTTCATCATTTTATAATTCTGGATAAAGACATTGTCTTAGTCTGTTTTGTGTTGCTGTAACAGACTAACGATATAACAGACTAGGTAATTTATAAAGAAAAGAAATTTATTTATTAAAGTTCTGGAGGCTGAGAAGTTCAAGGCTGAAGAAGTTCTGTATCTTCTAAGGGTCTTCTTGGTGCATTATCCCATGGCAAAAGCTGAAAGGCCAATAGAGCATGAAAAAGCCAGAGAGCAAGAAGGGTCTGAACTCACTCTTTAGTAAGGGAGATGGGAACAATAGACACTGGTGACTGCTTCAGAAAGGAGGGTAAGAGTGGGGCATGAGTTGGAAGGCTATTAGGTACTATGCTCACTATCTTGGTGATGAGATTATTTATCCATCAAGCCTTAGTGACAGGCAATTTTTCCATGTAAGAAACTTGCAAACATACCCCTTGAACCTAAAATAAAATTAGAACAGAAAAATATAAATACAAATTTTAAAATTAAAATATTCAAAATTAACTTTGCTATATCTTGGATTATTGAGTTCCCTTGGAGGGGCACTAGAGCCAACTGACAATGGCTCCCAAGAGCAATTGTGCATATTTCATTGCAATCTTGTGTTTAGGGTATCATGCTGGTCAATTGAAATCAGCCACAATGGGAGCATTTATACAGAAACAATGGACAAATGTAACAAATTAGGGCTCCTCCTATACCACAAAAGCTGATTCTTAAAAATTGCTACATATTATATTTATTTATGCATATTTTTACTAAATAAACTAAAGAAAATTGGTTACATTTAAAATAGAATCTTTTCAGTATAGCTTAAAATAATCAATTTTATAATGTTAAGCAGTAAAAATGGAAATTTCTACCATGTGTATTAAGTCCTATGCTTTTTGATCACCTTTAAAAAATTCAGAAAGAAAAAGTGTATTAAATGAAATTCAGGGGATTGCATTTCTATTAAATACATATATCATTGCAAATGATTATTCTAATGTGTGCCTTATAGTAAATGCTTAATAATTTTTTAACAATTCATTTTAACTTTTAAATTTTTATTTATTTATATTTTTCTTTTCTAATTTTATTTTAGGTTCAGGGGGTATGTTTGCAAGTTTCTTACATGGATAAATTGCCTGTCGCTAAGGCTTGATGTATAAATAGTCTCATTACCAAGGTAGTGAGCATAGTACCTAATAGCCTTCCAACTCATGCCCCACTCTTACCCTCCTTTCTCAAGCAGTCACCAGTATCTATTTTTCCCACCTTTGTGTCCACGTGTATTAAATGTTTAGTTCCCTTTTATAAGTGAAAATGTGATAGTTGGTTTTCTGTTCCTGCTTTAGTTACCTTAGAATAATGGCCTCTAGCTGTATCCATATTGCTGCAAAGGACATGATTTCATTACTTTTTTATGGCTGCATAGTATTCTATGGTGTATATGTACCATATTTTCTTTATTGAGTCCAGCATGGACATACATCTTGGTTAATTCTATGTCTTTGCTATTGTGAATAGTGTTGCAATGAATATAGAAATGCATGTATTTTTTTGGTAGAACAATTTATTCTCCTTTGGTTGTATAACCAATAGTGAAATTTCTGGGTTAAATAGTCGTGTTTTAAGCTCTTTGGGAAATCTTCACACTGCTTTTCATGGTGGGAAACTAATTTATATCCCCACCAGCAGTGTATAAGTGTTCTCTTTGCTCTACTACCTTACCAGCATCTGTTATTTTTTGATCTTTTAATAATGGCCATTCTGACTGGTGTGAGATGTTATCTTGTTGTGGTTTTGACGATTAGTGCATTAGTCTGTTCTCACACTGCTATAAAGCACTACCTGAGACTGGGTAATTTATGAAGAAAAGAGGTTTAATTGACTTACAGTTCCACAGGCTGTACAGGAGACCTCAGGAAACTTTTAATCATGGTGGAAGGTGAAAGGGAAGCAAGCACGTCTTACCATGGCAGAGCAGGAAAGAGACAGCAAAGGGGAAAGTGCTACATACTTTTAAACAACCAGATCTTGTGATAACTATCACAAGAACAACAAGGGAAAATCTGCCCTTGCTGACCTCCCACCAGGTCCCTCTGCCAACATTGGGATTTATAATTCCACATGATATTTGGTTGGGGACACAGAGCCAAACCATATCAACTAGTGATGATAAGCATTTTTTCATATATTTCTTAGCCACATGTATGCCTTCTTTTGAGAAATGTCTGTTAATATAATTTGTCCACATTTTTAATGGGATTATTTGTCTTTTGCTTATTGAAGTGCTTAAGTACCTTATAGATTCTAGATACTAGACCTTTGTCAGAAGCAAAGTTTGGGAATATTTTTTTCCTTTCTGTAGGTTATCTATTTACTCTGCTCATAGTTTATTTTTCTGTGCAGAAACCCTTTAGTTTAATTAGGTCTGACTGGTTAATTTTTGTTTTTGTTGCAATTGCTTTTGGGGGCTTAGTCATAAATTCTTTGCTAAGGCCAATGTCCGGAATGATATTTCCCAGGTTTTCTTCCAGGGTTCTTACAGTTTTAGGTCTATCGTTTAAGTATTTAATCCATCTTGAATTAATTTTTGTATATGGCGAAAGAAATGGGTCAAGTGTCAATCTTCTGCATATGGCTAGTCAGTTATCCCAACAACATTTACTGAATGGAGTCTCTTTTCATCATTGTTTGTTATTCTTAACCATCTGGGGCCTCCTGGAGCCAAGGGGACAAAGCAGTTGAGAAGGCAGCCCAGGTCAGGCACGCTGGAGAGACAAAGGCCCTGCCTTTTTTCACTGGAAGTAGCAGAATTAGACATAATCATATTTGTAGTAAAAGAATGTAAAAATACAAAAATGTTTTGTAGCCAGATGTGGTGGTGCTCACCTCTAGTCCCAGCTGCTTGTGAGGCTGAGGAGGGAAGATTGCTTGAGCCTGGGAAATTGAAGCTTCAGTGATCCATTATCATGCCACTGCACTGCAGCCTGGGTGACAGAGTGAGTTCCTGTTTCAAAAAAAAAAGAAAGAAAGAAAGAAAAAGAATGTTATGTAACTACCTTCTCCCGCTGTGTCCTCCCTACCTAATACAAATTCTCAAGAAAAGTTTATATATTTACATATGAAGATGCTGATTTGCATAAAAAAATGTAAAATCAAATATACAAGAAAATAGCACATATTTTTAGTTATCTGTACATTGATACTTACATGTAAACACACACCCTATGCACATAAACTCATATATGTATTAATTTTAAATGGAATTATGCCATACTTTTAAAAAACTTTTAAAAATCGAATATAGCAGTAATTTTCCAGGTCAGTACATAAAGATACAACTCAGGATATATTTATAGGTTTACACGACCTTACCAGAGGCCCTTGGGACTAGATGTTTTGAAATTCAGGGTTTTGTGAATGATAATATGATGCATGTGCTGCATGTTATTATAGCATTTCCAACTATGTCTTGGGTGGCACAGCCTAATCAAACACATTAATATTTGCACAGGGACCTGAATGCGTAGTCACACCAAATAAAATAAATAGAGATTTTGTAAAGTCTCATGTCTGGCCAGTCTAGGTTTTATCTCCAAATTAGTTAATGTTAGATTTGCAGAAGAGATTATAGATATTTATAATTTCCTGCCTTTTAAAAAGTGTGTTAATATAAAATATATGTAAAAAATGCACAAAAAAATGTTGTCTTGGATGAAGCAGAGAGGAAGTCAGTTCAAAATGCCATGGAGCTCTCTGGAACCCCGGAATCTCAGAAGTGGCATGACACTTCAGGCAAGTAAACAGTCTGCAGACGGGTGATTTTATGCAACCTTTTTTGTGACTCTGTGATGCAAACCAGGCACAGAGCCACATTCAGCTTCTTGATCAAATCCTGACATATACGCACCACAAGCAAGCATTCTATACACCCAGGTGGTGTGGAGGGAGCTTTAAAGATGAGCTGAAAGATTTACCGGGTCATCTGAAGAAAACCAGCGTGGGAATATTCTGTTCTGCCAATATATGGAAGTAGCAAGAAGAAACGACTGGCTAATGGATGTGCTGCAGTCTTCCCACATGTAGAAACAAGCACAAGGGTGTCTGCTGGTCACACATCTGTCACGAATATTGTGAAATAAGGGAAGTTTGCATTCTTGGATTTATTTCATCCTCTTTGAAGGAATTCAAAGAACTGATTATGATTCATATGTACTAGTCATGAAAATAAAGCAGTAGTTCTTTGCATTATCCTACTGTGTACAGTGAAATAAGTTCTCTTTGAAAAATCACATCCATCTATTTTTGTCCACATTATCATTACTACATGGGAGACTAAAACCAAAGACGTCAACTTCTGGCTCAAGGGGATCTGTCATTGCCTTTGATTTCCTGTGAAAATGGCTATAAGTCAAGAAAGACGGAATTTAGAGTTCATGCTCATGTATGTACATGCATTTGGTATTTATCTATTATATGTAATAATTTCAAGTCAATGTTTCACGTTTTTGCCCATTCTAATTCATCAGTCTATGTAGTGTTTCAGCATGGTTTTAGATTTTTACATTGTATTTAAGCTAACAAGCAACAAAAAATCAAGATATGCTTTCTAAATGAATAAATGAAGGGGTTATCTGTTAACATTCATGTTCTAATATAAATGATGAAATAGTTAAAAGCATAGCTTTGAAACAAGAAAACTTTATTTTATTCCAAATTCTGCCACATTTGAGTGTTATTTTTTTTCAAGCTGCTTAACTTATTTGAAACTTTCCTATTGTTATCAGAGTCATTGTGATTGTGTTTTAATCTCAGAAAATGACTGTAAAAAGGTCTTACAGAAATTTAAAACACTATTATTTTTTATTCATGCATTTATCAAATCTTTAGTGAGTCCATTAACTGGCAGGCATTGCTAGCTCCTGGGGTACATACATAAGATTTAACATGGGCATTTTTAGAAGGCAGACTGTGAGAAAAAAATGGAGTATAAAATTCCTATAGGATATTCCAGTATAATCAACGTTGAAAATGATTAGAACAAGGTTCTTCGTATCATAATTAATGTTGTAAAAGTAACCACCACTGGCCCTGGTGCACATGGTCTGGAGGCCTGGGGATTGACACATCCTGCCCACCACCGCCGTTGCCTGTGCATACCACCTGAGCAACCAAAAGGGTTTCCCCACCTGCTGCTGCCGCCACTGCCAGCACCTGTGGATGTTATCTGTGGGCCTGGGAATAGATCTGCCCCACCCACCTCCACTGGTGTCTATGTGCACCATCCAGGGGCCTGAAGACAGTTGTTCCTCATCCACCACCACTGCTGCCAACACCCATTTGTGTCATCCAGAAATCTGGGCATTAATCCACTTTGCCAGTACTACTGGTGCCAGCACACACCATCTAGGTGCTTGAAGACAGGCTTGTCCTGCTCGCCACTGGCACCTCAGGAGGTGCCTGAGAAGTCCACCTGGTGTCTCTGTTCCCAGCAAAGCCTCACCACAGCCTGCACTAACAACTGCTGCCTAAGTCACCAAGGAACTCACAGACACCATTGACACTGGTTACAGCCAAAGAAATCATACCGAGATTAAACCGCGGGGCTCATCCAGAATTAAAGCCAAAGTACTCCACACAATCAACACTATAGGTACATCTTTAGGAAACAGTCTTTCCCTATAAAAGCCAATCTATAAAAGTAGAAATGACTGTTACACCAGATGCAAGGCTTTTGATGTAAGGATACGAGAAATATGAAAAAGCAGAGAAGCACGGCACCCCTAAAGAAACACAATAATTCTGGTAACAGATCCCAAATAAAAGGAAATTTATGAAATACCTGAAACATATTCAAAATAATGATATCAAAGAAACTCAGTGAGATAGAAGAGAACACAGATAAACAATACAAAAATATCAGAAAAGCAATTCATGATCTGAGTGAGAAACTTAACCAAGAAGTAGATAGTATTAAAAGGAACCAAACAGAAATCCTAGACTGAAAAAAAATGAATAAATAAAATTAAAAATACAACCAAGAGTTTCAATAATAGACCAGATCAAGCAGAAGAAAACTTTTCTGAACTCGAAGACAGGTCTTTTGTAATAACCCACCAGACAGAAAAAAAAAAAAAAAGACGAAAATCTCAGATACTTGGGAACCTGGGAGGCAGAGGTCACAGTGGACCAAGATCACACCCCTGCACTCCAGCCTGGGTGACAGAGTGAGACTCTGTCTCAAAACAAAAGGATTAAATCGTTACATTTTGTATGGTCCAGAAGGAGGAGAGATGGGCAAAGACATAGAAAACCTATTTAACAAAACAATAGTTGAAAAATTTCCAAGTCTTGCAAGAAATATAGTTACCTGTAGATACAGGAAGTTCAAAGATAATTCAGTCATTTTAAAAAAAGGAAATCTTGTCATTTGCAGCAACATGCATGGAACTGGAATTCAATATATTAAGTGAAATAACTCAGGCACAGAATGACAAAAACCACATGATAGCTTATATAAGAACATTAAAAACTAGATCTCATGGAGATAGAGAATAGAATGATAGATACAGAGGCTGGGAAGAGTGTGCAATTATTATAATATCTTTAAAATTTGCAGAAATACATGAGAAATAGAAATATTAACACATTTTAATAGAAGTATTAATTACATTTCTGAAAAGCAATGTAGGATATTTAAGAAACTGAAAAAGTGCATGTTCTATGATAGAAGGATTTCACTTTCAGAAACCCTAATTTATAAAAATGCAAGTCTCAGTCTATAAGTGTTGGTACAGCAGCAGTTGTGTCTTTTTTTTTTTTTATTTTATTGCAGTAATCTTTTTTTTTTTTTTTTTTTTGAGACGGAGTCTTGCTGCTCTGTAGCCCAGGCTGGATGGAGTACAGTGGTGAGATCTCAGCTCACTGCCACCTCTGCCTCCTGGGTTCAAGTGATTTTCCTGCCTCAGCCTCTCAAATACCTGGGACTAAAGGTGCATGCCACCACACCCGGCTAATTTTTTGTATTTTCAGTAGTGACGGGGTTTCACCGTGTTAGCCAGGATGGTCTCCATCTCCTGACTTTGTGATCCACCCACCTTGGCCTCTCAAGGTGCTGGGATTACAGGCGTGAGCCACCGCACTCTGCCTATTGCAGCAATCTTTATACAATTCTACAAACCATTTACTAAAACGCTTATGACCAGATATATTTAAGAATTCTAATGTTTTAGGATTTTATAACAATAATATAAAACATAGTTAATATATTATTAATAATATTCAGTTTTCTTAAGCAGCACCTTTTAGTTTAACACATTAATATTTCTGCATTAAATGTTTAAATATTCAAACTAATTACGTTAAATAAAGATTATAAATAGCTTTATATTGCTTCAGATCAGGTTTTCCACCAAATGTATTCAGAAAAACATTAATTTTAGAATTGTAAACAAGGTTTTTATGGACCTTTAATTGGTTTAAAATTTTTTTAAAAACAACCAATAAATAATCTGGATGGAAGCCATAGAAAATGTTATGCTTCTATTTAAAATATTAATGTAGTAGTATTGACCTGGAAAAATGACTGTGATAAACTATGTAATTAAATTTTTTTTTAAAGTAGCATGAACAGTATAATCACATTTTTCTACAAAAATTTACCTGTGTATCTTTATTTGCAGTTTAAGCATGGAGAAAAGTACAGAAGTATATATGCACAGAAAACTACTATATAATGCAGTCACATTTAAACATATTGATATATTAGAAAAGTTGAAAAATATAGTAGGACTTACTGGATGTATCATAAACTCTGACCTCATATGTTTGGCTTGTAGTAATAGGGCTAGTTGTAGACAGTCTTTCACCAAGAATATGGTGTTGCTTCAAATTCTCTGATTAGGCAAGAAATTCACCAATGTGAATTAGCATTTTGGTAGAAAAATGAAATAACTAAATTAATTAAGATTGCAAACAAAGCATCTAAAATGTGCACGGAGTACTAATGTAATTTCCTGACAATCAAGATCAGTTTCTTTAGCTAAAAATGGAGATAGTTTCATCAAGAAAATTGTACCCTGTAAAGAATTAATCTTCCTTCTCTAAAATCACGATGTATAGTATAATATGTTAAAAATCTCTAACATATCATCTATTATATGTATAGAATATAGCGTAATAAATTAATAAAACGAAATAGTTATTTAATATAGGATTCAAATTCTGTTAAATGCCTGATAAATTTTAAACATTAATGATTTTCCAGATGTCCTGCCACTGTGTTATGAGTTAAGTTAGTTTATTAGCATACATAGTAATGAGAAGATCTTGATACACTCAAACTTCTAGAGATTATAAAACTGTTTTGAAAGTTCAATTTTATGCAGTGGTCTGAGGTTCACTATTTGTTATAAGGCCTTACAAGGAAATATTTTTAGAAGTAATACAGAATAAGAGATCCAATTGATTTTGTGGAAGAGAGCATACATTCTACATATTCCTTTGCAGCCTAGCAGAATTGGTATTCACTTTATTTGCATGGGCTTGGCTATATTAGGTAATTCAGACTGGTGACCCTTACAGTTAGCAAGTGCCTGTGACTTGTCCTTTATTAAAATTTTGAGCATTCCTTCAACAAAATATCCTGAAAATAATGCCCCTTCTAAACAGTAGTTATTAGAATGGAATAAGGTAAACTATATGACATTTAGAATATTGCAGTATCTATGAAATTCTGGTTTCACCATTGCTGTCATACACGTTTTTTTTAAAAAAAAAACAGATACAAAGGAATTCTGGTAAAATAGAAGTGAAATCATGTATTGCTTCTACTCAAGACACTCCAGTGGCTTTGTACCTCATTCTATAAAAACCGACGTCTTTCCAAGGACCTGTAACTCTCCACATGACCTAGCACTCATCTACTTTACTATCCTCATTCCCTAGCACTCCCACTGCTCTGGCACACTGGCCTCCCTGCTGCTCTGGCCTGCTCTTAACTCAGAAGTTCTCACTTGCTTTGTCCTCTGACTACAATGTTTCTCTCCTAGATAGTCACATGCCTCAATCTCTCACAGCTTTCCATTTTTTGCTCAGTGGTAATTTTCTTGGTGAAGTTTTCCATGGAATCCTAGTTAAAAATTCCAAACTACACTTACAGTACTTCTGCTTTATTTTTCTCCATGCCACTTATAATATTATAAGGTACTATATAGTTTACATGTTTATTATATGACTTCTCTCACTAATATGTATGCTCTGTGAGCCCAGAATCCTTTATCTAATTTGTTTACTGTTGTAGCTTCAGCACATGGAAGAGTACATAGCACTTTAACAGGCACACAGTACAATTATTTGTTGAATGAGAGAAAGACAAAGAGAGGAATCAAATGTGACTCTAACATTTTGGCTGAGCAATACAAATGAGTGAGTTTATTTGAAATGGAATGGAAAAGCCTGGATTTATGAGTATCTTTTGGAGGTGAGAAAAATCAGTGGCTAACATTTTGACATGTTATATTTGAGATTCCTATTAGATATCCAAGTAAAGATCTTAAGTAAGCAGTTGGACATATGGTTCTGGTGTTTGGGGGATATGTTTATGCAGAAGACATAGATTTTGGAGTCATTGGCATATACAGAAAGGATGAAATCGCCAAGGGATTAAGTGAAGATAGAAGAGAGAAGAGGCCTAAGACTAAAGCATGGCCCATTTCAACATAAAGAGGCTAAGGAGGTAAGTTATTTAGTGAATAAGAGAATAAGCACAGTCAGTAAGATAAAAGGAAATCCATGCGGGTCTTATAATCTGGACACCAAAAGAAGAAAGGGTTTCACAGAATAAAAGCATAATCAATTATGTAAAATACTCCTGATAGATCAGGTAAGATGGGAACCAAAGACTGACCACTGGATTGGCAATGTGGCGTCACTTACGACTTTAAAAACAGTTGTTTCAGAAAAGGGGTGGTGGTAAAAGCCTGACTCATGTGTTTGAAGAAAGATAGGGAGGTGAAGAATTAGAAGCAGTAAACACAGACACTAGTTTCCAAGAATTTCATTAAAAAGAATGAGAGAATTGAAGTGGCAAATGAAAAGGAAAGTAGTGTCTGCAGGATTTGTTTTTGTCTTGTTTTGTTTTCTTCTTTCAAAGATATAATAAGTTATAACATGTTATGGAGACATTCAGGAGAGAAGGAAATCTTGATGATGTACAAGAAAGTTTGGCAATTTGACTAAGACTTGAATTCCTCTTTGTGTTGCTGAGGGCACTAGAATTGAAACTATTATTTCAAGCTAATACAAGAGAATGTCAGTTCCCTTGACTGGTGAAAGTTGGTGGGACGGAGTGCACATGAAGAGGCTTTGCTGTAAATTGGAACATCAGTACTTCATATATAGCAACAGAAGAGATGGCAAGTATATGGGGCTACATGTACGTGGGTGAAGAGATTTGATAGTAATAGTTCTCTTCTGAGGCTTCAGATCATTTCAAGAAAACACAAAACAAGATCATTAAAGTAAAAGTGAGAGATAAGGAGATAGTAGGAAAGAAGGAGAGTGAGTGCTTTAGGAAAACAATCTGATTATCACATTATTAGGGAAATATGTAGAATGTATGGTTTCTTCCACACAATCAATTCTATCTCTTATTCTGTATTACTTCTAATAATACTTCCTTGTAAAGTCTTATAGCAAATAGTAAAATTTGAAGTGGGAGTAGTCAACATGGGTGTGTGTGTGTGTGTGTGTGTATGTCTGTTTGTGTGTGAGTTTACTTTTCCTTTATCACATACAGCATAGATTTATTTAAGCATGAAGTAAATAGAATATTGAGATGGAATAATTTGGGGTATATGCAAGACAGTGATTGCAATGCTTGATCATGAGACTTGAACTGGGTAAAGGTATAAATAAGAACATAATAAAGATGAGAAACAGTGAAATATTGTAGAGTGAAAGCCCCAGTGGGGTTAACAAACCATTGGAGGCACAAGACTGTGGAAAAGGAGCTGAAGGTACAAAAATAGACAAGATCTAGGTTATGACTAAGAGAGTATGTGGTTGAGGTAGTGAAGGGGATTAAGATAACTAGTGGAGAGTGGACAGAAACTAAGAGATTAAGGCATTGGGTGGAATACTTACCTGACATGCAACTGGAGTGGTGCTGTAAAGATGGACAAAGAAACAAAATATTAAATCTTTAAGAAAAGAAGGAGAATGGAACAGGAGTTGAGAGATGACCACAACAATGAGAAATAGTTTTGTTGTTTTAATCCTCTACCACAAAATTCTCAGATGATGGTTCTCAGGGAAGAATAACGGAGAAGGATCTAGAGGCAACAGTGAGGACCAAGAATGATGCCTTCAACAACATAGCAGGGAAGTAGTGCAGGATTTAAAATAGTCACTACGTGAGAGGACTTTAATGGAAATGTATATTCAGGGGAGAGCCAATTTGCAATTAGGTCAAAAACGGAATAGGAACATTGAGAGAAAGATTAGAGGGGATGTTTCAGAAAATTGAGCTTGGTTAATTCAGAAGATACCATGGGAAGTGTGGGAGTTTGCTGAAGAGTGGGAAATGAGGAAAGATACATGTTTTATAGTCTTATGAATACCAAGATCAAGTAATTTATATCAAAATTTAAAAGGAGATCCCAATAATAATTATAGACAAAACTGTCCCAGGCAAATTCTGATACACACTTATCCTACCTAAGAAGATCAGACCTGTGAATTATGAGGTTATCTGCAACAAAAGGAGAAAAGCAAATAAAGATATTGGTCTTGTCTGATCGTTCCTCTGGACGTTTTGTTTCAGAGGAGTACCCAGCCGTGTAGGGATCAATTCAACAAGAAGAGCTAACTATCCTAAATATATATGCACCCAATACAGGAGCACCCAGATTCATAAAGCAAGTCCTGAGTGACCTATAAAGAGACTTAGACTCCCACACAATAATAATGGGAGACTTTGACACCCCACTGTCAACATTAGACATTAGAACAACGAGACAGAAAGTTAACAAGGATACCCAGGAATTGAACTCAGCTCTGCATCAAGCGGACCTAATAGACATCTACAGAACTCTCCACCCCAAATCAACAGAATATACATTTTTTCAGCACCACACCACACCTATTCCAAAATTGAACACATACTTGGAAGTAAAGCTCTCCTCAGAAAATGTAAAAGAACAGAAAGTATAACAAACTGTCTCTCAGACCACAGTGCAATCAAACTAGAACTCAGGATTAAGAAACCCACTCCAAACCATTCAACTACATGGAAACTGAACAACCTGCTCCTGAATGACTACTGGGTACATAACGAAATGAAGGCAGAAATAAAGATGTTCTTTGAAACCAGTGAGAACAAAGACACAACATACCAGAATCTCTGGGACACATTCAAAGCAGTGTGTAGAGGGAAATTTATAGCACTAAATGCCCACAAGAGAAAGCAGGAAAGATCCAAAATTGACACCCTAACATCACAATTAAAAGAACTAGAAAAGCAAGAGCAAACACATTCAAAAGCTAGCAGAAGGCAAGAAATAACTAAAATCAGAGCAGAACTGAAGGATATAGAGACACAAAAAACCCTTCAAAAAATTAATGAATCCAGGAGCTGGTTTTTTGAAAGGATCAACAAAATTGATAGACCGCTAGCAAGACTAATAAAGAAGAAAACAGAGAAGAATCAAATAGACGCAATAAAAAATGATAAAGGGGATATCACCATCGATCCCACAGAAATACAAACTACCATCAGAGAATACTGCAAACACCTCTATGCAAATAAACTAGAAAATCTAGAAGAAATGGATAAATTCCTCGACACATACACCCTCCCAAGACTAAACCAGGAAGAAGTTGAATCTCTGAATAGACCAATAACAGACTCTGAAACTGTGGCAATAATCAATAGCTTACCAACCAAAAAGAGTCCAGGACCAGATGGATTCACAGCCGAATTCTACCAGAGGTAAAAGAAGGAACTGGTACCATTCCTTCTGAAACTATTCCAATCAATAGAAAAAGAGGGAATCCTCCCTAACTCATTTGATGAGGCCAGCATCATCCTGATACCAAAGCCAGGCAGAGACACAACCAAAAAAGAATTTTAGACCAATATCCTTGAGGAACATTGATGCAAAAATCCTCAATAAAATACTGGCAAACCGAATCCAGCAGCACATCAAAAAGCTTATCCACCATGATCAAGTGGGCTTCATCCCTGGGATGCAAGGCTGGTTCAATATATGCAAATCAATAAATGTAATCCAGCATACAAACAGAACCAAAGACAAAAACCACATGATTATCTCAATAGATACAGAAAAGGCCTTTGACAAAATTCAACAACCCTTCATGCTAAAAACTCTCAATAAATTAGGTATTGATGGGACGTATCTCAAAATAATAAGAGCTATCTATGACAAACCCACAGCCAATATCATACTGAATGGGCAAAAACTGGAAGCATTCCCTTTGAAAACTGGCACAAGACAGGGATGCCCTCTCTCACCACTCCTATTCAACATAGTGTTGGAAGTTCTGGCCAGGGCAATTAGGCAGGAGAAGGAAATAAAGGGTATTCAATTAGGAAAAGAGGAAGTCAAATTGTCCCTGTTTGCAGATGACATGATTGTATATCTAGAAAACCCCATTGTCTCAGCCCAAAATCTCCTTAAGCTGATAAGCAACTTCAGCAAAGTCTCGGGATACAAAATCAATGTACAAAAATCACAAGCATTCTTATACACCAATAACAGACAAACAGAGAGCCAAATCATGAGTGAACTCCCATTCACAATTGCTTCAAAGAGAATAAAATACCTAGGAATCCAACTTACAACAGATGTGAAGGACCTCTTCAAGGACAACTACAAACCACTGCTCAATGAAATAAAAGAGGATATAAACAAATGGAAGAACATTCCATGCTCATGGGTAGCAAGAATCAATATCGTGAAAATGGCCATACTGCCCAAGGTAATTTATAGATTCAGTGCCATCCCCATCAAGCTACCAATGACTTTCTTCACAGAATTGGAAAAAACTACTTTAAAGTTCATATGGAACCAAAAAAGAGCCCACGTCGCCAAGTCAATCCTAAGCCAAAAGAACAAAGCTGGAGGCATCACACTACCTGACTTCAAACTATACTACAAGGCTACAGTAACCAAAACAGCAAGGTACTGGTACCAAAACAGAGATATAGATCAATGGAACAGAACAGAGCCCTCAGAAATAACGCCGCATATCTACAACTATCTGATCTTTGACAAACCTGAGAAAAACAAGCAATGGGGAAAGGATTCCCTATTTAATAAATGGTGCTGGGAAAACTGGCTAGCCATATGTAGAAAGCTGAAACTGGATCCCTTCCTTACACCTTATACAAAAATTAATTCAAGATGGATTAAAGACTTAAACGTTAGACCTAAAACCATAAAAACCCTAGAAGAAAACCTAGGCATTACCATTCAGGACATAGGTATGGGCAAGGACTTTATGTCTAAAACACCAAAAGCAATGGCAACAAAAGCCAGAATTGACAAATGGAATCTCATTAAACTAAAGAGCTTCTGCACAGCAAAAGAAACTACCATCAGAGTGAACAGGCAACATACAGAATGGGAGAAAATTTTCGCAACCTACTCATCTGACAAAGGGCTAATATCCAGAATCTGCAATGAACTCAAACAAATTTACAAGAATAAAAACAAACAACCCCATCAAAAAGTGGGCGAAGGACATGAACAGACACTTCTCAAAAGAAGACATTTATGCAGCCAAAAACCATGAAAAAATGCTCACCATCACTGGCCATCAGAGAAATGCAAATGAAAACCACAATGAGATACCATCTCACACCAGTTACAATGGCAATCATTAAAAAGTCAGGAAACAACAGGTGCTGGAGAGGATGTGGAGAAATAGGAACACTTTTACACTGTTGGTGGGACTGTAAACTAGTTCAACCATCGTGGAAGTCAGTGTGGCGATTCCTCAGGGATCTAGAACTAGAAATACCATTTGACCCAGCCATCCCATTACTGGGTATATGCCCAAAGGACTATAAATCATGCTGCTATAAAGACACATGCACACGTATGTTTATTGCGGCACTATTCACAATAGCAAAGACTTGGAACCAACCCAAATGTCCAACTATAGACTGGATTAAGAAAATGTGGCACATATACACCATGGGATACTATGCAGCCATAAAAAATGATGAGTTAATGTCCTTTGTAGGGACATGGATGAAATTGGAAATCATCATTCTCAGTCAACTATCGCAAGAACAAAAAACCAAACACCACATATTCTCACTCATAGGTGGGAATTGAACAATGAGAACACATGGACACAGGAAGGGGAACATCACACTCTGGGGACTGTTGTGGGGTGGGGGAATGGGGGAGGGATGGCATTAGGAGATATACCTAATGCTAAATGACGAGTTAATGGGTGCAGCACACCAGCATGGCACACTTATACATATGTAACTAACCTGCACATTGTGCACATGTGCCCTAAAACTTAAAAGTATAAAAAAAAAAAAAAGATATTGGTCTTGATGGTCCCAAGGCAGATAGTTATAGTTTAGTCATAGTGCTTGTAGGGGCAGTCAATGGACAAAGGCTTCTTTCCAGGAATACATCAAGCTCTTGACTAAGGCTTGAATTCCTCTTTATGTTGCTGAGGGAACTAGAATTGAAGCTATTATTTCAAGCTAATGGTGAATGTGAAACATTTGCCACAATGTACTCGAAGGATGTAGTTCTCTTCTCTTTTCCATGATTAGCTTTGTCTTTGCTGTTGGTGACATTGTTACCTCCACCTTGGTTCCCTTCTCTGCAATTACATTTGTGCAAATATCACCATTCTTTGGGGCTAGGCTGAAATACCATGGCTCTCATATATCTGTTCTTTTTTCTTTCAGCTGGGATCTATCTGTCCTTTCTCCAGACTCTCACACATTTTATCGATACCTCCATTTTGGCATTTACTAATTTCTGCTTTTTACAGAACTAAATTTATTTATGTATGTTTCTTTTTCCTCCAGATGAATATGTTCCTTAGGGATAGTGTTTATATCTGCCAAACTTCTGTTATCTGACTACTATGCCAAGTGAAATGTATTTTACGTAATTAAGATGCTCAAACAATTATGTAGACAAATGTTGGAATTCATGAATTTGAAGAGATAACAAGACATTTTATATCTGTTAAATACCAGAAAATCAGAGCAACTGCCTAGAAATCAAGCTGACCTACAGCAAACAAAGGATAAAATATTAGAAGTAAAAACGGAAAACCTCAAACCAGAACATACTATGCAAATAACAACTGTAGCTACAACTCTAAAGACAAACTCAGCTTCTGCTATGAAATATACTAAAGCCCTTCTGCATTATATTTCCCTAGAGTTTTAAGAAGCATGGTTTTAATACTGTAGCAAAGACTTAACAGCAATAATATTTTGATAAAATACTTTAATAAAAACTCTCTTTTTCTTCAGGTCAATCAAGAAGTATGTGTTGATTTTCTTTTTATTCTGTGGAAAAACTAGTTGCAGCTTGTATATTAGTATCACATGTCTAAATTATGGACTTAAAAATAGATATAAAATATTTATTCTTTTTTTCTCATGATACTGATGTGTAAAATATCAGATCATCTTTTTAATAGATAAGAATTTACAAGCCAATAAGGTTTTTTTAAAATGAGTGTTAATTGTTTCATTTAAGTATTAAAAGAAATGAGTTTCTGGAGATTAGAACAAAAGGTTATAAAAATGTATGAGACAACTGTTTATGAATAATGCCTACATTTTGCCTGCTCAGGCTTCTAGACCACACATTTTAAAAAAAGAATGAGTCAAATCAGGGCATGTTTGTAATATGAAGTATGTGTGTGTTTGTTTTTTTTCTCTAAAGAGAAAATTCTTCCTCCAGTTCTTTTAGAAAGGTTAACACATGATGAAATTGTAAACCAGCAATAGTAGTCTCAAGAGTATCTTTTAGCAAAGAGAATAATCATTTGCGATGACAGCACTAGACTTGCTCAGTGAAAAGAAAGAATATAGTTTCTACTGTTTTTTTGAGGACATTCTTTTGATAACTTTTTAAATTTCAGACATATTTCAAGTGAATTTGTATAAATCTTTTAGAAAGCCTTAGACTAATCACTGCATAAAAATCAAGAAAAATGCAAGCACCTCAGATTCCCAAGTAAAAAGATTGGTAGATGTTAATTAGCAGATATTAATCTTGGGTATTTAGTACACTTATTACCCTATTTAACCATTTTTAAATTCAGATTTATAAACAATTCATGCTGAAACTTTAGTTTTGTTTTTATCTAGCACAGTTTGTTCAGAGCCATTCTAACACTTGGAAGATTTTAGTTTTAGTTAAGAAATATTTTTGACAGGCTGAGAATATTTTTTTCTTTAATATTGACCATGTATAATACGTGTAATATACACATTATACATGTGTAATATAATGCCTTTATATTAATAAAAGGAAGGCTTATATTAATCAAATAAATGGGCAATTTTTGGATCATTTAAAAATAAAAATGTGTGATTGATAGAAAATAAGAAAATTGTGATAGAATCAGAGACTCTTAGTGTTGGACAGAATCTGTAAGAGTAAATGCAAGTTCCTTTTGACATACGGATTCTTCTGGGCCATTGTTAAAACTCACTTCTTGGGCTTCTCCTTTCTTTTTGGGAAGTCATTTTTGTGAAACTAAGAATTGGACCCTAGAACTAAATGAGGTTATCAAGGCTATCTCTGGTAGTGTTGAATTAATCTAGTTGAACATATACTATAATGCAAATAACCAAGTCCCCCAAATCAAATTAACCAATGACCACTTTACCAAAGTCTCTAATTATTTAGTTGAATCCTCTAATTTTTGAATCCTCTAATTATTTAATTCCTTTGAATATTTCCATTTTATTTTTCTATCAGCATTTGATGAAATATTTTCCTCTGCCCCAGTTCTTTAATGCTGCAACAGAAAACTGAGAACAAAGAGAAGAAATTTAGAGACTGAAAATGCAAGACTGAACCCTAGAAAATTAAATATGATGCTTTTATAAATACGTAATTCATTATTATATTATTGTTCAAGAAGAGAATGTATTTATAAGATACCTTCATATTCCATAATATTCTTCATACTCTTAACCATGCTTCATTTAAGAATAATATGTCCTTAAAGAACATGTTTTAAAAATATGTCAATAGGAAAAATATATTCAATCTGCCTGTGTCTCATATCTCTACAACTACTCTTGGTCAGGGAATAGGAGATAATGGAGACTGTGGAGCAGAGAGAGGTAGAGACTGAGGGACAAAAACATTAACTTAAGAATATTTTATTGATCATGAAGATTTCCTATACAATATATTTTTTTAAATCCTCAAAAATTACAGTTTGGAATAGCATTTTTGAGTTGACATTCACGGCCCTGGTTTTGAAAAATGTCCCAGAGTATGCTCAATAATGTATTTACAAGAATACATTTCAAGAAAATGATCATAAACATATCCTTTTTATGATATATTTTTCTTTAAAGTATATCCTTATAAATATACATATGTAAACATAAAAGTAAAACATAATCCCCAAATATAAAGAATTCTCATTAATCCAGTCTTCCTGAATATATTTTTAAATATATATGAGTTCTTTATATGCAACATTTTATCATATAAGAGTAAATTCAAGAATATTTTCTTCTTTACTTGATTATAAATTATTGATTATGAATTACATGTATAAAATGTATAAAAATGATTAATACTTCATTAGTATGTCTTGCTTAAAATAATTATTGGTTATAAAGTAATCTTATAAACATACTTAAATAACTATGATATAATTTACAAAAAGAATATATTCCTATGAATATGTAGGCTTCTCTCTGTTCCAATTTCCTTGAATAGGAGGCTCAAAGCATTGAAAAATATGATCAAAGACAAATGATATATCCATTAAAATATGTTCACATATACAACATTTAAAACATGTTCTTTAAAACCAAGTAATTAAAAGATTTTTGAAAGTTGGCAAATAGATTATGTGGTGGAATAGCCATTAAGTGAGCTGGCTTTTGGTGAGCTGATGTAGTTCTATAACTTATCTGTGCCCAACAATGACAATTTGCTATAGTGAATGATTATCACTATAACCTCTTTTGTTTGTATAACATCTCTTATTGTGTTTCCAGCATTTTTAACACATGGAACTGCTATGGACATTACTGACCATTAAATACTCCTATTTACTACTGTATGCTACATTGCATTATCTCAGGGAACCTATAGGGACTTAATGATTTAAGATGGGTATCACACAAACTTAATAACATTTTAGAAATCACATCAGAAGAGACATTTCTTATCATTTTAGGAACAAGAATGTTGCCCTGATTATGTACATGGCTATGGCATCTGACATTCCCTCCTATAGGTCTTTATGCATCTTTTTAGATATTTTAAATATGGTTAGGCCTCATATTATCTGGAAGGGTTAGTATGTTATAAAGCTACCACCTTGCAACTATTAGGTACAATATTTTATTATATATTATAATATTTATGTAATATTATATAATAATATATTATATATTATATTTAAAAATACAAAGAATATATTGTCCTCAGCAATTTACAATTTAGTTGTAGAGATAAAATATATCATTTATAGAACTACCATTAAAGAGAGTGTACATAGATACACGGGGTGACCATATGCCCTAGTTTGCAGGAGGCAGTCCTGGCTCACACCAGTTCTCCTAGCATAATTAATTCTGACTCTTTCTCAGGCATGTTCTGGATTACAAATTATATTGTCATTTATTAGGAATGCCATAAATCAGTGCTCTTTGCAAGGTGGTACCTTTAGTGCTACACAAAGATATTATAAGGAGTACTTGAGCAAGTAAGTGTTTTTTCAATTTCTATCTGTCCTCCTTAAAATGTATTTATTTAAAAGAACTTGCCTATACTTTGCTTTTTTTCCCCTCATTATCCCTTTCAGGAAAGTAGATCTTCCTTTCTGCATAATAAACACATACCATTCATTGATCTAGACTCTTACCAGGGTACATTTCCTCAGACATCAAAAACAAACAAAAGGGTATATTTTTTTCTTGAGGGAGTGTTTATAGAAACATAACCAAAGAATATTGAGTGAGGCAGAAATATATTTCACTTAGGTGGCAAACTCATGAGTAGATAATATGGTTTCTATTTCCTATTTGAGAAAGTTGAAGTAAAATGAGAATGCTGTGCAGATAGGAGGGAGGGGGGGCCTGTTAAAGTATCTCCTAACTGAAGAAAAAAAAGAATCTATTTTTCTTTTACAGAATGTAACTCTAATTTGGTGGATTAGTTTGAAAATGAGAAGTGGCTCTACCAATTACATTATGTAGCAAACATTTTCCACAAATTTAATGATCAAATATGCACCTTCAAGATTTTAGCATATTAAAGTCTCAAGTACAATAAATAATATGCAACTGGGTCATTTGAAAGCATTTACATTTAAGATACATGAGGGAAAGTGTTAAAACAATTCCCACAGACAATGAAATATTAATGTTCAGAGAGAAAGGTTTTGCTCCATGTTATAACAAGTATAAGCTCCATGTCTTAACTTGAACTTGATGGAGTAAAATAATGATGTTATTGGGCAGATACTTAGATGAGAGGAGAGAACAATTTAGATTAGAGCAAAGAACAGTTAAAGGAGTAAAGCTGGGACAGAATCAGGCATGTTCCAGAAATGGAATATAATACTATATCCATTTAGTCATTCATTTTTAAATAAGATATTTGAGATGAATTCCTCCGAGATTCAAGCACTAAACAGAATACAGCCAGATAGTTTGTCTACACTTTTCCCTTAGCCTATCCCACTCTATATTTGATATTCCATACTTATTCTATTTGTTTTACACTTATTATTTCTTAAACTTATAAATGTCTAACTACATAAGTTACATTTTTGTTGTAGAAACAGGTCTTGATATGTTGCTCAGGCTGGTTCCAAACTTATGGCCTCAAGTTATCCTCCCACCTTTGCCTCCCAAAGCATTGGGATTACATGCATGAGCTACCACACCTAGATTAATTTACTTTTTAAAATATTTATTGTTTGTTAACTTTTCTCACCAAATAGCACATAATTCCTGGGAGGGAGGGGATTTTGTTTGCTCTGTTTATTCGTATATCCAAGCACCCAGAGCCATGCTTTACCTGTAGAAATCCCCAATAAATACTTCTTGAGTGAATTATATGTATGTATTTTATAACGTCCTTAACTCTGAGTTTTAAATAATTGCAGACTTCATAGAGGAAGTCAGATTTAAATTTGGTCTTGAAGGATGAGTAGAAGCTAGATAAGAAGAAAAGATACTGTTCCTAATGACATGTTTGAACTTATCTTCCTCAATTCTCCACCATGTGTACTCTAATAGAAGCACATTTTCTTTATTATTTCCTGCCTCTGATCTCATGAAAAATATGTAATTGTTCTTCCTGTTGGGAGGTCTTCATACAAATTGCTGCAGATATTCTTAACTTATTTAAGAAATTTTTAAAATGTTTTGCCAATCTTGATTTTCTTCTTTATAATTTCCAGTTCTCAGGTATCTTGCAAAGTTATCACTATATATTTTGCCTTAGTGATTTGCACATGGGCTACACATTATATTGCTGAAACATATAGGAAAATGGTTGATTTAATTAATTTATTAATAATACTGTGTTGAATATTGTTTTGGTTTAAGGAAGTACAGTAAATTATTCTTTGAAAACATAAAATCCCCTTTTAAGATCAAATTATAGTCCGGCCCGGTGACTCACGCCTGTAATCCCAGCACTTTGGGAAGCCTAGGCAGGTGGATCACGAGGTCAGGAGTTCAAGACCATCCTGGCCAAGATGGTGAAACCCCGTCTCTACTAAAAACACAAAAAATTAGCCAGGCGTGGTGTTGGGTGCCTGCAATCCCAGCTACTCAGGAGGCTGAGGCAGAGAATTGCTTGAACCCGGGAGGCGGAGGTTGCAGTGAGCCAAGATTGTGCCACTGCACTCCAGCCTTGGCCACAGAGCAAGACTCCTTCTCAGAAAAAAAAAAAAAAAGATGGAATTTCTATCTAAGTGTCTTTTAAAACCCTTTTTTAAACCCCTTTGGAACTACAGCTCTTAAGAAAAGTTGAGTACTAAATTTTCCTTGGGAGCAAAGTATCCCAGCTTAGTCGAGGTTTATGAGGTCAGATTTCTACTTAAGTCTATAATTCATTCTTTCAACTTCATTGAAACTGAAAAGGGTAAATGCTATTTTTTCAGTGAATAAAATCCCCAGCTTAGTGAAAGACTTGGTTCGATCTGGATTAGTGGTCTATTAAAGTTCATCTCCTGCAACAGTAAAATTTGTCTGACTTTACTTGGCTTCATTCACCATTCTTCAAGATTCAGTGTACAGGTCCTAATCTATTAGGGATCCTTTCCTAACTTGTCCATCAAGTCTGGGTTTGGAATATGTCTTATAGCATCCTTGCTAAACTCCAACACTAGTGTACTCAACTAGCTGTTCTCAAAGTGTTTTCCCAAGAACAACAGAATCAGGATTACCTCATAACTTGCTAGTAATGGAAAATCTTGAACTTCCCAACAGACATGTTAGAAATTCTGGGGCTAAGAGTCAGCAGTCTGTGTATTCAGGCATTCCAGGTGAATGAAGACCAATGCACTAAACATATTCTATTTAATATTTCATTTACCTATTTAGCTCCTAGCACAGTATTGATTGGCTCATAGAACATCTCCAATAAATATTTATTATAACAACTATCAAAAAAAGTTTAGGCTATATAAACTTATGTCTAGCTAAAAATAGTGTTACAGAAAAAAATTATTTTTACTCTCTTAAAAATAATTGATAAAAATTGAAGAATTTATTTTTGAAAGAATAGTGAGTGAAAAGTACATTTTGGAGAAAACAAATAAAAAAATCATTGATGAGGCTAACTATTGTTTAGTCTAATTATTTTCCACCTAAAATTTGTGGATGTGTTTCCTTTGCTATTTATTTATTTATTTATTTATTTAATTTATTTATTTCAAATTGACAAATACAAATTGTATATATTTATTGTGCAAAACAGGATGCTTCAAAATATGTATACATTGCAGAATGACTAAATCAAGCTAATTAATTATACTCACATACTTTTTCATGTGGTAAGAACATGTAAAATCTACTCTCTCAGTGATTTTCAACTATACAATAGAGTGTTATTAACTATTGTCATCATGCTGTACAATAGGTCTCTTAAACTTACCTCTCCTTTCTAGCTGAAATTTTATATCCTTTGACCAATATATTCCTAATTCACTAACCCATCTCCTACGCCCTGGTAACCACCTTTTTACTCTCTACTTATATGAGTTCAATATTTTTTTTTTTTTTAGATTCCCCATATAAGTAAGATCATGTGGTATTTCTCTTTCTGTGCCTGGTTTATTACACTTAACATAATGCCCTCCAGATTAATCCATGTTCTTGAAAATAACAGGATTTTCTAAAAGGCTGAATAATACTCCATTGTTTATACATATCACATTTTCTTTATTATCTATTAATGGACACTTAGGTTTTCATATCTTGGCTATTTTTACTATTTATGCTGCAATGAACATGAGGGTGCATACAGCTTTCCTTTGTTTTGGATATGTACTCAGAGTTGGATTGCTGGATCATAAGGTAATTTTATTTTTAGTTTTTTGAGGAACCTTCATACTGTTTTCATAATGACTGTACTGATTTACATTCCCACCAAAAGTGCACAAGGTTTCCGTTTTCTCCACATCTTCACCAACACTTGTTATCATTTGTCTTTTTGATAACAGCCATCCTAACAAGCATGAGGTGATATCTCATTAGGACTTTAATTTGCACTGCCCTGATGATTAGTGATAATGAACATTTTTTTATATAATTGCTGGCCATTTATATATCTTCTTTTGAAAAATGCCTATTCAGGTTATTTGCCCATTTTTAAATCAGCTTATTAGTTTTCTTGCTATTGAGTTAAGTCTCATATATTTTAAATATTAACCTCTTTTCAGATGCATGGTTTGCAAGTATTTTCTCCTGTTATATGAGTTGTCTCTTTATTCTGTTCCTTTTGCTGCCTAAGAGTTTTTTTTTTTTTGTTAGAGGTAATCCCTTTGCTTTTCTTTCTCATTAATCTTCTCTATAGTAATATGATCATAGTTAATATTTACATAGGCTTATTCTTTTATGAACCCATTTAATCCTCACTAAAACTCTATTATCTGTATTCTTATTTTATGGGTGAAGAATTTGAGACAATGGTGGTAATATACCAAAATTACCAAGTGGCAGAACAAGGATTCAAAATCAAGCAACCTGGATTTTACTCATCTTGTGTAGTTGTAACTTTATACCCATTATTTCCTTGATTGCGGTGATGGCAGCACTAGCATATACATATATCCAAACTCATCAAACTATATACATTATTTATGTGCAGGTTTTAATATACCAATCATACCTCAGTAAAGCAGAGTGGGGGAGAAAAAAGGCCATTAAGAAGCAAAGTAAATGACAAAATAAACGACATTTCTCAATGAGCTAGAAAAAAAAAGAAATAGCAATATTTCATTTCATTAACTTGTTGATGGGAAAGCAGTATGGTAAGTCACTTTAGAAAAAAGTTTGGTAGTTTCTAATTAAGAACATGCTTTCCACACATCCTAGTACTGTACAAGTATTTATTCAAGAAAAATAAAATCTTACGTTCTCACAAACACACAAAATTTAAGCAATCTGAGTTTAGAGTTTATCTTCCAACTACAACTGAACATTTACTTTGTATGCATAGTTTTTAAATATATATATGTAATTTGAAAAATATTTCTAGACATCCTTTCTGATTCATGAAAAATCATTGATAATTCAGAAATGACAAATTCTTCAACTTTATTCTAAATGCAATATAGCATTTCTGTTTACTAACTTGCCTACCAAACTGTCTTTGGAGCATAATGTAAATTTATGCTTCATTAATGTCTATGTTAACTGATATTTACTTGCTCATACATTGATAATTGTTCTTCAGAATTGCTTTTCAGATTTTACATTTTTTCAAAAGCATCACATCTATCTAAATGCATTCATCTAGTAATTCGTATTAATTCTTGTGACGACATTTTGTGATGGTTACTTGAATCATCATTAAAACGTTACTTGTTTCCATCAAATAAAACATTGATGGAAAATGATTTCAGTTTGCATTACTGGATTAGAAATAGTTTCCTTCAAATTTTAAGTAGTCCAATTTCTTTCTTATGTAAGAATTATTTCCACAGTATTCAAAGTAAATTGGGACTTCTCTTTTGTTTTATATTATCTTTTTAAATTCTGTGGGTGCAACAGATTCTCATCTTGTTTCAAAATTTGTGATAATGTTTAGAATTCACAATACAATTAGATTAGGTGCTTGGAAGTCAGAATTCACGTATCTGATAGCTGAATGTAAGAGCTCTCATATCAGTCAAACTCACATGAGAAAGAAAGAAAATTTCAAGATATTCAACACTTTATTATAAAATAGGCTTTATGTTAGATGATCTGATCCAGCACCTCAAGAACGTATCACTGCATATCACTAACCCAGGAAAAGATCAAATTTCAAAATTCAAACGAAGTATGGCTTCTACTGACTGTACATTTCTTTGGCACCAACATAAAGTCAAAAAACTGTAAATAAAACTATCACAAATTGAGGACCATCTGTACTAGCATTTATAAGAAAGTTCTAATTCATTGCTAATTAAACATGTTCGAAAAGTAAATTACCATTCTTGTGATGATGTATGATTTGGCTATCTATGCATCTACAGTTCCTTATAAACCATAAAAGTCAAGGTATCAGTTTCTGCTTGGCTTAAATAGCATGCATGTTAGTGTGTACAGCCATTTTTGAAAAAGGGGTGCTTTCTGTGAAAGACAATATTAATCTCTCATCAATGGAGCTAAAAATGTCAGTAAACCATTTAAGTTTATTTTTCTTTGGATTGTCTGTCTCCATCCTGTTATTTTAGTTTTTGCATCACTAGGGGCCACTGTTGTCTTTTAAATATATTTCACAATTATGAACGTCTTTAAATACTATATCTGAGTAACTTCAAAATTGATCAATTTTAGAAATAGAAGGAGGTCATGTATTGTTTTTTAGGCAGTCTGCCTACTTGAAATGTTTTAAAATGATTTTTGAGTAATCTTAAAACAAAATGTGAAATTTTCTTTTAAAAATTGAGTCACTATATATACAAATGTAGATGTTATTCTACAAATTGATATTTATTTTACTCAAAGTCTCTGTTTATAGTTATAGAAAGATCACAAACCTACTTTCAGTGAAATGTCTTTGCAAAATAATGAATTATAAAATATGTTAATAGTAATCAAAGATAAGAAAGAATAATTAAAGCTATTGAGTGCCAAACATTGTTCCAAGAAAACTCCACTCACTATAGCATTTAATTCATATAACAACCCTATGAGTTATCTATCAATAATATTCTCAATGTATAGTTGGGGGCACAGAGGGCTTAAGTAAATGGCACAATTTACTTAACCATTTTAATGTACTTAACCAATTTAATGTAACCATTAGCATAATGTTACAACAGTTGACTAAAAAAAGTAGTAGATACAGGATATATGTGTATGTGTATGTACATATAAAAATATAGAGAATTATGTGTGTACACACATGCACACACACATTTTGATAGTGATGTCATTGTTTAGATCTACACAGCATCTGAGATTTTACCCTACTTGTAAGTTAGAAAATTAGCCTGGAACTGTTTTATATATGCTCATAAAAAAACACAAAAGTCCTGTAAAGGAGACAAAGGACTATATTACTCACAGCAAATGTAGTAGCCAGAGCTTCATATTTATACCAGTTTCCTCTGTCCTCCAGACCCACGGGTGTTTATACATGCAATGGATTGTACCGCAGCAGAGAAACATTGAGGTTGGGGAATGTATTGCTTTTATAGCAAGTGGGAACAAGCCTGCTTTCTGTCCAGGGGCAGATGCTACCTCTTCTCAAGGTTGGACACCATAATCACAACCTTGGAAGATGGCTCAAATAGCAGTCAGGACTTTGCATTTTTAGAATACCCAGCAAGAACATGCAGGAATGTTTAGGCTCCATGGCAGAGTGCCTGTTCAAACAGTCATCCATTGATTTTAATATGAAGTGGTTTTCATTTAATTTAATATTTTTATGGCTCACTCCTCAACCTCCAAAGGACAAGAAGAATGGATGACCGATGGCAATGCTGTAAAAGCAAGATAAAGAAAACTCTTCATATTTCCTCTGATTGCATTTCTTCTCATTTCTTGTAGGCAATATTGTTTGGCAGACTCAGCTTATTTTTGTTCTTGTTTTTCTAGATTGTTCCATTACATTTTCATTCATTTAATAAGCTTTTACCCAGTGCCCAATTTGTGAACAAATTTGGCTCACAACCTCATAATATAAATTTTATTCAATATAATTATTTTAGAATTTAATGGTCTTTTAAAATCTCTAATATATAAGAATGTTATATTTTGATTTTTAACTTTATATCTAATACCATGTGTCAAAAATAAATTGCATTTATAAACTCTATCCATGATTTTATATATGTTATAAGCTATACTGCCACTTAAATTGTTTCTTGTTTTAATTTGTGATATATCTTCTATTTTTCTCTTAGGTATTCCTTTGTTGAAAGCTAGTAGTAGTTTCTTAAAACTATTTTATTCACAATATTCATTTTTTTCAATAGAAGATGATTTAAAATTATTACTTATAATAATGGCATTCCAAAACAATGCTTTATTTACCTTACTATTTATCTTACAATCTTCTTTAGTATTTATAGCATCATCTTTTACCAGAAATTACAGATTTAGAAAGCTAACTTCACAACTGGATTTCTAAGTGTCTATAAAATCCAGAAGTCAATGAATATAACTTAAAAATAAATTTTAGTATGAGACGTGGGTCTTTATCACCGTAAAAGTATAAGAATTCATTTTCCATCACACTATGGATTCGAAATCCTTAAAGACTGGCACTACATTTTATTTCTTATGTTATTTTTTTCATGGAATACAGGAAATCACATGCATAATACATTTTATTAGGACAAAAAGTTTAAAAATAAACTTTAGAGAATGACTCTGATACTGGAATTGATAACTCTAAGTTATTGTCTGAATCCACACCAATTTATCATTTTTTTCTGGTGAGAGTATATCCTAGGATCTAATACCACATTTCAAATATTAGTTACATGACATTGGGCTGTTCGTGTCAAGCTTCTTGCCTTCATTCATTTTGAAAAAAAAAAGTTAAAAACTATTATTGAGAAGCTTCCCTGAAATTATAGGTAGAATTAACACATACTGGTAAACAGAATGTATATTTGATTATACAAATTTATCACTATATATTTGTACAGAGTTTCTACGTTTAGTAAAAATTCCAAAATTCTATTTTTTGAATTAAGAATTTCAACTTTTCAATTTAATTTTTTGGGAAACTGTAGACTTCTGTAATTGTCAGAAACTTTGAAGATTACACTTGTCTACCTCATTCAGAGAGGAAGATGTGTCTGAAAATACACTTCAGATGTGGCCATCATTCTTTTCATGAACATTGCCCATGTATTTATGCAAGTACATGGAGACAAATTTATTTTTCATGTAATAGGTACATAGGTATCTATTCATTCAAAAATGTTAAATTAACTTAAAGAAACATCATGCTATGAAGGAAAGAATATGGGTCTTAGAATTAGACGTGTTGTATCATTGGGTCTACTATATACTAACCACAAATATTTGTATTTATTCTTTCTGAATGCCAATTCCTTTAATTTTTTCTGATGTTAAAAATGTCAAGATGAAAGTGTGAGACAAATAATACTGTCTTAACAACATAAATTATTACATAGGTTAGACATCTAGAAGTCTACCTAGAAAAGTCAGTCAACATTGTCTACTCTTTTCGTGATTCTCCTTATATCAATTTTTACAATGCTTTTGTGGTTCAAAGTAATTATACAGCATTCACACACACTATCTTATGCACAGAAAGAATGTAGGCTTTTAAATAATAAAAAACAATTGCAACATTCTGACTTAAAGAAGACACTTTTCATATTTCACTTTAAGCTATTCCAACATATTTGTGCAGAGTTAATCTCTCTTTGTATTAGTAAATATAATTCAGAAGTATTTTACCAGACATTTCTTTCTTTTAAAGAAGTGTGGGTAAACTTCAGATCTATTGCTTTAGGGCAGCTCTTTTTCAATTGTTATTTAATGATGAAACTGTACTCTTTTTTAATCCTGGGCAAGTTTTGTTTTGTTTTGTGGGTTTTTGGTTTTTTGTTTTTTACAATTGCATGTTTATTTACCTGGAATTCTGATGTGAAAAAAGATCAAATAATGATAGAAGCATACTTTCCTTTGAAAGCAGATATTGATATGTCACAATGAATCTTTATTCTCTACCACTGCTACATCTATAATTAATTCACAATGGGGAAGAATTGATTACTTTCTTTATGCTTCTAATCAAAAAAATTCTGCCTTAAAAATAAATTAGCAGTGATAGAACAACTCTGAGGATTTACCAGCACTATTCAAATATCTAATCACTAGCAGAAGGGAGAAGATGCTTTAGACAATGAATTTCCTACGAATGTGGGGGAATTTAGAATTTATTCTGTAAATGAGCTGTTTTCTGTCAATCATAGTTTACAACTAGAATCCATAAGGTCTCATAAACATGAGCAAATTTGCTCAGCCAAAAACATTGGAATAGATCTTCAAGTATTCTTATCTTCACAAGTAGGACTCCTCAAAGTCATTGCAGCATTTAAGAGAATGAATTCTAATGTGGTCCACTGATGCACTCACCTTACTGGGTATTTCTTTTGAGTACTGAATGTAATAACTATAAGATATTATGTTAGTATGGTATTATGTCTCTACTGAAATGGGAAGATAAGATGAATATGAATCATTGATTCTTGGGGTTATGATATTGTATGTTTGACAGAGGGTTATGAGCATATTAATGCAGCAGTGGCAGAGTCAAATAAAGACTCTCTACAAACTGGCATGACTTTTGATTGACTACACTTGTCAATATCCATTGCTTCCACACATGCAAACAGCATGCTACAAACAGCTAAAAAGTTACTGCTATTGTCATTTAATTACTAATATGATCAATTAGACCAAGATCAGCAAACTTTCTCATTAAAGGATCAGATACTAAATATTTTTCAACCGTAAGTTATCTGTCCCAGTGGTCAACTCTGCCATTATAGCATCAAAGCAGTTATGGACAATTTATCAATTAATTGGCATGGCTGTGTTTCAATTAAACTTATTTACAAAATAGCAAATGACATGTGGGATTTAGCATGTGAATTGTAGCTTGCAATTCTTGAATTAGACCAGTCACAACATATTTTAGGCATAACACATAAACTTAAGTGTCATAAAGACTGGGACCTCGTCTGTCTTGCTTGCCCTTCGACCTGCAGAGTTTCACATAGTACCAGAGATGTACTAAATTGTATTACAAAACACACTAAAATTTGTAAACAAATTTTGCTAAATTAAAAAGTTAATGTGTATAGAGTATAAAATAAGTTCTAATAATTTTCTGAATTGTTGCTTCATACTCAGTTTGTATCAATAGCTATACTTTAGAAATATACTAAGAAATTTCAGTGAATTTTATTATAGTTCTCAGAAAAGTAATATGTATCCCAATATTTAACATAATCCCTAGCTTATTAGCCACATGTAACATAGATCATCTGTCTTATAAATACTTCTTAGGAATATTTCTAAAATAGAAAACCACAATTCTTTTTAGCATATGTGCTACCCACCAAGGGTCCTTAGTGGAGAAGAGTGCCCTCCCTAGCACATAAACCATGGAGAACGTTCATGTGCATTCTGCTTGTCTGTTGTCTTAAAACACAACATGCGTAGTAAGAATAATACCAAATGTCAAATTGAAAAATGAGACCACACATACAGACAATCAGTTAATAAAGATCATTTCAAAAGGCAATAAGAACACAGATGACAGTAACACAAAGAAGGAATAGCAATACAGAAAAATAAAAACCAAAGATTACAAAGGCTGGAAATAAAGTACAAGGAAATAAAAGTCAAAATATATGAATAATTCTTTGATTAGAATGAAGAGTAAGTTGAAATGCTAAACAAAACAAGTGGATTTGTGAGGTATATAGTACTAAATCATACAATCAAAAAGGGATTGGCAACATAAAGTGTAGGAGATTACAGTGTCATCTGTCCCTTGAAAAACAGACATAGTATTTGATAAACATGTAAATAACATAACAATTCTCTAACTTTGCTAAAGAGTTCTTCAATAACAAAGAACTCTGTAATGTAGAGTTAGACCAAATTTTATTAAGAGAGTTATTAGATAAGAAAGAGCCTTTGAAAGTTCTTTGATAAAATAATTAGAAATTCTAAAACGAATATTGAATGAAAAACAGTATCAGAAATAATATAACAGCAACTAGAACAAAATCAGGAGAGAATACTAAAGAGATAAAAAGCTATTAACTCAGTGAGAGGATAAAAATTATGAACACATATTTTGACTTTAAGTTCCCAAATAATCTACTGATACCAATATGGTGTTCAACACTGAACATGAACTACTACTTGACAAATATATAACAGGAAATATATCAGTTATGATTGCTTAATCTAAAAATAACAGAAATAGAATCTATAATGTCTTAACCATATGTAAGCTTATATTTTATACATAACAAGAAGTCTCAAATATAGGTAGCTCAGTGCTGGGTCAGCCACTAGTAAAGTCAGACTCCATCTAACTCCCTATTCATGGTCACAAGATAAATGCTTTATCTCCAAACACCAATTCCATCTTCCTGCAAGTGGATTCCAAGTTGCGGTATTGCTAGTTGGACCTGTCACTCTTTAACATGAAAAAATATATATTTCTTACAAAAATAATGCAGCTGGGAGACTTCATCTTAGATCTCATTGTTCAGAATCATGCCATAAAGTCATCAATAGGAGAAAGAAGGATTTGGGAATTAAGAATTTTTGGCACCTGTAATCCCAGAACTTTGGGAGGCTGATTTGGGTAGATCACTTGAACCTAGGAGTTCAAGACAAGCCTGGCCACATGGTAAAACCCCATCCCTACTAAAAATACTAAAAGTTAGCCAGGCATGGTGGTGCACACCTGTAGTCCCAGCTACCTGGGAGGCTAAGGTGAGAGAATAACCTGAACCCAGGAGGTCAAGGCTGCAGTGAGCCATGTTTGCATCACTGCACTCCAGCCTGTGCAACAGAGTAAGACCCTGTCTCAAAACAAAACAAAACAAATTGGCAACACACATGGCAACGCTGAAGGTAATTATTTGTCTGTTAATAAAGAAAAAAGAGAATGTATATTCATTAGAATACTAGTAGGGAGAAGGCAAAACAATATATATATATTGATATATATATCTGTATCTATTTCATCTATACTAGTGAAGGCAGGACCATATCTTATTTATCTTTAAATTCTGTAGCTCATAATCATGCTGTGTACAAATAAATGTTTGTTGCGTTAATGATAGCCAACAACTTAGATTTGGAAAAGGCTGTAGAAATTACCTTTTACTCTTCCTCATTTTACATGTAAGTCATGTAAGATTCACAATCAGAAAACTGAAATGCTCACATAACTTAGTCTCCTGATTTTCTGTTCCTTGAAGTCCAGCTAGGTACTCTTTTATTTTTTCTGATTATTACTCTGCCTTCAAAACATGTGACTCACCAAATAGAAGTATGAGAGTCTATATTCTGTGAGGTTTCTGAATAGTCTTACTTCGCCTTATGATAGTAGGTAGGCAGCTGAAGAAAAGCAATATAGAGAATTAGAAAATGCTCACTTTGCTAAAACAGAAAACTTGTTGGCAGAGGTAAAAGCAAACAAGTGTAAGCTAATATTAAAATATAACCAGCATCATATATGTTTAAAATGGGATAGGAGTAAAATCACAAGAAAAACATTTATGTCCATAAACATGTGGGAATGGTGGTGATAGTGCATGAAAATTTCTGTGTAACAACAGGACAGAAAATAATGAAAAGGGAAATCTTGTCTCCTAAGAGTATAGAACACATGCTAAAGAAAAGCAAAACAATGTGTTTGTAGAAATCTTTTTGGTAATGCTTTCATTTAAATTCATGTTTCAACTTTAAAAAGATGCAATGTTTTGAATTTGAGTTATACTGATGCTTTAAGCATATTTAATCTAATTACAGCAATAAATCTTTTACAGAACAAATCTACCACACATATAGTTGAACAGAGATGAATTCCCAAAACTGACCTAATTCTTGAAGGGTTATTGACAAGAATTCTAATTGTAACACAAAAGAATGTATTACAATTCCCCTGCTTTTTGTTGTTTGTCATTATGACTTTCTACCCTTTTATGTGGCTAGGATGATTTTCTCATACAATTGTTCCATTTCTATAGTTGTAACTAATACTCCAAGAGTAATATTTAAAGTGATGCGATTAAAATAATAAAAATTGCTTTCTCAATAATCTTGCCTTGTATCCAGGCTCTCTATATACATGGCTTCTCCATATACATGGCTTTTATCCCCATCTGTAAAAACCATGCTTATATATATGTTTTATATGACAATGCACATTCTTTTTAATTTTTTCTCATTATTTGTTTTTGTAAATTAATTTTTAATTTGATGGGTACATAGTAGGTGTATATATTTATGGAGTACATTAGATATTTTGAAACAGGCATAAAATGCCTAATAATCACATCAGTGCAATACAGTCTTGACTTTATTTATATTGTAAATAGAATTTTGATTGAGTTTCTCAGTAAACATGTATTAGTTTCAATCTTGTAATTCTTTTATCAGCTGTCGGCTTCAGGATAGTCATACTGATGCAGGAAAAAAATCCATGGCTACCATACTCACTCCACTAGTGGGAATTCCTAGATGCTATCAAGCTGTACCAGCAGACAGGAGTCTGGCCTTACTTACTGAAACCTTATAGCCCACCTGGGCCATGGCTACTTTTGCAGCACTTACACTTGAATCCTTTTCAACACTACCAAGCATGATCTGGCAATAATCTGAAATCAGTTAGCTTTTTTGTGTGTGTGGTGAAATTGCTTCTCAATCAAACTGATGCCTAACAGCTGTGAATATCAAATTTTGCATGAGCTTCTGAAAACAAAAGAAATAATTGAAGCACTTGCTTCTAAAACCATATAGTCAGTCAGCCATCAGTCAGCTGGAGTTCCTGTCATATAGTTACAGATACTTTTAGGTCAAATTGATAAGGTCTGCCGGCTAACTTATCAACAGCTAACATTCCACTCTTAAAAGGACAGGAGACGTAATCTTGCAGCTATCAATTTGGTGGTGATCAGGTGTGAAACACTAGCTATACAGAAAAGTAGAATGAAGAAAGAAAAAAGTTAGTTTGGATCACTGTTAAAGATTGTGCTTGTTAAATTACTCTATAAATATTAGAAAAATTGCCTAATTAAACAAATTAAAGATATTTATTAGCTGCCTTCTATGATATTGAATAATTTTTATTACTATGCTAAATAACAAAAAAAGTAACAAAATTCACAGAAGAGTAGCTCCTCAGGAGAGATTTGTTTGACCCACTTTTCCCTTCCCCTTCCTGAATCTCGTCATAGAGGCATTTAATTAATAGGGTGCTGGTGTGTGTGAGCGCAATTCCTTAAGCCCTAATGCCCTGCTCCTTCACAGGGCTAGATCCTCAATTTTCTAACTGTGGACAATGGTGCATTATTTTCTCAAAGCTCTGACACGTGACACTCAGAGAAGGGGCCAGTGGAGGGAAGGAGTTGATGCGTGCTCAGCCATTCCATCTGAAACCCCTTCTTTCTCTGCCACAATGCAGAGCCAAGTGACTATTTCAGAGGCAGAAAATGGATCTCTGAGTTTTCAGTAAGAGTAGCTGGAAAGGAAATGTTTCACATGGTATGCAAATATTCTGTCAAAGCAAAACTTAGCAATATTTTTAGTGTACACTTAGTTAACTTCTGAGATTTTGTAAATTTTCAAAAATAATGTCTAATATTTTAAATAAGTGAAGATCTTTTGTATTTGTATATTCTAGTTCACAAACAGTGCTACAAAAAATTATTTTTGTTTGAAAAAATTCCACATGTTAACACAATAAAATATCCATGGAAATGCTATAACATCTAAAAGTGTAGTCTAACTTCATTTTAACTCCTAAACTTACTTTTGCTTTAAAAAAAGAATAGAATCCTATTTTTAAAAGATCAGTTTGATTTTAAAACAATAAAAGTACTAATTCTCCATGAGCAATGTGCATTAGCATTTTTTCAGTATAGCACTGAGCTATTTTGATAAGCAAGGCTGCTTACTCATGAAAAGATGCAGACTTGAATTGAATCGAACAATACAAGGAGAAAAAAGGATGTGAATCCAAAGCAGGCACCACCTGAACATCATGCTCTTGAAGAGAGGAAGAAGCAGAATTTCTTATAATTGTTCAGACAAAGCCAAAACAATACAAAAACACAACACTACACAACAAAACAAATCAAAAACCTTTAGGAATGCATCTTTCTTAGCCATTTGCTGTACTTTTCTTTACATCTCAAATTAAAATTTTCAGCCAACGGATGCAGCTGGCATTGAATTACCCATGTTCTAAGACACTGCAGTAAAAAGGAGGAGATGTGGGTTCTATGTCCCTCTTCTTTCAATGATTCACCAACTTACAGGCCATCTGTCACCGTGAGCATGTTGCTAAGCCTTTCAGACTTTTACAACAATGGACCAGCCATTTGATCTCTTGAGGTCCCTTTTAGCTTTATGGTCAATAATTTTCTGCTACTTACCCTTAATTTTGTAAAAGATCCTTTAAATAAATCATCTTTTTTAGTGCAAACTGAATGGTATATAAAAAGCCACTATAGTATTATGCGTTTTTCTTTCACAATATAATGGTTCTTACATGTACATAATTTTTGTAGATTTAAACTTCACCGATCATTCTGTATAAAATGCTATGTAAATATTTTTAAAAATTAATATTTTAGTGAAGCTTATTGATTACCACTTTTAACTTTTATTCATGTACATTTGGATTTGTATAAATGAGGTCAAAGCTAAAACCCAGTTCTACTGGCATATGCCTTAAGATAAGACTAGATTTCTTAATGAAGTCTTTATATTTCAGATTCAATTAAAAATATTAGTTTAATTGTTAACTGGTTGACATGGGCTACAGGTACTGATATTTGGCCAGTTTGGGAACAAATACAGAGAGCCCTGGCCCATTGCTTCCCTAACCACCCTATAATAACACAGCCTTGGTTCTCTTATTGTCTTTCCCATGTTGTTTTTCTGCCCAAAACATGTGACTACCTGACAGTTTATTGTATACGTATTTGTCCACCAACTGCTTATGCAAGCTCAACAATGATGGGGATTTTGTCTTATTTTCCACCGCATATTCTGATCCTAGAACTAGAAGGACATTCCTGGAAGGATATAGGGGCTGCTCCATAGGCGACCTGGGAAATATGATTTCTAGTCCAAACTTTGCTTTGAGGACTCAAGCCAGCTATTGAACTTGTCTGTGCATAGTAAGTATAAAGTGGAAATAATCATTCTGAAGTTTTACATCAAATAAGATTTCGAGTGCTTACTCTGTGCCAGGCCCTGTTCTACCAACTGAAGATATAACAGCAAAAAACACAGACGAGGGTGCTGCCCTGAAGAGGCTTCCATTGAAGTGTAAAAGACAAATTATCAAAAATAAATTCTCACCTTCTTGAGGTTGCATGGCATCATATTAACTCATTAAACTGCTACATCCTGCTGTCAATAACATTTTTTTGCTGTTGTTCCAAAGATTGGAGTTTTATCAGGAGTCCACAGGGGCTTGCTGGGCTGAAATTGGGAGTCCTGAACTGAGACAAGCAGTGTGCCGGAGTTAAAGCCCTGAGTCAAAGACCCCTGCGAAAAAACTGGAATCCAAAAAGCCAACTGAAGAGTCTGGGAGAAAAATCTGCGGAGAGGAGATGAAACACCGATGTATTTGGGTTTTAGGTTCCAGCGTTGGGGGGACAAGAGTGAGCATCATCAAGCTGAGATAAAATCAGGTGGGAAGTAGAAAGTGTTGCTGAGCATAATGCTGGGATGGAAGAGTCAGGTGGCAAGGGTGGGAGGAGCAGATAGGAATTCTCTAGGGTTGGATTAATCAAGCGTTATCTTATATTAGTATTTTTACCACTTTCTGAAATATGCAAGAACATTATGACGATTTAATTTTATGCCTTTCCTCTTGCACTTTGTGCTGATCATACCCTCAAAATCTAGATACCAGAGACAAAGCCATGAATGAAAAATGGGTTCCCTTCACACCAGTATAAAACCTGACTTGTATCTTTCAGTTGGTGTCTGAATACTTGTCATTTCCATGGTTGACCGACAGGAAAAAAAGTCCCCTTCTTCAAGGTAGACCCTAACTTATAGCCAAGGATGTAGCCTGACTTTATATGTCAAAAGTATAATTCTCTCAAAGTAATTTACAACAAACTTAATGTTCCTTCAGGAGAGATATTTGAAATTAGGTGGGGGTAATTTTGTCATATCCTAATAAGATTATTTAATTTATGAAAAATTAATATTTCAAAAGTTAGGCCAATGAAAACAATTCATTTAAGCCAGATCGGATATGCAAAAGTATTTTAAGGCATAGAAGTATAATGGAAGCCTAGCTAAAATTACCACTTTATAGAACTTTGATTTCCACTTCAATGATCCTTTTGAAGCAAAACTCTGTGTTCTTGTTTTAATTCTGTATTCTTTGTCTGGGAGAATACCATTTAACATTTTCCTGCTAAACTACTAAAATAAAGCACTAATCTTCAACTTTGTAATGATGATGAGAATTTTTTGGCTGCAAGTAGTTTTTATGTGATATGTGTTTATATATAACTTTTATCTTTTCTTCTGAAATTCCAATTAAATGTTTTAAACATTAAAAAATGCTTAATATTATTCAATTGTTTAGCTTATTTGTACTCAACTTATTAATTATATACCTAGGTTCATGTCTTTCATCTTTTGTGCTATTGTGGTCATTTATTTTATTTCTACATAACTTATACTTCCACAGGAAATGTAGTATTGTATTTTCATTGAAGAATAAAATACATAAAGGAGCATAAAGTACTCTGATCTTAGGTTTTCACCTTGATTTTACTGCACACATATGGATAAACACACACACACACACACACACAGAGTAATGGTGTAAACTTCACTTATTGAAAGATAAAGAATTCTTAAGTTTCCAGTATGCACCTTCCCAGTATTTAACCACCTCAGAATGAACCACTATTCTAACTTCCGATATCGCATGTAACCATTATTGTCTGATTTCTTTCTCAATATAGTATCTGCGTGATTATACTATTGTGTACATCAGAAGTTCATTCCTTTTTCCATACTTTTCCATTGTATGAGCATACCTCCATTCTTAATCATTCTTCTGCTGATGAGCTTTAAGTTGTCCTCAGTTTGAGGCTATTATAAACAATTGGTACAAACATTCATATATGTATCTTTTTGTGAGCACATTTATTTATTTTCATGGGTATATATATGCTCATTAACGAAATTGCTAAGTCATAAGGTGGATGCACGTTAGCTTTAGAATATCAATGCTAAACTGTTTTCAATAACACAAGTATCATTTTTATACTCTTACCAACATTGTCACAGTTTTAGGTCCACAGTTTTGCTAAAACTTTGTTTTAGCAGTTCTGGTAGGTATTTAGTATCTCGTCTTATTTTAATTTGCATTTCCATATTACTTTTTATTTGCTGCTCTAACCAATTACCACAGAATTCATTAAAAAAATCCACAAATCATTATCACACAATTTTGTGGATTAGAAGTCTGCCAGGGTTGTGGACTGGACTTCATTCCTTTTGGGAGTATGCAAGATACAATCGATTTCTTTGCCTTTTTCAGAGTTCACCCATATTCCTGACTCTTGACCCTTTTCCTCCATCTTCAAACTGGGCAAGATCATTAACTCTCTGACCATCCTTCTTTAGCCATGACTCATGTGCACCAGCTCACCATTGCCCTCTTGAAGTTTTGTGTTTTCTTCTGGGTTCATTTGCCTGCAGCCTGAACAACTTCCCTTAATACTACTTCTGCAGGTCTTTGGTTGATGAATTGCCTGACCTTGTGTTTGCCTGAAGACATCTTTATTTTGCCTAAATTTTGAGGGCTATTTTTGCTGGCTATAGATTTTGAGACTAGTTATTTTCTTTTCTCTCATCACTTTAATACCAATGTTACATTTTCTCAAGCTTTCACACTGTTTGTGGAAAAATCAATTGTCACTCTTACTATTGATCCTTTGAATTTGATTTTTTTTCTCAAAGCTCTTTTAATTTTCTTTTCAATTAACTTTATAAGTTTGACTATAATATACCAGGACTTGCTTTCTATGTATTTTTTTTGTTTGGTGTTTGGTATTTGCAGAACTTCTGGATTCATATTGACCAAATGTCACATTCAGGTTGACCAAATGTCTTACATCAATTTTGAAAAATTTTTGCATTTATTCCTTCAAGTATTGTTTCTTTCCCATTTTTCTTTCTTCTCGTCTCCTGGAATTCCAATTAAATGTTTTTAGATCATTTGACTGAGTCCCATATTATTTCTCTTAAGATTAATCATTTCTAGCTTTTTCTCCATGCTTTAAACCTTTTCTTACAACGTGTTAATAGGTTAGCTAATTCTGTCTTCCGTTTGTTTAGTCTCCTTTTAAACTCCTCCATTGTTGTTAATTTTATTTCTCAGTTCCTTTTTTTGTTGTTGTTGCTTTTTTTGTTTGTTTGTTTTGAGACGGAGCCTCGGAGCCTCGCTCTGTTGCCCAGGCTGGAGTGCAGTGGCGCAATCTCGGCTCACTGCAAGCTCTGCCTCCCGGGTTCACGCCATTCTCCTACCTCATCCTCCCGAGTAGCTGGGACTACAGGCGCCTGCTACCACTCCCGGCTAATTTTTTGTATTCTTTAGTGGAGACGGGGTTTCACCGTGTTAGCCAGGATGGTCTGGATCTCCTTGTGATCCGCCCGCCTCGGCCTCCCAAAGTGCTGGGATTACAGGCATGAGCCACCGCACCCGGCCTGTATTTTTCAGTTCTAAGATGCTCATTTATTTATTTTTATAGATTTTAATTCTTTGTTGAAATTTTTAATCTTTTCATCTGTTTTGTACATCTTTTTCTCTATATGTAATATCTTAGAAAATATATTTATGAAATATATCAGTGATAAATATTTAAAACTGTTTAACTGTCTAATTCAATATCTGGATTATCCATAGGGCTGCATTATTTTCTATTTTTCTCATAATGTGGAGAAGAATATCAAATCCAGACCTCCCCTACTTTCCAGAGGACTATTTATAAAGACTATATGAATGTAATCATCATCTAAAATTTCAGTGTTTCAGCTTTTCTTTTTCACCAGTCAACTTTGTTTTATTACATTAAGGAATAGCTGAACATTTGCAACAGTTTTCCAGTCTAACAAATTCATTTTCTTAGTGAAGACACTGATTTTTAATGTCTTAATTGTCTTATTTGTAAAATGAGAAAAATCAAACTATAAATATTTTAGATCTGTGGTTTGGCCAATATGATATTTCTAATGAAGTGTCAAAATAGGAGATTTAATACAATGTGAGTTTAAATTCGTAATTATGCACTGTTTACTCCACTTACTATTTTTAGCAATTAGTTGGTGTTTAGAGGCTGGTGTTCTGGAGTCCTATTGAGAGGTGACAGCGTGCTGGTAGTCTTCACAGCCCTTGCTCGCTCTCGGCGCCTCCTCTGCCTGGGCTCCCACTTTGGTGGCACTTCAGGGGCCCTTCAGCCCACCACTGCACTGTGGGAGCCCATTTCTGGGCTGGCCAAGGTCGGAGCCGGCTCCCTCAGCTTACAGGGAGGTGTGGAGGGAGAGGCGCGAGCGGGAACCGGCTGCGCACGGCGCTTGCGGGCCAGCTGGAGTTCCGGGTGGGCGTGGGCTTGGCGGGCCCTGCACTCGGAGCAGCCGGCCGGAGCAGCCGGCCAGCCCTGCCGGCCCCAGGCAATAAGCGGCTTAGCACCCGGGCCAGCGGATGCGGAGGGTGTACTGGTCCCCCAGCAGTGCCAGCCCACCGGCGCTGCGCTCAATTTCTCGTGGGCCTTACCTGCCTTCCCGCGGGGCAGGGCTCTGGACCTGCGGCCCGCCATGCCTGAGCCTTCCACTCCTCCACGGGCTCCTGTGCGCCCCAGCCTCCCCGATGAGTGCCACCCGCTGCTCCACGGCACCCAGTCCCATCAACCACCCAAGGGCTGAGGAGTGCGGGCACACTGCGCGGGACTGGCAGGCAGCTCCACCTGCAGCCCCAGTGCGGGATCCACTGGGTGAAGCCAGCTGGGCTCCTGAGTCTGGTGGGGAAGTGGAGAACCTTTATGTCTAGCTCAGGGATTGTAAATACACCAATCAGCACCCTGTGTCTAGCTCAGGGTTTGTGAATGCACCAATGGACACTCTGTATCTAGCTACTCTGGTGGGGCCTTGGAGAACCTTTATGTCTAGCTCAGGGATTGTAAATACACCAATCGGCACCCTGTCAAAACAGACCACTTGGCTCTACCAATCAGCAGGATGTGGGTGGGGCCAGATAAGAGAATAAAAGCAGGCTGCCCCAGCCAGCAGTGGCAATCTGCTGAGGTCCCTTTCCACACCGTGGAAGCTTTGTTCTTTTGCTCTTTGCAATAAATCTTGCTGCTGCTTGCTCTTTGGGTCCAGACTGCTTTTATGAGCTGTATCTCTCACCATGAAGGTCTGCAGATTGACTCGTGAGACCACGAGCCCACCGGCAGGAACGAACAATTCCAGAGGCGCTGCCTTAAGAGCTGTAACACTCCCCGTGAAAGTCTACAGTTTCGCTCCTGAGCCGGTGAGACCACGAACCCAACAGAAGGAAGAAACTCTGAACACATCTGAACGTCAGAAAGAGCGAACTCCAGACGTGCCACCTTAAGAGCTGTAACACTCACCCCGAGGGTTTGCCGCTTCATTCTTGAAGTCAGTGAGACCAAGAACCCACCCAGTCCAGACACACTGAGTAAACCTCATTTATTTATGGCCGTGGATCACATTCCAAGGAAGCGTGGCTTCTCATTGCCTCTGAGAATTTTAACATTCTTGAGCATACCTGAAAGTGAAAACCAAATCTCAGGGTGCTTTTCTTTAGTATATATTTTAAATGCTTTATATCTAACTTTTGAGTTGGTGCAACACTGCCTAAATATACTCCTCTTTCTTAAACTGTACAAGTGTTCTTGTAACAAGCTATTTTTTGGTCTCAAATGGAATGAGTTATTTTAAAAAGGTCATATATTTCTTCTCTCATTGAATTTGGCAAATAAGGTGGCTTTTTTAAGACACTTTGACATTGGTGCTTTTTGCTAGGTGGATCACTATGAATGATAAATCTCTGTGATGGTCTGTGACAAGGAACAACATTTATTAACATACACACATTTACACCTTTTCTATTTCCTCTCTTCCACCTTCTGCATTCTGATGTTAATTTTTGCTTTGCACCCTAGCTCTTTGTTCCACCATCTTCTCGTTGTTTTGTGAGGAAAGGTCTGCTTTTGCCAGCCTAAGTCCCAAAATGTTAGTGACAAGGTAGAAAATGTAGGCAGAGAAAGATAAGGCTGTAGAGATCATTTGAAAGACTGTGGTTTTGTTTGCTGGGATATTTCCCAGACCTTTGCTTATTACAAAAAAAAGAGAATAAAATCAAAGCATAGGAAAAGTAAAACAAAACCACTAAAAAATTCAACAAAAAATCTGAGATTTTTAACTTTATACATTAGAATTCAGAAAATAATGGAGATAGAAAAGGAGCAAATGTGGGGATTTGGAGGAAGTGAAAGTTCAGATGTGTGAGAGGATGAAAAAGGAGAGAATATGGGAAGTTAAGGACTTTTTACTTTGGGGTTATGAATTGGATATCCTTTAATATTCTTATATAAATGTATTTCAAGACTTGTCATTAATGGCTTTTGGCAGCTTGATTATATCTTTAATTGGGTCACTAACATGAGCCTGAGCCACATGGGAGTCCATCTGGATTCCTCCATGACTTGAACTTGTCACAACTGCTTTGCATGCTGCCAAAGTGAGTATGTTTCTCTTTCATCCTCATGCTTCTTGGTCTCCTGGACAGCGTTTGGCCAGATTCACCATACTGTCCTACTGGAACACAAAATCCTCTTTCAGATTCCATGACACCATTTCCTTCTAGTTTTTCTTCTAACTCTCTGGCCACTCGTCCTGTGAGCCTTTCCCCTCGGCCCCATCAGCAGTTTCTCAGGACTCAGTTCCAGGTCTTTCTACTCCACTGCATACCCTGTCCTGTGGGGAGCTCTCCTAAATCCATGCTTTTGGACACTATCTGTGGTTTGATGATTCCAAGTGTATATCTGCAATCTGGATTCAGATCATTGTGCACTTGAAATTTTCACTTGGATGTCAGGCTAAGTTCTCAAAATTAAAATCCTAAAACAGAATTTCTGCTTTTACCCATAAAACCTCATTAACTGTACTTGAGCATATATTACTATCATCCTTTCTATTTAGTTCTTCTTTTTATTTTAACCCCCACATCTAATCCATCAAATCTGTCAATTCTTTCTCTAAAATATATCTCGCATCTGTACATTTCTTTCTGTCTTCTCCAGGGTGACCCTAGTTACTTCTGCTTGTCTCCACCTTCTTCCTCTATTGCTTATTCAAGTCAATCTTTAAACAATTATAAAATAATATTCACACACTCACACCCACACACACACAAATATACAGAAATTGGAGACAGCATACTCTATTAAAATTTTTCAGTGTCTTCCTATTTTTTTTCAGAGAAAATCTGAATTTATAATATTGGTGTATAGGAACCTGTATGGCCTGACCCATTCTCATTTGCCCAGCCTCATATCAGTTTCCCTCTCTCCACCTTCCAGCTACATGGGCCTCATTTACTTCTTGAATGTCCTAGCTATGTCTCTTTTTGGGGACTTTGTATATATAATTGCTGTTATTTTAAGGGCTTTTATTTAACTAATTACAGTTAGGCGATTGTCATATTGCTGGACACAGTTTAAATATCACCTCTTCAGAGATATTCCTTGATTATGCTTAGTAATCAAGAACAATCTTGATTAGTAGAATAGCCTCCTCCTATTACTCTTTCAGGAGTATCAGTATCCTTCAATGCATTTGGGCATTTATAAGCAATTTATTGGTTACTTATTTACTTCTTCCTCACTGAATGAGGAAAGTAAAGATAGTAAATATAGCCTCCTTCTATTATGCTTTCAGAAGTATCAGTGGCCTTCCTAGAATTTGGGCATTTATAACTCATTTATTGGTTACTTATTATGTTCTTCCTAGTTGAAAGCTACGAAAGGGCAAGATATTTGTTTTATTCACTGAGTGCACCGTTTGGCATAAAAAAAAGCATTCAATAAATATTAGCTTAGTGGGAAACTTTTAAAAAATTAGTTTATTTCCTTTGGCGTACCTTGGTGGATATTTGCTAGGTCTTCAACTCACAGCCTGTTAATATAAGTATTTCTTTAAGAGAAATACCTTTTTAAGAAGATCTAGTTACTCCTATAACTACTGCAACCACTTATTTAGGGTAAACTCTTTTCTAGCCACTACATGAAGCTCTCTTACATACTGTGTGTCATCCACTATATTATTATTTCTATCTCCATTTATAAAAGTAAATAAATCGAAGCTTTGAGAGGCCAAGTTCGTAATGTTCTAGAGTTGAATTGGGAAAGCAGTTTCATAATGCCATAAAGTTTCACAGTGTTCACCATTCTCATCTCTGAGCAAGCCACTAACCATGGAATTATCCTAGGGTCATGGTGAGTGAACTGTTTCATTCCTCCTAGTGCATTCCATGCTGTTCAACTGTAGAGCTTATCACTTTCTTTCAGAAGGGTCCAAATCCAAGGATTAAGAGGCACTAGAAAAAGCTTCCAAAATTTTCTACCCTTCACAAAACATATATGAATTGAAACTTACATGCTTTTCATTTAAGTATCATTGATAACCTCTCATTTCCCAAAGAAGGAGAAAAAAGGACGAATTCTACCACTTACTCTGGTCATCAAAAACTTAATATTCTTACTTCAGAATGATTGATGCACCAAGTGAACCATTTACCATTCTCTGTTTGACACATTTGGTAATATACAAACATAGTTTTCTCATTTTAGAAAGTGGTGTGGTCAACTAAGAGGGATTTCATTGTCTGGCACTTCAGCACTGCCCTTTCATTTAAATGGGAAAATTGTCATGTAAGCTTCTAAGTTTGGGATGGTTTATTATACAAAAATAGATAACTGGAACACCTTGATACTAAATGTGAAGATGATAGTGTTTTAGGAACAATTTGTTGCAAATAGACATAGGTAAATAAATAGCAATTAGAAATGTGTCTCTTCCTATCTCTAAAATCATGCACACTTTTGGTCAGAAGTACAAGTCATAACCTGAGATTTGCAATGGGCATCTTGTGAGGGCAATCTTGTGGGACTGAGCCCTTGCATGATCTGATTCCAACCCCAGGTAGGAAGTTGCAGAATTAAACTGAATCGTAGCACACCCAGGTGTTGCCTGCTATAAAATTGCTTGGTGTGTGGGGAAACATCTCACATATATTTTGGTGACCAGCAATAAAGTATTATGTATTGAATGATGAGTATAAAAGTAGGAAAATCAGTTTTTTTTTCTGTATGTAACAGTTCATAAATAATTAAATTTAAAAACAACAAACAAGCCAGGTGCTGTGGCTCATACCTATAATCAATCCCAGCACTTTGGGAGGCTGAGGCAGGAGGATTCCTTGAGCCCAGGAGCTTGAGACCAGCCTGGGCAACATGGTGAGACCCCATCTCTGCAAAAAATACAAAAATTAGCCAGGCATAGTGGTGCATGCCTGTAGTCCCAGCTACTCGGGAAGCTGAGCTGGGAGGATTGCTGGAGCCCAGGATGGAGAGGTTGCAGTGAGCCAAGATTGCACCACTGTACCTGGGTGACAGAGAAAGACCCTGTCTCAAATAAATAAATAAATAAATAAATTAAATTAAATTAAATTAAATTAAATAATAAGTATACTAAGATTCAGGAATTATAAAAGAAAAGCTATTGAATTTTTCACCCTGCTATGGTGCCAGCAAAAAGAAGCATTTTCTTATGCCTTCTTTTTGCCTATTTAAAAGTTTGTGAGAGGCTATTTGATTCATAGCTGAGAAGTATGCTTAAATAAATGTATCTGGATATCAGGAATGAGCAAACTCTCGTTGGCTGTCACTGTTTCTAAGATAGCAGATAACTATGGCTATGACTTTTTTTTTACATTTTCTGTACATTTTTGTACATTTTATTTTTGTACAAAAAATAAAAAAATGTAAAAAAGGTATAAGTTATGACAATAGCTTATAAAGTTCTCTAAGGTGGCATTGTACACAGAGTCTTACAAGAAAAATTCTCTTCTGCTCAGGAGAAAACTTTTTATACAAAATGATGAGAGACAGGAGGTAGTTAAAGGCCCATAATATAATGCTAAATTTCTTCTGACAAATTATAAATCTGCATGAAAGCTTCAGCACAAAGAAAAAAATATACATGCTAGGATAAGTTTTAAGACAAATTTTATTGAATTCAATTTTAAAAGCATTTTGAGAAAGCTAATCTGTTAATATACTTAAAAGCAATAAATTTATGTCCTAAACACATGCAAATGTCTGTGTTAACACTTTCATTTTTAACTCTATGCAATTATATCAAAATCTTAATCTCTATATTGTTAAATTTATAGCATCTTTTAACATATCAATATTAAAAAGTGCTGGATTGACTTAAAATTAAAGACATATTCCAATTTCCAATTTCCAATGAGTATTTCAATATGTGACAAATATTTTCATAGAATTTTGGCTGATGGGTAGAGAAAATTCTGATTTTGAAATCAAGTATAATTTGTTGTTTTTCAAAGGTTATTTCTTTTATTCAACTTGGCTTTTTGCCTCTAAGACAGGAACAGATGATGTGGACATAAAATGATTTTTTCAGAAGTGAAAGTTTCATGAATTTATTTTTAAAGGATGCATTCAAAATCTTTAGCCTTAAGATATGCACAAAATAGCACTCCCAAAATAAATATGAATAATATTTATTCGTAGAGACTGTTTAGAATTAACTTCAGGACAAGATAGGCATTAAAGAAAACTGTTTTATTGTTGCAACTAATACTCTATACCAAGCACATTTAAAACTCTGTAGCTTACAAAATAACCCAAAACCCAAAGCAAGCCAAACCAAAACAAGCAACAACTATGACAAAAAATGTAAAAACATTGCTAATTGTGAATCCCTGTTCTGATACAGTATATTTGTGTTTCTGCTTAGCTAAACAAACTCTTTAAATGTGTGCAAAGCCATTAGTTTGTTATAAGTAATAAGTAATCACATTTTTAGAATTTGCCCTGGAGTTATCAGAAAATAAATAATTCTTCTATTAAAGCTGCAGAAAGCATAATCAAAAGCCATTGCTAATGTCCCTAGATATGCCTTTAGGGGTTTTATATTTATCCAGTCATTCTTAAATATCTCCTTAGAAGTGACTGATTCAGGTTTACCCTGGTCTGTTACTATGGATACTTTATATCCCCAATTATACATGCAAGAATCTATCTTTAAGCAACTCATAATTTCAGTACAAGTTAGTCCTGCAATAACAATAAAATGACACTGTGAGGTAGAGTCATGCCCCTAAGAAATCCTTATGAGTCTTTCAGATGTTCTTAACAGTATAAATGATGTCTGTAGGCCGGGCGTGGTGGCTCACGCCTGTAATCCCAGCACTTTGGGAGGCCAAGGGGGGCAGATCACAAGGTCAGGAGATCGAGACCATCCTGGCTAACACGATGAAATCCAGTCTCTACTAAAAATACAAAAAATTAGCCGGGCGTGGTGGCATGCACCTGTAGTCCCAGCTACTCGGGAGGCTGAGGCAGGAGAATGGCGTGAACCCCAGAGGCAAAGCTTGCAGTGAGCTGAGATCACGCCACTGCTCTCCAGCCTGGGAGACAGAGCAGAGCAAGACTCCATCTCAAAAGAAAGAAATAAATAAAAATAAAAATAAATTAAAAAAATTAAAAAGTGATGTCTATATATAACATTGTGATGTGAACAGCAAAAGAAAACCAATCTCTCTTGCTGCTTTGGAGGAACAAAAAACCTATTCTGACTTGCTAATAAGTTGTTTCCTGTAGCCATAAGCCTCACTATATACACAGTTTTCTTACGGAGCTGTGTAATATCATTGTGAAGGCTTGGCTAAGATTCATATTTACAAATCTCTCAGGCTCAGTTAAGGTGAGATGAATCTATTTTAAGACATTGAAATATATTACAAATAGCCATTACCAAGCTGTGCCTTTTGCATCTCGTATTAGATGTTCTAGTAATATTGGGAAGGGTACTAGCATCAAGAATACTTTCCCTTTAGAATATTCTCTGCAGAGATAAGTCAAAATAGTTTTGGATATCCAGAATTGCAAAGGAGTTGGTACACTACAGGCTTGAATATCTTGTATATGGCCCAAGGACTCAGAATTTCTCACTGCCTTGCAAGTTTATGTGTGGAAACACTCACTGCATCTGGAAACAGTGAGGTTACCAACTTTCAAAAACAGTTGCAAAAAATGTAAGTTCAGGGACACTTGTAAAGATTGCTGTGAAACTGCTTGTCTCCTATGAAAATGTCAAGTGATGTAGCTTGTATGTAGTTCAATTTTCTTTATGACTTTATTTTCAAGAGGTAAGCCATTATAGCACCTCAACAACTTTTAGCATCTAGTGGATAATCAGAGCCCCAACACCAATTTAAATGGAAACAATGGTGCTAATAATAGTCTTTTGATCTTCTTACTATTTTCCTTTACAGTGAGTACCAAGACAGAGGACTCTGCCTTTGGGGGAAATTAAACACAGTATTCCTGGGTTCAATGTAAAGAAAAGTCTCGTTTTCTTCTAAAACAAGAGTAAGACCCTGAAAACAAAGATGGAATAATTTATAACAGTTTATAAAACTCATCAAAGTTCCACAAAAAAGCCTTTCAATGTCTGTCATTAGGACAAAAAATAATTTAATTATATTGTGAGTCTTTTGAAGGTGCATTTATGACCAATATGGTTAGTCTTTGTTCTAATTACAAATTTCCAAGTATAATGAGAGGGTATTAAGTCTATCACCAGAGTTTTATCATCCATTTTGACATTATAATTTTTTGAATTATTAAATTTATGTAATTATTTAAATAATTAGGTCTTTGATGGGAATGTGTTTTATTGTTCTAAAATTACATTAGGTAAATATTAAAGCTCCAAAATAATCTCCTTTGACTCCATGTCTTACATCCAGGCCACATTGATTCAAGGGGTGGGCTCAAAAGAGCTTGGGCAGTACTGTCCCTGTGGTTCTGCAGGGTACAGTCCCTGTAGCTGCTTTCACAAGCTGGCATTGAGTGCCTGCAGCTTTTCCAGATGTACAGTTCAAGCTGTCAGTGAATCTACCATTCTGGGCTCTGGAGGATGGTGGCCCTTTTCTTACAGCTACACTAGGCAGTGCCCCAGTGGGGACTCTTATAGGGGCTCCAACCAGACATTTCCCCTTTGTAATGACCTCAAAGGGGTTCTTTATGAGGGTGCCTTCCCTGCAGTAGACTTCTGTCTGGACATTATGCATTTCCACACATCCTCTGAAATCCAGCTGGAGCTTCCCAAAGTTCAACTCTTGCCTTCTGTGCACCCACAGGCCTAACACTACACGGAAGCTGCCAAGGTTGGGGCTTGAACCCTCTGAAGCAATGGCCCAAGCTGTACCTTGGCCCCTTTTAGCTATCGCTGGAGTTGGAGGAGTTGGGATGCAGAGCACCATGTCCCAAGGCTACACAGAACAGTGGGGCTCTGGACCTGGCCCATGAAATCGTTTTTCCTTCCTAGGCCTCCAATCCTGTGATGGGAGGGGGTGTTGAAAAAGTCCCTGAAATGTCCTGAAGGGATTTTCCTCATTGTTTTGGCTAACATTCAGCTCTTTACTTATGCAAATTTCTGCAGCAGGCTTTAATTTCTCCCAGAAAATGGGCTTTTCTTTCCTACTGCATGGTCAGTATGCAATTTCATGTTTATTATTTTATATCGTCTGTATATAAGAAAAGTGATCTTTTCCTAAAATTATTGGTCAGAATATAGGTGTTTTTTAAACTTTTATTTTAAGTTTCGGGGTGCATTTGCATAACGTGCAGATTTGTTACCTAGGTAAACCCATCATGGAGGTTTGTTGTATAGATTATTCCATCACCCAGGTATTAAACCTAGTATCCATTAGTTATTTTTCCTGATCCTCTCCCTCTTCCCATCCTCTGCCCTCCAGTAGGCCCCAGTGTGCATTATTCCTCTCTAGGTGCCCATGTGTTCTCATCATTTAACTTCCACTTTTAAGTGAGAACATGCAGTATTTGGATTTCTCTTCCTGTGTTAGTTTGCTAAGCATAATGGCCTCCAGCTCCATCCATGTCCCTGCAAAGGATTTGATCTCATTCTTTATTATGGCTGCATGGTATTACATGGTATATATGTAGCACATTATCTTTATCTAGCCTATCATTGATGCACATTTAGGTTGATTTCATGTCTTTGCTGTTATGAATAGTGCTGCAATGAACAGATGTGTGCATGTGTCTTTATAATAGAATGATTTACATTCATTTGGGTATATACCCAGTAATGGGATTGCTGGGTAGAATGGTATTTCTGTCTTAAGTCTTTGAGGAATTGCCACACTGTCTTCCACAATGGCTGAAATAATTCACACTCCCACCAACAGTGTGAAAATTTTTCTCTACAACCTTGCCGGTGTCTGTTGTTTTTAACTTTTTAAAAATAGCCCTTCTGACTGGTGTGAGATAGTATTTCATTGTGGTTTTGATTTGCATTTCTCTAATGATCAGTGATGTTGAGCTTTTTTTCATATGATTGTTGGCCACACATATGTCTTCTTTTGAAAAGTGTCTATTCATGTCCTTTGCTCACTTTTTAAGGGGTTTGTTTGTTTTCTTGTAAATTTGTTTAAGTTCCTTTATAGATGCTGGATATTAGACCATTGTCAGATGCATAGTTTACAAAAATTTTCTCACATTCTGTAGGTTGCCTGTCAAGTCTGTTGATAGTTTCTTTTGCTGTGCAGAAGCTTATTAAGATCCCATTTGTCAATTTTTGATTTTGTTGCAATTGCTTTTGGTGTCTTCATGATGTCTTTGCCCATGCATATTTCAGAATATAGTTTTATATAAAAAAGGAGTTGAAATCCACTACTATTCAAACATTTTTCCATCCTGGAGTTAGTTATGTGTTCAAGAGATATTATCATTTTAATCTTTGTGGTCAGTGGATTTGGAAGTTTGTTTTACTTTTGGATAATTTTTACTTAGTGACATTCAAAACTGAAATAATATGTTTGGATGTCTAAAAAATAACAAAGAGATAATGTTAATAAATTTGGAGTAACTAGCAAAGTATGGTTGTATCTAGATTTCCCTCCCTGCCAAATCAATCATATTCAGAGTTTATTCAATTCTGAGAGAGTTCATAAATTCAGAATTTGTAATTATTTATTTTCTTTTTAAATTTTGCAAGCTCATTTTACATATATGTTCTGCAATGTTTAATTCCCAATATACACAGTAAATTTAGTTTTTTCTTAACATAAAATGGTGAATATGCCAGAAAATTAAAGAATTAATGATATTTTTAAAGTTGTATTTACATTTGATAAAATTATGTGAACTAACACAATAATCATCCAGCCTGCCACATATATTCTAACCTTGGGCTACTTCTCTATTCAGTGCCCAAGTGTGCCACTCAGAGCTTGACCTGTTGTGAAGATTTTCCTTTGCCATTGTCCTTCAAGACAAAGCTGTAGTGCAGCTGCTGTCCATTTTTTATTTATACCCACATGCCAAGTCAACCCATCCATATAACAAGCTTGGACTTTTCATCCTTTTACAGCTGGTGGTAGAGGATGCTCTGTATAGTCTCAGGCATGAACTGAAGTAGAGGCAGTGCAACAATGGTGGCTCATTCCACAGGGGCTCAGGGTTTATTATTATTATTATTTTAGAGACAAGACCTTGCTATGTTGCCCAGGCTGGTCTCAAACTCCTAGTTTCAAATGATCCTCCAACTTCAGCCTCCTGAGTAGTTGGGATTACAGGCATGATCCACCACACCCAGCTCAGGCTTCTTGCTTAGGCAGTTTGTCTGTGTGTTCTAGTCTTGTTTATACTCAACATTGAATGTTCTACTTCCATCTTAAACTAAACTGTTGCTGGGTCTTCCTGATTATGTCTTGGTCATCTGACAGGACCCAATGCATGGAAAGCAGCTCTGGATTCATGGTCACTTGGTATGTTAGTCTATTCTCACGCTGCTAATAAAGACATACCTGAGACTGGGTAATTTATAAAGGAGAGAGGTTTAATTGACTCACAGTTCAGCATGGCTGGGGAGGCTTCAGGAAACTTACAATCATTTTGGAAGGGGAAGTAAACACATCCTTCTCACATGGCAGCAGCAAGGAGAAGTGCCAAGCAAAGGGGGAAAAAGCCCTTTATAAAACCATCAGATCTCGTAAGAACTCCCTCACTAACACAAGAACAGCAGGGTGGTTGTAACTGCCCTCATGATTCAATTACTTCCCACTGGGTACCCCCCCAACAACACATAGGGATTATGGGAACGACAATTCAAGATGAGATTTGAGTGGGGACACAGCCAAACCATATCAGTCAGTATCCATTGTCAGACATTCCATTTCTACTAGAGCTCAGATGCATGCCAGGAGCTATTTGTCAAAAGATATGTAATTTTCTGCTGCAGATGACATGGCCTTGTCCAGAATCACACTGGCCATCTAATTCTCTCTTTGGGGTTTTCCACAAATGTTATATGGATACCTTTTTCTACCACTGATATCTTCAACAACGTAGGGTCTACTGTATCTTAGGCCCCAAACCACAGGACTAATTGCATTGTAGCCTGAAGCTGCTGTAGAGATGCTTTCTGCTCTGGTTCCCACTAAACCTATTAGCAGTCATGTTACCCATGCTATGGGCTGGAATAATATCCCTAGGTATGAAATATGCCATGTCTAGAACCCAAAAAGGATCACTGAGAGCACTGTTTTCTCTTCCTGGTTGGATGTGCAAGATTCAGTCATTTTTCTTTTAGTTTGGAGAAAATATCCCAGTAAGCTTCTGACATCCCACACCCCTAATGCTTTTACTGATGTGGTATGCCACAGAATCTGCATAGGCTTTATTTCCTACCCTTTGGAATATATGTGAATTACCAACACTTCCAGTGTACTAGCTTCTTCTTCCTCATCTGTTGCAATCAAAATACTGTTATCCACAAAGTGGATCATTTTGATTAAATGTGGAAAGTCCAGGTAGGTAATCTAGATCTCTTTGGTCTGTATTATGTCAGAAGGTGGCCCAAAGCAAAACTGTAATTGTGTACTGTTTTCTCTTCTGAGTGAATACAAACTGTTTCTAGTCCTTTATTCTGAATGAGATAGAAAAGACAGCATTCACAAGTCAATAATCATACATCATGTATCTGAGACTGCATTCATCTTCTCTAGCACAGATGTTTCATCTGGCTTTAAGCTTGCCTTTGCAAGCTATCACTTAGTCAAGATTGCAATAGCCTACAACCATCTATAGGATTTGTCAGATTAGATTTTTGCAAGGGTTAGCCTAATGAATTAAACAAAAATGATGAGATCTGCCTTTCCTGAGCCTCAGATCTTTACGGGTGGCACTAATTTCCCCCATGTTCCTGAAGAATGATATCATTTTAAATTTATACTCTTAGGAAGGATAGTTGGTAGTTTCAGAGACTTCTTCTTAACTTTCCATAGTATAATATCTTCCCCACAGACCATGTATCCAATGTGAGGTGTGCACCAACAACCAAATGTGTCAATTTCACTTATTCCCTTACGGGGGAAATGACCGCCGGACTCTGTGAACACAGCAGCCTTGGTAAATCAGACCTTAGCCCTGACATCGTGTGTTATCTGGGGCCCTCATTTCTCAAATCTAATAAGAAAACCATTTTTGTACTTTAGGTCTCGTGATATCAGTGTCAATTCAGACACTTGAAGTAATTGGGTATTCCTCTTTCCCAGTGTCCTGTAATTGAGCAGTTAGCCAAAATCCCCTTGGGGATTCACTACATTATTTATTCTCTTTGATGTTGCAAGATTCTTTCTCCTTGGGACCTGACCATGTTTTTCAGTTGGTTTTGGTTTTTAAAACTGGTTATAGCTTTTTATTGAAACCTCTGCTTCTCAATCATCCACAATTGATTTCTTCTGCTGGTAAAAGTTAAGTAGTGGCATTATTGTTGGTCCACATATTTTACCCTTGGGGCTGACATATTCTATTAACCATCTCCATATCTCTCTGTAGGTCAAGTTCTTGTGGTTTCCACTCTAACCTTTCCAGTCATTTATCATCATTACTATGAATGTGACCCTTGGCTTCTGGCTTTTAAGCAATGCTACTTGACCTCTACTATTAAATGTCCTATCACCCTCTTTGATATTAGTAAACCTACTTCCATAACAGCCTTTCTACCATCAGCTCTGAACTTTGGAGGATATTTACCACTGAACTATTTATTAATGCTGATGTTCCCCTCACTAGCACATTACTTATGGTCTTGGTACATCATGGGTCCTTTAGGTCTTCCAGTGAAAAATATCATTTAAGAGTTATTTTCTACGCACATATTACATTCTTTCCAGCAAAACTACTTCCCTGAGCATTTTAATCCCTTCCTCCATTATATGCCATGAAAACTCTGCCTTTTGTCTTCCCTCAGTTTCAGCCATCACTTTTCGCATGCTTCTAGGAAGTAACTTTGCATCCAATTCTGGAGTCCCCCTTCATTTTATAACCCTGCCCCGCTGATTAAGAACCTTTAGCATCCAGTCTCATGCATACTCTCCTGGCTCTGCTGGAACATGCCAGTTAGGTCTTGCAGCTTCTTTGGGTATAGTTCCTTTTCTCTTTTCTCTGGCAATGCATGTCCCACTTGGGCTATGTTAAAACATAAACCTGGGGCCTTTAGGAGAGTTGGGATGGGTTTTGAGAAGGATCCATATTGACTTATGTGAGAGAAACATTTGGGAATTCTCAATGGGAGAAATCTTGTTTTCCAGTTTTGAAGACAGTGTGCATGCTTTTAATCAGAAGGGTTGTATCACATCTCCATGATCAGAGGAATGTGAGGAAGCAAAAATGTGGGGTCATCTGACAGAGGTCTGCGTCTTAAGTGTTAAGCTTCCAGTTATTCCAACTAGGCTCCTGTCCTTGGTGTAAAAGTCCTTCTTTGATTAATTGCCTTGAAATTCAATAATACCTACTAATAAGTCCTGGGCTGGGTCCTCAGCTTTCTTTGCCTCCTCAAGAAAAAAGATGAGTATTTTTAATGTATGTAAATAAAGAGGGCCTGTAGCTTTTAAATCTGGCTTCTTTTATTTTTCCCTCAGCTATGTGTTGTTATTTTGTAAAAGATCAATGGCACTTAGTTATAGTTGTAATTACCCAATCCTATTTTTCTTCCATATGTCTCAAATGCCCCCTTCATTACTCCATCAAGTGCATTCTCTTCTGCAAGTGAAACGTCTCAGTTCACCACAGGTGAGGATTTTAATGATTAGAGTGCTGCCGTTTGCCAGCTGCTGTCTGTGCTTCACCTACCACTAGTGATGAAATCCTTTTTGACTACTAGGTGATAAGTAAGCCAGCTCCACAACTATACTTTACCGCCTGGATTCTTGAAACACTCTTGGATGAAGTTTGGTGTGCTAGGCTACCACACCTGCCTTAAAACATCTGCCCATGTATTTCCTAAGCATGCAAGGCCCTTTCTCTGCCTTATTGCAGGATCAGCTCCTGCTCATCCTTCAGGTATTAGCTAAAATTTCAGTGCCCTAGATAGACCATTGTAGAGCAAACAATTTAAAGTAAATTAACATTTTTCTCTTTAGTCTTCATAACTACTATTATATGAATGTCTCCCAAAATTCATGTGTTGAAACCTAATCACCAATATGGTAGTATTAAGAGATGGAGCCTTTAGGAGATGATTAAGACAGAAGCTCAGAGCCCTCATGGACAAGAGCAGGGCCCTTATCAAAACTATGGAGGTGTGGGTTTGTTTTTTCCCATCCTTTCTGTCTTGTGAGGGCACAGTATTCATCCTCTCCAAAGGATGCAGCAACAAGGCATCTTACAAGGTCTTGTAAGCAGAAGAGAGCCTTCAACAGATGTTGGTGTCTTGTTCTTGGACTTCCCAGCCTCCAAAACTGTGAGAAATACCTTTTTGTTGTTTATAGATGACTCAGTCTCAGGAATTTTGTTATAGCAGGACAAACAGACTAAAAGAACAATGTCCCCATTTTTTTTCTTTCATGCTAACCACTATAATTTTTAATTATAGATTCATTTGTCTACCTCTTTATTATGTCTCACCTCAAGTAGACTGGGAGTCTCTACATTCACGCTCCTACAGAACCCAGGGCCAGGTAGGGACCTGCTACAACATTTGCTAGGTCTAGTGCAAAATGAAAATGTGGAATCCCTTGTTCAAAAATTATTAAGAATTCCAAGACAGCAACAGCAGAGCATTAAACCATGTGTGGGGTACTTCTGAGCACATGTGACTGCCAGGGTTGCAGACCCAAGAAGTCAGCCCAGGGTCGGGTAGGTTGCAGCACTCACTATGTATGTGTTGAATAAACACATATGTTATTCAAGTGATCCATGACCTAAAAAGATTAAGAATCACCACTCTCTAAATTCCTACTTATTTTTTGTCAGAGTCCTATCAACAATTGCTTTTTAATTTTTCTGATAAATCCAATTTCTGAAAGAAATTTAAGAGACAAACATTTTTCATCTTGAGCCTCAGAGATAATTGCAATACACAATAAAATCACAAAAAGTTAAAACTAGATATAATAAATGATTTCATTATTATTTATACTCAGATTGTAAAAAGTACATTTGCCTACAACTACTATTAATATGTAATTACATTACATTAATCAAAAATGTTATTTTTCCTATGAATAAATAAGGTTTATATTGCTGTATTAAAACTAAAGATTTTCTGTCATTTGTAAAGTGCTTAGAATCAAATGTATTTGAAATTTTTGTGCTCTTAGTATACCTTGAGTTCTAATGACAGAAACTTTATTAAAAACAAATTCTTAAATTTTGTTTGAAACCTCAGTTTCTTAAAATGATATTAGATCTCTGAGAAAAGGTTTAGTTGTAATTTGGAGTAACGTGTTTGTGGGAAAAAAAGCACAACATATATTTTAAAGGAGAAGAATGGAACTTTTACTTCTACCACAAAAAGAATTGACACACAGGATAATTGACCTTTGAAACACACAGATTGCTTCAGCATTCAGGTGAGTTAATGTTGTAAAGTCAGGAGTTTTCAATTTCAATCAAAGTTTTAATAGTCCTTATAAATTAAACTATTTTGCAATGCTCAAATAGGATTATAAAGAAAAAGCCACTTAGTTTCAGTTGTTTTGCTATACATTATAAGAAAAAGCTTGTTTCAATAAACTTGAGAATTCTTTTTTTCTGAGAATTCTTTAACATGTCTTGACTGTTTAAGAAAATGAGTTATTCATATAAGACTTTTGATTATAATATCATGCAAACATTAATCCATAATCTAAAGGAGATAAGAAATGCTGGGAATTGGTTTTAGAAATAAAATAGCTGTCTCTTTGGTTAAAATTACTGAGAAGGAGATTACATTTCACTGCAATTTGAGCAAATGTAATTTTAGGTTTGGGAAGTCAAGGCAGTGCCTTGAAAATTACTAAAATCAACGCATGCACATTCATGCACATAAACAGTTCTGTAAAAACGCTTCACTACTAAAATAGTAATTTGCCATTAATCCTGGTAGTTAATCTAGCCAACAATAAAATATAACTTTCTCAGGATTTTTCTAAGCATTATTATAATGATGTGTTTTGTAAAACTCCACAATGAATGAGGAAAAAAACCCTCTAAAGTGAAAAGCGTAATAGTATACAAAAAAATTGCTTTTTTCTACAAGTGATCCTTTTTGAGTAGTGCAAGTAAGTTATGTGAAGCTATTTGTATATAGAATTTTTAACAGAAAGGCAGTTAATCCCCAACTCCTATGCAGTAAACTGTTGAAAAAGTATTTAATGAATATGATTTTGAATGGCACAAAATGCTTTACCTGAGTACCAAATTACTAGGTTGCAGTGGGCAAAATACACAGATGAACAGTATTGTATCACTTCCCTCCACCAATCAATGACAAATAGGAATTTAAATTATCATGCATAAACATATATGTTAAAATTTTTAAGTAAGTGCTTATGTACTAGACTTTGCTGGGTTACACAGAATTCATAAGCAAATGCCAAATTCTTTAAAATCAGATTTCCAATTTTATTCTCTTTGGATCTACTTATGAGGAATATTGCTTGAAAATAAAATATATTTGTCTGTAACATAGTGGAAGTAACGGGAAATGTTGAATTGCCGCTAATTTAAACACTGTAGTGGATTTAAGAAGCCTGTTAATTATCTTTCCCCACAAAGAGGTGAGTCTATTTGTTCATACACTTGAATCTGTTTTGACAAATAGAACACGGAAAAAGTGATGCATTACCAGATACAACCCTAGTCTTTAAAAGAAGTGATCCTTTCTTTTTTCTTCTTCATGAAACTCAGCAGTCAATCTGGGAAGAAATGCAAGCAACTACAGGGAACAGTAAGTGCAGAGAATTATTAATTCTCCCAGAGAAGAGCAAGTGCCAAATTGCCTGCCATATGAATGGACCATCTTGGGAATGAATTCTCCATCCGACACTACTTGGAACAGATAAGCTGTCCTGGTCAAGTCTACACAAATTGCAAAATTATGAAGTAAAAAGTGATTGTTAGTATTTTAAGCATCTAAGAATTTGGTTGATTTGGGTTATACAGCAATAGATAACCAAAACAGAATTCAAAACTCTGAAGTGTGGTGGTACTGTAAACAAACTCAAAATCTGTGGCACTGTCCTTAGAATGGGTATTGCGAGGAGAGGTGGGCAGAGGCCTGAAGAGCCTCAAGGAGGCACTTAATGAAGGTTTGAAATAGAGTGATGAAATTATTATAGGAGTTCTCCTTTTATGGGTCGGGGAAGGTGTAGCAACATCATAATCTGTGATAATATGGAAGATAGAAAGTCTACCTAATGAAATCATGATTAAAGAGATGTCCGGGAAAAATTTTCAAGTGCCAGCTGGCTTCTTTTAACTGCACAGTAAAATGCCAGAAAATTGAGATAAGCTAAAAAAAAAAAAAAGCAGAACTGTTCAGTTATCAAGCAGAATTTAGAGAAACTATGAAAAAATGGCCAGGCATGGTGGCTCGTGTCTGTAATCCTAGCACTTTGGGAGGCTGAAGCAGGCAGGTCACCTGAGGCCAGGAGTTTGAGACCAGCCTGGCCATCATGGAGAAACCTGGTCTCTACTAAAAATACAAAAATTAGTTGGGTGTGGTGGCGCATGCCTGTAATCCCAGCTACTCAGGAGGCTGAGGGAGGAGAATCATTTGAACCCAGGAGGCAGAGATTGCGGTGAGCTGAGATTGTGCCACTGCAGTCTAGGCTGGGTGACAGAGCGAGACTCTGACTCAAAAAAATAATAATAATAAAATATAAAAAATAAAAAAGCCTGATGCACTGGGTTTGGAAATAAAACGTTTTCTCATTCTTAACCTCTCCAGGCAGCAAAATTTCACAATGTAAGAAATAGGCTCAGGACAAGCATCAAATCCAAGGTATTGTCTTCAATGTGTGGCCTCACGTTCAAGAGTGTAGCCTAACACCTTGCTATGGTCCAAATGTTTGTGTCCTCCAAAGCTCACGTTGAAATTTAATTGCCATTGTAACAACGTTGAGAAGTGGGAATGGGATCTTCAAGAGGTAACTGGGCCATAAGGGCTCCACTCTCATGGGTGCGATTAATGCTGTTATAAAAAGTGTGAATTTGGCCCTTTTTTCTCTCTTGCCTTTCTCCCGTCTCCCATGTGATGACACAGCAAGAAGGTCTTTGCAAGAGCCCAACACCTCGATATTGGACTTCCCAGCCTCCAGAATTGTAAGCTAATAATTTTCTGTTAATTATTTATTATCAGTCTCAGGTGTGTTATAGAAGCACAAAGCAAACTAAGCCACACCTATTGTTAAGACTTCAGGAAGACTGAAGGAGGTGCTGTACAGACCTTCTTGGCTAAACAAAAGTGTCTGTAACAATCACCAGGTTGTATCCCTTAAACTCTATCTGCTAAATGGCAGGTTTCATATCTTAAGGATATCGTCTAATATCATCCTACCTCTGAGAACAAGGTAGAGACAGCCTGTGTTGAAGAAATCAGCAGCTGTGGATTTTGTTTAATGTGATAGATTATAATCTTATACACAGGAGGCCTCATTTTTAAAGAATTTATTATGGATTGCACTGAAATCTTAGCATCAGTTCACAATGAAGAGAACTTTGGACTCCCAATATGTTATGAGCAGGAAACAGATTGGAAAAGCTCCTTAGCTGCAATCTCAAGTACCACATCTCATAGAAAAGCCAACATAACTCAAAGTAATAAACCAAGAGCCCAAAGAGCAGAACCAAGAGACACTTCCAGGAAGAATGACTATACCATATTGAGAACTGACAGCATTTGCCCCAATTTTTCAAGCTATGGATTAGTCATCAAAGTATGCCTCCATCTTTTCTTGTTTTTGAATTGAATTTTCTGTTTCTCTGACCTTTACACATTATAGCATGTCGTGTGCATGCAGTAGCTAACATTTCCCTTTAGTTATCAGATCTTTAAATCTAGAGGAACTGCAGCACCTGAAGCTTGCCATATGCACCTGAATCTGATTTAAATGATGAAATTCTAGATTTTGGTGCCAAAATGTATGCAATATTGAAGATTTGGGGAGGATTTGATGAAGTATGAGGGTTGGTAGTAATTTATGGACAGAATGAAGAATACAATGATTAAGAGTGGCCTCAAATTCTTTGTTACTACCAGCAGAAAAATGTGGGAACTCTGTTTCTACTTTTTGAATCTTGACAGGACCTTGAGCTGTTTTCACTAATAAAATACAGAGAATATATTAAGAGAAATAGATATGTTTATTTTATGTTTTCAGAATCCAATATCATGTAGGCACATGAGGAAGCCTACATGGAAGACAATTGAGACCTCAGCTAAATTCCCAGTCAGTAACCAGCACCAACCTGCTAGCTGTGTGAGGGAACCATCTTGGAAATGGATTCTCCAGCCCTCCTCAAGAGTCCTGGACCATGATTTCATGAGACAATCTCCACTGAGTGCTGGTTAGTTACAAAACCATGTTCAAATAAATGATGGGTCTCATTTTAAATCATAAGTTAGTTTTGTTTTTATGCAGTGATGGAAAACTGAGATGAACACTTATTGAATGTTCACTTTATACACATTCAGAATATATTATAAAACCGTGATTGAATTTAGCAGTCTAAAAATCTATTTTTTAATTTGCCTATGATTCCTTCTTGTTTGTGCATGCTAGAGATCTCAAAAGACCAGGCTATCTTATTGGTTAGAATATATATGTCTTAAGCAAGAAAAATATCTACTATTTGCCTATGAAGCAAAATTTTATTTAGGAATATTTTTTAAACACTGAAATTTTTTGTCTTGTGTTCTTACTCTGTACTTCTCTCATATTGATTAGCTTTAATTTTAGCCCAACTTATAATGATTCTCAACCTGTAATTTTTTACTTAGCCCTCCCTCTTGCTCCCTAAACTGTTACCTTCAATTCACTGCAAGAGTATGTCCAATGTGTCAAAACTACATTAAGCTTTTTATTTTTAACTAAAACAAAGCAAAACAAAAATTGTGTTTCCTCCTATACTTCCTGTCAAATAACATAACAACTTGTCATTGTGACAACTCCCTCTTTCTTATACTTCTTCATCTAGTCACTCATTAGATTTTATCTCTCAAATAGCTCTCAAATGCACCCCCTTAATCTCCTTCTGTCTGTCACTCAGTTCAAGTCTTCATAACTTTTTTCTCAGATCATTGCATAAAGTATTGAATGTATGTCATGAAGTAATTGAGAAAACATGCTTTGGACTACAATAAAGTATCATGAAAGCAGTTTTTCTGCCCAATGAAATCCACGTTTATAGAACTTTTATTGAGGATAATATTCTTCTTGCCAAGAAAAAGTTAAACATTGTTTTGATCATTATATTAGAAGAGAAAATAGTTCACAGTTAATAAAACGTATATATTAAACTAAAGATTAGAGAAACTATACAGTAATTATAAGCATTATAAAGAGCATATTGGAGGGAAACACAACTTTAGAAATAAATTGACTAACATTTAATTCTATAAGATCTGTTTTACGCTGACTACACATGGATATAAACATGGGTTAAATAGACAATAAGAATTACTAGAGTGGGGAGAGGAAGAGAAGAATGGGTTGAAAAATTACTGATTGAGTACTATGCTCACTGCCTGGGTGACAGGACCATCTATACCTCCAGCTCAATATCACGCAATATACCCACTTAAAAAAACCTTTACATATACCTCCATGGATCCCAAATTTAAAAATAAAAAAATTACCTATTTTATGAGAAAGTTGCACAAGTAAATTGATAATTGTAATAAAAGGTTTTGCTGTCAATAGATAGATACTACAAGGAATAAAAAAATGGATAAAACAAAATGTGATGACAGAAGCAAATCCACACTGGTCTAATATTATTCTTTTATTCATATTGATTGGGCTCTAATCAATTCTTCAATTGGAAAAAAGAATTCATTTAATATATGCCTTTAATAGTTTTTTATGAAAGATAGCTGCAAGTAAATGGTAGTTTTGTGATGTAAATGGAGGTCTATAAAGGTATATTAAACTCAAACATTATACTTCTTAGTCAATAACCTTAGATAATACTATTTAAACACTTTAAAACTTAGATTTTTTTATAAAATGCAAATGGTACCTACATTATAGGTTTAGATTATATAAATTAATATATGTTTCCCCTGGTACCTAAAATGTCATATACTTAATTAATATTTGATGATTAAAATAATGTCTTTGGATTTCAAGGAGAGTAGGAATTATATGCACAATAATTTAGGAACTATAAGCATGCTCTCACTCATAAGTGGGAGTTGAACAATGAGAACACATGGACACAGGGAGGGAACATCACACACCAGGGCCTATTGCGGGTGGGGGACTAGAGGAGGGATAACATTAGGAGAAATACCTAAGGTAGGTGATGGGTTGATGGGTGCAGCAAACCATCATGGCACGTGTATACCTATGTAACAAAACTACATGTTCTGCACATGTGCCCCAGAACTTAAAGTATAATAATCATAAAAAATTAAAAAAGAAAGGAAAGAGGGAAAATAACTATCATTTACTGTGCATATTCTGTGTGCTTGGTACATAAAATACTCATTTAATACATGTAGCCATTTAAGTTTTTCAGGAAGTCCTTCAAATAGACATCATTATTATCCATCTTGCAGTAAAGGAAATTGAGGCCCATAGATGTTAAGCAAATGGCCCAAACTAGCACTGGAACTCCATTCTCTTTAGTTAAGTTTAAGTTCTTACATTTTATTGCATCTCTTGGTGTCACAAGAATAAAGAAGTCATGCTTTTTTTTTAATTTTAAAATTTTCGCCAAATGGTAATGATTGTAACTTTCGTACCCATTTACATGAGAAAAATACTGCTTTCATTTCATTAAGTAACATCTAAGAACATTTCATTGTTCAGTGATGACAATAAAATAGAAAATATCTATCCTTCTCTTTAAAACGTTTAAAGGGCAATGGAGTTCAATGGTTAAAACTTGGGCTCTGGAGTCTGACAGACCCAGAGACAAATCCTGTAGCTTCATCTGTAGAGTGTCAAGTTCCTCATCTGTAAAATGGACTGAGTTATTTATACCTTTCTCAGAGTGAGATAATTCAAGTGTGTAGCTTTTAGCATAGCGCTCAATATGCATTTAAATTTAAAAAATACTTTATTAGTATTAAAAAGCTTCTCACATATTAGCCTATGTTCTTTTGCAACCAAGTAAAAACATTTGAAATAGTTCAAGCAGCAACATCATAAAAATAACTGAGGGTAAATCTGAAAGAAGGTGTCTCGCTCAAGGGTAGGAGGTACACCTGGACTTCACATGACAGTGCAACCAGCAACTAGAAAGTTCAATAATCAAACAGTATGTCTTCTCTATCCCTCTACTACTCCCCACAATCTCTCATCACTCCTTTTCTTGTTATAGTTGCTTAATTCTCTTTAAGTACCAGATTGTTTTTCTGCTTCTATGTAAACCTGAGCATCCCCAAAATTCTCAAGTTTATGTTACTCTACTTTAAATGGCCATCCCAGTTTGTCTGGATCTTAACATTCTATATACTAAGTTCCACCTTGTGTTAAATGTCCATTTTGGATGTAACAAAAAAAGTTCAGGTCTTTGGGAGGCCGAGGAGGGTGTATCACGAGGTCAGGAGATCGAGACCATCCTGGCTAACACGGTGAAACTCCATCTCTACTAAAAATACAAAAAAAGTAGCCAGGCATAGTGGTGGGTGCCTATAGTCCCAGCTACTCGGGAGGCTGAGGCAGGAGAATGGTGTGAACCCGGGAGTCGGAGGTTGCAGTGAGCCGAGGCCACGCCACTGCACTCCAGCCTGGGTGACAGAGTAAGACTCCATCTCGAAAAAAAAAAGGTTCAGGAAACATGTTACAGGATTGCCTGTGGAAGATCACAACAGTGGGACTGTGGGGATGCACGTGGATAAAAGGCAATTCTCCGAAAATTGTGATTTGAGCAAACACCTCAAAAATACCCATTATATTATCTTTCTTTTCATGTTCTCTCTTGCATTATGGTAACTAACTTATGTCCATGTTTCTCCATTACACTCTGAATTTTGAAAGTAAGTAGGGTGTCTTACTCATCTTTCTGTACCATTACTTTGTCTAAGTCTCTCAAACTATGTAGGTATTGAATAAATGAATGAATGAATAGAAAGGTACATAAATTATTTGACTCCTAAATCATTATCTCAATAAGACACATTGGAACAACAGTAAACAATACAGAAGAAAGTAAGTGAAAGATACTGCAGCAAATTTTCAGATTAACTGATGTAATGAAAAGACTTTTTTTAGATGTCTACAAACATCCTTTTAAACTCTGAAGAAGCTAACAAGCCAGACTTCATGTGAACCGTTCCCACTGTGTGAATCTTCCATTTAACAGGGGACACCTGTGACCATTCAGGGTTTTTTGTTTTGTTTTGTTTTGTTTTTGCTTTGTTTTGTTTTTGTTTTTGCAGAGTAGGGGTGGGTGGGTAAACTTTCCTAGAATGTCTCTGTTTTATAACTTCAGGAGGAATAATTGTAGAGACATTAGTTATTGAATAATCAGCATGGTGCTGAGAAGAACAGAACCTCAAACACTAATTCCCTTGTCTAACAGTATCAAGAATGAAATAACAGAATCAGAAAGATTCTCTATTATTTGTCTGGCTGTTAATGAGCCCTCCTAGTAGACATCAGCTTCCTGCAAAATTATTCGTGGATAATTCTCTGAGAATAAAGCATACACTTAATAATTTACTGCATCTCAAAATGGTGAAGTAGCAAGTACTTCCGAAGATGTTTGGAATGGGAGGTCAATTGAGAGCACTTACATGAAATTATTTAGGAATAACAAACGTTGTTAACAAAAGACCTGAAAATAAATGAAGAATAAACTCAAATAGGACTATACGGACTTTGAAAAAAATCCTTTGAATTACTTAACAGGTTATTTTAAAAATTAATAATTTAAAGGATAGTGTTACTATTAAGATGATAATTATATATTGTGATATACAACTGTTCCTTCTGGTGGGTTCTTGGTCTCACTTCAATAATGAAGTTGCAGACCCTCGTGGTGAGTGTTACAGCTCTTAAAGATGGTGTGTCCGAAGTTTATTCCTTCAGATTTTCAGATGTGTCCAGAGTTTCTTCCTTCTGGTGGGTTCAACGTCTCTGACTTTAGGAGTGAAGCCATTGCCTTTCACAGCGAGTGTTACAGCTCTTCAAGGTGGTGAGAACCCAAAGAGTGAGCAGCAGCCAGATTTATTGTGAAGGGCAAAAGAACAAAGCTTCCGCAGCATGGAAGGGGACCTAACCAGGTTGCCACTGCTGGCTCTGGTGGCCAGCTTTTATTCCCTTATTTGGCCCACCCAAGTCCTGCTGATTGGTCATTTTACAGACCACTGATTAGTCCATTTTACAGAGTGCTGATTGGTTCGTTTTTACAGAGTGCGGATTGGTGCATTTACAAACATTTAGCTAGACACAGAGCACTGACTGGTGCGTTTTTACAGAGTGCTGATTGGTGTGTTTACAAACCTTTAGCTAGACACAGAGCACTGATTGGTGTGTTTTTACAGAGGGCTGATTGGTGCGTTTACAAACCTTAAGCTAGACACAATGCTGATTGGTGCGTTTTTAGAGTGCTGATTGGTGCATTTACAATCCTTTAACTAGACACAGAGTGCTGATTGGTGCTATTTTATAGAGTGCTAATTGATGCATTTACAATCCTTTAGCTAGACACAGAGTGCTGATTGGTGTGTTTACAATCCTTTAGCTAGACAGAAAAGTTCTCCAAGGTGCAAGAAGATCACTGTGACATACATTCTGTCTCTTAAAAGCAGGAGAGGAAATTCCATGCAAAAGAGTCTCCCTGTATTAGAGGAAAGTATCATTTTTATCATTAAAGACAGGAAGTTGAGGCAGAAAATAAAAAGTATACGAACAAACATTATTAGACTAACCCTGGAAGTACCTTTCTGGGAACTTCTCCACCCAATTATCTACCCTAGCCACAGCCCCTTTTCCTTGTTACATTTTCACATTTTGCTACACTTTGTCGAATGCAGTACTTAACTGTTCAACTCTAATTGCGTCTTTAGGTCTTCATTTCCTTATGAAGGCTCTGTGTCAAGTAAAACTTGTATTAAATAAACTTGTATGCTTTTCTTTTGTTGATCTGTCATATGTCCATTTAATTATCAGGTTTCACTAATAAGAAAATCCCTATAGGGTAGAGGTAAAATTTTGCCTCTTTTACATCAGCATAATTAATTTATTAACTCACTAAGAAACACATCAATGCTGAAGATAGTTCATGGTACGATTTTTAATACATAAGCTCATATATTAAATCCCCATTCACACACATGTAAATAGATATATATGGGAATATATGCATGTACAAACACAAACACACAGAGAAACCAACATACATGTATTCAAATATTTCTTTTTAAATTAGTAGAAATACGTTTGTCCTCTAGATTTAGATCATTTTAATTTACAGCTGAAAAAATAGTAGTTCCTAAATGAAATATTGTTACGAATTCTTCTCTGAATACAGATATAACTTAAAGATATACAGAATCCATTCCAGACAACTACAATAAAGCAAATATTACAATAAAGCAACTCAATTTTTTTGGTTTCCCAGTACATATAAAAGTTATGTTTATACTATACTGCAGTCTATTAGGTGTACAATAGCATTATGTCTACAAAAACAATGTATATACTTCAATTAAAAATAGTTTATTGCTAAAAAAGTGCTAAGGATCATCTGAGCCTTCAGTGAGTTCTCATCTTTTTGCTAGTGGAGGGTCTTGCTTCAGTGTTGATGGCTGCTGATTGATGAGGATGGTTGTTTGTTTGGGGTCGCTGCAGTAATTTCTTTTTTTTTTTTTTTTTTTTTTTTTTGAGATGGTGTCTCACTCTGTTGCCCAGGCTGGAGTGCAGTAGTGCAGCCTTGGCTCACTGCAACCTCCGCCTCCCAGGTTCACGCCATTCTCCTGCCTCAGCCTCCCTAGTAGCTGGGACTACAGGTGCCCACCACCATGCCTAGCTAATTTTTTATTTTTAGTAGAGACGGGGTTTCACCATGTTAGCCAGGACGGTCTCAATCTCCTGACCTCGTGATCCGTCCGCCTCAGCCTCCCAAAGTGCTGGGATTACAGGCGTGAGCCACTGCGCCCACCAGCAATTTCTTTTTTTTTGAGATGGAGTCTCACTCTGTCTCCCAGGCTGGAGTGCAGTGGCGCTATCTTGGTTCACTGCAACCTCCACTTCCAGGGTTCAAGTGATTCTCCTGCCTCAGCCTCCGGGTAGCTGGGTTTACAGACGTGGGTCACCACGCCCAGCTAATTTTTGTATGTTTAGTAGAGACAGAGTTTCACCATGTTGGCCAAGCTGGTCTCGAACTCCCGGCCTCAGGTGATCCACCTGCCTTGGCCTTCCAAAGTGCTGGGATTACTTGCATAAGCCACCACACCTGGCCCAATTTCTTAAAATAAAACAACAATGAAGCTTGCCAAAAGATGAATTCTTCCTTCCATTAAAAGATTCCTCTGTAGCATGCAATGCTGTTTGATTGTGTTTTATCCATAGTTGAACTTTTTCAAGACTGGAGTCAATTCTCTCAAATCCTGCTGCTGCTTTATCAACTATGTTTATGATGTAATATTCTAAAACCTTTGTTTTCATTTCAACAGTTTTCTTAGTATTTTCACCAGGAGTAAATTCTATTTCAAGAAGCCCCTTTCTTTGTTCACCCATAAGAAGCAATTCCTCATACATTAAAGTTTGACCATGAGATTACAGGAATTCAGTCATACCTTTAGTATTCACTTCTAGTTTCCTTGCTATTTTCACCCCATCTGAAAATGTGGTTACGTTTCTCCACTGAAGTCTCAAAACCCTCAAAGTCATCCGTGAGGATTGAAATTAACTTTTTTCAAACTCCTGTTAATGTTCATATTGTGACCTCCTCCCATGAATCATGAACGTCTTAATGGCATCTAGAATGGTGAGTTCTTTCCAGAAGATGTTTAATTTACTTTGCCTAGATCCATAATAGCAATCACTACCTATGATAGCTATAACCTTACAGAATGTAGTTCTTAAATAATAAGACTTGAAAGTTGAAATTACTTCTTGATCCTTGGGCTGCAGAATGGATGGTGTATTAGCAGGCGAGATAAAGCATTAATCTTCTAATACATCTCCATCAGAGCTCTTGGATGACTAGGTGCAATGTCAATGACCAGTAGGAATACTTTGAAGAACTTTTTCTTTCCTGAGCAGTAGCTTTCAACAGTTGCTTAAAATATTCAGCAAATCATGCTGTAAATAGATGTGCTGTCATTCAAGCTTTGTTGCTTCATTTATAGAATACGGGCAGAGTACATTTATATTAATTCTTAAGGGCGCTAGGGTTTTCAAAATGGTAAATGAGCATTGGCTCCAATTAAAGTCACCAGCTACATTAATCCCAAACAAGTTAGTTAGCCTGTCCCTGAAGCTAAGAAGCCAGGCATTGACTTCTCTCTAGCTATGAAAGTCCTGGATGGCATCTTATTCCAATATAAGACTATTTCGCCTACACTGAATATCTGTTGTTTAGGGTAACCACCTTCGCCAATTTGTTAGATCCTTGTGTAACTTGCTACAACTTCTACATCAGCATTTGTGCTTCGCCTTGCACTTTCATGGTGCAGAAATGGCTTCTTTCCTGAAACCACTTCAGACAATCTCTGCTAGGTTCCAACTTATATTCTGCAGCTTCCTCACCTCTTTCAGCCTTCATAGAATTGAATAAAGTTAGGAGCTTTCTCTGAATTGGGCTTTGACTTAAGGGAATGTTGTGGCTGGTTTGATTTTCTATTCAGAGCACTCAAACTTTCTTCATATCAGCAATAAGGCTGTTTTGCTTCCTTACCATTCCTGTGTTCACTGGAGTAGCACTTTAATTTCTTTCAAGAACTTTTCTTTCACTTTCACAACTTGCCTAACTGGCAAAGAGGCCTAGCTTTTGGCCTATCTTGGCTTTGGCCAGGCCTTCCTCATCCTTTTTAGCTTTTTACTTATTTCACTTGAACACTTAGAAGCAATTGTGTGGTTATTAAAAAAATTGGCCTAATTTTAATATAGTTGTGTCTCAGGGAATAGGGAAGCCCGAGGAGAGGGAGAGAGACGGGGAAATAGCTGGTTGGTGGGGCAGTCAGAACACACCCAACATCTAGAGATTAATTTTGCGGTCTTCTATGGGTGAGGTTTATGGTGCCCCAAAACAATTACAATAGTAACATCAAAGATCATGGGTTACCATAACATATATAATTGTAATGAAAACTTTTGAAATATTGTGAGAATTACCAAAATGTGACAGAGACAGGAAGTGACCACATGCTGTAGGAAAAATGAAGCTGATGGAATTCCTCAGTGCAGGGTTGCTGCAAACCTTCATTTTGTAAGAAAATATAGTATCTGTGAAGTGCAATAAAGTGAAGCACAGTAAAATAAGATGTGCCTGTACTGTTTAATGACCACCTCGTTTAACATAATGCTGTTCACCACTCTCTATTTCTTTACTTTTTTTATAGCCCTTATCTATGCTTTATCTATTATGTGATATTTAAGTATTTATATGCTTACTGTCTCTCCTCAACCAAACGAAAATTTCAAGAGGGCAGAGACTTTCTTGTTTAAGCCACTGCTTATTCCCCAGTATCAAGAATCATGTCTTGTTCATGATAAACATACAATAAATAACTGTGGATTGAATAAGTGGATAAATAAAAATAGTGGCATTCTCTCCTTCCTACTATCTGCCTTCCTTCCCTCTGGTAATAGTGCTCTAATTTTCATTGGAAATTATTATTTTCTTACTCTGAATTGGTGCTTTACCAATGCCTCTGTGACCTTGCATATTTCCATTTACGGTGATCAATGTGGAGTTGACACAAAGGCTAAGGCAGGCCAATAAAAGCCAGTGAGAAATCCTCTCCAAAATAAGACATCTGTTGTAGAGAAGCCCTTTCTACTAGACCTGAATCTACCAGCATAAGGTCAGATCTTACCACCAATAAATCTAATAGAGAGAGTACTGACGACATCGTTTAAGCCGCATATCCAGTCACTCCTGAAGGTAATCTGCCCAGTTATGCCAATGAATATATTATATTTTTTTCTTGCTTTTTAATTTTTTTTGGTTTGTTATTTGCTTAAGCCATTTTCAGTCTGTTGCTATTTCTAGCTATTATTTTGACTGTTGTTTTATGTACATACAATATGACCAGAGAATCTTTTATACCAATTATAATGCTATTTAAATAAATACTAAGGCATCATTATTAACTTACAATTTCTCAAGGTAAAAATGACACAAACTTATACATGAAAAATACATGAAAGTACATGTTATTTATTTAATTTGAACCTTCAGAGTATCATGTTCATATAAAAGTAAATATGGAATTTAAAAAATATTAGATTTGAAAGCCAAAAAATGATTCTTTATTTGCTTATAGAGCAACATCGGTAATGGTATTTAGAATTCAAATTGTGACTTATAGTCCTGCTGCTGCCCTGACTTGTGAATATTGAGGCAGTGACATGAGTCATTGATGTGTGTCACTTCCTGTCATTATTTACAAAGGAAACCAAAACACTAAGACAAAGTCTGTTGTTAGCTTCTCTTTAATCACTTAGTCTTTGTAATAAGGATCATTGATTTTTATTCTTAACCACTAATTACAACAGTACGTTATGGTGCTTGTAACATTAAGTGTCTAAGAAATCATCTGAGAATGTTCACACCAAATCAGATCCATATGCAGGAAAGTAAACAGTTTAATATGCAACATTTAAGAATCTATTTAATGGTGTCCATATTTAAGTTTATGCCTGAAAATTCTCACTTACTTAAGCCTTGTGTGGAGAGTTGAACTAAGACATGTGCACTCCTCACTGTTCTATTAGGGGAGCCATTTTGGAATTTAGAAGAGTTTCTTTTGTTAGCATAGGAAGAGATAACATTTCCAATGACGAAAAGACACTAGATTGAAGTGGTGTCGAGGGGTTTAAAAGACAGCAAAAGAAGAAGGAAGTGGGGACAATAGTGAAAAAGAGAATATTTGGGAAAGGGAACTTCTCTATGCGTAACTCTCTTACTTACTAATAAAGCCTGTTGTGCTGTCTGCACATGTGGTATAAGGAAACATATAAATTACATAAAAGGTCTTCCTCTGGTTCATCTATACTGGCAACTTTGCAAAATCATCTTCAACTTGCAGTAAAAGAAATATGCATACCAGTGTATTTAGGCTGTACTTCCCAGGCACTCCAGATGTGAGGAAGGCTTATCCTTCTAAAGAGTTTGTCTTAATCTGAGTTGGGCTTGGAAATTATATTCCAAGAACTTGCTGGTGAGGTAGTGTGTTGGAAATGATTCTGAAGTATAGTCAGCAGACACCAGATCTAGTACCATGCCTGCAGACACAGCATTAATTAATCACAGAGAAGCTGAACTAGTATGCTCCCTCAAAGACACAAAGGAAGTCCTACAAATAGCTCAGAACATAATTATCAGCTAGTGTGAAAGGAGACTAAATTTACATGAAGTATGAACAAGGATGGGCTACTAAAATGTCAGTAATTTTGTAGCTTAAATTATTAAATTAGCTGAATTATAGTATTATTGCTCATCAACAGTATTCCCAATAATATTATAACACAATATATATGGAATGTTTAACTCTGAGTGGATTTCTGTGTTTCTAAATGTTCCTTTCAGAGAATTTTTTTTTATAAATAATTTTTCAAAAAACTTTCTTCTAAAATATATATCTTCCTTTATCTGCCAACATATACACAAATTTCTTATACCTTCCATTTTATATTTATATAATGAGATCACAAATTTACATCCGTCATCATTAAGGCAGCTTCATCCATTTTTAAACTTATTTAATATGAGCCCTACATCACTGAGTAGTGGTTGAGGGGGAGAAGAGATTTAAAATGTACTAGCATTTCAGCTTCTTTCAGTTTAAATATCTCATCCTGTCAAAAATCTTCTTTCTGAAATGTCTTGGACTCTTTTACCTTAATTTGTCAAGGTAAAAATGAATCCAAAATTATACAGAAGAAATATATTAAAGTACTTGTTATACTTTACTTCATTTGAAGTAAAGTATATGATAAAGTAAAGTAACATGATGTTTAGAGCATCATGTTAAACATAAAATTAGAGACAGACTATCTCAGCCTTCTCATGTTCTTCTCTAAGATGGTATGCAGGTAGATGTGGTCTTTGCAATCTTGTGGAGGAGGGAGGTGCAGGTGCTGTCTGGTTTTCAATGTGATGTTTTCTGCCTAAGATCCTCTTTGACTTCAGGACCCCTTTTTTAAACATCCTCTGCTAAACTACACATAATCTTAGACATCTGCTGGCTTTTTTTGTTTGTTTGTTTGTTTGTTTGTTTAGAGAGAGTCTTGCTCTGTTGCCCAGGCTGGAGTGCAGTGGCAAGATCTCAGCTCATTGCAACCTCCATCTCCCGGGTTCAAGCGATTCTCCTACCTTAGCCTCTTGAGTAGCTGGGATTACAGGCACGTGCCACCGTGCGTGGCTAATTTTTGTATTTTAGTGGAGATGGGGTTTCACCATGTTGGCCAGGCTGTTCTCGAGCTCCTGACCTCAAATGATCCACCTGCCTCAGCCTCCTAAAGTGCTGGGATTACAGGACTGAGCCACCGCACCCAGCAGACATCTGCTGTGTTTTGAGAAGTCTTTGTCCCGTACCTTCTCTTTGTTCAAACCCAGACCTTCATGGTTATATTGATCCTCCACTGGTCTACTGACCATCTCAATACTTCCATATTTTCTCACCACACCACAGATGCAGGAACTTTAACCACGAATGATCCTGACATCCTCTACAGGACACAAGAACAAAGAACACTGCCTTCAATTCATCCGTCCACTTCCATCTGAGCATAATTCTGATCTGATGTTAGGTTTCTTCAAGAGGTATGCAAAACAAGGTGTGTTTGAGAGACAGGCCTTTGGTTTTGACAAGCTTAGGCATCCTGTCATATTTATCTAGATGTTGCTGAGCTGCATACAGACTCCCCAAAGTTGTTATCCAGATTGGTGGTAAAAGATGCTGGCATTTAATCTCCTAACTTGCTTCCGTCTTCCTATTCTTTCCAAAGTGCAGTTGAAGTGAACAGGTGGGCTTTCCATTACTTCCTGACTGAAAGGAAAAAAACATGTATTTCTCTATTCCTAGGTGATAGTAACCCTATCACTACTGGGGAGTCATAATGGCAAAGGGAGTGAAGAGAAAAACTGTCTTACCATGAGGAGGTATTCCAGATCAGCTCTGGTAGATATGAGTAGCTGGCTGCATATAGATATAAACTAATACAGATATGGATATGGATAGATATATGACATTCTTTTGTACTTGAATATCTTAATAATTAGGGGATGTGCCTATTCTCTTTGGAATAATCAGGCCCAATCTATCTTAACAACTTGAAAATAATTTTTGAGGACTCATGAATATGAATTAAATTGCCAATATAGAAAAGGACATTATTTGATTTCCCTCTTCTAAGATATACAGCATTCATAAGAAATAGTATTTAAATGGCAAGTCGCAAGCTGATTTGTGGCAGTCAGAATACCTCATTGTTTTTCACAGCTAACTCACAAGAGGGAGGAAAATGCATACATAATACATTTATACCCCTGTCCTTATAGTCCCTGACTTACTTCAGCAGCAATGAGAACTTGGCCTTGTACATGGGAAGATATTTTGTAACAACAACAACAAAAAGGTCGAAGAAATTATGAAGACCTTGTTATAGGAAAACAACTACTGATAGTTTTGTGAATGTTATTCAAAGATAATTTAACAGGGGATTTTTCCACAAAGTTAATTGCTACAAAAAAATAAGGCTGTATTCAAACAGCTAATTGCTATAAACCAAAAGGAGATTCCAAGAATTTCTTGCCTAATGAGCTCTATGCAACCTTACAATAAAGTCTCAGCATTACTTAGAAAAAGCCAATCTCCCACAAATCTTAGGAGAGCACGTGAATCTCTGAATCTATTTTGTTTAATCTGGTTTATTTAATTTCTTCTGATGCTGGTTTATTTCATTTCTTCTTACTCATTTCTTCTTATTCTCACTGCAACCTTCACCTCCTGGGTTCAAGCGATTCTCTTGCCTCAGCCTCCCAAGTAGCTAGGATACAGACACCCGCCACCACACCAGGCTAATTTTTGTATCTTTAGTAGAGATTGGGTTTCACCATGTTGGTAAGGCTGATCTCGAACTCCTGATGTCAGCTGATCTACCCTCCTCGGCCTCCTAACGTGCTGGGAGTACAGGCGAGAGCCACCATGCGCAACTAGAAATAGTTGTATTATTTTCCTTTGGGTTTATCTGTATACAGTGTAATACAGCATTAAAAAAGTGAGATTTGTATTTCACATGGAGACACTGGTTAATCTACTGAAACCTTCAACTTACTATATTGGTTTACTTAATGAGGTAAGAAAATGTCTCTGTAATATTTATAGATTTGAAAAATATTAAACTTTATTGAAGTAATTTGATTTTTAATTATGATAACATTTTATCTGAAGAGTGGTTCAAAAACATATGTACTCAAATATAATTTCCAAGATCCTTAAGAACTTAAATTTATGTTAAATAAAGTTTACTAATGAATATTCTTTTGATGAACAAATGCTTTTTAAGTTAGATAAAAATATGAAAACCTTGGTCACCAAGTAATTGTGCCTGTGTGTGTGTGTGTTATTTGCTTATTATGTAACAGAGTGCTTATTCTATGGCTCATGTTATGTTCATATTTGCCGCTAAGACGTACAAGGAAGGTGGGTATATTTAAGACATTATATCTTGTATGCTTACGAGTCTTATTGGTCTGCTAAAATGCTTTGGGTAAGAGATGATTACCAAACACCCACCTCCCAGTTTTCTCTTTAGATTTTGGTTTCTTTAGATTTCTCTTTGGTTATTTTGAACCAAAAATGTAGTTAGTATGAATAATTGACTATAGTAAAATCAACAGTGGCAGAAAAGTTTGTATGCAAGGCAGTAGATTGTGATTTATTTATCAAGGATAATTCGGACTAGTAAATTCATAAATTTACACTGCATGTGAGAGAAAGCAGTGAAAATCAAAACCTTAATAAATATAAAGAGTTGCAAGTTGTAAAAAATAACTTAATTGTCTGGGTTTATTATATTTATAAATAATGAGTCTGAAAAGAAACAATGAAATGTGTTAAATTTTGATAAAAATTGCTAAGTTTTAATGAGTTTTTCAATTTATAAATAAAATATCTTAAAATCTTATAAATATTTTACTGCCAAATACGATATTAATGCAAGCTTTACTATATGTAAGATCAGGTCCTGCTTCTCCCTGCAGGTGTCTGTCTTTTTGCTGACTTCAGATTAGTTGTTTCGCCTAAAATATCATTTATCTAATGTGTGTGAGAAAAGTTGCTAATATTTCCAGTTTTTCTGGCATTTTCCTTTATATAAGTGTGGAAGCTATGCTCTTTTGGTCGCTCCATATCTCTGCTATGAAACTGGAATTCTCAAGTCTGGGCATTTAAAATACTGAACTTACACAGGTTTTATGAGCATAACTGAGAAAAGAGAATGATACTGCCTATGAATAATTACAAGCATTATAGGTCATTCTTAAGCTTTTATTCACAAGCAAGGAAAAAATTAACTCCAGTAAAAAAAAAATTAAATAGGCAATGAGAGGCCAAAACACAATTGCTTTGTTGTTGCACCCTTTGAGTCATTCCAGTACAATATAATAGTTAAATATGTTAAGTCATGGCATAATTTAATTAAAGTTCATTTGTTGGCTCAGTGTTTTGAGGGAGAATAAGAAATCTGTTCAGATTCTAGTTCACTAATACTATACATTTACTCCAGAAGAGTTTGTTAAATTGTGAAATTGGTAAATTAACAATGGTTGAATAAAAATACTCAAAAGCAAGGAATATTTAAAAGAATTAAATTGAATAAAAGCCCAGACTGAAAAATGGAGCTTTTGGCATCTTTGTTTTGATTAGCTTCTTGACTGGTGTGAATTCTAGTTACAGTGAAAATATTACTGTCACAATGGAAGATGATATTGGTGGTAACATCGGACTTCTAAGGCTACTGCTATGTCTTCATCTCCTATACCCACTCTCTCAGGCATCTTTACCTCTAGATTGACTACACATGGTTACTGAGATCTTGAATGGGCATGGTCCATTCTCCCGCACACCTGAGGGGAATTTGTTTCTTTCCCACTGTATTTTTTTCTTTTATTTGTATTTCTTGTTTTTATGTGCTTGCTTTCACAGTCACTTTATCTGTGTTAAAGAATGCTTTTGTTTTTCTTTTTTTTTTTGAGACAGAGTCTCACTCTCTCGCCCAGGCTGGAGTGCAGTGAGGCGATCTCGGCTCACTGCAAGCTCTGCCTCCCGGGTTCATGCCATTCTCCTGCCTCAGTCCCCTCGAATACTTGGTGTGTCTGGAATTGGTGGGTTCTTGGTCTGACTTCAACAATGAAGCCGCGGACCCTCGCAGCGAGTGTTACAGTTCTTAAAGGCGGCATGTCCAGAGTTTGTTCCTTCTGATGTTCGGATGTGTTTGGAGTTTCTTCCTTCTCGTGGGTTCGTGATCTCGCTGGCTCAGGAGTGAAGCTGCAGACCTTCGCGGTGAGTGTCACAGCTCTTAAGGCGGCGTGTTTTCGTTTCTCCTGGTGGGTTCGTGGTCTCACTGGCTTCAGGAGTGAAGCTGTAGACCTTCGCGGTGAGTGTTACAGCTCATAAAGGCAGTGTGGACCCAAAGCGTGAGTAGCAGCAAGATCTATTGCAAACAGAGAAAGAACAAAGCTTACACAGTGTGCATGGGGACTCAAGGGTTGCCGCTGCTGGCTCAGGCAGCCTGCTTTTATTCTCTTATCTGGCCCCACCCACATCCTGCTGATTGGTAGAGCCCAGTGGTCTGTTTTGACAGAGCGCTGTTTGGTGCGTTTACAATCTCTGAGCTAGACACAAAGGTTCTCCACGTCCCCACCAGATTAGCTAGATACAGAGTGTTGATTGGTGCAGTCACAAACCCTGAGCTAGACACAGGGTGTTTATTGGTGTTTACAAACCTTGAGCTAGATACATAGTGCCTATTGGTGTATTTACAATCCCTGAGCTTGACACAGAGTGTTGATTGGTGTTTACAAACCTTGAGCTAGATACAGAGTGCCTATTGGTGTATTTACAATCCCTTAGCTAGACATAAAGGTTCTCCACCTCCCCACCAGACTCAGGAGCCCAGCTGGCTTCACCTAGTGGATCCCTCACAGGGGCTGCAGGTGGAGCTGCCTGCCAGTCCCGCGACATGCGCCTGCACTCCTCAGCCCTTGGGTGGTCATGGGACTGGGCGCCCTGGAGCAGGGGGCTGTGCCTGTTGGGGAGGCTCTGGTGCACAGGAGCCCATGGGGGCGGGGAGGCTCAGGTATGGCGGGCTGCAGGTCCCGAGCCATGCCCCGCGGGAAGGCAGCTAAGGCCTGGCGAGAAATTGAGCACAGCAGCTGCTGGCCCAGGTGTTAAGCCCCTCACTGGCCGGGCGGTGGGGCCAGCGGGCCGCTCCGAGCGCGGGGTCAGTCGAGCCCACGCCCACCCGGAACTCGCGCTGGCCCGCAAGCACCGCGCGCAGCCCCAGTTCCCCCCTGCGCCTCTCCCCCCACACCTCCCCGCAAGCTGAGGGAGCCGGCTCGGGCCTTGCCCAGCCCAGAAAGGGGCTCCCACAGTGCAGGGGCGGGCTGAAGGGCTCCTCAAGTGCCGCCAAAGTGGGAGCCCAGGCAGAGGAGGCGCCAAGAGCGAGCAAGGGCTGTGAGTTCTGCCAGCACGCTGTTGCCTCTCACTGGGACTACAGGCGCCCGCCACCACGTCAGGCTAACTTTTTGAATTTTCAGTGGAGACAGGGTTTCACCGTGTTAGCGAGGATGGTCTGGATCCCCTGACCTCGTGATCCTTGCGCCTCGACCTCCCAAAGTGCTGGGATTATAGGCATGAGCCACCGCTTCCGACCAAAGAACCCTTTTCTTAAAGCTTTTTTCTTTTACACGAGTGTCAGGAACAAACTAATGAGTGGCCTTCATTGCATATATGCTGATTCCTACTGTATTAATCACACAAATCTTTCTTCCTATTTTCTGTATTGCTTGTGTGGCCTGCTCAGAACCAGCATAGACTGAGTCACCACTATTACCCATCCATTTTCTTGATAGCATCCCAAGTGAATATGTCATATAAAAGAGTTCTTAAAAGGAAGTTTCTGAGTATAGTTCTGAAGGAACTGCTAAACCATTTTCCAGTTGGTCAGAGTAGCATTTTTTTTTTTTTTTTGATGTATGATGTGTGGAGTGTTTATGGTTCTTCCAGCTTCACCAAGATGCTGATTTTTCTCTCAAAATTTCCATTCCATTCCTGTGTATCCTGGATACTTGGCAATATAAAAACGTTGGGCAAATTTTATGGTTTACCTCAGGTCTGGAGGACTTAATGGTAACTCCTCACATCTGCTGCTACAGTGAAGTAGAGAAATCATGGGCTTTACACTGAGGAACACCTATTTAAAATCCCAGCTCTATTACCTACAATTGCAGTTACCTGGACTAATCACGTCTCTCTGAACTTGACTTTTCTCATCCATAAAACAAGAATAAAAACTATTTTGAAAGAATCATCAGAGGCCGGGCGTGGTGGCTCATGCCTATAATCCCAGCACTTTGGGAGGCTGAGGCTGGCGGATCACGAGGTCAGGAGAAGGAGACCATCCTGGCTAACACAGTGAAACCCCGTCTCTACTAAAAATACAAAACATTAGCCAGGCATGGTGGCGTGCGCCTGTAGTCCCAGCTACTCAGGAGGCTGAGGCAGGAGAATGGTGTGAACCCGGGAGGTGGAGTTTGCAGTGAGCCAAGATTGCGCCACTGCACTCCAGCCTGGGTGACAGAGCGAGACTCCATGTCAAAAAAAAAAAAAAAAAGAATCATCAGAAATATGAGAATGCCTTTAAATAAATGTGTATTACAAAACCCAGTGTACTGGATGTGTGCAAAATATTATGAGTACCTTAACATTATATTATTATATTTTACACAGGAATCATTTTCAGACCTATCCTCAGTGTACACATTGTGGAGTTTATTTCTATCACAAAACATTTATGCCAATGAATGTTAGAACAAAAGCTGACACTATGATGTGCCTGTAGTCTATCCTTTTAAGAAAGTTGAAATTCTGTACACACACACCTATGTATGCATACATTACAAACCAACACACATACACCCCGACAGAAAGATAGTTTTGATGTTCATTGTAATTTTCTTCATATCTGTTAAATTTTGAGTAACCTGAAGCTCATTAAATGACCATATCACATATAAACAAACAACAACAAAAAGAAACTATAAACATCAATTTGTCAATTGCTGTGCATCATTGCTAAGATGCCAGCAGGCCAAAACCATTTCATGCATTGCATGCATGAGTAGACTATGAAAATTAGCTCAGGGTGAGCTAATGCATAATGGTTTCCCATCTCTAATCACATTAGCCATTTTCCTCAGTTCTTAGATGCAGACTGAGATATTCATTTGGCACTTTCTTCCATTCACCTTCTGGGCTCCTCTCCTAAATTATTGATCTTCCTCCCTAACTCCGTCACATAATTTCCCTTTAGTTTGGAGTTTAATGTGGCAGTGCTGCTGTTCTTCCAATCTGCATGCTCCTTGCTGGGACCTATGGATTTGTAGGGATGTCAAGTGTTCTGCTCCAGCTCAACTCCACAAGTACTTAGGAGGAATTCTCTGGCTCTCTAGAGCACATTTGTTCTGTGTTTGTGCAGGAAAACTCAGTGTCTAACTGGGGAAACCCTGAAGCCACCAACCTCACTTCTATTGCTCACCTCAGGCTCACAGGAAGGGCACCCTATGTGATGTTCTGACAACTCCCAGATCAAAATAAACCTTATATGGAGGCCATAGAGAATATTTGACACTCTTCTGATTAGGTTCCTTATTTAGAGAGTATTTTTGGCATGTAGAGCAAAAAATATTCCCGATTTTGTATTAGCAAATACCCCATGACATCATTAAGAAAATTTTATACAAATCTCTGGCAGCCTTTCTATTACTACATGAGCAAAATTACATTCATGATTGCCAATAAATTAGTCAGGATTAAAGGGAGAAAAAGCAACTCTTTGCAATTTCTCATCTATAGTGGTCTATCTTCTAATATGCGTAGATAATTGTCTATAGTAGGTGACTCAGAGCATGAAGATGGAGCAGGATGAGAAGTTTGCACTGAAGGCCTTTCTCTGAAGGGCAGCCTTGACCCTTTAACCCTTCACATTTAGAGACTATGGTGAACCAATGTAATTGGAAGCAGCAGTGTGGCAGGGGGCTTGACAACGGAAGAGGTGCAGATAGAGAGAAAAGCCAAAGACCCACTGGTCTTCCTAGCATTAAATCATTGGTTCTTACATTCTTATGCTGAAAAAGCAACAATGTCTCCTCTGCCCCACTAAGGTTATTTATTCCCTTTAAGGATCCACAGAGTTATCTTCCACTATTTTCTCCCAAGTCTGTTGGGATTCACTCTTCCAATATCAGGGTTCCCTTGGAGAGACAGTTTCCCCAGAACTATATTTAGATCTAGCAGATTCCCAGATTAGCTTTCCTTCTCTCTACTCTGGTGCTAGAAGCCACAGGCCTAGGATACCCAAGCCAATGCATCAGTCTCTTTTCTCTGGGGTGGAGGTGCTTTCTCCAGGCATTTCTACCTTTTAAAAGACAAGGGCACTACCCCTATTAAAACTGATAATTCATGTCCTACTGTTTCCTGTAGAAAACAGGGACTTTAAACTATTCAATGTATGTTTACTTATACTCTTCTCCCAGTGCAGCTTCTGTTTCCAACTTTCCAGCAGATTTTCAAATGTTACCTTTGTTTTCCTGGAATTCATGCTTTTTGTTGTTTTGATGTTGTTCTCAGATGGGAGGGATCTAAAGTATTAACTGGAGAAATACAAATTTTCTGCCTACCTCACTTATGGAAAGAAAGATGGAAGAGTGAATGAAACTGTCAGAACACTTGCCCCTGGTTTTACATTTCGTTTGATTTGTAAATAAGCCATTAATCTATTTGAAAATAAAAGGTTAGGATGGGCGCGGTGGTTGACACCTGTAATTCCAGCACTTTGGGAGGCTGAGGCGGGAGGATCAGGAGGTTAGGAGTTCAAGACCAGCCTGGCCAATATAGTGAAGCCCCGTCTCTACTAAAAATACAAAAATTAGCCAGGTGCGATGGTGCGCGCCTATAATCCCAGCTACTCAGGAGGCTGAGGCAAGAGAATTCCTTGAACCTGATAGGCAGAGGTTGCAGTGAACCGAGATGGCACCACTGCACTCCAGCCTGGGCGACAGAGCAAGACTCTGTCTTGGGAAAAAAAAAAAAAGTTTAACATCTTTGCAATGAGAAGCAAGAAGTGAGCTTATCTTGTATTTGCTTAGCTGTTTAAGCAGATGAGTTAGAATTAGAAGTCATCCCTCTGTTACTTCTCTGTCATTTGGCTTGACCAAAATGTACTAGGAATTGCCATTACCAGCTTCTACTGACAATGTGTTCATTGGCCTCTGGCCACGGAAGTCTGCACAACTAATTGTCCAGGCTTGTGACCTTAATTGCCTCTGGCTAACATTGCCATGGAAAGCCACACATTGAAAGATCTCCAGGACTTACTTTGTGGGTTTTTTGCCTTTCAGCTTTTTAGTCACAGCTATAAATCCTGTATTGCTTACACCTGGGAGCAGTGATAATAACCTCTGGCCCGCTTCACATTGTTCTCTGAACCACGACTCTAGGCCCATGGAAATTTATTTTTCACATATTTTTGAGTAGGTCTTTGGTTTTATTGAAAAATTTGAAAAGGTACACAGAGTAACTAAGAAAACCAGCATTTGCTAAATTCCACAATGAGCGAACTGTTATACAATCTATTTTACATAGTAAAACTGTATCTGCCAGTATCCAGGAAACTACTGTGGAAAAAGAATTCAAAACCCATGTTCTTACTATCACCCAACACTGGGCATGGATCATTTCCTTTCTTTGCAATAGATCTAGGGTAAGGACTTTAAGATGTGATGCATCAGCCATTCTTGCAGTAGGAACAAATATCAACAAATCAAGTTCTAACAGGAGTTAATAGAAAATGTCAAGAAAGCATTATGAAATAGGGAAAGAGAAATGAAATGGTAATGACTCAGAAGAAAACCCTTCCCTGAATTGAATTCAGTTTATGACACAAAAGAAAATGTAGAACACAGTTGTTTCTTATTCTTAGTACTTATAAAGTATTACTCAAATCTTTAGTTCTGTTAAACAAAGACATGCTTGGATAAGAAAAGTATGAAATTCAATGTGAAATAATTGCCAAATAAAATGTTCAATAGAAAGAATAAAAAGCAGATTTACACCAAAGAAATTCATATTTGCAATTTAGAAAATGTACTTTAAAGCAGTTCCAGAATCTAAAAAACAATAGAGATGACAAATATGAGAGCAGCACATAAAAATTTAGACTTAGGGGAACTCTTATACACAGTTGGTAGGAATGTAAATTAGTACAGCCATTAAGGACAACAGTATGGAGGTTCCTAAGAAAATTAATAACAGCTACCATACGTTCCAACAATCCCACTTCTGGGTACATATCAAAAGGGAAAGAAATCAGCATATTGAAGAGATGCCTGTACTCCCATGTTAATTGTAGCACTATTCACAATAGCCAAGACATAGAATCAACCCAAGTGTCCATTGAGATTAATGCATAAAATGTGATATATATACACAATAAAATATCATTCAGCCACAATACATGAAAGTCTGTCATGTGTGACAACACACATGAGCCTAGAGCACATGCTGTTAAGTGAAATAAGCAAAGTACAGAAGGACAAATATTGAACATATAATCATCTCACAAAATAATGGGTCTGAAGGTAGACAGTTTCAGGATATGTGTGTGTATATATATAACATATATGTGTGTATGTACATGTATAATACGTACACATATATTTTATATATTTGTGTGATGTATATAGTGTATATAATACATATATAATATATACATTATACACATATTAATACACATACATTATAAATATTACAATGTACTTATACATTATATACACACACATATATAAAATATACCTCATAGCAATTGTAGGACCACACATTTGGAGCTGTGGAAACAAATCCATGATCATGAGTGAAAAAGCCTGAAGGAAAGAATCAGCGAAAGGAGTATCGCAAAATGACAAGGGATAAAAAGAACTTATGCCCTTGATGGTATCATCCCAGAAATATTTCCTGAAACCATCTACCTTCAGTCTCATTATTTTGTGAGATAGTTAATTGTTTTTATTGGCCAGGCACAGTGGCTCACACCTGTAATCCCAACACACTGGAAAGTGGAATCCAGAGGATTGCTTAAGCCCAGGAGTTCCAGACCAACTTGGGCAACATAGCGAGACCCTGTCTCTACAAAAAATATACATATATTTTTAAAAATTAGCGGGAATGTTGGTGCACACCTGTCCCAGCTACTTGGAAGGCTGAGGTGGGAAGATCACTTGAGCCCAGGAAGTCAAGGCTTCAGTGAACTTTGATCATGCCACTGCACTCAGGCCTGGATGACAGAGCAAGACCCTGTCTCACACACACACACACACACACACACACACACACACACACACACAAGAAATGTTCTTATTGCTTAAGACACTGTTAGTCAATAATTTTTTGTTACCTGCAGCTCAATGCATACATATAAAGTGATGTGCAAAGGTAGATTACAGAATTAAGAACTTAACTAACAATGAATAAATTATAAATATCTAGGAAAAGGAAAGACAAAGCAGGCCTCTGATCCACCATAAGTAGAGAAGTCCTGAGATAATAAGAAACTATATATATATGTAGTCTATATATATAGAAACTGTATATATAGAAACTATGTGTATATATATATACACATATATATATATATAAATTACAGCATCAAAGCAATTTTAGAAAAGATAACCTTGTTGACAAATATAATTTTAACAGGAAAAATTATCATGACTTTAGAATCCAATCAATGTAGTGAAATGTACTCAGTGTCATAATAGAAATTTCCTGTAAATAACAAAGTGGATCTGTAATCAGAACAGACACACTATGTTCCTGAAAATAAATCAGTTGTTACCTGAGACATATATGCATTATTGATTTAATTTCAAGGATTAAAAAAAATTCTAGAGACATGTAAGTAACTAATAAAAATCTTACACAAGGGGGAAATCTATCTGTCTCCAGACTCCTCTGCATTTGATTAAAAAGTTATTTAGTTAAATACTTATAATTAAGCAATGATCCATAACTTCTGAGAAGAAAAAGTGACCCGCAATTATTCATATATAAAAGAAGAGAGAAATTCCCAAAGATTTCAGGAAACACAGTACCTCTATACCCTTTTTTTAAACAAGATAAAGTGAAAACCCCATTGTCCATGACAAAATCCAGTGGACAAAAGGATATGAGAAGTCAATATAAAAGAATTGGTAGCTTTTACTATATATATATTTCACCATAAATATGTTGCCATACATATTGTATATATATGTGTGTGTGTATATATGTGTATACGTATATATGTGTGTGTGTCTATGTATACAAATATATAGTAAAATAATGTAAATATATAGTGAAATACATATTTGTATATTATATATAGTAAAATATATATTTGTATAATATATTTACTACATAATGTATATTTTACTATTTTACTATATAATATATATGTGTATATATAATGTATATTATATATTATATATGCAAGTGTATAATATATATAATATATGCACATATATATGTATGTGTGTGTGTCCCCATCTCACTACATTGCCCAAGTTGTTCTGGAACTCCTGGGCTCAAGCAATCCTCTGGATTTCATCATTCCAGTTGGAATTACAGGTGTGAACCACTGTGCCTGGCCAATAAGAGTATTTAAGTATCTCACAAAATAATGGTTCTGAAGGTAGACAGTTTCAGGATGTAATTCTGGAATGATATCATCAAGGACATAAATTCTTTTTATTCCTTGCCATTTTGCAATACTCCTTTCACTGATTCTTTTCTTCAGGAATTTTTCTCTCATGATCACAGATTTATTTTCACAGCTCCAATCATCATGTTGTCATACAACTGCTACGGGGAAGGAAAAAAATCAGTAAGCAGAAAGAGGCATATCTCCTCAAGAAAATTTTCTTGTATTCTGAGAAGGAAAATCTGACAGAAGCTTTTCAGCAGATTTGCCCATGTCTCAATGATAAACGTTGAATCACAGAGTCCTACCTAGTCACTCAGTGTGAAAAAAGAACATAAAGACACAAATCGGTTTGGACTAATCTCTGTTCTTCCCATGGTCTAGGAAAAAGATATCCTTTCCCTGATTGCACTGATGACAATTTGGCATCTGAGGAACATGGGCATATATTAGAAAGTAGAAGGGAGATAATACTGTCTGTTGAGTAGACAATCAATAACGTCTGCTATAATTTTTGAGTTACTTTTTTTGAGTTATTTTTCCCATTAATCTTAAAAAGTTTCTCAGTTCTATTAGACAAACCAGTCTTAGAAAATGTTCTTTTTTCCTTCATGTGTGCTTTCTTTCAGAGCTTATGCATTTTTTATGTGCTGTCTCATTTATATGCTATTATGTAATTAATTTTTATTCAATATATCTGTCTATGAGATATGCACTTTTTAATTTTCCTCACAAATGAAGCAGTCAGCTCTGTTTAGAACTGTTGTTGGCAATCTGATGTAAGAGATACTATCTTTGATTCTATTTTCTTTGTGAGAAATATTTTCCTTCATTAATAGCTGAGAAATGTATTCTGAGGACACTATGGTGGCAGGAAGAGTGTTCAATAATGCCATGTGCAGCCTTGGGTGTAGACTTAGGTTCTGTTTCTTGCTTTTGTTTTTTGCTACATATTTTCGTTTTTTATTGGAGTTCTCAATAACCTTTGAGATTCAAATAATTAGCTCCTAGCCAAGAACCAGTCACTCTGGTCTGTTCCATTGCATGCAGCTCTCATCAGCAGTTTATTTCAAAATTCTTAGGGCAGAAAAGAAAAGCCATATTACATAAGTGATTGTATTTCCAGCTTTGATTCTACTGGGAAGAGGAGAGATCTTCAGAAAATCTCCCCATAGGTCATCTTCTGTACCCTACTTTTCTCAGCTAAATGGAGGGGCTTTCCCATTCTTAGGAAAAGGGAGCTTACTCTCTTGTTTTGCCATTCTCAAATCAAAGGCGATTCAAATTTCTTTTTCAGAATTCTGTATTTTATCCCTTTACCTTATTTATTCTCCAGAGGATAAAGTTAGGAATTCCAAGAAATTAATCAAATCCAAAACTTATGAATTACTAGATAAGTATTTCTCTTGTATTCTTTGTCCACAAGTAATTTTGTGTTGCTTATGCTATATGTTTTATATATTTTTATCTATTTGCTTTTCATATCTTTAATTTGGTAACAATTTAGTTTGGCCTGAAATTATGCTAAATCATTTAGAAGTAAATACAGCATATGACATTTTATCTATGTTATGATCACTAGTATGTAAACTTGTATAATTGCCTAGGAAAGAGATTATAAAAAAGAGTGTAAAACATGACATTTGTGAGGTATGAGTATTTATTTATTTTCCTTATAACTTTGTTTAAACCAAGCAATAAACACATTTATTGAGATATGATTAACATAATGATGTACATGCATTTTAAGTATTCAGTTTAATTAGTTTTGACAGGAGAAATCACTCATGCAAATAATTATCCTACTAAGACATAGGGCATTTCACCATTAAATAAAGTCTATATAATCCTTACCTGTGGCAACAATTCCCATGATGTTTGTCACCATAATTTTACTTTTTCCTATTCTAGAATTTAATATAAGTGGAATTGTATAGAATGTATTTTATTGTGTCTATTTTCTTTCACACAGAATAATGTTTTTGAGATCCATTCATGTTGTTGTGTGATAAGTAGTTTACTCTTTTTTATTGCTGAATAGTATTTCATTGTATGAATATATTACATTTGTTTATTCCCTTGTCAAATTGTCATGACAATTTAAGTGACTGTTATAGACAGGTCCATGTCCCTTTTTTCCATGCCCAGTACATTAATCACCGTGACAGGGATTGTGCAAAAGACAAATGTGTTTTACAAGGCTGCTGAGTGAGGAGGAGGTGGGAGAACAACTGTAAATTCATCTCCCTGAAGATAAAGCTTAGGGATACTTACAGGTTAGGAAAGTGAAGTGGTCTAAGGCATGGGGAAAGGCGATTGGCAGTGGAGGAAAATGAAGTAATAGGTTTATTTTGTGTAGGCATATTCAGGGTTCATGGCATTTCATAGAACATACATACCGAAAATGGCAGTGTTAGTACAATCTGAGGATGGACTTTTTGGCCTTCTGACATCAACAGCTTACCTCCTGGGCACATGTGCAGGGCCAGTGGAAGGGTCAGTGATCTCAACGGGTTTCAACTGGATAGGAGCTGGCCCAATTTCCTAAAATACAACTGAAGTGACCCTTAGCATGGTGACCTATGAATGTTATCTGTAAAGTAGCTATTCAAGGTTAAGTTTTAGCCTTCAATGGTACTTCAGCATCATGAAAAAGGGGGTAAAAAATTTAAAAAGCAAGCAAAGCAGGCTGACCTGATCAAATCAACCGGTTGCTGGTTTCATCACTTCCAGTTTTGGGTTATTATGAGTACAATTTCCATGAACTTTTGTGTATAAGTGCATTTGCAGACATATATTTTTATTACTTTATTACTCTTGGGTAAGTTATTGGAAATATAATTGCAGGATCATAGTTCAAGTGTATCCAAGCTGCTTTCCAAAGAGCTTCTACGATTGTACACTTTTACCAATAATGTATTAGTGTTCAAATTGCTACACATCCTTGTCAACTCTCAATATTGCTAATCTTTTTAATTTAAGTCACTCTACTCAGCATGAATTAATACCTCAAGGTAGTTTCAATTTGCCTTATCTTGATCAGGCAACGATGTTGAGCATCTCTCCATGTTCTTGTTGAGCATTTGTGTATCTTGTTTAAAAATTGTGTTTTCAAGTTTTTTGCCCATTTAAAAAAATTATTGTGTTTTAGTTATTGAGCTATAAGATTGTCTTTATTTTGGACACATATCCTTTTTCAGATTTGTACACTACAAATATTTTTTCTGCTCTGTAACTTTAACTTGCTTCATAATTCTTTAAAAGAGGAGATGTTTGTATTTTGTTAAAATCTAACTTATACATTTTTAAAAGACATGTATAATGAATAAATGAGTGTCCTTTTTCAGAATTGTCATCCTCATATTTACAAATACATTTTCTATTTTTTCCCCTAGATATTTTATAAGTTTAGATTTCACAATTAGGTTTATGATTTATTTAAATTTTTTTAATTTTATGATACATTTAAAATTTCTGTGCATAACATGTATGAGTATGACAGGAATGTGTCAAGGCTCCTTTTTTTTACACAGACGTTGAGTTGTTGAAATATTTATTGAAAACATTTCTTGTCTCTATTCGCTTTGGTATTTTTGTTGAAAATTATTTTCTACATATTTTAGACCATTTTCTGAATGCTGTTTTGTACCATTGATCTATTTCTCTCCTTTCTTTCTTTCTTTCTCTTTCTTCTTTCTTTCTTTTCCTCCTTCATTCCTTCCTTCTTTCCTTCCTTCCTTCCTTCCTTCTTTCTTCCTTCCTTTTTCTCTTTCTCTTCCTTCCTTCCCTCCCTCCCATCTTTCTTTGTCTTTCTCTCTCTCTCTCTTTCTTTCTTTCTTTCTTTCTTTCTTTCTTTCTTTCTTTCTTTCTTTCTTTCTTTCTTTCTTTCTTTCTTCTTTGCTTGCTTGCTTTTTCTTCTTTCTTTTCCCTCCCTTCCTTCCTCTCTCCCTCCCTCCCCCTCTCTCTTTCTCTCTCTTTCTTTTCTTTTTTCCTTTCCTTTCCTTTCCTTTTCTTTCCTTTCTCCTTTCTCCTTTCCTTTTCTTTCTTGTCTTGCTATGGTGCCAGGCTGGTCTCAAGCAGTCCTTCAGCCTCAGCCTCAGCCTCTTGAGTTGCTAGGACTACAAGTATGTGCCACTGTGCCAAGTTTATTTCTCTATTCTTATGCCAATACTGCTCTTAGTTATGTACCCTTATAGCAAGTTTTGAAATCTGATATTCCAAATTTCTTCTTTTGCAAAATCATTTTGGCTGCCCTAGGTCCTTTGCATTTCCATATAAATTTTATAGCCAGCTACATCATTTCTACAAAAAAATAGAGTTTAGAATGATATGGAATGTATATATAAATAGTTGTAAAAATAGTTGCTGTGTTCACTTTAGTTAAAGATTTCTTTGAAGGTTATATAAATGTTTCTACATAATCATGTTAACAGAGGAAAAAGATAGGTTTATTAATTTGTTTTCCAAATCTCATATGATTTTTTTAATGCTGTGTCGCACTGATGAGGTCCTTCATTACAATGTTAAATAGAAGTAGTGAAAATAGAGGACATCCTGGCTTTGTGCCAGATTTTAGGAGGGTTGCGTTCAAATTTCACTATTAAGTATGACGTTACCTGGTGGGTTTTTTTTTTTTTTTGGAAACTTTATCTGATTGAGCATGTTCCTGTAAGTTCCTACTTATGTAGAGTCTTCTCACTTTGCTTACTTATTTCTACATTTTTAAGGTAGAAAATCCCCTTCAACATAAAAAATTAAAACTAAACAATTTCCTCTAAGATTGCTTTCACCGCATCCCGCAAGTTTTGATAATAGTGCTTTCATTACCAAGTTTTGTTATAAATGGATATTGAATTTTGTCAAATGTTTTTAATTCACCAATTGACATAATCATAGAACTTATTGTCTTTTTTCTGTTAATATGTAAACGATGTTGATTGATTTTAGAATGTTGAACCAACCTTGCTGCCCTGGAATAAATCTGCTTGTTGATGACATCTAATATGTTAATATTTTTTAGCATTTTAATACATGTAATTTTTCCCATGTATGTCAAGTTCTTTTCCTCTATGTCTCCATAAGGTTTTGATATAAAATCATTTAAATATTATTCAGTCATTTGGAAAGCGTTTCCTCCTCTATTTTGTAAAAGAGTTTATGTACAATTTCTTTATTTTTTCCTGAAATGCCTGATGAAAACACCAGTAAAGCACAACTGAATTGTCAATTTTCTTTCAGGTAGGCTAATAATTGATTTCAATATTTTCAGCATGTGTGGAGCTCTTCATAATTTCTTATTATTCTTGGTCAGGTTTGATGAGTTATGTTTTTGAGAAATTTAATCATTTAGTCTATGGTGAGTTCTTCATAATTTCTTATTATTCTAGGTCAGGTTTGATGAGTTACGTTTTTAAGAAATTTAATCATTTAGTCTATGTTGTCAAATTTATAGATTTTTTTCAGTTATATCTTCTTATCACTTTTTACATTTCTATAGAATCTGGAGTTTTATATGCTCTATCATTCCTAATATTGATTATTTGTGTTTTTCTCTCTATTATTGATAAGCTATGAGTTTATCAATTTTTATTAATATTTTCAAAATACTGACTTCAAAAATTTTTATTATTTATTTGCTTCTACATCTCGAATAATAATAATAACAATAATAATAAAACAAGCACAAAAGTTTTAACAAACTTTAATTTTTGCCTTTTTTTGAAAGAAAGTCATTTTGGGTATGTTTAAAGTCCATTGTATATCACTCTTGATCATGTTTTTCTCTGTGTTTCCTTTATTCTTCATGGGGGAAACATTAAAATAAATTAGTGTTTTTTCATGACCTCGTATCTTCAACTACATATATACACATACATATCTAAAATATATAGATTTTTAAAATATTCTTAAAATTTAGAGATATTATAATACAATGCATATCTTTAGGCACTTCAATTTTTCCTCAAAACTTTTTATTTGAAAATTATCTATATGAATATCTGAAGCACCACGTCTAATTTGCTTTTGCTTATTTCATTTTATGAATATATCTCCATCCATTTGCTTATTAATGAATAGATTTAAGTTCTTTAAAATTACTTCTATTACAGTGGGACACGGTGGCTCACACCTGTAATCCCAGCACTTTGGAAGGCTGAGGCAAGTGGATCACCTGAGGTCAGGAGTTCGAGACCAGCCTGACCAACATGGTGAAACCCTGTCTCTACTAAAAATACAAAAATTAGCCTGGCATGGTGGTGCGTGCCTGTAATCTCAGCTACTTGGGAGGCTGAGGTAGGAGAATTGCGTGAACCTGGGAGGCAGAGGTTGCAGTGAGCCGAGATCATGCCACTGCACTCCAGCCTGGGCAACAGAGTGAGACTCTGTCTCAAAAAAAAAAAAATTACTTCTATTACAAACTGAACTGTTATGAATTTTTTTGTGCATATCCCCTTATGTATGCATTTAAAAGTATGCCTAGGAAATAAACTTAGAACTGTGGGACTAGGTTTTATGAAATTTGTTCCTTTGTGGATATTGCCAAAATAGTTTTCAACCTTATGGTACAGTTTACACAACCAGCAACAGGGTATGCGAGTCCTCTCTCACTATAATCACAACAATGGAATTGATGCATAATTTTCAAAACTTTTGTTAAGCTTATCTGTGCAAAATGCATTGGGACCTTTCAATTTGCATTTCCATGATTATCAGTGAGGTTAAGCATCCTGTTGCATTTTTATTACTATAACATTTTTTTCATTAAAGATTGCCTTATTATTGCTTGTTTTGGAGGTTTTATTTGTTTTGTGTTTTCTTTTTAGGTTAAAGAAATTATTCTTAAATTAAAAATACTAATCCTCTTCCAATCATGCTTATTGTTAATATGTTACTGCAATCTGTAACTTGCTTTTTAACTTTGCCTACAAATTTTTTTTTGATAGAGACATTTTAAAATTTAACGTAGTAAAACATATCAATTGTTTTCTTTTGTCATGTTTTAAGAAATCCGTCCTCACATTGTTCCTTACTTTGAGGTCTTAAAGATAAGTTGTATTTTTTGTCTACATGATTTCTATATTTACTTTTACATTAAAATATTTAATCCACTTGAAAACTTATTATCACATGTAGTGTGAGATAGGGATCTAAGTTTCCTTCTTTCATATAAACAGCTCATTTTCCAAGATTAATTTTTGCCTCTTTTTTCTACTAACCTATTATTCTGTTTTTATAACACATCAAATTTTTAAAATTTGTGTGCTGCTTTTTATGTTTTATGTTTTACTCACCTTTATAAATATGTACTAATGTAACAGGGCTTCACTATTATTGTCAATCTTGACAATGCCAGTCAAGCTCCTCCTCTTTTTTTAACATTTTCTTGGCTATATTTTTGCCCTTTTAATCTTGTACTGAAATTTTATAATCAAATATTTAAGTTCCAGAAACAATCTGGTATTTTGACTAGAACTGCATTTAACTTCCTGATAAACAGGGAAAATATTGATGTCACAGTATTTTATGATTTATTATTTCCATATGTGAATATATCTTCTCATTATTCTTATATTCTTTAGTTTTTCTCAAAAATGGTAAGTTTTATAATTTTTCCCATAAATGTCTTACCTTAATTTGTTAAGTGTATTCTCAGATACATTATGGTTTGTGTTTGGGTGAACTGTAGCATGTGGAGGTCCTGCCCTGTTGTGATACTTAGGATCTACAAATGTAGTTTCCTAGCTATTGGGGTGCTTGGTTCAGTTTGTCAGTAGGCTGCTTTTGCTTTCTCCTATCGACATCAAGTGTGTTTTCTGTGAGCCTCCTCTAAAAGCTCTCTTTTAGTCTCTAGCTTTGAGCAGGCCAACTGGCGCACTCAACTCTACTTCAGTTATGTCCCATGAAATGCTATCTTGTGTTTAAGTGCTTTATTTCTCTTTACATTTTATGTACTATTTGGAATCAAAGATGCATCTAAGTGTGGACTTGCTACAACACACAGAGAAGGTGCCAATTTTTTTTGGATGAAATAGACATCAATGATAGATATTATTTGAAGTCTTAAATTTTTCTTTTTTTTTTCTTTTTCTTTTCTTTTCTTTCTTTCTCTTTTTTTTTTTGAGACAGAATCTCACTCTATCACCCAGGCTGGAATGCAGTGGCACAATCTCGGCTCACTGCAACCTCCGCTTCCTGGGTTCAAGCAATTCTCCTGCCTCAGCCTCCCGAGTAGCTGTGACTACAGGCACCTGCCATCACACCTGGCTTATTTTTTATATTTTTAGTAGAGATGGGTTTCACCATGTTGGCCAGACTGGTCTCAAACTCCTGACCTCAGGTGATCTGCCCACCTCGGCCTCCCAAAGTGCGGGGATTACTGGCATGAGTCACTGCGCCCGGCCTGAAGTCTTAAGCTTTTAACTTCTGGTATTTGTTGCTATTGTGGGTGTCATTGTTCTATGGATATCTTTATTTTCAGTATGAGAAAATTAGATGAATCAGGAAACTTTTAGAAAAGAAAGAGAAATACAGGAACCAGAGAAATGATTAATTTTATGAACCTATACAAAGTGGCAAAAGTAAAACATTATTTGTATAAAAAAAGATGAATTAATCTTCTTCTAACACATCATGTAATGACTGCTACTACTTATACTTCATTCTTCAGCTTTTCAAAAAACATGCTTTAGTAATTTGGTTATGCATTCATTTATTCAACATTTATTGAGCATTTCTGAATGTTAGGCACTGGAAATATAAATAAAATACAATCTTCAACCATTCCTTCAAGAAACAAAGTGCTGATTATTATAAGAGGCAGAACCAAACACCGCATGTCCTCACTCATAGGTGGGAATTGAACAATGAGAACACTTGGACACAGGATGGGGAACATCACACACCCAGGGCCTGTCGTGGGGTGCGGGGAGGGGGAAGGGATAGCATTAGGAGATATACCTAATGTAAATGACGAGTTAATGGGTACAGCACACCAACATGGCACATGTTTACATAGGTAACAAGCCTGCACATTGTGCACATGTACCCTAGAAATTAAAGTATAATAATAATAAAAAAAAACAGAACCAAAATAATATACACAGTAGTATAAAGGAGGGAAGAAAAATGAATTATTCTTTTAGACTTCCTGGGTTCTAGCAACTAAGCTACCAAGTCCGTGATAATGTCAAGAACTATACAAATTCGGGGAGCTCTTGTTTTTATTCATTTTGTTGTTTTCATTGGCTTTTAAGAGAGATGACATAAATCACAACTGTTACAACGATCTTTTAGGCAATAGCAGAATGACTATTCAGGGACGTATTGTCTTCTTCACTAATAACATTACTGTGTGTATGTTTAAGACATATGATATGGTTTGGATCTGTGTCCCCACCAAAATCGCATGTTGAATTGTTATCCCTAGTGTTATAGGTGGGGCCTGGTGGGACGTGATTGGATCATGGGGGTGGATCCTTCGTGAGTGGTTTAGCATCATACTCTTGGTGCTGTTATCGTGATAGAGTTCTCACGAGATGTGGACGTTTAAAAGTGTGTAGTACCTCCCACCTCTCTCTCTCTTGCTCCTGCTCCTGTCATATGAAATGCCTCGCTCCCCCTTTGCCTTCCACCATGATTGTAAGTTTCCTTGACTTTCCCAGAAGTCAAGCAGATGCCAGCGTCATGCTTCCTGTTCAGTTTGTGGAATTGTGAGCAAATTAAACCTCTTTTTATAGAAACACAACTCGGGTATTTCTTTAGAGCAATGCAAGAACTGAGTTATACAGGATAAAACTTCAAATTTAACACAATGTATACATATATTAAAACATCACATTGCATACTGTGAATATATACTATCTTTGTCAATCAAACCTTAATAAAGCACAGAAAAAAACTTGAATTTGTAATATATCATAATCCAAATATACACGTTAATATTTTCTACATTTTTCAGTCTTGTTATATTAAGAACCTCTGAAATGTAGCAGACTATGCTAAACTTGGCAGAAAAATAACTCTAGCCATGGGTAAAGGGAAGTTGGAAAAAATTGAAAACATGAATTAAGAAAAAGAAATGAGCTCACTTTGGAGGAGTATTTACTAGAAGATAGAGAAGAAGGAGTAAGTCTAAGCAGGGAACAAAATCAAGTGGATCATATTTTTCCATGTTAATGGAATATGGGATAAATTCTTCCATTGGAAAAAGGGAGAAAACATGAAAATAAATAATTTACCAATACCAAATATTGAATGGATAAAAGCAGCCATCCCAGCATAATAGAAAATTCAAATTTTCCAAGTCACAATGAGTTTTCAGAACACAAGACACACACACACACACACAGAGGCTGCTATAAAAATGCATGCACAAAACAAGGCATTTTAGCATCCACCAAAGAGAAATACAATTATTAAGACAGATTTTATTTAATATCATTCTTCTAATTATAGATATAGTTAATTTCAACATAGTAACTGTGGTACCTAATTTTTTAATTCTCACTTTCTAGAGCTATTTATGTAATAAAAAACACTTTTTTTTCAAATGAGGCCTATCATTTATTGTTCTGAGAGAGCTAAGATTATCTTGTTAATAAAAATTCAATAATTAAATTTAAAACTATTTGATTACCTATTGAGAATGAGTTATACATATGTAAAGTTTAATCTTAAAATTTCTGTATATCTTAGTATATCTTAGTAATTTGTACTATTGGCTTATAAATAAAAACAAAGCTTGAATTAAATACATTTATTATAAAACATACATTCTAATATATAGTAATATATATTTAGTAATACATACATTCTAATATTATATATTTTATTATATATTATATATTATGTTACATATTATATATTATATTATTATATATTATATATTATATTATATATTATATACATATTATGTATACATTTATATATAATGTATATAATATATAAATTATAATATATAATATATGATATTAGAATGTATGTATTACTAACAAGATAGTTCTTTACATACCAGTTTAAAGTCTCAAATAATATCACATGTAATATGTTGCATTTCATTAACAACATTAACAAATACATTATTTATAAAATAAAAAGTCCTGGAGAAGAGAAGCCTAAATAATTTTCTCAACATTATCACATCAAATTTTGTGGGTTTGAGAAAACTGACCTTGGCATATTAAAATATATATATATTTTAATATATATATATATTTAGACAGAGTCTTCCTTTGTTGCCCAGGCTGGGTACAGTGGTGCCATCTTGGCTTACTGCAAGCTCCCTCTCCTAGGTTCATGCCATTCTCCTGCCTCAGCCTCCCAAGTAGCTGGGACTACAGGTGCCCGCCACCACGCCTGGCTAATTTTTTTGTGTTTTTAGTAGAGACAGGGTTTCACCATGTTAGCCAGGATGGTCTCGATCTCCTGACCTCGCGATCCACCCGCCTCGGCCTCCCAACGTGCTGGGATTACATGGTGAACCACGGCACCCGGCCCTAAAATATTCTTAATTCACAATTTTCTTATAGTTAATAGTTTGAAAAAGCTACATATTTTGAAGCATTTGTGCATGCCAAAATACCTGCCTGGAAATTCGCTTTCTCATATGTGGAGGTGTCATTTTTCTGTGGCCCTTTCCATAAGCTTACATGGTTCCCTGGGACCCTTACAGGAAGCATTTAACTAATTATCTGATACGGTTTGGCTGTGTCCCTACCCAAATACCATCTTGAATTGTAGCTGTCATAATTCCACATGTCATGGGAAGGACCTGGTGAAAGGTAATTGAATCATGGGAGTGGGTCTTTCCCGTGCTGTTCTTGTGATAGTGAATAAGTCTCACGAGATCTGATGGTTTTATAAAGGGGAGTTTCCCTGCACACTCTCTTGCCTGCCACCATGTAAGATGTGACTTTGCTCCTCCTTCACCTTCCACCATGATTTTGAGGCCTCCCCAGCCATGTGGAACTGTGAGTCAATTAAACCTCTAGTTTTTTAAATAAATTAACCAGTCTCGGGTATGTCTTTATTAGCAGCACAGATTAATATGTTATATAAACAAAAAAATTATTTTGACATTTTATCATAGTAGCATGTTCTTTTAATATGCATTTTGAGCAATGAGCATTAATACTGCAGAGAAATCCAGATGGGCCAGGCAGCCATTTCAGTTAGTGGAAGACCCAGGAGGGAGTGCTATGCTGAGATATCTCAGGTATTGCCTCTATCATTTAATTGGTGATGACTCAGTTGATGTAATATTATCCTTGTTCTCCCCTATGCACACAAATTCTTACCAGCCACTCTTGCACAGTAAATTCTGGGGGTACAGCTCCTTTCCAGGTACATTCAAAATAGTAAAGTTAAAGGTCAGAGTGGCTGAACTCCAACATAATTGGGCTTTTCTTAAATTTCAAAAGAAGGATGGGAATGACTTTGATATAAAAAAAGAAAGGAATGCCTTTGCTTTTAGTTTACTCTTGACAGTCCCTCTTTTATCAATAACACTCAGAAATGTAGACTCTAAGGAACGCCAATTGTGGAAGATGAATACAATATTAACATGTAGGTTTTATATTCCATGTCAATTCTGATCACTTGTTACTGGTTTTCAGAAGTCATTTTTGACATCATTAGGGGAAAACTGTTTTAGTAATTCATAGTCTCCACAAGAGGGGAGGAAATCCTTATCCAGAGATTAGTAATTAGAATATATTTGTGAAAAACTATTCTGTATACATTTATACATCAATCAATTATACTATCAAAACATAATTTTTAATAGTGATGTTATTAATAAAATGATAACATTCTATTTGTTTTAAAAAATAAGCCACGTTTACCACATGTCATGTCTCCTTCTGGTCTTTATTTTCAGCTATTTAAATAATAAATCTGAGGTTTAGGGACTTCTATCCCTAAGTCTCATAAACATTTTGGGTGTAATAATTTGGTTTTCATATTTAATATTATTATTTAAAAAACAATAAAATATTTTATTATTCAAAAATATTTCTAAAATATAAAGGTAAATCTAAGTTGCATTCTCTGAGGGTCAGTGTTATAAAATACCGGATGTCCTTTCTTGAAATTATATTGTAATTATCTTTATTATTTCCAAGATTTCAAGTCATAGTTATACTTTAGGAAGGTGATTTTAATACAATAACTTGTGCCAGTCATTCTGATTGAGAATTATTGGCCTGACTGGACTTCAATATATTGGATAAAAGAAATAAATATTTAAGTATATAATGTAACCTAAATAAAAAGAAATGAATTGTGTAGAGATATCCTGCTTTGACCAAATAAAGCAGGATAAAGAATATGATCTGACCAAATAAAGATTATGGTCCACTTTCAGGCTATTTCCATAGCTTTCAACAGAATGTGTTTTTTAAAGTATTGAATATTTGCTTCTTTCCTATATATTACAAATGACAATTCTAGGCTTTTGGGAAACTTTTGAGTGCCAAATAATCATAAAGATGAAGCCTTTCTTTCAGTCTCCCCAAAAATGCAGCAAAAGGAGGAGTAATTGAGAATGATAAATGCATTACTGTTTATACAAGAATACGTGTATAGACATGAAGTCTCATCGATGGTTTCTTTGATGTGCAAACAAATTATGATAAATCTGTAGATTTGATAAGTGAACTCAGTTTTTATCACATTTCTTGCTTTTTCTTGCTTTCTTTTTGGCACAATTTTTTTAATTGATGAATAAAAATTTTATGTTTTTAAGGATACAAAATTTCAGTTAGATAGGAGGGATCAGTTCAAGAGCTCTATTATACATCATGGTGACTATAGTTATTATTAATATATTGTATATTTGAAAATTGCTAGGAAAATAAATTTTAAGTGGTCTTTTGAACTGTTATTAAAACATTCTTATTTATACAAGAACCAGAGTAGCATTTTTACTTGCTATACACATGACTTCTTGAGGACAGCAATTTACCATGTCTTATCAATTCTTTTGTTATCAGTTCCCTGGTGTTATACATACTACCAAAAAAATACCTGGAAGGAAGCTATAACCCCAAAATTCACTGGGTAGAAGTAGCTGGTATGAATTTGGGTGCACAAGGAAGGAGAGGGATAATGTTATATTGACTGAGTCAACACCTGTTGGATACTCTTCATTCAATGGATGTGTATTAAATAAAGGTAGCTGCAGAGGTAGCTTCAGTAGAGTTTTTATCTTCTGGTATGTCATATATTTTGCTATTCATTGTTGCTATGGCATTGCTATGGCATTTTTGACTATAGCCTATGTTAGAATTCTAATTTACTTCATCAATATGACAAAGGAAGACCTTTATACTGTGGTAAAAGCATCATGGATTTTATCATTTTAATATTATATTTTTGGAAAATGCCATATTTAGAGTCCTAACTATAATTTGGCACAGGTAAGACATAAATTATGAAGGTTGGCCATCTTACAACGAGCATAATTCCTCATAGTCAGATAGAGAAATGAACATAAAGGAAATAAGCAATTTTGCAGCCATCTATGATATTGACTCTCATCATCGGAATAATTATTCCTATTACAACATTAAAGCAATAACCTTTATATGTCCAAAATTCTTTATGACTGTTTTGGTACACATTTAGTAAGACTAGTGTTTCAGTATGTTGTTGGTCACAATTTTTTTCAAAAAAAATTCTATTGTTCTCATTAAGACTAAGTCTGTTGTCTTTATTCATTTTGGATATCACCAGGGGAAACATAAAACAAAATCAAAGCAGATATTGCAAAATTAACCATCACCATCTGATTTGATATTGCCAAATTTGTGTTATGTTTATGATTTAAAGTTTTGCTTTCTCTTATGTGTAGCAAGAACTTATAGACACCTGTACAGCAATCTGAGTTACAAATCCATAAAAAGGTTTATAATTTCCCCGCTGATATTTTGTAGTTGTTTCACCCATACATGTCTTATCAGTAATTGATTTTCAGGCAATATCCTATTATTTATTATTTCTGTAGTATTTTATTTAATTTTTATGAAAGAAATTCCCTTCTTACAACCATCTATCATTGTTTTGTTTAATACCTAGTTAAATTGCATAATGACAGTGTTAAGTAACACTCATACACACAGGTTTGAGCATGAACCACAGCAAACTCTGGTAAAAAAACAATTCAAATGGCTTCGAGTCTAGTGCACTTAAGTGTTCAGAATTTTACAGAGGCAAGGAGACTTGGATAATCTTGGTAGTTAACCAGAACTCAGTAAGTGAATTTCTGCAATAATTCCCAAATTCTTCATAATTAATATGTATTATTCTGGTATTAAGAAACTAGCAGAAGAAATTACCAGTCGTTAATGATTAATGCTATTTCTTTTTATAACTATAAAAAGGAAGCATTCTCGTAAGGGTCACAGATTGCATGTGTTTAATGAATATCAAATAGCCTGTAGCCAATGTATTTGAGAAGTATGGCATATTTATGAAATTCCTATGTTAAAAATGACAGAAATAGCATATTCGTTCAAGCCTAAAAACCAGACTTTTATTTTATATATAAATAATGCAAATTACTATTTTAGTAACTCTAAGTGTGACCTTGAAAACAAACAAGAATTATCCAACCTCACATGATACACTGAAATATGAGGTAAAAAGAAATCCAACAATAAGATATAGACACATGATAGTACCAATAGTATAAATAAGAAGTTATCATATTGACTCATTGTTTTGCATTCCAAAGATTTTTTTGCCACTTGAAAAGCTTCTAAAAGTAGCAAATACATTTTAACATTCTACCACATTTATTACAAGGTTGTCAAAGCTGACCTAATATTCATTACTGTGAAATGTTCTCTGAGTCCTTTTTGAGGAATCATAAATTTCTTACAAACTACTTAGTGCTGAAATGCAAGATAAAGTGTCAAAGGAAAACAATGTAAGATCAGTAAAAAGCATCTGAAAAGGTTGTCTCTGACTTTGTCTGGAAAAGATGAGGGCGTTATTAAATAAAAGTATATTTGAGTTCTGCTCATACAGTGAATATATACATTTGATTTTTGCTTAATTTATTTGGGTAGAATTTAGGTTATTTTTACAAAAGAATTTAAAATATTCATGTTGTTCTCTGCTAAAAAATGGTTTTGGGGAACTTAGTATTAATTTTATATACATCATCAAGATTATTGCTAGATTTTTGTCTTTCATGAAAAATACATGTGAGACAAAATATATAACAAAGAATTGTCCTCTCACTTTTCTTAAAGTTGTAATTTTAGTAAGATTTAAATCTAATACTTCTAACTCACTTCATTTGATATTCGTATATTTTTGTATCAAATTATAGATTTTTGATACATTTTACCATTGATTTTTTGTATGAATTAGTCAGAAAAAGGAACATGTTAGTTGCATAAAATCAACATGACCTCCCAACCAAAAAATAAGGAAAAAGGCATCTATTCTCATCATAGTCTTAACTGTCCACTTCTTAAATCACCTCATACCATATAATCATGCTTCCACCAAACTACCATATATGATAAATATATATATACATCTATATATCGTACATATTTTTTATAAATACACATGTATTTTATAAATATATATACCCAATAAAATGCTTCATTTCTTTCTTTTTTTTGGGGGGGGGGGGGACACAGTCTTACATTGTCACCGAGGCTGGTGTGCAGTGGCACGATCTCGGCTCACTGCACCCTCCGCCTCCCAGGTTCAAGCGATTCTCCTGCCTCAGCCTCCCGAGTAGCTGGGATTATAGGCGCCCGCCACTAGACTCGGCTAATTTTTTGTATTTTCAGTAGAGACGGGGATTCACTATGTTGGCCAGGCTGGTCTTGAATGCCTAACCTCATGATCCACCTGCCTCAGCCTCCCAAAGTGCTGGGATTACAGGCTTGAGCCACTGTGCCCGGCCTGAAATGCTTCATTTCTTCTCTAGAAACTAGGAAATATGTTTTAATTAGTTTAAACAAATGACACGATTGGCCTATTGTCGGAATCATGGACTGGACATCTTTTTCCAAAATTGCATATTATTCTTGAAGTGATAAAGAGATATTTGTGTCAACCTGAGTAGAATTATATGCATGAACCATATAAAAGTGATTTGTCCTCACTGAATGTGAATGCCAATATTTTGGGTGACTTGTGGATTCAGATGGCTGGTAGCTAAAATAATACCTGAGTTGCTTCCTCTTTTCCTTTCAAATATTCATAAAAATACACAAAATAATAAATGTTTGAAGCAGAACCAGAAGCCAAGTCATTCCATTTTATGCATTACCTGTTTCTTTGTAGATTCTGGATTTCCATGGTAAACATGATAGCATATTGTTTCTACTCCCATGGTGCGTCCATTCCAGTGAGAAATGAGCACACAAACAGCAGTAAAGTCCTTTAATAAAATGAGAAATGGTGCTCCCAAATTTAATTCTATAAAATAAGTGTTGTGGTATATCAAAATTAGTGGTTGAAACTGCCTCAAAATGCTCAAAATTAAGATAGTGACAAGTCATTTCTTTCCGCTGTAGCCATTCGAGTCAAGTGGATTAGCCACTACATCCATCATCTTAGTAATGGAAAATAACAAAATCAAATCTCTGAGAAAAATATTTGCACAAATTTCACTTATCCTCTTCTCGTTCTCCTTCGCTTTCAGTAACTTACATATGACAAAACAACATTTTATAGAATTCTATGATAGACTTGATAGCAAGCATCCTTCTAGCTACAGAACCCTTATGCATTTAAATCACAAGCATTATTTCTAAGGATACCTGCAATAAGATTTTTAGAATGCTATCCATTTCCATGTTAAGGTGAGATTCTTCTCTAAACTATTTTAGCCAGTCCTCATGGTTGGATATCTATAATGTAACCAAAAGGAGCTCAATTTTAACAGCCATTAAGCTGATTAGGAAAACGCAGATTCCGCTAATGAAATATCTCATAAAGTCTCTTAACTATACTCAAGTTAAGGACAGAAACAATTCTTGCAGCAGTGACTCTGAAGTGTGGTCTTTCAAAGTAGTTCTAGCTGACCACTTCCCATGTATGGATTCCTTTTTTTTTTTTTGAGACGGAGTCTTGCTCTGTTGCCCAGGCTGGATGGAGTGCAGTGGCGCGATCTGGGGGTTCACGCCATTCTCCTGCCTCAGCCTCCCAAGGAGCTGGGATTACAGGTGCCCGCCACCAAGCATGGCTAAGTTTTTGTATTTTTAGTAGAGACAGGATTTCACTGTGTTAGCCAGGATGGTCTGGATCTCCCGACCTCCTGATCTGCCGGCCTTGGCCTCCCGAAGTGCTGGGATTACAGGTGTGAACCACCGTGCCGGGCCCACCTCCTGTGTATGGATTCCTGATTAGGTCAGATGATAGTTTCCACAATGTAGCTTAATAATGAATTTATGCATATCAATTACAGTCTAAGATAATGGAAGTAGTTTAAAATAAAATCCAGATATTTTAATGAATATATTTTTGCTTTTAGCAGTGGTGGGTGAAATTTCTTAATTTTCCAAATTGAATTCAATCTCCTTCACTCTTCCCTCTCCATTTTCAACAATAGAAGAGTTATGGTGTGTAATTAAAGAAGCCACATCATAACTAGAATCTTAGCTTCACCCGTTGTCCTATTCTTCTTTCAGATAGAACTTCATGATCTTTTGCAGAGCGTTCTGCCATTGACTCCTGTGTTTCTGTTAGTCTTGCCAACTTCCAATTCATTAATTATTTATATTTGCCAGAATAATGTTTAATTCAATTTGGTAAGTGCAATACTCTTTTAAAAATATGTCAGAGACTTCTAATTGCCTCTTCATAACAATGAAGTCCTAAGCATGATATTCAATGTTGTTCATGATCTAGCCTCTATCTCTCTCTTGATGATTCTCATTGGTAAGCATTTTCTGCCCCCTTTTACCTAAATTCTCTATATCCGAGATTACTTATGTATCCCAACGTGATAGTAATATTGTGTAAAATGACCAAATCTTTACATATATGTTTTTTTCTGCCTAAATTCATTGACCTTTCTTCTTCATCTGGTTAATCACAATTCATCTTTTTAAATTCAAGCATTACTATCTCCAAATAATGTTTTTTCCTCCTGGACTGGGTCACAATTCGTCAGATGCTCCACACAGGAACCTCTGGCACAGATAAGGTTAGTAAAAATATAAAGCTTAACTGTTATATTTTAATTATCTTTTTCTCTTTTCTTTTCCAATTGGCCTGAAGCTCTCCAAGGTCATGGACTGTATCATTGGCTTTTGTATTCTGAAATCTTAGAACACTCGTTAGCAAAATAGAAGCATAATACTTGTGTCTTAATTTGCTTCAATTAAATTTCAAATAAATCTTTGATCTTGGGCTTGTCCTTCAATTTTCTTTAGTTTTGCTTTTTCATTTATAAAGTAGGTATCACTGTATATACCCAGTGCATTATAATGAATATGAAAATAGATTATCTAGGTAGTTCTTGGTAAATGTTAAGTGTTCAATAAATGTTAGTTAACTTCATAGTTCTACAGAATGGTATAACGGAAACTTATTGTTTTTCCACACTTCTGTAGGATTTCCTCTTTTTCCTTCTATCTATGTGAGTGTTGAACGAGCTCTCTACAGTATTTTTTTATGACACGACTTCTTTGCACAGTTAACAGGTTAACATCCACACAGAGGGAAATACAGCATAAGCTATATCAAGGAATTCCTTTCCTGGCACCTTGGCTGGAGAGCCAGAAAGATTGCTTCTTTCTGTGGTTGATGTGTTGAGATATAAATGTACACTCAGGTAGGAGCAGCAATAAAAGAAATAGGAGGACCTGGAAGGCATTTATATTCCTTACTTTTAGTTGTTTTCCTACAGTCCAGATGTATTGCTATCTTTGGACCCTGTGAAATGTTCCTTTATTTTTATAATAAACTCCTGTTTTGCTTGTCACTGGGTTTCTATTCTTGCAAACAAGAAATTTCAACTAACACAAATGGGATTGAAGTCTCTTTAGAAGAAAATGTAATAATATTTTATTGTCTGTGATACAATGTACCTTAATGACAAATTGATGATTGGCTTGGACTGATACATTGTGCTAATATTGAAAATGAGAGCTGGAAGAATGTGACCCAAAATAATAAATCACAGTTTTCACGAGATTCAACTTTCAACTTTTATAAAAATAGCGTTTAGAACTTTTTAGGCAATCAACATATTTGTTGATTCCTTAAGCAGATGAATAACATAACAATAAATATCTGTTTAGTATATATCATAAAATATTTTATCATTTTGCTGATAAGGTAACTCAGAAATTGTAAAATATTTCCTTGCTTGTCCTTGACTTCTGTATTGTGGGCCATTTCTCTAATTAGTACTAACTCTCTTTACCTTAGCCAGATACTCAGGTGTCATAATTATTATTCTCTCCATCAAGATCAGTGAACCAAAAAATCTGATTAATTCATTTGCTTTATAATGAAAATGATTTAAAATGTTAATAACCAAAGGGTTATTTTATTGGAGATGAGAGAAAAAGACAAGAATCATTAGTACCTTTCAAAAATTATAGAAAAGTACTTTGCAAAAACACTTTATGAAAGTACTTTGGGAAAGTATGGAAGCAAGGTTAAGTTCTTTTAGAAAAAGGTATTGTAAGAAAAGTATTTTGTTTTTAAACTTGTTATGTGACATTGAAATTTTCTTATATCTTCAACTAAAGAATGTCTGCTCAATTCATAAATTCAGAGTAAATTTGAATAAAATCAATCAAAACAATAGTGGTTTCTAAATTACTATTGGTTTCTGGCAACCGTAGTTGATATGTTGGGATATTACTATTGAATGTGTACAAGTTTGGTTTTTGTGTGTGTGTTTTTTGAGTCAGGGATATATGTGCTTGTTTGTTACGGGAGATTACATGTATGACGATGGGGCTTGGGACTATAGTGAACCCATCACCCAAATATTGAACACTGTACCAAATAGGTAATTTTTCAACTCACTTCTTCCTACCTTTCTGCTTTTGGAATTCCCAGTGTCTCTTATTTCCATCTTTATGTTCATGTGTACCAATTGAGAAAACAATATTAAACATATACTTTTAATAGCAAAGAAAAGTTGTAGATGGTGATATAGTTTGGATGTTTGTCCTCCCACATGTCATGTTGAAATGTAATCTCAAATGTTGAAGTGTGGGCCCGGTGGCAGGTGTTTGGATCATGGGATGGATTCCTCATGAATGGGTTGGTGCCATCCTCACTGTAATGAGTGAGCTCTCACTCTGAGTTCATGTTATTTAAAAGAGTCTGAGACTTCTCCCTTCTCTCTTGCTCCCTTTCTTGCCATGTGATACACTGACTCCCTCTTCACCTTCTCCCATGATTGGAAGCTTCCTGAGGCCTTCACTAGGGACAGGTGCCAGCACCATGCTTCCTGTACAGCCTACGGAACTGTGGGCAAAAATAAACCTATTTTCTTTATAAATTACCCAACCTCTGGTATTCCTACATAGCAACACAAGAACAGACTAACATAGAAAATTGGGACCAGGAGTACGGTGTTGTTGTAAAGATACTTGAAAATGTGGAAGCAGTTTTGGAACTGAGCAGAGGTTGAAAGAGTGGAGGGCTCAGAAGACAGGAAGATGAGGAAAATTTGGAACGTCTTAGAGACTTGTTCAGTGGTTGTGACGAAAATTATCATAGAAATACAGATAGTAAGACCAGGCTAATGAGGTCTCAGATGGAAATGAGGAAGTTACTGGGAACTGGAATAAAGGTCGCCTGTGTTATACCCTAGCAAAGATTGGATTGCATTTAGTTTCTGTCCTAGGGATCTGTGGAATTTTGAACTTGAGTGATGACCTAGGCTATCTGGCCAAAGAAATTTTTTTCTTTTTTTTTTGAGACAGAGTCTTGCTGTGTTGCCCAGGCTGGAGTGCAGTGGCATGATCTCAGCTCACTGCAAGCTCCGCCTCCCGGGATCACGCCATTCTCCTGCCTCAGCCTCCCAAGTAGCTGGGACTACAGGCGACTGCCACCACGTCCGGCTAATTTTTTTTATTTTTAGTAGAGACGGGGTTTCACTGTGTTAGCCAGGATGGTCTCGATCTCCTGACCTCGTGATCCACCCGCCTCGGGCTTCCAAAGTGCTGGGATTACAGGCGTGAGCCACCGCGCCCGGCCCCGAAGAAATTTTTAAGCAGCAAAGAGTTCAAGAAGTCATAAAAAAGGATGAGTTCATGTCCTTTGTAGGGACATGGATGAAGCTGGAAACCATCATTCTCAGCAAACTACCGCAAGGACAAAAAACCAAACACCTTATGTTCTCACTCATAGGTGGGAATTGAACAATGAGATCACTTGGACACAGGAAGGGGAACATCATACACCAGGGCCTGTCGTGGGGTGGGGGGAAGGGGAGGGATAGCATTAGGAGATATACCTAATGTAAATGACTAGTTAATGGGTGCAGCACACCAACATGGCACACGTGTGCATATATAACAAACCTGCACATTGTGCACATGTACCCTAGAACTTAAAGTATTAAAAAAAAAAAAAAAAAAGAAGCAGTATGGCTGCTTCTAACATCCTACAACTCACATACAGGAACAAAGAAAGGACTTAAATGTGGAACTTATAATTAAAAGAGAAATGGAATACGCAAAATGGAAAAATAAGCACCCTGGCCATGTGGCAAAGAAAGAAAAAGCATTTATAGGACTGTAATATAACTGGCCTGCAGAGCAACGACTTGCTAAAGAGACTTGCATGACTAAAGGAAGCCAAGTGCTAATATCCAAGACTATGGGGAAAAAGGCCTCAAAGCATTTCAGAAGTCTTCAGGACGGTCCCATCCATCACAGGCCCCAAGGACTAGAAAGAAAGAATGTTGTCAGGGACCAGGTCCGGGGCCTTGCTGCCCTGTGCAGCCTCAGGACACTGCTCTCCCCATATATGTTGCTTCAGCTCCAGTCATGGCTCAGGGCCCAGATACAGCTTGAGCTGCTGTTTTGGAGAACACAAGCCACTATAAGCCTTGGCATCTTTCATGTGGTGTTAAGTCTACAGGCACAAAGAATGCAAGAGTGAAAGAGACTTGGCAGTTTCCCCCTAGGTTTCAGAGGACATACAGGAAAGCCTGGGTGCCCAGGCAGAAGTCTGCTACAGGGATCCTCTACTAGGGCAGGGTCAAGGGGAAATGTGGGGTTTGAGCCTCCACACACAGTTCCCAAATGGTAGAGCCACCAGCAGCTTACATCCCAAGACTGGAAAAGCTGCAGGCACTCAACTCCTATCCAAGAGAGGAGCCATAGGGGCTTACCCTGCAAAGCAATGGGTGAAACTTCCCAAAACCTTGGGCACTCACCTCTTGCACCAGTGTTCACTGAAAGCAGAACATGGAGTTAAGAATTATTTTGGAGCTTTAAGAGTTAAGAACTGCACTACTTGATTTCAGATTCGTGTGGGGCCTTTTACCCCTTTCTTTTGGACAATTTCTTGTTTTTGGAATGGGAACATCTACCCAATGCTTGTACCACTATTGTATCTTGGGAGTAAATAACTTGTTTTGATTTGACAGGATGATGGGTGGAAGTAGCTTGACTTGACTCTCGGATGAGACTTTTGACTTTTGACTTTTTGACTGCATTGGTGCTGAGACAAGTTAAGACATTTGGGCCCTATTAGGGAGGATGATTGGATTTTGCAAAGTGAGAGGGACAATGAGATTTGGGAGCCAGGGGTGGAATCATATTGTTTGGATGTTTGTCCCTCCAAATGTCATGCTGAAATGTAATCCCCAATGTTGGAGATGGGGCCTAGTGGGAGGTGTTTGGGTCATGGAGGTGGATCCCTCATGAATGTCTTGGTGCCCACCTCATGGTAGTGAGTGAGTTCTTGCTCTATGTGTTCATGTGAGATCTCGTTGCTTCAAAGAGTCTGGGAGCTCCCTCTAGTCTCTTTTTCTCTCTCTCCCACCAAGTGCCTTCTGCCATGATTGAAAGCTTCCTGAGACCCTCACCAGGAGCAAATGCCAGTGCCATGCTTCCTGAACATCCTGCAGAACTGTGAGCCAAAATAAACCATTTTTTCTTTAAAATTACTCAGTTTCAGGTATTTCTTTATAGCAATGCAAGAACAGACCAACACAAATGACATTTCTTCCAAATAGCCACGATTCATTGTTATTAAAATCCACTCCTGAAGTGAACCACTCTCCAGAATTCACCCCTCAGAGTACATTAGTGCTAAGCTTTGATGTACTAAGAGATTTTCCACACAAACTTTCGATTTTGCAGACTGTACCTCCCTTAACTTTCTCAGAGAAAACTTTTATGAATTGAGTTATTATTCATTTGTATTTGTATTTTCTCTGATTAATTTTTTACCTGTCTTATCTTAGTGACTCCATACATGTTTTTTTTTGTCTGCCTGCCTTATTCACAGCAACAACAACAACAAACTGTTACGGAAAAAAAATACTTGCTCTTAGGGATTTAATAATCAATTCATGTGCCAAGAGATCTCGTTTCTCCATACTACCATATATATTTCTTACATAATTTATTAAAAGACTATCAAAATTATTACTGTCCTTTGAAGGGAATCACCTAACCCATCTAACCAGCTAATGGAATTTGTGGGGAGTGTGTGTGTGTGTAAATCAAAAACCCTGATACATTTGTATGTATGGTATAGCTAGATAAATTCATACCCTTAATATACATATTACTACATATTGTATAACATTATATGTGATTAATATATTCACTTTATATAAAAAGGTATTTATAAAAAATTATTCTATGATTCTAAAGTCTTTGATTATGTATATATGTGGTCTCAGATCACAGGATACTTAGAGCTAATTTTTGAGTTAGGAAAAACACAAACGTAAATACTCTAGACACTGGATTTAAATCAGTTTTTCAAACAAACCATTTTTCTCACTTTAAAAGCCTCCAAGCTATGCGTCCTCTATCTAGACGTCTCTTACATTTTTTCCACGCTTGGTTTCGGCTGAACTGTTGCTCCTCAGGGAGGTCATCGCTGAATCTCCAATCTAAATTATTCCTCTCTTTTACTGCCTCTCATAGCACTGTAATTTTTTTGTATCCCAATCTGTTTCTCCATGGTGGTACACCTAAAGCCTAACATACATTTATGTATCTATCTATCCTCACTCCTCTCTCTCTCCCTCTTTCTCTCTCTCACATATCTATCTGCTGAATGAATACATAGACCAATTAATAAGTGGAAGAGGTAGAGAAATAAAGAATGAAGAATGCTGGCAATCCCTGCCGTGCAGCTGTTTACGAGCTTTAAACTTTTCCATGAGACCAGAAAATATATCGCATAAAGAGCTGATATTGTTTGGGGACAGGATGACAAGGTAATTAAGGCCAGTCATTTGTACACAATGCTTCCCTTTGCTGTGTAAGTGCTCATTCTTGTTTGAGACTCCTGCCATGAGATTCTAGTACTTCCTACCTTTCCTCATTGCTGCCATGTACTTACCCAAAAGTCAGTATACTTCATTCACTAAAGGCTTTGAGAACAACCACAGCATCTTTTTTCATCCTGAAATTTCATCCTACATTTAAGAGATCTCAGAGTCCATGAAGAAAATACATCTAACAAATGAGTATTAAAATGTGTAGTTTTTTTAAAGTGATGACCTTTACCTCCATAACTTTGGCAAATACTTCCATAGCCAAACCTGGGTCTGGTCATCACCTGGACCAGCTCCACTTTACACATCTTAAATTCAAACATTTCACTCTTTGATGTTGATAGTGTCTTTTTCTCCTTGTTCTCATGCCATCTCTCTCCCACTCTACCTGCTCTTTAAACTCATGGACAGTCTCTTGAGCTCCACATTTACTTTCATTCGATCAGCTGCCCTCAGCTCCCTTTCTATCCTACCTAGCCAAGACCACCTGCAAAGCTGGCACTTGCCTTTCTGTTTCTTCTTTTTTTTTTTCCTTTTTTTATTTGGCTGCTAATCCCCTCGAATGTACTCTGTGGCCCATCTTGTAGAAGCCAAGTAATTGCTTTCCTGGGCTCTACTACATAGGCATGCACCCTGGGCCAGTGCCAGTCAAATGCATCATGCCAAATTGGAAATTATTAAGGTAAAAAGTGACGAGAAAACTGGCACCACATGGATTCTCTTCTGTCAAGGGTAGGATGAGCCACATTCAGTTTTATTGGTGGCAGTTCCAGAGGTTCTACTGATAGGAACCATATCCAGTGTTGGCCCTCACTGTGATGTAATCTGTGTGAGCTGAAGTGTTTGCACTGTGCCAAGGCATCTGTGTACCTCACCTGCACAGCTTTGCAGGGTGATCCTAGGGGCTTTTCTCTTTTGCACAACTTCCAAGCCTTGCACTCTGACCCACTCTTTAATACATTATATTTTTCTGATTAAACTACTCAAACTTAATTTAAACTAATTATAGCCACAATGTAGGAATCCATCTGCGGTGTTTAAGAACAGAGACACTAGATTTGGACTTTGGTTCAAATCCTGGCTCTGTAACTTGGTAGCTATTTAATCCTGTATAACTTGTTTCCCTCTCTGTGCTTTGGTTTTCTTGTCTGTTAGGGGAGGATAAGAATAGCTCTTCCCATTTTAAATGCTATATGAGTTATGCATTTGCTGTCATTGCATTTGATTGGTCATCTCAACTACCTTCCCACCAAAAACTTTAATTCTATTGTGACTTTATTTTTCTGATACACTCACCCAAGAAAACCCAACTGTAAATCAATATTACAAAATACTTTTATAATTCATTATATGAGTTGTTCAACTTTCGTAAGGAAGCTTTATGAAGACCAGGCAGACGGGTCTTTATCATCAACTTTCACTAGTTTTTGGTCAAAATCTTCTTTTATTCCCTCAAATAACAATTTCAATTTCAGAGTATCATTTGCATGCTAATTCTAGTATTTTGATCATTTAGACTATTTGATAGAATTTACTTCCTACTCGTACCACTCAAATTTCTGAAATGGCCCGCATGCCTTGTCTCCACTTCCTTAACTCGCCCACTGCAGTATGTCTTACATTTTGATCTTATGGAGATCATTCTCATTAAGGTCATCAAAACTCTCTCAATTGCCAGAACCAAATAGTAATTTCAATCCTTATTACACTGTTTCTTGCTGTGTCATGTGACAGCATTGCATGTTTCATCCTTCTTGAAACTATTTATTTCTTTAGTTTCCATAGTAACATGCTTTCACGGTTTATTTTTATACTTCTGTATCTCTTATGAACACCTCTTCCATTGTTCATGCTTTTATTTTTGCCTTCTCTATATGATTCACCAAAAAGCATACACTCCTTGACCAGTCTCCTGGTTTCAATTGCCACCAACACACTGATGTTTTCCAAATTTGTGTCTGTAGTCCAGACCTTTTCCTGAGCTTTGTAATATATTCTGGACACTGTAGATATGCACTCACTTGAAAGATTCCTTTGAATGTATGATTATTTTTAGGTAACTAGGATAGGCATAGGGCTTTTTACTCAACAGAGACAAAGATTCTAAAGGTTTTTCGCACAATGATTATAGAAATACTGTAAAATAACTTGAGGAGAAGAGCACCTGAAAGTTGAGAAGTGCAAAAAGATAAATGTCTGGTAATTGACAATCTGACTGCTTTGTAAATGACTTATCTGCTTTAATGTCGTACCACGAAATAAGCATGTAACTTTGACGGTAGGGATTTTTGAGTGTAGCAATAATAATAGTGAGGATAAGATTAAACAGAAATGGCTCCTATTGCCTAAAGGAGGTTGTTTAATGGTATTGCACTTAAAGGGTTGAATTATATTATTTCTGCCCAGTGCAGAATCTGATTTCAGCTCAGACCCCATTAGAAAGTTACTTCTTATACCATATATAGTGGAATATAATGAAGTTCTCTTACTGCCCTGTGACAGAGAATATAAAAAACATCATTTCATGGAAACCACAGGCAGTGTTATATTAGCACGTGAGAAGTCTGAGTGAGACACCAATTCTTAGTACCTGGAATTAGGGGAGGGCATTTTTTCACAGTACATTGGGTAGATATAGTTTCTTTAGCAATATAATTGGTATTCTTTTATTTAAAATCTGACAGTAGGATACATGCAGTAGGTATAGTCTGAGCAATCACCATCCTAACACAAAAAAGTGGCCCTCGGGGAAGACTAAACTGGCCATTTCATCGGAAGACAGGCAGCAGAACTTGTACAAAGGCAGAAAGGAAGAATTCAGACTGAAACAGGCAGCCTGTGATTATGGGCCTTATTGGATCCTCAGTGGAGGAAAAAATAGAATTAATATGACAATTCTGTATATAACATATTTTTTTCATATTGTTATGACTACATTATGTATAGAGTACATAGTCCCATTTTTGAATCAAACATTAAAGAGGAAAAACCTTTATTGTTTTCATAAAAGATGAATTAAATTATCTCTCAGGAATTGTGATACAGACTATATTTGCCGCTACCCGATTAATACAGTGAAGTATTTCATATTCATGGTAGACAATGCCAGGCCAGGCAAGCAGCAAAATCAACAGACTGCTGATTTAATAAATTGACTTTTAACTCTTACTTTTTTTCTGTGTGCTTAAGGATACCTGTAAGGGTACGGATTAAAGTAGATACCACTGTCCTTAATGCTATTTTATCATAATATTTATGTTTAAATGCTTTATGGTTTTTATACTAAATTTAAAATAATCATTCATAAATATACTATTTGTGTGATTCATTTATTCATTCTTTTTTGCATCAATAAATGTATTAAAATTATATTAATTATATAATCTATTTTTGATGGTGTAGATATATCAGTAATCAAAGCAGGTGAAGCCTCTGCCTTCTTGGAATTATCATTCTAGTAAAAAGGAGAGTAAATTAATGCATCAATCAAAATTAAAATCAATTTGTTTTGTAAACCACTTGTAACAAGGGAAGGTCATGGTAGTTCATCAAGTTTTCCTTCTGTAGGTTTGAACAGAGACCTGAATTAAGTGAGGGAGGAAGTGATGAGGGCATTGAGGGAAATAACACCAGAGACAGTAAAGGAAGCACCTGCACAGGCCCTGTGGCAGGCAAACACTTACTGAATTCCAGTACAACAAAAAGGGTATATGGGAGGAATGGTGGGAAATGATGGTGGAGATACACAGAAAGTCTTATTGATGGTAAAGACTTTGAATATTCCATAAGTAGGATGATGAAAAGTTATGGGTGATTTTGAATAGAACTTGAAATGATCATGACTTTTATTTTTAAAAGATTATTCTTGTCACTGAGTGGAAAACAGATTGTTGGCAATTAAGTGTGGGAGCAGGGAAACCAGTTAGGATGCTATTTCAGTGTTCACCTGGAAGATGATGCCAGGCATTCTGGTGGCAGCAGTACAGGTGGAGAGAAATGTACAGCTTTGAGATATGTTTTTGTAGAACTAATAGGATTTGCTAATGGATTGGATGTGGGGTTTGAAAAAAGGAGTAACATCAAGAATGTCTGCAAGGCCTTTGCCTTGAACTAAATAAATGTCTTAGTTATGGAGACCAAGAAAACCTTGAGAGGGCAAACCTCTGCGTTAAGTTAGTCATGGTTCAGTCAGGAAAATAGATACCATTCTGCAACTTACAAGAAAGCAGTAGGAGGAGATTTAATACAGGGTATAAGAAGATAGAAAAACCATTAAAAAGGCAAAAGAGGAAAGATCAGGGAAAGCTGCTTCCAGATTCAAGACATCAGGGAATGAGTGCAGAAATCACAGACCATTGGCACTCGTGATCTCAGTTTCTTGATGCACCAAAATGAGTGATTCAGGAGCTAGCCAGACACTGCTGGAAAAGCCTTACTTCTGTTGCCTGCTGAAGCCTATAGACCTTTATCCTTCTACCTGAACAACATTGGCTTTTGGATCAATAGCAACATATGGGAGTAAAGGCATTGTGCTGTTTGTTTATCATGAAACCATACCTGGCACAGCAGCTAACATTGGAAACATCAGTTGATTATGTGTAGGATAATCCTTGTCCTTCTTCAAGTCACATTTGCACACCAAATACATGAGTTAAATGAAGATCTACTATGAATCAATGTCCTTTATCTTTCAAGTCTTTCATAGTGGCACTAAATTTCATCATTCCTCCAGAGACATAGCACTGCTTTCAGCTTTCTACATTTTTAAAACATGCAATGGTGGCAGTGGGGAGATCAGTTTTAGAAACTTCCACTTAGCCCTTCCCAATGTAATAGATGCTTTAATTCAAGAGACAACTAGCCAAAGGAAGGATTCTGTCAATTTTCAAATAAGGAGAAAAACTGATGGATAAATCCATGAGCACATTGAGTTCACTGTAACATAGACTCCATCCAAAACTCCATTTATTCCCTACTATCACAATCTCATATCTGATTCATGTGTCACAGTAAATGTTTGGGTTTCCTTACAGATCATTATTATTTTAAAGCCAGCATTTAGTAATTCTTCAAAATTTTGGAAGGATATCTTCCTCTTGTAATCATCAAAAATAAATAAATAATCCTGTGAACCCATTGTGACTGTGGCCTAAAATTTTAGAAATTGAATGAGATTCCATAATCCAGCTGATGGCTGACAGGATGTTGGACTTTGCTGGTGGATACAGAAATAGAGAAAAGTGGCAAATTAAGGGGTAGGGAGGCAAAAAATCTTAGTGAATAAATCTATTGACAAAGGTGACATACAAATGATCCAACTGACTTAATGTGAGGCATTAAAATGACCTATAAGCAACTTCTTATGGCAGAATTATTTCAGATTTCTATATTATCAATGCAATGTATTCTAGCTGAATTGTGTACTTGAAAAAAGAGATTTGAAATCCAATATGAAGGAAAACAGTTTTTGAACCCTGTTGTATATTAGGTTTATATGTATTTAATTTTTCCAGTCTTTCTTTTATATTAATTCCATTTGTGAATTGAAAAAACTGAGGCTTACAGGTACATAATTTGCCTCTGATCATTTAAGTAGTAAATGCTAAATCTGGGGTTCAAACATAAGTCTGAGTATCAATTCTTTTCACTTACCCTACCCTTGATTCTAATTTCTTCTTCTTCTTGGGCAAACAGTCTAGACATATGCTATAATATATGCTATATATTTATATTAATATATATGAGGTAAAAATATCATCCTCTATCACATCCTAGACTTTATGATAGAACTAAACTAGGCAATTATGAAGCAGAATTTTATAAATCACAGAACTATAGGACATTAGAGATACAACAAGAGTTATAGATCATCTTTTAAAATTTTTTAAATAAAGACATTGAATTAGATATATCACTTGTCCGAAGGATAGTTTTGGCAAAGTCAGATATAAAACAAACAAAAGATAACAACAAAACCAACAAGAATACAAACAAATTATAACCACCAGATGAATTATAGGTGAATCCTTCACTTATCTAAGAAATGTATGAAAATGGTCAACAATACATCTTCAATATAAAACATTTCCCAGGCTTATAAAACCATACAGACAGATGAATAAAAATATCATAGATGTAGAGCAAAACACTGGCAAGAATGGAGGAAACTGAAAATTATGTATTATGATACTAACAAAAGATTCCAAGGAAATTCTGAACCTTTATATATAATTTCCTTGGTAAGTTAGAAAAGCAAAATATCTGTATTTTTAATTCATTTGGAAATAAAGTCTATGAAGTTATGTTTTTTCCCAATAGATCATTAAGAAGGAGATCTTTTGAAAGGCCAAAATGCTTAGCAAACTGAAATGTAAATTAACAACTGACTTTAAAATTAGTTATATTATGAAACATATTAATCTGATAGCAAAACAATTGAAACTGATGGAGAAGGTAATATAACTACCTGTTTATTGATTTTCTTTTATTCTCAAAAACAATTACACAGAATTTTAGATGTGTTATTTCAATTTGGAAATATAGGATTTAATATGATGACAGCTTATGTCATCTAGAAACTTTAAGTAGTGCAAATTAAATATTGGATCCTCCAATTTGGCATTAAATCAAAAGCTATTTTATTTTTTATTATTGTTAATATCAATATTATTTTGTTCAGGATATATTAATTAACCAAAATACAGGAGGAATTTTTTCAAAAGAAAGACATGTTAAAGTTAAATTTGTTATTTGGATCAGATGGCAAGATGGCCGAATAGGAACAGCTCTGGTCTGCAGTTCCTAGAGAGGCCAACACAGAAGACAGGTGGTTTCTGCATTTCCAACTGAGGTACCCAGTTCATCTCATTGGTACTCATTAGACAGTGGGTGCAGCCCACGGAGAGAGAGCAGAAAAAGGGTGGGGTGTAACCTCACCAGGGAAGTGCAAGGGGCTGGGGACCTCCGTCTGCTAGCCAGGGGAAACCATGAGGGATTGTGCTATCCAACCCAAATACTTCGCTTTTCCCATGGTTTTTGCAACCCGCAGAACAGAAGATTCCCTTGTGTGGCAAGACCAGGGCCCAGGGTTTCAAGTACAAAACTAGGCTGCTGTTTGGGCAGACACTGAGCTAGCTGCAGGAGTTTGTTTTGTACCCTAGTGGTGCCTGGAACCTCAGGGAGACAGAATCATTCACTCCCCTGGAAAGGGGACTGAAGCCAGGGAGCCAAGTGGTCTTACTCAGCAGGTCCCACTCCCACGGAGCCCAGCAAGCTAAGAACCACTGGCTTGAAATTCTTGCTGCCAGCAAAGCAGTCCGAAGCTGACCTGGGACCATTGAGCTTGGTTGGGGGAGGGGTGTCCACCCTCACTGAAGCTTGAGTAAGGCGGTTTTCCCCTCACAGTGTTAAGGAAGCCTCCAGGAAGTTCGGACTGTGCAGAACTCACTGCAGCATGGCCAAGCGGCTGTGGCCAGAATGCCTCTCTAGATTCCTCCTCACCGGGCAGGGCGTCTCTGAAAGAAAGGCAACAGCCTCAGTCAGGGGCTTATAGATAAAACTGCCACCTCCTTGGGACAGAGGATTGGCGGGAAGGGGTGGCTGTGGATGCAGCTTCAGCAGACTTAAATGATCCTGCCTTCTGGTTCTGAAGAGAGCAGCGGATCTCCCAGCATGGCACTCAATATCTGGTAAGGGATAGACTGCCTTCTCAAGCAGGCCCCTGACCCCCATGCCTCCTGACTGGGAGACACCTCCCAGAAGGGGTTAACTGACACATCACACAGGAGAGCTCTGGCTGACATCAGGTGGGTGCCCTTCTGGGATGAAGCTTCCAGAGGAAGAAGCAGGCAGCAATCTTTGCTGTTCTGCAGCCTCCGCTGGTGATACCCAGGCAAACAGGGTCTGGAGTGGACCTCCAGCAAACTCCAGCAGACCTGCAGAAGAGGGGCCTGACAGTTGGAACACTAACAAATGAAACCAATAATATTAACATCAACAAAAAGGACACCCACACAAAAACCCCATTCAAAGGCCATTGGCATCAAAGATCAAAGGTAAATAAATCCATGAAGCTGAGGAAAAACCAGTACAAAAGTGCTGAAAATTCCAAAAACCAGAATGCCTCTTCTCCAAATGATTGCAACTCCTCTCCAGCAAGGGCACAAAACTGGATGGAGAATGAGTTGGATGAATTGACAGAAGTAGGCTTCAGAAGGAGGGTAATAACAAACTCCTCTGAGCTAAAGGAGCATGTTCTAACCCAATGCAAGGAAGCTAAGAACTTTGATAAAAAGTTACAGGAACTGCTAACTAGAATAACCAGTTTAGGGAAGAACATAAACGACCTGATGGAGCTGAAAAACACAGCATGAGAACTTCGTGAACCATACACAAGTATCAATAGCTGAAATGATCAAGTGGAAGAAAGGATATCAAGTGACTGAAGATCCACTTAATGAAATAAAGTGTGAAGACAACATTAGAGGAAAAAGAATGAAAAGGAATGAACAAAGCCTCTAAGAAATATGGGACTCTGTGAAAAAACAAAACATACAATTCATTCATGTACCTGAAGGTTGACAGGGAGAATGGAACCAAGTTGCAAAACACACTTCAGGATATTATCCAGGAGAACTTCCCCAACCTAGCAAGACAGACCAACATTCAAATTCAGGAAATACAGAGAACAGCACTAAAATATTCCTCGAGAAGAGCAACCCCAAGATACGTAATTGTCAGAATCTCCAAGGTTGAAATGAAGGGAAAAATGTTAAGGGCAGTGAGATATGTACCATGCAAATGGAAAGCAAAATAAATAAATAAATAAATAAATAAATAGCAGGGGTTGCAATCCTAGTCTCTGATAAAACAGACTTTAAACCAACAAAGATCAAAAAAGACAAAGAAGGGCATTACATAATGGTAAAGGGACCAATGCAACAAGAACAGCTAAGTATCCTAAATATATATGCACTCAATACAGGAGCACCCAGATTCATAAAGCAAGTTCTTAGAGACTACAAAGAGACTTAGACTCCCACACAATAATAGTAGGAGACTTTAACACCCACTGTCAATATTAGATCAACGAGACAGAAAATTATCAAGGATATTCAGGACTTGAACTCAGCTCTGGACCAAGCAGACCTAATAGATCTTGACAGAACACTCCACCCCAAATCAACAGAATATACATTCTGCTCAGCACCACATAGCACTTTTTCTAAAATCGAACACATAATTAGAAGTAAAACACTCCTCAGCAAATGCAAAAGAACGGAAATTATAACAACAGCCTCTCAGACCACAGTGCAATCAAATTAGAAATCAGGATTAAGAAACTGTCTCAAAACCGCACAACTACATGGAAATTGAATAATCTGCTTCTGTATGACTACTGGGTAAATAACACAATTAAGGCAGAAATAAATAAGTTCTTTGAAACCAATGAGAACAAAGACACAAAGTAGCAGAGTCTCTGGGACACAGCTAAAACAGTGTTAAGAGGGAAATTTATAATACTAAATGCCCACATCAGAAAGTGGGAAAGATCTAAAATCAAAATCCTAACATCACAATTAAAAGAACCAGAGAAGCAAGAGCAAACAAATTCAAAAGCTAGCAGAAGACAATAAGTAAATAAGATTGGAGTGGAACTGAAGGAGATAGAGACACGAAAAACCCTTCAAAAAATCAAGAATCCAGGAGCTGGTTTTTTGAAAAGACTAACAAAATAGACTGCCAGGCAGACTAATAAAGAAGAAAAGAGAGAAGAATCAAATAGACACAATAAAAAATGATAAAGGTGATATCACGACTGATCCCACAGAAATAAAAACTACCATCAGAGAATACTAGAAACACCTCTACACAAATAAACAAGAAAAGCTAGAAGAAATGCATACATTTCTGGACACATACACCATCCCAAGACTAAATCAGGAAGAAGTCAAATCCCTGACTAGACCAATAACGAGTTCTGAAATTGAGGCAGTAATGAATAGCCTACCAACCAAAAAAAGCCCAGGAGCAGACAGATTCACAGAGGAATTTATTAGAGGTACAAAGAAGAGTTGGTATCATTCCTTCTGAAACTATTCCAAACAATAGAAAAAGAGGGAACCCTCCCTAACTCATTTTATGAGGCCAGCATCATCCTGATACCAAAACCTGGCAGAGACACAACAACAACAACAACAAATCCGACCAATATCCCTGATGAACATCAATGCGAAAATCCTCAATAAAATACTGGCAAACCGAATCCAGCAGCACATCAAAAAGCTTATCCACTGCAATCAAATTGGGTTCATCTCTGGGATGCAAGTCTGTTTCAACATATGCAAATCAATAAACGAAATCCATCAAATAAACAGAACCAACGACAAAAACCACATGATTATCTCAAAAAGTCCTTCGATAAAATTCAACACCCCTCCATGCTAACAACACTCAATAAACTAGATATTGATGAAACGTATCTCATAATAATAAGAGCTATTTATGACAAACCCACAGCCGATATCATACTGAATGGGCAAGAGCTGGAAGCATTCCCTTTGAAAACTGGCACAAGGCAAGGATACCCTCTCTCAGCACTCCTAGTCAACATAGTATTGGAAATTCTGGCCAGGGCAATCAGGCAAGATAAAGAAATAAAGTCTATTCAAACAGCAAGAGAGGAAGTGAAATTGTCTCTGTTTGCAGATGACATGATTGTATATTTAGAAAACCCCATCATCTCAGCCCAAAAACTCCTTAAGCAGATAAGCAACTTCAGCAAAGTCTCAGGATACAAAATCAATGTGCAGAAATCACAAGTGTTCTTATACACCAGTAATAGACAAACAGAGAGCCAAATCATAAGTGAACTCCCATTCACAATTGCTACAAAGAAAATAAAATACCTAGGAACACAACTTACAAGGGATGTGAAGGACCTCTTTAAGGAGAACTACAAACCACTGCTCAAGGAAATAAGAGAGGACACAAACAAATGGAAAAACATTCCATGCTCATGGATAGGAAGAATCAGTATCCCGAAAATGGCCCTATTGCCCAAAGTAATTTATAGATTCAATGCTATTCCCATCAAGCTACCATTGACTTTCTTCACAGAATTAGAAAAAACTACTTTAAAGTTCATATGGAACCAAAATAAGAGCCCCTATAGCCAAGGCAATCCTAAGCAAAAAGAACAAAGCTGGAGGCATCATGCTACCTGACTTCAAACTATACTACAAAGCTACAGTAACCAAAATAGCATGGTACTGGTACAAAAACAGATATATAGGCCAATGGAACAGAACAGAGGCCTCAGAAACAACATCACACATCTACAACCATCTGATCTTTGACAAACCTGACAATAACAAGCAACGGGGAAAGGATTCTCTATATAATAAATGGTGCTGGGAAAAATGGCTAGTCATATGCAGAAAACTGAAACTGGACCCCTTCCTTATACCTTATAAAAAGTTAACTCAAGATGGATTAAAGATTTAAATGTAAAGCCTATAACTATAAAATCCCTAAAAGAAAACCGAGGCAATACCATTCAGGACATAGGCATGGGCAAACACTTCATGGCTAAAACACCAAAAGCAATGGCAACAAAAGCCAAAATTCATAAATGGGATCTAATTAAACTAAAGAGCTTCTGCACAGCAAAAGAAACTATCATCAGAGTGAACAGGCCACCTACAGAATGGGAGAAAATTTTTGCAATCCATTCGTCTGACAAAGGTCTATTATCCAGAATCTACAAGGAACTTAAGCAAATTTACAAGAACAAAACAAACAACTCCATCAAAAATTGGGTGAAGGATATGAACAGACACTCCTCAAAAGAAGACATTTATGTGGCCAAAAAACATGAAAAAAAGCTCAGCATCACTTGTCTTTAGTGAAATGCAAATCAAAACCACAATGAGATACCATCTCATGCCAGTTAGAATGGTGATCATTAAAAAGTCAGGAAACAACAGAAGCTAGCAAGGGTGTAGAGAAATAAGAACTCTTTTACACTGTTGGTGGGAGTGTAAATTAGTTCAACCATTGTTGAAGACAATGTGGCTATTCTTCAAGGATCTAGAACTAGAAATACCATTTGACCCAGCAATCCCATTACTGGGATATACCCAAAAGATTATAAATCATTCTACTATAAAGACACAGGCACAAGTATGTTTACTGCAGCACTATTGACAATAGCAAAGACTTGGAACCAACCCAAATGCCCATCAATGATAGACTGGATAAAGAAAATGTGGCACATATACACCATTGAATACTATGCAGCCATAAAGAAGAATGAGTTCATGTCCTTTGCAGGGACATGGATGAAGCTGGAAACCATCACTCAGCAAACTAAAACAGGAACAGAAAACCAAACACCGCATGTTCTCACTCATAAGTGGGAGTTGAACAATAAGAACACATAAACACAGGGAGGGGAACATCACACACCAGAGCTTGCCGGGGGGTTGAGGGAAAGCGAAGGGAGAGCATTAGAACAAATACCTAATGCATGCATGGCTTAAAATTTAGATGACGGGTCGATGGGTGCAGCAAACCACCATGGCACATGTATACCTATGTAACAAACCTGCACGTTCTGCACATGTATCCCAGAACTTAAAGTATAGTAAATAAAAATAAATAAATAAATAAATTTGTTATTTGATTTGTTTATATAATTTTTATGTCTCATTTCTTTTTCTCACCTTATCTTGAAACTTACATGCATTTTTCTATTTATGTATTAAATGTGTAGTCTAGAACAGAACAATAACAAATACAGTCCACTAAGGTAATGCCATAAAAGCTGTTCATAATTTAACAACTTTAATACTGTGCTTTATGCATAAATGACAATGACTCCTTTACAAAATAAAAATTATTTTTAAAATCTTAGCTTTAAACTACATCTCTAATAAAACACTTTCATGATTAGAAACACAGCAACAATTCTGTGGAGTTAAAACTAAGCATAATCATGAACAGGGCCATTAAACTATAATGAAGAGTATGAGACCCATCTGTATTGACATACAGGTGATAAGAAGTGCATTAGAAATATTGATGATGGATTTTACATGAGATGGGAAAGCAATGACTTCCCTATAGACATTTTCTTATACATTTGCCTAATTTGCTATTATGAAATCATCCAGCTTTGTCTTTTTATTATTTTTTTCAAGTTGTCTGCATTAAATGCTGAAGGCACTGTACAGAGTCTGTGTTTAAAGCAGTATTCACAAAGGGTGATTTGGAACTCTTGTTTCCAAGTAAATATTTGCAGCAAGCCTTTTAACAGAACTCATAGAATGTTGTTCACACTACTTGAATTTTATGCTCTAAACCGTGGAAAAAAGAAATAAAAACAATCCTCCAGCATGTGTAGAGAATCAGATTGTTTAAACAATCTAGAATATTTTAAAAATTAGAGAGAAGCAAATTCTGATTTGTAATCCCCTCATGAAGACAAGTATAAAATATGAGTGTATTTTCATTTTGGCCAAATTTACAAGGTGTTTTTTGTTTGTTTGTTTTCATGTTTTTTTTTTTTATTTATTTCTCTGTGTAAACTGCCACATCACATAAAACCAGAAAATACATCATGACCCTTTTGGAAGATATAGCGTCCTTCATGTATAAAGTTGGTGCCACTTTGTCTTGATCATCTAGTGTATGTATTTTGGTAATAATAATTGATTTGTGTTATTACCTCTTTATTTTAATACCCCTCAGAGGCCATGACTACCACTAAGACATTAAACGTTATGGAGCGTTATGATAGCCTCTAGTTCTGGGGACATTTATCACTTAGCGTTGTTTAGAGATGAAAAAGTTTAAGTTATGAAGTCAGTTTGCATCTCTTAAGTAACTTTTCCTCATTACAAGCAAACAAACACAACAATAAAAACTATATATATATATATATATATATTTTGTTTTTTTTTTTTTTGTTTTTTTTTTTTTTTCAAGCAGGAGAGTAGCTTGAACCCGGGAGGTGGAGGTTGCAGTGAGTCAAGATCCTGCCACTGCACTCCAGCCTGGGCAACAAGAGTGAAACTCCATCTCAAAAAAAATAAAAAATAAAAAATAAACTGTCTATCAAAAAAAGTTGATTACTATAGACGTAGTATTCAGCAAAATAATATGTATTTTCCTCATTTTCACATTTATCATAAGTAATATCAATGTAGTAAATTCCAAGACTAGCAATAGAGGAGATTGTTTAGATTAATCATGCTGAACAAAGAAGAGAAATTATTTCTAAACCAGAGTGTCTTATTTGAGAATTTATGGCAATCTCTGGACCTGATTCTTTTTAATTTGAGTGAAAGAAGACAAGGACATTTGACCACTGATTGACAATATTTCAGGCAGGAAAAAAATTTGAAGAAGTCATAAAATCTCAGTAACATACCTAAATTCTAATTCTGCAGTGTTTTTCCCACTAATAAATACAAAATAATTGCCAAAAAAAAGCCTGTTTCCCACAGATTAGCTTTTATTTTCTTTTAATTTTCCTAACTGGTGGGTTTTGGCATGACAGAGAAAATAAACTTGTTGTCCATCTGTAGTTTGGCACTAAACAGTAATTCACATTGAATTAGTGGTAATTTCCTAGTAATTTTATAAGGTGGTTCACAATTCAAAATAATTATCTGGATTTTATAAGAACTGTATATAAAGTAGAATTAGCTGCTATGGTCATCACTGTTGCAACATATGTCTCTCTTCAACTGGCTAAAGTAGAATTTAAAATTAAATATGTCTTCTAATTGGATATATTCTGAATGATAATCAGATATAATTCCCTAATTTTGCATAGTTTTTTTTAATTATACTTCAAGTTCTAGGGTACATGTGCACAACATGGAGGTTTATTACATATGTATACATGCGCCATGTTGGTGTGCTGCACCCATTAACTCGTCATTTACATTAGGTATATCTCCTAATGCTATCCCAAATAATAACATATAATATTTTATTAGCTAGCAAAGTTCTTAGTTTTCACTCCCTTTAAAAAGAAGAAAATATAGATACCCGTTTAAGTCACCATAACATATTAGGGCTTGCTGGGGCTTTGTAGCCACAGACCTGAGTTTCAATCCTAATTGAGCCACCTCAAATGTAAAGTTTCTCAAATCCTCCAGCCTGGTTTCTATAAAATTTGAATATGTATAATAATGTCTACCAAATAGAGTTATCATGATGGTTAGAGTTAATTCTTAACATAGTGTCTGCTGTTTAGTTGGCACCCATCAAATGGCAATAATGTTATTTAAAAATGTTTCCCAAACAAGAGGAATGAATATTTGAATATCTATCTATTCATTTAATGCTGAAATACATGGCAGTTGAGAACAATGTCTTGATGTCATATATTTTGCTATTCTTATTTATCTTTCCTCTCCCTTGTAATAACCCATTTACCCATTTAAATGTTTTCTTTTTTTTTTTTTGGCTTCAACTGTATGTAAGGCCTTGTGTACACATGTGTAGAGAGCCTGGAGCATCATTAGGTGCAAATTAGAAGTGACAGAAAGGCCGGGTGCAGTGGCTCATGCCTGTAATCCAAGCACTTTGGGAGGCTGAGGCAGGTGGATCACGAGGTCAGGAGTTCAAGACCAGCCTGGCCAAGATGGTGAAACCCTGTCTCTACTAAAAAACTACAAAAGTTAGCCAGGCGCAGTGGCAGGTGCCTGCAATCCCAGCTACTCGGGAGGCTGAGGCAGGAGAATCACTTGAACTCAGGCGGCAAGGGTTTCAGTGAGCCGAGATTGCACCACTGCATGCCAGACTGGGCAACAGAGAGAGACTCTGTCTCAAAAAATAAAATAATATAAAAAGAAGTGACAGAAAGCAGGGGCAGCAGTGAGGGATCTCTGGTCTCTTACCATCCCGAAGAGAGGCACACGTGGGCAGGATCAATCTGGGTCCCTTTGGGCGCTGCTTTTGGAGATGGACTTTGCCCCCATGTGGCTTTCTCTTTGTGCATAACTATAAGAGTGGACTTGTAAGAGGAATACATGTTTTGAGGTCAAATATTAAGAAAATTGAATTTTTGTGCCAACACTTGAGAATGCTGGAAAGTACCAGTGCCCAGCACCTAGACAACTGCAGTTCTCCAGCCTCATGAGACACTGAGATTAGGTGCAGCACCTCATGTTGGATGCTTAGACAAACCATGAGAGCTTCCAATATTATTCACCAGATAGTGTTATTGGTCTTCACAACAGAGCAATGACAGTTTCCCCTTGAGGTGTCATCTTAGTTTCCTTGTTCTCTACTACTAGTGCTTTCGTTTGGCAACAAGAAAATCCTACCATCCTTGAATGTATATAAAGATGCTGTGTGAAATATAAGTCCTCCAATGACCTTGGAGGGAGAAAATGGTAAGACCCACTGGCTGCAAACTAGTGGTACAAAACTGGACATGTAACATCACAGTGTTCCATATTAAAGTAAAATTTGCCAAGTGTGGTGGCTCACATATGTTGGGATAATGCTTTGAGAGTCCATGGTGGGAGGATAACTTGAGACCAGAAGTTTGAGATCAGCCTGAGCAACATAACAAGACCTAATTTCTAAAATAAAAATAATAATTAGCAGGGCAAGTGGCATATGCCTATAGTCCTAGCTAGGACTCAGGAAGCTGAGGTGCGTGGATCACTTGAGCCCAGGATTTCAAGACTGCAGTGAGCTCTGATAATGCCACTGCAATGAGCTGCCCTCCAGCCTGGGCAACAGAATGAGACCCCCGTTTCAAACAAACAAACAAAAACCACAAAAAACAAAAAGCAAAATTCTTCATGGGATCCATATATTATTCAGATAAGATTAAAGAGTTGAAACCATGAGCAGTTAGTTTATTTCTAGCATTAGAAGCTTTTCTGTTGTGTTGGTAAAGCGCTATTGCAATGCAAAAACTGCAAGGCTGTATGTGCAACTCTGCCTTGATAAGTACTCTGCAGATAACATTTAAATGTCACAGGTGCCATTGAGATTATATGTGAAGTAAATTTTTGAATGTGCTTTATGATCTCAAAAGTATTATAAAATATTAATCATTTTAATAGTGCTTCTGCAGATTTTGGAACAGAGACATAAACCTGAGTGTTTGAGTTAGTGTTTTCAATGCCTTTAAAAGGGCAAATATAATTAAAACCAAATAATAATAATTGCAGGAAATTTAGATTTTTCTCTGTCGTAAGTTTTGCTTTCAGTTATTTCTAACAATATAGGTAAGACATTATTCTGTTTTCTGTGTTAAAGATTGTTTCTATAATATTGAGTGCTATGATAGTAAGTACAAAACAACAAAACACCCATAGCCAAAAATATTAACAGTGGCATTCTCTGGTAAAGGAGGTTACAGGAATTTTATTTAATTCATTTATATTTTTAATATTTCCTAAATTTTATATTCAATTTGTTTTTATGATAAAACAGCTGTTAAAAATATATAGGAGTACAAAATTGCTCCTAAAATACTTTTACCTATTTTCAAATGTTCAAAATCCACATAATAGTTCCCCCCTTATCAATGGTGATATATCACAATGTCTCCAGTGGTTGCCTGAAACTGAAGATAGTAATCAACCCTGTATACACAAAGGGTTTTTTTCTATACATACGTACCTATGACTAAGTTAATTTATAAATTAGACACAAAAGAGATTAACAATAATAGTAGAACAATTATAACAATATGCTAGCATTACTACTCTTGCACTTTGGGGCTATTATTAAGTAAAATGAGGTAACTGGAACACAATCACTGTGATAGTAGTAGGGACAGTTGATCTGATAACCCAGACTGCTGCTAAGTGAGTAACAGAAGAGCAGCTCGTACAGCATGGATATAATGGACAACAGGATGATTCACACCCCTGGTAGGACAGAGCTGGGCTGCAGATTTCACCATGCTATTCAGAAATGCATGCAGCTTACAATTCACAACTTGTTTATTTCTCGAATTTTCCACTTAATATGTTTAGACTGCAGTTGACTGCAGGTAACAAACCACAGAACGCAAAACTACAGATATGGGTATTTAATAGTATGTCATAATAGTTGTGTGTTTACTGTTCCATTGCTTAATGAGTTTTGTTTTTTGCCTCTCCAAGATATTAGACTATAAAGGACTCAAAAGCACTGGAACATAACTAATAGGAAATAAGAGGACACCAACTTTAGGGTTTTAATAGCCTTATATCATGAATGTGTCCTTTTAATTCTATTACCTTCACAGAATGGTTCGGTGACTTTGTTTTCCCACATCTGAAATGATAGCTTCTTTGTAAGTTAGAAGTTCCTAACATACATATCTTTTGTAAGATGTCTGTATGTACTAGTATCATTTCTTAGAATGGAAACCTGTAGCTAAGTTGCTAAGCAACATTGTAATCAAGATCTACAGCTATCACTTGGTCCTATTTCAGTTTTCCCAGCTGAAAGCTGTCAATCATTGACAGTCTGAGTCAAAACTAATTTTATCCCGGTGGGTATTAGGACAAAAGATGGCAAGACAGACCACCAAAAGCAGTTTCACTAAGAGGAAAGATAAATTAAGACGGGGCCAAACATATATATAGGTTCATATATATACATATATGAAGGCCATCAGAGTATTATAGGTTAAGAAGGTGTTATGCTTTGGCTCTGCATCCCTACCCAAATCTCATCTAGCACTATAATCTCCACGTGTGGAGGGAGGGAAGTGATTGGATCATGGGGGTGGATTTCCCCATGCTTTTCTCATAGTAGTGAGTGAGTTCTCACGAGACCTGATGGTTTTTAAAGTGTTTCACAGTTCCTCCATTTGCTTACTCTCTCTTGCTGCCTTTTGAAGAGGGTGCTTGCTTCTCCTTCGCGTTCCACCATAATTGTAAGTTTTTTGAGGCCTCCTCAGCCATGCAGAACTGTGAGTCAATTAACTCTCTTTCCTTTGTAAATTACCCAGTTTCAGGTAGTATTCTTTATAAGAAGGTAAAGGGGAAAAATGATGACGTGTTAATAGAAGCAGAGGGGAGGAAAGATGATATGATGCAGGGCAACAACCCAAGGAATGTGTAGGTGGCCTCTGGAAGCTGGAAAAAGCAGGGAGACAGATTCTCCCCTACAGCCTTCATAAGGAACTAGCCTGGACAATACCTTGTTTTTAGCCCCATAAGAATCATTTCAGACTTCTGACCTCCAGAACTATAAGAGAATAAATTTGTGTTATTTTAAGACACACAGTTTGTAGTAATAAGTTACAGCAGCAATAGAAAACTAACAGAGATCTCTTTGGTACTAACAATTTCTAAACCTTAGCAATTGAGTGTTCAGTTCCCATGTTTTTATTCCTCCTTTCTCACAAGTACTCTGCCCACTCCAAGGCTCTCAGAAGGCAGAGACTTTTCTTCCATATTTAGGATAAACACAGCTCAATGGTAGAAGCAAATATAGCAAACCTATCATCAGATTATCTGCCATTCATGTTATAATGAATAACTGTAAGAATTAATTGCACTTTTTCACTGCAGTCATAACATCAATACATTTAGAGATAAAAGAAAACTTGGAGATCATTTTAATCCTTTTTCAATAATAATTCATTTCATTTGTATAGCACAAAATTTCAAAGTCTTAGGATGTACAGAGTCTCATTTTCTACTCCCTTTAACTATATTAGGCAGGATTCCCAGGAACTGATATCCTCACTTGAAAGATAAGCTACAAATTCAAGGTAAATAAACACTCTATACTAAAAGCAGTCAAACTGGAACAAAAATCCAAAGCTTCTAATTAGAAGTCAACTCCTCTTTTCATCCTCTGATTAAAAATCTACTTTTTACAATCTCGCTGTGATACATATATTTCACTTTTATCTTCTTCATGTTTATTCTTTAAACTTAAGACACATAGGAAGCATTTCATCAAAAGAATTAGCCTACCATGGTCACACGGCTAATTACTTATTAGACATTAGACATTATAAACTAAATTTTATGATTTCACATAAACTGAGTAATGTCTAAATTGTCAGCAAATATAATTAATCTTGAATGCTGTTCCTGGGTTGTTGTCAAAGACAAGATATCCCTCAACAAGACAGATTTCAATAATGTAAAATGTCACAGTGCAGGTAACGTAATGCATTGCAGTGGCATAAAATATTCCAGGTGATGAGACAGAATTTTTCATCTATAAATCCAGGAGGAGATGGAATGTTTTAATGAATAAGTCAAGAAATATCAGATAATTTTAAAAATACATTCTATAGGCCGGGCGCTGTGGCCCACACCTGTAATCCCAGCACTTTGGGAAGCTGAGGTGGGTGGATCACACCTGAGGTCAGGAGTTCAAGACCAGCCTGGCCAACATGGTGAAACCCCATCTCTACTAAAAATACAAAAAAATTAGCCAGATGTGGTGGCATGCGCCTGTAATCCCAGCTACTTGGGAAGCTGAGGCAGGAGAATCGCTTGAACCTAGGAGGCATAGGTTGCAGTGAGCCAAGATCATGCCATTGCACTCCAGCCTGGGCAACAAAAGCAAAACTCTGTCTCAAAAAAAATATATACATTCTATAATCCTTAGTCCTACTGTGATGCACAAAATTGAAGGATGAATAATCTCAGGATCAATGGAGGGTCTACCCATACTCAGGCAAATATCCTTATTGTATTTTTATAATACATTAATTCATCCTACCAGACTCAGTTAAAGATTCACAGTGGAGTTGGAGAACCAACATTGTACTCAGGAGGGCCAGGGCAGCAGATCATAGATGAAAAAGTGCAGGGTCATTTCAGAAAATGGGGAATTCAATTTAATTTACATGAAAGATATGTGAAAGGGAGCAGTTAAAAATAAGACTGAGAAATTAGATTGGGAGAGGTCTTGAATGCCAGGCTAAGAATTTTTTATTTTGTTTTATGGTCAGTGGACATTTCTAGTGTATGGGTCTGACATGAACAATAGACCATGTTTTAGAGAGATTACTCTGAATGGAATACATGTGGGATAACTTGGAAGGGAAAGGATTGGAGATGAAGAGAATACTACAGTAGTTCAGATGAGATAAAATAAGAGTGTAAAGTCATTTCTGTTTCTTTTGGTAATAATAAGTAGCGTGTGCACTAACAATGCACCAAGCATTTCTCAAGCGTTTACTTGTGATAATTAATTAAATCTTTACAATTTATATTTGAGTAGCTTTCACTATTATCTCCATTTACAGATGAAGAAATGGAGGCATATAGAAGTTAATAGATTTGCCCAATGTCACAGAACTTGTAATTTGTTGGTTGACCAATTTTGAACACTGAGTCTGGCTTTGAAATCATAACTCTATATACTGCTCATAAGTAACAAAGAAAAGAATATACAATTCTGTAAACACAGAAATAGTCCCATTTTATAACTTTTTAGCAAGGCTTTCAACTTGATAGATGCATGCACTTGCATGCTATATATTTATTTTTGTTCTTGACCTGAAAGAATGCATCTAGGCTCATCTAGAAAGAAGCAAAATATTGAGGTTAGAAACACTGTTCATGGACTGTTGATCATTATTTTTGTTTTTTCATTGTACTTCACTATTTCAATGGTATTTATTGAGCACTTACTATATGTCCAGCACTTTGCCCTTCACTGAGAGACAGACAGCTCTTGCTCTCTTGGAGCATGAGCTCTTTTGGGTTTTAGATTTTCTATGAATCCCATTGCTACTGGTTGATGCCAATATTCTGTGTAGAGCGATTGTTACTGTGTCGGCATGTTCAAACTGGTTTCCTTTTTTGCATTATGTTTATAAATGCTGCATACTATTATATAAAGAAGAAATTTTCAAGTTATAAAATACCAAGTCTCAGCCACTTTTAACATTTCAGTGTCTTTTCAAAGCCTGCGAGATTCTAGCATCTTATGGTTATGCCCACTGAACATTCTGAGTGGTATGACATGAATGAAGCTGATTCTGTTACGTAAAGATAAAAATCACAGATTGCATGCAGCTAAAAATTATGGTTATTAAAATATAAATCATAATTTTATAATGGCTTGTTTAACAGATAACATTTGTTTATGGATAATGGTCTGTTTAATGGGTAATATTTAATCCCACCTACTTAAAAGATCTAATTCTTAGCAATGTAAAGGATTCTTGTGTTATAAGCTTTAGATATTGAAATTGAATTGGTAAAACTTGTTCTGTTCTTATATTCTTTGTCTACTGGGTGCACTTTGATTAATAATAGCTTCTTTATAGCTATTTTAGCTATAACTAATATCTGGAGAGATTGAATGCATGTGACTTATTGAGAAGTTTTGACATATATCAAAAATTTATGACATTTTCACATCCTACTCAGTATGCTCCTCTCAGTTTTAAGCTTCTTCTTAATTGAATAACCCTTCTTTTATCTCCATGAAAGATTACAAAAAGTATATTTAAATGACAAATGCTTTAGAAAATATTTTGAAGAAATGTATAAATGCCTGAAGCTCCATGTGCATAGCCAAGTTCTGTACAAATATTAACTTCCTTCATAAATTGTTTTTGATCCATAACATTGCTAGATCATGAAAATTCAGTAACAGAAGTTTCATATTTCAAAAGTGGGAGATAAAATTACTCTTGTCAGAGCTAGGCAGGACCTGAGCCTTAATATACAAATAACTTTTCCCAGTGACTTTATAGGCTTCCGGGAACTACTCAGTTATGAAAGAAACAAAGATTAAGTTTGTCTTCCATTATTCTTTGATAATAGAAAGTAAGACATAAATAATTTCCCTCATTATCTTTCTTTAAAGAGTCTTGATTTGCATTTGGCTAGTACACCATTAACAATATTAATTGGATCATCCTTTTATTCACCTAAAAATAGCCATTGAAAGATTATACACAATCATTTTGTACCAGACCCAGTGTCATTTGTGAAAGAACAAATCCTTCTATAACCAATGTCATGTAGTCTAATACACATTAGGAAAAAATGACTATTTGTGAATAACAGATCCACAGGGAAAACTACATTTTTATGTAAGTGTAGAAAGGAAAAAAAATATTAGATGTCTGGTACATTAATCTTCAAGAAAATACTGAAGTATATCATTTGTTTTGAGGCTCATTTTTACCCTGTGAATATTTCAGATCACTTTTTTTATATGAGAAAAAAATAACTCACTCAACTCATTACTACTGACAGCACATTGTATGAGGAGACATTACATCATAAAGAAGCAGAAAATTTCCCGTCTCAAAGCAGTTTCAAAGCTGGAAGGAAATTACATTCTTTCGCTTTTTATTCCCATTTCTAATCACTAATTTTTGCAATCAGGTATGAGAGTGATGAACTGTGGAACTGGAAAATTTCATTTTCCAGCAACCTGCACATAAAAGGCGTGCAAAAGAAATCCATTAACCTCTCTTCAGAAGTAACAGAAAGAACTAACGTGTGTCTGTGTAGTATTTTCATAGGCTCAAGAAGGGTCCTTTGCTTAACCAGCTATTTAGGGGAGCTTTTAATCTATGTGTCGCTTTTTAAAAAAATATTCCACAAGGGCACACTTTCTACAGGAAATGATTCACATTAGAGAATCTCAAAATTTGGATTGAGTTTCCTTAAAGGAGTAAACAATTATAAACAAAAAGTATGTGTTTGTGTATCATTTTATCTGAAAATGAGTTTCCCATTAAGCTGTGCAGCTTGTCTACTCGTCATTCCTTCAGGGCTTTGGTGGGGTGTCAGTTCCTCCACAAAGTTGTTTCCGATGCACCTAGCTTCTCCCAGGACGTTAGGTATTTTCCTCTTAGTTTGCTCCCAGCATTTGTACTCAATTTTATTATAGCTGTTACCACACTATAATTATTTTCTTATGTCTCAATCTTTAATTCTGAAATATAAATTTCTCCAGGCATGGACCCCATCTTTTATTCATCTATCTCCATATCTGGCATAATGGATTATTTTGGGTTCTCCCCAAAGTAGACTGTTAGTCAAGGCTTCAAGTCAAGTAGTTTATTTGGGAAATGCAGGCAACACTGCTAGGGAAAAAGATAAGTGATACAGAAAAGGGGTATCCATTCAGTGCTGAACTATTAAGTGGGACTACCATGTTAAGTGTTGGGAAAACTTGGAAAAATGGTCCAAAATGCAGACCTCACAATTCTTCCTGAGTAATAAAGGATTTGGGTAATTAAACAGCAACTACAGAGAATAATTGGTTGAGAACTACAGCTTTGTGGAGTTGTTTTTTGTTTTTGTTTTTGTTTTTTTAAAAACACACATACCTCAGGCACATACCTGTAAATACTGGCATTTGAAAGCCCACCTGAACACACAAAAAGCTTCAAGGGATATGAAATACATAGTGGATGCTAGAGTCTACATTTAGCATGGCTCAGATCCACTCAGGCCTAATGTTAAATTTATTCCCTCTCATTGCTGTTTGTTTTTTTTTTTTCTTTTTATTTTTTTTATTATACTTAAAAAAATTTTTTTTATTATACTTTAAGTTTTAAGGTACATGTGCACAACGTGCAGGTTTGTTACATATGTATACATGTGCCATGTTGGTGTGCTGCACCCATTAACTCATCATTTACATTAAGTATATCTCCTAATGCTATCCCTCCCCCCTCTGCCCACCCCACAACAGGCCCCAGTGTGTGATGTTCCCCTTCCTGTGTCCAGATGTTCTCATTGTTCAATTCCCACCTATGAGTGAGAACATGTGGTGTTTGGTTTTCTGTCCTTGCGATAGTTTGCTGAGAATGATGGTTTCCAGCTTTTCCAGCTTCATCCATGTCCCTACAAAGGACATGAACTCATCCTTTTCATTGCTGTTTCTTTAATATGGTTGTCAATCACAATTTAAGGGGGTCAAAGGAAGACTTAATAAAGGAGATCTAGTGAAACAAACTACAGCAACGGACATTCGTCTTGTTTCTCCAATACATTTAATTTCAGATACCCCTCATTCTCAGCCAGCACTTTGTTCTTCTGGAATGCTTGCCTAACGGCAGAACTCAAACCTTCATTCCTAAGGCGTCTGAGCTGCTTACTTCTTTGCCCTGGTAAAACCATAGTGCTGCAGGTGCCCATTTACAACTATTACTAGACATGGAAGCACAATGAGTTGCCCAAGTGTATCTCCTACTGCCCACTTTATAGCAGCAACCTTATTTCCTCGTATTAATCAGGATCAATTAGTGCTTCTGGTATAAAATACCTTTTAAGTTTTATTTTTAATTTTTTTCTGAACAGTATTACTACAATACTGAAAAAAAAAAAACACCTATTTTTGCTGGCTGGCCTATTGACCAAGCAGGTCCTCATAAGTTTTATTGTAGTGTGCTAAATTTAGTGGTGTGCTGATTTATGCTAGACAACTCATTGTCTCTATTGTGTTATACAACACCTCTGCAGTGGATGTTCTTTAGTGAACATCAGCTGGAGATGCAGAGATCCATTATCTCTGTGGCTAATCCCATGCGTACATCCATATTCCCCCATCCCCTGATGTGTTTAAATGTTGCCATTTCAAGTCCCTAACCAATCAGCTAAGCTATTTGCTGCTACTCTGAATTCTGAGAACATCTTGATCTCAGGTCAGCTCTCCCTCCACAGAAATTGATTATTTGAATCTCTGCCCACTGAGATACAATTCCCTCATCACTGTCATTCAGAGCCACATTTCAGTGAGGCTCTAGGGTTACAGCAGTTCATCTTAAGCTTGTGCTAATATGTGTATCCAGCCATCTATGAACCAGGCCTTAGTTTTTTCATTTCCAGTAGCAGATCATAGGAAGACCCCAAGAGACCACGGGTGTAAGCTGAGGGAGAGGCATCAGTGAAAATGATAAATGGCATGGTCACCTGCATGTGTAAGTTACTTGTGTCTTCCAAACTTGATTGGTCCAGATTCAAAATGTTTAATTTCAATTGTATTTTGGGTTACTTTGGTACCTGTTTGCCCTTGTGACTTGATGGTTTTTATAATACCCAGTTGATATGGTTTGGCTCTGTGTCCCAACCCAAATCTTATCTAGACTTGTAATCCCCATGTATTGAGGGAGGGAACTGATGGGAAGTGATTAGATCATGGGAGTGGTTTCCCCCATGCTGTTCTTGTGAGAGGGAGTTTTCACAAGAGCTGATAGTTTTAAAGTGTGGCACTTCCTCGCTCTTTCACTTGCCTCTATGTAAGACGTGCCTTGCTTACATATGAAGGGAAACTGCACCTTCTGCCATGATTGTAAATTTCCTGAGGCCCCCCCCAACCTATGTATAACTGCCAGTCAATTAAACCTCCTTTCTTTATAAATCACCCAGTCTCAGGTAGTACCTTTATAGCAGTGTGAAAATGGATTAATACAGCAGCTCATGAAGAACACCTGTGGTTTTGTATTCACTTAACATCTCATGCTCAGCTGTGCAGTCTTAACTAGGGCTCAACAGAAATTCAGGAGACACTTTTAAACAGAATAGCTCTTTGCTGCAGTTGGTATGTCCTTGCCTTAAACCCTGAGTGTCTGTGCTATGACACTCCTTTTTGGCTTGCCAGATTTTAGCACAGCATTTTAATGTGATCCAGATAACTGACAACTTTCCAAGTCATCTGATAAGTGGGGTGGAGCTGTATTTTTAAGTGTGGTACATTCTATCTTCAAAATATGGAGAAGCCTAGCAAGCTTTGTGCCTTTTTCTTAGTGATAGGGGGCGCAGGGTACAATAACTTGTCTTTTATGTTAAAGGAGGTATATTACCACACCCGTAATCTCTGGACACTTAGAAACTATACTTGTGTGACATGTTCCTGAATTTTTATTATGATTTATCTAAAAAATGATGATGTGTAAGTTTTACAGGGCATCCAGTGTGCTTGCCACTTACTTTCCTCAAGGTCAGGTTAACATGCTGCCCTCAAAATAATAGATCAGAATGATGTAACATGAAATGTCCAGATGATTAAGCTCACTCTGACCTCATTGTGACAAAGATCAGGAAAGTTAACATAGTTCTGTGACAAAGCTGTAAACATATGCTGCTATTCATGCCAGGTGAATGCAAATGATTCTGATTCTCCATAATAGGGATTGAAATAGTGTATTTGATAGATAAATATATATTTGCTAAATTAAGTGCAGAAGGTATGCTGAAAGGGGAAGAAAAATGGCAGGGAAGAATACAATCCTATAAATGTAAATTAAGAACAAAAGTCAATAGAACCCCTTAATGGTGGGATATATAATACATTTTTCAGTTCAGAAAATTTGTTGCTATGAACACTACATGAAAAATTCTTATCTACAGTTTATTTATAGTAATACCTGAATAAAGATATAAACACACACAGACTTGATTTTTGTAAGTATGTTTCTATGATATTAATATAGAACACTCATTGTAATCCATTTTTGAAGCTGATTAAATATATGTGAGATATTTTTCAAGCAATAAAATGCCAAATAATGCATTTGTTGATAATACAATTATCTTTAGTTAATAATGGATAACACTGTCTAGGAAATTTTACCATTCATAAAGTTAAATTAAGAAGTAGAAAATCAAATCTTGAAAACTTACCTAAAGAGACCTGCGTTATAAGTTTAATGACATGTAAATGACAAATGTGGCACTGAAAATGTGGGTTCACCTTTAGGCTTCTCATCTACCTGTCTTTTTTGTTTTTGTTTTTGTTTTTTTGTTTTAATTGACCTCCAGTATGTTTTATTTGAACTTCATAGAATCTTGTCATTTCTGGTCTGCCAAGGCTTACTTCAGGCCTCCAATTATCAGGAGTTGATATTTAACAATACGCTTCATTTTTCCTTGTATTGGTTCCCTTTTGTTGTACAGTAAGAGAAGTGAATATGCACCTGTAGAAAATCCTTTAACAAGTTCCTACTAAGGAAAGAACTCTGAAAATAGAAGGGAAAATTAGTGTAAAATCTTGATTTTCATAACAACTTACTTACTGGCTAAAATTACTTCAAATTTGAGAAAGTTCAGCACCTGCAATGATGGCATTTATTGGCATTTCTTTTAGCTACCTTTTCTTAAAAAAATAACAGATTTTACAGCGTGCATGCATCAAAATCATTTCAAGGAAACATATTTCTGGAATGCCTACACTTCGTGTAACCTGAATTCTAATCTACATCCTATGGCTTACAAACATGACTAGTCAATGTAAGTGATCTTAGTTTCTTCATTCTCAAAGATGAAGCATACACTGTTTTTCATACATACATATAATACGTCTCCTCTTTTTCACCAAGATGTATCAGATGAGAAATAATAAAAAAAAGTATAGTGTGGCTTCAGGCCCTTAGTAACTAAACAAAACTTCTACCCCATTACATTATCTCAGAAGTGAGAAAATAGATGTATGGTTTCTCAATTGCCTTTTATAATTGTTATTTGTCTTTTACACTTTTAATCTTGGAAATTATTTTCAGCTTCTTCAGTCTGTTGATAATGCCATAAAGTAGGAGCATGTTCACCACTTTTAATGTTGCCAATTACCTTTCACTAATAGACAATTTCTTTATAATTATTTTATCTTAACGGTATGTAATAGTAAAATAATTATTACATTGTAATAATTAGACTAAATCTGCAATGAATTTAGGGATATTTTCAAGTAATGCCCAATAATACATTCATAAATAATATAGTTATCTTTGGAGAGAGTTTCAGAGATAACATTGAAGTCTAGGAAATTCTGTCATAATTGTATCTAAGATTCTTACTGAGTTTCATACATTTCTAAGAGAAAAATAATGGTCATGCCCATGGAAACCTGAAAAGGCACCAAAGTACTATTTTTCCTTCTACTTCTTTGGCATTCCTCCTAATAGCTTTCAAGAAGTGTTAACTCACTCTTCAATACCAGACTTACTCAAATGAATATGGGTTTAATTATCAAATATCTGAATCAGGAACTAGCCCCATTAAGGTCTTGGTTTCTCCATTTACAATTAAGAATTGTTATGAGGCCCAAGTTTGATCATGTATGCCAAGACACTTTGCAAACTCTAAAGCCCCACCACATATGCCTCTATTTTCATGTTTGCTGTCTTCCTCCTGTACAGTACATTATTTGTTGTTATAATAATGTAAGTGCTTTCTTTACCCTCTTGGGGAACATAGCCACACAGACCAAAATAAGGGCCATAGTAACTTGATGAGACATTCTCAGGCACATCCTTGAAGCTCCTTATAGGAGCTAAATGTGCTTCTTCAGGATGATGAATAAGAAAATCTTTCAACAGCTGCCTATAATTGACAGACGACAACCTAGCAGAAGGGACTCTCATCTCTGCCCCAACATTTGGTTGGTATTGGCCCAACACAGCTGCTATAGCTTGATGCCCTTGTAACATCCTAGCCAAAGTGGGAGGGGAGTGGTCGACACAGTAAGGTGATAGTGTTAAGAGGTAAGCTGGGCAATCCCATTACTGGGTATATACCCAAAGGATTATAAATCATTCTACTATAAAGACACATGCACACATATATTTATTGCGGCACTATTCACAATAGCAAAGACTTGGAACCAACTAAATGCCCATCAATGATAGACTAGATAAAGAAAATGTGGCACATATACACCATGGAATACTATGCAGCCATAAAAAGGATGAGTTCACGTCCTTTGCAGGGACATGGATAAACCTGGAAACCATCATTCTCAACAAACTAACACAAGAACAGAAAACCAAACACCACATGTTCTCATAAGTGGGAGGTGAACAATGAGATCACATAGACACAGGGAGGGGAACATCACACACCAGGGCCTGTCAGAGGGTGAGGGACTAGAGGAGGGACAGCATTAGGAGAAATACCTAATGTAGATGATGGGTTGATGGGTGTAGCAAACCGCCATGGCACATGTATACCTATGTAACAAACCTGCAAGTTCTGCACATGTACCCCAGAATTTAAAGTACAATAATAATAAAAAAAGGTGAGCTGGGGAAAGCTGAGATGCCAGGTACTGAGGTGGTTAATTAGGACAACAAGCCAAACAGAAAGCAACAATTAAGGCTTTATTGCTTTATTCACTTACTGTGATAGCATAAATGAGGCTGGAAAAAAGGTGCTGTCTCCTTTAATGTTTTATTTTTCTCCATGAAACAGCATTTGGTGAGGGTCAGATACATCAACACAGATTGGAAGTAATGTCTTGCTGCAGAGGTAAACCCTGAACCAGAGGCTCCTGCCATTGAATGGGCCCAGTGGCCAGGGAGAGGGAGATGAGGAAGGACTAGGAGTAGAAAAGTGCAAGTACCATGCCAGAGTGGAGAAAGTGTCATCAAGGCTCCCCAGTAAGGAGGTCTCAGCAGAGGTACCTACATAGTGTGTAGGATGAGAGTACCTGGATAAAAAGTCCTCTGAATGGAGGCGTTTTGGCTAAAAATGCAACATGTGTCAAAGTGTGGCTAGCCTGGGAATGCTGAGTCCTTGATTATAACTCCCTTCAGACTGTGCACCCAGGCTGAAGTGGGGAGGGCAGCTTTCTCCCATGAGATCTATCAGGTGATGCTTTTATAATTGCCTGAAAAATCACACATATGATATTGGCCTGGCACCAGACCCCTCAGTGAGTTGACCTTCCCCCATCTTCTCTCCTCCTGACCCAAAATGTATACAGTTCTAATTCGTCCTGAGAACAAACAGGGGTAAACTTGTGATTTGTGACAGGAAATAAATTAAAGCTGCAAATCATGAGATACAAAACAATAATATGGCAACAATTAAACTATCAATGTTTTCAAAAGACCAAAGATCCAGGAAACTTTTTTTTTTAAATTATTGCTACAGACAGAAACTTCACGTAACTTGAGTTAGAAACCCAAGTGTAACAATAATAATCTATTCACCAAAATCAAATAACTTCTTGTGGTTCATTAACAATTATACAGAAACTATGGTATATTTAATGAAAATAATTAAGAAAAAGTTAATTAACTAATAACTAAAAAAACAGTTTTTTCTATAGAGTTCTGCTGGAATTATCTTGTTTATTATGCAAATTTTGTAATAAAATGTAAAATGTAGAACAATGTAAATAAGATCATAAATAATTAGAATAGCTGACTATAACGAATCATATGATCTCTTCTGGCTAAATTATATAAGTTATAATATAATATGGCTTTTCAAATAATTAGAAAGTATGGCCTAGTCATTAATTGGTGTTGAAACAAGTGGTTTAATGTTTGGAAAAAATAAACATTCTTACCTCATGCCATAATCCAAAAAGATTTAATTTTCAAAGAAATTACCTATGTATAAAACAGATTTGCAGAAACGTAAAAAAATATTGGCAAGTAGTTAACTGATTTACGGCTGTAAATTTCCTTTCTCAGTCATACGGCTACTCTGCAGATTCAGAATGAACTCCTAGCCATAATTTGGTTCAGGTGCCAAGACCCATGATGCCACATACCACACCAAGATAGGAAAATGTTTATTACCCATGGAATGAGGCACTTGGGGAAGAACAGACCAGTCTTCTTAAACTGATCTGAAAATAGTTTGAGAGAGCAAGAAATGGAGTCTGGCTTGAGGTTTTTGTTGTGGCTAGGGAGTCAGGCCAGGGTAAGGGCTCTCATGTACCAGCACAGACCTGGGTAGCTTGAATCTCCCCTACTCTGCACCAAAGGAGGGAGCACCCAGGCTTTTTTTAATCAGCTTGACCAGGTGTGAGGCAGAAAAGAGAAAGTGAGGTTTGAGGATTGTTATCAAATGTATAACACCAGAAAGTGGAGTCAGAATCCTTATTACATTAAGTATTTGTCAAAAAGTAGATCACAAAGAGGAAAATATTGACACACGGTTTTACAATATTACTTCAAACATCAAAGCTCCCCGTAATTACAATGACTGGTGTTAAAACTAGAGGCATATTTTCAATGTTTATAGAAAAGTTAATAACAATAAAGATTTCTGATAAATGAGTAAGAAGAACGTAAAACTTTTAAAGAAAAATAGCCAAAGACCACGTACAGCTAATTAAGTAAAGAAGAAAGGCAAATGGCTAAATACATATAAAAAAATTACACACCATCAACAGCATCAAAGGAATATTTGTAACACTGCAAATCAGGGATATTTTATTCTGGCAAAATGGCACAGATTAACAAAATATAACTGGATTAGGCAGTAATACTAAGAAATGGCATTCTTGTAAACTATTGAAGAAAATTGAGATAGGACACTCTGCAGCAGTATTAGATCTAAAGTATCAAAAATTGTAAAAGCATATAAACTCTGGTTTGTCAATTCCATTTTTAGAAATTTAACCCATAGGAATAAAATAGATATGCATAATTATCTTCAATGATAATGGAGTTATAAATAATCAAAAAAAAAAACCCTCCAGGATCATAGAAACAATTACGTGTCCAGCAATAGGAGAATTAGTGCATATAAACTATGCTGTATTTACAAAACAAATATTATGTAGTCTTTAAAATGATAGTCTATAAATTATATGTACAATTGTGAATAACTAGGTGCAAAAATAGGTTACAAAAACATGGTTTGTATACATATATGTTGTATACATTTACGTCTGTGAGTGTGTGTGTGTGTATATAGACACACACACACACATAGACATATATATGTGTATATATATACACACACACGGACATATATGTGTGTATATATATATAGATATACACACCCACATAGACATATATATATATATGTACATATACACACACGCACGCACGCACACGCATAGACATATCTCCAAACTTACAGGCCTATTTGATATTTCCACTTGGATATCTAACAAACATCTTTTGATGAGATGTTTTAAAGAAAGAAACTTTTGGACAGAGTTCTTTCCCTCCTAACTGTTTTTCTATCTTATCCCTTCTCTGTATATGGTACCACTACGTACTCTAAAATCTAGGTGGCATTCTGGATTTCATCCTCTTTTCTTACTCCTTCCTGCCATCTATCCTATTCCAAGTCCTGTGAGTCAGACTCCAAGACATAGTGAATCTTCCCTCCTTCTCTTCTTCTTTGCTGCCACTCTTCCAACACAAGCCACCTTCCTCTTATGGGAACTAAAGCATACGACTCCATTCCACTCCTTCAACTCTCTGCCTGTACTCCACAGCCCAACACATTCCACTGTCTACCCAGAAATTACCTTTTGTAAAAAAGGATGTCATACTACAGCACACTTAATGCTTTCATTACTTTGAATTCAAGTTAAAGTAAAACCTAAACTAACCATAGCCAAATCTGGCCCTTGACTACTTTTTCATTTTCACTTCATTATCAATCTCTCCCTTACTCCGTATTTCCCAGAATTTCTGTCATTTCTTGTGTTTTTTTCTTCCATTACATTGAGGTTTATTCCCACATTAGGAGTTTGCATTTTATTTTCCTCATACTGCCTGGAAATTCTTCTCTTATGCCTGGCTTTTTCTTATTATTCAGCTTCTATTTTTAACAACATATCCTCCCTCCTTTCCTGACCACCCAATTGAATTACTTGTCCTTCGCCCTTTCCCGCTGTGCTTTATGCTATCTTGTTTTGTTTTTCTTCCCACTGCATTCTAATGCCAAACATTCTGTTGTTCTTACTTTAGCTTTTCAGTGTTCCTCCCACTACAATTAGGATGCTGGGTGTCTGGAATCGTGTTTGCCTACAGCCAGTTATGAGTAAATAGTTGTTGATTGAATGAATATATAAAGAGCTAAAATGTGGACATCATTATGTAAACAGACTTATATGTGGGTAGGGAAACAATAATTTCCTCTTGTTTATCCTCTCCTGAATCTTCAGGATTTCCCCCAATCAACACACATCATATTTGTATAAAAGAACTGATAAAAAGTGTGTAAGTAATTTAAAGTCTTTAAAATTCCATAATTTATTCTCCTACCATAAAATCCTAAATACTGTATTTAATTTAATCTCTCATTTCTTCAGCACTTGGAAATGTCTCAACAAAAGAATATAGCAATTTGATAAAACTGTATATGGTGACTTCTTAGATATTTTCCAGATGTAGTGATCAAATTTCAAAGGAAGTGTTAGATGTAGAAGGTGTAAAAGAACGTATAGTCTGGATTTGCCCTTTAAAAATTTCCACTGTAAATGTAGTGGCTTATGCCTTTTATTTTTATGAATTAAAGGGAGAATATTTAAATCATTATTTGAGAATTTCCATTTATTTGCTTTAAGTACAAACAAATAGAATCAGCATGATAACTAGAATAGTAAAAATTCAAAAACATTATAAAAGTGAAATTAAAACACTTTTTCTTTCCTCCTTCTTAACTTGGATCTTGGAGTTGTGCATCTTGATTTTCACTGCATATTTTCCAGCTTTCATGGAGTGAAATAAAATTAATGGGAAAAAGTTGTAGTAGCAGAGCTCAAGCTAAAGTCTGTGAAAATCATTACCGGTGTTCTAGTTATTAATACATGCCACGTTCCTTGACCAAATAAGTAATTTTATTAAGACTTTGCTATATAATGAATCATTAATTTCATAGAAATACAGATTGAGCCAAAAAAGGCAATAAAAATCAAAAAAGTGAATCATTTTCCATGTTTAATAATTTAAAAACTGAGATTTAAAAAATAATAGAAATAAAATATGTTGCTATATTTCTGATGATTTTTGACCTTGGAAATGGAATTTTGTGGTTTGAAAATGACAGCTCTAGATATTCTTCAGACAAAATTTCAACATCCAAATAAAAATGAAATAACTTAAAAGTAAGAATTATGTTATCCTGATAAAAACTTATATTCACAAGAATACTTCCCATACTTGGCTATCAATTACCTTCTCATTTAAATATTTTAGAATTTGGCCTAATAATTGTATAACATCCTATCCATGCTGCATCCTGGAAGATTAATAAAATCAATAATGGATATAGCAGAGGAAATAAAAAAATGCACCTCAGCAAGATTGTTCATGGGCGTCAAAAGAAATCAGCAAGAGCACAGAAACTGTTTCAATTATCTTTAGAGGGAGGCCATGAGAAAGGGGAGGGGATTAGTTTCCTCTCCTTTATTGCTTAAACTATAAAACTATGAAGCATTAAATGTCTCCTGGGCGCTCACCCAATTTTTGGAAAAATAAGGCTTGATTCTTTGGAATTTGATGCATTCCTTTCCAGAATGCAAGCTCATCCAGAGTTAGGGTGCTAAAATAAATGCTGGAAACAGGAGAAAAAGAGAATGGGGGAAAATCCAATAAAATAAATTATGATGAAAAGACAACGCACAAGTGCCATACACATTAATAACACTCATCTTGAAGGGTAATATTTAAGTAACCATGAAAAGTGAGCCACTAGAGAATTGAGATTAAAATTAAATCACATGCTTGTTCAATAATTATTTGAGTAAAAGCTAAACACATGCATTAGCAAATGTAAATGATTCTTTTAATTAGACATCAACAAATGAGTTCCAGTAGCAGAAGCCAAGCTGTTTGGTCTTGATAATTTTTATTGTAGACCTCTAGCATCTCAGTGATATTTCCCTGAGTATTCCTATATTCAAACACAAGGAATAAGAGTTGAATGCATTTTTTAAACACGGATATTTTCTCCTTATCATAATTGAATAAGAAGATTTTATCTTATTTTCTAGTCAAAACGCAACAAGTTGCTTATCAATTATCCAATAAATGTAATCAATAAGGAGTAAAATTGCAGTCTGAATATACCACACTATCTTCAGTGACGTATCACATAAGGTCAACACATTTACAATGAAAAAATATTTTATACTTAGTGAGGAATTTATCTCAAATAGAGCAATATATTATAGATACTTTCCCCTAGATATTGGTAATGAGTTTAATTCAAAGAAAATAAAGACTTGTTTGCAACCCACAAAATTTATGTTCCACAAAGGAAAGGGAAAAAATATATATAATTGATACAATATTAACTGTATGATAATTTATATATTTCATTTTATTATAATTTCCCAATAATTATGGAACATTAATCATATTATTGTATTATAATATTTGATAAATAGTGGTGCATGAGCCTAAGTAAATTGATCTAGTTTACACAGCTACCCAGTGGCACAGTTGAGATTTAAAGGAATATATGACTAAGAATCTTATCTTATTCGAAAACAAATGAGATGGAAACCACTTGTTTTTAGTCCACGTGATAAGTCCTAAACATGCTTATCCAACTTCCTACTTAACACCAAAATGGAATATCTCATCCTTGGCAGGTACCAAGGTGAATTCTCTTTACTTACACATCCAAAATGGCCTCTCTACCGACATCTCCTACCTCAGCAAATGGCACCACCTTACATCCAAATGGGTTTAATCTGATATTTTATCCTCAACTCCTTCATCTTCCTGCATCCCCAAATGAAAACATTCCTTGTTATTTGTCTCCAAAAATATTTGAATATCTTGACTTACCTCTGTTCTCCATTTCTACTCCTACAGTCCAGTAAATATACGACATCACTTACAATCACAAATTTCAAAGACAAGTGAAATACCAATTCTAGACAAATCAAATATTCATTGAGACTATTAAAATTATTCTTAATTTTTAATTCTTACATCACTGGTTTCACCAAGTGCTAAAACCATTCAAGTATGTCTAGACATAGATACAAGTTTTAGTTAAGAACTAAATGGACTTTAATTTCAGTAATAAAATAATTTATAATTTGAAATTTTTCATCTATAAAGAAAAGGACTATGATTTGTTTGAAACTAAGATGTTCGTTAAGACAAGTAAAATTCATTTACATTTTTAAAGTTTTCTTTTTTAAATTAAAATAGAAAAATTGACTTTGTGTTTCTTTTGGTATAAAATTATATGAATTTTAATTTATCTGTAAATCGTTTAAACTCTATCACCATCAGAATCAAAAGAAAAATTTCATTCCTTTTTATTTCTAATTAGTATTTCATTTTGCAGATATGCCAGAGTTTGTTTATCCATTCACCTATTGAAGGATATATGAGTTGTTTCCAGTTTGGGGCACTTATAAATAGACCTGCAATTTATAAATAATTATATTTATTTATTAATATATAAATATTTATATATTAATAAATTCATAAGTCTTTTTGTAAACATAATGTAGGAGTGAAATTGCTGAGTTATATGGTAAACATATGTTTAACTTTATAAGAAATTCCCAAACCTTTTTTTTTCCAGAACAGCTGTACCATTTTGCACTCCCATCAGTAATGTATGTGAGAGTTCCAGCTGCTGCAAATCCTAGCCAGCACTTGGTATTATCCTTCTGAATATTCCATTAATTGTTTCAGCTGTCATTTCCTTCTATGTGAAAAACTTCCTGTAGTAGTTCTTTTAGGGCATGTTTACTGGCAACAAATTGTCTCAATTTTTCTTCATGAAGATGTTTAATTTCACCTTCATAAAGAGTATTTTCTCTGGATATAGAATTCTGGTTCTATTTTAACACTTGAAAAAATATATTATTTGGTTCGAAGAATCATAAAAGAAAGGTATAGTCATAAGTATATAATATTAGTGTGTACTAATTATTAAAATAGAACTAAAAAGCTTTAATCAAAAAGAGGACAGATGAGAGATTGAAAGATGGGGACAAGTTATTTCATACGTAAGTTTCAGCATTCAGTAAAAATTTCATTTAATTAAAAACCAAATATTGACCAAGAGAAAACCCAGATAATTAAAAGACCCATACATTATCTGAGTATTACAATGATCAGACACTGAAATAACTGTGAATAATATATTCAAGAAAATATATGGCAAAGAAATTCAAATTTCCAAAACTTGGAAGCAATTAACATGTCCTTTGGTTAGTGAATGAATAAATCCACTGTGGTATCTTCAGAAAATGAAATGTTATTTAATGCCAAATAGAAATGAGCTAGCTATCAAGTGATGAAAAGACATGGAGGGAACTTAGAAGTATATTTCTAAGTAAAAGAAACCAATGTAAAAGGCTACATACTGAATGATTCCAATGATATGATATTCTAGAAAAGGCAAAACTATGGAAATAATGAAAAGGTCAGTAATTGCCCAGGGGTTAAAGGAAAGAACAGATGAGTTGTCAGTGCACAGAGTATTTTTAGAGAGTGAAAATACCTGTATGATATAATAATGGTGGATGTATGTCATCATAAATTTGTCCAGACCCATAGGATGTATAACAAGAGTGAACCCTAATATGAACTATGAACTCTGGGTGATAATAATGTGTCAATGTAGGTTCATCAATTATAACAAATTTATCATTCTGGTGGGGATTATTGATAGTGATGGATAATGAGGGAGGATGTACATGTGTGGGGCAGGGAGTATATGAGAAATCTCTGTACCTTCTCACGCAATTTTGCTATGAACCTAAAAGCAAAAACTGTACATCAAAATATATAAACAACTGCTCCAAATGAAGAAGATGCAACCCATTTGAAAGTAGGCAAGATATAAATTTTATATATATATAAATTATATATATAATCATTGTGTATATATATAAAATCAGTATATATATAATCAGTATATATAATCAGTGTGTGTGTATATATTTATTTATTTATATATATATGAAAAGATGATGGCCATGAGGCAAATGACAAGGTGATCTTTTTCATCATTCTACAAGGAGATGCGAAATAAAACAATGAGATATTACTATACCATCTCGATAATGGATACAGTTAAAAACAAAAACAATATTTTGTGCAGGTGAAATGAAAAGCTAGTCTATCCATCTTAGAGTGCTGGTGGTGGGAATGTAAATTGATACAATCACTTGGGCTCACTATTTGACATATTCTATAAAAGTGTACATATACATACCAATACCTCTACTCTATTTTCTACTCTAAGATATTACATCTTAGAGTAATATCTTCTGCTCTAAGATATTACACATACATACTAGTACTTCTACTCTAAGATATTTTCCCAAGAGGAATGCATTTATGTATGTTATGTATGTACCTACACACACACACACACACACACACACACACACACACACACACACACATATGTTCATAGCAACATTATTTGTAATATTCAAATACTAGAAAATCTAAATATTGATCAATACTAGAGGCAATAAATAAAGAACACATTCATACCATGGAATACAGTACAGCAACATAAAAAATAATGAACCAGGATTAGCACAGCTACATAAAAAGAATTTGGTTCTATTTTAAATATTTATTCTCCCCTTGCTTAGAAAAAGAAAATATGAAATCATTTGCTTTTAATTATCTTACACCTTATATAGAGCATGTTAGAGATCATTTAGGGCAATAGTGCAATGACTCCTTCACAAATCAATGTCCAGAATCAGTATTTCCATCAGCCCTTATTTTAGGATTTTGGAGTATGACTCCGAAGATTTATTTCAAATATACTTGGGCAGGCAGGATGTAAGAGAAATCCTTAGATCCTTAGATGGCTTCAGCCTTTTAGGAGAAATATCTCTGATACTGTATACTGGAGGTGACAGAAATACTTGTAAGGGAAAATTATTTCTATATATGTATGTATGTGTACGTATATATGTCTCTATGTATGTGGGTGTGTTTGTATATATGTGTATATGTATATGTATATGTATATATGTATATGTATGCGTATTTGAGCACTCGAAGCTATTTTTATGAGAATTTGAAATTATACTATTTTGATTATGTATACAATTTTGCTTATTCATTTATTTACAACTACTGTTATAAAAATTAGGAAGACAAGAATACAGATTTTGTTGGTATGCTAACACTTAATTTATCGAATAGTTATGCAGTCTTATATGTGTATTTAATAGCTCTGATTACAGGAAATGACTTGTGTTGATTTGCTATACTCTGTTTTTTCACTGTGATCAGTGGCACATAATTTACTAATATATTCTACTAAAAACACTAGATTACTTAAAATTGCCTAGTTAATGTCTTATGTAAAATGGCAGTAGATATTTACTTATTACTTCTGCATATAATTTTAGAATATCTATTGCAAAGTTTGATGGAAATTGATATTTTTATTCCAAAGTAAGGGTGTTTTAAAAGCATTCTGATTAAATAAAAATAATAAAGGTGTTTAGTCACTGGTCTGGAATAATTGACCAAGGTCAAATAATTATTTCCTGTTTTAACAAATAAAATGAAAAGTAACACTGGTTGTAGAGTGGAAAATAAAATGACAAGCAAATCAGTTTTTGAGTCTAGATTAGCTTTCTCAAATAATATCAATGAGGTGAGGTATGTATTGTATTCCTCATTCTTTTCGATATTCATTTAAGATAATTATACTTAATTTCGGAATTTGCTGAAAAATAACATGTAGTAGGCTCCTGGATTATTAAGGTTAGCATGGATCAGATTTTTAAAGAGTCACAATGGTGGAATTACAAATACGTGTGTGTGTATATATATATGTATACATCTATATTCATATATACATTTATATAATATATAATAAATATGCAAATATATAAATGTATATATCTAAAATATCTTTCTTCTTGTTGCTTGCATCTGAGATGTTAGAATCATTTTAAAGGACTTCATATACTTGATGAAAAACAGACCCTTTGAAAGAAATCATATTTGTATATATACTTCATGATAATTTTTGTTAGGTAGAATATATTACATTTTATCTCTCTTTGAGATTGATATTAAGTCACCCATGGGCAAAATCAAGAATCATAGGTACCTGATGCTACTAATTGCTAATGTGTGTCGGGCTCTTACTGTTCACCTTTGCCTCTGCTTCTGATGATATTTTTCATGAGCTCTCACCTGAACTATTGTATTAACCCCTCCCCAAATCTGGGAACATTGCTAACTCCTTGACTCAATGACTGCTTATTGAATTTTAGCTATGTACCGTGAACAATTATTTTGATCTGGAAATGTACCAATTAACAAAACAAGCCTTTATGAAGCTTACATTCACAGTAGGGGTGGGGGACATATATAAAAAGTGATGTGTACCATGGGTAAGAAATAGAATTGTAAAAGGAAGAGATAAATCCCACAAGCTTATCCACTAAAAAAAAAAAATCCCGTATCCTCTTTTCCTTTTTCACTCATTGAGCAACATTCCAAACAAACAAACTAACTAAATAATAAAAAGAACATAGATGTGATACTTCAACATATCCAGGTAATCATAATTCATTGAGTTTAGTAATACGCTTAAACATTTTGACACTGAGCATTGAAATACACTTAAGGTACACTCCGCTTATTTTTGAGGAGCTTCTGTCCATGTTGTACGGCATCACTGAAAAATCCCAGAAGTCCTGCCTTTCTGTTGCTTTGAGCTATACAAGTGGAGGAAAGTAGAGTGATGGCCACCAACCATCAGCACCCAGGGAGGGCCGCTGGCTCAAAGTGAATGCTTTATTTGGATGGCTTTAGATATTTGAGGAACATTCATTCTGACTACAGATTTTTTTCTGTTTAAAAAATATGATGAGTATTGCAATTGAAAATGACTTTCAGTAGCAATGACTTTTAGCTAAATAAAATAAGTTCTCCAAAACATATGAAAAAGACCAGCCATTTTGATTGAAGCTAGTTGTGGTAGGAAATCAGTAGCTCTTGAGGTTTTCAGTCTTGTGTGTTTTCTTGTTATCAAAGTAGATGTTGAAGCCTGATGCTCAGTGTCCTCTGTTTAAAACAGATGTAACTTTATTAACCCTTTATGTAGAAAGCCATGCATAAAAATAGATTATTTTAAAGCCTAGCAAAAATTACTTTTATTTCAAATAATAGCCCAGAATGCCTGGTAAAATTCTTTTTTTTTTTCCTTCCCAGAAAGGGAGTGTCATAGGCCCGTTAATCCATTTGTTAAGTGCATCATTGAAGTCAGCTACGTGGGGTGACTTTAGTTTGCCACTAAAAGATGTTCCTAATTGGTCATTCTTGTCCTGAATTTTATTCATTCAGCCAGAGTATGTGGTTTTATATATATATATATATATATATATATATATATATATATATATACATACACACACATATATATATACATATATATGCATATATATATATATATCCATATATATGCATATATATATATATATATATCCATATATATGCATATATATGGATATATATATATATATCCCTTTTTTGCTTTTTTGACTTCCTTGTAGAAGTTCTTTCATTCATCGTGAGTTCACTTTATACTTTTATAGTGAGTTCACTATAACTTTTAATTAGTTTGTAGTGGATTTTCAAATTCTGTAAATTATTTTTAAGTGGTAGTAAAGAAGAAATCATTGGGAGAAAGAGTCACTGATGTAATATCAAGTATCTTCCTTTCTTGCATGTTTATGTGCAAGAGTATTTGTTCTGGGAGCATTTGACTAAAGCTAAATCTTTTGAGTAATCGACCTCTCAACATCAGTAAGCTGAACAGTAAATACTTCCCATGTGTGATAAAAGCAAAGACTTGTTTTTCTTTCCCCTAGCTGATTAAGAAAATCAAATCTTTTTTACACAATTCAAGTAGAAAGATTAAAAGCATTAATAATTATGTCAGAAAGACCATAGTGTAAAACATGAGAACACAGGAGTTAAATTACTTGAAGATCTTGGTTTCTCTCACATTTACTATATTCTTCTTACAATGCTGCAGAATTGTTTGGAAATTACGATTTCACTATGTGGCTATAAAATCTATAAATAATATACTAAATATTTTTAGTGTTCATTAGCTTGGTATAGTAGTCCCCCCTTCTCTGAAGGATATACATCCTAAGATGCCCAGTGGTTGCCTGAAACCCTATATATACTATATTTTTTCCCTGTGATAGCTGAAATTGCTACTAAGTGACTAACAGGCCAGTAGTGTATACAGTGTGCACATAGTGCGCAAAAGGATGATTCATGCCCCAGGTATGACAAAGAAGGATGGAGTAGCATTTTGTCGTGCTACCCAGAGCAGTGCACAATTTAAAAATTATAAATTGTTTATTTCCGGAATTTTTCATTTAATATACCTCGGTTGTCTGTGGATAACTGATACCACAAAAAGCGAAACTGCAATAAGGGGAGACTACTGTATACAAAAAAGAACACCTGATAATGCTCTATATACCAATATGGTATTTTTTTTCAAATAACTTTATAGTGGAGTGAAATTATTTAGAATGTTTCATACATTAACTAAGAAACAATGACCATTTATGACTTGAAGTAAAGTTTTAGTTTTATATGCAAATTTCCAACTAATAAGGAAAGAAGAATAAAATAAGGGATCTTTCTTTAGTGGCTCATCATTGATTCCAAATGCTGGTAACTACTGAGCCAGCACTGCTGCCAAAAGAGAATTCCTGTTGATTACAGCATTTAACAGAATCAGACAACTACTTCACAGCTAAAAGAAACCCGTAAACCTTTGTTCTGTGTCCTTCAAGCATAAATGTCTTCTGTGGGGAGTAACCAAGGAAAGTCTGCAGTTCTCAAGAATTTTTTAGCAAAATGTACTTATTATCTCCATGAATTTTCCTTAAAATATTATATGCATAAAATGTTATAAAAAACTGAGCCAAGAATTTCATGGCATTTTAACATCATAATGCACATGATATGATAGTAAAGAAATGTATATTTTAAAAAATCCAGAAAAGTTTCATAAGTTGAAAAGAATATTCATATACCTAAAAATGAAAAATAATACTATCTGAAAACATTTTAAAATAAAAAGCTCTTTGGATTTTCAACTCTTCTTTCTCTCCTTATAATACTTTAACCAAACATTCGAAAAATATTTATGCTTTTAGCCAAGATTGCATTCTAAATTCACACTTCGAAAGTGCTTATCTTTTATTTGAACAAATAACAGTAATACATTACGAACAAAAGCAGAAAAAAATAAAAATCTCTCCCATTTCAAAAGAAGATGAACAAAAAAAAATGGAAGATAAATGCTTAGACATGGGAAAGACTGAAGCTTACTCATGAAATGAACTTTCCCAGCAAATTTCCAATACAAGTGCTACTGAGTCTCGAACAACACAAGGGTTAGGGGGTTTGACCCTTGCACAACTGAAAGTCCACACGTAACTTTTGAATCCCCAAAAACTTCACCTCTAATAGCTTACTGTGGACCAGAAGCCTTACTGATAACCTAAACAGTCAAACACATATTTTGTATGTTATAGACATTATATACTGTATCCTTAAAATAAAGTAAGCTAGAGAAAAGAAAATGTTAGTAAGTATATCATAAAGAAGACAATACAAATTTACTGTTCATTAAGTGGAAATGGATCATAAAGGTTTCATTCTCAAGTTCATGTTGAATAGGAGGAGGAGAAGAACTGGTTGATCTTGCTATCTCAGGGATAGCAGAGGCAGAAGAACATCTGCAAATAAGTAGACCAAACATTTCAAATCTGTGTTGTTCAAGGATCCACTGTACAGTAATGCTAAGAAAGGCAGTGGACATAATTTTTAAAAAGAACTCAGATCCTTAATTTATCCCCAAATTCAATAATATAACAATTTTTAAAATAGAATTTGTATGTTTGATTGTCAGAGATAGATGAAATAAAACAAACCATTAGAAATAAAAAATTGTTTAAAAAAAGCATCAGTATTTAGATTTGAAAAAATCATAATTAAAATATTTTCATCACTGAATTTAAAAAAATCTATAAATGGATCTAACTTTAGAATGAAGTGGAATTGCTGTAATAGTAGAAAAAGTAGGAAATTGAAAGATCACGTTGAAGAATAAACCTAGTGAAGAGCTCACAGAGGAAGAGATATGAAATATGAAAGGGTTAATAAAGACATTAAAAATAATTTGAAATTATACAAAATACAATGGAGATATGATAAAACTCAAGTGGATGATAGGTGATAATTTTCCAGAACTGTCTTCATATTGGAAATACATCATGAGGCCAAGCACGGTGGCTCATATCTGTAATCCCAGCACTTTGGGAGGCTGAGGTGGGCAGATTACCTGAGGTCAGGAGTTCGAGACCAGCCTGGCCAACATGGTGAAATCCCCATCTCTACTAAAAATACAAAAATTAGCCAGGCATGGTGGCAGGTGCCTGTAGTCCCAGCTACTTGGGAGGCTCAGGCAGGAGAATCACTTGAAACTGGGTGGTGGAGGTTGCAGTGAGCGGAGATCCCACCACTACACTCCAGCCTGGGCAACAGAATGAGACTCCATCTCAAAAAACAAAAAAAATCATGATTATTAAGCAGGGTATTTATTTTTAATTTACTGTCTAATAGTGCAAATGCAAAACAGCAAAGATAAAGCAGAAACTCTTTAATGTTACCTGAGGGTAAAGATCACTAGATGAACAACTAGACTAACAATGGATTTCTCCATAGTAATAATAAACCCCAGTAAATATTTTCAAAGTGCAAAGGGCAGATTTCAAGCTATTTTTCTCTATCAGTTAAGCTGTCATTTAAGAGGAGATAGATTTCTTAAGATATAATAAACTAACTGGTTTCATTACTCACAGATTCTACAGTAAGAATTACCAAATCATGTATTTCAACAAGAAAAAATAAAATTAACAAAAACCAAAACAAGCAAAAAACTGGATTAAAATGTTTCTAAGTTATGTTAGCAATTGATATTGACATAAAGGAATAACATGTTTCCATTTTTGTTTTAAAAGTTAAACTACAGAAAACAATGACAGAAGATAAAGAAAGGGGATATTCAATATTTAGTTATTATTTATTGTTTAACAAATTATTCAAGAATTTGGTGACCTAAAACAACCTTTTAAATCTCAGTTTCTGTAGGTCAATAATAAGAAGATCGTTCTTATTATTAACTGCCAGTCAGGGCTGCGGTCATTCTAAGGCTCAAGTGAGGAAGGACCTGCTTCTGGACTCAAGCACGTGGTTTTTCATGGACTGTTGAATTGAGGGCCTCAGTTCTTTGCTAGTTGTTGGTCTGAGGCCACCCACAGTTCTTTGCTACATGAACCTCTTTATAGTGTAGCTCAAACATGGCTGCTTCATTTATCACAGCAAGCAAATGAGAACAAGGGAGAAAGTGACAGCCAGATTGAAGTCACAGTCTTTTTTAACCTAATCTTTGAAGTACTATCTCATTGCCTCTGAAATATTCTGTTTATTAAGAACAAGTCATTAATTTCAGCCCACATCACGGAGAGTGGATTACACAAAGACGTGGACAGAAGGAGATTGAAAACATTGGGGGCCATTTGAGAAGTTTGCCTGTTAGTCTGACATCTGTCCTCAATTATCCAGATCCCTCACATGCAGTATACATTCCCTGGCCCTCCCAAGGTCTCCAAAAGTCACATCCCATTATTGCATCAGCCCAAAGTTCAAAATCCTATTATCTAAACCATATTGAGGTATTAATTAGGTTCGTGGGTTATAGTTCTTTAACTGCTCAAGGACAGTTTCTCTTGATCTGAGAAGCTACAGAGAGAAGTTATGTGCCTCCAACATACATCCAACATATAATGGTGGGACAGGCATAGGACAACAGCTATAGACATTCTTTCTCAAAAAAAATAAGGGGGGAAAATAAGAGGCACAAAAAAAGTCACTAGTCAATCGTGGTTGTAGAATCCAGCCAGTAAAATACTGGAAGTTTCTTGTTAGGTTTTAAGGCCATGGCTCTTAAAGCTACCCTCAGACCCTCAGGACTCTTGATTCTGCCCTCTGAGTTGTTTTGTTTGTTTGTTTGTTTGTTTGTTTGTTTGTTTTTGCAACTGAGTAGTTTTCTAAGCTTCCTTTCGCCAGTAAAATTTTAGGATCCAACAGTCTCTACTCATTTTGTATGTTCCACTCATTGCAAGCTAGAAGTGATTTTGCTAATAATGTATTGTTCTCAAAAGCTTTGTGGATCATCAGTGATCTAACTGAAGTATATTAGACAAAAGCCACCCATGCAAATATTTTTGAGATAAGTCCTTCTCTACCTAATTCCGCAAAGTGGTTGAATACAATGACCATAAACTTCTCTAGTGGCCCTATTTTATTAAGAGGATCTGAGGCACACCCTTAATGCCCTTAAAGTGTCCTTTGTGTAAGTGAATAAACCTCTTATTCTTTGATCTGTTTGAATACTTAGCAAATAGCTATACAGCCAAACACATAGGACACGTGTTTCTGAAAGGGCTCAGAAGCCCTTTCTTAATGTTAGCATCTTTTGCTTTCTGGAAGGCCTGAAAAATTTCAAAACCATCTATTTGCCTTTGCAGCATAACAAATACCCCAAAATTTAGTGACTTAAAATAACAATATGTATTATCTTAAAGTTTCAGAGGGTCAGAAATATGTGCATAGCTTCATTCAGTCCTCTGCATCTCAGTTTCTCACAATCAAGGTGTGAGTAAAGTGAGTAAGACCTGGGACTGCAGTCATCTTGAGACCTACCTGGGGATGCATCTCTGAGCCAATTCATGTCGTTTCTGCCAGGATTCCTTTCCTTTGGGTTGTTAGATTGAAAGCCTCAATTGTTCACCAAACTGTCAGTCGGAGGCCTCACTCAGTTCGCTACCATGTGGGCTTCTACATATGGAAATTCACAACCTGGACCCTGATTTCATAAGAATGAGCAAGTGAAAAGGCAACAGCTAAGAGAATGAGAAGAAGAAAAAGGTCACAGACTCTTGTAATGTAATCTTGAAGTGACATCCCATCACTTTTACCAGATTTCAGGATTGGAGGCAAATGAGTAGATGTAGCCCACATTCAAGGACAGGGAGTTACACAAGAGCATAAATATTAGGAGTGGAGGGGATCACTGGGAATTATTTTGGAACCTGCCTACCACAACATGCTACTGTATTTGTCAGTCTGGAAGGTAGATAGAAATATTATAAACTTTATACTTAATTGGAAAAAAATGTGCATGTAAACAAATTTAAACATAATATTTGAAGATATCAATTAAAGTATTTAAAACAAATAATATAGAATTATAGGAATATAGAAAAACTTGGAACTCCAAAGGAAGGAGGCATAGGAAAATCAATTAAAAAATAGACTCAGACACAACACTAGTAAGACAACACTAATGAGGCTCAAGAATAAATATCAGAAATTTTAGTAAAAGTTAGTTCATTGAACTCATTGTTTCAATAACACGAATTTTTAATGTTTATTGATTTTGTTCCATGCCAGAAACTGTTCTAATTACTTCACAGAAAGTAAGAAATGTTGTTATTCTAATTTTACCCATGAAGAAAACAAAGTACACGATAACACAGCAAGTAAATAGTAGAGTTAGGATGTAGATCTAGAATCTGGCTTTCAAAGGAAATACTTTTAATCACTGTGGTATTTTTTTAATGAAAGATTCTTACATTGGCTTTAAAAAATAAACTAGTTAGCCTGGGCAACAAAGTGAGATGCCATCTCTACAAAAAATAAAAACAAATTAACCAGGTGTGGTAGAGCATCCCTATAGTCCCAGCAACTCAGGACTAGGCTGAGGCAGGAGGATTGCTCGAGCCTAGGAATTTTAAGGCTGCAGTGAGCTATGATCACATCGCTTCACTCCAGTCTGGACAACAGAGCTAGACTTAAAAAAAAAAAAAAAAAAAAAAAAAAAAAAGACGCTAGCTAAATACAACTTAAACCTAAAAAATAACAAGTAAAAAGCATGAATATAAAGGGATGGTAAGAGGTATGGTACACAAATACTATTTAAAAGAAAGTTGTGTCCAGGCGCAGTGGCTCACACCTGTAATCCCAGCAATTTGGGAGGCCGAGATGGGCAGATCACCTGAGTTCAGGAGTTTGAGACCAGCCTGGTCAACATGGTGAAAGCCCGTCTCTACTAAAAATGCAAAAATTAGCCAGGCATGGTGACAGGTGCCTGTAATCCCAGCCACTAAGGAGGCTGAGGCAAGAAAATCTCTTGACCTCAGGAGGCGGAGGTTGTAGTGAGCCAAGACTGTGACACTGCACTCCAGCCTGGGTGACAGAGCAAGACTCCATCTCTAAATAATTAATAAATACACAAACAAACAAACAAACAAACAAATAAGATAGATGCTGTAACATTACTATTAGATAAAAATGTCATTAGGTACACACTACTAATTGATATAATGAGAGAGGCTATATGTTAAACAGTCCAATAAAATGAATTATTTAAATGCTGATACCCCTAATAACATAGCCTTGATATACATTTTATTTAAATGTTAAAAAGTTTTTATAAATAATTAAATAGAACTATAAGTGTAAATTATAAAACATCACACCAGAGTTAGCAGACAAAAATAATTGTGGTTAGAAATAATGTGAAGAGAACAATTAACCAAATAATTCTATGGCATATTTATTTTGGAACTGCATCTACGGAATCACTATTTTGTTCAAGCACTTAAGGAAAAGTTCCCTAAAATATTACGTGCAAGTTCAAAAAACATCTTAATTTCAAAGAGCATCCTAAACATGAAGTCAACATTTAAAGTAACAATATCCCCTTTGGGAATTGAATAACAGCAACAAATATCCACACTTCTAATTGATGTATGGGTTAAAGAGGAAATAGCAATGAAAATTAGAAAATATATAAAATGTAATAACAAGTAGAATACAAAGTGTCACGATTTGGAGAAACCTATCAACAAGACATAGAAGCAAATTTATAGTTATAATGTATCTTTTAAAAAATCATGATAAATATGTATACCTAAACTATACATAAACTATACCTTTTTAATGAATTTTAAGTGTACGATTCAATCACATTTATTATATTCACATTGTTTTGCAACCATCACTATTATCTGTTTCCAAATTTTTCTATTACCTCAAACAAAAACTCAGTAACTATTAAGCAGTAACTTCCTATTTCCTATCTCTCCATCACTTAGCAACCACTAATGTACTTTCTATCTCTAAGAATGTTTTTATTCTAGATATTTTATAGAAGTAAAATCATGCAATATTTGTTCTTTTGTGTCTGATTTATTTCACTTGGCATAATGTTTTTATGGTTCATCCATGTCGTATTATGTGTCAGAACTTAATGTTTTTAAGGCTGAATAATATTCCATTGTTTGTATATACCACATTTTGTTTATCCATTCTTCTATTAATGAACACTTGAGTTGTTTTCATCTTTTGGCTATTATAAATAACGCTTTTATGACTATTTGGTGTACAAGCATCTGTTTGAATCTCTGCTCTCAATTCTTTTGGGTATATACGTAGAAGTAGCATTGCTGTGTCATATGATAATTCCATGTTTATGAATCTATGTTTTTGAGGAAGTGACATTCCATTCTGTTTTCTACATCATTTGCACCATCTTATATTCCCATCAACAAGTTCCAAGGGTTCCAACTTCTCTATGTTCTGGCAAACATTAGTTATTTTCCCTTTTTTGATTATAGTAATTCTAGAAGTTATAAAGCAATATCTCCTGTGGTTTGACTTGTGTTTCCTTAATGGCTAAGTTTACTTAACATCATTTTAGATGTTTATTGGCCATTTGATTATCTTCTTTTGCAGAAGTGTGTTTTCAAGGCCTTGCTAATTTTTAAAATTGGGTTGTTTGTCTTTCTGTTGTTGACTTTTAGTACTTGTTAATATATTCTGGATATTAACTCCTTATCAGATATAAAATTTAAAACTATATTCTCTCATTTTCTAGTGTTTTTTTTTACTTTCTTTATAATGCCCTTTGATGTGCAAAAGTTTCAAATTTTGTTGATGTCCAGTTTACCTATGTTTTCTTTTATTGCTCTTGCTTTTGGTTTCATTGATGCATTGCCAAACCCAAGGCCACAATTTATCCTTCTGTTTTCTTACAAAGATTTTATGATTTTAGTTCTTATTTTTAGGTTGTTTCCTCATTTTGAGTTAATTTCTGTATAGGGTGTGAAGTATAGTTTCAACTTCTTTGGTTGTTTGTCAAATTCAGTTGTCCCATCACCATTTGTTGTGAAATTGTTCTTTCTCTCATGAAATGAATTTAACATCCTTGTTAAAAATCAATTGGTCATAGATGTCTGAGGTTTTTTTTGGAACTGTCAATTCTATTTTACGTCAATATTTATGCCAGTATTACACTATTTTGATTACTGTAGCTCGTAGTAAAATTCAAAATTGTGTAAGTGTAACTCCTCTAACTTTGCTCTTTTTCTCCAGATTGTTTTGACTATTTAGGGCTACATACAGTCCTATGGGAATTTGAGAACCAGCTTTTCATTTCTGCAAAAGATGCTCTTGGAATTTTGGTAGGGTTTGTGTTGAATCTGTAGATCATTTTGCATATTATTGATACTGTAACAATATTAAGACTTTCTACCCATCCGTGAACACGAGTTGTCTTTCTATTTATTTAGGTTTTCTTTAATGTCTTTCAGCAATGGTTGGTAGTTTTCAGTGTGTAAGTCTTTCACCTCCTCTGTTAAATGTATACTTGACTTTATTTTCTTTTAGATGCTACTGTAAATGGAATTACTTTTTTGACTTCCCATTTTAATTGTCCATTTCATGTACATAAAAACACAACTAGTTTATTTGTGTTGATAATACATCCCACAACTTTGCTAAATTTATTTCTTAGATTTAGTAGCTTACATGTGGTTTCTTTGGGATTTTTTAGTACACAGAATCATGTCATCTATGAATAAAGAGGGTTTTACTTCTTTCTTTCCAATTGGATGACTTTTATTTGCTCTGGCTAGAAGTTCTCAGTACAATGTTGAATAGTAGTGGTGAAAGTGGGTATTTTTGTATTGTTTTAAATGTGTTTTTAAGTAGATATTGAAAGAAAGTGTTAAGCATTAGAAAATTAAAAAAACAAAACAGCAAATACAAATAAAGCTAAAAGATTGAAACACAAAAATCTAAAATAAAATCATAAATATATCAGAATTTATTAAAACAATATAAAAATAAAAGTGAGATAATAATTTGCTACATTTTTGAAAAAGTACTATCTAGCAAAATACAAAAAAAAAGCTAAGATTGATTATTGCAGAAGAGTAATGTAGAACTCTTCAGAAGCTTTAAATATATGAATTAGGTATATATTTCAAGAGGATACAAAGTGGCTTTAATTACATCTGTAATTTTCTTTGAATGACTAAGGCTAATAAGGTGGGTTCATGAATATTTGCTATAGAACTCCCTGCACTTTTCTGTGTGGTTTAAATATGTATAGCAAAAATTATGTACACATAATATTTAAAGATACTATAGAATGTATAGTTTTTACAATGTTCTTATATATTTAAAAAATACATTTGTCCTTTAGTTATGTCTCATGAAAAAAGATCCTGAGTTAGAAACTAGAAGTAGGCTGGGCATGGTAGCTCTCACCCGTAATCCCAGCACTTTGGGAGGCCGAGGCATGAGGATCACGAGGTCAGGAGATCAAGACCAGCCTGGCCAACATGCTGAAACCCTGTCTCTACTAAAAATACAAAAATTAGCCGAGTGTGGTGGTGCATGCCTGTAGTCCCAGCTACTTGGGAGGCTGAGGCAGGAGAATTGCTTGATCTCAGGAGGCAGAGGTTGCAGTGAGCCGAGATCACACCACGGCACTCCAGTTTGGGAAACAAAGCGAGACTCCATCTCAAAAAAAAAAAAAAAAAAAAAAAAAAAAGAGAAAGAAAATAGGAGTAGTAAAAGTCTAAAGAATTTTCTTGAAGAAGAATTAAGTAATACTCATAGGGCATGGGGGAAATCTAACATCAAAATAGACTTCAAAGTTTGTTATTGTTCTTTTTTTAAGTTCAGAGTATTTGTAAAAATTCATTGCCATTTATTTTCAATGTGCTTTCTAATTTAAGCAATAATTGTTAATTTTATTGCTTATTTGTGAGGCTGGGCCATTAAAAAAAAAACCTAAATATCTTAGAGATTAGCCAAGGAATGAATGGATGAATGAAAATACCATATGTCGCAAGACATCAAAACAATGTAACTTTTAAAAATGTGTTTCTGAGACAGTTTCAAATCTCCATCAAAAGTAATTTTCTTCAGATTAAGAAAATACTTCTTATTCATTTCTTTAAAAATAACTCAAAATTCAACATTTTATCCACAAAAATATTATTCCATTTCTTTCAGGACGCACGTTTTTATTTACTCTAGTGTTATCAGAAAGTAAAATCCTAAATCATCTCAGGAGTGATCCAAGGCTTGTTGTCCCTTTAAAACTTCAATATTTTTATGTTTGCAGTCAAATATATAAACCAGTTTTGGATTACTTCCCAAGAGCAAAGTTAGACAGCAGTGTTGTGCAACAAAGCAATCCACACATGTAATGATGGCATCCCATTTTATGAGGACATGGACATATTTCAATGAATAAATTCATGAAGTCTCACCACTCTGTGACCCCATATCTGCAGTCTCTTCTATTTAGTCCAGTTCTAGCTCATTACTGTCATAACAAAAGCAGCCATTCTATTTCACTTCTGATCTTATCTGTCTTTTAAAGGTGAAGAAACATAAAAGAACCAAGATGATAGGTCCCCACCTTTTTCTTTTTTTAAATAGCCAGTTAATTCTTTTTTTAGTCTAATAAGTCTATTCAAAATTACTGTACTTTTTTGTTTAGATTATACAACTATACTAAAAATATAATTGTTCCTACCTTCAGCTATTTTTCTTTTTCAAAAATGCCTTTGAAGTGATGAAGTCTCATTAATGTGCAGAAACTATTTCAGTGATACTCTGAAGATAGTAAGTAGATAGATGAGTGTGTACAGAGTTCCCATAAGGCATTCACAAGGTCAGAGAAAATCATTACAGTGCTGCCAAAGGGTCTCTTAATGACAAGGAGCACAGTGTATCTTTCTTCATTACTCTCCTTTAAGTCCTGGCACCTAGAAACTTGCTAATTCTGTGCGTATACAAGTTCAAAGATTGTATTAAGTATCTAGCATCTGAGGAGCTTGGGATGATTTGCAGTGGCATTAGATACGCAAAAGTTCTAGTAGAAATCAGATAAATATGGCAGATTTACTACAGAGAAGTATCACTTCTACTTCTCAAAACCTCATTAAAGGAGAGTGATAGCATAAAAAGGTATAAACCCACAAGGACAAAGAAATAATGAGATGACACTGGAGATTTAAATAACTCTTTGAAATACAGGAAGCAGGGGGAGGGAGGATGGGCAAATTACTTTAAAAAGTGAAAACTGTTATTACCTAAAAGCCTACAGAGTTGGGGAGCAAAAAGTACCAAGGAAATTATTTTTGAACCACAAGGATGACTCAGGACTTGGAAGCATACGGTAACAGTGGAAGGTAGCGGGGATGTTCAAGACTGTAAACAGAGTGGTTTAACACAGATTTTTCCTTTTTTTGCCCAGTAAGCCTGGTGTATCTGTCTCTCTCACACCCATCTGCCTTACCCTTTCTGCAGCTGTTTATTTTTAATTTCTCCTGCAGGTGCTTTGGACTCAGAGATGGAAAGTATAGCAGAAGCTGGGGGTGAAAGATGACAGTAGAAACATGGAGATTAACTTTGGATTCCCAGGCCCTTCCCTCTGCCTTGCTATTAAAATGCATGTAGCAGGCAGACATTTATGAAAGAGGAGCACGGGGGAAAGCAAACGAGCATAGGAAGAACACAAAAACCAGAATAAAACAAAGAGAAGGGTAATCAAGTGAGATAATCCTAATGCTGTAAAGACAGGGGCACTCAAAATAATCACTGCCATCATATTTTCATTCATTTACTTTTGGTATGTTATGTTAAAGACAGGTTTGCAGTAAAGAGTGCTTTTCAAACAAAGCAGGTCTCTGCTATATAAATAAATCACATAGAGCTCTAATAATGAATAGTATATATACCATTGGATTTGGTAGTCTAACAATGTTAAGTAGTATGCCTCTTTTTAGCAATTTCATATGGTAATAATGACTGAGAATCTATTTATAATACAGGCTATTGTATCACCCATCTCCCTGTAAAAATGTTTGGTTAATGCCTTTTTTTGGAAAACCATAGGCCTTACTAAAGTAAAAACTAAGCTTTCCATTTGTTTTATTTGTTTTACAATACATGACAAATATTAGAAAAACATGTACACCATTATTGTGTTGTTACATCCTATTTTGTTTCTAAAATGGCGTTTGTTTGAAATAACTCAATAATGGTAATAATAAGCCTCTATCAATCATCTTACTTGAAATGAGACCACAGCGTTTTAAAACCATAATAGCTATGTCATTAAAGACAACTGTTTTTCTTTCATTTGGTTGCATTGGTCATTAATGGCTGCTCAATGAATAGATGGAGGAAAGAAAACCTGAGGCAAAAGGATCATAAAGTGTTATTATTAAAAGCATATTCCTTGGCATTTCACTTAAATTTACATTTCAATAGATTCTTCTCTGTTATACAATTGTTACTCGCTTTTTAAAATCATTTTTCAAACATTGTATCTTTGTATCTTTTTTGTTTATCATGCAATAACAGTTTCCAGAGCTTCTGTTATAATAAAATCAGTGGAATAGAAATGCTTTGACCTCTGTAATATGCACAATAAAGACTATGGTAAGAAAGTCACAAGCTTATGTTACACTCAAAGACAAAAATTAGGCAGAAAACAACTTATCAACCCTGCCTGCATCTATCAGCTCTTCAGGGAAGAGCATCATTTAAATCTCCTTCTCAACCAACCTGAGTAGAAGAAATATATTCACTTACCTGTCTAATCAAACAGCAAATGTAATAATTTGGCATGATTATGAGAAGAGGAAAAACTTTGTAGGCTATCAGTTTGATTTCATGATTTTTCAACATAATTCATTTCTAACAGCATGGTACATATTCTAAAGTAATTCATAAGGGTTAGTCTCTATTCTTTGAGATTTACATGGCTACTAAGGGATGTAATAAGTCAGGAAAGATATAGTACCTTGTAGTAACACTATGTGCCATAAAATGCTAAGAAGCACTTTTATGCCACTCCTTATTTCCTCCTAGGGCTCAGAAAAGGAGTATGTGGTACCACCACCAAGAATGAGAATTGATCTGCTAGCATTGCCTTTGTGTAGATTATAAAACCTGCATCATCTAAAGCTAACCTTTAGGCAAGTAGATGTCTGACTCTTGCTGAGGCATTTTGATGAATATTGTATTTGTACCACGCCATTAAACTCTAAACCATCACTACATGATGCTTTATAGATAAAATGTTTCATTAATTCTATATTTTGCTCCAATCTCAGAATGCAATTATAAGAATACAATTTTTTTTTTTTTTTTGAGACAGAGTTCACTCTGTCACCCAGGCTGGAGTGCAGTGGCGCTGTCTAGGCTCACGGCAACCTCCACCTCCTGGATTCAAGTGATTCTCCTGCCTCAGCCTCCCGAGTAGCTGGGACTACAGGCATGTGCCACCACACCCAGCTAATTTTTTTTTTTTGTGTGCATTTTTAGTAGAGAAGGGGCTTCACCATGTTAGCCAGGATGGCCTCGATCTCCTGACCTTGTAATCTGCCCGCCTCAGCTTCCCAAAGTGCTGAGATTACAGGCATGAGCCACCACTCCCTGCCATAAGAATACAAATCTAAAGATTTTTGTCACAGTTGACTTTTTGACATCACAATCCTAATAGTATTTTAGTTACATTAATGAATAACAGTAACTCTCAAAGATAGATTTTTATTTTCTAGTTTTGTAGCTACTGTGAGATTGGCAAAATTTCTGTTAATACAGAAGGAAATGTTCATATTTAAATTTTACTCATAATCTTAGGTAGAAATACTTCATATTTTGTCATCATGGAAATACTAAAAATATAGATTTATCACTTACATGACAATGCCTAACTTTTAAAATATTATACCTATATTATATATAGTGGTAAACTGCAAGAATGATATCCTTTCTTTCACTTTCCCTCCATGATTCACTGGTAGAATAATAGCTACCAGTTTCTGAAGGTTTGCTATGGGTCAGTATATGGATTACACAATTTACATATTTTTAATGCACTATTTATAACAAATGTGTGAAGGAAGGTGTCATCATCCTAATGTTTAGGTGATGAAACTGAAATACCAAAAGGTGAAATAGTTTGCCCCTAGGCAGTTAGAAAAAGGAGCTAAGATTCAATTTGGCATCAGATTCATCCCAAAGACTCCGCCTGTTGACTATTTCATACTGCTCATTTGTAATGGGGAAACTATTTCATACTGCTCGTTGGTAGTAGTGCAAACTCATTTAGGTCTCAAGGCCTGGGAATAATTCTCTATGTCTTGTGACTTTGCCTTCTGGGTGCATTTCTTTGCCCTTAGAGTTACTGTTCTTTTTTTTGAATGAGTAGCGTGTGCTTGCAGCTGAGTAGTGTTATCAGCCTGTTTCCTGCCTGTAGAATTTGGGGAGTCTGATAGATTTCTTATATTATGTCTTCTCTCTGTCCCTTTCCATTCAGGTTGGCAGTGTTTCTGCTGGGATAACATTCTCAGGAATGTTATCCATGTAGGTCTTCCATGTGTGTGTCCTAGATTCACTTAAACAGACAAGAGGCTTGTCCACATATCTTTTCTGGATAATCCCATCCCTATTTTTCATTTCTGATGAGTGAGGGAACCCATAAGTCATCTGCCTAATCCTTTCAGTGAGCCCTCTGTGAGAGGGAACATTCTGACCTTTGGATTTTTCCAGGCAGTAGCAAAAGGTTGCCCAGCCACACCTTTGGCTTTCTCTCCAGAGCATACTTTTCTGGAATGAATCTCCTAATTTTGGCCGTCTGAAAAGGCTGATAATTTCCAAAATCATCAAGTCTAGTTTCTCTTTGCTTAACATTTCTTCCTTCAATCCATCTCTTTCCTCTTACATTTTACTATAAGCAGAAAATGAAACCAACCATCCTTTCAACTCTGTTCATGGAAATCTCCTCAGCTAAATGTTTGAATTTATAGTTTCCATGTTTCGTTTACCATATAACTGCTTGCCATATTACTTGTGTCGGACATGTGTCAACTAAGCTTTCTGCCACTACATAATATTATATGATATTTCCTCCATTTTCCAATAACATATTCCTCACTCTACTGTTCAAAGCAATCTAGGCTGTTTTCATCATGTCCCTCAAAACTCTTCCAGTCCTGCCCACTGCCTAATTCCATAGCCCCTTCCACATATTTTTTATTTGTTGTAACCCACTTCCAGGTACCAAAATTAACATTTGTTTCTGATGGTTGTTATAACTGATTACCACAAATTTAGTGACTTAAAATAATACAAGTCTCATGGTTTTGGAGGTTAAAAATCCAAAATAGTCTCACTGGGCTAAAATCAAGCAGTCAACAGAACTGTGTTTTTTTCTGGAGGTTTTGGGAAAGAATCTGTTTCCTTACCCTTTGCAGCTTCTATAGGCTACCTACATCCCATGCCCCATGTCCTCCTTCTGTCTTCAAAGCCATCAACTGCATCACTGATCTCTCCTTCTGTCATTACACCTCCATCTCTGACTCTGACATTCCTGTCTGCCTCTCACTTGTAAGGACCATTGTCATTACATTCACTGAGTGCAACGTAACAATCCAAGATAACCTCTCCATCTCAAGCTCTCTAACTTAATTGCTTCTGTAATGAGGATGTGGGTGTCTGTGGCCAGCCATTATTCTGCCTACCTAGGTGTTCCTGGGCTAAGTCTTCCCCTTTGCACTTGGGGGTCCACAATCTGGTAAGCAGTTGCTCACATGCTTGGTCCAAGGAATATACTTAATACAGTCTATCCACATACACAGAGCTGTGTCTCAGATATTGTAAAGGGAGGGACATAATGGAGGAAAAAAGCAACTATCACAATAACAAAGAAAATTCTTAGCAGCTGTCCACGTCTCTATTCTTAGTTATGAAATGTTCACAGAACAGCCATCACACAAATCCAAAAATCATCACTGTAAAACAGAAAGACCAAAGCATAGTATCTCTCTCTGAAAAAATAGAAATAACTTAGCAAAGAGAATTCTGAGAGAATTTTGAGAAGATACACTACAAAATAAGGAATGAATTCCCTGACAGTGGAACAATTCCTAAAACAGAAGATCTTATATGCATTAAATATATATGTAACTTTATGTACAAACAATGAAAGTTGAAAACAGAGAAACATCCCATATTACAGACATTAGGAATAACAGAGAAAAGATAAACTATCCAGAGGACCTAAGCAGTCAGTGCAATATCCACTAAAGTAAAATCTCAGAGAGAATAAAGAAAATGGAGGGGATAAAATTATTAGAAAAAAAATCCAAGGTATATATTTTAAGATGGTCATGCCTCATTGAGCACTCACTCAGTGACTGAAAAAGTGACCTCCAGACACATGCAATCACAAAATCTTCAAGATTCAAGGAAAATAGAAGAACAAAAAAGACTAACAAATAAGAATGACCTCAGAATTCTAATTAGTAACACTAAATTCTAGAGAAAAAATAATGCCTGAAAGTTATGAGAAAATGTTTTTAAACTGGAAGTAATTAGCCAGCCAAAATAATTTTTAAAATAAGGCCATATTAAATTAGATTTTTCATACATGTATTTAACCAGGAAGCTTACTTTTTTGGACCTCTTTTAAAAAGTTACTTGGTGATAAATTTTGATCGTATACAATAAAAATGAAAAGGTTACAATTAAGTAGTTATCATAGATTTCGCAGAACAATGGGCTTCACCTATGAGTGCAATGAATATACGTCCTAGAATAATAGCTATCTGATAATCCAATACATAAACTGATGTAAATTAGAAAAATAATTTAGCAGGCTTTAAAAAGTATACCTCAAGAAGAAATTGGATTTGTCTGAGCAGAAGAAAATTCTTAACAACAAAGTGAGCATATAGAGCACAAACTTTTTTCTTTTTGTCAAAAAGAATAAACATCGTTAGGAATTACAAGGTAAGCAAATGGTGATGAAATCATAAACTGGGATGTAAAGTATATAATTCTTTTACAGTGTAATAATGATGATGACAGTCATACAACTGGGTGTGTAAGTCAGGTAGAGCATTGAAGAGGAACTAATTTCCTCATTGTATTTCACAGAATGGCAATAGAAACCTGAAATTTGATGGATCAAGAAATAGTGATGCACATTATAAAGCTTACCAATAGCAAAACAAAATGACTAAAAATATTGTAAGCAGAGGATAGGAAGTTAAAACAGAGTAATGCTAGTTATATTCCTTATTTTCCATAAGAGAAAATCAAACGATGCAGTTTAAAGACGATGAAACAAGGCATAAGGTTAGACTTACAGGAGAATCCACTAGAATCACACAAATATATAATGGTTAAAACTGGTAGACCTTGGAAAGTAGGACTCTAGAAGTTTGCAGAAGTGCAATTTACAATTTTACATTATACCGCATTAGTTTTCTTAGGTTTATTTACATTTGTAATGAATAAAAAAGCTTATAGACCTCTCTTCCCCCACCCAAAAGAAAAATTCAACTCACCTCATTTATCCTCCAATCTTTTGGAGAACAAAGTCAACACTGGTCTATTCATCCCATTAAAAAAAAAAAAACTTTGCACTTAGCATCATATTTAATTTATTATTTAGTTTATATACTTATAAAAGTATTTTATATACTCTTATTCTGTCTTTGCAATTCTAATATCTTTTAAAAAACTAAAGAATAATTCTATATATATGCATTTAGAATTATGTCCTGTTTCTAGTCTCATGAACTGCCAAGTCAATGGTAGATAATTTATATGTACTTATTAATAGAATTATCTTCAAACTAGTTGACAAATAGAAGCTAGAATAAACTTAATATATAGCTTTGAGCAGAGTAAAGAGGTAATCTGAAAAAGAATGGAATCATCAGGAAAAGAGAATTTTGATCTCTATTTCTAAATAAATGATTAGAAGAATAGAGAACATACATGTCTCTGACTTCCTGAAAAATAAATCTGTCGACATCATTTCTCAGAAGAAAATAGAATGGGCTACCCCTTATATCTCACTTAAATTTTAACCACTTCAGCATAATGTAAAACTGCCAGCAAAATTGTGCTAGACTAATTGCCCATTCAAGTGTATTCCCTTCCACAACACCCTATAGAAATGTTGCTCCCCTTAATTGCAGAGGAAATGCCTGAAGCTGACTCATTTCAAGAATCTTTGTCTGTAGGATTCCTATTTTCCAATAATCTCACTCGTGTGAGATTGGCAAGGTCAAAAAGAAGTCTCATCTAGGCACATCAGGGCAGCTAGGGCAAAAACATGAATATGAATAAACTGTAAATGAGAGTTGTTGCTAGTGGCTTCCAAGTGAAATCTTGCAGCAGAGTCTATTGCTATCTTTTCTGTGGTAAGTTCTGCATCCTCATTGCAAGTTATGTTCTATATATTTAATATCCACTTGATAATTTGAAATAAGGAATGGAATATATATACATATAAAATATAATCAATTTCAAAACCAGAAAAATAGTTTTTCAGCATGTATTTTAAAACTAATTTATGTCTATTTTTAATATTATTCTCTTGTCAAATTTTTGAAACTAGCATAAGAAATCACGCCTATAAGAATGTTCCATTTTTAAGACAAAATAGCAGATATGAAGAATGAACAAGTCCAGAGATCTAATGTACAATATGAGGACTATCATTAATAAAATTGTATTAGGGATTTTGTTAAATAAGTAGGTTTTAGCTGCTCTTGTCACACACGCACACACACACACACACACACACACATAAATAACTACGTAAGATGATAAATATGTTAATCACCTTCACCGCAGTAACCATTTTACTATATGTATCCCATAACATCGTATTTTAAAGTCATTACTCTTTTTTTGGATAAGACTGGGGTAAGAAAGCTCAATATCTCAATTCATTTTGACAGTCTGTCTTATCCTATAGCATTATGCTTTAAAAAGTCTACCTTGTCTCATAATATTCTTTTATTTGGAATTAAATTACACAAATACAGTTATATTACTGAACAAACTTTTGTCAATAGTGCCTCCTTCAATTGAAGGACTATAATTAATTCACTTACTGACATCTAAATTCCTTTTAAAATTTCTCCCAGAAGAAAAGAGATATCAAAAAAATCAGAGTTTGACAGCTTAATCTTCTCAATATGTCACTGCAAGAATTGTAAATTGCTGTCAGATTTTGCTGATTTGGGGACTGATAGAACTGGAATAACAAATATCAAGTGCTATGAGAATGTGTCGTGTTTCAAGGTACCATGGAAATAAATATTGAAAGAAAGAATAAACACAATTGCACTTAAGAGATTAGATCAGTTGGCCAGGCGCGCTGACTCACACCTGAATCCCAGTACTTTAGGAGGTCAAGGCAGGTGGATCACCTGAGGTCAGGAGTTTGAGACTAGCCTGGCCAAAATGGTGAAAACCCCTATCTACTAAAAATACAGAAAATTAGCAGAGCATGGTGGCAGGTGCCTGTAATCTCAGCTACTTGGGAAGCTGAGGCAGGAGAATGGTTTGAACCCTGGGAGGTAGAGGTTTCAGTGAGCCGAGATTGCGCCATTGCATTCCAGCCTGGGCAACAACAGTGAAACTCCGTTGCCGAAAAAAAAAAAAAAAAAAAAAAAAAAGAGGTTAGATCAGTTAAGCATTGTAAAAAGTTAACACCACGTATGCAGGATCATCATAAGCATAACTTTACAAAACTGACTGATTTGCAAAGTATATAGTCTGTTATTACTTGAATCCATGTAAAAAGGTGCTCTGCTCCAATTCTTAAATGCTCAGTGCAGAAGTAGAATGAATTCCCTTTAATACTCGTTTGTTCTAACGATGTCTTTATTCTTGGTAGAACAAACAGAAGATAACAGAGTAGGCTTATGGATCCTTCTTTCAGGCCAAAGATCACAATGCCTATTAATTCAACCTTATTTCACTGTCCATCGCATAAGAGACGAAGTCCTTAACTGTTGGTTTTATTCATAGATTTACTGGGGCTAAATACTCCAGAATGAGAATGCTCTTATGTTCCATCATTGTTTCCTCTGGACTCTGCCTCAAATATTGCATAAGATCTCTGTTTAAAGCAATTCCATTACTGCTTTGTGAGTTGTTTATTGCTACTTTTCCTCCCTGAATTCAGTCATGCTACCATATTTTGTTCTTGATTCTGTGTCATTAGAATATCTGTCCTTTCTCTACACCCCTCTGTCTCTCTCTTCTTTTCTCTCTCTGCTTCAACTTAATTCCTATGAGCAGCTTTGATTTTCTGTCATCAGATGTTGATTTAAGGCCTGGGTCAGTAAAGCAGATGCCTGGGTCAACAATCTTGAAGAGAAAAATGTACTTAACCAGAACTCATCTAAGGAAGAATATGGCAGTACAGAATTGGAAGGAAAACCTACAAAGTCTCTTTATGTAGAGGATTAAATTCCACAGGAACTTGCTGAAGACTAGTCAATAATCTGATTTCTAAGTGAAGATCCTGTGAGAAACAGGGCTTTTTTTTTTTTTTTTTCCTGCTTGTGCTATGCAAGATTGGGCTAGAGCTGAATTGCTTGGGATCACAGAAGAAAGAAGCATAGTGTTCCTTAATTGTCATCAGGTGCACTCAGAATCTCCTTTAAAAAAATCTAAAAATATTCACAGACTCTCAGTGTGATGGGATACCAATTTGTCAGCTCCCATGTGCTCCCATGTACTTGAAGCACAACTAACTTATGTGTCAGAATATTTACCAGATATTTTTTGACACCATCAGTTTCTTGAATTTCAATATATCCTAAGTGCCTTTCAATGTTTTCCGAGTTTCATTTTATTCAAGTCTTTATCTGTAGTACTCTGACCAATACAAAGTAGTTTATATTCTTTCTACCTCCTAATTTAGCTTCCAAGGGCACTGTTATCTACCTTAAAAGTACAAGTACCTTTGTACTGCAAGTTATCATTAAACTTGCACTTACCATGTCATTTCTGACCAGAAATGTCTTCATATCTCTTTCTACATATAAATCTCCTCTTTCTTCATTGTTAATTTTCACCTCATTATCCTTTTGTATATGTATCCAACACATTATCCTTTTGTATATGTATCTAAAACATTATCCTTTTGTATATGTATATCTTTCTCTCTCTTCCTCTCCCCTTTACAAACTTCTATCAATCAACAGTCCCTTTAAGTTTTCAATTTGTACAAACATCTTTACTCCTCTCCATCTATACTGCCACCCACGTCGTGCAAGCTACTATCTTCCCTCAACACAATATATTAAGATATGTTCTTAAAGAGGGTTTTTGGTATCAATTTTGTTATTTTCCATTCATTTCTGCACAATAGCAACATTGCAAAAGTACTAAATTCTTTCAGAGGCTTCACAAACTAGAAAGCAAAAGGAATATTTTACACATGGAGTAATTTATTTTCAATTTGGAAAACATCAGTCTTATATTTTTATCATATAAAATGAATTACAGATGATATTTAAATGCAAATAATATTTAATAGGTCTTGAAGAAAGCAACTATTTATAATAATGGAGACAGAGGTTTTTCTAAACAAAATAAAATTTAGGAATCCATGAAGAAAATATTATATATATTAAAATGTAATTTCTATTGAAAAACATGAAGAGTGAGAAAAAAGACAAGCTGGAAAAATAAATTAAAACATATCACAGAAAGTAAAATGGAAAAACCATGATTTCTATAAAAAAATGTGGGCAAAGGAATGATTACCCCCTCAAAAAATAAAAATGAGCCAAAACATATTAAAATGTTTTCAATATCATTTATTTTGAAAATTAAAATATAAAAACAATATACCATGTTCTCCTGTTATACTGAGTTATATTTTATAATCTGAGGATACCTAATAGACTTGAAATATTTCTGAAAATGAGCAATATAAAATTTTGAGAGCTTTCATTTATGCAATATTATAGGTAGAAATTTTCACAATATATATAATAAAGATACAGTAAAACGTTTTTTGATCAAGTGATCCCATTATTGCAATGACAAATAACAATAAAACAATGTGTAAGATGGTGTTGAATAGGCAAAGTGGAGATAGATCTAATGGGGTTAGAGGATTCTGGGGACATTAATTATTCAAATGATTTAAAATACTACTATTTTTTACTAATAAAAGAAAATTCTTGGAATAACCTGAGCAGAATACTGAAAATGTTTTCAAATTCAATCTGAGATGACTAGTTAATCTAATGTGACATTTAAATATACTCTGAAAACCACATAAACTGACTTAAAGTCATGTTTAAACTGCTGTGTTTTAATTATTCAGTTTTTCTATCACGAGAAAAATTTTATGCCAAGAAAAAAAAAAGTAGATGTTCCTTAAGAACTAGGTATGTATCTATTGTTCCTTTTCTGTTCATTGTTATTAGTAGTTCTCTAGTACCTAAAAGACTTGCTAACATATAACAGGCACTCTATAACTTTGTTTTCTTAATAAATCCATGAATAAATGAATTAATCACTAAATTAAAGTAAAAATACAAGAAGTAATTTCCATAGAATGGGTTTATTGTATTAAAGGAGAAACATAATAAAAATGTACCTAGGTTACTTTAAATATAAAAAAAAATAGGGACTCTTAACATATGAAGTTGATGATGGTTACAATTACATATATAAAATATATGTATCATGTATAGTTATATATTTCTACATATATTAAAAACAAATACTATTTTAATTACTCTGGCATTTCAATAACAGAACAGACTATCAGAAAGCTCACAAAATCAATAGTCAAATATACAATGATGGAGAAAAATAGGCATCTTTTAGGGCACATATATGAGGGCAATGTGAGGTGTTATGACATACTGGGGAAATAATTGAATCAGGATTCTGGAGACTCAGAATCTAGCACCAGTTTTGCCCCATGAACTAGCTTTATGACTTAGAGCAAATCAACTAAAATTTATGGATTTTAGTTTCATCACCTATAACTCAATGGAAGTAGACTAAATTATCTGAGTCTTTTCAGCCTTCACATTCTAAAACTCCTACAAAACTTTTCCTTGTACTTCTAATCAGATGAATTTAAAATATAGTAATTATGATATCTACACATAAATTGAGAGTGTTTCTTACAAAAATTTTAATTATATCAAAGATGTCTTTAAAATAATACTTTCCAAAAAATGTAAATAACATCAGATTGACAAACAGATTTATATTTGACAAGGCAAAATAGATGATTAGGCTAACCTCACTGTCGCCTAGGCCCCATAGCATCTTCCCTCCAAAGTTGAAGTCCTTTGACATGCACCTGAGGACTCAGATCTATCTAGATTTGGGGACCAGTTGCTTTCTTAGTTGGACAATATTTAAGAAGTAGTGAACTTTTAAAGTCAGAAGACTCAGAATTGAACTAAATTTTACCCTATTCTTTCTCTGTCCTTATTTCCAGTTCTGGCAACAGAGCTTCTCTTTTATTTTTGTCTTGTTTTTTTTCCATGGGACTCCAGAGTCATAATTGGATATATCCCTGTCCCTTTCCTAATTATACATTCTAATTAAAATACAGACAAACATTTTGTGTATATCTCAGCTTGACTCCTAAGTGCAAATTAATTATTTAGTTTGAGATTATATTATTGAAAATATTAATCCTGCATGTAAAAGGTCATTTAGCAAATGACAAAAGTATTTTTTATTGAGCAATGCTATCTATGTGAGACAGAAAAATTATATATGCACAGATATCTAATATATCTATGTAAATGCATATGAATATACATACATAGGTATATATTTATATTAATCAGAAATTAAAATGAAGTACAATGGCCATTTATTTTTCATTCTTCTTCAGGTCCTGAATATATTAAAATACTCAGTATTATGTAGAACAAGATTAGCAAATTATATATCTTAACATAGGTTCTTTTTAGAAGACAAGGATAAACAAGCTGGTTAAGCATAAAGAAAGATTAAATCTAAAATGATTTAAAAAGGAATGTCATCCATCTTATACATATAGAATCTACAATTTTCATACTATCTTGTTGCACTATCGTAATTGTTAATAGTGCCCCCCTTTTAGTGCTTGATACTGTCCTGTTTTGGATGTTAAATTACTGTTCACTTTACTTGTCCATCATACAGTGTTTGAGGAATGGACAACGTTCATTGCAAGGGGTTCAGAGCAGGGGGAATAGTACACAGATTCATTTTGTGAATAAATTAATTTTTTTTGCCTGACTCCATTCCCACTACTCGCTCTGCAAATGATTGGACAAAATTTAGCAGTCTCATCTCTCTCCAAGCAACGTCTGCTGGCTCTCCCGAGAGTGGGGTGTAACTGAGTCTACTCTTGCCCTGTTGCTGAGCCATTATTCTTGGGACCATAAACATACATTATTTTGGTCTGTTCTATCTCAATATTATAATCCATTACATATTGCCTGTATTTTAATTTTATCTTCATAAACTAGAGGAATGGATTCTTCAAAGGCAAGTGATGAAGATAGCTACATTTAAATTATGCATAGGTCACAGGCCCTATATAAATGTAGAACACAGCAAGCGGTCTTCCACAAACTCTTGGTGGCTTCTCCCTAGGATGGAAACCATTCAGTGAAAATTCAGGTATTGTAAATTGACAATATAGCATGTCTGAACACAGAGGATTTGCATTTGTTATGTGAGTTCATTTAATGTCTTTCTAATTCCTCTGAGTTTTGCATTTCATAGACAGCCGGCTCAGTGTGAAGGCTATGAAGCTGTTCCAGAATCATCCAAAAGGAGGATTTAGTAACAGATGGCCATAAATACACCATAATGGGCCTTATTTTGTTTTATTTTATTAGACCAAAGTTATGGCCACAGTTATGAACTTAATCTGTCTTTTTTTATAGGCATGATAGTGGTTTACATTGCATTCATATCACCAGCTGCCTTTGCTGAATCAAATGCCTTTTACTGCTTAATGCAGCTAAGCATTGGAGCAAATAACATGTTTCCTGCGGCTTCTTGCCAGTCTGGAAATAAAATAGGGTATTTATAATAAGGCTGTTTTGGGCCTGGATAACACAGATACTTGGTTTTAAGTTAGATGTAACTCTAAAACTAAAGGACAAAAATCAAATTTAAATAATGAAGGAGTTTTAAAAACTATTCGTGATTAATTCAGTTCAAACTTGAAAAGACGGGAGAAATTTTATGGCAATACAAAAAGATGACAAGGATAAGGGAAGTGAAGAGAATCTGATCATGTAATGTGCCCTTTTAATTAAAGAGGATTATCCTTTTCTGAGAATCAGTGGAACAAACTCTTCTTTATTTTAATTTCAGATTTAGGTAATGTAATTTCATATTAAAATAAATGAAACAAAGCATTTGATTAAAGTAGACAAAGGAAAACTGAAGCTCTCATAATGCAAAGTCCACAATGTACAGACTAGTTGTATTTATCACTTATGTAGATGAGAACACATTACTTCACATAAAGACAAAAAGTAAAATGGTTATTTATAATAGTCTAGAAAATTCTGTTTAATCAAGAATATAGCATAATTATACAATTGGTATCATTTGTTGTACTAATAACTTGAAGTTTCTTAAACTGTCTAGCTTGCTCACACTTATATCCATTACTTTTCTATTTTTTTGTGTGTGTGCAAAGCAGTTTAGCTCTCTTTTTTTCTCACTGGTAATACTCAAGCTAACTTTTGGTTATAGTTCACCTTCCAGGTACTCTGATACCAGGAAGCAAATGGTATGGATATTGTACATAAATATTAAGTTTTGACACGGCATTGGGGTAAAAAATGTATTGGTGTTTTGATACATGCATAGGTTATTGAATTTTCTTAGAATTATTTAGGACTTGAGACCCAGGTAAACTCTGATTATGCTGACAGATTTTACTATTTTGACCTAGAAAATTGAGGATGAGAACCCTGTGAACCTGAGTGGCATCAAGTCTCTTTAACATATTTCTTCTTTAATTGTAATACCCAGCATTATAGATGAAGAGATATAGCAAGTATATTCCTTACAGAGAAACACTCATATTCTGTTAATTACCCCTTACATCTGCACATTATTCTGCTTTGCAGCTGATAACAAAAAAGTTATTTTTTAAATTATCAAAATTTCTGAGTTTATATTTTATGTTCAACAATTTATCTGGCAACAACAAATTGCTATACTAATATTGCAGAGAAAATATTGGCAACTCTTGATTATATAGGTCTATTTGTTGAGGATTTCTAAAAGTAGTAAAACAAAATCACAATTAAAATGATAAATAGTTCCCAACTTACAATAATTTTAAAACAATTATTTCAAATGTGCCTTTAGTACAGATAATTAAATTCACAAGTTACATTAAAGACACTCAGGTTGGTGGCAATAGAACATTGGATTCAAGTACAGCATTGCATTTTATGATAGAATAAATTTGGATAGTAAAGATTCAAAATTAGAAATGGAAATAATATAACTTTTCCACTAGTCTCAAAATGCATGTGCCTATGATTTGTCCCAACTTCAATTCGTTAAACCCCTCATATCATCTGTGTTACCTGAAATTATAATGAGAATGTGGCTGTGTTTTCTCCTTGTCTTGTCGCCTAACTGCAGAGACCTGATCTTGACAGAGGGGTGTATGCTCTGAAAGGGAGGCAAAGGAATGTTTCTAACCATCTCTCTCATGCATCCTGCTTTACTCTTCAGCTACATTCAATTTCTTCAAATAGAAGCACATGACTTAGGCAGATCAGCAGAACTGATTCTTTCTTAGAAGCTAAAACTGAGCCTGTAAGGAAACTAAGTTCTCACAGTTGTCCTGACTGGGCACTTATCCCTACAGTTATTACAGACTTGAAACAGTCTGTAACTAGAGGAAGATCATTTTGTATTAAGTGGCTGAAACAATCAATTCCCCAAGTTTGGGTTCTCATTAATCCACACCAGTTATAGGGAACGATTTGCTAGTAGACGTTCACATGACTTGGCAAAGGAGATGAGATGTATAGATTTAAATCCCTCCACTATTTATTAACTTTGTGAGCTTGGACAAATTTCCTGAACTCTTCAACTATCAGTTTAATCATCTGTTAATTGGAACTAGTCAAGCTATTTCAAAGGTTAAGGTAATCTCTATCACAATACCTGGAGCAGATTAGGGGCATAATAAATATTTCAGGGGAAGTAGCTTTCTCTCTAGGACTGATGAGCAAATTGATCTTCAGAGTCTCCTTATTCTTGAGGTTCTTCATATCACTAAGGCCAAATATATACTCTAGGCCCCCTTTCTTACATATTAGTGTAACATACAGCATATCCTGGCTAAAATAAACATTTTACTCACTTTTTCAATGGCTATTGCTTAGACTATTAATTACAAATTTAGCTGAGATATATATGCTTTTTTAAAGTCATAGTATTTTATAGCCTGATTAGCTAAATACCTGGTATTACTGTTTAAATTGTAGATGAGAGATGACTATAGGTAGAAGTGGTTGGACTATGGTTTTTAGTGATGGGTGCTTCTGAGCTAGGCCTTGAGTGATGATTAGTAGAATTTTGCTAAAATGGTACACTAACATGGGGTAGCAATGTCACAAAATCTAGAATTGGATGGATCTATAAAACTAATATAGACATATGAAATATCTCTGCAGCAACAGAAAACGGTGGGCAAAGCCAAAGTTTCTGAGCCCATCCATACACTCTTGGGTGGAATATGGTTATTTTAACTATACCTTTTTCTTGCCCACATTGCTCTAGATGAACCCTTACTGTCCCAAAGGCCTTGCAAGGGAGAACTCGGCAAGCAGTGTAAGTCAGTGAGGAAACATTACAGTGGCTGGGGCAAAAATAAAACAGGTGCAAGCAGACTGGCTAACCCTGTGAATATTTTCCTTCACTGAACCCTTCCATATCACATTGTAATTACAATTCAAGAAAAAAAACTCGAAAATAAAGTTAGGCCAGCTGCCGTGGCTCACATCTGTAATCCCAACACTTTGGGAGGCTAAAGTGAAAGGACCACTTGAGCCTAGATGGTCGAGACCAGTGTAGGCAACACTGGTCTCGACCCTGTCTCTGCAAAAAAGTTTTGAAAATTAGCAGGGTATGGAGGCTCATGCCTATAGTCCCAGCTACTCAGGAGGCTGAGGCAGGAGGATCACTTGAGCCTGGGAGGTTGAGGCTGCAGTTGATTGGTGACAGCATGTTGGCAGTCCTCACAGCTCTCGCTCACTCTAGGCACCTCCTTTGCCTGGGCTCCCACTTTGGCGGCACTTGAGGAGCCCTTCAGCCTGCCTGTAGTCCCAGCTACTCAGGAGGCTGAGGCAGGAGGATCACTTGAGCCTGGGAGGTTGAGGCTCCAGTGAGCTGTGATTGTGCCCCTGCACACCAGCCTGGGCAACAGAGTGAAACCTCATCTCAAGAATAAAAAATAAAAAGTAAAAAATTGTATCTGAACAGAAGTATACGTTAAAACACTCAAGTTCTCTACACTGAGGCCGATATTCTCCTTTCACAAATAGGCATCTTAAATTTATCAGAGGCAGCATAAGCTAGAATGGAGGCTTTATTGACTCTCTGGAATACATATCCCCATTGAGGTTACTAACACCTCCAGGGGAATATGAGTTCACAGGGAAAACAGCAACTCTGTTAGGAGGGTGGACTACGTAATGGCACAACCACAACTTCATACCTAATTCAAAACAAGCAGAATTAATGAACCAGGCAGAAGTAAAAAAATATAATATAGGACTATTAACATCTTCAATAATTGGCCAGGTGCGGCGGCTCACGCCTGTAATCCCAGCACTTTGGGAGGCAGAGGTGGGCGGATCATGAGGTCAGGAGATTGAGACCATCCTGGCTAACACGGTGAAACCCCATCTCTACTGAAAATACAGAAAAATTAGCCGGGCCTGGTGGCGGGCGCTTCTAGTCCCAGCTACTTGAGGGCTGAGGCAGGAGAATGGCTTGAACCCGGGAGGTGGAGCTTGCAGTGAGCCGAGATTGCGCCACTGCACTCCAGCCTGGGAGACACAGCGAATCTTCAATAATTGAAAGAGGATAATTGAAACATGAAGTGAAAATAAGAAATTATAAAGTCTTCAGGTTACAATAGGTAAACACTCAGTAGATGAGTTGAATTGCAAAGTGATATAACTGACAAAAAATATGAAAAAGATTTCACTGGATAAAAATAGAATAGATATGGGATATAAAAGTAAATGTATCAAGATATGCATTATATGTGCCCCTGAAGGTGAGTAAAATCTGTATGTTAATGTAAAGAAAATCAGATAAAATGAAAGCTAGTAACTTCCCAGAATTAGAGAAAGAGCTAATATTTCAGACTGAAAGATCTGAAGCAACCCCAAGATTAATACAGTTACTTTTGAACAACTGGGGGATTGGGGTGCTAAGCCACCCCATGCAGTTGAAAATTCATGGATAACTTTTGACTCCCCAGAAACATAACTACTAATGGCCTACTATTGACTGAAATCCCTACTGATAGATAACATACAAAATATGTGTTGTGTTAATTGACTATGTTTTCTGTATTATATACTGTATTCTTACAATAAAGTAAGCTAGAGAAAAGAAAATGTTATTTAAAAATTATAAGGAGGTGGAGAGAGAGGAGGGATTGGTTTTGCAGTCTCAGGGGTAGCAGAGGCAGAAGAAAAGCCACATATAAGTGGATCCATGCAGTTCAGATCTATGTTATTCAAGGGTCAACTGTATTGTAAATTACACATTATAGTGAAATTCAAAGCATTAAACACAGAGAAGATTATAAAACCTGTTAGAGATCACCTACAAAGGAATAAGAATAGCATATGCTAAACATCATTACTAGAAGAAAGAAAACAGTGAAGTAATATTTTCCATTTTTTGAAGGAAAAGAACTTTAAACACAATTGTGTAACCAGCTAAATTATCGTATCAATCTGGAGACTAGGGGAATATATTATCAGGAAGAGGCTAAATGTCTCAGGGTTTATTGTAAACAGAACTCCTTATTATAAACAGAACTCCTTTGATAAGGGTCTTTAAAGGCATATTCTATCAAGAAAAAGTGGTAAGTTCAAAAGGCTGTTATGAGACCTGGAAAGTAAGGGTGAATAAATAACTTAGAATGGATAACATATCTAGAATAGCAAAAAGAAAGAGTACTGGGAGTTAGGATGTGGGATGAGGAAAAAAAAAGAATAGGGGAAACTTGCATAGAGCAAATAGGCTTCTATGTAATGAAATAAGAGGTATAATTAATTAAGAGAAGACAAATAGGAGCAAGACCAAGCAAAGAAGAGGGAGAGAGGAAGATGTTCAGGTGGTTCATCAGAAAATGTCTATTTAGAAAGACTGAATAGACTAGCTTAGCAAGTGTGGAGGTTTGATCTCTTATTACAAATAAAAATCAAGCTAAAAAATTGAGAGGCCAGCTAATGGAAAATATAGAATCCTAAGCTTAAAAGGAAGGATTTTGTCTTAAAGACAACTGAATTCACTGATTGTTTGTGAGTAGGCATGTAACACAATAAAGCTATCTTTTTAAAAAGTTAACTTTAGCAGCAACAGTTAAATTGGTTGAAAGAAGAGAAGTCAGGAAGGTATTAAAGCAATTCAAGCAAAGATTTATAATGCTTTCAAATAAGATGATGGTATAGCTTATATAACATCAACAAAGAATAATTAAATAGGATGTCCCCTAAGTTTCCTCATCTAGAGTAATGCTAAATCCTGGTACACAGTAATGTCACATTGGCATACAAGAAATATATTGTTTTCTCACACATCAAAAAGAAAATTTCTCTTTTGGCAAGAGATGCAGAATGTATATCTTCTCTATCACAGAATTGTGAAAGAAAATGCAGAAAATAGAAATTAGAGAGCACAGTTCAGAAGGGAATAGGCAGAACAAAAGTCATTACAAATAGAATAAGATAAAACCTGACTCCAAGCCCTCTTTTCTCAGGGGAGTTAATTGAAATGAGGAAGAAGTAATTGGAGCTGGCACTATTTCCTGCTATTAAGGCTAAGAAAGAGTCAAATGCTTCTAGAAATAAATTGTTCTTAAAGCACAGGTCAAAATCACAGTAACAGGAATAATCTGCTTTCTCATCTGAGACTTGCCCAGGTGAGAAGGGCTTCCTTTTTAGGTAACTAGCAAGGCCACAGTTCTAAGCTGATCAGGGAACTGAACTGGAATCTGAGCATTAACCATAACCTCCTTTCAGAAGACTTAAGGCCAGTATCAGTTCTTGTTAGAATCAGCATTATTCTGAGCAAAGAGCCTTCCTCAGCACAAGGCTAAAGCCTGAGATGTTTGCATCGACAAGCCACAGGAAGTGATCTGTCCAGATCTGCTAAGAGACATTTCTTCTATGGGAGTGTGGATACTTTCAAGGTAGAGCTGTGGACTAAATTACTTGAAAGAGGAGGTAACAGAAAGGAAGAGGCATTGGAAAAAGAAAAAGAGGGAGCCTAAATGGGGATCTTTCCCTAGGTCTGGAAGTGAGAAACTCTTTTATTTATCTTACAAAGTGTTGCCTTTTGAGATCAAGCAGCTCCTTTAGTAGGAAAACATTTAATAATCTCATGCCAGTCCACTGTGGGTTTTGTTTGGAGGAGACTGAAAAGAAGGAACTTACTTAAGAAAAGGGAGATGCTATGGATGTAATTGTGCCACCCCCTGAAGTCATATGTTGAAGTTCTAAACCCCAATGTGACAGTATTTGAAGATACAGCCCTCAGGACGTATTTCAGGTTAAATAAGGTTGTGTGGGTAGAGTCCTAATGTGATAGGATTGGTGGCTTTATTGGAAGGCCATGTGGAGACAAAGAGAAGGTGGCTACCTACAAGCCAGCAGGAGAGTCCTCACCAACAACCACCACATCAGCACCCTGATCTCAGACTCTCAGTCTCCAGAACTGTGAGAGGGAGAGAAAAAAAAAATTCTGTTGTTTAAGCCGCCCACCTCTATGGTATTTTGTTATAGCACCTAAGCAGACTTACACAGGTGGTCAACCAGGGCCTACTCTGTACAGCCCTCATGTTTGATCTGTTGCAAATGAAAATATATGATTATTAACCAACCCCACTTCCTAATACACAAACAAAGTGTCTGAAGTTAGCATTGATTATAAAGTCTATGTAATATTATGCTTGCTTTGTAAACTGCTCTGTTAATGCAGAGTGAAGTATATTTAGAACTTTGTTTATACCAATACTTGATATAAAATTCAAGATGTTTGATTAACTCAAATGCTTGGCATCAAAAAGATTCGGAAGCTTAAGTCAAGCACACAGTGTCTATATTTAAAAGGTAAAATAAAAGCAGATCATTTTTCCTACTTGCTAGGGCTTAGCAGCTACATGATATTAGAAAAACTTGCCAAGTATGGCAGAATATGCGTATGCCTGCAGTTGGAGCCACATGTTGCTTCACTTCCAACTCTTTTACAATATTCTACAAAAGTTATGGTTGACAATTCATTTCTTTCATAATTATTTACAACTAGGAGCATGATAAGCACTATAAATATCTATAAAGTAAAATTTTATGTATGGTGTCAGTACATACTTTCTTTTTACCTCTTTTGGCACTGCTTAAAATAGATGTTTTCCTATTTTACTTTCCTGATAGCATTTCTCTAAAATTCATCTTTTACAGTGAAATAAAATACTGGCAGTAATAAACAAGTTTTAAAGCTTAGTCTTTTTTATCTAGTTCCGGCAGTTCGTATTCATTATTTCACACTTTTAAGAGAGGAAGATGGATCCTTCTGATCCCTGACCAATATTTATAGTTTACTCGGAATAAAGCAACATATGGCAAGTCGGTATTTATTTACTACATATCATGACTCAGAAGTGCATTTTTTTCAGTGTCACTAGTTCACATGATAAAATAACTTGCAAAATGTTAAATTATCTGCAAAAAATTACCATACTTAGAGGAATCCAATATTAACACATTAGATATTCTCTACAAATGAAACAAATATGCAGATTTAAAACTATACCCTCCACTTATTTTGTTTTAAGTCAATGATCATTAACAAGTTTCTTAACTTTTCTTTGGAACTCAGATTATAATAAAACTGGAATAGTTTATGTAAGACTCTATTTAGATGACACATGTCCCCAGGAGATTAGCATTCTATGCTTTGTGCTTTTTGCAAATATATCTGAAACAAAAGCTATAACACATTTCCATATATGTTTGCTTTGCATCCTTCTATTAGACTGGAAGTTCTTTAAATGAAGAGATTATTTTATTAATCCTTTTGCCCTGCAACCTAGCACAGTAATTGACAATAAGCACCCTTGCAGTAATTGCTTGTTGAATGAACTAATAAATACATAGTAAAAATTTGGAATAAGGTCTCTAAAGCAGCACTGAGTAAGTCTGATTCTGAGTATTCAGTTACTGTTTCCTTGGCAAATCAGTCCACCTTTTTGTGAGAATGAATAACAGAAATTAGTTCATAGGGTTTTTATTGTTATTCATGAAATCAATACTTACAAAGCATTTAAACTAGTATGTGCCTCCTAGTAGGGTCTGTATCAACATCTGTCTTTTTTTTTTTTTTTGAGACAGAGTCTGGCTCTGTCATCCAGACTGGAGTGCAGTGGTGTGATCTCAGCTCACTCCAAGCTCCACCTCCCAAGTTCACGCCATTCTCCTGCCTCAGCCTCCTCAGTGGCTGGGACTACAGGCGCCCGCCACCACGCCTGGCTAATTTTCTGTATTTTTAGTACAGACGGGGTTTCACCGTGTTAGCCAGGATGGTCTCGATCTCCTGACCTTGTAATCTGACCTTGTGATCCACCCACCCCGGCCTCCCAAAGTACCGGGATTACAGGCATGAGCCACCATGCCTGGCAACATCTGTCATTATTATTCAATATTGGAAACATAAAGAACTGTTTTTATTTTACATGAAGCTGTGCTATGCTGAGTAAGATAATATATTCTTGTCTACTTATGCATAGAACAAGATCTTCACTTTTTGCAAAACTCGAGATGCTATAGACTTTTAGCAACTCAGTTAACTTGTCTCAACATGAGTTCAATTCATCTACTTAACAATCTTTATTTGACAAGATATGAAGTAATGCCAACACCAGTCTTCGAGAAATTCACAGCTCAAGAAGAAAGTTTGAGAAAGATACAGAGCAATAGTAATTTATAGAAATCACTATTGGCATTTGCCTCTGTATTCTGTAATTATGTATTTAATTATCTTTCCAATATAATTAATTTTATTTAAAGGGGAGATATTTTATTCTCATTATCCTCAATTCTTCAATATTTCACAATAGAATATAATAAAATAACATGTAATAAAACAATTGCTGGTGATTCATCTGAGGGATTGGTACAAAAAGTTGATTCATTAATATTTTTAAATTAAGAAATTATTTTAAAAATGCATATTCATGGCACATATTTAATTCAGCTTTAAACAGGGGAAAAAATAATTTGCCTAGATTTTAATAAAGGATCCAGGACTTTTCTCTGAGCAGAGGTGTCCTATTCATGTTTTGCAAGGTCGGTCTTGTATATGTAGTAGTCATAAGGTACTAAGTAGAATTTTCTATTGCTGTTGCTATAAAGCGCTGATGAAACAATCCGAGTGAAGCATAAATTTAGAATTTTTCTTTTTTATTTCCCTGGTTACATAAATAAGTTTCATTTTAAATATCTAAGTAGTGTTTTCAATTATTGACTTTTATATATCAAAACTTTCAATGTAATTTTTTCTAATATAACACTTTGTTTTTTGTATGTAAATGTAATCAATTAGCAAGGAATTCAATAAAATATTATAATAACAAGTACCACTGATATATTTAACAGACCAAAGGCAATGATCTCTTGGTACACACAAATCATCCTGTGCATATCTCAGGACTTGGGCCAGGGGATACTACACAAGCATGCAGTGGTTGGAACATTTTAGAGAGAGAATGGAGAGTGTTAGTTAATTATTTAAGTTCTGTCATCGAAGGTCTATTAAGATAACTTCTATTGTACATCTGGTTGTTAGAGATCTGGAAGTTCGTCACAAAGGAGGTGTTATTTAAGGTAGACTTAGAAGAAAGAAAAAAATGGGAAAGATACTTGAGAAACAGGAAACAGTATAGGAAATGACATGAAATGAAGAAAATGTGTGATCCTGAGGAAGAGTAATTAGTCTAACTTGAGCATATGAAGAGAGGTTTTGAAAGGGAAATTTTCAAAAAGGTCTTGAATGCTAGGATGGTCAAGAAAATTAAAATCCTAAGCGATACTGAAAATGGAAGGTTTGTAAGAAGGGACATGGTACCTTAAGAATTCATCTTGCATCAACGTGAGATAATTTAGATGAGATGGGGTGTTAATCAAAGACAAAAAGCTTTAAAATGATGATGATAGACAAAAGCAAGATTTTTGTTTGAGAGATGATTTAAATATCAATTATATATGTATATATGTGTATGTATATATACACACATACACATATTTACCACATATCATGCTTTACAACATAGATTAACTCATATAACCCCCATAATATTTATAGTAGGTAGATACTATATTCAATAGAAGTTGAAGAAACTGAGGCACAGATACTTAAATTTGACCAAGGTTATGCAGCTAGTAAATGACGGAGCCAGGCTTTGAACTCACAGCAGAGCTTCTGGCCAGCTTTTAACCACTAAACAATAGGGCCACTTGTGAAGAGAGGAGTAAGCACACTAAAGTGAAGTAAGGATTATGGTTTTCATAGAGGTACACACTTGGGGAAAAAGTCCCCTCAGACCCAATCAGCTTTTCTTTAGTATGGTAGACACCTCCTGCTTGTACCTTCCCAAATAATTTCTCCTTCTGTTAAATGTTGCTGATATTCCATTGAAAGGTGCACCCTTCTCCTGTTGCGTGAAGTTCATGACCCTACTTTGAGCCCGAAAAGTGGGCCCTAATTGGCTTAAGCCATTCAGCAAAGTCCATCCTCTTTCCATAATAATTAATTCAGAGATGGGCAAATGATGCAATTGAAGTGATAAAATGTTTATGAAAGTAGTATCTTTCTTCTTCAAGAAGATTACCTGAAACTTTCCTTCCCATTTCCCCTCTTTGGATGTCAATGAGGAAGCATTTGGCCATGGTGTCAGTCTATGACCACGGGAGGATCTTAACTTAGGTTGAAGCTTTTATTCCCAAAGACAAAACAAAAAGAAACACATCCTAAAGGACACTGCTAAGTTGCTGTAATTAAAAGAGTCAATAGGTCACCTTTTAGTTTATAAGCAATTCTAAATTAAATTTTAGGTTGTTGCAACTAAACTTATTGTAATGTATTTACATATGCAGCTTCTTGTATCTGGACCAATGTAATTTCATTTCCAAATTTGTGACATTCTCCTTTTACTTTCTGATCCATCTATTTATAAAACATTTAAATCATGGTTTCCTCAATGCCATAGTGATTTCTTTTTAATACATAGAAATATGAAAATAATGTTTAAGACCCAGTGGAAGATCTGAGCAAGTTTAGAAAGTCATTGCCTTGTAGAGATAGATTATTTTCTTTGTTATCAGAAAAAGACATTTTAGTAAAAACCAGTCTCCTTCAGATCCATAAAGGTATGTAATTCAAGTCTATATGATTTTGAAACTCAGCAGCAAATATTCTATTTGATTCTGACTTATACTGATTAATCCTCATTAATAGGTTTGTGTTATTGGTATGAAATACAGTAATCTATTTCCAGAGTTAATAAAGATGAACAGGACAGGGTTTATAGTGTGAAATAAAACAAAAATGTTATTTTAAAATAATTGTTTTAAGTGCTTTTCAAAATACATTTTTAGTTTTAGATAAAAGCATATGGAAATATCAAATAGTAAATTGAAAACTCTGCATGTGAATGTCAGAAGCAAGTTCTCAATAAGATATGCACATTCAAAAGACACAGGCAAGTAAACTAGGCTCATGTTAGACTGTCATTTCTGATATTATGGTGGTTTAGGTGGTCTAAGAAGCTTCCTGCTTCAAGAAAATTAGATTCTAAATAGAAAAAAAATGTTCTAGATTTGTAAAAATTGGAGGAGTTCTTAAAAACAAAACCCCAAAGAATCCCTATTTATCTCTGCTTATTTTGTTCCCAAACACCTGTACCTGGTGTTGGAGTTCATACATAAAACTGTGGGTAGTCAGGATTTCTCTGAAGGCAGTGGTTTGTAATAGCCCACCCATAGGTACAACAGGTCTTGGGACACTGCTTAAGTAAGGGGTTAAGTTTGGGGTTCATAACTGATTTGGGCTTCTGTGTTGGGAATGAGAATAAAGTTGCTCCAAGTCTTTGGCAAACCTTGACGGCTTATAGAAGCAAACCAAAATTCCTGTCTAGAGGAAAGTAACTCCCAAAGGTGGCCTGGTGAAAATATGCAGATTAGCATCAATGAACATGCACACAAAACAGTAAGTTCAATTTAAAAAAACAGATTTTGACTTCTAATCCTAAAAGATTATCATATAAATTGTAAAATGTGTATAATACTAAATATAACTATGCTTAACAAAGGATAGAATCACAAATATAAATAGATAGTAAGTTATAAACGATTACCATTACATTTGTAAAAGAGTCAAACTGAACTTACAGAATTCAAAATTACTACTGATTGAAATTTACATTTCAGTTAATGAGTTAGATTAGCAGTTGGCTAATGACTTCTTCAAACTTGGAAGATAGGGGAAATGTTTAAGTTCTGGTGTCAACAATTCTAGTCTCACTTCTCATAGTTTCACAGTTATTCATATCATCATTATATGTCAAAATGTATAGGAGTTTAATGTATATTGTGATATATCAAACATTACATAAAAATTAAGAAAAAAGTTTTATAGAATATAAGATTGTGTGAAAGTTGTGACATTGTCTTGGTTTTGGGACAAAAAGAATACTGTATGAGTGGAATGAATGAACTGCAAAGGGGCAACTGAGTAACAGCATTGGAAAATTATCTGAGAAAGGATCAATGGAAAGCTAGCTACATAATAATAACTAATCCTGTTTTTTTACTGATCACTTACTAGATGTAATGATTATGTTCTGTAGTCTTTGAAACCTGTGAAAGGACTTGATGGCATCTAGGAAAGTCAGCTCTCTCTCTGTTCATTCTAAAAACTGTTGTTTGTGTGTATAAAAACAAACCCACAAACAACTTGCTTGAAATAAAACAAATATGTTTTATTTTATCTGCAATTTTCAATTTTTGATCTTCCTAATCAGAACCCCATAAAATAGGAGAAAAATATCAGCTTGACTTTGAGCTTCTCCATTGTATTTTCCCTGGTGCAATTATTCAACTATAAATTCCCTCAGTTGTATTACACAGAGGGCATCAAGATAAGTTTTATTTAAAGAATTATAAAACTAAAAACAGGTTATTTATTTCTAAGAATTGTTTAGGTTCTATGTATTTACAAGGTGGTTGTAGTCCAAAATATAAATCACCAGTGATCTGTTAGGTCTTTGGAAAGGAAATGTTCTACGTTATAGAAGAAAAAGCTGAATTAAGTAAAAGCAAGTGAATTACTTCTTAATGCAAAAACCAAACTGTGTAGAGCAATAAAATATCAAAACCAAAAGAGACCTTAGAAATCATCTAGCCCAACATTCCTCCCTGACCAAAAAAAATTTTACAGAAGTCAGAGAAAATTGAGAACAAATAAATGGACGTGGCAAAAAAAAAGAAATAGATCGATAATATTAAAACATTTTGATAATGTATGTTTTTTAAAATTGGAGAATAAACCATACATGACAGGCTAGTCAGATTGCTGCCCATTTGATATGATTATTCGTGAAACTCAAAACGAATACTAGGATGAAAAAGTAAGTTATATGACAATGGAAATGTGTTTGTAGTTCTAGAATTAAACAGATAAATGCTTAAAAATCACTAAAAAATTATCCTTTTTAAATGTTAGGCACATAAAATTAATTAATTAAAGGGCATCAGGTGATTGGATAATGAAGCAGGAAAATATTCCCTGTCCTATTTCACAGTGTGGCAGTGTAGCAATGCACCATGTTGTATGCTTTCATATTAGTTTAAATATCATAACTAATTCAAAAAATTCGATGGGCAAATATTAACCATAAATACATATATATATATTTCCTGTGCATTTCTCTTTTCTGTACATATCAGTGGTTTCCAGATAAAGTTGAAATACAGAATGATTTTATCAGCTCTTTATGTACCTTGGAAAATATTTTTATTTCACAAATAATTTTGAAGTAAAATTTTGAATTATGAAGTAAAATTTAAATTAATTCTGAGTGAATGTGACGCTTTTTTCTTCTCATTCAATTTTGGTGTAAGAACATTTCCCAAGAAAATACTGGATGGTGTAACATTTTGATGGAATAAATAAATTCATTTACCTTTTCTAAACAAGTCAAAAAAAGCTTCTAGCTTTATAGATGAAAAATATTAACGAGTTAGATTAAAATACACAAACACAAAATATGAATCACAATATGGGCAAAATATATCTATGAGTATGCAATATTGTCAGGTTTTCTACATTACATAATGGCATTGGTATGTATAAAAACAGGGATATAAAAGAGTGAATTTCCTCTTTTGTTTTACAACTCAAATTATTTTTTAAAGAGATATGAATGAAATATGCAGCTGGGCCATCAACCAAAATAAAGATTCCATGCAAATAGCAGGCACAATTCTACCAAGCATAGAGAAAATAAACTCTTCTTTCAAAGGTTGCCAAAGCTGTTGTGTCAGATTCAATTCTTTTCCCAATGCCCTCACACCAAGATTTTTCTTTGGTGCTTGTTTTTGCAACTCATCCAAATCTTGGGGCAGTCTCCTCACTTTGCTTTTATTTGCCTGCACTTCCTTATTCACGTCTAACTCTGAACGCTCCTTCTACCCATGCTAAACCTGAGGAGGTACCTCTATTATACCCATGATACTAGGAAAAATTAGTGTTAGAAAAGGTCAGAAACTTTCCTACATGTAAGAAACTTGTCCAATATCTCACAGCTGACCTATGACAAAACTGGGTGTGTCCCCAGGTCTTGTTAGGTGCAGACCTCAGAGTCTCATTCCCTGGAGCTGCATCTGCTATAGGATAGAGCAGAATCAGTGATTAGAAATTTCGTTATAGATTGGTGAGTTTAAAGTAAAGGATAAGCAGTCTAAGAAAAAAAAGTTTGTTAACCAATCAGGGCTCTCCATAAAGAGTGCAGAAGTAATTATTGTGGAAATTATATTGGAAGGCATGGAAGGAAATGAGGAGTTTAAAAACACGGTGAGAAAGAAAAGAGCTAAGAACAAGATTTGAGGGGAAATTCTTATTTAAAGGTAGAATGAGAAAGTTGGTAACGGAATAAGCCCTATGTCCAGAACAGAAAAGGGACTCAATAAGTGTTCAATGAGATGTTGAAGAGAAAGAAAAAATACAAACCTATATAAATTGAGGACAATGGATGAAGTGGGAGAACGTATAAAGAAGCAATACGGAAGGAAGAATTATACCCACATTGTGAGACTGTTGACTTTTTCTTGGTGATATAGTGTATAAGTTCTTACTTATATTTATATAGCTAAGACATTTATTAGAAAGATAGTTAAAACATATTCCTGGACATTAAAGTCATGTAATAGGCACAGAATTATGATTTGTAATTGATTCAACATCCAGCTATAATATTCTTAGAGGTCGTGAGAAGCAGCTTTTCCATTTGAGCTTATGAGGAGGAGGAAACTCAAGAAAAAATAGTCTAGTTATTCATACTCCACTGAGTTCTCAGATAAATAAGGTGGAAGGAGGAATAGTGATAGAAACAGTAACAAAAAAAAACCCTTGACTCTATTCTTCAAGAAGGAATATCAACTTCTTGTAAATAACTTTACACTTGTAAAAATACTATATTCAACCTTCTCTTAGTACTTTGTATGTCATCTACTCTCTTTTAATTTTAACCTGGCAGCACATGTCTTTATTTAATGGGTCTGTTCTTTCCACCAGTTAATATTCCATCTAATGATTCTTTTATTTTTACTTAAGGCATCCCAAATGTAAGAAGTTAATTGCTCCAGGAACAATGCATTCAATGTTAAGCAAACTTTTGTTAAGTACATTTCCTTAAAAGGAAGAAAGCAGCAGCAGTCTTAAAATACTATCAATTAGCTTTGGCTTTTCCCAACTGTTGACGAAGTAAAAAAAGTGTTGATTAACCTTTTGTTGATGTCAACAATATAATTCATATTAACATGGGTCAATAAAATTATACTGTGTATTTTAGATGCTTTCAGTTTACTGACTGATAAAAAAAAATAGTCCTTTCAGTTTTAAGAATATACACATACCTGTTTATGAAAAGGGGCTAATGTAAACTACCATAATTTATTTTCTGTTCATAAATGTAGGAGTTTTATGTAAGCTTCTCTTTCTTTATCTAGAATATATTGAGGATAAATTAGATGATTTCTATAGTTCTCCCTAGTTTTAACATTCCAGAATCTATGTTCTCTTTTCTTTTTCCTCAATAGTTAATTAAAAGAATGATTTAAAGGACAACTGTATTTTCCACATCGCTTTTGTAAGTAGAGTTTCATAAGACTTTTTTTTTATTTTTTATTTCCATAGGTTATTGGGGAACAGGTGGTGTCTGGTTATATGAGTAAGTTCTTTAGTGGTGATTTGTGAGACTTTGGTGTACCCATCACACAGGCAATATACACTGCACCCAATTTATAATCTTTTATTCTTCACCCCCTTCCCACCCTATCCCCCTGAGTCCCCAAAGTCGATTGTGTCATTCTTATGCCTTTGCATCCTCATAGCTTAACTCCCACTTATGAATGAGAACATACGACGTTTTGGTTTTCCAATCTTGAGTTACTTTACTTAGAATAATAGTCTCCGATCTCATCCAGGTTGCTGTGAATGCTATTAATTCATTCCTATTTTATATCTGAGTAGTATTCCATCATATTTATATCTATATATGATACATATGATATATATATCTACATATGACATATATATCTGTAAATATGATATATATCTATATATGATATACAGATATATATGATGGAATACATATATGATGGAAAATATATATTTTATATATATATATATATATATCTCACAGTTTCTTTATCCACTCGGTGATTAATGGGCATTTGGGTTAGTTCCAAATTTTTGCAATTGCAAATTGTGCTGCTATAAACATGCATGTGCAAGTATCTTTTTCGTATAATGACTTCTTTTCCTCTGGGTAGATACCCAGTAGTGGGATTGCTTGATCAAATGGTAGTCCTACTTTTAGTTCTTTAAGGAATATCCACACCGTTTCTCGTAGTGGTTGTACTAGTTTACATTCCCACCAGCAATGTAGAAGTGTTCCTTGTTCACCGCATCCATGCCAACATCTATTATTTTTTGATTGCTTGATTATGACTATTCTTTCAGGAGTAAGGGGGTTTTGATTTGCATTTCCCTGATCATTAGCGATGCTGAGCATTTTTTCATGTTTTTTGGCCATTTATATATCTTCTTTTGAGAATTGTCTATTCATGTCATTAGCCCACTTTTTGATGGGATTGGTTTTTTCTTGCTAATTTGTTTGAGTTCATTGTGGATTCTGAATATTGGTCCTTTGTCAGATGTATAGATTATGAAGATTTTCTCCCACTTTGTGGATTGTCTGTTTACTCTGCTGACTGTTCCCTTTGCCCTGCAAAAGCTCTTTAGTTTAATTAAGTCCCAGGTATTTATTTTTGTTTTTATTGCATTTGCATTTGGGTTCCGGGTCATGAAGTCCTTGCCTAAACCAATGTCTAGAAGGGGTTTTCCAATGCTATCTTCTAGAATTTTTATAGTTTCAGGTCTTAGATTTAAGTCCTTGATCCATGTTGAGTTGATTGTTGTATAAGGTGAGAGATGAGGATTCACTTTCATTCTCCTACATGTGGCTTGCCAGTTATCTCAGCACCATTTGTTGAATAAGGTGTCCTTTCCCCACTTTATGCTTTTGTTTGCTTTTTCAAAGATCAGTTGGCTGTAAGTATTTGGATTTATTTCTGCGTTCTCTATTCTGCTCCATTGGCCTATGTGCCTATTTCTATACCAGTACTATGCTGTTTTGGTGACTATGGCCTTATGGTATAGTTTGAAATCAGGTATTGTGATACCTCCAGATTTATTATTTTTGCTTAGTCTTGCTTTGGCTATGTGGGCTCTAAGAAAAGCCAATATTAAAACTATTTATTATTTCTCAAGATGGAATTGATGATCCAAGGAAAGATCTAGAAATAATTCCTATAGCTTCTTTTTCATTTTCTTCATATCGGTCACATCTATAAAAAGACTCAAGGATAGGCAGTGATTCTCCATTCCACTTATATTTACTGACACTCAGATATTACAAGTAGCATCCTTTACCAAAAAAATTGGTGTTTTAAATTTAAAAGTAATTTTTTCATTAGTACCTTTTATGCAAACCAGTTACTTGTAGAGATCAATGACTAATTGAATTCCTCACTCTTTACTATGTGTGCATTCATGATGTGTAAATAAAATATGACATATCACTCTGTAAAATATATTTCTCCACATTTCTAGAGTGCAGGCAATAAACAAAGAATCATTTGTTTTCTTGTATGATGAGAGTACTTTTTGAGTAGGGTCAGTTTTTTATGTCTATGGCCAAAATGGATGGGTCATAAATTGATAACTTTTGTGTTCTAAAATCATGCATGATAGAATGATGAGTATCTTGGGTGATAGTGGAAAAAGAAAATAAATTATGCCTTCTTTATGATCTTTAGGTATTTTATTTTTTCTTCTTTTGAGACGGAGTTTCACTCTTGTTGCCCAGGCTGGAGTGCAATGGTGAGATCTCGGCTCACCACAACCTCCGCATCCCAGGTTCAAGCGATTCTCTTGCCTCAGCCTACCAAGTAGCTGGGATTACAGGCATGTGCCACCACGCCTGGATAATTTTTGAGTTTTTAGTAGAGATGGGGTTTCTCCATGTTGTTCAGGCTGGTCTCGAACTCCCGACCTCAGGTGATCTGCCCACCTCGGCCTTTCAAAGTGCTGGGATTACAGGCATTAGCCACTGTGCCCAGCCTAATCTCTAGGTATTAACCTTATAAAACCCAAATTCTCACCCCAGTTCTATCAAAGATTCGTTTTTCCAAAAAGCTTTCTGGATTTCTCCCTCTGACATCTTGGTTTAATCTCTCTGGACCTTTCTCTCCTTTTTCTTGCCAGCTTATTTCTATTTACCCCCACAGAGCTCTCTGTCTCATTCTTTTAGTGTAGTGTACACATGCTAAACCTCTCATGCTTTTGCTCATGCCATTCCTTGCCTGGTAGATATTTCTTTCTCTTTCTTGCTTACAAAGTCAACCCAATGTTCACAGTCCAGATCAAGTCTACTTTGTTTGCAGGAACTTTCCTCGAAATCCCAAAAGAGATACTTAGTATGTTAAACCTGAACAAGCAATGAATTTAAAATAGAGACATTTTATTTAGCTGTTTCCATTTTTAGCTCTGCTACTCTGAGCAAATCACTTCAGCTTTCTGAAGTTATTTTTTTCCATCCCTAAGCAAAGCAGTCCAGCTCAAACAGACACTTCCTTCAATTAATTACAGGCTCAGATATACTATTTTTTTAGTGATTTTGTTTTTCTTAGGCAAAAGTACATGACTGCAAAGGTAAAAATGTAAAAAAAAAGTATAATACTTATTTCAATGAATTCAATGATATTTACTAAATTAATGAATAAGTAACTATTAAATATATGTGATATCTAGCTGTATTTTTGAAATCTCCCTAATAGGGATAAATATTCTTATAATATCCTTCTGCTTTCCTAATAAACAAAATTTATTCTGATGCATGGCTTTTTCTTTCATCTCACAAAGACACTAGAGGTCACCAGGCAATATGGCAAGAGTGGCTGACATTGCACTAACTAGCCTGTCCCTCCTCCAGTCTTCACCTTCTGTCTCTGCAGCTCCTTAGCAACCTGGAGGTACTTGACACATGCACTAAGCTGCTGTGGCAGCTCCAGGGTGGGTCAGCTGATTGATGTCAGGCAATGTGGTAGGGAGTACAGGGTGATGATCATTTATGAATTATTTCCACAATATAAACAAATAGTATAACTTACATTTCATATTTTCTAAAAGCCAGAGAGAGTGAGTTCTCCAATGATTGAAATAAATATAAACATAAGTATGTGTCTCTTGAGCTAATGTGGCAAATCTTTCTTGGAAGAATATTAGAAATTCAGTTTATTAGAAATAAGACTTCTTGTACCTAGTGTTTGGAGTCACGTGACTGCCTGCTATTCATTATTTATTATTCCCTGATAATAATCTCAGTCAACTTTTTAAAACTGTCCTGAGATAATTTTTTAGACATATCAGAAAGTAAAGGGAAAGAGAGCAAATTAAAAGATTTTATGGGTGTGTGTTTAAATTTGACTTTCTTCACTTCATGCTTTAGCAGTGTATTTTTTAATTTTTATTTTTTGTAGAGACAGGTTATACTTTATTATGCAAATGATAAATGCTCATGCTTCATTGTCATATAAATTGATTTGAACTTTTCATGTTGCTTTTATTTAAGTGTTCCCCATAAAAACATATGAAGCTGCATGGCTTTAAAAAATTTGGAGAGGATTTTCTTAGGGACATTTCTGAAAGCAGTTCTATAAATTCAATACATTTCATTAATTGATTATATATATTCCATGCTTCTGAATGTAAACTATGATTTAAAATTTCTGATATAAAATATTGATAAATTTCCAAAGATGCTATAATGACAGATTGTCAAATAAAATAAAACTTTGTTGAAGATGTAACTGAGAAATTTTAAAGAATACAATAACAAAGGTAAATAAGAGTAGACACTAATTCCAGCTGATGGGCGTGTAACCACTATATGGGCAAAAATAACCACTATAGCTGTGTGACAGAGCCTTCTATGAGATCATTTTCAGCTGAATATTCTTGTCAGCAGACATCACTTTGTTTTTCCTTGAAGGAGAAAAGCTGTATCCTGAATATTTTCAAAGAGATTGCTTTGTCCTACATTTTGCTGTAAAAATTACAGAAACAAAGATGTCTATCATGTCTGTTCAACAGATAGTAGGCTGTGATGAGTGCTTTCTGATGAGCTCTGAGAATTTGGCACGAGGAAGAAAGAGTGCTCTTACCTAAATGTTCTGAGCTATGAATGTTCTCCACCCTGCCTTTACCTTAGAGCAGAGACACATTTCTGGGAGGCAGAGTAGTGTAGCAGCTAAGGGCTCCAGCTCTGCTATCAAACTTTCTGGGTTGGAATCTGGGCTCCATATTATACTAGCTATATATTCTTACATTTGTATAGAGCTCGGTTTCCTCACCTGTAAAATTGGGCAAATAATAATGCCCTAAGGGCTCTAGAGGCTCCTTTTTAATTCTCCTCTTTATTTGTATCTAGCATCATCGATCTAAATTTCCCTGCATGACTCCATCCACTTACACCTTTTATAAAAATGGTGGCTTCTATGTGTGTGTATGTGTGCCTATGTGTGTGTGCATTTTTCTATTTTTATAGCAAATTTATTGAGATATAATTCATATACCATATATTTTACAATTTTAAGTGTACAATTCAGTGATTTTTAGCATGTTCACAGAGTTATGGAACCAGCACCACAATCGATTTTAGAACATTTTCATCACCCCAAAAATAAACCCTGTATCTATTAACAATCACTCCTCATTTCCTCTCAATTGTTACCTGTCAGGTAACCACTAATCTGTTTTCTGTATAGATTTGTCTATTCTGGTCATTTAATGAAATGGAATTATATAATATGTGCCTTTAGTAACTGTCTTCTTTCATGTAGCATAATGTTTTTAAGGTTCACCCATGTTGTAGCATTTTATCAAGACTTCATTCTTTTTTATGGCTGAATAATATTCCATTGCATGAAATATATATATGGAATCTCTCTATATATGGAATTATATATATTTATGCATAGAATTGATTAGCCATTCATTAACTCTATGTTTAACTTACTGAGGAACTGACAAACTAACTTACAAAGCAATTTCACCATTTTACATTCCCACCAGGGATTTATGAAGGTGCCAATTTCTCTATCTCCTCAGCAACACTTATTATCGTGATACATTTTCATAACAAAATAAAATAAAGCTTGACGTTTCTAATGTTTTAAATTAGTGTACTAAATATTCGTTTACTTTTTTTTATTTTCCTATACATTTATAACCAACTGTAAGAAAGTTTTAAAATTTTTAATAAAGTTAAAGATCATGAAATAATGGTAATTTTCCCATTGGTTACTAAGATAGATTTTTATTGTTTCAACATTTAGGTTCATTTTTACAATACCAACTACTGTGGAAGATAGATAGATAATAAAAAAAAAGATAGACAGATTAGATAGATGTACTTCTTAAGGACCACAAATTGTCTTTACCTTTTCAGAGTTATTATAAAACTATTTGGGGCCCCACATTTCAGCACTTCTTTGCTTCTACTATTTTCAGTTTTGTTTTGCATAAATGACTATCCAAAGTATTGTATCATTTACCTACTTTTTATCTCCACATGTTAGATAAAATATATATATAGATAGATAGATAGATAGGTAGATAGATGAAAGTCCTATATTTATGGCTATTGTACTGTAGTAGAAAGACCACTTTGAGCATAGGTGTAGCGTAAATATGCATCTGACACTTACCAGCTTTGTAATCTGGATGAGTCACTTTATATTCTCAGGTCTCAGTTTCCTCATCTTCAAAAAAACATATCACCAAGCTATGGTAACAAATAAAATATGAATTTTAGGCTAACCTGATTTAATTGAACTTGGCTTGAGTCTTTAGCATGGTAACCACAGCAGACCTTTATTATAGTAATATTGATAGACTAGTAATCAAGTTAATTTACCCAGATCAGTATTTCCTACAGAAGACTTGCAGGTGAAAACTGACATATCTTTATGACAACTGCGAGTAATGTAGTCTTCACGTTTTCATCTATGAAGACTTCATCTCCTTCACTGTGAAAAAAATCTGTGAGTATATTGACAAACTAAATATTAGTTTATCCAGTATGAATATCAGAAAAAAATACTCTTCAGAAGAGTTCAGATTTCTTGAATGAACCTCAAACCACAGATGCTCAAGTATTTTATAGTATTGAATGAAAAGATTTTAATAAATGTCAGAATCAGCTGTACATTAAATAATCACTTTAACATTTTCATCTGGGTTTTTATCAGTAATGAAGTCATGTCTGTAAGTTTTAAAGAAGCTATGTACATATAAAATATAAAATATATTTTATTTGTGGACATAAAATATCCACAAAACTGCCCTCACTCCTGACACCAAGTGAAAGTTCAGAGGTTGAAAAACCACCTTCATTTTGGGGAATTCACTAGAAAGATTCAGAGAATTTACTGAAAACTGTGTGCTCGTGATTATGGTTTATTACAAGGACAAGTAATTAATTAAAATTAGACAATCTTAAGGGCATAGGGCAAAATACAGGTTAAAATGGGACAAGTTTAAGGGTATACAGTGGAATTCAGAAAGTACCAAATGAGATGCTTCTAATGTTCCCTTCGCATGGAATTATAACAATATTATTTTTCCTGTATCGATGTGTGAAAACATGCACATAGTATTACAAACCAGGGAAGCTCAACAAAGCTAGTCTCTAGAGTTTGTTTTTTTTCCTATATTCTATTGATACCTAATAATTGTACATATTTATGGAATACATGTGATATTTTAAAATATGCATACAATGTGTAATGATCAAATATGGGTATTCAAGATCTCTATAATCTCAAATGTTTATAATTTTTTGTGTTGGTATCATTTAAAAACTTGTATCTAATTTGAAGTATACAATAAATTATTGTCACCCTACTGTACCGTCAAACAATAGAACTTATTCCTTTGAGCTAACAGTATGCTTGTAGCCCATTAACAAACCTCACTCAATTCTCCCCATTACTTCCCAGCCTCTGGTTACTAGCGTTCTACTCTCTACCTCCATGAGATCAGCTTTTATATCTCCCACATGTGAGTGGAAACACGTGATATTTGTCTTTCTGTGCCTGGTCTATTAGTCTGTTTCACTTAACATGACCTCTTGTTCCATCCACATTGCTAAAAATGGCAAGATTTCATTTTTGTGGCTGAATAATGTTCCATTGTATATCATGATACCACATGTTCTTTATCCTTTCATCCATTGATAGACACTAAGGTCGATTCCATATCTTGGCCCTTATGACTAATGCTACCATAAACATGGGGGTGCAGGTGCTCTTTATCCTTTTGATATACTGATTTCGTTTTCTTTGGTTCTATATCCAGGAGCAAGATTGCTGAATTGTATGATAGTGCTATTGTTAGTTTTTAAGAAATATCCATACTGTTTTCCATAATGATTGTACTAATTTACATTCCTACCATGGATGTATGAGTTTTCTTTTTCTGCATCTTTATCAGCATTTGTTATGGTATTATCTTTCTGATAATAGCTATTCTAACTGGAGTAAGATGATGTCTCATCTTACAAGCTTTGACTTACATTTCACTGATTATTGGTAATGAGAATTTTTTCATACACCAATTGGTCAATTTGTGTATCTGCTTTGAAGAAATGTCTATTCAAATCCTTTGCCCATTATTATTATTATTGCTATCAAGCTATTTATGTTCCTTATATATCCTGAATATTAGTCCCTTCTAAGATGAATAGTTTTCAAATATTTTCTCCCATTCTACTGGTTCTTTGTTGACTGTTTCCTTTGCTATACAGAAGCTTTTCAACTTAATATATTGCCTTTTTCTATTTTTGTTTTCATTTCCTATGCTTTGAAGTCTTAGCCGTTAAATCCTTGCCTACCCCAATGTCCTGAAGCATTTTCCCTGTGTTTTCTTCCAGGAGTTTTATAATTTCAGTGGAATCTGTGGCAAGGCTTTGCTGGGAATAGGGACACGAGGCGTTCTGGTCCTCAGGCCCCCAGGCAGTGTACACAGGCATTGGGGTAGAGGATCCCAGTAGGCCAATTCCTCGACCTCCAGATGGTGTTCTCACATGTTGGTGGTGACAGCAGTGGGCAAGGCCAGTGGGAGGTTTCTCAGGCTTCTGGGCAATGTGTTTAGTTTTGGCAGTGGTAGTAGTGTTTCTGTCCCAACCCTCTGCCCCCAAGTGGTGTGCTTGCACATCAGCAGTGGCAATGGTGGGCATGGTCTACTATCCCCAAACCCCTGGATAGTGCATATGTACAGTGGCAGCAGGCATGGGAGGCCCATCCTCATGCCTGTAGAACAGGGTCCCCCAACCCCCAGGCAATGGACTAGTGTTAGTCTGTTAGGAACTGAACCATACAGCAAGAGATGAGCAGTAGGTGAGCGAGTAAAGCTAAGTTCTGCCTCCTGTCAGATCAGCAGCAGCATTAGATCCTCATAGGAGCACAAATCCTATTGTGCACTGAGCACAATCTAAGGGATCTAAGTTGTGTGCTCCTTATGAGAATCTAATGATAAATGTAATGCACTTGATTTATCTCAAAACTATTCCCCACAACCCTGGTCCATGGAAAAATTGTCTTCCATGAAACCAGTCCCTGGTGCCAAAAAGGCTGGGGACCACTGCTATAGAAGGCATGCATGAGCACTAGAAGCAATAGGCAGAGTGGATCAATCACCAGGCCCCCAGGTAATATGCACAGACACTTGTAGTAACAGTGATAGGTAAGGCAGGCATGTCCTTAGGCCCCTCTATTGTGAGCACAGGTACCAGAAGTGGTGGACCAGGCAGATCAATACCCAGGATCCCAAATAGCATGCTTGGGTACTGCTGGAGGCAAGCAGGGTGGGCCAGTTATCAGGTCCCCCACTGGTGAATGTGAGCACTGGCAATGGTATCCATGGTGGGTTAATCCATAAGCTCCCAGTTAGCATGTTTACATACCAGTAGCAGTTTGGTAGGCAAGGCAGACCTGTCCTCAGAACCCTGGATGGTACATGTGGGCATTGGTGGCAGTGAGTAGGGAGGGTCTGTTCTCAGGCCCTGGGACTGCACCTGGGCATGCTTGTTCCTGGGACTGCTCAAGGTTCATGCAGTTGTACAACAGTCCTGCTGTTTGTGAGGGCAAGGGTTGGTGTTACTGATAGTGGTCCTAGGTAGATGGATCTCAGGTTCTAGGAAGTGTAGGCTTTGTCCTTTTTGGTTCCATAGGAGCCTTTCCAGTGCACTGCACTGCGCATTCCCTGAGTGTACTACATTGCATAAGATAGAGTGCTAGGCACCCAGCCACATTGCTGGGTCCAGCCTTGCTACATTTCAGCCCTCTGAGTTGATGTGGGAGAATGTCAGTGGGGCTGCTGGGATGTGGAGATGGAGGAGCTTTGGGCCCCAGGGCAGGACATAGTCTAGTGAGGGCTGGGCTCACAAAATGGCACCATGCTTCAGCTTCTTGGGTCCCAGGGATGTGTGGGACTCAGCATGATCTCCCTCTCTGGAACACTCCTGTTGCATGGACTCTAGACAGCTTGCTATACTAACCTCAGGGCCTACAAGGCCTGAAGGGCTCTCACGGCTAGAATTTTAGCCCGTGGACCACTGGAGATCTCTCACCTTTTCCCAATGGGGAGTTCCTTCTGGATCTAAGCTGATTCTGGCTGGGCAGCTTTGCTTCCCTCTCCTGCCTCAGGGGCTTCTTGCCATTTCCTTGCTGAATTGCAATGTTCTTTCTTAGAAGCTCTGTTCAATATGTGGTTATCCACTTGCAGTTTTGGTCATTCTTTGCAGAGGAGGCAAGTTCTGGGAGCCTCTAGTCAGCCACCTTGAAGTCAAACTCCCTAGTCTTTTTCTTGAGGCTCTGTCACATAGACAGTTGACTGTCTATGTAGCTGGTCTAAGCCTCCAGCACTTTCAGAGGTTGATTTGATACTGCATGCCCCAAAGCCTCAATTCTAAATCAAATTGTTGGACATCGGGTATGACACAAGGACCCCAGGGAAATAAATTCTTACTAGGCATGAAATTCCAGTGGCTTAGAGATTACATCCCAAAAACTGGGGAAAAAGGCTAGAACCCTTTTTGGTCAAGGTTAATTTCTTAATTATATGCTATCTTATCCTCTACATTTAGAAATATATCAAGAAAATCCCCCCCTAAAATAATTTCTATTCAGTCAACATAATTAAATGTTTATAATAACACTCTCAATAAAACCTGTATCAGATTTTGGTACCTATCATTTCAACAGAGCCTTTCATATCATATCATTGATAGTCTCTATGAGTGGTTGTACCTATCATATCAACAACTATACAGCTGGCTTCCAGGAGAACTGCTTCCACTGAATTATGCCTTTGTCATATGGCATTGGCTACATTAAGAAATGTTATGAAGAGGAGCATTATAAAATCTGTCACTGTGTTTGTAAAGGATTTTGCTCAATACATGACATTATCACACGTGTTCCTTAATGAGAACTCCAAGGAAAATTATTTTTTTCTTTATAAGCAATATGTATCATAATTGGTCATGTTTTCCTCTTCATGCCGACTGTTAAAAACTTAAAGTCACATAAGTAATCCAAATTTTGTAAGACTATAGTTTGCATAAATTAGAATAAGGTTGGCATCAAGCAACCCAAACCAAAACTAACGGTGGCTTACACAAACAGAGATGCGTTTTATCCTATAACAAGAAACCTGTGGTGCATAATTGTTGGTAATGGTTTTGCAGCTTTAATTTAAATGAAGTTGAGATCCCTATTGTTTGACTAGCCTTACCCCATGGCTACAAAATGACTGCAAGAGCCCTAAACATCATGTTTCCATTTCACATTCAGAGGCATAAAGCAAGGGGAAGGGTTTTTGCCAGAGAGAAATATACAAATTGTTTCACAATTACTGAAAAGTAAAAATTCTTTCTAATGAGTCACTCGAAACATTTCTGCTTAATTTTATTACCTAGAATCACATCAATGACCACCCTTAGCTGAAAGGCTAAGTAGGCAAAAAATAGAAGGGGGTTAAAAATGGCTTTGGGGAAGCAAAATAATACTTCTGTGCCATGTAAATTTTCATAAATGTAACATCTGTACTGTCCTTACTCATAGCTCTATTTGCATTTGTACTTTTATTTTCTGTTCACCTCATTTTCTTTTGGTGCATTTTTATGTTGTTTCATTTCATGTACGTTTGTGAACCCTCTTAAATTTTTTTGGAATGAGATATGTATTTGTACATATATGCAGATATGCATACAAAGTGGACTGATTCTAGTTGCTTATCTATGACACATTTTATGGAAGCCGATTTGGAAATCTTTGTTGATTTGCTTCCCACAGGCATCATTAAAAATCTTTCCATAATGTGTGAGTAAATTTTATAGTAACAAATAGTACGGACAGTTTTATTAAAGTTTGTGAACAACAATGAGCAACATTCGTTTAAAAAGTTAGCAAGGTTTTCAAATGTTGTTAAAATGGTCTCAATGACAGAAACATTTTTATTTTGTTGTCTTTCATTCTTATACTTTGATCTCTGTGGAATTGTCAGTGAACCATGAGCTTACTGATCCAGGAAAAACAGCTCCTCTGCAGCTCATAATTCAGCAGAGTAATGCAGGGGCATTCTCTAGCTCTCCTCCCTGCCTTGGCAGATGGGTGGCGAGTTTTTTTTTTTGTTGTTTTGTGGCATGTCATTGTGTGGTTTTGTATGAGAGAGGTAGGTGAGAAAAGCGAAGGGAGACAAAGGGAAGAGGAAGCCAAGTTTTTTTGTTTTTGTTTTGTTTTGTTTGTTTTTGTTTTTTAATCTAGTATTTTGTGACTTGACTGTAAAAATAGAGTATTTAAAGGACTGCATTGGGAGACAACTGGCACATGTAATTATTACCACTCTGACAGAATCTACTAAACTAGATATTAACAGAAATACATAGAATATGGTTTTATAGAAAAATACAGTTATAACTGACTTGGCAAAGAGAAAATCCCTTGAATAATGATTACAAGTACTACTCTCAAAGGTTGTGTTTTGTTTTGTTTTTAACTATAATAATAATTTTAAATTAGTTTATGGCATTTATATTAATGTGACAAATATTAAAGCCTTTGGGGAAGTTTAGATTCATTTAATTTTAGTTAAAGACATTTTTTTAAAGTACCTTTCAAATATTTTTCTTGATTTTAAATGATAGTGTATTTATTAAATACAATTGAGGTCACATCTAAATGATGACAAACACTATGTAAAATTATTTAAGAATATAGACGAGCACTGGAAGAGAATATCAAAAAATTCAACACTGACATGTTAGGGTTATATGAATGCTTGTTATTTTCTATTTTTAATTCAAAACCATATGCTGTTGCAAAAATTATTTTTATTGAAATAGGTAACATGTTGAGAAACTTCTTTACATTGTTTAATAATATATTACACAATTGACTTAGCACCTGACAATAACATCTAATAAAATTTGAAAATATCTAGCTTTATATCAATTAGAAAAATATTGGTTCCAGTAATTCAGAGATGTGAATATCCCCATTAATATTGAGAATCCATCTTTACGTACAGTTACAAAGAAGGAACAAAAAAATTTGCATATACCAAGAAGACCTATGTGATTTTGTAGGTATTGTTGAAGAGCTGAAGTCTACCTTTAAGTAGAAAAAGCTAATTCACTAGGCATTACTAAGTAATTTCAAATAGCCATTTTTTGAAAGTACATCTGGTTTTGGAAATATCCCAAAGTCATTAGTATCCAAAGAATGGAAGTGATTAGACTGTTACCATTCTCACACATAAAACTGAATGGACTTACTTTCTAAATAGGTTAGACTTTCTGACTGTAAGCAAGTTTGGAAAGACAAGAGGTAGCTTAATAAGTATTTGTAGGTGTCTTTGCCTATTCTAGGAGGTTATGCTGTAAGCCTATCCTCTCCAATTTGTTTTGAGAATAGGCTAAGGAATGAATGTAGCTTTGAAAGGACTTGGAATATAATTCTAAAGGACATACTCTCCAAGTGCCTTGATAAATGGCAGTAATGTTTTTAAAAATCTACATAACTTACCAATGTGACAATTTTAAAGACAGTACGCTTATGCATCTTTGAATTCTGATTAAGGTACTTTTCTAACTAAATTAGAAAAAAAAAACATAATACAAGAAGTTCTTCCATCAGGCTAACAGGTATCATCTACGCAAAGACATTTTATTTCCAATTTAATGGCCAGGGTGAAGCAACTCCAGTCTTACCAGGGCAGGGAAGGGGGCCTGGGCAAAACATTGCTGTGCTGATTCTGAGGAATTCTAGTAGGAGTTCTCTCCAGAAGTCCTGGCATCTCACTGAGAGGTTCTCACTTATGACCTCTTTGGCTGACTGGTGGCTTTGAAGATCTTCTTTGTTCTCAGTGGAGGCTCACTGTCTGGATTACTTGGAAATTCTGATTCATGAGCAGAAATATGCATTACTTTCTCAGAATAAAAAAGCAAAACTTTTTGCTCTTTCCTCTCGATATCTTCTATTTTCTCTATCCTTCCTATAAGAAAATTATATTAAGTATTGTTATTATTTTGCCATTCATTTTTCCTCTTACCCACAGAGATTCTCTTGCTCAGTTGAATCTGAGCTGTTTTTAAACGGTTCAATTTTCTATCTTCTATTAAATGCACAAGAGAAAAAAAAAAAAAACTCCATAGCTGGGCACATGGCTCACGCCTGTAATCCCAGCACTTTGGGAGGCCAAGGCGGGTGAATCACATGAGGTCGGGAGTTTGAGACCAGCCTGACCAACATGGTGAAACCCCATCTCTACTAAAAATACAAAATTAGCCAGGTGTGGTGGTGCTTTCCTGTAATCCCAGCTACTCGGGAGGCTGAGGCAGGAGAATTGCTTGAACCCGGGAGGCGGAGGTTGTGGTGAGCCGAGATGGCACCATTGCACTCCTGCCTGGGCAACAAGAGTGAAACTCTGTCTCAGAAAAAAATAAAAAAGAAAAAAAGAAAAAACTCCATAACTTTCACATTTACATGTACAACACACTTAAATACAAATATCCTAATATGGTAAACATAATTTCTGTCTTTGCCTTTCCACATATATTGTTTAAAAGTGGTAAATTATGTAACTTGATATGAAAGAGAGGTTTGTTTTATCTGGCATAGGATGGGTAAATACAAATTAGGTAACTTTGAATAGACTAAGAGAAGATAATCACTTCTCAATAAACCTTCCTCCCACTTAGTACAACTGAGTTAAACTAAGCATAATTTTATGAGCAAGACCATTAATGATGCTTGCTGTTGTAGAAACCACCATTAATTTGGTTCTTATCTTTACATAACTATATCACTGTGAGTTAAACATTTCAAAGCATCATATGTATTTTCTCATTTTTATAACATAGGTACAAAGAAGGCCTCATTGCTTTAAGAGTATTATGAATATTACTCATGGTCATTTTGATTAATCTCAAGGCTTTTGTAACATAAATGCTGAAAAAAATAATGTGTGTAAAGCCAGAAACATTTGTTAGATGATAGTTCTTACTGAGACACATCCTGTCATTTGTTTTCCAAATCAGTAGATGAGCAATGAAAATCATTGTTGCTCATTGTACAAAATATATTCCCATAAAAGAGTATTTAGATTTTCTAACTATAGTTCTGTCATGGCATTGCATGTAATTTGGCCTTTATTTTCTTTAACCAAATTCCTGTTTGTTTCGTATGGCTCAGTTTCTCAATCTTTGATATGTGAATGAACATAAACAAGGGAGCATGATCTTTGTTTAGAAGTGTCTTTCCTTTGTAATCACCCATTTTGAGGGCTAAATTTTCCCCAGCTGCATGCTGCTACAGAAAGTAATTAAATGTAATAGTAGCTGTCCCTAATTTACAGCCACAGAGGGAAATAATCACATTTAAAGTAAAAGCCATAGCTTTTAAATGGACACACATGCCATTGCAGCATGTCCCCAGTAAAAGCAACCATTCACAAGGACCACATTGGAGGTATTTTTTTATTCCTGTCCATTTTTACTTGTAAAGAACAAATAATCTCTGTATTGACAACATCACTGTCCTCCTGACAAGTACACTAAGAACAGTTTTTCTTTTCTTTCTCAAATGCCTTCATTAAGTCTTGATACCATGTTTTTGTTTTAAGTCTCTTCCTCAGCTTCTTTGGCACTCCCATATGCTCCAAAATAAAGCATTTAAACAGACATTAATTTGCCTCTTAGAATCTAATGAGTTTTTGATTTTCACAGAATCTTGGCTCTAGATAATTTATGTCTCAAAATCAAGAGAAAGGTGTGCTCATTAAATCTCAGTTCTTTATAGAACCGGGATACTTTGCAAAGTCAGGGGTAGATTATATATCATTTTTACTTGGATAAAAATGAAACATATTTAAAACTAGATTAAACTGAGAATGATATAAATTAATCTATAAAAAAGTTAAACTCCTCCAAGCTTGTTTTCTAAAGTAAAATGAATAAAATGAATGTATTTTCAAGAAAGTATTTCCATAATGTAAGAGGCTAGAGATATTTTTGATAGTTCCATGTTTTGCAGAATGAGATGATAATAGGAACAGGATATGTGATTGATACTAAATAGATTTAACAAAACACTGCATTTATCTCACAATGATGCTGAATTGGTCCCAGAGTACAAATCTAGGAGAGTGTATTGCTAGGCAATTTTAAGTGCTACAAGTGTTGAAAACAATTTTAATTTTGCTTGCTTAAATTTAGTCAACTTTATTCCCAAGATAATTCAAACTTTGAAGAAGTTGATCTTAATTATTTTCTACCACTTATTCTTTTTAATAAGTGTTTTTTAGAAATTCATATTGTATTTCTTCGAATATTTTTCTAAAATTATCTATTTAAATTATCTAAATAAAAATAAAATTAAAAGTGTTAGAACATCATGAGGAATTGATAACTCACATAAACTCTTTATTAACACTTTCATTCTTATTAATTCTTATGGGCTTCATGCAGAATAAATGAAATAATTTTAAAACAATATCTGCTACATAGAAAGCACCCAGTACATATGATATTTACCAAACCTTTAATAAAAATGTAAAATAAAATACTGATAAAATCATTGATTTTTAAAAAATTGCCAAAACTTTGCTGTGTGAAAACCACCATGTTATTTGCTGAGGAAGATGCAGAGGTCAAACAAGCAAAACTCAATCTATAAAGATTTTGTATTGTAGATGGTAAAATGAGATCTACATTACAATTTGTTTCTTACATATTTTATATATATGTATTATTTCTCTGTATTTCCAATGAGGCAAAAGCATGTCTCAGTGATGTTTAAATGTCGCAATTCATTTAGTGCATTAATCTTTTGTATTTCTATCCTGTATATTTTTGTAAGTTCCTTAGGCAATTTTGTAAAAGATAGATTCTCATTCAGTTTATAATATTTGCAATGAGTGATGATTATGCTTAAATCAATAAAAATAATATTATAAAACAGCTCAATTTTATGTCACTATGTCTTTAATACACATATACATTTTTAATATTTTTGCAATATCATTTAATAGGATTATTTATACTCATAATTAAAAGGCTATTCAAAAAGTGACCATAATACTTCTACTACTTGTTGCTATTATTGTTAGGAAATATATCTTCATCTTCCATCATGGAATAAAAGATCAGTTATCCTAATAAGAAGAAATAAGAACATATAAAACTATAATATTTATTATATAAGAATAAGAGATTAGTGGAAAGATTAGATAATGTGTGTATTCAAATAATTGAATTTATAAATATTTAAGGGACAGCTTTCTGTTAAGTTGATAGACATAAGACTGATAAGTACTAAAAAATGCTTGTAGAATTCTACACAAGCACATTTTTCGAAGTAGAGATAGTCTTTTTGGTGGTAACTGAAATCTGGTCATAAACGTACTAATTCATTCATTTCTTGTAAAATTTCAAAGTGAAGGTATGTGCATATGAATTTGGAATATTCCACAGAGAGTCTTTTATGAATATATGCACGCAATTTATTACTCACAGAAGATGATCATTTTGAGGATGAAATTACTCTACTGACATATTTTTTATGATATTGCCCAGAATGCATTACAAACTCTAATGGAGGTCATTATTTCCAAAAGCCCATAAACTCAGAGTAGTTTATAGCTTTGTAAAGTCAATTTCTTATACAAGAAAAAAATATTCAAATGTGTAGTTGTGTCTCATATCCTGAAAATTTTTCCTTAGTTCAAGTGGAATCTCTTTTTTGAGGGGGAAAAAAAGGAATATACAAGTTAATTGGCCATAACAGAAAGGCTCATTTGACATTTTTAAAGCTCATATATATTACTCATATTTTTTCTGAAAATGTTTTACTTTGAGAAAGTTTATTATGCTGATAAGTAACATGGAGGTACAATAGAGGAATTATAACTGTTTCAGAAAAAGAAAATAGAATTGAATTGCTTTCACTATGTACAGACTTAGTCATTAATAGTGTTTAGTGTAATACAATTGCTGAGCTTCATTTTGAGGACAACATGCTTCATTTCTACTTTCTTATCCAACTTCTCAATATATTATACATTTTCCTAATCTCAATATATATTTCCTTATTATATATTTTACATACATAATGATATATGCCTTTCTTCTCAGAGAAATAATTGACCTCTAATGTATAATGAGAACATCTCAACCAGTTTAGTGTCTTTCATAAAGATTCAAGAAACACACAAACAATAATATTGAGAAATTGCAAACGTGGGTTTATAAACGTATCTTTGGCACCTAATAATGTCAAAAGATAATTCAATGTAGTAAACTACTGAGCATGAATTTCTTAAAATGCTGTCCAAAAAGATGACAATTTCTATTTTATATATGCCACTACTGTAGCTTTAAAGTTATTTATTGTTGTGTTTACAGTTATAATCCTTTGATTTAAAACATTAATCATTAGTAACAAATGGACAAGAAGGGTAAAGTAGATATGGGACTAAGGTCTCAAAAATATCTTAGTTATTTAAAATTATTTTTAGTTAATTTAACTAGCATTTATTGAACACATAGAATAGTGCTGTATGGCTTACTATTGATACAGAGATTAATAACATTGAATTTTTCATGGAGTTTACAATAGAATTAGAGAGAATCCATTAAAAATATTCAGCGTATTTTTGTACTAGAAGTCTACTAGATTTGTTCAAAGTGTGCAAGCCAAGATAGCATTCTGGAATGTGACTTTCAAAGTTATCTGTTTCTAATGGAATGACATATAGTGTCTCTTTCCTTTATGGTTTGATTTTTTTAAAACTTGATGGGTTGGTCTATTTCAGTATTGCCTTTACTCCTAAGGCATAACTTTTATTGGAGGATGTTGTTCTTGCTCCAAGAAGTAGCCTTTATTCTTAAAGCAAGGATCTTCCATGTTCTCAACCCAAATACTGGGGTGTTTACCAAGCCTGCCACTTCTTGGCAGCATTGAACTACAGTCTCTCTTCCCAGCACCACACTTTCGACATACACCTCCTCAGCTCTTTAACTTCCTAGCTGCTTCTGCTGATGGGGTTCTTGGAGTCTTACTCTGGATTTTTCCAGTTTAGGGATAGAAGTATGGCTTAAAGATTGGGGGAATCGGTTTGCAGTTCTCTCCTTTCTAGGATTTTACCATTCAGCATCCCGCGGTTATTCCTGTGGTACTGTAAGCCTGCTGCTCTCTCTTTGTGCTCTCTCCTACCTGCACTGTTGTTTGTATAATGCTCCTAAGAATAAAGCTTAGGTGAATGCACAGCTCACCTTGTATAATGTCCCTTGTTTCAGGGATCATAGCCCCTTAAGTCATGCTGCTTGGACAGCCCTCCAATACCTTCAAACAGTAATTGTGTATATTTTATTCAGCTTACATGACTGTTTTCAGAGGAAGCATTAATTGTTTTTTGCAGGCCACTCTGTCATGGCCAAAATTAGATGTTGTACATAGGCCTTTATCTTCCAGGTTAATTTTAGGCAAAATTTATTAACCTCAAAATAAGAGTGCACTTGAATTTTGAGGGTATCTGCATTGAATTTATACTTTTATTTGGAGAATGTTTATATCTTTATAATATTAATTCATTCCAGAAAATATTGTGGAAGATCTTCAATAAAATCAGATTATATTTTTATCTTAACTAAGGTTTTAAATTTTCTCCATAGAGATCATATGTATACATGTGGTTTTTAATTTAAGGTTAATTTTTAGGTATTTTGTAGTCGTTGCTGCTGATAGAAACATTTTTCGTTTTATTTTCTAATTGGAGAGTATTAGAATAAAGAAATGCTATATTTTATATATGTTTTGCTTAATTTTTTTTTTTTGAGATGGAGTCTTGCTCTTTCACCCAGGCTGCAGTGCAGTGGCTAGATCTCAGCTCACTGCAACCTCCACTTCCTGAATTCCAGTCATTCTCCTGCCTCAGCCTCCCAGGTAGCTGGGATTACAAGCGTCTACCACCATGCCTGGCTAATTTTTATATTTTTAGTAGAGACGGGGTTTCACCATGTTGTCCAGGCTGGTCTCCACCTCCCAACCTCAAGTGATCCACCCTTCTTGGCCTCCCAAAGGGCTGGGGTTACAGGCATGAGCCACCACGCCCAGCCTATTTTTTGCTAAATTTTAAAATTAATTTTAACAGCTTTTTTTTTTTTAACCAATACTTAATTTTACAGGTATATAATCAAATCATGTATAAATAGGAGTTTTGTCATTTTGTTGCAATCCTTGTATCTTAGCTTTTACTTTTTAAATTCTTTATAGCTTTGGCTAGTACTTTCAGTATTATGTTAAAGTTTAGTAGTATCCTGAGTATTTTTTTCCTAAATTGAATGAATCTAAATTTTCTCCATTAAGAATAACATTTGCTATAACTTAAAAAATGACCTATATCAATTTAAAAAAATTTCCTTTTATTCTCAGTTTGCTAATACAAATTTTAAAATAAAAATAGGTGAACTTAATCAAAAGTTTTTTTGTGAGTCAACTGATTCTTTTCATTTGATAATGTAGTGAATTATTTTGACAGATTTTCTGATGCCAAAAGTTTCTTACATTTGTGTAACAAACTCTCATTGATTATGATGGTTAAAGATGCTGTTAAATTTAATCTAATACTTTTAAGAATTATTTCATTTATGTTTATACATTGAATATGGCCTATTTTACTCAACCTAAATTACAAATCTAAGTTTTCTCTTTCTTTGAAACATGTTCTTTCTCTTTACGAAAGGCTCTAGGAAAATGTATTAATAGTTCACCAATTGTGAAACTATGCTCATATATCATGCTTAGGCCCTATCCATATTGTTTTACAATTCTAGCAATGTTTGCCTTTAAGAGAAAGCATTAGAAATCTATCACTATTAAAATTGTATACCATTTATGCATTAAAAAAGGCAAAGTCAGACCAAGGAAGGAAAAAGAATGTAGATATATCAAGAATAAAGGTAAATACATTTTCTAAATGGGTTTTAAACTTGACACAAAATTTCTTGGCAGTGAGAATAAGAAGATAAAGATAACTTATATTGCTCTTTTTATCTAGAAGAGGAAAGCACAGCAATTCTTTCTTGGAGAGAACATTTTTTTCCTGGCAATAAATTCTAAACAAAATTTCTTATGTAGGGAGATTTTTATAGAGATAATCCAATTAAATTATAGATGATATTATAAATAGTGGTGATATAAGCTAACACTTATTGGATACTTATTATGGGTTTGGGATTGTGTGTGGTGCTACAGTATTTTATTTAATCCTAACATCAACAGTTAAATCCCTACTCTAAGAATGAAGAAACCAAACTTAGAGAAGACACATAATTTGCACATGTATCTGTAACAATATTAAGCCAGTTCTGTCTTTGACTCATGAGCTCACATTTCAAATTGCACTGCCATTTTTATACTGCTTTTTTTACTCTTTTCAACTTGCTTATAACAAACAGAACAGGATCTGTTGTAGTGATGTGTTATGAAAGACTATAGCATTACAATGTATGAAATATATTCTCTGAGGAATTCAGCCAATATAATTTAACTTCCAGGGATCTAGTCAAGGTTTAGCTATATGTCAAGAGAAAATTAGGACATTTTTTAACTTGTGCATTAAAAATAAAAAATAAATTCCAAAATAAAGTTATAAAATTATCTAAATACTTATACTAAAAATTCATAGTTTCCAAAAAGAAAAAAAAATCTTTACGATTTAAAGTGTAACTTCAATTACAGAATACAATTCTAAATCTGAAGTTCTTAAATTAAAAGTGAGCTCTGTGCTAGCTAAGTGGTCCTAGCCTGTGCTCCTCTTGTCAGCTCTTTTGCCACCAAAAATATGTCGTAATCTTCTCTAAATATCATGATGTTCATCTTTTTGAAATGACCTCATATTATGATATTTTATATGGCTTAAGGAAGGCTGCTTTATATTCTTTCAAGGTCAAATGGCCAGGGATAAAGGTGGAAATCTATTATAAAAATTGTAAAGCATGAGTACTGCTTTTTGCCCAGACGGAAAGTCAGCCCTTCTTCATATGGAAATAGGCCACTGTGGTGCAGCCAGAGAAAGTAAGAGTTTTTTAAAGAATATGGTCAAGTAAATTTCGATTCTTAAGCAACCACACAATAGGTTAACACAACATGTGTTAGATCAGGGAAGGACATTGGGTCCATAAATTTGCCCTGTGCAAACATGTAACAATCTCGGTACGTTTCCCTATTTTACTTGGCTCCCAAGTTGTCTTTGGGAATCATCTTCTTCTATTTAGAATAGCAAAAACAATTCATTTGATCTATTCTTTCCTTATGTTCACCTGTATGTTTTATTGGGCGCATAGAAGCACTAAGGCACATCAATCCCCAATGAGTATCATTATATCAGTGTGCTCTGTTTCAAACTATTACAAAAGGATGCTTCCTTTTGACTGTGTTATAATATCCCTAATATTTTTACTTATGTTACTTACTAGTGACCAACTAGAAATAATTGCATTTCTATAAAAAACATATATAAGACCATTTATTTTCTTGGTGTTTGTGATTTAAGTATTCAGCTTCTGAGCAAATTTAGAAAAGACACTATGTAATAAGGAATGATATGAAGATTTTAGCCTTTTTAGCTATCTAGTTTTTAAAATCTAGTAACTCAATGAAACTTAACTGATCCCAAAGTTTACATACCCAATAAAACATAGAGAAATGTTTCCTAAATGAAGTCCTTCTAGTAATAAAATTTTTCCAACTTTTGTTAAGAGAACAAATATAAGTTTTTTAGTTTTCTCCTGTCCAATTTTAAGAGTTGTCTTTTTTGGTAGTATCTTCTCTATTTGTGTGTGTGTGTGTGTGTGTGTGTGTGTGTGTGTGTGTGTGTGTTTTCTTTTCTAAACAAACAGTACCATCATTTTGCAGTGACCAAGTTTGCTGTATATGGTTTCCTGAGAATCAAATTACCATGTGTCCAGTGAAACCTGGTGAGTTTGTACATTAACTTTCCCTTAAATGGGCTTTCAAAATAAGTATACATGATGATAATATGTGTAGTTATGATAATGTAGGATTCCTTTTGATTCTAACAAACCCCGTCCTTCTGTGTGTAATGTATATACAATTGTTATCACAAGCTAATGTCCTGATAGGGGAGGGTATTTAGGACATTAGCCCTGGAAGAGTCAGAAGCCAACTATAGAACCTAAACCTCCCTGTGATGGCCTGCAGTAGCATGACCTTAGAAAGCTCCACACATGGTTTACCAGACAAAAAAGATGCATATTTGTGTTCTTACTCATAAGTGGGAGTTGAACAATGAGAACATATGGGCACAGGGAGGAGAACATCACACAGTGGGGCCTGTTGGTGGGTAGGGTCAAGGGAAGGGATAGCATTAGGAGAAATACCTGATTTAGATGACAGGTTGATGGGTGGAGCAAACCACCCTGGTACACGTATACCTACGTAACAAACCTGCACGTTCTGCACATGTATCCCAGAACTTAAGTATAATTTTTTTTAAAAAGAAAAGCTTGTTTTAACTCAAAACTTCTTGTTGAACAAGACACCTTCTCTCAGGTTTTGAACTAAAAGACAAGACCTAAATAAATGGAGAAATATACCATTTTTACAGATTGGAGAATATAGTAATGTTAATATGTGCATCATTTGCAATGTGCTCTATGTGTTTAAGTGCAATTCCAATCACTATCCCATACATAAATTTTTGTGTATGAATTGAAAAGCTGATTCTAAAATGTATGTGGAAATGCAAAGGATCTAGAATAGCAAAGTTAATTTTGAAAAAGAAATGTGGAGAAGTTAGACTAACTGATATCAAGATTAATTATGACTTGATAGTAATCAAGACAATGTCCTATTAGCACTAAAATAAGTATATAAATGGAACAGAATGAAAGGTCCAGAAAGAGACCCATAAACATTTTGTCGTTTTTTTAACATAAATGACAAGAACAACAAAGGATAGAATTTCAACCTCAATTGTTACTTCATATCATACTCAATAATTAACTCAAAATAGTTTACAGGTAGAAAACAGGAAAGAATAAACCACAACATTCTAGGATACAATATTGTTGACTTATTTTGTTAAGAATAACAGGAATAGATGGGGATGGACAAGTCTTCCCTGTCATGACACAAAATCCCCAACCGTAAAATTAAAAATATAATAAATTAGACTTGAAAAATACCAAGTGCTGCTGATACATGGAGAATATAAGACATTATTACATTGGTATTAGGTGTGTAAAATAGTACAGTTTTATACTGTCTAATAAAGTTAAATGTACTTTTACTGTGGGATTCAGAACATTTACTCTTGAGTATGCATCCAAGAAAAATAAAGACAGGTGTCCACAAAAAGGCTTGCATGTAAACGTTCATGACAGCTTTGTTGTTAATAGCCAAACTCTCTAAATATCTACTAACCAATGAAAATGTAAACAAACTGTAGTATAGTAACACAATAGAATTGCACAAGTAAATGAACTACTGATTATGCAATAACATGGATGCATTTCAAAAACTACTGAGTGTAGAAAGCCAGGCACAAAATAGTATATTTTGTGCTTTATTTATAAAAAATTATTAAGTATGCACAACTAATCTCCAGTGATAGAGACTATAGAGCATTGGTTAACAGAATCAAATACATATCCACAGAGAAAAATAAATCTTGATTGATATGTCATAATATAAACAAAACTGAATTCCTGATGAATTTTATACCCAAATATGGCAGATTCAAAAGCTTGAGTGTCTAGAAAATAACAGAACAGATCTATGGAGTAAAATAATTATTTAGCAGATTAGAAAAACTAAGAATAAAGGAAAATATTGAGCAAATGCCTTACACTGAAATTAAGAATATTTCATAAAAGTCACTTTTATTTTTAATTTTTTAATTTTTCTATTTTTAAATTTTTGGTACATAGTAGGTGTATATATTTATGAGACACACATGATATTTTGATACAGGCATACAATGTGAGATAATCACATCATGAAAAATTGGGTATCCATCCCCTCAAGCATTTATCCTTGGTGTTACAAACAATCCAATTATACTTTTAGTTATTTTTAAATGTGCAATTAAATTATTAATGACTATAGGTCCCCCTGTTGTGTTATGAATAATACTATGTCTTATTCTATTTTGTGTGTATGTGCACATTAACCATCCTCACCTGCCCTCAATCCACCCACTACCCTTCCTATCCTCTGGTAACCATCCTTCTATTCTTTATCTCCATGAGTTCAATTGTTTTAATTTTTTACATTCCACCAATAAGTGAGAACATACAATGTTTGTCGTCTTGTGCCTGGCTTATTTCACTTAACATAATTACCTCCAGTTCCATCCATGTTGTTGCAAATGGCAGGATCTCATTCTTTTTTATACCTGAATAGCACTCCATTGTACTTATGTACCACATTGTCTTTATCCATTCATCTGTTGATAGACACTTAGGATGCTTACAAATCTTAGCTATTGTGAATAATGCTGCAACAAACATGAGAGTGCAGGTATCTCTGTGATAAACTGATTTCCTTTCTTTTGGGTACATACCTAGGAGTGGAATTGCTGGATTGTATAATAGCTCTAGTTTTAGTTTTTTGAGGAATCTCCAAATTGTTCTCCATAGTGACTGTGTAGTTTACATTCTCACCAACAGTGTACAAGGGTTCCCTTTGCTCCACATCCTCACTGGCCTTTGTTATTACCTGAGTTTTGGATAAAAGCCACTTTAACTGGGGTGAGATATCTCATTGTAATTTTGATTTGCATTTCTCTGATGATCAATGATTTTGAGCACCTTTTCATGTGCCTGTTGCATTTCTCTGATGATCAGTGATTTTGAGCACATTTTCATGTGCCTGTTTGTCATTTGCATGTCTTCTTTTGAGAAATGTTTATTTAAACTTTTTGCCCACTTTAAAATCAGATTGTTAGATTTTTTCTTTTCCTGGAGAGTTGTTTGAGCTCTTAATATATTCTGGTTATCAATCCTTTGTCAGATGAGTAGTTTGTAACTATTTTCTCCAATTCTGGGGATTATCTCTTCACTTTGTGGATTATATCCTTTGCTGTGCAGAAGCTTTTCAAATTGATGTGTTCCATTTGTCCATTTGCTCTTTGGTTACCTGTGCTTGTGGGGTATTACTCAAGAAATTTTTGCCCAAACCAATGTTCTATGGAGCTTCTCCAATGCTTCCTTATAGTATTTTCATAGTTGGAGGTCTTTGATTTATGTCTTTAATAATCTTTAATCCATTTTTATTTAATTTGTGTATGTGGTAAGAGATAGGGGCCTAGTTTCATTATTTTACATATAGATATCCAGTTCTCCCAGCACCATCCATGAAGAAACTGTTTTCTCCACTGTATGTTCTTGGCACCTTTGTAAAAAATGAGTTCACTGTAGGTGTATGGATATATATATATATATATTTTTTGGAGTTCTCCATTCTGTTCCATTGGTCTATGTGTCTGTTTTTATGCCTGGACCATGCTGTTTTGGTCACTATAGCTCTGTGGTATAATTTGAAGTCAGGTAATGTGATTCTTCCAGTTTTGTTCTTTTTGCTCAGGATAGCTTTGGCTATTCTGGGTCTTTGATGGATCCATAAAAACTTTAGGATTTTTTTTCTATTTCTGTGAAGAATGTCATTGGTATTTTGATAGATATTGCATTGAATCTGTAGATTGCTTTGGGTAATATGGATATTTTAATAATATCAAATTTTACATTCCATGAACATGGACTATCATCTTTCCATTTTTTGGTGTCTTCTTCAATTTCTTGCATCAATGTTTTATAGTTTTTATTGTAGAGATCTTTCACTTCTTTGGTTAATTCCTAGATATTTGCAATGGGCACCACCCCATCACAGGGCACACACACACATACATACACTCTCACTAGGACCCCGGAGACACACCAGTTCATCTAATGTGCACAGCTTTGGGAAACTGGAGTGTCCAGAGAAAACCCAGGCAGATACGGAAAGAATTTGCTAACACACAGACAGTGGCCTCACCAGGAATGTTTTATTTTATTTTTTCCTCATCAATGTTATAAGAAAAAGCTGTTGACCAAAATGACATTTGGGGGCCTACTGTACAATGAAATATTAGGTCATTTTTTGCATTACTGTAAAGAAATACCTGAGGCTGGATAATCTACAAAGAAAAGAGGTTTAATTGGCTCACCGTTCTGCAGGTTTTACAAGAAGCATGGTGCCAGCATTTGCTTGGTTTCTGGGAAGGATCCAGGGAGCTTTTATTCATGATGAAAGGAAAAACAGAAGCGAAAGTGAAAGTGGGAATGAGAGAGGGAGAAAAGGCATCACCAACTTTTAAACACCTAGATCTCATGAGAACACACTCACTGTCACGAAGACAGAACCAACTCATGAGAATTCCTTCCCCATGTTTCAATCACCTCCCACTAGGCCCCACCTCCAACACTGGAGATCATGTTTCAACATGAGATTGAAGAGAAAATTATCCAAACTATATCAACTATGCATCAATAAAAATGAACTACTACTCACAATATAATGCATGAATATCACAGACACAGTGTTAAGAAAAATAAACCAGATACAGTAGAAAATAAGTCTCCCAAATTCCATTTACATGGAAGACAAAACCAAATTATGATTATAAAAGTCAGAAAGGAGGTTACTTTTGAGGGTGATGACTGGAGGAGAGCACAAAGAAGGGTTCTGTAGTGTAATTTGTTTTTATCACAGTGTAGGTTACTAGGATAAAATTATCTGTAAAAATTCTTTGAGTTGTACATTTAAGATTTGTGTACTTTATGCTAATACTTCAATGAAAATTTTTCCTTAAAATGTAGATCTTTGTACAGTTCTAGAGACATTTTAGCATTTAAGAAATTAATGTGGCCAGGTGCGGTGGCTCACACCTGTAATCCCAGCACTTTGGGAGGCTGCAGTGGGTGGATCACCTGAGGTCAGGAGTTCGAGACCAGGCTAGCCAACATGGTGAAACCCCATCTCTACTAAAAAATATATAAAAATTAGCCAGGCATGGTGGCGGCCACCTGTAGTCCCAGCTACTTGGGAGGCTGAGGCAGGGAGAATTGCTTGAACCCGGGAGGCAAAGGTTGCACATCACACCACTGCCCTTCATCCTGGGTGACAGAGTGAGACTCTCTCTTTGAAAAAAAAAAAAAAAAAAAAGAAAGAAAGAAATTAATGCAAGTTTAGCTAACTTTTATCCCAGGTTTTCCTTTTATCCCAATAAATCAGTCTTCTCCTGATAAAATTATCCCAATAAATTAGTCTTCTCTTGATAAAATCAATGTTTTAAGCAAAATTATTGTATTTTGCCACTTCTCATTATTAGTTACACAAATGTATTCCCTGCAGTTGCCTCATATTTTATGTTATGCTGTTCCACCATTTAGATATCTAACTGGAGTATTTTTCTTCCATAAGAATTTAGGTGAAAAGTATAGAACTGAAAAATTTAAAATAGTAGGTAAAACCACCACTTTATACATGTTTTACATATTTTCTTGGAATCCTATTATTGATGATGGTGTTGCTGAATGATATTTGAGTTCCTAAAAAAGTTTAGTTTTTTTGAAACTAAAAAGGCCAACAATGAGGCTAAAATTAAAAACAACAACAATAACAACAAAAAACATAATGTTTGCTAAATGTACAAATTTCCTACTTTAAAAAATAATCCCTACATAAGTTTTTGGTTTCCCTTGATTTACTTGGAATCAGTTTTAATAAAATAGTGACAGATCTGAGTTCATACTCTGTACATTTCATAATAAAGGGTTATATTGCTAAAATATGTGGCTTCCCAGAACATGATGTCCTTGTTCCTATGTAAAAGGCATTCTAGATGCTTTTAACTTTTACTCATTTATTTATATTTGTACAGCTACATCTACTCCAACTTGGCTTTAACTGCTGCAGGGCCAACCTTCTTTGACAAGAATTCTCTTCTTAGTTTCTGTCAAAAGATTATTTGCTTTTTCCAGTTAGTGTGTGATAAGGAAAAGTCAATTCATCATCCAAAATTATCTGATGTTATTTGCCACATCATGTTGCTATTGCTATTTATAGAATATATATAAATTGTTCCTCTTTCTTTTAACTGTGATCTAAAGATCCTGCCATCTAGTTCATTTAATTCAGCGTTTTTAAATGTGTCCATTTTTTATCCTAATTTACATAAGATTCGTGTTGCAGAAAAAGGATCCATTTTTCTTATCTCTGTTTTCTCTAGATGTGCTTGATATGTTCTGCAAGATAAATTATACCATTGTGGCCATTATGCTGCTTTGGCCTAGCTGTGCTGCCAGAAAACCATCCAAAAACAAATCATGGCAATATAAATCATCCCCACAAAATCAAAAACAACGTATTCCAGACATTCTGAGGTACTAAAATGATTAGAGAAGGATAGTTTTGTTTTTCCTTTATATGAGGCTTAGGAGAGTTAAATAAGAATTCGCTACTTGACAATTTCTTTACACATGATATGTAATTAAACATAACCAGTTTCTGTAAGAAAGGTAAAATTCTTTCTATTGTCTTGATGAAAAAAACCTGAATTGCTGGCTTACTCTCATTCAGTTTGAAATAGTAAAATGAGAGTTCAACTCATACCCACTTGCCTGAAAATTCCTTACTTTTAGGGAATGCTGCCCCTATGAAAAATCTTAAAGGGGAAGAACTCACACACTTGTATAAAAAAAAAAATAGTATTTCCCGAGTAGGTAAGCACTCCTCAGGGATGGGAATTAATTTTTATTGAAACTATAATTTATATGGTATTAGGAACTGAATGAAATCAGTTACCTCCAGCAAACTGAAGAGAGTAAAGACTGTCAATAGCTAGAGTACCCTTCAGGTCACTGAGAAGGAAAGAAATGTAGCTCACTATTTTTTTTCTTTTTTCTAAGAGACAGGGTCTTGCTCTGTCATGCAGTATGGAGTGCAGTGGCAAGATCATAGCTCACTGCAGCCTCAATGTTCCTGGGTTCAAGTGATCCTGCCACCTCAAGCCCTCAAGTAGCTGGGATTAGGGATGTGCATCATCATGCCCTGCCCAGCTAATTTTTAAATTTTTGGTAGAGACGAGGGTCTCATCATGTTGCCCATGCTCTTCTTGAATACCTTGGTTCAAGCAATCCTCCTGCCTCAGCCTCCCACAGTGCTAGGATTACAAGCGTGAGCCACCACCCAGCAACCTAACTCACTTTTAAAAAACATTAGTGTTGGTTTATCTGAAAAGCAATCATGTGAATAATAATTATCCCTAGGAGGGCTTCTCATTCTATGATCTGTTATTTCCACCTCATCTTCAGTTGTTTCCTCCACTGAAGTCTTAAACCCCTCAAAGTCATCTATGAGGGTTGTAATCAACTTTTTCAAAACTCCTATAAATATTCATGTTTTGACCTCCTTCCATAAATCATGAATGTTCTTAATGGTATCTGGAATGGTGAATTCTTTCCTGAAGGTTTTCAATTTACATAGCCCAATTCCACCAGAGGAGTCATATCTGCATAAGCTATAGCCTTATAAAATGTATTTCTTAAATTATAAGACTGGAAATTCAGAATTACTCCTTGATCCAAAGGCTGAAGAATGGATTCTGTGTTAGCAGGCATGAAAACATTAAGCTCCTCATACATCTCCATCAGAGCTCTTGGCTGACAGATGAATCATCAATAAGCGGTCATATTTTAAAAAGAAATCTTTCATCTTTTGAGCAATAGGTCTCAACAGGACACAAAATATTTAGTCAACCACGATGTAAACAAATGTGCTGTTCCCCAGGCTTTGTTATTCCATTTATAGAGCACGGGCAGAATAGATTTAGCATAATTCTTAAGGGCTCTTGGATTATCCAAATGATAATTGAGCATTGGTTTCAACATAAACACCAGCTGCATTAGCCCCTGTCAAGAGAGTCAACCTGTCCTTTGAAGCTTTGAAGCCAAGCGTTGATTTCTCCTCTCCAGCTATAAAAGTCCTAGATGGTATGTTCTTCTAATAGAAGGCCGTTTTATCTATATTCAAAATCTGTTGTTTAGCACAGCCATCTTCAGTGATCTTAGTTAGATTTTTCTGGATAACTTGCTGCAGCTTCTTCATCAGCACTTGCTGCTTCACCGTGCAATTTTAGGTTGTAGGGATGGTTTCTTTCCTCAAACCTCATGAATCAACCTCTGCTAGCTTCCAGCTTTTTTTTCTGGAGCTTCCTCACCCCTCTCAGCCTTTATAGAATGGAAGAGAGTTAGGGCCATGCTATGGCTTAGATTTTGGCACAAGAGAATGTTGTGGAGGTTTGATCTTCATCCAGACCAAACTTTCTCCATATCAGTAATAAGACTGTTTTGCTTTCTTATCATTCATGTGTTCACTGAAGTAGCATATTTTATTTCCGTCAATAACTTTCCTTTGCCTTCACACTTGGCTGTTTGGTACAAGAGGCCTATCATTTGGCCTATCTCAGCTTTTGACATGTCTTTCTTTGTTTAATCATTGCTTTGTTTTGATTAAAAATGAGAGATATGGGACTTTTCCTTTCACTTGAACACCTAGAAGCCATCAACAGGGTTGTTAATTGACCAATTCCAATATTCTTGTGTCTCAGGGAATAAGGACTTCCAAGATGAGGGAGAAGAACAGGGGAACTGCCAGTCAGTGAAGCAGTCAGAACACAAGCAACATTTATTAATTATGTTCACTGTCTTACAAGGGCATGGTTCGTGGCACCACAAAACAATTAAAATGTCACAGCAAATATCACTGATCACAGATAACCATAATCAGTACAATAATGAAAAAAATGAAATATTGTATTACCAAAATGATGACACCGAGACATGAAGTGAGCACATGCTGTTGGAAAAATGATGCAGTGGTGCTGATAGACTTGCTTGATGGAGGGTTGCCACAAACTTTCAATTTGCGACAAACACAGTATCTGCAAAGCACAGTAAAGCAAAGTATAATAAAACAGGGTATGCCTGCATATAGTATCTTATTGGTTCTGTTTCTCTGGGGAACCATGACTAATAGAGGTAATGATCTTAACTATCCCTAATTAATCACATTAAGCCGCCAGAGTTGACAAGTCCAGGCTGGACTGTGAGAATGAGTAAGTCCTATGGCCAAGAAAAGAACATCAGATCCTAATTGTTAAGAGGGATCAGCTGTGATACTGGATAACCCAGGAAAATTTCATCTCTAGTGAAAACAAAGGATAGACCCATTATTGGATGGTAAAGAACTAAATTCATGAAGACTCCTATCCGGTGACTAAAGTACCACCTCAGCTACTGATTAAGTGCACATCAATCAGTGGACTTTTTTGAAAATAAAATTCTGCCTATGTGGGTGCGTATCTGAAGATTTCAAAGGCAGAGTTAACTGACGTTCATACCTGATGTAAAGTACAAAAATCCAAAACAAAAAAAAGATCATAACTAAGGGTGAAAATACTTCTTGACTAGAATTTTTGACACATCTTTGACATAATATCAACTATGTGTAAGTATCAGCTTGGAATTTACACCTATTCAGTCACACAAATGCTGCATGATAACACATTCCTGAATGACTCAGAAGTATAAATGGAACGAGCTGTGAAAGCAGTTTGACCCTGTAATCTTTGCTTTGATTTGACCTCCAGGGTCTTCAGAAAAACGGATTCAGTGTATAATTACAAAAGAACACTATTTAGGCTGATGCAAATGAATATGATTTCTAGTCCATCCCATTTGCAAAGAATGTGCTGTCTTGGCAATTTACTATTCTGACTCATTCTTTTATCTGTGTTTTGAGTTGTAGTTTCTACCTACTCTTCCTTCCAAACCTAGGTTCGTCTATTGATAATCCAATCCTTCCCCTTAGAATACAAACATACTCAATTGTATAACTTGAATACATTTTTGTATTTAAAAACATATGAAACAAACAACAACAAAAAATATCCCCCCTTTAACCAATGCTGAATTCTCTTGTTACCACAGCTCCATACTTCCTGGCCATTTCACTTACTGTATATTTAGAATAATTATTACATTTCTTCCACTAAAGCACTGTGCAATTGAATGAATTCGGATTCCACTTTCATTCCCCATTAAAACAGCCTCCTCAGGAAGGCACCAAAGATGGGACTGTTACTTGACCTTTAACATTATTTCTACCTCAAAGGGTTACTGGAAAGGGGTCCCAATCCAGATCCCAAGAGAAAGTTCTTGGATCTTGCACAAGAAAGAATTCAGGGCGAGTCCACAGTGCAAAGTGAAAGGAAGTTTATTAAGACAGTAAAGGAATAAAAGAATGGCTACTCCACAGACAGAGCAGCCCCAAGGGCTGCTGGTTGCCCATTTTTATGGTTATTTCTTGATGATATGCTCAACAAGGGGTAGATTATTCATGCCTCCCCTTTTTAGAACATATTGGGTAACTTCTGGACATTGCTATGGCATCTCTAAACTGTCATGGCCCTGGTGGGACTGCAGCAGTGAGGACAACCAGAGGTACTCTGATGGCCATAGAGTTTTGGTGGGTTTTGGTGGTTTTGGTGGGTTTTGGCCGGCTCCTTTACTGCAAACTGTTTTATCAGCAAGGTCTTTATGACCTGTATTTTGTGCTGACCTCCTGTCTCATCCTGTGACTTAGAATGCCTTAACCGTCTAGGAATGCAGCTCAGTAGGTTTCAGCCTCATTTTACCCAGCTTCTGTTTAAGATGGAATTGCTCTGGTTCACGCGCCTCTGACAAAAGCACTGATGACTGTTGTAAAACGTTAATTGTGAAATGTGTTAAGAGCACTGGAATCTTTCTTACATCTGAGCTTCATGAGTGATATTCTATCCACCTCTTCTGCTGTCCTACTCTTATTCTTTCTTGAATAGTAGTTTCCATGCACATATATATTCCCTAATCCTCTAAATAGCTTATAAAGTTGGTATTATTACCTCAGTTTTCCAGATGAAGAAAACAGAACCTCATTGTTACTGTAGATAGAAAAAAACACCGTTTTGTGATGGTGCCAAGAATCAAAAGCCTAATTAATGAGCTATTAAAAATAATCTCTAGATTTCCAATCTGGATAATTGTTAAAAATTTAGATACTTTGTTGAGCGTCTTTCTAACATATCAGAAAAAAAAAATATGTAGGAAATGCCACTTTTACTAAAATACTGTCCTTTTGTAAGGAAAATACTAATCATTTGCAAACTTTAGATTTTTGCATCTGAAAGCTTTTAATAGTAATTTATAGTATGTTGCATCTTCCTCACAAATACAGGTTTGTCCTTCTTTAAATTTTTATTGGATCAAGAGCAAATGAAAATTCTTTGAATATTTAGTTACAAACCTACTGCACCAGAATCACAAACATGAGTTTCAAGTATTTATTAACTGTTGATGTAGTTCGGAAGGCAATTCATCCTGTGTTCTGCTCACGGAACCACCCTCTAAAACATGTTACAACAGAAGGCGGTCTCTTCTTAATAGATGAAAATGTGGGCTTTTTATTCCTGCATTCAAATTCAGCCCACAATTTGCTATCTCTATGGCCTTATGCAAATTACTGAGTCTTTTGTCCTCTATGAGTCTTCTAAAAAGGGAAATGATTAGCAAATAAACGTGCCTGCTTCAGACAATGGTCTGGAAGCAAGATGATGTGGGTGAGGTGCTTCTACCACATGCTCCCTGCTCATTCTTGCCAGGAAGCATCGACCCACACTGCTCCATTTCTTTGGCAATATCTTTATCTTCATTTCTTCTCCTTTCCCTAACCAAAACTACTCCCCCTTCAGGTCCCGGAGTAAATTTCAATTTCCTCAAATAATATCCTCATACATTCCAGATTGTGTAATATTCCACTAGTTTTCCTTTTGGCCCCATCCCTTCCTTCAGTGAAAATATTTGAACTTAATTTTAGAGCAGTTGTTTAATGGATTTCTTTCCTTGGAAACTATATGCTATAAAATGGCAAAAGACCATGTCTGCAATATTATCTATTCTAACACAGTGGCATATGCAGTGAATAAACTGAACTATGTAATCAACATCAGTTAAAAGAATAAGTCATTCATCGTACAGTGTGTGGAACATCGTAAAAATTAAGAAATATTAGTAATTTTGAATTATTATTTTGCTACATACCAAAATAGGATGTCTATAATATTATTAATCTGTATAGCATGCATTTATTAATCCCATAATATGTTTCAGGCATTGTGTTTAATATTATTTTAAAACATCAACCTCTTAAGAAAAGCAAAATGTGACTATTCTCTAGAATTGCCATTGTATTCAACATATACTTCCCAGGAAAAAAAACTGCTGCTATTTCTTAAAAAACAAGGAATGTAAATTCTGGCAATAGAAAAAGCTTAACTCTATGATGCCTTCGGAGGCAGAAATTTTTAAGTACTAAATGATATAATATACTATATTTATACAGGAGCGTAGATAAATAAAAAATAAAGACTAGCATTTACATGAGTATACAAGGCTGAACACAGGCTGGGTGTGGTGGCTCACGCCTGTAAACCCAACAATTTGGAAGGCTGAGGTGGGTGGATCACTTGAGGTCAGGAGTTCGGGACCAGGCAGGCCAATGTGGTGAAACTCCATCTCCACTAAAACTACAAAAATTAGGAGGGCGTGGTGGCACATGTTTTTAATCCCAGCTACTCAGGAGGCTGAGGCAGGAGAATCTTGAGAACTGCTTGAACCTGGGAGGCAGAGGTTGCCGTGAGCCGAGATTGTGCCACTGTACTCCAGTCTGGGCGACAGAGTGAGGCCGTCTCAAAAAAAAAAAAAAAAAAAAAAACAAAAACTGAACACATCAAGTCCAACATGGATGGCATATCCAAATTACTCTAGCATATCCATTTGATGTGTGGGTGCATGTGCCTGTTATTAAGTTATTGTTTCTCAACTCCAAGTTCACCCTTCTATACTCTGCTTTATAATCATGAGGACAGGGACTCTACAAACCATATTTCTGCTTTGCCAGATGGTCTTAGGCTGTGTCTATACCAAGTGCAAGAGGGAGATACGGGGCTGGAGGAGAGAGCAGGTCCCTGATGTTTCCTTCTGGTGGCTTATTGTCACCTTTCTCTTTCTGTGAATATCACTCTAGCAATAATTCTTCACCCTGGCAGCAAAAATTCATCCCATAGCATCAGTGAAATCCTGTTCGTAGTTCTTCACACACCTGCAGAACCTGCCTCAATAAGCCCCCTGAGATACAACTCCCTGTGTGCTTCTGCCCCTGCTTAGAGATACAGGTCGAAGCATCATGGGGTTTCTCCTCTCAGCTCAGAGCCATCATCATAAGTCGAGCAGCATCTCTTCCTTAGAGGTCTGAGTTCCAACTCCATGTGGCCTCTCCTTAAAGCTTCTAAGTTTTAATTATGTAAATCTCTTCATTTTATGGTAATCTAGATTCTGAGAGAAGCAGTTACCAAGTCATAATTAGATGTGTAATAAATTTATTAGGGAAAAATACTTGCGATAGCAAATGGGGAGGAAGCCGGGAGATGCTGGTAGAGCTGTCAAACCATGATGTAGGTCTGAGCCTGAATGCAGGAGAGGCGGAAGGAAGGTAGTTTGGAAGGACGCATTTAGACTACATTGAAATTCTAAGATAGGCATGATAAGGCCATTGGAGAATCTTTAAGTTAAAGTCATCTGTCAAATAAGTGTCTGTTTCTTAAGGATAGGTTAGCCCTTATATTGAACAATCAAGAGGTGAAACTAGGAATGGCTCCTCTGACAATTACTTCTAATATTCTGTTCTGACCTTTTGCTTCTATGCCTGTAACTTTGAGCTTTGACCATTTGGAGGTCTTGGTGCTCAAGGGTAACCTTCAGATATTTTGTATGTTTCTCTCGTAAAATCTGTCTGATGTTGTCTTATAATTAAAGTGGGGATTTAAATATTTCAGAAGAATGCTAAAGAAATTATATGTTTTCTCATCACATCAGTGCCCTGGGGTACTTGGTAGCAACATGAATTATCACCTGTGATGTCAGCCTTGATCTCTTGGTAGATCTGCCCTTTTTTCCACTGTAAAGTTATTTGTGGTCCTCTTTCTCTCATCTTTTCTTTGCAAGTGAATCCACAAATCCAGCCTGCAGTCAAGGGAAAGAAATTAAACTTACATCCTGAAGGCAAGGGTGTATATTATATTACTTGGAAGTGTTCTAAAAGAAAGGTCTATCCCTTTCACTCTTTTTTTTAATTCAATAATTTATTTATATCTTTTCTGACTCATGCATATTTATTTTACTCTTTAGGTTTTAGTCCAATACTAAAATTATTGTTGCTTACATTGTTCTATCTTTGGTCATTATGAACCTTTCTTGTTGGCTCCTGGGTCCTTTTGATATGTCTCATCTTTTATAATTTTTTTTTTGGTACTGCCTTATTTTGTGGCACTGCAAGATGCTCCAGAATCATCTTGTGTTTTTCCTGCCTCAGTCTCACCCAAATCAACCGTTTCTCCAAGGAATACCATTTCCTCATTGAAGAATACAATTTAGAAACCAATATCTGGTGTTTGAGTCAGCTCATTGCTACTGAGGTTTCATTGCTCTATGTAATTGTTTATCTTTACATGTGTATATTTTATATACTTATATATTTATATTAATATTTATATATACTAAAATATTTAGATGTTTTATATATTCATATACCTTTTATACTTATACTAAATATATAAAATACACATATGTGAAATATATAAACATATAAAATACATGTACAACATATTTGTAAAAGTATATGATACTGTTTGGCTCTGTGTCAGCACCCAAATCTCACCTCAAGTTGTAATCCCCATGTGTAAAGGGAGGACCTGGTGGGAGGTGACTGGATCATGGGGACAGTTTCCCCCACACTGTACTCATGATAGCGAGTGAGTTCTCACCAGAGCTGATGGTTTTAAAAGGGTTCAGGAGTTCCTCTTTCGTTCTCTTTCTCTTCTGCTGCCTTGTGAAGACGTGCGTTGCTTCCTCTTTGCCTCCTGCCATAAGGTTTCCTGAGGCCTCCCCAGCCATGTGTAACTGAGGCAATTAAACTTCATTTGTTTAAAAGTTGCCCATCCCAGGAGTATCTTTATAGCAGTGTGAAAATGGACCAATACAGTATATCTATCTATAGATATACAGATAGATATATACCCTTACATACATACATACCCAGAATTATTTTTCTATTTATACTTCTGTATGTAGCCATATTAAAATTAACATGAGTTTATACTAACATCTCTTACTCCAATCCAGCCCACAGAGTTTACTGCAAATGGAATTTTTACTTTAGTTTTGAAACAATTGACACAGCTCAGAGGTGGATAATGTGAATGTTTATCAGAAATGAATATGATTCTTGGGATTTTGAGACTCTTCATTTTGGAGAATGTCTTTGTGCTGTGAATAATAGTTGCGGCTTGTTAGGCAGAAACATGGTATTATGGTTGTTGTATGGAAATGTAAATATGTATGGAAAGTGTGAGGATGCATGCACTGTTGCTAAAGAGGTGAACTGTGTCCAATATCAGCTACTACTGTCTCAGCATCTACTTGGTGACGCTGCAGCTAAGACTCTGGAAAGATTTCTGCTTTATTGGCTGGCTCCCTGTTAGACTCTGCTCATGAGGCACACATGGAGGAGATTGCAAAACTGCAAGAGAAAGAGGAGGCATCTTCCTTACTCTCACTTCCTGCTGCTTCCTGACTGTTCTCTGTTCCTGTGAGCATAACCTAGTAATTCTTCTTTACTCTGAGCAGCAGTTCCTTCATAAAGGATCAAGTCCATTTTACGATTTTTTCAACACTTGCAGGGCCAACCAGTTCATGCACCTCATTGGTACCAGCTCCAGTCAGCTGTGTCTTGTCTTCAGATATATTGAATTTCTGTTCCACACTGCCCCTTCACCAGCTCTCAAGATTTAGTAATTCAAATGTCTTTCAAAAAAATGGGAGCTGCTTTCTGCCGTTGCTACTTCTATCATAGTTAGGCCTTTTCAGTACCTAGAAAACAACTTTGTACTTAGTTAACAATTCTTTAAATTATCTCTGTTAAAATATCTACAAACGCTTCTCTTTCCTGAGAATGACTTTACTGATACTATATATATTTTCACACACTATTTACATATATATATTTAATCTTTTTTACTTTTTATTTTTAGAGACAGTGTCTTGCTCTGTCACTCAGGCTGGAAAGCATTTGATGTGATCATAGCTCACTGCAGCCTTGAACTCCTGGACTCAAGGGATCTTCCCACCTAGGCCTCCCACAGTGCTGTGATTGCAAGCATGAGCCATTCTGCCCAGCCCCTTTAGCTAATTTTTGAAAGAGTCTCCATCTTCTGTAGTAACAGATTATTGAAAACATATCATGTTTCAGTAATGTGTCTTTGATTATATAAGATTTGGTCCCATGTTCATAACCTGATGCTAAGTTGAACAATTCGACAGTTTCAGTCCTTCCCGTACATTTTTTTTGGAATTCTGTCTTTTTGACGTTTAAAGTTTTATCTGTCAAATGATTTTTCTCATTTTTAGAATCTATTGAAAATATTATATTTTTTCACATTCTGAGGAAGTCTTCAATGGTAAAAAATTATGTATCACTTCTCAGCTCTCTAGATGTGTTCTGACATGATTTTTCAAACTTCCTCTTTTATTAAAGGTGATAAAAGGGAACTACAAATTAAATCAATGATTGATTAAGTGAATCATACTGTCTTGTCATTCAAGCAATAAAAGTAACATTTTATAGAGCTTAACTTTTTCATCCCACATTTAGTTCCTCTCTTTTCTGTTTCTCTATGTCTGACTCTTCTCATCTTCTTTCTCTTTTTCTCTCACTTTTAGAGTTGACAACTGGAGAAAGAAGGAAAGAGAGTTAGGATTTTCTTGCCCTATTCTAACATTTTTTTATGTTCTGTACATGCTTTGTATAACATTCCTCAGTAAATCAGTAGCTATATAGTAAAAATTAAAGGAAAAAGGTCCTAATATCAGGAATATTTAATTTTAAATACAAATCTTCTACATGTTATCTCTGAACTATCATCAAATTGCATTATCAGGGGGACCTGCCCCCAATATTTCAACGTAGGTTCTTTCTATTTTCCATAAGTGTTGGCTGGTGGAGAAATAAAGAGAAAGAGTACAAAGAGAGGAATCTTACAGCTGGGCCACTGGGGGTGACATCACATATCAGTAGGACCATGATGCCCATCTGAGCCTCAAACCAGCAAGTTTTTTATTAAGGGTTTCAAAAGGGGAGGGGGTGTAAAACAGGGAGTAGGTACAAAGATCACATGTTTCAAAGGGCAAAAAGCAGAACAAAGATCACATGCTTCTGAGGGAACAGGACAAAAGGAAAAAGCAGAACCACTGATAAGGGTCCAACAAAGATCACAAGGCAAAGGGCAAAAGCAGAACTACTGATAAGGGTCTATGTTCAGTAGTGCACGTATTGTCTTGATAAACATCTTAAACAACAGAAAACAGGGTTCAAGAGCAGAGAACCGGTCTGACCACAGATTTACCAGGGCGGAGTTTTTCCCCACCCTAATAAGACTGAGGGTACTGCAGGAGACCAGGGCATATCTCAGTCCTTATCTCAACTGCATAAGACTGACACTCCCAGGGCAGCCATTTATAGACCACCCCCTAGGAATGCATTCCTTTCCCAGGGTATTGATATTAATATTCCTTGCTAGGAAAAGAATTTAGCAATATCTCTCCTACTTGCATGTCCGTTTATAGGCTCTCTGCAAGAAGAAAAATATGACTCTTTTTGCCAGACCCCGCAGACAGTCAGACCTTATGGTTGTCTTCCTTTGTTCTCTAAAAAAGAACAGGATAGTTCTTTTCCAAGGTGCACTGATTTCATATTGTTCAAACACACATGTTTTACAATCAATTTGTACAGTTAACACAATTATCACGGTGGTCCTGAGGTGACGTACATCCTCAGCTTATGAAGATAACAGGATTAAGAGATTAAAGTAAAGACAGGCATAAGAAAATATAAAAGTGTTATTTGGGAACTGATAAATGTCCATGAAATCTTCACGATTTATGTTCCTCTGCCACGGCTCAACCAGTCCCTCTGTTCGAGGTCCCTGACTTCCCACAACATTGCATAAACCTTCTAGTTTGAATTTTATATTCTGAAATATGGAAGCAATAGTTTCTATCTAGTAAGATTCTTTTAACAGAATAAGTGAAAGAATATATATGTGTAACACATGTAGTTCCTGGTTTAAACATTCAAATAATGACAATATTATTGGTAATATTTAATCCCATTTTAAGGAAAACACGTGTACTATTTTAAAAGTCAGCTTAATAATGTGCAAGAGCTGTTTCAAAAGCTTATTAAATAACACATGCACATGTAAAATTTATTTTTTCTATTTTAAAAGTCTGAGTCAAGATAGTTACCTTGCCCATTGCCCAAGTAAATTGGTCTTTGTAACCAGGGAAACAAACCTGATTTCTAGCCTAAAAAGAAACTTGGAAAATACTTTACAAAACAAACAGAAAACATAGGTATTCATTATTTCCCTAGACTGAGTTCTCTGGGTGGTATGAATCTTAACTCCTAGTAACCACTCAGACCTGCTTCTAGTAGTTGTAGTTTATCAGCCAATCTCAAATTAAGGTATTTCCTTACACTCTTCCTAAAAGATCAGCAAAGAACTGATTACCCTAGTCCATTCTTGCATGCTAGTAATTAAAGGAGAAATTGAATCTAATATGCAAACCAACTAATGGATGAATTGGAAAGAACCAGTTTTATAGAACATGTCTAGTATTACATGTTGAGTCTAGGACTTGCATTTATTCTATACTTACCAGCTCATTATTTAGCCTGTTACTATCGCATAGACACTGCCAGAAGAAACAACACTCCTGGGTCAGACACAGGTTATGATTTAAGGCACAGTAGGCCGCACAAGCATCAGCATTTTGTATCACTTTTCTTTGTCCCTAAATCCAACAGTCGTGGGTAGGAGTGGAGGTGACATGAAGTTCCAGAAAAAATCTGCACACACGATGGAATGTATTAGGTTGGTGCAAAAGTAACTGTGGATTTTTTCATCAAAAGTAATGGCAGAGATTGCAATTACTTTTGCACCAACCTAGTAGCACAGGACAGAAATTCTGAGCTGGGGAGCGTCCACCACTTTAATAGCAATCAGTAAGCAAGCCTTATCTTTGTCCCGTTGGTAGATGTTACCTCATCCCTCAATGTCACCCTTAAGGACACAACTCGAATACTCCTGAGAAAAACCCTGAAAAACACTATCTATCTCTTTAGTAATGCAACCCTGAGAAATGGCCGAGATAAAGAGCAGACAGGGTTTGCTTGGCACATCCAGCAAGTCAAGGAATGCAGAAGACCTATGAATATCTCCCAACCATCTCCACCATTTGGTCCTAATATGACTTGGCTTCTAGCAAGTTTTTGAATGTACTACCCCATTGGTCACTCTGATTAATCTGACTGGCAGAGGCTGCAACCAAACCAATTCAATTTGTTACAAAGCATTTAATTAACAAACTGTCAACCAGTAGGATTCCAACCCACAGTATTGACCTCAACTATATCTCCAGAATCACAAAATCAGTCAATAATATGTTTTAGGAGGATCAGTAAGTCATATTTTATGCAGCCAGGTTGCAGTCTGAGGCCAGGTCTTTTATCCATTATGACCCATGCAAGGGAGTTGCAACTAATCTGCTGCTCTTTTAGTATCATTGCCAGTAAGTACAAGGGAGCAATACATGGGCTAGAAAGCAGTCCCTACCACCATCGAGAGAATTTTGGTCCATGATCTCCTGCATACAAACATAAAATCTGAGTGTACACAGGTCATTCTTGTCTGTATATTTTTTGAACCTATTTGAGACCATCATTACACGGATTTGGTGAATACACATGGGCAGGGTTACCTAGAAATTGCAGCCTCAACCATTATATATGACATAACTCAAGGGTACTTGGACATCAAGGCTCTTGATAGCATCAGGAACACCAAAATAGTTCAGAACTGTCCAGGTACACATAACTTTGTTTTCTCAGCAAAGGGTCATATTGCCAATGGCAAATGCTCTTTACTCAGGCAGACCATCTGATTGTTTTGCCAGGTTGCAGTGTCATATCTAGAGGACAAAGACAGCATTAATCATTCTTCCTTCTTTGCAATCTTTGGAGTTCGATACCCTTATCAGGTGCTTTAGTTGCTCTCCTTTTGGGACCACAACCTTGGTGTGCTCTATCCCAGCATTATAAACTTACCTTTTCTCCAGTCACTCTCAAACCCATACCTTTTGTCCAGGGGAGTCAGGTGCGAGTAGGGCAAGATTGATTTCATAAGATATGTAGAACCCATTATAGTTCTCACTTTGGCACAAGAGGACAACCATAGGAGAACTTAAGGAGCAGCATGCTCAGTGATGTAATCAGTGCCTTTGTGATTTTAGTCCATGTAAATTGAAAAAGCAAATCCAGACGGCTGAACCAAAATGAATTTTGAGTTTTTTAGGCCTCCTTCTGGCCAGGCCTCCACCCAGAGATATAGGGTGGCAGGCTCACCTGTGCTTAAGAGAAAGAAAAATGCATCACACCCAAGGATAGTCAGGATTGGGAACAAGAATTTTCAAATGAGTTCTACATACCTCCTACATCTTTCATCCTTGCCATTATCCAGGGGACAAACTATTTCTGAGGATAGCTGCATTCAGTGGCAAAACTGCCTTAATATGGAATGGGTACCATGAGAATATAAGAGAGGTAAAGTTAGTAATATATTTACATTAATTTTTGAGGTGGCTATTTCAGTGATCCATAACAAGTGTCTGTAAATGGTAGGGAATATAGAATGTTGTTTGAATATCTTAACTACTGGACCATTGTTGGATGGCCTCGCAACAAAAGTCACACAATTATAGACTGTAGATGATCTAAAAAGCCAAAAATATGGCAGTTTATTTTCAAGGGTTCCAAGCCACATGCTGTGGCTGGGTTCAACCATTAGTACTAGAACAGCAATTCTAACCTCAGAGTCTGCCTCAGAAAGACACAGAAGATGGGCATGAAAAAGGTGAAAGTTACAATGCAGTTACTTTTTCAAGAGCCGCTGGGAACAATGCCCTCCTGCAATGTGGCTTTCATCAAACAAAGAAAAATGGGTTCACTTTTAGCAGGAATCACAGGTCTAGCATGTAGTTGGTGCCATTACTTTCCCTCAGAAGCACGATGGAGGTTACCCAAAATTTGGCTCAACTGTTGACACTGATGACTCATGCACATCAAGAAACTATAAAAATATTTGTTGCAGACATGAGACTTTCTAAGGGAAGAGCAGGGTAGCTTTCAGAAGGCTTTAAAACATCTTGAGAGAGTAGGGAGAGGAGATTGGCTTGGGTTTTTATCTAAGTTAGGAAGTGAGATCAGAGTAAAGGTTTCCACATAAGGTTGGTTCAAAGTTCCCACCAATGCCAAAAGAGGATGCAACTGGGCTTTCTTACCATCTTGCTGAGATATGGGGCAGGAGGGGAAGAGGGAATGGTAAAGCTTAAAAGCTGTCAGTAAACAAAGACTAAAAAATGATATCAGAACTGACCCCTGATGTTTGACTGTGACTAAAATGTGTCATTTTTTAATTGAATTGAGTTTGAATTGGTTTAAGTACACCATATGACACTCTATGAGGCCTGTAGCTTGAGGCAGGTAAGAGAGGTGAAATTTCTATTAAATGCCTCGTCCAAAGGCCCAGCCTTATGTATTCTGAGAAGCGAATATGTGCCTTGGTCAGTATTAATGATGTCTAAAACATGTATGTATACATGTTAAATCCACACAACAAGGATTCATTAATATACTCGTTAACCCATTGGGGTTAACCTTGATTTATATTTTGTATATCTGTTGGGCAAGATATACCCAGAGTTCTTTACTCTGGATAAGAAATTATTGTTGCCATTCACTGTACCAGACAGCCAGACAATTGGCAATGGCCCAAGAGTATGTAAAAATTTGCAGATGGGGCCAGTTGTTGACCAAGTCATCCAGTGCTAATATAACTTTGTAAAGTTTGGCCAATTATGCTGACCCTTGGGTTCTATACTTTATCTAGGACATTCTGGTTAAGGACTGAAAAGCAGTAGCTTCATCATGTGTGAGGTGATGATGCTATCTGTAAAGTTTACAAACTCCTGCTGCTGTTTATTCAATTGATTCCAAAGACCTTCACAAAGTCAAAGGATCTGGGAAGGGAGTTAACATCCCTTAGCAACATAGCATCTGGCAAAGGATTGAACACCCCTCCTGCAAGTGAAATATGTCAGGAGCCCATGTTTGGCTCTATTCAGTAGCAGGAGACCTCAGTGGCCATGCTGAGCTTTTGAGGTGCTGCTTTCATGCCCTAGGGCATAACAAGCTGCTGAATATGGAGGGTCATGACTGCCAGACTTGTGTAAGCCTATATTTCCAAGAGAGCTCAGTATGGACAGCAATTGTCATTCTAATAGCATGTCATGTGATACGGTTTGGCTCTGTGTCCCCACCCAAAACTCATCTTGTAGCTCCCATAATTTCCACTTGTTGTGGGAGGGACCTGGTGGGAGATAATTGAACCATGGGGCAAGTCTTTCCTGTGCTGTTCTTGTGAAAGTGAATAAGTCTCATGAGATCTGATGATTTTAAAAATGGGAGTTTCCCTGCACAAGTTCTCTTTGCCTGCCACCATCCACATAGGATGTGACTTGCTCATCCTTGCCTTCCGCCATGTTTATGAGGCTTCCCCAGCCATATGGAACCGTAAGTCCATTAAACTTCTTTCTTTTGTAAATTGCCCAATATTGGGTATGTTTTTATTAGCAGCAGGAAAATGGACTGACACATCATGGAACTGAGGAGGATAATTTCTTGCATCAGAGGCCTACTGACAACTTATGGCCATCATGGGTGGTCTGGAGACTCCAGGAGGTATGAGAAAAGACTGTTAGAGCCTCTACAGTAAAGGTTTTTCTAGTGGAAGTATTAGATGAAAAGTGTTTGTTTTATTGCCATTTGGACTGATTTTAGAGCCTTTTGTTGAAGGAGGCCGCATTCAAGATGGGCCAGTTTACATGAAACACATAACTGGAATTACATAAAATTTGTAAGTGAAGAATATGCTGCCTTTTGAACCCAAAAAGACCTAAAGATGTTGAGCTTGTTTTCATGTTGTGGGTACTGAGATGGTCTAGAGCTTCTTTATTGACAGTGTCAGGACTGAAGCAGATCTTGATTTATCAAACAATTTTTAGGTATCAACCAAGGTAGGAGGGCCTTGAGCCATGTGTGAAGCAATGGCTCATCCCATTTTTGTGAGCGACTTTGGTAGAATTTGTTTGTCTTTAAAGAGTGTACTAAATGAATCTTCGCAGAAAAGGACATCATCAGTATAATATCATACTTGCATCCCTAGAGAAAACTGGATGTAGTCAAGTTATTACCTGCAAAGAATGTGTGCAATGGCAGGATGATGGAGATATACCCTATTAGTAGTCAGGAAAAAGTATGCTGTGTACCTTGGAAAGTAAAAACAATCTGTGGCTAATTAAATCTTTAATTAAAAACTGAGATTTTCCTTATCTTTATTAGAGTCAATTTTGTTTCTACTGGGCCAGCCAGGATAAGACAGGGAAGGATAAGACAGGGAAGGGGAGAAGTCATCTATCTGGTACACTATTTTGTTTCTTCTTGCAGCAGTCTTCTAACAGAATTTTCCCTAACCCTTATGGGACAGTGTCTTAGAGTTCCCTAGAGGGACAGAACTAATAGGACTAATAGGATACACACACACACACACACACACACACACACACACACACACACATATATATATGAAAAAATATATACATATGAAAATATATATGAAAATATATATAAATATATGAAATATATATGTATATATATATATGAATATATATCTATATGAATATACATGAAGGAGTTAGGAGTTTATTAAGGAGGATTGACCCACACAATTGTAGGGTGAAGTCCCATAATAGGTCATCTGCAAGCTGAGGAGCAAGAAAGCCAGTCCAAGTCCCCAAACCTCAAAAGTAGGGAAAACAACAGTGTAGCTTTTGGTCTGTGGCCAAAGGCCTGAGTGCCCCTGGCAAATCACTGGTGTAAGTCCAAGAGTTCAAAAGCTGAAGAACTTGGAGTCTCATTTTCAAGGGCAGGAAGCATCCAGCACAAAAGAAAGATGGAGGCCGGAAGACTCAGCAAGTCTGCTCATTCCATTTTCTTTTGCCTGCTTTATTCTCGCTGGGCTGGCAGCGGATTATATGGTGCCCACCCAGATTGAGGGTGAGTCGGCCTCTCTCAATCCACTGACTCAAATGTTAATCTCCTTTGGCAACACCCTCAGACACATCTAGGAATAATACTTTGCATCCTTTAATCCAATCAAGTTGACACTCGATATTAACCATCACAGACAGGAAGTACAAGCATATAACACAAATTCAATGATATGTACAGATGTCAAAGCCACCACATAGTGAATTGAAGCAACTGAAAGGATCAATTTACAAGGCCATTTTAGCATCCCTGCCCACTGTGACTTTTGCCCAATCTTCATCAGATAAATTCACGTTTCTTCTCTGCCAAACAAACTTGATAGGATGCTGACTTTTGTGTATGTATCCAGTAGAACGAAAAATGTTTGAATCCTACCCCTCTTTGAGGGTTCCCAATATAGGTGGACAAGTGCCTTGATCCCTTTTGAGGAGAAGGAGATTGTGGTCCATGCCTAATGATCTTTCTACTTAAAGTGGCTGATGTTAAAGCAAAAGAGGATTGTTGGGGAGGGGGCATGGGAGGATCAGCAAGAACTATGTAAACAAGCAGCTCATACTAATAAGCAAGACTTGGCCTTTAGTTTTGGTTTTGACAGACATGACAGCTGCTCACAACTCAACCAAATAGATCCATAAATTTTTGGTCCATCTAAAGCTGTATATTTGAATGCAAAGTTGTCATTATTGACACAATTTATATCAGGGAGAGAGACAAGAGGCAGCCAAATGCCGAGGCAGATAGGATGGGTCACTGGTGAAACCCCACCTTCAAGCCAAAGACAGTTTAAAGCCTGAAAGCCAACCTACAAGTTAAATCCTCAGTTCTGATTGAGAACTTATCTTTCAGTTTGGCATCCTTTCCTCTAATTGATCTCTACCCTTCACCTATTTTACATATACCTACCCTTTCCTAATTGGTTTTCTATACAACTTTGAGTGGTGACTTTGCTGTAACTTTTCTTGCCTACTCACAAACCAATCAGCATGCACTCCCCATTCTGAATCCATCAAAATCCCCAGACCCAGCCACAGCAGGGTACTTTCCCACCTTTGGGTAGAGGGACCACCCCCATGTCCCCTCTTTGCTTTCATGGCTTAAATAAAATAATTCTTCTCTGCCCTCTTCACCTTCAATGTCCAGCATATCCTCATTCTTCTTGGGTGTGGTACGAGAGCTCAGGAACTGCTGAACACAGGTACAAGCTATAATGCAGGCAAGCTGGGGCACACCAGTGTGCCTGAGCAGGGCCCAGGTGGGGCATCACCTGCCAGAAGTCCCCGGCTTGCAAAGTGACCAAGAAGAAAAATCCAACATCATCAGCTTTTGGGACTCTTTAGCTACATTCTCTATCAGCTGGGGTCACATTGATTGCTGTCCCACAATCATAATATCTCTCCTCATGCTCAGAAGACAGTAAGCAACAACCAAGACAGCCTGTTTCGGTCTGTCTTACTTGTTGCTCCTCAGTCCCATTAAGAGTTAGAAAAGTGGGAAACCTTATTGTCTTCACCTTTGACCACCAACTGGGTAAAAATATTCTCTATCAGATCTTAGGGACTCTTGTTTTAACCCTGAACCTTGATTGTACTTTCTCTTCTGAAAAGTTAGTTATGTCAGAATCCCATTCTCATCATAAGAATGGGTCTGATACATAAGTTTGCCCTATAGTTATGAGCTAAAATGTTAATGTATTTCTGTTTCTTTGATGCGCATAGAAGACAGAAGACTCTTGGATCAGAGACAAAGGACTTTATTACTCATAGCACAGCAAGTAGCTTGAGTATTAGTATGTTTGTCTTAGTTCTTGTCCCTAAATCCCTTGAGAGTGATGAAGAAGGCCCAAATGATGTTTGCACATAAAGTGAGTTGAATTATAGAAGAGGAACATTGAGATTGGGGAATCCATTTTTTTTTAATAACAAGAAGTAAACAAATCTGTTCTTCATCCCAGAAGGAGATATATCTCACCCCTTAAGATTGGTGTCTGAAAACACAAACCTGAAAAATAGCTCAGGGTCTCATATTTTTGGCACATTATGCCACAATGAAGGACTGAGTGACCCATGAAAAACTGTCTTCTGAAACTATAGACCAAATAAAATTGATCAAAGGAAGGAGTTGGTTCTTATCGTTATGAAAATCATGAACTACAGATTCACCAGCGACCTTATCACAGCTTCTAATTTTTTTCCTTTATTGCTTGATGCATATACTATTGTTCTTGCAGTAAGGTTTTTTTTTTATTAGACAATAAATGTCCTCTTCTTTATGAAACATATTTAGGACTGTTATGTTTGATTTTAGGAAATTCATACAAAGGAAAAATATAACTGTTATGACATAGAAAAGGAAAGAATACATTAAATTTTAAAATTCAAAGCTAATCTCTTAGCAATAGTGGCAAAGTAGGAAGGTGGGTCCATGCTTTCGAATAGACATATTTCTAGAGGCTGTAATAAAGCAGCGACACTGTTTTAAGATGTTGAAGCTGGCATTCATCTCAGTTATATCTGACACTGAATCTCTCCCCATTCCATCTACCCTGCATCACCAAGAAAGGAAATAATATACTCAGGATATATAAGTAAAAGATATAGTAAGCATCAATCTGTGTTTGAAAAAAAGATTGTTTATATTAGGACTATACAGATAATTTTAACTTTTATCTAAACCAAATTTGAGAAAAAACAAAGAAATGACATTTCAAAATTTACCAGATGAAAATGTGTTAGAAATTTTCTAACAAACAACACAGTTAGTTATTACTATAGTATAAATGGAAAAATGGTACAAGTCAAAAACAGTTTTATCAGACATGGCTATTTGTGTGTAAGATTTCGGAAGTTTTACTACTGCAGATAAATTGCTGCTGTATTTATTTCAAAAAATACATGAAGGATCACATTTAAAAAGCTACATCAAGGATCACATTTAAAAAGCTACATCAAGGATCACATTTAAAAAGCAATTTTATCTTTATAATGTATAGTTATATATCATAAAATTAACATTTCAATTAATATACTGTATACTAGATAATTACGATGTATATACTTTAAAGTATAATTATATATAATACATATAAGTTATATATAAATAATAGATGTGTAAATATATAAACTCATGTAAACTGTAATTTTATGTATAAACTAATATGTAATTGTATATATTGTTGTAATACATAAAATTATTATATTAAAAACTTCATATATAGTTTATATTGTTTATAATATGCAACCTATTAAAATAAGCTATATTTTAATTGATCAAAAAACTGTTATTTGTAATTATAGGTTATAGATTCACCAGCAATATTATTACCAGCCTCTATTTTTTCTTTATTGCTTGATGCATATATGATTTTATATTACATATTATAATAATGTATACTATTATATATTAACTAGTTTATATATTATAAATAGCTTACATATTGAATAATTTAATTATCACACTATAATGTATAAACGTATATGCAATTGTAAGATAGGATTAAAACAGATAGTCACAGGAGAATTAAAACACCCTAGGCAGAAGTTTTACATGAATAGAGGCCATAGGCTGATAAGACTCTGAAAAACCAAGGTGTGGAACAAGCTGGCTAAGACCATCTGGACTAAATATGGTGCTGGATTTGACCTAGGTTTCTCCAAGGACCTCATTATGAGCTCATTGATGTATAGCCATGACAGTTCTGAGAACACTCACGTTCGGTATAAAAATAGATTGTATCACAGTTCTGAGAAATCTCCGCTTTTTTCCAGGAAATATGTTAAATATTCCACTCCTTGATTTAAAAAAACCCTAAAGATAGATACTCCAAAGTCCACTGCACAACTCTCTCTTGAGTACACCTGCACTCCCTTTTCTTGAGTGTGTACTTTTTGCTTTGCAATCAGTCTCTGTACTTTCCTATTTTCTGACTCATGCTTGAATTCCTTCTCGTGATAGTGTCAAGAGCCTAGATACTGGCTGGGTTGCAGGTCCTATGGCATTTAGGGACCTTCCCAAGCCCACCAGTAACAAGCGTTTGAAATATTCTTTCTGCATCTGACACACTGGTTAATTCTATACTGTATTCTCTTTTTGTTTAAAATATTAAAAATAATTCCAAATGTTTGTAATTTTCTTAATTATAAGTTACAATTACCGAAATATTTAGAATTAAAAATAAGTGTGTTTAAAAAACTAGAAAGTAAAAAAATTTGAGAACTAAAAAATGTCCAATTTTATGTATTTATTTATAAAAGGAGCCTCATATTTTCACTTAGAATCTATTTAATTTTACTCTAACAGTTAAAAATCATAGCTATTTGATGTCTAAGGGGGAAATAAAAGTCCAGTACAAACCATAAATGAGGATATAATTTACTATTGACAGACACAAAGTTGAAGGAAGTAACAGATAAAAACTTAGTAGTGGTAAGAAAATAGCAGATAGGAAGTAAGTTAAGAAATTTATTGAAAGAACTACCAAAAAGTCTATGCCATTTTTTATATGTTGGTGTCAGTCTTTTCAACCAACATATTCTTATGAAGAAATAGACAAAGACGATACTGGTAGGGCTCAGAGAATGATACCTAAAACGAAAGCCTTAGAAGCAGCCCTCTCTGACCTTCTGCCCTCCTGTCTCTGCCCCTTACTCTCCCTCAAGGCCAGCCATAGAAACTAGAATCTCCTTTTCAAGGTGGTTCATAAAAACCAAAATCCGTTTTCCCCAAAGCCAGACATAAAGCCTGAAAATATTACACTAACGCTGCCTTCCTTTTCTGTGTAAAAACTGGCCATAAAGAAATTAGCTGACCTATTTTACTTGATTGTAGGTCATAAGACCCCCATTCCGGACAAGATCCTGCCAAATACCAGAAGGAAGGAATCCTGTACGGTGAGGCCAAGAAGAATCTAGACAGACAAGCCTTCTGGGTTTCCATACTCAGCCAATTAGCATTAGATCGTACCCTTATTGTTCAGTGATATTTCTACCCAGCTGCCCATACTTCATTGACCCAAACCATGAAAATGGGCAGTTTCTTCTGTATCTTTGGGGCTTCATTCTGGACACTCCTGTGTGAAGTAAAACTGTGCTTAAATAAATTTGTATGCCTTTTCTTTTATTAACCTTCCTTTTTTCAGTAGATTTTAAGCAAACCTTCAGAGTGTAAGGGGGAGCAACTTCAAAGATCAGGATAATGCTAAAGCTCCTACTCATGTCCTCACACATAGCTGACTTGTTAAGTAAGTACAGCATGCAATAGTCCAATAGCCTTATAATGAAGGATATGTATATATTAAATTACATATGTAGCAGATAAATAATTTTCCTACTATCCTTCTAAATTCTCAGCTGAGGCCTTTTAATGAAAGACAGATTAACAAGAGAACAACAAACAGAAGTTTATTAATGGGTATATTTTGTATATACATGACAGAAAACTCAGGGAAAGTGTGACTCTCAGAGATGGCCAAAACTGCAACTTATAGCATCTTCAACAAAACAAAGAAATAAGACTATGGAGGAAGTAAGTTACCAGGAAAAGCAGTGTAAACAAAAGTAAGGTTTGTTTGTTATGCACATGTAAGTAAGTTAGTGGTTTTTCAATTGAAAAGAGTCACTGGTGATTTAGTCATCCTTCTCTTCCTGGTGCAGAAAGGGAAACAGTCTTACAAGTCGAGATTTTCTTTCTAGATGTAAATTTCCCTACAAAAGAATAACTTCTACTCTGTTTTTAGAGCTTCTCCTAGTGTTGTTTCTCAAAATAATCAGCTCAGAATAATTCTTATACTAAAAAGGCCTATTTTGGGGTGGCAGAGTCTGATCTCCTACATATATGTTATGCAAATATTGCATTTAAGAAGTTAGGTAGTGTGTTGAGCAATCGAAAAACAGTTCTGTTCAAAATACTTAAAATGGGAATTTAGACATCTGAAAAGTCATTAGCTATCTAGAAATAAAATGAGAAACAGAGGATGTTTATAACTAATGCTTCTGTGTATCTTAACAATATAGTTCTAATTGGAAATTTACAAGAGAACTTTGCATAGGCTGCATTTCAGACAGTACTTAAGGGAAGGTGGAGTTAGCTCATGCTGGTCCTTGCAATTGACAGAGTGGCTGAAAGTTTAGATCTTAGACCTTCAGAAAGTTCTAAATGACTCCATGCTTAACTCCACTTGCCTGTTTGGTTACTCATTAATATATTGAATCTCTCCTATTTTCCTTTTTATAGGAACAGAAAAGTGTCAAGTAACATGCAATATTCTTTCTTCCTCTGTCTGTATTCTAAAGCTGTTTGTGCTGTAGAGACAACTATTGTGAGCAGAATAAAAATCCTTTGCTTTGTTCTCAGTCTGTATTTCCAACCTTTGAGGTCTGGAATATGGGAAGTAATCACTAAGTATTTATTGAATTGTCTGCTTACCCTGTCTATGCTTCCTGCTACTGACTGCACCAGTCTTATCCTACATTAGCATTATTTTGTTAATTTCAGTGTCACACCTGTTTGGCCCTTTCCATCCCCTTTTAGTTAAACAGGTCTTGTTGCTGTTAAGTTTAGTCTAAAGCTGCCTCCTTACAAATTTGAAGTTTGTCCTAAAGGTTTCTCTGTACATAGTGAACTGGAAATTAACCAGATGTGTAAACACACTGAAATCTACTCTTGTAACAAGTAGCCATGCCTTGGCCCGTCACAGAAACCATAGCCAACCACCCACAAGCAGCCAACTGTTCAAATTTTGTTCAAATAAGGCAAACATCAGGCTGTAACCGATCCAGCTGTTTCTGTACCTCACTTCCATTTTCTGTACCTCACTTTCCTTTTTCTGTCCATAAATCCTCTCCACCCACAGAGATGTGCCAAAGTCTCTCTAAACCCCTTTTGTTCTGGTGGCTGCCTGATTCAAAAATCCTTTTTTGCTCAATTAAATTCTGTTAAATTTAATTGATCTAAAGTTTTTCTTTTAACATTGCTTATCCTCAGAAATGTGGTATCTGTAGAAAACTGTTATTATCATTATCATCATCATACAGTCAGTATTTTTTAAATAGTGAAATAAATATTGGTGTTTGTTCTATGCTTTTTAAAACTTCTATCTTTATTTTTATACTATAAGCACGCCCAGTAGCATATGCATTTTATTAATTTCTCAATTTATCTAAAAATTGTTGACACTGTCTGATTAAAATATTGTGTTTAGCATGTTTAAATACAAAATCAAATTTGCAATTAAAATAAATGTCACATGTGTTTCACATAAGATGACAGAGGAAATGTGAAATATGATAATGGTACAGAAAATATAAAGTAAACATTAATGTAGGCTGGGTAAGTTTCATGTTCCTGTAGCCTGTGTAGTTGAAACTGACCCAGTTGTCCCCTAGAAATGATATTTAAGTGTTTTTGAATAAACATGGAAGTTGACTATCTTGATCTTAAAACTTGAAACTAACCTCTGTGTTATCTGAGTTCCTTTCTCATGAAACCCACCCTTGGGCAAGGGACTCAAACTCACCAGATCACCACATCCACATAATGAGATTCCAGACGCTTCATTCTTCATGATTGCTTCCTTCCCCACTATATAAACCCCCAAAGTGTAGTCTGTTCAGGGAGACAGATTTGAAACTGATCTCCCATCTTCTCAGCTACAGTACCTGGTAAAGCCTTATTCCAATATGGCAATACTCACTATGCTCACTGTCTCAGTGATTGGCTTTCTGTGCAGCAAGCAGTGAGACCTAGACAGGACACTTGGGATTTTGGTAAAATAGTAATACATGGCCCTGTCTCAGAAAAATTATTTCAAACAAAGTGTCCTGCATATTTATTTGGGGCCCCACAAATTACTTACCAGGTTCTGAGTACAAGAGAAGGTAGTTCACTTAAATCAGATCACAAAACTCTAAATCATGTATACACACATGACATATATCTTAATGTGTGTCAAACTTCTTTAACAATTTTTACTTTAGAGACCTGAACCTTCACTTGATCTTGGGTGACAAAGGTATTCAGTCAGTTTTTCCACTTTCAGGACAAATTTAAAATTATGGAAATATGTTACCTCCTCACATTTTGCCTGATATAAAAAGAAAAAAAATCATGTTAGAAACAATCACTGGATGAGGAACCAAAACCTGGAAAACAAAGTGAGAATATGCTGATGCATTTAATGGAAAGACTAGATTTTTGTGTGAATTTACCAAGACCTTACTGGTTTTTAGTTTAGAAGATATTTTGATTTTGGTCAGTGGGACCCAATGGATGTCATTATCATTTGGATTGATTTCTATTTATGTCCTACCACTGTTCTCTAGGACAAAAGCAACAAAGAGAGAGCACAGAGAGTACATGAAGAATTCCTATTATCCAATGACAAGAGCAAATAATTTGATAGAAAAATATGTAAATGACATGGACAGACAACTCAAAGAATAGCTAATAAACATGTAAAAATACTCACTCTCACTAGAAATTAGTCAAGTAACTAAAAACTGCAATAAAATCATATATTATTTCATCAAAGATAAAAAATTAAGTGTCTGAGAAAACAACTTCTCAGGCAAATATTCATAGTCTCTGGTGAGAGTATACATTGGTACCACTATTTGGAGAACAATTTCATATTATCTAATAAATCTGAAGAAACAGCCAACCTGTAATGGAATAATTCCATCTCCAGTTAAGTGTTCTATGGAAACTCACAGATGTATTTACAAGGAGTTATGCACAAATCTTCATTCAGCATTGCTTATAATGGAAAAAGTCTTAGTGTTTATTCAGAAAATGAACAAATAAATTGCATTATATTCATATGGTAGGATATTATATAACAGCAAAAATCAATAAGAGCAACATTAATCAGCAAGGATAAAATTTTAATATACATAGTGTTAAGTGAAAAAAAGGGCAGTTAAAAAAATGTATGAATAGTGTGATGAAATTTATGAAATTAAAAAACTCACCAATGCAATGTTATTTAGAGTTTTTGAATACCTAGCATATGTAATACAAATATAAACAGAGGATAGCAAAGATGCCAATTTGAGGACAATAATTATATCTGGGGAGACAGGGAGGATTAGTAAAGGGTACAAAGAGATTCAACTTTTATCTGTGGCCTTTTATTTAAAAACAGATCTCATAAATATATGGCAAAACATCAATTTATTAAATCAGGAAAGCAAGATTAATAAACATTTGTTGTATTACTTTCTAGGTGTTTGAAATTTTATTTAAAATAAGAGGGAAAAGAGAGGGCAATGTTTGGAAAATGAACAAATCTGGTATACATGATATAACGTAAGCACCTCCTGACAATTGGCAATATGAATGGAGCAAAATGAGACAGCTGTTTGGAAGTAGAATCTGATATACAGCACAAATTATCTGGGCTTTTTCTTGAGTTTTGCCTCATTAGCAATCATCACTAGCTCCAATTATAATGACTAAATCTCCACACAAAATTACATGGGCTCTGCAATTAAAACAAAAGCATAGATGCCAATGGTGGGGCCATTCCTCCAAAAACAAACCTTTCTGAGTGGTTGGGTGCTCAGAAAGAGAGGGGGGCTGCTGGATGAAGTGGAGCACAGTATAACAGCCATCTCATATGCTTCCTGTATGCTTTTCTCTCTTTGCTCATTTCCTCTAAAATTCAATTTCCCAGGCTTGCCTTGAAAGTGGAAAAACTCGTGTGTCATTCTTCATGACAATTTGGCTCCAGCTACACTTTAAGACATTTCAGTGGATAGGAGGTAAATGGGCAGGCAAGAAGAGCATGCTGTTAACAGTTCCCTGTACTTGCTTGCCCCCTCCCAGAAGCTGTCACACACACAGCTCTCACGGTAAACAGTTTGACATGACACAGGTGCCGGAAATGGATCTGCTCAATGACACACACCGCATGCACTGGGGCCAACAGCGTGTGTGTGTGCATTTGATGGCAAATGCTTATACTCACTTTTGCATAAAGAGAGACAGAAAGAAATCTTTGAGATTAATTCTCATTGTCAGCAGTTTTAGAGACAAGAGCTATCCCATTACATCTGCTTCTGTTCTAATTTGAGGCAGTCTTGTAGATAATTTCATCTGATGGGAGAGGAATGTTTTTAAATATAGATATGTAATTTCAGAATATTTAAAACAAAATGAAACCCAAGTTGCTACAATATTACATACATGCATACATAAACACATATTGATCACTTGGCACTTAGAAACGTATTTTCTTCAATGTTGAAACTGCATCTTGACCTAGTTATTAGACATTATATTTGAAACACTCCTCATGACAGAGGTCGACATGCTAAATTTTACTCAGATTATGGCCTGCTATTAAAACGTGTGGTGATAATGTGTTAATTGTAAAAACAGGGCTATTTGGAGTTAGGATAGAGATATTCTCTATCAAACTATCATTTCATTGAACAATTATTTTCACAGTAAGTGCTTCATGTGTCCATTTGGTATTATTGCTTATGAAAGACTAACATAATCCGTAATGACAGATTGAGAGAAATGCAGATACCCAGTAATAATGAAGTATGTGAAGGATATAATTATGGTTGTAACCCTAAGTCGAGTTTATAATTTTATTGTCCAAGGTACTTTGATCCAATCTGGCAAAAACTAACTGGTGTTAAAGAATTCCTTAAAAAGGAAACATTACCTTACAAATGTAATGGCAGATATCAAGTAGGGGATCCTTCCCTCTGAGATCTAAATGAAATTGACTTGAACACCATTCAAGGGGTTGGGACGCCTCATATTCCCCCAGATTCTTTGCCAGGATTCTGGAGGACTAGGTCAGGTTGATAGTGTATATGTTGTTAATGGGGACTCAGCTCCCATGTCCTCATATATCTCTCAATTTTTAATAGAACAACTTTGACCCCTTCTATACACTTCACTGTCTCCTTTCCTATAAAGAAGTAGTATGGATTAGGTTGGTGCAAATGTAATTGCGGTTTTTGCATTGTTGAAATTTGCCATTTGATATTGCAATACATTCTTAAATGTCATTATGTTATACATTATTTTAATGCACATTTCTCACTTTGTTTTTTTTGCTAATGACTTATTGCTGTTTATTTTAGTCTATGGAGATAATGTTAGACAAAAAGCAAATTCAAGTGATATTCTTATTTGAGTTCAACACGGGTCGTAAAGCAGTGGAGACAACTCGCAACATCAACAACACATTTGGCCCAGGAACTGCTAATGTACATACAGTGCAGTGGCAGTTCAAGAAGTTTTACAAAGGAGACAAGAGCCCTGAAAGTGAGAAGCATAGTGGCTGGCCATCAGAAGTTGACAACAACCAATTGAGAGAAATCGCTGAAGCTGATCCTCTTACACCTACACAGGAAGTTGCTAAATATCTCAATATTGACCTTTCTATGGTCATTTGGCATTTGAAGCTAACTGGAAAGGTGAAAAAGTGCAATAAGCAGGTGCCTCATGAGCTGAGCAAAAATAAAAATAATCATCATTTTGAAGGGTCATCTTCTCTTATTCTACACAACAACAACAAACCATTTCTCAATCAGATTGTGATATGCAACAAAAAGTGGATTTTATATGACAACCAGCAATGACCAGCTCAGTGGCTGGACTGAGAAGAAGGTCTAAACCACTTCCAAAGAAAAACTTGCACCAAAAAAAAAAAAAAAGGCCATGGTCACTGTTTTGTGGTCTGCTGCTGGTCTGATCCACTACAGCTTTCTGAATACTGGCAAAACCGTTATATCTGAGAAGTATGCTCAGCAAATCAATGAGATGCACCCAACGCTGCAATGCCTGCAGCCAGCATTCGTCAATGGAAAGGGCCCAATTCTTCTCGACAACACACAGTTATATGTCACACAACCAACACATCAAAAGCTGAATGAATTGGGCTACGAAGTTTTGCCTCATCCACCATATTCACCTGACCTCTCGCCAACCAACTAGCACTTCTTCAAGCATCTTGACAACTTTTGGTGGGGAAAATACTTCCACAACCAGCAGAATGCAGAAAATGCTTTCCATGAGTTCATCAAATCCTGAATCATGGATTTTTACACTACAGGAATAAACAAACTTATTTCTCATTGGAAAAATGTGTTGATTGCAGTGGGTCCTATTTTGATTAATAAAGGTGTGTTTGAGCCTAGTTATAATGACTTAAAATTCACATCCAAAACCGCAATTACTTTTGCACCAACCTGATATTTTATACACATACACACACACACACACACACACACACACACACACACACACACACATATAAAGGGATCCGGGAGTCTCAGTGGTTTGGGGACAGGTTCTCCTTCCCAAGGGACCTGTCTTTAGAACACTCATGTTGCCTGCTCCTCCATGTTGTAAGCTTACCAGGTATGGCTTTACCCCATAGGGAAGCTGGCTCTAAAATCTACAATTCTGGGCTGGTAAATTTAATCCAAGGGGGAAAATATTAGAAACACTGATTATTGGCACAGACCAGGTAAACTTCTCTCCAATTTAGCTTCATCAGTCACAAAGCAGATGGATTGTCCTTCACCTCTCTGACTTCAGTGCCTATTTTTTTGCTGGTTCAGAAGTTGGAGAGGAAGATACAGGTTTTATATATTTCTCCTCATTAGTCCTTTGACTAATGAGGAAATTTTAAGAAATACAGAAATATTTGGAGACCATAGCAATATGCTGGGAGGTTGAACTTCCAGGTGAGACCAAGATAGATTGTTTTGGTGCTTTAATGACAGTGAGTCTTTGATGTCTTTGAGCTATCTGGCTCATAGCCACTTACTTGTGACTAGCACAGTCAAGAGGCTGATCCATAATGGGACTGCCTGAGGAGGGAGCCTCAGCATCCTCCCCCACTAGCAACTTGGGTAGGGCAGATGCAGCCAGACAGGCATTCCATTACGTAGAAAGCCTTATTTGGCTGTGCTGGTGCCTCATCACCTTCCAATCCTCCACACATACACTTCCTGCATCTTTTTCTGTACCTTGGCCAAAACAAATTTATTCCTGTCTTAGGATCTTTGCACTTGCTGTTCCCTTTACCTGAATTGTGTCCCTGGAGATATTTGTATGCCTAGCCTATTGTCTTCATTTAATTATCTCCTCAAAGCTACATTTCCAGAATGGTTGCTTTTTGGTTTTTTTGTTATCTTTTGCTAAAATAGCACAGGCTTCTCAGTTTTCCTTCATCCTTTTCTGCTTTATTTTTCTTTATAAAGTATATTAATCTCAGATATTCTATTATATAGGCCTTTAAGTTTAAAATATATATGTTACCTGTCTCTTTACTAGAACCTAAGGCAGGAGAACAGGAGTTGTCTTTTTGGCTACTGGTGGCCCACAGTGTAGCATAGTATGTACTTGATAAATAAAACAATTCCAATGGAATTGCCTTGTTTTTCTTTTTCTTTTTCTCCTTTCTTTTCTTGTGACAATAAACCAAAGCATATGTACAAAACCGATTTGATTCTTCCCTAAACGGATTCTAGCAGCCTTAAGCCTTTTTCAGTTACTTTTTGGCCTTGGGTTAATGATATTTTCATGGTACTCTCACCCCAAGAAAATGCAATACTTCTTATCTAGAAAGCTTTCTATTCCTTATTTGTTTATTCATGAGATGAACCCGACTTTCGTGAGTGAAGCTGCAATCAAAATCTCCAAAATCCCAAACTTTGGTCATAGATTTTATTATTAGTAAATGAGAGTAAACATCAGATTGATAGAGAATGGAGAGCAGAGTGGCCATAAGCCTGAGGATCAGTCACAGAACGAAAGGAGCCCAGATCACCTTCTCCTTGCCCTTTAAGCAGATCCAAGGAAGACTGAGAAACCTGTGCCAGCTAATCTATCTTCTAATGCCTATAACTTAACAATGTAAAGGCCAGTTTCTAATAACATTTCATACTCTAATAATATTCAGTATTCTATACTGAAGAGCTGCCTTTTGATCTTTAGGATCCTAGACAGCTAAAGAACTGAGAAATACCCTGCAGAGAGAACCAAATATATATTCTACCCCACAATGCCCAAATAGTCTGTATGCTGAAGCACTGAGTTGAGACTTGACTGTGATTTAAACCTTGTCTTGGCCATGTGTATCTCTGTGTAGCTCAAGGTTAACCACAGCAGTCTACATACTAAGACCAAGGTGTCTTACTGAAGATCATGCCAATTTAAAAAATATATACAGCTGTACAAGTTCAATATAAACTGCTGCAAACTGCCAAGGGGAAAAAAATGGCCAAGTCCACATCAACAAAAGCATTGAAGCCTGAATCTTAAAAACCCTTCCCTTGGCCACAGAAGAAGCCTCATATTCCATATCCACATATTCTTTTGGGCCTCAAATGCCAGGACTTTACCATTCCTCAAGGTTACTGGCCACGCACCAAGACATTGGAGTTTTATAAAGACAGAAATAATGCCCTTCTCTTCTTTTGCACTCTGAACCAGTCCTGAAAGTAGATATTCATGTAAGAGAAATGGAGATCTATTATCAACTTTATTATGAGTACAGGTAGACTAGGGAATGAATGTTGGAATTAGCATCACCATTGACTTCTAAAATTTCTCTGAATTAAGCTTACCACCCCAAAATACTCTGGGTCTAAGCTATGGTCTCAGAAAGAAATTAGAGTCATGTAAGTAAGTTTAAATAAAGGAGCTATTTAGAAATGTATAGACAAGGCATAGGAATGCCAAAGACCCATGGACTGGTTACAGGAGAGCTATTTCAATCCCTGAGGCACAAAGCAGTTATAAAACACAGAAGGAGAAAGTCATGCAGGGAGGGCCATGTTGAGACGAGGTGGGCATCCCTGCAGGGAGGCAAACCAGAGCAATACACAACCTGAACTCAATATTCTGCTTCTATTGGATCTTCTGCCAGGACTCCCTATTGGTCATGTACACCCAGAAGCCAGAGGGGGAAAAAAAAAGTCACTTATATTTCAACCAAGTCAGCATTCTGGGATGGATGCCAGGCTAAAAGAAAGTAGACAGTGGGACTAGAGGGCAAACAGAAGGTTTCTAGTCCACCTGGAAAATATGACACATGGATAAGCAGAAAATGGCTGCCTCCTGAGCACAGGATTCTCTGAAAGAAAGAGACAAAAGAAACCCATGACTAGTTTCCTTCTCAATCGCCTCAATCTTCCCTAGGGAAAACAGTGTACAAATTTCCCTGCCCTGTTATTCCTGCAGAGTGGGAATTTCCTTCCTACTATAAATATGTGGGAAATGGGGAACAGGCATTTTCCCGAACACTAACAAGTGGACCCAGAAGAAAACACTAAGTACAAGTGGTGACATGAGAAGCTAGCTGTTCCCTTCTCTGATAGCTACACGTCTGGACACCGGAGCCTTGACTGTCAGCTCCCATGGGTAAAGAAAGCAACTATTTCAGTAATATTATGGCAAACTCTAGTCCTCTTGACAATATGTTTTCATGAGAAGATTTCCTAGAGAACTTGTAGTCTCTCCCTAAACAAAAAAATAATAATTCTCTCTCAAGAGCATGACCAGAAAGAAGGAATTAAGCATGTAAGGAAGGCCCCATCTAGGCTCTCCCTTTGGAAATGTCCTGTCCTGAGGACGCATTCCTTCTCTGCCCTCAGAAACAAAAACTTCCAGGGGAATGTGTGGGTCCGTGAAGAGGTAGGCATCCAGGTGTGAGCAGACAAAAGGCAGTAGGAAGCGACATTCCGGCTATGGAACGAGGCAAGTTCTCCAGTTCAGCTAATCCATCTATAAAATATATACAGCAGAGCCAGTAGTTTAATTTCCTTTTATCTGATGACGGAATCTATTTCTTTACTTGTTGAAAACTTGTAGGGCAGAAGATCTGTGTTATTCATTACTGATTTCACTACCAGCAAAAGCTTCTTAGCGTCTTCTGGTGCTGAGTTACAGCTTCCAGTGATTTTTTTTTTTTTCCTTACTAATGGAAATGTTGCTAGTCTGTACCTGCATTACCCAGTGAACTCCTTTTCTTGATTTGTATGGATGGGAGCATGGCTGGGGATGACTCACAAGTCATTGTGTATGTTTTTATGGAAGATTTTACTAAAGGTTTATGGAGAACAAGGGAGTTACAGCTCAAAAGCATAATTGAAATTGAATGTTACATTTAATATATTAAACATATTAAAGTTAAATATTCAAATCACTATGCTTAAAAATATCTTCAGCCATTACCAAATATACATGCCCACAATTTTATCAGTATTAAAAATTTTATATACCTGTTTACAGTAACTTTTTTAAATGTTGTTTCCTTTTTTTTCTTAAACACAATTCTTTGCATATTGTTATATATAACAATTTAACAATTACTTTATTCTTCCCTTTCATTCTACATTCTGCAATCAGTTGGACTGTGAAAATATTTTTCTTTGGGAAGCCTTCCTTCAGAAAGAGAATTCTGGTGCCAGTTATTAACTATGCTAAACATTTGTAAAAAAGTATTATTAGCTATAAAGTCTTTGAAATTCCACAAGGTGCTAATAGCATCTCTGTAAACTAGCCCTGCTTTATAGATTGTTCAGTAATTTTTCAAAAACCAGGAAGCTTATAAGTGGTAAATTCAGAATCTGAAAAATAGTTACTCCAAATTGTATAGCTTAATGAGTTGATATGATGGTTGTTTATTATAGAAAGCAAGCAGCATTATTTAGCTATGTGGCTTATGAATGATACCTCCCCAAATAGGTTACAGTTTCATAAATTTAAAGGATTAAAAAATAATAACATTGTAGACTCAAATGTCAGATTTACTATATAAATGTAGTGCTCTTTGGGAATTTAAGTTTTTATCTTAAATGAAAAATTATTTGAAATTCACTTTTTCATTTTCTATGTATGATTTTTAAAATCTTGTCCATCAATTATTCAATAAGCATTTACATAAAATACTATATACACATAATTTTGAAATGAGTAGTATATACTCTAAATTTCAAACATAAGTCGAATCAAAATAGTATAATTATTTTGTTTTGAGTCAAAAATCAACCTATAGAGAATACATCCTCTCTGTATCTGGTGAAAATACCTTAAACAAAAACCCACAAATTTTATTATTTTTACATTTATTTATTTGTTTTATTTTTTGAGATAGAGTCTCACTCTGTCGCCAGGCTGGAGTGCAGTGGCGTGATCTTGGCTCACTGCAACTTCCGCCTCCAGGTTCAAGCGATTCTCCTGCCTCAGCCTGCCGAGTAGCTGGGATTACAGGCGCCTGCCACCATGCCCGGCTAATTTTTTTTTTTTTTTTGTATTTTTAGTAGAGATGGGGGTTTCATCATGTTGGCCAGGCTGGTCTCGAACTCCTGACCTCGGGTCATCTGCCTACCTTGGTTTCCCAAAGTGCTGGGATTATAGGTGTGAGCCACCACTCCTGGCCCCACAAATAATTTTAAATCTCTGAGTTTAATAAAAATCAACAAAAATTTGAAACGGGTCTTCAGTATTGTAAGGTGTTTACCAAACATTTTTCAAGATGTCAAAAACCTTCAGTGACTTGTATATACTATTATCTTTTTTCATAACAAAGTATTCCAGAATTAAAGCTATTGTTTGTGTTTAGTTATTAAGTCTAAGCTTAGTTCATCTTAACCTTCACTAGCAGTTTTAGATAGAACTGTATTTGGTGCTCACACACTAGATTGATATGAACCAGCTGTTTTTAATGGCTTTTAGACTTGACAATATTTGAAAAATTAAAATGGCTACCAAGATAAACCTCATGATCATTTTTATTTCTTGCCCAACATCATGATTAATGCAAATGTTAGTAATGTTTGCTAGGTACTCAGCAAAGCCTCTGAAAATGGCATAGACCATTATGTTTTGAACAGACACAGTCAGTGAGGGAACAAGTCTAAATTTTAAAGAATTTTATTTTATAAAAGTTTATTTGTATACTGAGAATAAACCATGAAATTTAGATGACAATTTTTGCCAAGAAAATTACCTACATTTTTGTGTTGCTGCCAGTTAGCTTGCTTTATAAGGCAAATTTCCCGTAACTATAAATGCAGTGGCTTATACAGTTATCTAGCAATCTAATAAAAGAAATCTGCTTTGGCTTCAATTTTATGGACTGGATTCCAGGGACATAATATTACAGGAAAATTATATTGCTCTTCTCTTTGTTTTGGCACTGGTGACAAGGATCATAATGATTGTGACTTGATGAAACTTTGAAGAAATACAATCACTACTTTTTTCTGAAGCAACAAGCACATAAAAAATCCCTATTCTGTTTTTGACATAATAAATATTCTTTAAAAATTTAAGAAGTGTATAAGAGTTATTTTCTCAGATAAAAATGAGTTCAAGGCTACTTGTGGTAGTGACATTCTCATAGAAAAATACAGAGCAGATTGTTTTTAGAAGAAGAAACTTCTCAATACCTGGAGGATAAATGTGACCCAGAGAATGAAACATAGTTTGATTCTGGTGACTCAGAGAGATCTTACTTCTTTATTTATGATTCTCTTTATATATGAACCCCTGCACTTCAGGTACTAACATTTTTATATTAGAAATTTTAGCTTGTGCACAGACTTATTTATCTATAAGTGGAAATCCAAAATATTTTGTTTGAAGGAATGCATATAAATATTGAAATGACAGAAAAAGACTCTGTTGTGGGTAAAATTTTGAAATAGTGAATGCAATGGGATATTACTATAAAAGTCTTTAGAGACCTTGCTTTTTCTCTGGATAATGATCATTCTATTCTATTAGAGGCCATCCTTAATTGCTATTTTCATCAAAGTGCCTTTTCCTTTCTGAATCCCTGACCAAAATATGTAAGATTAATGGCTTCAAAGACACAAATTCATGTTAGGAATACAAAGGAATAGCATTTAAAACTAATATTTTTAGTATATATACATTACCTTAATCTTATATTTTGTATAAAATGTGTGACATTTATGAATTCAACTATTGATTTAAATGGAAGAGATACAAAGATTGCTAGTTTTCTCTATAGTCGATAGAACAATCATCAGTTGCTTTGCACTAACAAAACAGATGTAGCTAATATTTACATAATATATTCAAGTTGATGGTGGGTATCTCAGGTAATTTATTGATTACAGTACACTGTAGAGTACAGTATTGGCTGTTTACTGTCATGATTGCATGGCTGATTGGGAGCTGTGGCTGGCTACCACTGCCCAACATCACAAGAGAGTATTGCACTGCATATCACTAGCCTAGGAAAAGATCAGAATTCAAAATTTAAAGTGTGGTTTCTACTGAACACATATCACTTTCATATCATTGTAAAGTCAAAAATTCTAAGTCAAACCATTCCAAGTAGCGGATCATCAGCATTATAATTGAGAATCAGGGTAATGTAGATGCCAATCTTGAAAGACCAGCTCTCTAAAATAGTTTATCTTTTATTTTTAGAACATCAGTTTAAACTTGAAATATATTTATAATATTATAGTATTGTAGTGAAAATGTAAATTTCAAAAATAATACAATTTTTAGAACATGTCCTCAGGATGAGCATAGTAATGTTTTTATGTCAAAAAGTTTGTTTAAAGTTATGCTCTTTTGTTACTTGCCTAATTGGTGAATCAACTGTCTTCTCCTGAAACTACAGTCATTGCTGAATTATAACATATGACCAGCTGGCTGTTTCCTTCAAACTCTTATCACACCATATTTTCTGAAGAGATCAATGCTACAGAAAAAGACTATTTCATTAAGCCACATTTCAGTCATTTTCAAGACTATACAGCAGATCAAAATCTCTGTTCTCTTAATTCATAATGGTACCAAAATGCCAGGAGTTTGGTCTAGGTCCTGCTGCTCACTACACAGAAAGCCAATTACTGAGACAACAAGTATTGCCAAGGAAGAAGGCTTTAATCAGGTGCTGCAGCTGAGGAGAATGGGAGATAAAGTCTCAAATTCTTCTGCCTGCCCAATTAATACTGGAGGCTTTCTATAGCAGGAAATGCAGGAAAACAGGAATTAAGGAGGAGTGAGGAAGCAATCATGATGTATGTGGTATCTGACATGGAAGTGGTGATCTGATGAATTTCATTTCACTGTGTGAGGGTCTGTTTCCTGAGGAACTCAGATGAGAAAAATGTAAGTTTCAAGTTTTAAGATGAGGGAGGGGCAATTTCTGTATTTATTCAAAGAACTGTAAGTATTAGTTTTATGGGACAATTGGGCTTGTTTCAACACTAACAACATTTTAGCTAAAGCTGTGATTAGACACAATTATAAAATGAATACATTTTTGAGGCTTTAGAATAACAATTCCCAAGGGGAAACATTTTCATTGAGGCAGACCTTGATATTTTAAACAAAGGCAATAATATAAGTTAAATACTAAATATCCAAGAAAACAAGGTTGAGTTAACTGAAAAGCCATTCTGTGTATCCCCACATATATTTTGATTATTGTTCTTATTATAGTGTGATGGGAAGGCATTGTGTATTTATCTAACCCACTGAACCGTGACTCACTTGGGAAAAAAAATGGGTCATTTTTTTTTGCATCTTTAGCTCTTTTCATAACACTAGATAGATAGTAGATGCTCAATAAAAGCTTACTATAAGTGAATGGGTGGATGGACAGACATTAATTAATCAGTTAACTGGATTTCTTCAGGGACAACTTACTAAAAGTTCCATAAAGAGCAATCAGTAATATTGGTTTTATAATAATGGCATCTAAGGGATTTCTATTGCTATAAAATAACATATATAATATATAAATAATGTGAAATTCTTAAATTACACTTAAATATATTAATATATGTATTTTGTATAACTTATATACAAATATATAAAACAATAAACTAATTAAAACATGCAAATGCATCAAACTTTGTTGGCAACCTGAAATTAATGCAGTGAAATATATATTTATATAAACACACATGCATGTATAGAGAAAGCAAGAGTGAGAGTGAGTTTTCTCTATTCTGTATAGTAAGTGCTTTCCCACTTAAAAAAAAAATCAACCATGTCACACCATAAAAATATCCTTACAATATACCAATATGACAGCCTTGTAATACTCAGGGTTTTCAAAATAACTATATGCTACTACTAAAAATAATATTACGCCAGTTTTAGAATTCCTTAATCCTTCTTCCTGACAGTCTCATTGATTCCAGAGGCTTTGATCTGTTTGTCTGAAAATTATAAAGAAAGATTCTTAGGCATCTGAAGAGCCAAACAAACCTAACATGGAAAGAGAAGAAGAGGAAGGTCAATAACAATTCCAAGGCCCCAAAGGGAACTAACATTCTTGTTTTAATTCAAATGACCCATGATCTGGTATGATAAAAGAAAGGAATAACTCCTCAACTCAACCCAACTGTGGAAGAGAAAGTCATTTATTTGTTTGGATGTTTTACCCTATAATAATCCCCTGAGAGGTTCTTCAGTTTCCCTTTACCTGGGAATAACAGAATGGGCTATTTAGCTCTTCTAATTCCAAATATGGAATTACATGTTAAGAATCAGCTAGTAGAAAGAGAAGCCAACATGTCTTGATGGTTTGAAAAAGTCAAGTATTGATTTTCCATATTTTGTTAGTAGTTGGAGGAGGGGGTGTGTGCATCCTTCTTGAGTGTGCATGCCTATGGGTATCCATGTCTGCATGTTTTAGTGTCTGTATGTCTGTGGAAGAGTTGGGGGAAGTGGCAACAATTATTTGCAGTGGAAGTATTCATGGCCTTTGAAAACAACCATCAGGGACAGAAAAAATACAAAGAATGAGGCAGGCAGACTGCATTTCATAATGTAATTTCCCTATTTACAAAGAGGCAAAGAAGCCTATAGATTCTGCCGTGGCCTTGCTCTTTCACTTGATACTGAAATATAATGAAGAAAGAAGCTACAGAGAACACTTCAGAAAAATCTGGAAACTTAGATTCAATGAAGCTAAACAGCTAAAAATAAAAATCTGTAAAGCCTGATCAAACCAACCAAATATCTGGGGTCAACTGGAAAACTAAAATCCTTTTCTCATGTTATTTCAAATGGAATCTGAAGTCAAAAAGCACAACAATGAACTCCTTCTTCCATTCAGGACACTTCTCAGATTTTGTAGCGATTGTTTCGATTTATCAGTATAGTTTGAAACAGCACTGCTTTGTAACCCTCTGAAAAAGAAGGGAAAATGCTGAAGTATTAAATACCATTCCACTTGTACCGTGACACAAAATAGATTGAAAGAAATCTAGTCTTTTATAAATAATGGATATATTTAACAGTAATGTATGTGCATATATATTCTTATCCTTTTGCACATATACATAAGAAATCAAACTGAAGCACAGAATAAAGGGTCACAGTTCCTAGTCAAATTCATTCACTCAAGTATTTCCAGAGTAACTACAACATACTAGGCACTGTTCTAAGGAGGAAGGAGGGAGTATGCAGCAATGACCTTGTTTTAAATCCTGGCTTATATAAAGCTTTAATTCCTGATGTGGGGAGGGAGAGTCAGAGATAAGAAATAGGTAAGATATATGAAATAAATTACATACTAAAAAATGGAAAGTGCTAAGCAAAAATAAATCATGGAATGAAAATAGAAAATGTCTTGGGGAAGGTGAAATTTTAGGAACCGTGGCAGGTAAAGATCTCACTGAGACAATGACATTTTTCTGAAGATCAAAGTGAGAAAGAGGAAGTGTATCAATAGGTATTGAATACAGGAAAAGAAACTGCTCTTTGTAAATCAAACAACAAAATATTGAATACAGGGAATAATGTGTTGTTTACAGAATCAAGGAAAGGTCTGCTACAGGTTTAAGGAGTTGAAGGACTCTACCATCTTAGCTGTGATGGAAAGAACAGAGACTGGTGTCTGCTACTTTCATTCTTCATGATACCCACAGTGTCTACCTATGAGTGAAGCCGGAGACAAGCACAGGATACTGAGGTTACCATTTCAACCGCCTCAATGAACTCAGGCAAAGGAGGTGACCTTTCCCTCTCTTCTGAGTTTTAAATCACTCACAAGTGCATTTAGTCTGTAGAAAATAGTTTACAACCCAGATTCTAGGGAGTCTAGGAAATGTAGAGTTTAGCTTTATAACTTCTCCGATGGAATGAGGGTGGAATGAGGTTGGATATTCAAGTTCTACCAGAGGGAAATTAATAGGAGGTGATATGAGAAGAAGCAGGGTGCATAACCACGTAGAGAAGCTAAGGCTTTTTAATGACTTTGGCTTTATTCTCTGAGTGGTAATAGAAATTATTGGAGACTTTTAAGGAGAACGTGACATAATTTGGTTGTTTTAATTGGACATGTTTGATTTTTGTTCTGACAATAGGTGAAAAGGGTGGAAAGAGTGAAACAATCCAGGCAAAAAAGTAAAATAAGCTTTCATAAAAGTGGTGCCATTGAAAGTGAGAAGAGGTCACCTTCTGTCTATATTTTAAAAGCAGGCTAGCTTAATTTACCTTTAGATTACATATACATTGTGAAAGAGAAAGAATGAAGGATAACTTTAAGATTTTAGATCTTTGCAATTGGAAAAGTGAAACTGCCATTAGCCAAAATGTCAAAGATGGTAAGAGAAATAAATTAGGGGAGAGGGGCTAAAAAATCCAGTTTGACACATGAAAAAGCTTGAGTTGTCAAGCACTTGGATATATAAATCTACAGTTCATGGGAAATTTGTAGATGGAAGATAAAACAAAAGAAATCATCAGCATTTGGAAGGTAATTGAAACTATAAGACTAATGAGATCCTCAAAGTAATGAGTATAGACAAGCAAAGAGTATCAATGTAATGTAAGGCCTGATAGGGATGAAGTATTATTGGAGTAAGGAGACTAGCCTGAGATAGAGGAAAAAGTTGGTTTTCTGAGAACAAAATCCTAAAAACTGAGATTATGGAATAATTATAGTTATTAATGACAAAAACTATGACCATGAGAAAATGAGTTTATTAAGTAGGGTAAGAGAGCAATTATTATAAGGAAAAAAAGATTAAAGTATTGAAAGAGCAGAAATGGGCATGTTTCATCTAAATCAATAAGGAAGTTACCCAGGATGTGACAGGAGTACTGTAGAAGTGACAATGAGGCAGGAGCAAAACTCTCCAAAGAAGCATAGAGAGTGGCCTTGGTTTCACAGATGGCTACAAGTATAACAAGGAGGTATAGAGTGTGGTATGTGGTATGATCCAAAGCTGGGGAACTTACAGAAAAGAAAGGAAATTGGCTCGGAAATGCCTGAGCAGAACAGAATTATCATCTATGTCACTCCCATGCCCAGTTGAAATAAGACTGGAAGAGAAAATAGTCACTGAGAGGGATGTGGGGAATTCTGGGGCTTCTGGGGAGAGCCAGGTTTCTGTGATAGTAAGAAAGTGAGAGGCCCATTCCGCAAAAGGTGGAAAATATTTCTGAAGACTGAATTGCTTAGTCTACTGAAGTTGCAGAGTGGTAACTGATAGATACATAAAAGAATGTTACAGAGTTGGGTACAGATTAGAGTCTGGGAAAAAAGAATTACTTGGTAGTCCTGGACATCATGGGGTTACAAATGGAAACAAGAATAGAGAGAATTGTAGGGTTTTCCCTGGGAGTAGCCATGCTCTGGCTGTGGGGGAAAGGTAGGAATGTGAGTCTTTCTTGAAGTAGATTCAATTCCAGGATTTTCTAACCCAGCCAAAAGAGGATGAAGGATAGCAGGGGGCAGTGATGCCAGTGTAAATCCTTTTTATTTTCCTGCCAAAATAAAGCAACATTTTTAACTTTTAGAGAATTTTTTTTTCTGATCAGCAAATTTGCTTGTAGCTTCAGCTTAACTGTATTTCCCAAATTATGTAGGTTTACACAGGAGTGTTGTGGGTGAGAAAAATTAGGAGCACTGTCGATTACAGTAACAAAAACGTAGAATGAATAATCCATAAGGAAATGGGACAACATACCCTTGCATGGAGGTTAATAGTGTGTGGTGTCAGAAAAAAATCTATGTTTGAATCATGGATTCACCGTGGATTCACATGATTATATTGGGTCAATTAAGCCAAGCTGAGACTACATTTCTTACAATTCTCTTTCTTGCTATTTCCAAGTCAGCCTAGAGTTTAGAGTAGCTATTTTACCCAAGACCATCGGTCATTTTTTAAAATATTTTTCTGAGCTAAGTTCAGTGCAGGGGTACTAGGTGCCATTGCACCTCATGCACATTGTCACTTATCTGTCAGCTCATCTTGTTGTGTGGGACAGCAAACAGAACTAAGTTTCCTTCAGCTCCTACTCCATCTTCCTTTTGCCTCCCCAAATCCTGGAACAGGTGGGTGTTTAGCTCCATGACAAAGAGCACTAGATTATCTTGCGTGGACTCCTATTGTCAAAATTGGAGGCTTAGGGAAGGTGAGAGCCTGATACATGTTCCAGGCTATCCTCATAGAATCCAGTTATTGATAATGAGGTACAGTTTGTCCTTGTTTTTCCCTAGCTCACATCCAACATCTCTTCCCAATTATCTTTCCTTCTGATGTCTGTCTCCATCACTAGACAGAAAGACAACCTTTACATAGATGGTTAAACCAGCTCCCACAAATGCATAAGGTCAAATCAGTATAATAAATCCTTACTATATATCACTTCCAGTGGCTCTGCTGATATAATCTGTAACTATGTGATAATGTAAAAGTTAATTAATCTCTAGGTCCCAGTTTCTTTTACTTTAAAATCCTAATAATATCTACTTCAAAAGATTCTTGTGAGAAAATTAAGATGATTATGTGAAGTGCTTAGTACAGTTGCTGGAACCTAATAGTTACTCAGGAAATGGTGGCTATTATTCTGAAGATGAAGTAAATTTATAACAGGGCCTTAGTTTATACCAAATTCCATATGTAATCAACTTAATGGTAACCTCTTTAAGATAAGGGACTCTTAATGTTCTTAATTCCTCTTTCATTTTCTTTAGTAACTCTGAGGAAAGTAGCATACATTCTTTACATAGTTTGTTCCTGATAAGAATATATATCAGAATATATAATTGTCAGTTGTAAGTTGTTTATGGAATAAGACATTATCTAGTAATAAATTATACCACAAAAATGTCAATAGCACATTTCTTTAGACAGAATAAAATAAGAATGCTTAATGGGGAAAAAGTTTTGAGAGACATGAAAAGAAATACATATCGTATTTAGATGGGTTGAGAGGTAAGTTAAAGAAAAGTAGGGACCAGAACATCAATAAATCTCTTCTATATCCACCTTTGCACATGTCCTAAAATCAGCTGGGCATGGTGGCTCACACCTGCAATCCTAGCACTTTGGGAGGCCGAGGCTGGCAGATCTCTTGAGCTCAGGAGTTCGAGAACAGTCTGGGCAAAATGGTGAAACCCTGTCTCTACTGCCTGTTGCCCCAGCTACTTGGGAGGCCAAGGTGGGAGGATGGCTTGAGCCCAGGAGGTAGAGGTAGCATGGAGCCCTGATGGTGCCACTGCACTCCAGCCTGGGCAACAGAGCCAGACCTTGTCTCAAAAATAAAATAAAGTTTAACAAGTGTCCTAAAAGATACTACTTTTAGATGGATTTTGTTTTTCAATTTAGGGGAATTTTGATCAAAGTAGTTCCTTAATATCAATCTACTGCAAAGTAAATTTAAAAAATAGTAGTCTATTACATTTTTATTCAAGAAAGATTTTTGGTTTTACTTTTAAATTGTAATTATAAAGCACTCATACTTAAGGATAACATGCCAATTTATCAAAGAAAAATGTGCTCCCTTGCCAAGCATGTCAAATATAGAAAAGCTTATTCTTAATGTATGTAGGAGTTTTCCTTTAAATTAGATTCATGTGTTTTTCTGCAGTAAAACAAAAATGGCCTTTCATTACTCTATCCTATATTTTCTGATGAATATGTAATTGGTTGACCTTTTGTAACATTCATCCACATCTGTAAAACTTTGTTAAAAGGTGGTAGATTAAAAGTTGATATGAAGAGTAAGGCTGTTGAGTGTTGGAGAATCTGTGTTGCTTTCCAAGACTATCTTTAATAATTCTGAAAGCTGGGTGCTTCATCTGTCCAGACATTTGAAGCCCTAATCCCTTCTGTTTCAAGAGATAACCCCTTATTTCCCTTTCCAAGCAAGTCCATCTGCTCAAACTGCTTGAGTGCAGAATCCAATAACTGGACAAGGAGTGAGTTTCCATCAGTTTCTCAGCAAACTAAGCATCCCTCCCAGGACAGCAGCAGCTTCAGTGATCATGAGGTCTATCAGAGAGACACATGAGTAACTGACAAGAATAGAAATGGGATCTTTTTACTAAGCACTGCTCTGAAGGAGAGAGAAATGCACATGTATGCAAGCACTTACACACATGCACACAGCTGAAGAATGATCTGAGGAAAAAAGGATCATAACAGCCATGCCATGTATCGTGACGTTTCAGTCAATGACCACATGTACAATAGTGATCCCATTAGATTATAATAGAGCTGAAAAATTCTGATCAGTAGCTGTCCCAATGTAGTGCACAACACAATACTTTTTCTATGTTTAGCTATGTTTACATACACAAATGCTCACCACTGTGTTACAATTGCCTACAGCATTCAATACAGTAACACGCTGTACAGGTTTGTAGCCTACGAGCAGTAGGCTATACCATATGGCCTATGGGTACAGTAGGATATACCAGCCAGGTTTGTGTAAGTACACTCTATGATGTTCACATAAGGACAAAATCGCCTAAGGACATATTTCTCAGAACATATCTTTATGGTTAAGTGACATGACTGTATTTCCCAAGAAATTTACAGGCACAAAGAAGGAGACAAAATAATTGGAATACAAAATGATATTAAATTATTATTTTCTATGCAACTTTAGGCAATCTATTGGCTTGCTTTTAATTGTCTCTAAGAATAAGATAAATCCATATTATTTCTTTTCTCAAAATAGCAAGTATCACTGTATGAGTTATATAAGTATTAAAAATCCTTAAGCCACAAATAATATATCAGCCTAATAGTGGAAAAAAGAACTGGGGAGATAAATAGCACACTAATATGGAAGGAGTAAAAGAAAAGGAAGACGCAAGGACAGCCACAGTAATAAACAGACCTGACAGCTAATTCAGATTCCTGCTCTGCAAATTTAGCATTATGAGGCTGAGAGCAGTGATGAATAGAAGCAATAAAACCATCTTGTATTTGAAGAACACTTTAAAATTTGTCTAAGTCTTTTCAAATAGTTACCTCAAACAAATAAACTGAAAATTTAAATAACCCATCCAAGGTCACAAAATTAATGCATGAAAGTCTGGCCTAGAAACCTGAGTCCCAATTGCTAGCCATTGTTCCTTGCAATAACAATGCTGCTTTTGCAAGAAAGACTTTAATCAAGAATTATACACTTCAACATTTCAACATCTGGATGTCTAACTCATAATGGTATTCTGTAGTCTAAGAAAACTTCATATGTTATTTAGCCAGTATATCCTAAATAACCTTTTAAAAAATGTAAAAATATTTTTCCAGCTTCCACATGACTTCAATTGGACTTTTGGATCCTGGTGATTGTGGAAGTATATAAAGCATACAAATTCAAGTCCCCTTGCAATTATTCCAAGGTTCATAATTTGGAAACTACTGATTTAGTCCAATTCTCTCAATTTACAGAGAGGAATCCAAAACCCAGGGAAATTAAGTGAATCACTCAAGGACATAAAGCAAGTTATTCAAAGAACCAAGAGTCTTACTACTCCATGCTGCTTTCCCTCCTCTCTCATTTGGGAACAATTTCTTTTTTGTTTCCCTCTTGGCATATTGTGGTTGTAGTTATCATGAGATTTTAATTCTATTTTGAGTGCTTGGTTGACTTGGCAACACTGTTTTCCATACTGCCTCTAGTTCCTTCCAGTAGAGAATCCAATGATTTCTCTGTTCTCTGCTACTGATTGATAGAGTGCCAACAAACAGAGAAGAACTAAATAAAGAGAAACTCAGGAAAAACAAATACGACTACACAAAATTACTAGGAAAAATAAATTTGAGGTGTTATCTTTGCCATCATTCAAATGATGACTTAAACTGAGTGTTTCAATTAACTCAATTTTTTTCTTTGCATACTGGGGCAAATCTTTCTATGAGACTTTGCGAAAGTGGAAGCATAATCTGAATAGTATACACACCTCACAAATAATTACAGTTAATTGGTACTAGTAGTTTTCTCAAAATTTGTTCTGTGATTAAGCTCATTTTGAATAAAGAAAATGATAAAGTAGTATCAGCCTATATTTTGGTATTTTCTTACACAATATTGTAACTTTTGCAGATAGAAAAGTAATACTAAGTATGCATTTTGTTCAGACAGTGATTTAGTTTTGGTTTAAAATGAACAATTAGTAAACATTATATTTTCATTTGGTCAGTGTGACTTGCCCTGAAACATGTTTTGATGTCTTTTACCTTTCTTTCTAAACTTGCATCTCTAAGTACTATAAAATTACCCGCCCAAAATGATGAACTCTCACCTCTCTTACTGACTCTTAGAAGAAATTAAGCCAATGAGATGGAAGTTCCAGGTTGAGTTCTCTCTGTTTTGTGGAAAGGGTGGCAACCAGGAACAACTTCTGATTGACATAATGAGACTGGGGATGTTGAAAAACTGGTCTGTGCAGGAGTCAAAAGGAGCATGTAAATGGGTAAATTCCCAAAGTGTCACATTTCTACAATATGCCACTTTTCTGTCAACCTAAGTTTTCATGATCTAACTCTACTTCAACATTTTCCCTGCAAGTAAAGCTCAACAAATAATTAAATAATTTATTGCAAGAAAAGGCATAGGTTTGAAAAGTCTCCTTAGTGTAAGAAGTTGAACAAGTAGTTTATTTACAAGTTCTAGTAGAATTAGCCAAGAGACAATACCTAGGTTTAGTGTCCATATTCCAATCCTGTAACTTAAACTCAATCTATGAGTTTCATTATAGGTAGGCAGCAAATCTTCTCACCATATTCAAGGCTCACAGAATAACAGAATAATTTTTTTTTTTTTTTTTTAATGAGGCAGGGTCTCAATCTGTTACCCAGGCTACAGTGCAGTGGCACGATCATGGCTCACTGCAATCTCAACCCTTGGGGCTCAAGTGATTCTCCCAGCTTGGCCTCCCAGGTTGCTGGGACCATAGGCATGTGCTACCATGCCTGGCTTTTTTTTTTTTTTTTTTGAGACGGAGTCTCGCTCTGTCGCCCAGGCTGGAGTGCAGTGGCGGGATCTCGGCTCACTGCAAGCTCCGCCTCCCGGGTTCACGCCATTCTCCTGCCTCAGCCTCCCAAGTAGCTGGGACTACAGGCGCCCGCCACTACGCCCGGCTAATTTTTTTTTTTGTATTTTTAGTAGAGACGGGGTTTCACCGTTTTAGCCGGGATGGTCTCGATCTCCTGACCTCGTGATCCGCCCGCCTCGGCCTCCCAAAGTGCTGGGATTACAGGCGTGAGCCACCGCGCCCATGCCTGGCTTTTTGTTGTTGTCGTTGTTGTTGTTGTTGAGACAGGGTCTCCCTATGTTGCCCAGGCTGGTCTCAAACTCCTGAACTCAAGCAATCTTCCCACCTCAGCCTCCCAAAGTGCTGAGATTACAGGCATGAGCCTCTACACCTGGCCAGAATAGCCCATGTCTTAGACAGTGCTGATATCAGAGGAAAAAAAAATGGTGCCACACACTACAAAGGTTCCTAATATTTTGGCTCAGAAGTATCACAGATATTCTAAAAATGTATATACTCAATCCATCCATCAATGCAAGTATCGTGGGCTGAAATGCTCAACAGTGGATAGGGGCATACAACCCTTCATTAGGGAGGAAAACTTGTTTGCTCTTATGATATATCTCACCTTCAATTATATTTTGTTTGATATCAAAATGCATTTTATGACTATCTCTTGAAAGACATTTTTTTTCTGGTACTTTTTTCCTGACTTTATTGGCAACCTTTCTGACCTATTTTATTTTCTAAGTATGTCTTTTGGGTAACTATATCTGAAATATCACTTTTAAAAATGTATTTCTGGATCTTAAATTTTAACCAGCATGGGACTATTACTTTTTTAATTGGTTAATTTAACCATTTACATAGTTATAATTACTATTAGCCTTTTCTTTTATCTAATTTATCTCTTAATATTCACTGCATTCTACTTTCTTTTCCCTTTCATGTCTTCATGCCTTTCAGGCCTCATACTAGATAGACACGTTTTCTTCAGTATTTTTTTTTTCTTGTGGTAAGTATTTATACATTTTTATCTTATACATTTGTATTTTAAGTACTTATAAGTTTTTATCTTATTTTTAACAGTATCTAACGCTTATTTATATGTATGTCCAAATCTGAAACAAGAAGAGAATCTTTTTCTGCTTTCACCAGCTTTTGATATCCTTTTTCTCAAATAGCAGATACTATGTGAAGTTTATTTACAGATTGTTATGGGTATACATTTGTCAGAAATTGTTTACTCAGGCAACAATAAATGTCAGTAAGTTCTATACCTAAACTTCTCATATTTTAATGCATTTTACCTAGTTTGACTTATCTTCTAAATGTAATACCGTCTCTCAATGTTCTCTCAGGAAGGTCTTTTCATGGTAAAAAATCTGAGTCCATGTAAACCTAAAGTATTTTTATTTGGCTCCCATTTAAATAATTAAAAATGAAATTCTAGGTTTAAATTTATTTTTCTTCAACAATTTGAAAATAATTTGTTATATTTTTGTACTTCATTGCCGTGAGAGAATTGATATTAATCTGATTTCTCATCAGTGATCACTTGCAGTGACCTATGTTTCTCTCTCATATTCTTTTAAATGTCATCTTGAAGCTGGGCGTGGCGGCTCACAACTGTAATCCCAGCACTTTGGGAGGCCGAGGTGGGCGGATCACGAGGTCAGGAGATTGAAACACAGAGAAACCTTGTCTCTACTAAAAATACAAAAAATTAGCCAGGTGTGGTGGCACGCGCCTGTAGTCCCACCTACTGGGGAGGCTGAGGCAGAAGAATCCCTTGAATCCGGGAGGTGGAGGTTGCAGTGAGCCAAGATCTCACCACTGCACTCCAGCCTGGGTGACAGAGCAAGACTCTGTCTCCAGAAAAAAAAAAAAAAAAAAAAAAAGTCATCTTGATATCTGATGTTCTTATGTGCCTACTGCACATCTGTTTATCTTTTTGCAGGCTCCCATGTACATTTTCAAACAGGGATCTCTTATCTTTTGAGGATAATGGATTATCATTTATTATTTCTTCAAATATTTTGTTCCCTTCATGTACTTCTGCTTCTGAGGTCTTCTCATAGCTGATGGTTAAATTTCTGCTTCTATGCTCCATTTTTATTTATTCTGTTTATTTGTTTTTATATCTCCTTGTGTTGAGAAACTTCTTGGAACTGCCTTTTAGCTCACTGATTTTTTTTCTTTGGCCAAATACAGTCAGCTATTAAACCCATTCACTGAATTCTTTATGTCAAAAATTGTCTCTTCAAAACCTATGTCTCTAGTAGATTCTTCTTAATAACTCTCAATTTCGGCTTCATGTTTCCAATCCTCTTTCCCATCTTGCTGTGTGTATCTACTATCCCTGTCCTCTGAAATGAGTTATTCACAGCCTTTGTTTCCTTTCACAGTGGTTTCACTAAAACTTCACTGTGAGCTCACCTTTAAAATACTTGGTACCATCAGTTGTCTACTAATACTGATTATTAAGGGAGGAGATAAAAACCTAGGCCCTAGCATAGGCACCTAGGGGTGAATATGTAGAGGGGAATTGAGGACACATTTCAAGGCAGAGAATTTCTTGATTGACATCTGGGCTTTCTTGGTCATAATCTACTCGATTTCTCTTCTAGGATTCCCTTATCTACAACAGGGCTTTCAGATGTGCTGGCTGTGGCTCTGTTGTTTTCTTGAAACCATTTTTCACTGATACAGTTTCCTAGTTGTGAGAGAGAGGGTGAGAGGGGAACATTGTGAGGATGCCTAATTACTTGCACTTGTGTAGAACCATACCCGCCAGACCCAGAGTGGTCTTGATGTTACACTGATGCAGGCAGAGTGATGGGTAGAGAAAAGAACATACCTGGAAAGCTCTTTTTTATTTCTCCTTCAGAATCTGTGGTCCTTTTGAGTTCCTAAAAGGCATGTTGTTAGTTGCTAAAAATGGGTCCTAGTCTCTCCTCTAGCATCTCCTATGTTGTGTTTTAGTGAGGAAGTCAATAGCCTAGGCTAATTTTTCATTTTGCTAGAACTTGAATGTGAGTGTGAGTGTGTGTATGTTGTATATATTGTCCCTCAGGAGATACATCTGATGTTCAGAGAATATTTATATAACTTGATGTTAGCATTAAGTGAAACTACCTTCCCAGTTTCTGCTGTTCATTGTCACTTAGGTTGTATCAACCTACAAAGTGAATTTGATAAGCTGGGGTTTTGTTCGCTTACTATCTACCGTCATCTATCATCTATCTACCTACCTACCTACTATCTATCTATTAATAGTCTCTCTATCTATAATATTTATCCATCCATCCACCTACTTTCCTCTCCAACTGAGTAATTTAGGATTCAGAGCAATATTTGTAAAATATGATTGTTCATACCAATGAGATATTTGATAATGATTTGCATTTTCCTTGCAAGTTATATAGGTATTATAAAGAATAGCATTTTCCCAAGTGTTTTTACTTAAGAAACACAGGTAAATAGTTGATTTGTTTAGTTAAACAAATGTTAAAGTTATCTTTGACAAACAATTACTCAGAATTCTTTTTTTTTTTTTAGAGTCAGAGTTTCACTCTTGTCGCCCAGGCTGGAGTGCAGTGTTGCGATCTCAGCTCCCTGCAACCTCTGCCTCCTGGGTTCAAGCGATTCTCCTGCCTCAACCTCCCAAGTAGCTGGGATTATAGGCGCCCACCACCACGCCCGGCTAATTTTTGGTATTTTTAGTAGAGATGGGGTTTCGCCATGTTGGGCAGGCTGGTCTCGAACTCCTGACATCAGGTGATCCACCCACCTCGGCCTCCTAAAGTGCTGGGAATACAGGCATGAACCACTGTGCCTGGCCTACTCAGAATTCTTATTAATGTACATTGTGAATCTTTGGGAGGAAGTTATAGCATAAAGTATATATCAAAGCATAGTAAAAATATTAATGTTTAGAGACTGCAGACAGCAAATAAAAGTATAATGAAAAGTGAAAATCTGCTACCTGCTATACTCTATTAATCTTTTCTTGCATTTTAAAAATATGTAAGTCAACACAATTTTATGTGTTCTTGTTTAAAAATAAAAGATAATAATCACACTGTTGTACACCTTGTGGTTTCTGTTTGGACTTTTTTTTACATCTGTACTTATAAAGGTAGAGTCAAAATTTGAAACTCGAAAGTGTAATCAAATGTTTTAAAGTTTCATGTTTCTGTTACCAGTTTTTCTTCATGTTCTGTAAAATCCAGTACAATCCACACCGATATCGCAAAAATTACACAGAGAAGGACTGTTGCTGTTTTGTCTGATATAACTCTGAATTTTCCCTTCTAATTATACATCCCTGTTCACTGTCCTTCCTGCTAATAGAAATACAAATTAAACGAACCTGAAGTTGCTAGATATCCCCACAACCATAACAATGAAATGATTCTAAGATTCCTTGCCTTGATTTATTCCATAATGTAAAATATGTTATATAGGATGAATTTATTTCATTCTATTCCACCTCACTTAACAACATTGTGCTTAAATTTAATATAAACCAAATCTGGTTATTGACACCAAAACAGAACATCAATTCAATGAAAAAGAAATAATTAAATTTGGTATCTAACTAATTATTTGGCCCAAGTAGCTCTTCATTTAACAGAAAATTATCACTAACTCTTTATACCAAGATAATTAAGACCCTCTGCAATTCTCTTCCATGGTAATTTTTTTCTTAAAAATATAAATAATTCTTTTTTTTCATGTATTCACCTCCTCACAATTAAAAATCCCCTGCTGTTAAAACGCATAGTAATTCATGGTTACATTTTTCACTTCAAGGCAGTAGTCAATATTTCAGCCCAGGTCGTGCTTAAGGCAATTGTGTGCTCATCCTCATCACAGGCTTACAGTGTGAAACTGGACCACTTGTTTCCTTTACTTTAACTTATCCTGTCAATTGATTTTTCTGAACCTGTGGCATATAGCTCTCATACATTTTTTATATGGCCTCACCCAACCAATATAAAACACAAATAAGCTACATTAGGGCCCTAATCTACAGTTGTTTTCTATTTATTTCTCTTCTTCTTCTTCTTCTTCTTTTTTTTTTTTTAATAAACATCAAGAACAGGCCATATTTAAAGCCAGGCCATAAAAGCATACCATTTTCTAGCTGAATAGAATTATGTAAATAATCTGGTTTAGTAGCCTCACTTCCTTCAGCCAATTATTTTATAGACTTAGATACTGAGACCCAGAGAAATTAAATTGCCATGATCTTGTAAATGGAGACATGTAAATTAATTTCATCATATATTTTCACTCCCTGTTATTTTTCAGTGCTGAAGCTTATAAACTTTATGCCCATGTCTATATTCAGAAAAACATATCCCAAAACCTTGGAAATCTTCAGAGTACAAGGAAGGGTATGAATTCTCCGAAAGTATACCTTTCAGCTTCCATGCGTGAGCAAGTACTCCATGGCAAATGTGTGGAAGAAACTAATAATCCTGACCCATCTGAGGGTAAAAGAGTAAAGAGAGAGAGTATGAGAGCCAGAATAGAAAGTGTTAGGAAAAATTAACGACAAGATTGACAATGATTAAGACCTAAGGAATCAAGACAAAAAGTATGGTATTGCTTCAAAATGATCATTTGGGATTTTTTTTCTAAATGTAAAATGGTTTAAAATATGGCAACCCAATAATATTTGACCAATTTCTTTTTTCTCTAAATAAAATTTCTTATTTTGAGGGGTACACATAAAAATCAAGTAATTCCCATGATAAAACTTCCAATTGATCAAAAATATCAGTTTACCTAGCACTAATACACATTTATTTTTTAAACCTCACAAATCTACAAGAGCTTTGAGGCAGCTTTAACAATAGAGTTCAGTCTTCCAAAATCTACTAAAGGAAATCAATAACATAGATTTGTTTGTGGAATCTTGGAAACGCAGCTATCATAATATTTGAGCAAAAGAATAGAATTAAGTCTACTCAACCCATTGCTCATCAATACAACATTGCATGTGTTTCTGTGTGTGTACTAGTATTAGTAAGTTTGGGAGCAGGACTTCTTTTTAAAATATATTATGCATTTTGTTACTGTGGTGAATAATTCATCTAACAATCACTGGTGTGTGTTTATGTATATTTAATGTGGAAAGTCATCTTCTATTTTTAGAGGTTCTTACCATAACCTACGGTGTATTTAAATTCAATTTATAGAAATACCATAAAAGGCCATTTTCCCTTGATGTACTAATCCATAGTTTTAATCATTACTGTAGCTTCAGGTTTTTCTAATTAGCCTTACAGGAAGGTACTATAGCTTAATTTTTCATCATTTATATTTCATGCATAGACTGTTCATTTACAGAAATTAAAATCCTCACTTAAGTAATGTGTGAGCACTGCTGATAATCTCTGCCATCTGAGTGTCAGTTCAATAAGACCCTGCTAGCAATCATCCTCAACTCAACATTCAATCTGTTAACTTTTTAAAGTAAAAAGAGACAGATCATATAGTGGCTTTTAGAACTAATTACACAATTAGGTAACAAGATTTTGATGTGTAAAGTTTTTGAAGAGACTCGGTGCTAGGAACAAGAAAAAAACACAAAGATGAAGAATAGAAATAATTTGTTTCTATTCTCTTGGAAAACACCAAAACTTTTGAAGCAATGGAAAAAAATATATGAAATATTTTTTGAGTATAATGCTAAGGCTGGGAGCCCAAGCTTGGGGAAAGTGTCATTTGACATTGCTAGAAAAGCCTGTACCCTAAATCCTTGGTTTGAAATTTGCAAGCTCACATTACTTTTAGGAGAGCCATACCTAAATGTGTGAAGTTACTTCTGCAGAACACCAGTGGATCTGCTGCACTTGGCTACCCAAATCTTGGCATCTGCTTAATACATGGCCAAATCTTTAAAATGAAATAATCATTAGAAGTTATGTCCTCCTCCACAAAAAGTAGCATTATTATTGGAGAAAATATTTTTATCATCATAATAAAATTACATTATTCCAAGGCCGGGCATGGTGGCTGACACCCGTAATCCCAGCACTTTGGGAGGTCGAGGCAGGTGGATCACTTGAGCTCAGGAATTCGAGACCAACCCAGCCAACATGGTGAAACCCTGTCTCTACTAAAAATACAAAGAATTAGCCAGGAGTGGTGGTGCACACCTGTAATCCCAACTACCTGGGAGGATGAGACAGAAGAATCACTTCAACTCTGGAGGTGGAGGTTGCAGTGGGCCGAGATCATGCCACTGCACCTAGCAACAGATCAAGACTCCATCTCAAAAAAAAAAAAAATTATTCCAGATAACATTTTATTTTCTATTTTACCTGTCTTAAGAAGAAACATTCTAAACCACAAGAACAAAAATATAATACTATCTTCAAATATCATCCAGTGAAAATTTCATAGTTAACTTATTGTCCCTTTGAAAATACCAGATATGTGTAACTCTGTATGTTTATTTATTTCAGGACACAGTTCCTTAAAGGCAAAATAATATTCATTTGTCTTGATGACACTGATAAGGATTTGCTGAACTATTTTAGTAACTTGTTCTTTAAAAACCCTCTTCAAACGGCCCAAGGAATCTAGGAAATATAAAATTTATTTTATACAGGCAAACCATGAAAATTATATCAAATGCACTGTAATTCATCACAATTTATTTTAAAATCATAAAAAGTCATCAATACGCAGGCTGGACAAATACTTGATTGTTCCTATATTTACATGGGATGGAAAATCTAGCTTTTAAGATAACTGTCATTATGAATAGTGAAACTACCTTTCCAAAAGTTATATCAATGAGAAAATTACAACAGTAAGCTAAGCTAACTCAACCCCCATCTTGCCTTTCCCTTAATTATTTCTGGGCTATTGGGCCAAGCTAATTTTGGAAGACATTTAGGCTACACTTTAAATGATAATAAGACTTGTTCAAAATTCAACCGTTTTCGTAAAGCTAATAGGAGACCATCAGGTTGAGGGGAGGAGAGGCACCTGAGTCCTGCTAAGGTGCAGACATTATTCCAGATGTTGTAAGATATGCAACCTCCCCAGTTACTCCTACAAATAACATCACTTTTGTAGATTGGTCTTTTGAGATATCTTTCCAGGTTTTATTGCATGTCTGACAGCCATGGCTCCACCTGCATCAACAAACCCCCCAACTCTTGTGGCCCTACCCAGAAGCAATTCAGCCTGCTCAGGAGGACAGCTTCAACCCCCTATGATTTCATCCTTGCCCCCACCGATCAGCAGCAAGCACCTTGTTGCCTGGTCACTCCTTACCCTTCCCCCAAACTGCCCTTGAAAAACCCCTATCCTATGAGCTTTGGATGAGATGATTTGAGTAGGAACTCCGTCTCCCACGTGGTGTGGCTGGCCTCGTGTCTATTAAATGCTTTCTCTACTACAGTGCCGTGGGCTGTCTTTATGCAGTGGGCAGGAAGAACCTCTCAGGCAGTTACAATTACAAGCCCACAAATTAATTAGGTAACTTAAATCGTATTTAGGACTATTTTATTTACTTATTTTTTGGGGGTAATGTTACTTCATCATCCAAGCCAGAATCTACTCTTATTCTGAAAGCTTTATTTTATTTAAATAAATTAGCAATAATTAAATTCCATTTTGCAAATTTGAATTTGGTATAAGGGTGAGGACTCAAAGTGTACTCCTGCCTTCACAAGACCCTTTTAGAGTCCTGAGAACTGAATTTGTCACAACCAGTTATGAAATAAATCTTAGGGCTCATAAAGTAGGATGGTTTAATAAATAAAAAGCATAAGACAATGCATTATGTTTACTAAAAATTGTCCCAAGTATTATTATTTTTCCTTTTATATTATCACATGTCAAAAATAGTTTTTCTATTTTGTATAAAGTCCCTGTCAGCTTGTTGAAATTCCCAGATAGAAATAGAATACTCATATCAATAATAACAATAATACATTTCTACTTTTTAGTATAAACAGACTGAAACTTTTGTGTAAGCTTTAATGCTGTTAGAATTGGCTTTTTAGTTGATCCTACTAGGTGTATCCAAATACCAATTAGGCCTTTCTTTCTTATTTTCTTATACATGGCAATTTATAAATTTTCAAAGTAATTCCCCTTATGTACTACATTTATGAATGAGACAGCTATTAAATTAATGACAATTGGCCCTTAAAAGTCAAATAATAAGTATAGAAAGTAAGAAAACTAAAGAATCTATGACCTATAAATACCCCACAAAAACCCATTATTATAACTTCCTTGCAAGTTGATATTATTGGCATAAAATAGGAAACTTTTAAAACAGTTATAAATTGTTTTTATTTTTTATTGTATTATTTCCTCTTCCCATTCTATAAAGTTTTCTTCCAAATAATGTGGTATTCTTTCATCTCCCAGAATCCTAAGTTACTCAAGAGCACTCTCTGAATTGTGCAGGTGGTGGTAGCACATGTCAGGGAGAGGAGGCACTGGGCTGGAAGGAGAGAACGTTTTAGAGTGAGGCAGAGACAGTACACACAGCAGCTGACACTGAACAGAAACACCAAAATAAACTCGATCAGCTCTGTTGATATCTAATGGAGGCAAAAACCCTCTGTAATAACAAAATTCAAGAATATATATTATTTTCAGTCTTTAATTAACTTACATAATTTTTTTTCAAGTGTCTATACCAGTCATTGATTGAAAAACCGCATTTTATGTTAAAAACTAGGGCCAAGTTATTTTAAACTTATCAAAGAGAGCCAAAAAAAAAAAAAAAAAAAAAGAGAGAGAGAGAGAGAAGAAACAAAGAGACTGTCTTCCATTATAGCTAACTTCAGATTTCCGCTATAGCTGATATGGGAATAAACAGTAAAGTTAAAAGCTCATCGAAGATAGTTTTATAGAAAAACTATGACCAGGACTTTATGTTTGCATTACAGACCCAGTGCTGTAACACACTAGATACATGACTAACAAGCTGAGAAGAAAGCGAGTAGGATTCAATATTTTTGTTAACTAGCTTTAGAAGAAATAATAAGCTTTAGAAGAAATAAATAAGCCAGTTGATGTTGGTTGTCAATTGGCAGCTTTAAAATTAAAAGCCAGACTGGAATATTTTCACATTTTCCTTTTCTTTTCCGTTGGACTAAGCAGATATGCAGTAAAAGTAATTCAGGAGGGAAGAGGGCAGTACAACAGCAGGTATGTCTGTTGATTTCTCAGGTAAACAATCATAATTGGTAAAGGGCATATACAACAAGAAGCCACTTCCATTCAATATCAATAACCTACTTAAATTGGATGGCCAACACTCACCCTACAGCACTACCGACACCTGGTCCAAACACATTTGTCCTTCCCAAGGTTTATAGAGGCCTTCCAGATTGTGAGAGACTGAGTTTTACGGCAGCAATTACTTTCTTTTTGGTTGTAAACAAGAGAATGTGTAAGAGTAGTAACAAATACTGTTCCGCACCACTCTGCAAATAACCAACTGGGTAGTTACTCCACTTTTGGTCTTTCAACTTGAGAGTAATAAACTACCTATTGTGCAAACGTTACGGCTTTGCATGCTACAGTTACATAGCAAGTTAATGTAGCAGCAACTTTCCAAATTAAAAATTCTGTGTTCTGTTTGAGGCTTTTTGTTTTACAGTCTCTGTTTATAGTAGTTAAATGGGTATAATCAATTTTAATAGTTGACAACTAAACCACCTGTTTTGAAGTTAGAGTCCTGTGAAAAGTTACTATCTCTTCTAACTTCAGATGAGGAGAAAAAGTTAAATCAGAAGATGTAATTGCTAAAAAACCAGAATAAGTCAAATCATTATCCCAAATGTCACCCAGAGAAAAAAGAAAAGATTTTCTGTTAAGGTCAAACAATAAATCCTATTTTTTGCAATACCAGAGTTATTTCTAGTGAATGGAGGAGACATTTGCTCTTTAGTATGAGAGGTCAATTGAGTCAACTAATGAGATAAATTATACTTAATTGCTAATTTTAGGAGTCCAAAAAAGAGAATGTATTGCTTTAGTATCCGAGACAGACTTAGTCACTCAAGAGTGAGGTTGAGTAGTTTTATTTTTCCTTATTGGTACACCTCCATTTCAGCAGGAACACAAGACATTTGTCATTCCCTAGCCTCACTCAGCTCACTGCCCCAGAACCAAGAGCACGTGACCTCTCCCCGCCCCATATCTTCTATTTTAATATTCACAGTGTATGTCTGTGACTCCCAATTGAAGGGGCTTTCCTGCAAAGGAAGGATCATGCCGTATGTATCTTTAGTCCCGACAACCCCTAGACCAGTGCTTTAATTTAGCAGATACTCAACAGATAGATGTTTGTTAAATAAATCAAACTTGGCAAAACATGGTAAATCAGATTACCTAAAAATAAATAATGCAGATAAAAATATGTAAAGTTGCAGCACTATTTGGTTTTTAATTATTGAACCTTGATAGACAAAGCACAAGTACAGACATAAAATAGCATTTTAAAATTGTTATTGACCTGCAAATTCATCCTTATCCACAAATTCTTTGCGGCACAATGAAAAGGCTTTTAATTTCAAGGAAGCTCAGAAACAGAAATAAGTAAAACATTTCATTCTGTCTTTTTTCCTATGTTAGAAGATCCATGTCCCAGAAAATGATTATTCTTCACAGATAATATTTGGGATAGTAATTTTTCTTGATTGAGAAATATTAATTTTATATTCTTCCTTTCTCAAAGCTGTTTATTTTACATTGTTTCTTTAAAAAAAAATTACCTCTGAAGCAAAAGGCTTTAGCCAAGGCTACCCTAATTCACTGATTATGGAGATATGGTAGTTTATTTTCATTATTCACACAAATTTGTTCATCTGTTTTGGAATTTTGGTTTAAACAGCATTAGTTTTGAAACCAAGTATGCATGCTTTTGGCAAGGATTCTCTTGGAAATTTTATCTGGTAGATGGTAAATATGGCTTTGTTTATTTAAAAAAATCGGAGGATAAATACATTTACTATACATACTTGTGGACAAAAATTAAGCAAGAAATTTCTGAAATAATTTAAAATTTATTTCTTCATTCCCCAAACATTAGTTCAACATGTTATGTGAGTAGAACTTTTCTGTGTATCATAAGCAATTGAAAAACAGAAGGTAGAGTCCTTACCCTCAAAGAGATTATAATCTAGCAGTGGTACAAATATGCATATGTAATGTATTCAAATCCTTAGAAAATAACACATAATACACTGGAAAAATAAATGTGTATTAAGGGAGTCCAAGTGAATTCCCAGCATGGGCCAGATTTAATTAGAGAATGCTGTCCCCAGCACCCTGAGATTTAATAAATTTAGATTGTTGGAGAGAATTGTTCCTTCTATTAGAAAGAATTATATGAACAAAGGTTCAGAGAAATAAATGGACAATACTTATAAGAAGAATTTTTCAAAAAATTTTCTAGGTTGGATACAGGAACAAAAATGGTAAAGATAAGAGATAAGTTGAGAAAGGATAGTGAATGAAAAGTCGCAAATTCTGAGTACTAAAATTCCCTCCCAGAAGAATAATAAATTTTAATTGGGAAACACTTTTGATGAGGTTGGTGCTATGTGTAGCACTTTACATGTGATATTTTTTATCCTTTCCATAACTGATGAGTTAAATCTATTATCCCCACTTTGTAGATGAGGAAGATAAGGGGCTCCAAATCACACAGATCAGAGCCCTGACCTCTCTGAACCCAAATGCTGTGCTCTCTATAAACAGTGTTTAGTAGGGAGAGGTTATGTGTACATTTGTGTTACACAGACATTTTCTAACAGGTATGTAGACAGAGTTTTAAAGAAATCAACTTCCTGATCTTCAGTTTCTTTACGTATTATATCCTAAAATTTATCAGACTGGATAACAACCTGTGATGGATGTATCACTTTTCACAGTTGCTCTTCTCTTACTTTTTAAAAGAAAAGTGTATTTTACATCCATCTTGAATCTTACCAGAGTACACTGTCAGAATATACACACCTTCAGGGCACTAAGCCAAGGATTAATTCAAAATATTGGAGTCAATGTGAGAAATTACATTTCTGAAATACTAGAAAATGAAGTTCCTGCCAATCAGGAGCTCTATAGCCTGACAACTAATGACAGTGTGCACAAGCACATAGGTTTCACCTGGAGCTTGTTAGAAATGCAAACTCTTAGCCATGCTACAGGTGAATTTTAAGATCTCCAGGTGATTCTTATACACATTAAAGTTTGAAACACACTGGTTTGTAATTTTTACCTTCAATGAGGAGACACTAGTTGTCAGCTTATTTTTAACTTACTTTTGATGTTCGATCAATACATAAATTTTGTTACATAACATTAAATATACATTTTGCAAATTTTTATTTATAATGACAAATGTTTAAATGTCATTTAAAAATAGAGGGGCCACGTCATATTTGAAGGTCATTTAGGAACTACATAAACAAAAATTTGGAAGGCCACTACTCTAAACTAGCCTTATCACTGTCCAAAAAGGAGCCACTCTACGATGTTGATTTAAAAAGTGATTTCATGAGGACAATGCTGAGAAAATCATCCTGGCAAGGGAAGAAGGTGGCCTGATGTTTTACAGCAAGTGGTAATTTGTTAGATCCAAATTCTCAATCCATATCTACATATCATACATATATAATAGTTTTTTAAATACATAAACCTGGACATCATACCTAGAATTTTGAAAATAAGTCCAAGGTTGGACCCCAATATCTGTATTTCTAAATGCTCTTCATATGACTCTGATGGATAGTGGAGAGGGTCACTCTCTCCTTCTATTTCCTTCTACTCTCTTCTGGTGTGTTTGAGAAGTGGCCAAGGCATGATGAAAGCTCCCTTCCACAACTGAGATGTTTTTATGGTGAAATCCAACTAGTGTAGATATCTAAATTTCTACACACTCTGTCCGTCTGTCCTCCAGGTGCTACAGAAATAGAAGTGTTAAGAAATATTTCAAAAAATTGTGTCTTGATCAATTAGAAGGATAGATTTTCCTATAATTCTATAGGTAGGGCTGGTTACAGGGTTGGGAGAAGATATGCAATTTTGGAAGTATTGACATATTTATTAGACATCTAGGTGGAATATTGAAGTTGAGTATACTAATTGGACAGATCAGTCTGGATTTCAGTATTTGTAGAGATATAAATTTGAAAGCCATCTGCATATATACGGTATTTAGTTTAAGATTTGGATGAGGTTGCCAAAGAAGTGACTATAGACTAAGACTTAAATAACCAGTCCTGGACTGCCCTGACAACCTGCTGCCAAATTCAATGGTTTTACTAAAAGAAAAGTGTACTTAGGTTCTTAGCTTTTTTTTTATACCTAATATTCCATTTCCTTCTCTTTCTTAAAACACTCTTTTTCTTTTATATTTTTAAAAACTCATTTGTCGGATTTTTCTTTTTCTTCACAGTCATATCTTTGGCTCAAATCTTGTGCTTAATTGTTAATGGGCCACAATGCAGTTTGTTCACTTTCTGTGTCCCTCTTTCTCTTTCCATCTTTATACACAGACACATGCGTGGGTGCGTGCACGCACGCACATGCACACACACACACACAGTCTGCAGGTGACTGCCTTGTGTCACTGACCCATTTTCAACAAAAATTTATTGAATACTTAAGGTGTATCAGCAACTCTTCTAAGATCTTAAGTACCACGGTAAACAAACAAAAAATCCATCTCTAAAGGAGCTTATTCTAGTAGAGAAGAAAGATAACAAAGGATATAAATAAAGTATGTAGTATATTAGATGATGATAAGCTCAACTGAGAAAAAATAAGGGAAAGAGTTATGAGATCTAGAGGCTTATAATAACCAAAGCAATGGAGTAAACATATCAAATGTATAAAAATCCATGATACAGAACACCCTCTCATTAATTTCAGGAATTGTTAGGGAAATAAATTACTAGATAAATTGATCAATAAAAGTGAAAAATCAATAGTTTATCTTGCCTTTCTTGTATAAACTATATTTCAAGGAAACCAAATAGATGGGAAGAATTATTATTTTAGAATTCTAACTTACAGATGTCAAATAAGTGATCTAATTAGAAAATCACTATTTTGCAGCAAAGAATGAAAGAATTCATCTGGGAAATAATCATGATGCTAAAGTAATTAGGTGAAACATTGATTGAGAATTTTATAATGTATTATTCAAGCTAACAGCTCCTGAAAAAATGTGTAATGATTGGACATCATTACACACCTACTGATGTCATAGAATAGGAAATACAAATAATTGCCCATGAAATATTCTTGCCAACACAATTGAACCTTGAATCCAGTCAAATGTCTTGATATAAAAAGCAATTTACAGAAAATATAGGAGATAGAGAAACATAAAGAACACTATAAGCTACACTCAGCTAGATCAATGAGGTGGATCTTTGTTTGGGTCCTGGTTAAATTAACCAACTGTGAAAATATATTTTGGAGGCAAACAGAGAACTTTAAATATTTCCGGAGTATTACATTATTCTAGGAAAGTATTAAGTTTCTTAGATGTGGTAACTTACTGAGTTTCTTTTTTTTTCTTTAAGAAAGTATCCATCATCCAGTTAAACAATGCTTAACACATCTTTGCCATCTTGTTTCTTCTAAATTCCAATGCAATGAAGTTGAGATATTTTAAAGCCAATAGCAGATGTCACAATTAAAATATTAACAAAGAAATTCTATGTTTCCCCCTAAGGGAGAAGGCATTTTTTTGTTATTGTCATTGTTGAATTTCTGAATTTTCAGGTAAAGAATAGAATTTCAGTAAAATTTTTTCCTTCATACCATTATTATTTTACAGAGACAGATACCTGAGTTCCCCAGTCTCTTGCACACAAGTTTGAGATCGGCTTGAATGACAGTACTGAATTCAGTGTTAGAGGTGGCCTCTAAAAGGGGCTCTCATAATCTCCACCTCCTGGAATTCATGCCTCTGTGTAATACCTTCTTGGTGAGTGTGGGCTGGATTTAATGACTCATTTGTAATAAGTAGAATATGGCAGAAGTGATGAGACATCACTTCTGAGATTAGATTATAGACGGTTGTGGCTTCCATCTTGCGTGCTTTGGTTCTTTCTTCCTCTCTCAGATCCCTTGCATCTGGAGAAAGCCACTGCCATGACATGCAGTAGCCCTGAAGTGAGACCCAGATGAGTACGTTTAGAAATAGATCTTCTGTGGCCAGCCAACAGTGACGTGAGTGAGTCCAGAAGCAGATCTTCACCTAGTTGAACCATCTGATGACAGCAGCCCCAAACAAGTTTGATGGCTACTTTGTAAGACACAGACCCTAAGGTTGAATCACCCAGATATATCACTGTGAGATTCCTGACTCACAGACATGGTGAGGTAATAAATGCCTCTTGCCTGGGATACTTTTTAATGCAGCTATAAATAATAGAATCAGGATAAGAAGGGATAAAGATCGCCAGAAAAAAATAAAATAAAATCTGTCGCAGACAGAGTCTCATCCCTTTCCCCTCTTTTTATTTTTATTTTCCCATGGCACCTGTTTGCCTTAACTCAGCCTTTTAAGGTTATTGAATCACTTCAAAATTGACATTGGAAGTTGTTTTAGCTATTAGAAAAACATCATATTCATTATTACAAGAATATGAAAATTTCCTGCATCTATGGATATGCAACCTAAGTATTTGATAACAGGATAATAAATAGAGGATAAGTGTTTTACACCTCTGTCCCAGGTCAGGCAAAGCCTACTTGGGGTATTTGGAAGAAAAGATAGAGTAAATTAACAGATTTTTGACTGTAGGTGTTTTATAACTCTAGTCTGAAGCTAGCAAATGAAACTTGCTCAGTCTTAAAGCAAAATGCTAATAAAGAAAATAATGTAAAACTATTTGCTCTTTAGTTTAATACCACAGGATCTGTATGCTTGGATCTACATGATGTGTTTGTTATAAAATAATTTCCCAGCAGTGTCAGCATTGGTGTAGCTCTGTTGTTTTATAACATTCCACTGCAACTTGTTTAATATAAAATTAAGTCATAATTAGACAAAATGAAACTGAATAATACATTCATGTTAAAACAAAATGTACCAGAGATTCAAGACGGAGCCAATAGAGAAAGGTGTCTGATCTGCTTCATCGGTTGCATCATTAACAGCATCACATGGAGTTTAATAAATGACAGGCACTTTTGTAAGTATATCCCTTATGTAATTTAATTCTTGCAGAAACCCTGTGAGGTAGGCACCACTATTATTCCCATTTTAACATGAGATAAATGAGATGCAGAGGGACTAAATAACTTACTCATGGTATCAGAGCTATTCAGTGGCTCCAGAGTTTATGTTCTTCATTGCAGTACAATACTTTAATATCTCTACTTAAAATAAGCATTTAGCTTCCCTAAAATTACTGTTGATAGGGTCTGAACCAAGATCAATGAATCTATCATAGTAATAAATCTAACAGTGAATTTATCATAGAATCTTTCTTCTATGCCTTTCTATGCATAGAAATGCAGAAACACAAACACATAGACTAATTAGTAATACCTGTGCATGTTTAATTTGTTTTTAAGAAGTCTGTTGCCAAGGAAATGGGCACCAAGTCATAAGTCTTTATACCATAAGCAAGGTCAGAAATTACAAAAAATCATTGATGAAGAATATTCAAATAGTTTTATATTTTTTTCTAACTAATATATTGATTATTCTTTAAGAATGAGTAATCCATTTTGTGCTATCTGTGTTAGTCCATTTTCATGCTGCTGATAAAGACATACCCAAGACTAGGCAATTTACAAAAGAAAGCCATTTAATGGACTTACAGTTCCACATGGCTGGGGAGGCCTCACAATCATGGCAAAAGGCAAGGAGAAGGAGGAGCAAGTCATGTCTTATGTGGATGGAAACAGACAAAGAAAGAGAGCTTATGCAGGGGAACTCCTTTTTTTAAAACCATCAGATCTTGTGAAACTTATTCACTATCACAAAGAAAGCATGGGAAAGATCTGCCCCCATGATTCAATTACCTCCCACTGAGTCCCTCCCACAACACGTGGGAATTGAAGATGAGATTTAGGTGAGGACACAGCCAAAACTTATCACTATCTAAGCAGTAATTATCTCTAGATATTTGTTAACCAAGTAAAGATATCGTTAATGATCGTGACCATTAATATAATATTCAGGTTTCCAGTTCAAAGTGCCATTATTAAAATTTTATTTGTCTTTAAGATATTTTTATGTTTGAAACAATTTAGCCACACTTAATTGTGATTTATAGTAAAGTCTAGGTTCTTATTGCTAAAGATAAAAAAAATGCAAAGAGCATTCCTTTTATTCTCTATACCACCTTTATTTGTAAACTTTAAATTGTTTTTGTTTTCATCAGAGTATTTGTTTGCAGTGCTAACAAAGAGGATAACAATGAATATTAGAAAAGCTAGTTTCACTGTTTGAATGTAATATTATGTTATTCTGAAGAATTCTGTGACTCATTCTTGAGAGAGCACAAAAATAATTTACATTAAGCAAAAAATTAATGCATTGCTTTGAGCCAGTGTTGTGTTTTATTTTTCTTTTACTATCATAGTTCCAAAGATCATTAATATGGAGGAAATATTTTGCATTAGAATGCAGAAAGGCTGCCATTTCTGTTAACTATGAGTAGGAAACCTAAAATATTAATATACAGCAACCAAATTCAAAATGAAATTAGAGTATAGAAGTGATTCTTGAGGAGTTTCTCAATAATATACAGAACGAATGCTGAAAATTAAGCAGAGCCCTACAGTACTGTTTATTTCTTCTTTGTAAAGTAAAGAGAAATCATGTTAACCAGGTCAATGTGATCCTGCAATTTTTTTTTTTTTAGTTAACTTGGATGATTTTTATCTTGCTTTAATAGAAGAAACCCGGCCACTTCAGAGTCTGCAAATGGAGCTCCTTGTCACTGAGCTCCAGAGATGTAAACAGAAGTAGCAAACAGGTTCCTCTTTTAGTGTAAACAAATAAGTGATTTTTTAAAAAAAACTTCTGAAGGGATTACTTGTCCATAATGTGAATTTTACATTTTTATTCACATATTCATCCATAAGAAACACTAGGTGAATGCAAAAAAACTGGGCCAAATAGGCCTGGCGCATACACACACCTCAAACATCTCTAGCTTCCTCAGCAGATGGTGTCTGATTATGAGCCACCATGAACTGATTTTACTCCACGTTTATAATACTTCTGATGGCCACTCCCACAAGAAAACTTCAGGGTTTCTTTCAAGGTAAGCTGTTATGTTTACTGTTGTATTCATGTATTTCTTAATGATTTGACATGGGTAAAATTATGCTGCCATTTTTGTTCAGTTCACATCTTCTCTTAGGAGTCACTGACAAAGTATTTGAATGTCATGCCCTTCACTTCATTTTCCCTATAAACCCTGTGGTTTTATTGCAGGATTTTACACAGTGTGTTGATTTATAAGAATGTATATGTCATGTTATAGCAGAATTCACTGCATTCTGTTTGGAAAAAAGTGAATTACAGTTTTTTTCAAAGGTCCCTTTCCAGGGATGCCATGTTCCCAACAGAAAAGTTGAATGATCCCAACATGAAAAGTTGGTTTCCACTGTCAAAATAGAAAATGCTCTCACAAAACTATTGTTACCTTGCTTCGGTATCCTCTAGAGACTAATAGTTACTAAAAGAAAACCTGCCAACTTCAAATGCAGTTATAGCATTTGGAAGATCAAGAAATTTGTCTTTTGTTAAAATATATTTATTTTGCTAATCTTGGCACAAAATTGTTTCATGCTGATTCCTATAAAAAATATTTTTTGTTTTAATTATTCACATGAAATTTGCTTTTAGTAAATCTATAATATTTAGGGTCATTTTAATAATAAAGAATCACTGGATGAACAGAGTAAAATATGAGTGTCTAGATACTTACCTGATACTGGAGACCTAAGTGATCAGAGTGGGAGGTTCTATTAATAGCATTGAGTGACAAATTGGAAGCCAGTCAAACTCAAGGAAGTGAGACCAGTTAAGGGGATATTACAGTGACACAAATGTAAAAGCATGAAGCCTATGGTAAGGCAGGAATGAGAGGGGAGGAAATGAAATCTATTAAGGGGTAGACGTTGCAGGAACTAGTAGGATATGGTAGGAAAGGGATGGGAGTAAAACAGTTCTCAAGTGTTTCACTTCAAATCTGGTAGTGATACTGTTTAGAGTAAAGAAGATGCATAAATGAGTGGAAATATGGTTAATAAAACTTTTGACATGCTGATTTGAGGGGGGCTTTGATATATACAGTTGGCAATATCTCATAGGCGGATAATTATATAGGTACAGGAAGCAGTAGAAAAGTAGAACAGTCCAGGCTGAAAACAGATTTGGATTTATATATAGCAGAACTTAAAATGCTGAGTTTGATGAATTACAGATGTAGAATGAGAATAAAAGATGATTGAGGATGATGCCCTGGGAACATCAGAATTTAATGGTAGAGTGAACAAAATGGAGCCTATAGAAGCTGAATAGGAACAGTTAAGAGGTAGATGAGAATCAAAGTGTATTTGCATATGGAAAGTGGAGATCCACATGTGTCCTATAACATTATTTGAACTCCCTATCTTCTCTGAAAAGAATAAAAGAATAAATATAAAAAGTAGATGATATAGAGAGAATATAAATGATAAAGCAAGATCCTAATGGTGAGAGAGGAAATAGACATTGCAAACACAAATAGAGAATTTGACCTTAAAATATTAAAGGTAGATGTTCCTCTGTGATGTTAGGAAAGGTGAAAGTCTGTCTGAAAGCCACAGTAGCTCTGCTAGAGAAGCATCTGGATGAAGGAACACCGCCTTAATGGTCTTGATTTCTCCATAAGATGGGACTTGTTCTCTGCTAAAAGTGGTTGCACTCGGGTAGCATTAGAAACTTGGGAAAAAAAGGAAAAAGGCATGCAATGCTACATGGACAGCGCTTTATAGTGACAAGTTATTAACAACAGTTTTGCTCTGTAGTTGTGAATCTTGTCTGTACTGTTCTGACACTGTCTCCAGAAATACTTGGACCTTCAGGTTTTTCTCCAATAAGGAGCAATTTGCACTTATACTTTATTTTAGAATAATCAAAATCAAAATAATTTATAATATGTTATACAATTGTCCTGTATATGAATTATTTAGATTTTCTACTGGTATCTCAAATTAGGAAAAATGTTGGCTGATTCTCAGGTCATATATTGGTTAAGTCAGATTTTTGCATTAGTTAAGGGAATTATTTTCTAAGAAATTTTCAACTCCATATGCTTAGCCTATAACAATATTTTTTAAAAATACTAATTTATGATAGTGATTGAGTTCTCAGAATGCAATTCACAATATAGCGAAATTGCATTGTTTCTATCATTAAGGAAATCTATCATTAAGGAAGGGGACAACAACTTCTCCTACCTCAGATTTGTTGTATTTTGGCAATGGGTTGAAGCTGTGTTTTTGTACTTTACTTACTAGGAAATTTTGTCTTGTGTGTAGTCCTTTGATAGGCTGAAGGCTATAACTTTGATGATTCTAAGATAGAGAGAAAGCAAGGATAAAGTACTGGGAAAGAGATCCTGGTATGAGCCCAAACTCTGCCACTTACTTATTTTTTGATAATGGACAAGTAAGGGACTTTACGATGTGAGCTTTGGTGTCTTCTAAACACTAAAAATAAGCCTGACAATGTGTGGAATGGACTAAATGAGGTAATGGGTGTGAAGGTTTCTGGCACCTTTTTAAAATGGTATTTAATAAAGTTTGATTGATAAGCTGCTTGGAAATTTCCTGCTTAATTTTTCACATAAAATTTATTTTTATGAGTCAAATCTTTTTATAATGAAACAGCGACTAAATAGGTGATTATATACATTAATTACATTTCATTTTCAAGTTCAATTTCATGCCAATAATCTTTTATGATTAAAGTAGTTGAGTTTTTAATTAAATATTCCAATTTTAAAACCTCAGGAAAATCCAGACTATTAACCATGTACATTTTATATCTTATTCCATTCAGAGTTTGTTTGATATACAAAACCTGATTTTACATTACATAATTGTTGTAAACTCTGATAAACTGGGACAAAAAACTTAGGGCTGAATACAATGCCTTTAGGTGAACTGATAGAAGATTAAATGACTTTTGTTGTCTCTAATATCTCTGTAACTCACTTCTGATTTCATAAAGCATATTAAATATTATGTGAGGATTTTATGTTCTTATGAACTCTTGAACCCACTGAGTTAATAAGTCAGGAATTCCAATGAGGTAGAGACCTGCTTTATTTAAATATGTCTACAAAGCCTTTTCTCTTACTGCCTCCTTCCCTCCAGGGTGATTTTGACACAGGTGCTGCTTACCCTCAAATAAAAATCTAATCTTTTATTAGGCTACATTATGGTCTTGTGCTACCAGTAGGCTTTAGTTAAGAAATGAAAATAAGCCTCATGCCTCATCATATTTTACGTATATATGTACATATATACACACTCATACACACATACACATACACACAGACACACCCCAAGTTTGTGGTTTTGCACACAAATTCATGATTTTGAAGTCATCACAACTTTTAAGCCTATATTACAAGTCTTCTTCAATATGAAGCACTCAACTAAATGTCTAGCTGGTTGCTAAAAATAAATCACACATTAGCTATGGATAGTAAATCAACAGTACACTGTTCTCATGTTTTTCTTTTCAAAGATTTAAGAGTTTGTGAAGAAAGGCAGATGGAGCGCCAATACAGCACAATCTATTTTTAATGTGTAGAACAAGCCAGAGGAAATCAGTGTCAATACACCAAACTTGTTGACAGAACTAACTTTATCAACATTCTCAAATATCACTCCTCTTTTCCTCTTTGGATGAAAGTAATGCAAAACCCCATAGGGGATTCTTATAGCTGGGCAGGCTATCAGGAGAAACAACATTTTCATCTGCTCTCTGGTCCTCATTCCCTATGCTTCCCCTGGGCCTTGGTCTGGTCAATTTTGTACTGCCCAGCTAAACAGCTTCCTTACCAGCCTCAATTTTTTTAAAAATTTCTTTCTTTAACTAAGGGTTTGATGTTAATGTCAGTCCTATCCCAAGTATTATTCCAGCTTTTATAATTTTATGGAATGAAAAGTCGTGGAATGAGTCATACGAACGGTAGAAGACAGGAAAGTAGGAAGTACTGTAAAGCATAAGCAAAGCAAAACAGGGTGAAAGGAAGTTTTCGATTTTAAGTGGCCCAGGCTATGGCAGGCCTTCTTGCCTAATCATGATCAAAGAAAGGGCATGCTTAGAACACAGTATCATAAAAGCAAGCAAGGATATGCATAATAGGGATCATACTCTGGTTGGACATACAGATACTTACAGTGTCTTTCATGTTTCCTGACACCCTTGGGTTAGAGTAAGATTTCAACGATATTAATGAGGTCCTACTACATGATAGGATACATCTAGTGCTGAGAATAAAGAAGGAAACTAATATAAATCTCTAACTTCAAGGAGTTTACAAAATGTGTTTCTCTCTGTTGGAAAAAATATGTATATTTAAAACCCTAGTTAGAAAAATCCTCCATCTTTTTGAACTGACTGCATAAGTACAGTATGCTGATCTTGTGGACATTTTGATAGACTGAAAAACACAGACAAAGCCAAGGTCTGGATCAGAGAGATAAATAGAGGCACATTGTCAGATTTCTGTCTGAAAAGGTTTTGAGAAAAAGAAATGCCAATTTTTAGAATTTTATTTCCTTCTACAAAGACTCACCAGACAAAGACTCCTTGATCTACAGTCCATGTAAACCTTTATTTCCTCCAGAAAATTCATTTCAATTAATTAAGGGTCAAAAGAGTATATTCTTGTCTCTAAAACAAATGAGAGTTCATTTTCTCTTCTATGAAGGTTTCAAACTTCCTCTTGTCACACAATTACGATAAGATGTGGATGGCATGTTTCTTCTTCTTGGTTTCTTAAACCATAAATATATGGTAAAGGTCAAGATTGAATGTAGTTGTTGTATAAACATCAAATGTGCTGTGGGTATACCATAAAACAGATTTACACAATCCATAAATTTGTCTTTTATACTAATTACCAGGTTACAAAGAACAGCATCAATTCACTGAGGAATTAGATTCTATTCAATCTGTGACAAATGGAAAAATGTTGATAATTAATAGAATATAATATACGTAGGAAGTATAAAAACAAAGCAGTCACGGCCGGGCGCGGTGGTTCACGCCTGTAATCCCAGCACTTTGGGAGGCTGAGGCGGGCGGATCACGAGGTCAGGAGATTGAGACCATCCTGGCTAACACGGTGAAACCCCGTCTCTACTAAAAATACAAAAAATTAGCCAGGCGTGGTGACAGGCGCCTGTAGTCCCAGCTACTCGGGAGGCTGAGGCAGGAGAATGGCTTGAACCCAGGAGGCGGAGCTTGCAGTGAGCCAAGATCACGCCACTACACTCCAGCCTGGGCAACAGAGCAAGACTCCATCTCAAAAAAAAATAAAAATAAAATAAAAATAAAAAAACGAAGGCAGTCACTAACTAGGTCCAGCCCAACAAAAAGGGGAGACTACACTGAGCATGAATACCAGTAGATAAGGAAAATAGAGAGCTATTTTGAAGCTGATTATCATAGTCATTTAACAAAAAAGTTAATTTCAAAGAGTAATGTATTTATCCCAGTGTAAGTTTGGACAGAGACTTTTGTACAACAGTCTATGATTCAATTTTTCGTATATATCTGAGGAGTCTATTATTTTTAAATAACTTCCTGTATTTCTAGGCTCTTAAAGTTATTTGTAGATAGTTCCACAATACAGAATATATTTTTATTACATATCTAACACCTGTTTGAACTTATGGATAGGAAGCTACACTAAAATGGACATCAAATTAAAATAAATAAATAAATCCTCTTCCCTAAGCTAAGTCCATCAGAGAAAAGTATAATAGGGTAAAAATAGCATAACTATATAATGTTTGGCCCTGTCTTCACCTACTTTCTAAGTACTACAGTATTCTTCATCCCAAATTATTGCAAAGTATTTCTAAAAGACCTGTGTAGCTGTTTTTGGTGTGAGCTACAAACCAAACTTTTTCACTTCCACTTGGTTCCTACAGTTCCTTTTTACCTCTTAGATTTCTGTGATTATTTCTTATACTGCTCCTCCTAAAAAGAAGCCATACATATATGGCTAACAGGGAACTAAACCGAGCATGAATACCAGTAGATGAGGAAAATGGGGAGCTATTTTGAAGCTGATTACCACTGTCATTTGACAAAAAAAAAAAAAAAAAAAAAAGTTAATTTTATCACCTCTAGTAATCCTTGCTCACGTCCCAAGGAAGCCATGGGGGCCAGTGTGAAGGTGCTGACTTTCTGCTGAAGATGTTTCTCCCGTTGCAATTCTGGTACATGTGCCTCTGGCAGAAGACACTTCATACTCTTTATGACCCATTTATCATACATTTTTTTAACCACTTGCTTATACTATCACTGAAGCATGAATCTGTAAAGACCAGAGGATGATCTGAATAGAAGATAGCATGCTGTTTTTAGAACCACCCTTCTCTGTGGACACTGGCCCATTGTCTTCAAACACCTTTGACTCTTTGACTCTCTCTTTCCCTTCTGACAGGCTTTTGTCCCATGGATCCTAGGTGAGCTGCCCCAACAGTCCTTCAGACTTCCCAAAACATGCCTGTATTCTAGCAGAAACACAGTGTATTAATCCATTTTCACACTGCTGATAAAAACATACCTGAGACTGGGCAATATACAAAAGAAAGAGGATTAATTAGATTTACAGTTCCACATGGAACTCAAAAACAAAACCACACACCTACAGCCATCTCATCTTTGACAAAGTAACAAAAATAAGCAATGGGGAAAGAAATTTATTTAATAAATGCTTATGAGCTAGCTGGCTAGCCATATGCTGAAGAATGAAACTGGACCCCTACCTTTCTATATATACAAAAATTAACTCAAGGTGGATTAAAGACTTAAATGTAAGACCACAAACTATTAAAATCCTAGAAGACCATCTAGAAAACAACAACATTAACATAGGCCTTAGGAAAGAATTTATGACTAAGTCCTCAAAAGCAACTGCAACAAAAACAAAAATTGACAGGTAGGACCTAATGAAACTAAAGATCTTCTGCACAGCAGAAGAAACTCAACAGAGTAAACAACCTAGAGAATGGAACAAAATAGCCACATACTACGCATTTGAAAAAAGTCTAATATCTAGAATTTATATGGAATTTAATTCAACAAGTAAAAAACAACTCCATTAAAAAGTGGGCAAAAGACATGAACAGACTCTTCTCTAAAGAAGACATACAAGCAGCCAACAAATGTATTTAAAAAGCTCCACATTACTAATCATCAGAGAAATGCAAATCAAAACCACAATGAGATGCCATCACATACCAGTCAGAATAACTATTATTAAAAAGTCAGAAAACATCTGACCCTGCTGAAGCTGTGGAGAAAAAGGCACACTTTTACGGTGTTGGTGGGAATGTGAATTAGTTCAGCCACTGTAGAAAGCAGTTTGGAGATTTCTCAAAGAACTTAAAGCAGAACTACCATTTGACCCAGCAATCCCATTACTGGGTATATACCTAAAAGAAAATGAATCTTTCTTCTAAAAAGACACATGCACTTGTGTGTTAATCACAGCACTATTCACAATAGCAAAGACATGGAATCAACCTAGGTGCCCACAAATGGTGGATTGGATAAAGAAAATGTGGTACGTATACACCATGGAATACTATGCAGCCATAAAAAAGAATGGAATAATGTTCTTTGCAGCAATATGGTTGCAGCTGGAATCCATTACCCTAAGCACATTAACTCAGGAACAGAAAATGAAATATCACATGTTCTCATTCATAAGTGGGAGTTAAAGAATGGGTATTCATGGACATAAAGATGGCAACCATAGACAGTGTGGACTACTAGAGAGAAGAGGGAGGGAGAGAGAAAGGCTTGCAACAGTAACTATTGGGTACTATACTTGGTACCTGGGTGATGGGATCAATCATACTCCAAACCTCAGCATTATGCAATGGACCCAAGGTAACAAACTTGCAAATGTACTCCCTGAATCTAAAATACAAGTTGAAAGTATAGAAAAATTTAAAAAATGAAAACTTCCTACTAACATCCTTTGGAAACAGTTGAATGAAATTATTAAAAGCATGAAGATCATGTTTGCATACTTAAACATTAGTGCATGAAATAAGATTATGAATTGAGTTTTTATTATGTAAAATAATGACTAAATTTTTATAGCACTGTTATAAACTGAATAATAGAAAACAGAGCCCTTGACAGTAATCTCAAAATATGGTAATTAAGAAGTTGGATGGTTAAAACAAAGATAAAGCACAGTCCTGAATGTTAATGTTTAAGCTGAGAATCCTCTGCTGCAAACTCCAAATAACGAGGATAAAACAGAAAGTCGATTATCACTATAGCAAATTATTTTGCATTTCTCAAGGCAAGTGTTTCACTGACAATTAGGGCTTATTAGGGAAAAGGTTAGCTTTTTTCCTGAACTATCTATCCTTGGAGTAATTATCCTTTTCATTTCATATGATTTCTCATGTCAGTTATCTACCTGGTCTCACTCCCTTCTCCTATTCTGGAGATACATAATGTTCTGCATGTAGTAGATTGAGAATTCTGAAACTGTAAAAACTCCAGCATTAGGATGGCAGAAGTCAGGCAGGGCCTGATATGCCTTCTCACCATCGCCCATTTAAATACCATAAAGACATTTAAAAATGAAGGAAGCTCGAAACAGTTTTGAGCATAAGAATAATGCCTATTCTTGGATAGTCTTCATTAACTTACTTAGCCCAACTGAAACCTCTTAAATAAAAAGGCAGAAAAAAGCAAGTAAGAAAACAACAAAAACACACACACTAAGTTTGGGCTGCAGGGTTGGGTGTGGGCTGGGAGAACACCTGTTTTTGTGAATCCAACCTCTCTATTCTGCCCATAGTATAGCCTTTCCAAAGCTGAGCTGGAGCTCTGGCACTGAGTCCCTCTCTTTTTTCCAATTCTAACATATTTCATGTACCTTAGAACTGTGGCATGGGGACAGCTATTGACATTAATGTTATTATTATTAACAAATATTTTGTGACTTCTCATGGATATGACCTGGGCATACAAAGAGAACTTAAGTCTCATCTCTTTCTTAAAATAATTTAGACTTAATGTTAATACATTTTCAATTAAGGACATGTAATTTCCCTATTATTAAATAAACATCAAACTCTTCTCTAGGCTTCATACAATCTTGCCCTGTTAAATCTCTCACAGTTTTGTCTCTACTCCTCAACTTCCAGAAAGGCAGGATATAAAAATCTTCCAGGAAAGTGTGATATAAACTTTAAGCATCACCTCTTTATCAGGAACTAAAAATAAGTACTTGCAAAGAGGAGCTAAATTGATGTTTTATTAATTCAATGATCCTTTCTTTTGCCTCTCTTTAACAGTTGACAAATTATGACTCTAGAAGAATAAGCTTTTTTTCCTTTTATGTATGTCTGTGTTTCCGTGTATCTATATGCATCAGATATATGTAAATTTTGACCCTACGTGTACTGGCTGGGATGCCTTCACCACCAGCCCTTGTTGTTTATCAGAGCTACTGTGTGAAGAGAGAGCCATGAGATATAATCCTCTAGGTGGCTTTGAGTGCTATGAGCTTTGACAGTTACACAAATTTCCTATTTTCCCCCACAAATGCTTAATACCATTTGTTCCTAAATTGAGAATTGCCCAAATGGGTGGGCTATGGTTGTATTCCCACCCAAATATATCAAATATAGTCATCTTTCAAGTGATTGTCATAAGGCTGTGATGAATTCCAAAATAAAGATAGAAATAAATAGATAAGAAATTTAACCAGCATCTGAAAAGGGAAAAAAAAACCACAAAAAGGAAGCTTAGAGGAAAAATAAATTCTAGATTCATATTAATTTCCCACTCAGAATTACGAGCTATTGTTTAAAAGTTAAATTTCCCTTTCCTTTCTTAAAATCAAAAAACATTTTATCTTTTCTTGCTGGTACTTCAATTCTTACTCTGAACTTAATTTACCATTCTACTACTTACAGGATTTGTAAAATATAATTTTTATACTTGGATTTCAACCACACTTGTAATTGAACTGTAAAAGCTAAGCTTTCATATCATCAAATAAATTAAGTTTCTGTGAAATAGAAGGCCTGTAGTTGTGACTGAATCTTGGTTTGCCGCTTGCTTTATAAAAGATAAATAAAGAAATTATTTTTCAGTTATTTTACCCTTACAATAAAAAATATTAGGATAAGAGAGTATGAAAGGCATTTAAAATACTGAATATTAGCAATGCACAATTAGGATCTAGCTATGGGGCACACTGTAGTCACTAAAAGCAGCATAGGCCTGTGTGCTCGGACATTCCGAAAAACTAGGAAAAGCCTAAGGCATGGGGTTTTGAAGAAATGTATAAACTCTATTATTCATTCTATTATTCATATAATTTCATAAACATCTGGGTCTACAAAGCTGTTGTCTGAGATTAAAGATGATAATAGAGGTGTCATTTAGGGGAGCGGAGCATCTACAGGATGACATAATCTAGATGAAATTATTGTCATCAAGGCTCAGTTATGCCCAGCTTTAAAGTGCAGAACCATCCCAATATTGCAGCCAGTGGTGATTGGTCTTTGAGAAGTCAGATCTTACCAGCCAGATATGAAAGAAAATAGAATTAGAATTGTCCAGGAAAAGGAATGATCATGGTCATTGGAAAACCGTTTGCAGGGAGGCTATTGTGGTAAGCCAAGTTACATGGAGGATGTTATATTATGAACATGGAGTCAGAGGAGGAGGAATGAGCTGAATGACTCAGTGGCTACTGTCATTCAGCTCCTTACCTGATACTTTCCTTTCTACTGTGGTTCTATGGCTGTTGCATGGAATCAACAATAATTAGAGATTTTATCAATACAACTCCCCTGGATACAGCTGAATAAATACCCCCTCTCTGATTCTATTCCACCCTGACCTCCCTTCTATTTAGATAAGTTAATTACATTTATGTGTCAAGTCTTTTGCATCCTGCTTCTCACCTGGGAGATGGATTTTTTTTTTAATTAGAGTGACTGAATTTATTTACCATCATCTATTATGTGTTTACTAGTTTTTCTGAGTTTAAAAGTACATTAGTTATGATGTTATTTACTAAAATAAAAGGAATTGGATTACATATTTGCTTTAGAAGAGATACACCTTTTTTTTTTTTTTTACTTCTTAGAGAAAGACAGCTCTCCTCTGTCCAAATCTAATTCTTTCATCTTTACGCCAGATCTTATGTTGTCTGGTCTGCTCCAAAATTTTGCCTCCATCATTTACTTTTGTCTTATTCTTCATCTTTTCCCTCTTTACAGGTGTTCCCTTCTAAAATAAATTAGTTTAGCTCTCTTACACTTAAAAGAAATGATCCTGGGGCCTTTTACTTCCCTTCTAGCTTGAAGCCTCTTTCTATGTCAGACCTCCAAAAATATCAGTCTATGTCTCCATTTACTTACCTCATAATCAGGTTTCAAATTTAATACCACTCCATAAAAACTCTTCTTTATAAAGTCACCAATACTTTCCTAACTTGCAAAATCGCTTTGTTCATTCTGTGGCTTTGTTCACTAGTGACTATTCCTTTCTTGACCTACTTTGGTTTTTCTAAAATGCACCAATTTTTTAACTTAATTTGACCATTGCTCAGTGTGTTTCCTGCTAGGCTTCACTTCCTCTCTTGCCCTTTAATTTTCACTATTCCTTGGAGTTTTATCCTTGTCCTTCTCTTGTGCTACTTATTTTTCCTGAGCAATCTGATTTATTGTTATGACTGCAACCACCAGCTTTTCACTCACGACAGCCAAGTCATTATTTCCACCTAAGCTCCAAATCTATGTATTTGACAGCCTATTTGACATCCCACCAAGTGAGCAATTTATATTCAACATTACAAAATGAAGTATATATTTTTCCTCCAAACCTCCTTCTTGTGTTATATACCCAGTTTCAAAGAAAGACATTTTCATTTAACCAAAATCATCTGAAGAAAATGACTAGAAGTCTCCTTTTCCTTTTGCCTCTCCTTTGCCTCTCATACTGAATTAATTGCATACATATCATTGAAAAAGATATGGATGTACCTTTAATCAGTTCCTTTTCTCAACTTTCACCACTATTTCTCATGCCCCACCACTTCTTATCTGGCCTGTTCTAACTACATCCTAAGAGGTATTCACCTATATGAGAAAAATAAATCGACACAAGTGTTAAGGACAAGAAAGCAATACACTTTAAAGTGCAATTAGAGATAATAAAGAAGTGTGACCTCAACATCTAAAACCATTTAAAGTGCCCAGAAATCTAATTTGCCACTGTTTTGATCACTGGAGCTTTTTACTGACATCAGGGAAAAGAAATAAATTCTGAATTAGACCATCCATTGTTCTGTGATTTAGAGTGACTCCCATTTACCCCTTTGAGTAATAATTTAAGGCTTTTATACCATTGCTAGCTCTGGGTCAGTGTGAAGTATTAAACAGCAGCCTCTAATAGCATTTCTGAGTCTTTTTAAGCTGCCATTAAGGGTTCAAAGCCGTACTCCTGTCTCTACACTTTTATTTGTTTTAATTCTCTAAAACGTGTGTATCTTCCATGGTATTTTCATCGTAAATTGCAAGGTCGGAACTAGTTTCTGCAGTCTGAAGTTTTAACATCCATTAGTTCATAAGATCCAATTCATGCACTCCAAATCATTAGTCTGTAAAATACAGTTATTTCTGTATGAGAAATCTTATGTCTTATAAATGTCTTTGAAGCATGATCAGGTTATACACCCTTACTATCATTGATATAAACTGTGTGATTAAAAACTCAGGTATGGCCAATCTCTTGGAAAACATGCTGGTAAACATGAAAGAACAAACTACGTATTTATAATCTGAAGAGTTAATCTTTTCTGAGTTTGAGGTTGTTTTACAGGATTGACCTCTCCGAAGCATTTTACAAGATTATGATTTCACAGGATAATACAGACTCTTTGTCCCTGTTCCATCCTGGAAGCACTGTCCTTTGGGCAGATGGCACCATAGACCCAGGGTTAGTCTGTAGCAAAAACAAAATACTTCTTCAGCTGGGAGCAACACATCATCAAGATAAGATCAACTATCCCTTTGTTCAGGGAAAGTGCTTCAGCCTTTACAATGTCTGCAAGGCCAATCTTCACTTTATAGCCTTTCTTTTACAGTTGAACCCTTGCTTCTATTTGTATGTTGATTCCTCTGATAATTTAAAAATATTTCTTAGAGGGCAAAAGCCAAGCAGTCCACTAGAGTAATTGAGATAGAAGGGTTGAGTTTTATTTCAATTTCTGTTCCGGAGCATTTCTTACTCAAGAAAAGAACAAACAGAAAACATGAAGTCCTCTATCTAAGGGTTCATGAACAAACATAAATTGCCAGCAAAATGGAAAAAATTGCTATTAAAACTCTCTATAATTTTATATGTAAACGTGTATAAACACAGGCAGGGTGTAAGCTGCTATGCCTCCTGTCTAAAACTGCTTTAAGTATTTAACCTCCTGAGCTATAGTTCTACCCATTGAAATAGGTCCTGTGGTACGTGCTAAAATGTGAAATGAAGAAATATCCTTTAGCCTACCTTATGCTTTCTACTTGGTGTTTGATTTGCTTGGTAGAGGACCAAAAAGAGTACCTATGGTTGAAAAGTTCACCAAATTATACCTAATAGATAAAAACCTAAATCTCGAAATTTGACTCTGAATAAATTCTTGTCAATGATTATGCAGTTTTATCTGGTAAGTAATTATCTAATTTACCTGAATGATTCTATTGAGATCCAAAAAGAAATAAACCAAAACAAACAACAGAAAAAACCCATATTATTCATCTTTATGCCACCCAGACAGTTTTGTTTTTCTTCTTTTTTTTCTAGCCTTAATACCAACCTACCAGGGTTCATTAGCCCTATAATGTCTCTTCTTTCTTAAACACACAATGATTATTAGTTTGAGAAACCTAAATACATAAAACAAACTTCTTCTGGGAGTACTGCTTGACAATTTAATTACAAAAAGCAAAGAAACGTTTTAAACATTGTCAGACTCTTGTTCTAAATCCTCAACCATCTTATCTCTTCTCTTAAACTAACATCTCCTCTAATAACATCTCGTTTCTTAAGCTAACAATTTCTAGAAGCAGCATTTAACTATACAAGTGAGGAACTATATCTTTGCTGAGCATCTACTCTGTGCCAGAACCTTTACATATATTGCCTCATTGAATGCTTGTAAGGACTGCAGAAAAGTAGGTGCTTAACTCTGCTTTATATAGAAAATGAGATCCAAAAAATGAAGTCCTTGCTGTGCCATTAGGAAACAAAGAAGCTGAGAAGGCAGTCTGGGTCGGCCTTGTACCAGAGCCTGTGTTATTCCTATTTTACCCCAGTGAAGCACACACAGAGGAGATGCTGAGGTTAACATAATTATTTTCCTCATGAATTCCAGTGAGAAATAAAGCTGGATTAGACAGGCCTCACTAGAATAATATAAGGGAAGGGACTGTTCTGCTGGATCATATGGTTGTTAAACCATCTTCCTGAAGTATGTATGTCACATGTGGGTCAGCTCAAACTGAGATCCAGGATGATGGGGAAAGGGATCAACTGCTCATGTCAGTGACCCTTCTCTGCATCAGTTGTCCTATGAGCCCTCTTACAGTCTCAACTATTTCTTGTTCTTAACAGCAGCTATTTTAAAACTCTAATAAAATAACCTCCTTTTATCTTCTACTTCAAAGAAAATAGAAAATATTAGACAAAAACTTCAACTTTCTTCTTCTGACCCTACATGCTTATTCATATGCAACTATCATTTCCTCCTTTCTCCCATTACCATATGATATGGTTTGGCTTTGTGTCCCCAACCAAATCTCATCTCGAATTGTAATCCCCACGTGTTAAGGGAGGAACCTGGTGGGAGGTGGTTGAAACATGGGGGCAGTTTCTTCCATGTTGTTCTCCTGATAGACTGAGAGTGCACGCGAGATCTGATGGTTTTAAAGTGGCAGTTTCCCTATGCACTCTCTCTCCTGCCAATATGTAAGATACATGTGCATTGCTTCCTCTTCACTTTCTACCATGATTGTAAGTTTCCTGAGGCCTCCCCAGCCATGCAGAACTGTGAGTCAATTAAACCTCTATTCTAGTTTGTTATAGCAACGTGAAAATGAACTATTACAGAAAACTGATACCAAGAGCAGGGTACCACTATAAAGATAACCTGAAAATGTGGAAGCGACTTAGGAACTGGGTAATGGGGAGAGATTGGGACAGTTTGGAGGGCTCAGAAAAAGAAGAGAAGATGATGGAAAGTTTGGAACTTCCTAGAGACTAGTTGAATGGTTTTGACCAAAATACTGATAGTGATATGGACAGTCAAGCCCAGGCTGAGGTGGTAACAGATGTGGATGAGGAACTTATTGGGAACTGGGGCAAGGTTGTTCTTGCTATGCTTTAGCAAAGAGACTAGAGGCATTTTGCCCCTGCCCTAGAAATCTGTGGAACTTTGAACTTGAGATAGATGATTTAGGGTATCTGGCAGAAGAAATTTCTAAGTAGCAAAGCAGTCAAGATGCAACCTGAAAGTGTTCAGTCATGTATGTTCACAAAAAGCTTATCTAAAACTGGAAATTGTATTTAAAAGGGAAGTGCAGCATAACAGTTTAGAAAATTTGCAGCCTGACCATGAGGTAGAAAAGAAAAACACATTTTCTTGGGAGAAATTCAGCTGGCTGCAGAAATTTGCATAAGTAATGAGCAGCCGAAATGTTAATCCCCAAGACAATGGGGAAAATGTCTCCAGGACATTTCAGATATCTTCATGGCAGCCCCTCTCATCACAGGCCTGGAGGCCTGGGAGGGAAAAATGGTTTTGTGGGCCAAGCCCAGGGCCTTGCTGCTCTGTGCAGCCTCAGGACACGGTGCCCTGCATCCCAATTGCTCAAGCTCCAGTTATGGCTAAAAGGGGCAAAGGTACAGCTTGGCTCATCGCTTCAGAGGGTATAAGCCCCAAGCCTTGGTGGCTTCCATGTGGTCCTGGGCCTGCAGATGTGCAGAAGACAACAACTGAGCTTTGGGAGCTTCTGCCCAGATTTCAGAGGATGTATGGAAATGCATGGATGTCCAGGCAGAAGTTTGTAGCACAGATGGAGCCCTCATGGAGAACTTGGGCCAAGGCAGTGTGGAAAGGAAATGTGGGGTTGAAGCCCCCACACTGACTTCCCACGAGGATACTGCCTAGTCAAGCTGTGAGAAATGGGTCACTCTCCTCAAGACCCCAGAATGGTAAATCCACCAACAGCTAGCACCAGCATCCATCTGGAAAAATCACAGGCACTCAATGCCAGCCCATGAAAGCAGCCACAGGGGCTGTACCCTGCAGAGCCACAGGGGTGGAGCTGCCTAAGGCTGTGGGAACCCACCCTTTGCATCAGCATGCCCTGGATGTGAGACATGGAATTAAATGAGATGTTGGAGATTAAAGATTTAATGACTGCTCTGCTGGATTTTGAAATTGTATGGGGCTGATATCCCCTTCATTTTGGCCAATTTCTCCCATTTGGAATGGGAACATTTACCAAATTCCTGTAGCCCCATTGTACTTGGAAGAAACTAACTTGCTTTTGATTTTACAGGCTCATATGTGAAAGGGACTTGCCTTGTCTTAGATGCAACTTTGGGCTTGGACTTTTGAGTTAATGCTGGAATGAGTTAAGACTTTGGCTGTTAGGAAGACATGATTACTTTTGAAATGTGAAAAGGATATGAGATTTGGGAAGGGCAGAATGATATGGTTTGGCTCTGTGTTCCCACCCAAATCTCATCTGAAATTCCCCACATGTCAAGGGAGGGACCTGATGGGAAGTGATTGGACCATGGGGGCTATTTCCCCCATGCTGCCCTTATGATAGTGAGGAAGTTCTCACAAGATCTGATGGTTTAAAAGTGTCAGTTTCCCTTGCATGCTTTCTCTCTCTTGCCACCATGAAAGACATGCCTTACTTTCCCTTCACCTTCCATGATGATTGTAGGTTTCCTGAGGACCCCCCAACCATGTTGAACTGTGAGTCAATTAAATCTCTTTTCTTGATAAATTACCCAGTCTCGTATACTTCATTATAGCAGTGTGAAAATGAACTAATACACCATGTAAAAGTTTCCCACCTTGCTTCTATATTTCTGTTTGCCTAACACATACAGCCTTCTCTGGGACCACCCTCCCTAATATACACACTTTCTAGCCTGTGTCCTAGATGGCCACCACCTACAACAACATTTAAACATTTTTCTTCCTTGTAATAAAACAAATAACCAAATCTACATCCTCCTCTAGCTGTTCCCCTTATTCTCTCTTCTATTTTATAATCAAATTTCATAAAGAGTCATCTACAAGCGCTTTCTCTACTTGTATCCTCTAGTTGAGTATGCAAACTTCTGAAATCTGACTTCTGGCCATGCTACTCTGCTGAAACTATTCTTGTTAAAGTCACAGACAAACTCATTACTTTTAAATCCAAAGAATATGTCTCCAACAACCTTTACCCTCCATAGACTCTAGGCTGAGTCTCCCTTCTTCTGTCACAGACTCTTGCCTTGGCTTCCATATCCCCAAACACTCAGGATTGTCCTCCCAGCCCTCTGGTGGCACTTTCTTTACCGCATTTATATTATAATCATCCTCTAACTCTGAACAGGTACAAGGCACTGGGAGAGATAGCTATGAAAATGAAAATTTTTATAATGCTTGCTTTAGGCCTTATATGGAGGGACTATATATATATCTATATATCTATATATCTATATATATATATCTTCCACATGGTTGGGGAGGCCTCAGGAAACCCATATATATATATCCCTCCATACAAGGCCTAAAGCTATATATATATATATATTTTTTTTTATGTACATGTGTATATATAGAAATATATATGGGAGAGAGTGAGTACATGCTATGAGGGAATTCTTAATGGCTACAGTAAGATTAATAAAATATAGAAAGAAATAGATATGAATATCTATATATAGATACAAATATCAATAGCTCAATAAAGTATAGTCATGTGTCATAAAATGATGTCTTAGTCAATGAAGAACCACATATATGATGGTGGTACAATAAGATTATAATACTGTATTTTTACTATCACTTTTCTATGTTTTGATATGTTTAGATACACAAATACCATGATGTTATATTGCCTACACTATTGAGTATAGTAACATACAGGTTTTTAGTCTAGAAGCATGGGCTATGCCATATAGCTTAGTTGTGTAGTAGGCTATGCCATCTAAATTTGTGTTCATGCAATGATGAAATTGCCCAGTGATGCGTTTCTCAGAATGTATCCTCATCTTTAAGCAATTCATGACTGTCATACAAATTAGAGACAGCTCCTAAGATACCTATAGTCTGTTGTGCTATAACACATATTTCCCTAGCACAAATGAATTCTTACATGATTGGTAAGTAGGGGAGATGATGTCAGTGTAACAGGAAACTGAGTTGTTTCATTATCAATTTTGCCCAAGCAAGAGAGGCTGGTGTAGCAGAAGTAGAATTATAACTGTGTTAGAAAAGAAAAAAAGCTTTCAACTTGGCTACTGCACAGGTAAGAACATTTTTAGCTATATTTTAAGAAAATTAAAAGCAAACTCTAGCCCGGAGCTCTGATGCTAGAGCAATACTCCTGGGACTGAGGCCTCTCTCAGCAGGTTGTATTTTTACCAAGGAGCACAGACCTTCATTTGTGTTTGCATTATCTCAGCGGCCCTCAAGCCAGCATTTCTACTTTATTGTTTTTGCACCTATTTGATGTTGCTGAAGTGGCATCCCTGAACTAAGTTGTTTTATGACATGTCAATAATTGTTTTGTTATTGCTTTGGTTACAAAGTTGCATTTGTTTGGGGGAAATCAGTCCCTAAGCTTTATTGTTCCCATACACCTTGTGATTTTTAGTACATGATTTTGCAAGACACAAAGATTTCTGAAATGCACAGCCATCCCAAGGCACTGGGATGAGATCTCTCCTCTCTCTCTCTATACACACACACACACACACACACACACACACACACACACACAAACACACCCACACATATGTATATATACATTTCTCTCTATATAAGGCCTAGTGCAAGCATTGTACAAATTTTCACTTTTCATAGCCATCTCTCCCAGTGCCTTCATACTTGCAGATATCCCAAGTATGTCTTTTTAAATTTAATGGAAATTAAGCATTAATCATCTTGTATTTTATTATCAAACATATGCTTGGATTGTATGATTTTATTTCAAGAAAAATTTAGAAAGTGTCATTGTATTAGCCTGTTCCCACTCTGCTAATAAAGACATACCTGAGACTGGGTAATTTATAAAGAAAAAGAGGTTTAATGGACTCAGTTCTACATGGCTGGGGAGGCCTCACAATCATGGTAGAGGCAAAGGAGAAGCAAAGGCACATTACATGGTGGCAGGCAAGAGAGCATGTGCAGGGGAACTCCCTTTACAAAACCATCAGATCTTGTGAGACTCACTCACTATCATGAGAACAGCAACATGGGGTAACCGTCCCTGTGATTCAATAAGGACTGGAGGGACTCCTACCAGGTCCCTCCCATGACAGGTGGGGATTATGGGAACTACAATTCAAGATGAGATTTGGGTGTGGACACAGCCAAACCATATCATTCACACCTTGTTTTCTTAATACAAATTTCTTTAAACAAGGCCAAGCTCATATACTTTACCTGTCTGCCAGTCCTGAAACATGAATAGAAAGCTATTTTTTAGTTATATGAGTTGTATGTTGTGAATCTGATAAATCTCTTTCTTCCCATATTCAAAGATTGCAAAAATAGATGAGTGGATCTTAATCAAAAAAGCAAAAGGAATTCATTTTTGGATGAATTCTGAGCTAAAGATTTACTCTCATTTTTTTTATATGCTAGACTTGAGTGTTAAAAATAGGAGGTTAGCACGGATGTGTAAATATAATATTACCTACACTTCCCTAGCATATTTCTATGAACGTGAAATCAGCACCAAGGCTTACTTCTTGGTGTTTAGCCATAAGGCTATGTTGCTGACCCCTTTCTTTGAAGGAGCCTTTCCCATAATTTCTTGTCAGAGTTCACATTTACCTTTTCTTCTTCTCAACTCTCTTTAGCTAATGTCATGTCTGGAGTTTCATAAATTGTGTTTAGAATCTAGGCATTATTAAATTAGATGTATTTGCTGACTTACACAACTTTGTTTTATAAGATGTTCGCAACCAATGAATTGTAGAGATGCATGTAATTCTAACAGAGAAAGAAACCACTCTCAATGAGTTTTCTTTCAAATTTTATGCCCAGAAACTCATGCTCTTGGAACTTGAGAAAGAAAACTTCTCCTTTTCTTTAACATACCTCCTTGCATTATAATAGCCTCTCAAAATAAACAGGTTGTTTTAATGCTAAATATTATGTAAAGAAGTTAATTATATCATGATGAGGCAAGAATCTATCACTGCCTGCATGAAGAGATTGCAAAGAATTAACTACACAGAATAAACCTTAGTAACAATTGAAGCAGGAAAATTGATGACTACCTGCAAGAAAGTAGGGAGCTAAAGTGGCAAAATTCATGTGGTCATGGAGAGATGGAGCTAAGTGAAGGTCAAACATACTGGATATTTAGAAGTTTTGCTGATTTTCATAAACTTACATGCCTCTGTTAATGTAATCAGGATATTATTTGCATTAGATTTAACAGGAGGTAAAAGTAGTACCTTAGGGCTAATATGTTTTTAAACATTTTTCATAAATCAGTTTAGTATATCCTTAGCTATGCCCGTAATGATAGTGCTCATATTTTCCTAATTAAAGATAGGGATACATTGTCCCCCAGAAAAGCAGAGTATAAGAACATGTATATGAGGACAACAGGGCAGAACATTTACATACCAGCTCAAAGAGTCCAGTGTATTTTTCATTTATAGAGAACTCTAACAAGTGCACCTGTGACATGAACTTGTTACAGAATTTAGGCAATGGAATGCAAATTTGTAATCAAACAGGGTTTAAATGAGATTTATTTATTTATTTGTTTATTTATTTATTTTTAGATGAAGTCTCACTCTGTTATCCAGGCAATCTCCGCTCGTTGCAACCTCCACCTCCCGGGTTCAAGTAGTTTTTCTGTCTCAGCCTCCCGAGTATCTGGGACTACAGTCCCACACCACCAGGCCAGGCTAACTTTCTTATTTTTAGTAGAGACAGGTTTCTCCATATTGGTCAGGCCGGTCTCGAACTCCTGACCTCAGGTGATCCACCTGCCTTGGCCTCCCAAAGTCCTGGGATTACAGGTGTGAGCCACCGAGCCCGGCTGAGTTTTATTTTTCACACACTGCTGCTACAACCTTCAGTTCCTGTGGTCCACTATAATGCTTTATTTTATGGAGTAATTTAGTTTTCTGCTTTCCCTTCACTATTTCCTAAAGAATTGAAATAATCTTATTAAGATTTTAATATTATATGAGTATAAAAGTTTGCATTTATGCCCTGTGGATGCTTTGTAACCTATATTCTTCTGAATTTTGTCAACTACAGGTCTTTAGCCATGTTAACTTCATTGGGCAGTAACTTCCCTATTATTAATCAGTTTGCAAATGCCTTAAGAAGAAAAAATGACAAAGAACTTCCAGCAAGATAAAAGTACTGAACGGCCTTGGTAGCTCTGCTACTTTCCAATGAATACAGGTTTGCTTTGTTGACATGTTAGAAGCTATTCTCAAACCTGTAAATGAAAATGAGTGATAAGGAAACCTGTTCCAAACATATTGCAGCAACCTGGTCCCAGCTAGCCTGAGCACTACTGCTAAGTCCAGCACAAGTGATCAGCCAGAGGTACTGAGGAAACGCTTCTGTCTTCTGGTACAGGATAATGAACATCCCCAAATTTCAGAGTTCATGACCTCTCAGAGTACAGAAATCACACAACACTGCGAAATACTTCTGTAATTCTCTGCTGGAAAAATTCAATTTTATGACAGTCATTTGAGAGGAAGTGTTGCTAGACCTGATATATAGCTTTTCTTTCAGCTAAACTAAAATATATTATAATTTAAAAGAAAAAAGAAAATAAAAATTCTAAGTTTTCTTAAATGTATGAATGCTAAAATTAGCCTGTGTATTTTGGGGAGTACGGCTCTGAGAGTGGGAGGGATGTGAGAATACGTGTGCAGAAGAACTATAAGGAAGATGACAAAACACCTTCAATAATCACAGCACTCTAAGCAGGCTTCTTAAAAATCATTATTTATTTATTTATTTATTATTGTTATTATCATTATGATTATTATTTGAGACAGAGTCTCACTCTGTTGCCCAGGCTGGAGTGCAGTGGCACAAACTCCACTCACTGCAACCTCTGCCTACCGGGTTCAGGCGATTATCCTGCCTTACCCTCTGGAGTAGCTGAGATTACAGGCATGCACCACCATGCCCAGCTAATTTTTGTATTTTTAGTAGAGAGAGCGTTTTGCCATGTTGGCTAGGCTGGTTTTGAACTCCTGACCTCAAGTGATCCACCCGCCTCAGCCTCCCAAAGTGCTGGGATTAGAGGCATGAGCCACCATGCCAGGCCTATTTATTTTGATGTAAAATTTAGCCAGTATGAGTTCACTATAGTAATCTCATCGACGGATCCCTAGCTCAGTAGGAAATTCCATTTGTCCATCTTTTACTGAGAGCCATTTTCGAGACAAAGATAGCTTCCAGTGCTAATATATGCTCATGGGATAATATCTCATCACAAAATCCCTTTCTTTCCTGAAACAAAAGTAGCTAGGTATGATTTCTTCTTGGTATAAAGTCCCTGGCTTCATATAAAGAGGCAAATAATTTAAAAGTCATTTAGATACTCAGAACTGTATTTGATCATCAACTTATATTTGGGAGAATCACCATAGAAATATCATAAAAAAGACAAGTTTATTTCCAGAACAAGGCTGTTAAGCCCACATTAACATAACATATTAACATAAATATTTAGTTTGAAAATAAAATCTTGGAAATGCTTTTAGAAACCAAATTGAGCAAAAATTCTACTAAGCCTTGAGTTTTACACATAAGCTAATGCAATAATTTTTCTTCTTGTCATGTAAACCTTGTCTTGACTCTCTCCAAATCCTAAGCTTAAGTTACCAGCCCACAGTTTTCACAAAACCCTAACAATTGTAGCCAAACTGATTACATTTATTGTACTTGTCTCCAGGCTACACTGGTCTGATCACCCCTTCTTCATTAGAGATGAATGGTTTTCCACTGAGAGTATCGTCTATTGCATGCTGTTCTGCACAGTTTCTCTGAAATAGTCAGAGCTTTACCATATTCTATTATCTGGAAACCCACCTCCAAAAACTTCAGTCATTCAGAATAAAATCATAAATCCGAAAGAAAGCTAAATGCTTCTCAAAGAAATATAACACTTGCAACTTGGAAATATAGGTCTGAGAGATGGTACTGAATTTGTACGTATCTAATTTTCTTTATGTGTAAATTGCAGATAAATAATAGCTCCTTTCCTAATTCATGGGGTATCATGAAGATTACAGTGAGCAAATGCATAAAAGACACTTAGAACATCGCTTGACACTGCTAAGTACTTTATGAGTGTTAACATTAATGATAATGCACATGATGATTAACAGATAAGAAAGCTGATTTTTACAGAGCTAGGAGATTTGCTCAGGGCCGACATCATACAGCTGAGCCATAAGTCAAATTCTGTACTCCCTTCCTCAGTGTTCCAAGCTGTGTGCATCACGTCTCACTGATGATTTCCAAGGAGAAGGCAGGATATGCGGAGTGGGGAACTATTTGACATAATATTCACACATCCTACTCAGTAGCAGAGCAGGCCAAAGGCATTTAGATGGTAAACTTAAAATTTTATTTGAGAAGTATAATTATCTAGTTATTTCTAACATGCTTTACTGTATATTATGTTTATAGAAGATAAGACAGTAGAAATAGTAGAGACTACTAGAAGCAGACAGCTCCCAGCCAAGTAGGGAGTTATAGATAATAATAAAGTATGAGGTAAAAGAATGGCAAGATTAAAAAGAGCTACAGTGTAGAGTTGCCTAATACAGGGGGGAATGTATGCATTAAGTCTCTCTGGATGTCTCAATAGTCTGGGAGAACATTGCCCTTCATTCTTTTCTACATGCAGCATTCTGTAATTCAATAATGATGACTCAGAGTCATTAGGGAAGAAATAAAGTATGTTCAGTACACTCTGCATAAGAAGACAAGAAAGTTATTATGCTTTTCAAATATTCCTCAGTGCTCATATATTACCTTTATTATCTGCAAAAACAAAAAAAGAACTCACACAAACAAAAAGTGGGGAAGCTGATAAGCATCTGTCTGCTGTTGTTTTATTTTAAACTGTGTCTCTGCTTTGCCCTAACTGTATAATTGAAACTAAAGGTAGTCACTCTCAGCCAGGCTCTCTCTCCCCCTCTTCTGGGTCAATATTTATCAAGATACAGTAAGAATATCAATAATCCACTGTCTATCTCACAGGGTTTGAAACTTATCTCCTTCCACAGATGAAGTGGATATATTGTCCCAGTTATGCCTGTATTTAGTCTGATACTCAGCAGATGCACTAGAGCAGCCCTGCTGAATAGAACTCTCTCAGATGATGAAAATGTTCTCCTGAGCAGTACAATATTGCAGCCAGTAGCCATATATGGCCATTGAGTATTTGAAAAGTGGCTAGTAAACCTAAGGAACTGAATTTAAATTATATTTTAACTAATTTAATTTTAAATAGCCACATATATCTGGTAGCTATCATATTGGACAATACAGCACTACAGACTCCCAGAAGCCTTGTTGATATTCTCCAAAATGATTGTCCACCTGCTACTTAATTACATTTTCTGCCACATGGTACTTTCTGTGACTGTGTCACCTATCCATTTAGAAACCTCAGAATCTACTATCCCTGAATCCCAATATGGCCAGACTAGATTTTCAGTTTATATATTAGATGCACATGTTGCTGGAAGACATTTGAAACACACAAAAAAACTTAGCAAAATATAACATAAAAAAATTGTTTTTGAGACAGGGTCTAGCTCTGTCACCCAGGCTGGAGTGCAGTGGCACGATCTTGGCTCACTGCAACCTCTGCCCGCTGGGACTATAGGCATGTACCACCACACCTGGCTAACTTTTGTATTTTTTTGTAGAGACAGGGTTTTGCCATGTTGGCCAGGCTGGTCTTGAACTCCTGGGCTCAGGCAATCAACCCACCTTGACCTCCCAAAGGCACCCAGGCATGACCCATAGTTCCTTGTCAAAATATAACGTATTTTTGAAATGTATTATTAATCAAATTTTAGAATTAAAAAAAAGAATCTCCAGGTGCTAGAAATGAAGAAGAAACTCAAAATCAGAGATAGGAACAGTTACTGGGTCTGCATTGCTCACTGGGAGAGTCAAATAACAGCAAAGTCTCAGGATACAAAATCAATGTGCAAAAATCACAAGCATTCTTATACACCAAAAACAGACAAACAGAGAGCCAAATCATGAGTGAACTCCCATTCACAATTGCTTCAAAGAGAATAAAATACCTAGGAATCCAACTTACAAGAGATGTGAAGGACCTTTTCAAGGAGAACTACAAACCACTGCTCAACAAAATAAAAGAAGACACAAACAAATGGAAGAACATTCCATGCTCATGGATAGGAAGAATCAATATTGTGAAAATGGCCATATTGCCCAAGGTAATTTATAGAGTCAATGCCAACCCCAACAAGCTACCAATGACTTTCTTCACAGAATTGGAGAAAACTACTTTAAAGTTCATATGGAACCAAAAAATGTCCCACATTGCCAAAACAATCCTAAGCCAAAAGAACAAAGCTGGAGGCATCACACTACCTGACTTCAAACTATACTGCAAGGCTATAGTAACCAAAACAGCATGGTATTGGTACCAAAACAGAGATACAGACCAATGGAACAGAACAGAGCCCTCAGAAATAATACCACACATCTACAACCATCTGATCTTTGACAAATCTGACAAAAACAAGAAATGGGGAAAGGAGTCCCTACTTAATAAATGGTGCTGGGAAAACTGGCTAGCCATATGTAGAAAGCTGAAACTGGATCCCTTCCTTACACCTTATACAAAAATTAATTCAAGATGGAATAAAGACTGAAATGTTAGACCTAAAACCATAAAAACCCTAGAAGAAAACCTAGGCAATAGCATTCAGGACATAGGCATGGGCAAAGACTTCATGTCTAAAATACCAAAAGCAATGTCAACAAAAGCCAAAATTAACAAATGGGATCTAATTAGACTAAAGAGCTTCTGCACAGCAAAAGAAACTACCACCAGAGTGAACAGGCAACCTACAGAGTGGGAGAAAATTTTTGCAATCTACTCATCTGACAAAGAGCTAATATCCAGAATCTACAAAGAACTCAAACAAATTTACAAGAAAAAAACAAACAACCCCATCAAAAAGTGGACGAAGGATATGAACAGACACTTCTCAAAAGAAGATATTTATGCAGCCAACAGACACATGAAAAAATGCTCATCATCACTGGCCATCAGAGAAATGCAAATCAAAACCACAATGAGATACAATCTCACACCAGTTAGAATGGTGATCATTAAAAAGTCAGGAAACAACAGGTGCTGGAGAGGCTGTGGAGAAATAGGAACACTTTTACACTGTTGGTGGGACTGTAAACTAGTTCAACCATTGTGGAAGACGGTGTGGCGATTCCTCAGCGATCTAGAACTAGAAATACTATTTGACCCAGCCATCCCATTACTGGGTATATACCCAAAGGATTATAAATCATGCTGCTATAAAGACACATGCACACGTTATGTTTATTGCAGCACTATTCACAGTAGCAAAGACTTAGAACCAACCCAAATGTCCATCAGTGATAGACTGGATTAAGAAAATGTGGCATATATACACCATGGAATACTATGCAGCCATAAAAAATGATGAGTTCATGTCCTTTGTAGGGACGTGGATGAAGCTAGAAACCATCATTCTCAGCAAACTATCACAGGGACAAAAAACCAAATACCACATGTTCTCACTCACAAGTGGGAATTGAACAATGAGAACACTTGGACACAGGAAGGGGAACATCACACACTGGGGCCTGTCATGGGGTGGGGAGAGTGGGGAAGGATAGAATTAGGAGATTAATACCTAATGTAAATGACTAGTTAATGGGTGCAGCACACCAACATGGCGCATGTATACATATGTAACAAGGCTGCATGTTGTGCACATGTACCCTAGAACTTAAAGTATAAAAAACCAAACAAACAAAAAATAAATAAAATGAAATAAACTCTATGATGCCGTAAAGCTAACAAGAAGTCCAGCAGTTCAACAATACCATATTGTAAGAAAGGAGATATTTAGTAACGTGATGGAATAATCCATTATTAAAAAGCATCACTTGACCAAAAAAAAAAAAAAAAAAAAAAAAGAGTAAGAAGAATCAAAGCCAAAATAGAAAAGGAAAATAAGGCACTCAAGGTGCTGCAGAATAACAGAAAGTTGTGTTAGTCAGCTTGGTCTGCCATGACAAAATTCCATAGACCGAAGCTTCAACAACAGAAATTCTGAAGCCTGGAAGTCAAAACTCAGGGTGCCAATGTGGTTGGAGTCTGGTGAGGGCCCTCTTTCTGGCTTGTAGATGGCCACCGTCCCCTGTGTGCTCAACTGGCAAGTTCTCTGGTGTCTCTTCTTATAAGGATACTAATCCCATTATAAGAGTCCCACTCTCATGACCTCATCCATCTAAATCTTATAGCTCTCAAAGCCTCATCTCCAACACCACCACATTGGGGGGTTAGGGCTTCAAGAATTGAATTTTGAGGGGACACAATTCACTCCACAGAAGAAGTTGTCACTGGAGTCACAATTAAAGCAGAGATTAAAACTCTGTGAAAGAGCTAGCCATGTGTCTAAAACAATAGGAGGAAAAGCAATGACCTCAGAGAAATCAGAACTCCAAGCCTTTGCTCTTTTGAGGACAAATACACACAATCTTGGTACCAGGCAAAACTGTCCACAATATTTTGCAGCTGTACCTACAAAGAAGCAGAGTGTATTTTTTCATCTCTTGAATTTAGGCTTGGCCGCATAATTTGCTTTAGATAAGAGGACAATAGTAAACATGCATTCAGGAACTTAAAGAGTGCTTGCTCACTGGGAATTGGCATCTCTCCTCATGGGGTGATTACTCTGTGAAGAAGCCAGGGTTAGCCAGCAAGGATGAGACCAAGTGCAGCAGGGCTCATCCATCTCAGCTGAACTACTCTGTGGAACAAGCAGCCTCCAGTTGACCTGGGTTCTGACCACAGACACAGAAGTGAGCCCAGCTGAGACAAGCAGAAAAATGACACAACTAAGCCCTGCTGAAACTGCCAACCCAAAGAATTGTAAGATACATAAATGGTTGCTCTTATTTTAAGCCACCAGGGTTTGGAGTACTGCCCATGTCAGGTAGGAATATTTTGGTGAGATATTAATTAAAAGTTGATCTGGAAAAGAATCAAACTCAAAACCATCTTTTTAAGGAGCACTAGTACCACCCTGGGTTGAAAACACAGAATTTATATTTAAGTAACAGTCAAGAAATTATAACCACATAGGTTAAAAAAAATCAAGAAATCAGTACACACAACAAATTGGAGAATTGGGGATTATACAAAAATCTGAATGAAGGGCACTATAAGTAAAAAGAGATGAAAAAAAAGAAATAAGAACATAAGACACCAGCAGACTATTTTGAAAAACGAAAATATCAGACTTAAAACAGAACCAAGTATTAATTTAGGAAATTTAAAAAAAAACATTAAAATAATAAATTCTAAAAACTCATGTTAAAGAGTGAACTAGACATATTTGAAGGGAGGATATGTGAATTGGGTGACACAGGAGGAAAAAACCTCACAAAATATAACGAGAGATATAAAGATGAAAATATAAAATATAAATCAATGGATATTAATGATAAAAGGAGAAATCTAAAATACAATATGAAGAGTTAACAGAAATCATCAGAAAGAGACAACATACAAAAACTTAGCTGAGAATTTTTCATAAATGAAGAAAGATTTGAGTAAAAAGGATCACAAATGAGATTACTAAACACTAATATACCACCCAGGGAAAAAAAGCAAAGTTGCAGAAAATGAAACAAAAAAGAAAACTCAAAATTTACCAGAGAGAAAATAAATATTACCTCCCAAGAATGACAAATGAGAGTAGGCTTCTCATCGAAACAGGAAATGCCAGAAGACTGTGCAAATTTCTCTACCTAGAAGTCTAAACTCAGCTCAACTTTCATACAAGAAGGCAAGGAAAACAAAACATTTCAAAATCGATTCTGAGAGAATCAATTACTCCTAGGCTCTCACTGAAAGAACATTGATACTCTAAATCTGCAAGAAGGTAATTAAAGTCATAAGAAAGAAGTGTCAGGTAAGACTCTTGCTGAGCAAAGAAATTGGCAATAGGCTGGTAAACGTAAATCAATCCTGAGATTAATGATTACTTGGGACATTAAAAAAAAAAGTAGAACTAAAACAATAAACAAAAAGCCTCATCCCACTAGAATTTAGTATCTACAAGTATGTAGATTTTCCTGTTAACTTTCATAGATGTGTTACCAACATTTAAAACAGTGCCAGACACACAGTAATCATTCATTAAGTATGTACTTAATAAAAGAAACTGCTTAAAACATAGCAGTGAAACAATTGATACCTAAAGAATTATGAGGTTTTTAAATTGCTCAAGAAAGAGAATAGAGATACTGACTTTACTCATACTATGATGTTATGCTATATTCAAATGCTAACAAGTTAAAGAAAACCAGTAAGAAACAGAAATCAAATGCATGGAGAAAATAAAGGGAGTAAAGAAAAAGTAGAGATTAGTAGGAGGGGAAAAAAGTAACTAAGCTAAGAAAAATCATGGTATGTAAAAAACCACAAAACATAAAATTAAGTCCAAACCTATCAGTAATCCCAGTAAATGTGAATGGAATAATCATGGCAATTAGAAGACAGAAACACAAATTGAGTTTTTTAAATCTAGAAATACAATATTTACAAAAAAAAGGCCTAAAAGTTGTGACAAATAAACATTAAAAGTAGGAATAGGATATAATGAAAACTGTTAACCAAAATTTATCTATATAGCACTGTTGATATCAAATAGCAGGGTGAGGTGGCTCATGTCTGTAATCCCAGTACTTTGGGAGGCCAAGGTGGGCAGATCTCTTGAGCTCAGGAGTTTGAGACCAGCCTGGACAATACAGCAAAACCCTGTCTCTACAAAAAAATCCAAAAACTTAGGTGTGGTGGTGTGCCTGTAGTCCCAGCTATTGGGGGGCTGATGTGGGATCGCCTGAGTCCAAGAGGCAGAAGTTGCAGTGAGCAGAGATCATGCCACCCAGACGGGTTCACTTCCTTAGTTTGCTGCCAAGATTCCTAAAGGCAATGTGTGACCATTATCCTAGTTTCAATTTCAGCAGAGATAACCTGAGAGTGTGAAACAACATGGACATGCACATACACATATGCTATGATGTGATGATGATGTTATGAAACAAGGAATAAATAAAGGAGCACCAATGTGGGGTACTCTAAGTGGCTGTCTATGAAACAAAATGTCAATCCCTTGAAAATCCTCTGTTTAGCAGTGGGAAATAGCTGGTGTGAGGAGTGGAGTAGAAAATGGATCAATATCTTAAATTATGTACTTATGGGAAGTCTAAATTATGTAATTTTATGGGAATTAAAAAGGACATCCAGAGTTGTATCCATTTATATTATCATCGCTTGAAAAATCTCTTTTTTTTTTTTTTTTTTTTTTTTTTTTTTTTTTTTTGAGACGGAGTCTCGCTCTGTCGCCCAGGCTGGAGTGCAGTGGCGCGATCTCGGCTCACTGCAAGCTCCGCCTCCCGGGTTCACGCCATTCTCCTGCCTCAGCCTCCCAAGTAGCTGGGACTACAGGCGCCCGCCACTACGCCCGGCTAATTTTTTGTATTTTTAGTAGAGACGGGGTTTCACCGTTTTAGCCGGGATGGTCTCGATCTCCTGACCTCGTGATCCGCCCGCCTCGGCCTCCCAAAGTGCTGGGATTACAGGCGTGAGCCACCGCGCCCGGCCAGAAAAATCTCTTAAATTATTTCTTAAAATATATTAGTATCATTACTAAGGCACTTTTATTTTATGCAAGCAGGTAGAGTTATTTTTTAGCATACATAAATGTCTACTACAGGTTGAGTATTCCTTGTCTGAAATGCTTGTGACCAGAAGTGTTTAAGAATTCAGATTTCAGATTTTAGAACATTGGCATATACTTAATAAAATATCTTGGGGATGAGACCCAAGTCTCAACACAAAATTAATTTATATTTCATATACACCTTTTAATAATATGTAAGAAACAAAGTTTGCATTATGTACTTAGCTGTAGAATTTTCCACTTGTGACATCAAGTTGCCACACAAAAATGTTTAAATTTTGGAGCATTTTGAATTTTGGATTTTCAGTTTAGGGATGTTCAACCTATAGTATTATTTTACAAAGTTTTTGCTTGGGAAAAAGGGAAACATTTAATAGACTCCCTATAGAATCAAAGAGGACCTCTTGTACTAAGAGTTAATGTCATTCTTTCAATATTCTTATGACTTGAACTAAACCTCAACTGGGTATTTAGAGATTGAACACTGCCTTGCTTTCGTAAGTGCTGACAGAGCTGGTTTCACTTTTATGTTCCAGAAGTCTATAGCACCTGTTGCTGATATTATTCTTCAGGTTATAACAGTAAATTCTCATGTCATTCACCCAGTTCTCTGTAGCAGATGAGTGCTATACTGATAGTTCACAAACTTATGACATGGGTTCTCTTACAAGCAGTGAATACTTTGCAAATTCATCTCTATTTTCTCCAGAATCAAGTCTCCATAGATTTATAGACAACAGTTTATAGAATGGTGCATATCCAAAGATTATCATCATCATAGATGACCTAACTATATCTCTATTGTATGCATATAGCAATATGTATCTACCTGTATAAGCTTAATTTACTTTTTTAAAAAGGTATCCTAAATTTACATTGTCTCTGTGTCTACTCTCTTTAAAATCCTATACACTATTCAAAATGTATGAACTTAATGTTTCAGTTACTCCTATTTTTTTATGCAGTAGGTAAATGATTATCTCTGTAGATGATATTTAAAGCCACAACGTCAAGCCATGGTTCAAAATCTGAGAGAGAACTCTCTTATAAAATTCTGCAGTTTATTTCCATCAAATGATTTTCAGGTGGCATCTGAAAAGAGCTATTGGAAGAAATGATTATACTATACAAACTGATAGATTCAATGTTGGGAAATACAGAGGCAAAATTCAGGGGTGGCTTTGTGAAAAAAAAAAAAAACTTGTAATATTAACCAAGTAGTCTAAAATTACTGAACAAACCCCCGTTTTCTTCTCCCTTAAATATAGTGACATCATTGAAATGAGTTAGGTTTATAGAACAAACTTATTTCTTATTTTCTGAGATCCTAGTGAAATAATTTAAAATGAAGGAGAAAGAAAATTATAAATTCAGAATCAGAAAGGAGTGAACTGGTGAAGGTTTATGAAAATCATATACAACAAAGACATTAAAATATTATTCAATTTCACACAAAAACATTAAAGATACTCCAGCTATTTCTTGAAACATATGGTCTTTTTATTCTACCTTTGGTCTTCCTGCTTTAACAGAGCCAGAGAAAACAAACAACTTTTCTAAACTCTATAATAATAAATTTTTTTAATACAAAAGACAAAGTTAAATAGAAAGTTATATATAATAAAATCCTAGAAGGAAAGAATAGAGGAACATGAGAGAAAAACATATTTTTAAAGAAATAATAGAAAATAATTTCCAGAGCTGGAGACGCAAGCCTTTAAAAATATCCACAAGCTGCTGAGCAAGATAAATTTTAAACACAAATGCCTCATGATCCAAAACACATCACTATGACACTTCAGAGCAGAAAAGTGAGAATAGTCTAAAAACTTATGCATAACAAAAAAATCTGCCCAATAAAAGAATGAAAATAAATGCCAACGGTATCAGCCAAAAAGAATACTCGAGTGCATTTGAGTAAGGCTGTGAAGTCCTGGGGAAACTTAACCTTGACCTTAGATTTTCATGCCTCCCTTTCCTGTGGTCTATTCTTCAATCAGCAGGAGGAGTGAGTCTTCGAAAGTGCGAGTCAGATCACGCCATTTTCTATTTAAAATTCTCCTGTAGCTTCCCAGCTCTCACAGAATAAAAGCCAAAACCTTATCATGGCCCATAAGTCTCTTTACGATCTGGTCTTTGACTACTCTTCTACTGGGCCACTCAGACCAGCCCAGCAGTGCTTTCCTGACCTAGCCACACCGACCTCCCCTGCTGCTCCAAGCCAAGCACGCTCCTGACTGAGAGCCATTGCAACTGGAATTCCATCTTTTTTCAAATATTAAATAACTATTTTTCCAAATATTAAATAACCTTCTCCCTCATATCCTTATCTCTGCTCAAGTGTTACCATCTTAGAATGCCTTCTCTAACCGTGCTGTGGAAGAACCATGGCTCACTCTCATTCTGACCACTTAGCCTATTTTATTCTTCTGTGTCATGTTGCCCACTGGCATACTACATACCTATGTATTTAGTTTCTCTTTCTTCCACCTTAACTAGTACCTAACATCATGTCATCAAGAAATTTACTATTCGGATCTCTCCTATATCCCCTCCATATAAATAACTTTTGGCATGTAGCGCAATAGCCCCCCCTTATCCACGGTTTCACTTTTCGTGGTTTCAGTTACTTGCAGGCAACAATGGTCTAAAAATATTAAATGGAAAATACCAGAAATTTAAAAATCATAACTTTTACGTTGCACACCCCTTTGAGTAGTGTGATGAAATCTTAAGACAGTCCACCCAGGACGTGAATCATCTCTCGTCCGGTGTATCCATGCTGTATACGCACTAACCACCCGTTAGTCACTTAATAGCCCTCTAGGTTATCAGATCAACTGTCAAGGTATAGCATTGCTTGTACTGAAGTAACCCTTTATTTTACTTAATAATGGACCTAATGTTCAAGAGTAATGATGTTGATAATTCAGATATGCCAAAGAGAAATAATAAAGTGCTTCCTTTAAGTGAAAGGGTAAAAGTTCTCTAATAAAAAAAAAAATCATATGCTCAGGTTGCTAAGATCTACAATAAGAACGAATCTCCACGAAATTGTGAAGAAGGAAAAAAAAATTGTGCGTAGTATATGTAGGCTTTGGTACTATCCCCAGTTTCAGGAATCCACTAGGGGTCTTCAAATGCATCTCCTACAGATAAGGGATGACTACTATATGTACTCAATACATGAATCTCTCTTAAATAATTGACTGTAACCCTGGTTTATGTCTTGTCACTCTGGGATCTAGAATGTAAAGTTTCCATCCATACCTACGTGGCAGGGGGAAAGATTATGGCACCTTTCCCACTGGCTTGTAAGACCTCTGCTCATATATTATTACTCAAAGAAAGTCATATTTGTCATGCACAATTTCAAATTGGAGAAGTGCAATTCTACCACAGAACCACCAAAAAACTCTGAAATATTAAAAATGACCCTAATTTTTTTCAATATAGGCATAAAAACAATAGTCCAAAGTAAAATGGAAGGTCATGGTTACCAAGAAGCATGTCTGCAAAAATAAGTACCTTATACCTTTCAAGAAATAAATAAAATGAGTAAAAACTTGAATCATATTAGGGATAGAATAGAAAGGATATGTGTCTTTTATCCTAACGAGAAAAACACAAAGGCAATAGATACTCTAGGGAGATGTCAAAAATTAAACAAAAATCCATAATCAAATATGACTTTTGATTAAATTAAATATGACAAAATTAAAAATGACTTTGAACAATTGTATGTCATTACATTTGAACATAATTGTAGAAATATTCACCCTTGTGTGATACCAAAATTGACAAATTAAAACTCCTAAGAAAGAAATATAATCATAGCTCACTACTTTACCTATATAGTGAACTAAATTTACATGGTCAAGATAATGTAAATAAATAAAAATAAATGGAAAAGTTTAGTTTATTGATTTTCAACTTTTAAAGTGATTCTATATATAAAGCACATAAAATTATCCTTGGATTATAGAACTGAATAAAATGTTATCACCCTAACAATGTATAATGCAGTGTAACTTGAATGGAAGGTAGAAAAGAGAAGACGGGAAGGAAAGACATCAAAAAAGATAAAGATGCTAATATCTTTATTTTATACATTAAGGATAGTCATTTATAATGGAACATGAAATAAAGTTTTAAATAATTTCTTAAACCTAGAAAAATACCAGTAAAAGAGCTATAAAGTATTAAATATTTATTACTTTATTATAGTATTTAATAAAGTAATTATTATAATAAATAAGAAAAAGTGTTAGGGAAGAGGATAGGTTAGATAAGTAAACTGAATCCTCACCTTTAAAAGATAAAAATCAGTAAATATTTCTAAATATCATAAAGACATAGTAATAAAAGTATATTTGGGAGATACGAAGGTAACTATAAGAAAAACAAAATATATTCAAAACAGTCGCTCTGAGGATCAGGACGACAGTGAGAATTGAGAAAGGGAATTCCTGGTTTCCATTATAAACTCATCTGTAACATTTTAATAAGTGCTTATATTGCTCTCATAAGAAAATACTAAAAAAAAATGCATATATTAATTGGATGTCATAGCCCTTCAACTCTTGTCCAAAGACTACATTACACCGAGGAAGTTGATTACTCAGTTAACATGATGAGTCATGAGGCAGGTAATTTCAAGGCATGAGAAAAAAAGATCTAAACATGGAGATTAGGTAGGATAATGTATTGCCTGGAACAAACACCTAAAATGCACAATAAGAAAAAAAGAAACTATTACACTCAAGGCAAAATTATGAGTTGGGAAATCTTTGGTATAATCAGTCAGGTATTTTAAATAAGCTGTTCGTAGGGAATATGGATGTGTCACTTAAACTAAGTAACGGGGTTAACATTTAGATGCATAAATGCTAAAATAGCCCAAAGACTGGTTTGGAGCAGGGTGTGATCTGATTTATCATTCTACAAATCTTTGAGAATTGATTAATCTGATAAGTTAGGAACAGGAACAACAGATCAAAGTGACTATAACAGTATAATTCTAGAAAGATATAAAAAGAAGAAAGTTGTAAAATATAACTAAATGACTATCTGGCATTTTTCAGTGTTTTTAATGGCAATACAATTTATTTCATCTTTATCGATGCCCTTAAGTTGGGCCTAATATGTTGAAATAAGGTTTTCTTAAATGATGGAACACTATTGTTAATTACTCAATATAAAAAAACTCAGCACTGTAATCATTGTCATTATAAGCATTTATGATAAAAATTTATAATGAAAACATTTTAATTGTTTAGTCTAATATTGTTTTAATTGGAACAATAGAGCCTGTAAAGCTATATTTGTCAAACAAAACATTAAATAAAATTATGGCTGCTTTAGAAATTATGAAATATTCTTAAAATAACTGCCTCAATTAGCTACGATTGTCCACGTGGAATTCAGCAGCAGTGAGTCTGCCTTTTAAATAATGACAGTTGTGTATCAGCACTTGGAAATACTACTTGTGTGAGTTTGATCATTTTTCTCTGGAGGTGGATGTCTTCCAAGTAAAGCACATGAGTTAGTGAATGTTCTATTTCTTTTTTAGCCACGTTTTCTCTTGGGAATGTCAAATTGCTCAGCAGAGTTAAATGAATGTCTCATCTCAGTGGAATGTAATAACCATGTGAAGAATACAATGGAAGGAAATTGTGTCCTCATCCTTAAGGAGATTATAACTGAAGGGTCCACATTCAGAATACCTACCCAATGTTTTAAGAAGATACTGTAGAACTTCCAGTAACAATGGAACTTCCTCTTTTGTACTAGGATGCTTATAAAAATGTTAAATTCATTTTTATCTCTTTGGGGACTTTTGCCTCCAGACAAATGCTTCCAAACTTGACTATTCATCAAAATCACCTGTGTAGGATTTTAGGGATTATGGAGTTTAAAAATTCCCAGCTCTTACCTCCGGAGATTTTTATATGGTAACTCCCCAGGTGATTCTGATAATTAGCCTGGCCTAAGAACAACTGCTGGAGGTAATTTCAACATAAACAGAAAAACTTGTTTGACCAGAAATTAAAAGTGTGCCTGCAAAGGTCAACATACTCAGTCTGGACAAAACAGAAGAACCAAGACCTCACATTTACAAATCTATATGCCAAAATAGATAAGGTTCCTGTATGCCCTTTAATTAACTTGAAATTAAGTGGCTCTTATTTAAAAAACTAATTTTCTCACCTTATCTTGTTACATTCTATTAAGTTTCTTTTCATAACATTATTGTAGGCATATACAAATACTCCTCCAGAGGATTTCCAAAGGACTGACACTGTTTCCACATAAGAGTTAGGTTTGGTTTTCAGTGAATTGGAAAATATTAAAACATATTAATCCATAGTTGTAAACCTACAAATGTAAAACTATGTATCACCTATGACATCTTTAGCAAGTGGTAATCTATTCCTAATCTATTTCTAGTACATAACAAAAATTTAAGTCCCTAATTCTTCAACTCCCAACAACTCAGCACAAATACAGAAAAGGAAGGAAATGACAAGGAAAGTACAGAAAAGAGGAAGAAAAAAAATTGAAGAGGGAAGAAAGTGACAATACTAAAAGATTTTTATGGAATTGCTAAAACAGAAGCCAATTTTTACCAGAAAACAAGAGTATCCACTGTGTATTAACAATATCTATTTTTTTTTTTTTGAGACAGGGTTTTCCTCTTGTTGCCCAGGCTGAACTGCAATGGCACTTTCTCGGCTCACTGCAGCCTCTGCCTGCTGGGTTCAAGCGATTTTCCTGCCTCAGCCTCCAGAGTAGCTGGGATTACAGGCATGCGCCACCATGCCCAGCTAATGGTATAAAAGGAAGCTCCACTCTGCTCCATGACATAAAGTGTTCTTCCCTGGTGCATACAAGTCATAAGATGAAGGTTTCCACATAGGTAGTTGTATGTATCATTAAGTATTGACCACTCTCTTAGACCCTCTTGTTTAATATTTTCCCCCAACACAGTTGAGCTTTCTTAGCAGTCAGATTTGGGAAATAGATATTGTGTGTTTTAAAGCCTCTCCTAAGGGATGACTTGAGAAATTTCATTTTGGTTTTCTTCTGTAAACACTGGCCTTTGAAGCATGCATACATGCACAAATAATTGTGGAACGCACAGTCAGAATAAAGTCTTATTAAGTTAGTATTATGCAAGGGACTATGGTAGAGAACATTTTAACAATTCCCTATTCTTCATGGATTGATAATATTGTAAATATTATAAAAATGAACTTCTGAAAAATTAGACACACTAAACATAAGCCCAAATTATTTGTCATCTGATTCAGCAGACATAAAATGACTCAAATTGCTCTAAATGTTTCTAACCACATACTCTCAATTTCTGTACTTGCCCTGTGACGGACAGCTAGTCTGTAAACCATACTCTGAAAAATATGGATTTATCCCACTGGGTTTATCAGAATTCTTACTGGGACCAATGAATGAGAGGTTACAAATTCAAATCTCTCATAAAATGGTAATAGAATAAAAGGTCATTTAACTTGGAATTTGATTAAGCTTCACACAAACATCATAAATATGTTACCTAATGAACATAAATAAATAAACAGAAAACCTCCAAATGTATGCCCCATAATTGTTACTAGCAGCAAATCCATATGGGTCTGCAACAACCTGAATTCTTGCCTCCTCAGAAAAAAGAATTCGACTGAGGGCCATAAGGCAGAAGAGACTAAGGCAAGTTTTAGAGCAGGAGTAAAAGTTGATTAAAAGGCTTTAGAGCAGGAATAAAAAGAAAGAAGAGTACACTTGAATGAGGGCCAAGTGGGCAACTTGAGAGATCAAGTGTGTGGTTTGACCTTTTGACTTGAGGTTTTATAGGCTGGTATACTTCCGGGGTCTCTTGTGTTCCTTCTCTCCTGATTCTACCCTGGGGGTGGGCTGTCCTCACGCACAGTGGCCTGCCAGCACTTGGGAGGGGAGCATGCGCAGTGTATTTACTGGAGTTGTATGCATACTCACTTGAGAAGTTCTTCCTTTACCGGCCAAATGTCCCTAGGAGGTCAGGCACCAGTTAAACTCTGCCACTTTGCCTGTTAATGCGCATGTGTGAGACCACTTGCCCAACTCCTGAGATCTTATCAGGAAGCTACTGATCATTAGTTTCAGGTGTTTCATATATATTGGGAGCCTGCCTTTCCCTGGAGCCAGCTACTACCAATTATTTTTTTAGAGAGACAGTTAACAACCTCCTAACCATCACCCAGTGGTCACCTGACATTCCTAGTTGGGGGGTGGAGGGTCTCCTGCCCTGTTCATGTGTGACTAGCTATCTACCGTAACTAACATACATTTGGGTCCAAGCTGGATTTTTTTTACCTTTAGACTATGCTGCTGCCTTTCGACCTCCCACTGACCATTTCTCACATTCACTGTTTGAATATTTGCCTCTTTTTTTTAAATGCCTTTGTTTGTAGTTTATTTTCTGTCATTGTTAGTGTAATTATTAAGATGTCTTTCAATTAAATATGCAACTATTCATTTCTGTAGACACCTTTTTCCTAGCACAAGCTGGTTGTCTATCTTCCTAGCAAAATGCTGGTAGTTGTATTTGTATGTATCTACAATAGCATTACAAAAAGAAACAACAGAAAGTAACAAGGAAATAAAGGTGAAAAAAAGAGTTTTAAAATGAGAAACACAGAATTTTGCTAAGAAGCAAGACCAATGCAAGAGCAACTTCTTCTGTAATTGAAAGATTCTATTTCTTTGCTTTTTGTACTTTCACTTCCTGACATAACCAACCTACCTTTTGAAAGCAAGAGTTAATTCATGGTTGATGCTAAAGTTGAATATAATTCAATGTTAGTCCTTGTATACTACTGCGATGCACACTGCTGGGTACACACTTGATAGCTCAGGGAGTACTCTGGTTTAATGACATCAGGCCCAGTATTAGAAAACTACAACTGAACTAAATTGAAGGAGGAAATTAGAGGAAAAGGGAATGAAGCTTTGAGAGTACATATACTAAAAATACTTGAAAGATGATTACATGGAAACATCTTGAACATAAGATCTTCCATTCATATATTGGTCAAGTTTAAAAAAAAAAAAATCCAAGCCATCCCCTCCCTGTATTGCTTTCTGTGTGCCCTGTCCAGTGAGACTTTCCAAAACCCTTATTTTTAAAAGCATTTGATTCCTGCTATAGCTCATTAAAATCAACTCATTATTTAGCACGGGGCACATTTCTGTAAAAACATTTGTCTTTCTTCCATCTGTTCACTTAGCCCTTTCAGGCAAGTCCCTCTTGGAGCACACATATCCCTGACCCAGCTCTCACAACAACTGCTGAGCTGGGGTCGGCACCAAATCCATCCATCTCTAATGACATTGACTCACAGTAGTTGCTTTTCTAGTCTCAGCCTGGCCTCTGTGAAAGGAGGGTGTGATTACAGTAGGAAGTGTCACACGGGTGTAATTCAATCACAATTTGGCATGTCCCCATCCCTTGCTGGCAATCAGTTCATGGACTCTGTCAGCCTTCTGGATCCCTTACACCACTCGGGCCAACAGTGTTTATAGTTACTCTTGAGATAATACTTGGCAGCTGCAGAGCCAAGCACCAAGCTGTGAAACGTGCATGGTTAGCAGCAACTGTGGCTATCTGGCTGTATGAGTGGACATTTTCCCTACAGGTTTTTTCCTTGTTCATAAATGCTTTTATTTTGTAAGTTAGAGAGAGGACAGAAAAGAGATAAGGGAACAATGGAAGTATTCCATCTGCCACCAAGTCTTGAGCTCAGAGGAGGCATTATATGAAAATGTGTTATTATTCCCATTAACTATGTTGGGTCATAACATATTTGATAAATCATTATATTCCTTTTCATTCACTTTCCTAAACTCCCTTGGATCTTTTCTTGCTGTGCTCCTGAGTTACATGGGTTGTTTGGTAGTTTATTTTGCTTTCAGTGGTTGGCAAACTTTACACATACTTTCACCCTATTGCATCTGGACTTAAGTGCACAAGAAAATAAATCTTGTTAATTTTTAAGGACATGTATACTACTTGTCAAATGACATAGTTAAGTCATGGCTTATCCATTCTACCAGTGTTTCTCTATGTCCCCCTGTAGGAAACAGCAGTAGCAACCAGAAGACAGGAGGCACAAGAAGTTAGCAAAGAAAGCCACCTACTTCTTCCGCCTTAATTTCTCTAAGCACTTATCAAGGTACATTCCAACTCTAGCCATATATGTCTCCATACTGTTTTCTTACGTGTTCATTCTGTCTTTCAAATTGCTGCTAATGTATTTTAACTTTGATCTTCCTAATGCAAATAGCTCTTATAGTACAAAAAGGCAAATTACTTCTATGAACTCTGTCCTTTATAATGGTCTGTTTATCCTCAGTGCCAGCCCATGGACTGGTGACCCTGTGAATCTTCCCTGAATGTTCTTCATCACAGAATGCTAATCACTCATACACACTGGGTTATTGGGTAGTGATTATAAGCATTGTAATATCTATCAGAGGGGGGATTTATAATGAAAAGATTTTAGTTCTAGAATCCATGATTTTACCACTAAAACTAATAAGGTGCAGAACCTCAGATAAATCTCCTATCTGCTCACAAACTCTTTTTGCTCAGCTATACAGGATAGCTGCTATTTCTGAGAATGTTTTGAAGCAAAGACTTGGATGGAGATTCTGAATTCTACCAAATTCCATACAATATTGATTACTCGTGGTTATTGAGATCCCATAGTCTTAACTGTTCAAGTAAGTTGGATTGCTTTGGGAGAGTAACCATCAGCAACCTATCTTTGAGTTATATGATCAGATTCTCTTGAACTTGCATGCATGCCCACATTCCTGTAGACCTGCTTATCCTTTGTCATGATACTATCTGTGCCATGACATTGTCTGGTCTTGCTTTTCTCCTTCTTCCTACCAAAGTCCTATTCTATACTGAAGAAAAGAAGCTAAAAGAAGCCCAATTGCAGTGAAGGAAGCACCCTGCTGTGTGAGCATAAATTAGGCCCTCTTGAACAGACATAAAATGCCAAGATGATAATATGCTTCCAGAAAAAGATCCTCCTTAAAGCAATTTAGTTTGTATAGCAAAGCAGTCCTCATTAAAATAGGCCCAAATGAATCAAGTAAGACAGCACCTTTAGATTTGGCCTTTTGAAATAAAGCATTTGCATCCTGTATGGAAAAGTGACATTTTATGTTTTCAAAGAAAGCATAGCATTCTCTTATTCAGCATAAAAAGGTAAGACATGTATTACGTCTAGAATATAATAAAGTCAGTGTTGAAATATTTCAAATATAAAAGTCTGAATTTGTACTTATATATATAATTTATATGATCAGCATATTGAATACATAACAAAAAGCTTTGAAGAGATTTTAGCAATTAATATTTATTAAACATTTCCCATGTGTTAAGTCCTAAATCCTTTGCATGTGTTAAATAATTATTATTTCCATTTGAGGATGCTGATACACAGAAAATTTAAGTAATTTACCCAAAGTGACACAATAATCAAATCTTAAAGGGCTGGATGTTTTTATTTTAATTGTACATATTTCAAATGGGTAACATGATGTTTTGATATCCTTGATTTTTAATCCAAGAGTACAGCTCCAGAGCCCATGCTCCTTGGTGCTACATTTGTGTGAAATCCTAAAGACTTAAATTTCAATTCTTGTTCTGAAACTTACGAATTGTATCTCCATAAGCAAGCTACTTAAACTCTGGGTATATCAGTTTCTTTATCTCTAAAAGGGGAATGAGAAAAATAACAGTGCCTATCTCAAGAGACTGCTGTGTGAATTAAGTGATAAAGTGTATGACAAGCTTCCTAGACTCTGCTTTCCACCTAGATGTGCTTAGTAAGTTATATACTTCACCTGCTCTTATATCACAAAATCCTCTGGAACAAGAGGAAACAAACTGAATAGAAACAGAAAAGACTTCCTAAGTTACTCATTTCCAGGTTCTAGGAAATGCAGAAAAGTAACACTTCAAAATTAACCATAAATACATAGAACCCACTAGGCAAACTATCCCAAAGTCAAGCTTCTTTGTGCAACATCTCATGTTAGCGCTGTCCTGGAATTATACATAAACATTCTGCCTTAAGAAAATCTATCTGTAGATCTTATAATTACAGTGATCTTGATTTCCTTTATCAACCGTGTTTCTGATTCTATATAGTCAAAGGAAGAAAGATGACAACTTGTATTAAGGAGAAGTAAATTTTCTTGCAAGAAATAATGAAAAAAGAAAAAAATTCTTTGGATAGTTTAATGACAGCATATTGGCCAAAGAATGCTTTTTCATTTTTTTTTCCTGAAATGAAATCACTTCTGATAGTGACTGAAGAGGTAATGATAACGTGATTGACTTTGACATTTTGACAAGCTTAATCTACTCTTTGTTGAGATAAGTTACCATTTTCATCAAAAACAAGTTAAAAGAGCTTGTCTGTTTTCCATAAAATATCTCATCATATTTCATCATCTTCTTATGCTTTCTTCAGAAAACAAACTTTCCATTCCTGCAAATGACTTAACATCCTACAATAAAATTATTTCGAGGGAAATAACTTTGTCTATTAGCAAAATGTAGCTCGATATTATAATTTATATCAATTAACCACACTCTACAAAAGTAGACAGGTATGAACAGACAGCTTATAAACAAGATGTTGAAGAGAATAAAGAATGAATAGAATAAAGAAAGGCAACTTTGGGATAGAAACAGTGACCTCATACAACCTATTAATGACTAGGATGTATAGAAATACTATGTTGTGAGAATTATGTAAAGTATAAAAATGCATGAAACTAGTAATTCATGTGAGTGTCTTTATGAGGAGGTAGCAGTGGAGTGGGGATGAAAAACCAACGGCAGACAGAGGCAGACTGATGACTTTTGTGTATAAGGACAAGACATTTGCCTTGACAACAAAACCGGTGAGAAGTAAAATCATAAGTCACTGATTTACTAAGACATAGAATACAACTAAGATGTTATAAGAAAATGTGGAACTTATGTGACAAGCCCCCCAAAAGCTAACCGCCTATTAAAAGACCTGAAATATATAAGTCATAGTTCAGAGGTGGTTTAGAAAGATCTGTAACCATAATGGCAGTTGAAGTATAAGATCACTGGCAAAAACATGGCATAACCTACCTCCAGGCATCTATCTATTGGGGTACTGCATGGTCCAAAGCTCACGCATTGCATTCCTTTTACTTGATTATGTGCTCACCTTTGTTAATAACTGCCTTATAATTGAAAAGGGCACAAAGATGTGTCCTTGTCCTTGAAAATTTTCCTTCTGCTGCCTATGATAATAAAAAGATATGTAATACAAATTGTAGTCAGGGTCATATCTGTCAGGAATACCTATGTGACTGGTAATATTGACATCTATTTGCACATGAAGTCTCATGAGTCAAAAATGAAAGTCTAATTGGACCTACTAAAATTGGACATGTTTCCCTGGTAAGTGTGTCCACAGAAATGTCATCCAAGTAGAAAGTACTTTGTGTAAATATGGAGCATATCTCATAAGATATCAATTGACAAATTTATTTTTATTGTTAAAAGCTTCAAATAAAAAAAGTAAGCAATTGACTGTGCGTGGCTATGCAGGATCAAAAACAATCAGTAGAAAAGAAGCTACTAGAGCCTATATATCAAAGTTGGAGGCTATTTCTTACCCCACTAGGATTTCATTTTCTCTTTTGACCCCAACAGAGGTTGTCCTTAAATCCCTGGTAATCAGAATCAGTTCTTAATGTAAATATCATTTTCTCTCTATGGTTGGAACATGGCTCAAAATACTGAAAGAAATATATGTACACATATTTTCTTAAGAATTTTTTTATTATGTTTCCTAAAATGTTTTAACTTGATTCCTAAAATGGAAACAGGCCCTTAAATAATAATGACTAAACAGATTTAGAAGCATAAAGGATGTCAGAACATCTCAGGTGTTTTAACTAAGAATTTGAGATATAAATACATAAAAAAAAAAAAAATATGGGCAACAAATACTTAGAACAAAAAAAATTTAAAATTTATTCAGGCCAAAAAAGCCTCAAAAGAGAATTTAAAGAGGAAAATAAAGAGTGTTATTGCAATTTGTATCCATTACCCATTTTAAAAATAATGCATGCCTTCCTTGAAAATCAGCTCTAGGTTTTATGTTTTAAATTTCTTTTGTAATTGTTTTTGTTTTCTAATGCTAATGCCCACTGTCTCATTTTCCCCATTTTAGGGAAAATGCATCATTCCATATGCAATTGTATATATATCCGGGCCAGTGTGAGTCATGGTATGGGAGAAAGGGAGAAAGAGAAAGCTCAATGCACCAGTGCCCAACTCAATACCCCAAAGACCAACCAATTAGTTGTTATTTGGAAAGTAGTTACTTTCCCTAGCCCTACATGGTCAAAGCTTGTTATTCTTAGGATTGTCTTTGCTTGCAAAATATATGAAACATTTTTAGAATGTATAATATGTATAAAATAGTTACCTATTATAATAATTATTTGTATTTAACAAATTGTGCTGTCGTTTCAAATGGTAGACTCAATGCATGCCTGCTTCAGATAACAGTGATAGTAGAATAAATAGATTACACACAGAAAAAACACTAGAAATACACACAAGGTATTTTTAAATGACTAATTAAAAGGTGTAATTTTACTCTGTAGTAAAACTCATGGATTTTATGCACAGCCCTGCCTTTATGAGGATTCAAGGACGACCAGCCTCTTAATTCATTAGGCAGTACCTAGGATTAGATATGGCTTTCCAAATGAAACCTAAACCCTTCACAAAACATTCCTGGTTTCAGATATCACTAGAAACCACCACACTGTAGAAAGGGTCACTGAGAGGTTTGCTGAGGTTCACAGACCTTTAAGTAAACTCAAGATGATTTTTTTCCAAGGACAAATGCCAAGTTTTTAGCTAGCCCTAGTTAAGTTTCATGCAAACTTTACTGGGATGCCAAACCTGGACCAATTAATAATTCTGAGCAAATACTGGGCAAAACTTAGGGGTTTCATCTTAAGTCCTGCTATTCTTCAGGTCTCAAATTATAAATTTCATACAGATGGTGTAAAACTTATTATAGTCACCAGAAAACTGCCTTATGAAGTTTGCATTTTTTTCATTTTATGTGTAACTGGCAACATCTCTGTCAACATTTTCAAGAGCTCACAAAACATTTTCTCCCAAAAAAAAGTATGTTGACGTATAAACTAATTAAACATAGTGCATTCTCATTTACTGTTCCAAAATGTATCTCTTCCTGTACAATATTCACAGAGACTAGACTGAGGGGAAAGAGGAGTCACTGGTTTAGCCAGGTTCAAGCAGTCTCTACAAATTCAGACAAATTTCTAGGATGTTATTCCCTAGGCAGGCAGAGGGTCTGGGGCAATCTGAGTCCACTCAAAATGATAGAGTTCTCTATGGGGTATCAATCATCAGCTCTTACAAATCTACTCAAATTCTTGGGAAAGAAAATACATACTTATGTGTCTACATGAAAGGATACAACCAGATTTTTTGTAACAGTAAAAAATTACTTTCCAAACTGAATGGTTTTCAAGATGTTCCTTGGATGACCAATCCACAAATATTTTCAAGCAAAATGTGCTATATAACAGTTACCAAGTACTCTGATCTTTTGCCTTTTTAAAATTCAGGATAAAAATTAAAATGGTATAATGAAAAAAATATTAAGACAAAAAGTGAACCTTAGAAGCCCATTTCTATAACCCAATTGCCTGCTTGATTTCTAGTTTCTCTTTCCATTAAACATTTATACATTTATCATGTATTTTTTGTAGGTTTAATCATAAAGTCTTATCACTTTGCATGAGTGCAGGCTGTTTTCAGAAGAAATTTTCTTCTAATTTAATAATTATTTTTTAGTCCCTAAATATTATTTCAATGCTGATAAAATACGCATTTCATTCCCTACAAGTGTAATGATCAGTTGGAACTGTTTAAATTAGATTGACTTTTCTTTACATATAGAGCTATACAAATGCCAGATTATATAGTATATTAGAGTCCAGGGGCCTCTGAAATCACAGTTCAATTTGAACTACTTTTAGAGATGAGAACATAAAAGATTCTCTGTGCCTATATGAATTGAGATCTTCTGACTCTCAGTATAAAACACTTTCCACCACATCATACCAACTATATTTATTCCTTATCAGTAGCAAAATGCAAAGGGCAGAAATTACATTATATATGTGGCTGAATGAGTAACTTTTAATGTGAATGCTCTTATGATTTATGTGTGTATATGTATTTCCATAAATATGTTTTACTGTTTATATATACTTATGTATGCATATAAATTATGAATTATATATATAACTATTTTTCTCTTTTTCATATTTCTATGAAAATCAGAAAATATGTCCTCTCTGGCAAAATAAAACAAAAACTATATTCTAAAGTTAGATCCAATGTCTAATAAACAATCCTTACACTTTAATTGCTAGACTCAGATTTCTATAAGTCATGTGGAGAGTGGAGACCAAATCAATATCTTGACTTATTCTAAAAATTTTATTCTGTTTAAGAGAGTGCCTCATACTATTTATTATTTCTGACCAAATAGATATCAGTTAAAATATTCTATACTATGTTTGCAGCAGAAGAATCACAGAAGAATACAATAAATGGTCTAGAAACTGCAGTGATGATTTACTAAAGGGTAAGTTTAGTTCTAAACTACTGATACTGATCACCTAAGTGCTCTGTCAGAGGTCAAGTTTCAGCTGAAACTTGGGTTATCAGCAGGAATGTGTCTGAAAGCAAAGTAGAAATATCTAGCACTCATGTTTACTCCACGTGCCTCAGCGAGATCACTAAAGGTCTTCATTGAACAGACTTTATTTGGAAACATTATGTGATTTATACTCTAAGCCAAACTATATTTTGTTTTCATATATTGTTATTACTGTAAAGGCTAAAAAAATTTGTTCGATTTGTACCTCTGTCACTATTTTTTGCTCACCTCTCTTTATCAAGCAGACATTGGCTAGGACATATAAAATTTTTCTCATAACTTGCTCATCTAAAAATAATCAATTTGGGCTTATCAACAAAGAACTAAGTACTTTTATAAAGCATTTATTTGGCATGACTTTTACCCTCTCCATAGGAGATGTGTAAGTGTAAAATAGGGGGTAGGATTAATATTCAGAGGAGAAAGAACCAGGGAGAGCTAAATGATAGAAAAATAAATTGGCATCTATGGCCTCTTCTCCTATTCTTATAGAATGGTCAGTGTAAGAAACCTTCAATGTTGCCACCTACTTACTAGTGTGGCTCAGGTAAGCACATGTTTCCATGAACCAGTTTGGAGGCTGTAGAAGGCCTCCTGTACACCTGAGGACCTAACCCACTGGTTTCAATCTTTCCTGAAGTCCTAGCTTTATAGATTGGTTTCTCCTTAATTAGCCCAATCCTTTTATTACTTATTGAAATGCAAATTACCACCCCAGAGGGAAAATATTAAACCTTATCAGTGATTTGGACATTATGGTGCATGACCCTTCATGAACTCATTAAGGTCTTCTCCTGAGTGCCAGATATGAAGCCTCTGTTCAGCATGGCAATCATATGACCAGCCCCGCTTCTTGTTTGGAGGACATGAAAATAGATCCAGCCAATGATCATGTATTTAATGCAATGTAGTATTTAGATCAGTAATCATAAAGTTGGTAATATCCACCTACCTTTAGGTTTATTATTAGAAAAAGTCCTGGTTATAATCCCTGCATTGGAGCTTTATAACAGCTCTCCAAGATAAATTTCTTTAAGCAATTGCTATGCTATGGATAAATGAAGATTTAATAAGCAGCTAAATATAAACCTATTCTAACAATTGGGAGCTAATATCGCCTGTATAGGAACTTTGCAATAATATTCTGAAAAAGTCAAAGTGCAAAAAGCAAGAGAGAGAGAAAACAAATTACTTTCCCAGTGGTTCAGTAGCAATTTATTTCATTTTGTATGAATTTCCCATTGGTGCCATTTGCTCATTTTTTGGAGGGAGATGGTGGTGGAGAGAGCTATCTGTATATATTAATTTTTTTTTTTTTGAGACTGAGTCTAGCTCTGTCGCCCAGGCTGGAGTATAGTAGCACGATCTTGGCTCACTGCAACCTCCATCTCCCAGGTTTAAGTGATTCTCCTGCCTGAGCCCCCCGGGTAGCTGGAACTACAGGCGCACGCCACCACGCAGGGCTAGTTTTTGTATTTTTAGTAGAGACGGAGTTTCACCATGTTGGTCAGTCTGCTGTCAAATTCCTGACCTCGTGATCTGCCCGCCTCGGCCTCCCAAAGTGATGGGAGTGTGAGCCACCACGACTGGCCAATTTGTAAGATTTTTTTTTAATATCAATAGTCTGAATCCTGGCCTGTCATAGTGCTGCAAACATCATCTCAGTTCAACTGAAAAAAAAGAAAAGTACTGTAATATTTTTGTTTTATCCTTATGACTGGGTAGAAGAGCGTGGTTCCCTGAGCAATGGCCCCATCCTCGAGCCCGAAGACCCACTGCCCTAAATGAGGACAGACATTTGTTTTTGCACTCAAAAAAGTTGCCTTGTGGCTCGCCATGCCCCCTAGTCTTGCCCCCAAATAAACTCGAGACCTTAGCGGGCACGCACTCAAGTGGCTGAACATGAAGACCAGCAGAACAGTGCCGGCGGAATGACATGGCAGAGAAAGAGAGAAGAGGAGGGACATTTGGACACCAAGGGGAGATTGGCCGGGGTGGTTGGAGAAGAGTCTGGCCACTGGGAGGCCCGACTCCAGGGGAAGACCACCTTTCCACTCCATCCCCACTTCTGGCTTCCCCTGCATCTCACTGAGAGCCACCTCCACCACTCAATAAAACCTTGTACTCATCCTTCAAGCCTGGGTGTGATCCGATTCTTTCGGGACACTGGGCAAGAGCTTGGCATACAGAGGGCTGTCACACTAGCCCTCTGCCTTTCTGATAAGGCAGAGGGTCCATTCAACTTATTAACACACAAGCCGTCTGCAGATGGCATATCTGAAAGAGCTTTGTAACACACGCCTGTTTGGGCTTCGGCAGTAGCCCACCTCTAGATGCTGCCATGGGGCCAGAGCCCAAAACCGCTCACCCTAGCCTCTGTACCTGCCCATCTGCATGCTCCTACTAGGGGTTTGAGCTGTGGGGTGATCCAGCAGGCAGGCCACACCCCTGTCACACGTCTTGCGAGGAAAATAAGGGAACTCTCCCATTTCAATATTTAGAAAAAGTTTTCTACCTTAAAATTAATTTTCAGGGTCTTTATTTTTGTGTCTTTAAATGTCTACCATATAAATTTTTGTCATCCTAAATTTATTGTAGAATCTTCAATTTATTGTGTAAATGTAGAAATAAAACTAAATATCCAACACTATTTGTTGAAATGTCCATCACTTCTCACTGGACTCATCTATCATAGTCCTACATAGGTGGAGAGAGTTTACAGATTTGTTTTGAAATTTGCAAATGTTTTAATTCTAAAAGAATTTAGAAATTTAGTACTTTTAAAACTCCCAAGACATTCTTTTTCTTTTTTCCTACTGATTTTTACATTTCTACCAATTTTCTATAATCTGTACTTTCTGTGCCTACTGATATCTGTCCTCTAATGTGACAAGTTGCATTTAATTTTGTGACCTAAGCTTAGAAACGGCTGTGTGACTACAGCCTGCCTACGCTGTCCTTGCTCTGAATTCTGGCTATTCCAGACAATTAGCAAAATTAACTTGGAAAATTATAAAACATTCCTTAATCTAAATTTTCTCATCTCTAAATTGGATCTATTCCACCAATATCAGACATTTATAAAAATTAGATAATGTGGACTGCAACTTAGCACATACTAGCTCCTCAACCAATGTAAGTTTTATTGATTTTTAATTTTCCTTCTATCATCTCCCTCCATACTGACATTATGCTGATATCAACTCTGCTCTTTATTCTTTTTTTTTTTTTTTTTTTTTTTGAGACAGAGTATCGCTCTGTCACCCAGGCTGGAGTGCAGTGGCATGATCTTGGCTCACTGCAACCTCTGCCTCTGGGGTTCAAGCGATTCTTCTGCCTCAGCCTCCTGAGTAGCTGAGATTATAGGCACCCAGCTAATTTTTGTATTTTTAGTAGAGACAGGGTTTCACCATGTTGGCTAAGCTAATCTCAAACTCCTGACCTCGAGTGATCTGCCCACCTCGGCCTCCCAAAGTGCTACGAGTACAGGCATGTCTGCTCTTTATTTTTAAGCAACTACGTGAAATGGTGACAGGCTGTTCCATGACATTTTCAGGGCCTAGGACAAGAATAGAAATGCAAGCCCATGTACACTACATGTAAATATACTTTATATGAACACATGTGGAGATGTGCAAAGTATATTTATGGGACTGAAAGAGGACAAAGTACTGAGTAATTTGAAATAAATAATTATTGTGCATGTCCCTGTGTTTTGTTGACAGGTCTGAAATATTTTGATAAGTAAAATAAGTAAAATCAGGAGTTCAAGACCAGCCTAGCCAACATGGTGAAACCCTGTCTCTACTAAATATACAAAAATGAGCTGGACACCTGTAATCCCAGCTATTCGGGAGGCTGAGACAGGAGAATCGCTTGAACCCAGGAAACAGAGGTTGCAATTAACTGAGATTGCACCACTGCACTCTAGCCTGGGCAATAGAGTGAGAGTCGATTTCAAAAAAAAAAAAAAAAAAATCGTAAGTTATGGTCTAATTAGAAAGAAGCTTTTTAACATAATTTGTATTTTATTGCCAGATGTGCCAAATTAAACATTTATTGAGTTATTACATTTATTAATTAGATTGTTTTTTATACTTTCAAATTTTAAAGAAGACATTGTTCCATTGAGTCATCATCAATAGGAAATATCAATTCTTAAATCAATACTTTGATTCTGGAATGAGCCTTGGTTTATACATATCATACAAAGAAGATCCCAAATGATAAATTATCATTTTAACATGTAAGTTGTATAATATTTTATTTTGCCATATAGAAAATTTTTAAAAAGCAATATACTACTCAATCAGGACTATATCTTGAACTATATTTGTTACAAAATAATTTCTAAATATTAGTTTGGAATTTACTTGTATGCAAATATCCCTCTTCATGTTCAAGCAAACATTTTAGTTTTTGTGTTCTATTATTGTTATATCTTAATGGAATGATGCTTTTGCTGTATATTTCACATGCAGTCTATTTTTGACAGAGGGGGAAAAAAACATTTAATTTAAAACTTTTAAAGCAATTAGTCCCTTTAAAACTGAGATTACCAAATGTAGATCTCTGAGTTTCTGTAAGCTTTTACTAAACTATTATAAGCAATAGTTCATATTCAAAAATGCAGTTCATGCATATTTCAAATTCACTACGTTTTTTAACAAAAAATGACATCTTTAGCTGCACATCTATTTTACCTGTTTTCATGCATCTTGTATCTTGTCTATACTGATTTTAACACCTTTAATAACATTTAGATGTCATTTCAATCATAAGTCCAAGGGTAGTTGTAATCTCAAATTTTATATAGGCTTTATTAAGATTCCTATATGTGAAAAGGTCTAGAAAATTTGACTGTAAATTTGTAATTGTTCCCTAAGTGTCATCAATTCTGGCAAAATTGAAGATATGTCTTTTAGTAAAAACTCAGACTGTGCACCCTAAGTAGCACAAAGAATGCCGTGGATCTTTGGCCATAATATTGGCTGCTATTTGCTTTATCAAACATGTTAGCAGCATTATCATAAGCTTGCCATCAATGGCCTTTTAATAAAGAGCTGAACATTTTTCTTTACTTTTTAAAAAGTTAATCAGTATTGTTAGAAGTCTCTATAAAATAAAAATATTCTTAATTCTAACATTTACTATCTATTTGGTTGCCAATATTTAGAAATGATATCATACTTTAAACTTTGCATCCATTTATACATATTGAAATTTGAGAGAAATATAAAGTGTTTAATATTGAAAAATATACTTCAGTTGCTATGTGCAACTGCTTTGAATAACACTCACATTTGTGAGAACCTGTAGAGCCATGATTTAGAATATGAAGAGAAGCAAGAAAATGGATACTCAGCACCACTGAGAAAAATATATTTAAAATAGAAAAAAAAACCTATTTCATGTATGCTGTTGAGACACCAGATTTGACAGGTCAACTGATTTATATTCATTCTTAAATGACTTTGTTTTCACCGTTCAAATACTCTGATCTGCAAAGCAGTGTCCTTCTCGCAGCTGGCATTGGCACAATCTGAAACTATTTATGGGATTCAGACACAGTCAACTTTTGCTTTAAGGACGTATGTCAAGAGATGTGGGTATTGCCATGGGACTCAGAGGGTCTATTTTGCCTGGAATGAGGGCAGTACTGAATGAAAGAGCTATTTATTTTCTGGAACTCTTGATGTTTAGGCACCACAGGCTTCCTGTTGGAAGACCTACATTAGCATTTACTAGTTAAGACATGTTTGGCTCCAACTTAACTGAAACTGTAAAAAATGGCAACTTATATTTATGTCCCTACATAAATAGAAGTTTAGAGAAAGATTCAGTTGTTGAAGGATATTGTCAAGAGCCACAGCCCCTTTATCTTTCTGCTTTCTATACTTTGTATGTGACCCTTGTCCTCACTGTTGCAAGATGGCTGCTAATCCTCTAGGTGCTGCATTCACATTCCAGGCAACAAGAATAAGAAGTGATGAAGAGCCAGGCGTGGTAGCTCACGCCTGTAATCCCAGCATTTTGGGAGGTTAAGGTAAGAGGATCGTTTGATCCCAGGATTTTTTTTTTTTTTTTTTTCAGACGGATTCTGGCTCTGTCGCCCAGGCTGGAGTGCAGTGGCAGGATCTCAGCTCACCGCAAACTCTGCCTCCCGGGTTCAAGCAATTCTCCTGTGTCAGCCTCCTGAGTAGCTGGGATTACAGGGGGGTGGCACCACACCTGGCGAATTTTTGTATTTTTATTAGAGACGGGGTTTTACCATGTTGGTCAGGCTGGTCTAAAACCCCTAACTTTGTGAACCGCCCGCCTCGGCCTCCCAAAGTGTTAGGATTACAGGCGTGAGCCACCGCGCCCGGCCAAGAGCCCAGTATTTTGAGACCAGCCTGGGCAACATGGCGAAACCCCAACTCTACAAAAATTAGCTGGGCACAGTGGCATGTGCCTGTAGTCCCAGCTACCTAGGAGGCTGAGGTGGGAGGATTGCTTGAGCCCAGGAGGTCAAGGCTGCAGTGAGTGGAGATCCGGCCAGTGCACTTCAGCCTTGGTGACAGAGCAAGACCTTGTCTCAAAACAAAACAAAACAACAACAACAACAAACAAACGAAGTGATGAAGAGATGGAGGCAGCATCTCTGGATTGAAGAGCAAAACAGTCCAAGACCTGCACAATACACATCTCATTTGCTAATACTATGTCACATCCAAGTATGAGAGCATTCAACAGGACACACTGCTACCTTGTAAAAATTGTCATTACACTTGTATGATGGGAAAAAAAATGATTGGATATATTGACTAGGCAACTAGCAGCATTTGCTTCCTTATCAGAGTGTAAGAAGAACAAACACTTCTCCAGGATATTCCACTGCTTCCATGTTAAACTATTCTCTTTCATTTAATATATAAGTGCTTTCCTTTATTTTTCTACTTTTTGATTTTACCCTTGTTTAGATTTCCAATTAAAACAAGTTTTTGATAGAGATTTATGGCATTTTATAAGAAAATTAGAAAATACAAAGAAGTAAAGAGAAACTAAAAACATCTAAATATCTACTTATCATACTAACACTGTTATTTTGCCACACATTTAAGTGCACAGACATAGGGATAAAAATGTATGGCTGTATCACCCAAGAAATTTTTTTATTCAGTGGAAATCTAAATACTTCCATATTGTTAAGTAGAGAAAAATAATATTTCTGATGCATTAAATTACTTTAAATGCATATGCCTTAAGTAATTAGTCTTACTTAAGGTATAAAGATATCCCCCAATTAATAACATAAGAATCTAGTGAATAAAAATAAATGTCAGGCAGCTTTTAAAATATTATCACCTATTTGTTTGTATATATGCATCTCTCTAAAAATTGCTTTATGTTTTCAATAACGTAAATAAAACATGCTTACAAAATATTTATATTTCATATTAAACAGAGTATAAAAAAATTAAAGCTTATCAATTTCATCACTTGACAATAATTACAAACACAGATAACAGAGAAACAATTGATCAAAAGTCGATAAATTGTTTTCAAGTGACTAAACTTAATAAAAATAAAAATTAACATATCCTATAACCATAATTTATCTTTGTAATTAAACAGTGATATTTTATAAAAATCTTTTGTTTCTTCCTCAAATATAGAAATTGTTCTTATATCAGTCTAGCTTTATCATCAAACCCATAATACTTTCATAGTGACTATCTTCCATAGTGTTTTGGTAGATAAAAAGCCTGTTCTTAACACATTTAATAGCCAATGTAATTTTTCTTTTTTGATAAGAATATTCATTTTAGTGACCCTCATCATCCCTTATCTTTAATAATCTGACAAAAGCCTGAATAACTGTAATTCTCATCCACATGCAATTTCCAAAGATATTGCAACAACATAGTCTAGGTCCTACCCAGGTTCTCTTGATAGGAATTATATGACACATGTATTTTCATGTTGTGATGCCTATATATTGCTGATTGTATAAAGATGTATACTTTACCATTTTAGTAAGAAACCAATCATCCCTCCAAAATTTCTTCTTTTTACAATTACCCCAATGCATTTTTATTGTTCAGAGGCTTTGGACATATTCACTTACTTTTGCCCCTCTATTTTCCTCTTTTCAAATTCAACAACCACCACCAAAAACAAACAAACAAACAAACAAAAAAACAAACCATAAAACTCATGAACCGCTGGTATCTCTCATTAGTCTGAAAAAGTAAACCAGATTTTCCTATTAAAAGTGTGTCAAAATGTGATTAAATCCTTAAATAAGAGGTATGTCACGCTAGAGACTGTTAGATAAGACTACCCTTGATTTGTAGATTATATAAAAAGTGTTCAAAGAAATATATCTCTTGGAATGTAGAAAGGGAAAGAAAATGAAAATGAAAATAAATAGAATTGATTAAAAGGAAAGTTTTGTTGAAGTATATACCCACAGGGTTGTGTTTTAAGATAAGGTAGTGTGGATTCAATTTCAATTTTCTAAATAGGCTTGAAATATAGCTAAAAATCAAGTTGACTAAAGGGAATTTCTTTGCATACTACGTCTCTCACATTGAAAGCTTATTTCTTGACACCTCTGTATCATATCTGTCTTAAAAATACTGCTGCCTTTTTTCTTTGTGTTGTTTTATTGTTGTTGATTTACCTATCAATCATTTGAGTTTAGACACTTCTAGCTTTCCAGCAAACTCTTGGCACTCATGCATTTATTTGTGTGTGATTAATATGCATATTTAAATCATTTCTGGATCAGCTGCTTATAGCATTATTTAATTTTATTTATTTCTAAAAACGTTTAGTTTTCTTATTGAACTACCAATTAATTCCCAAAAAAGGGGTCTCTGACTTCTGTGTATCTCACCAACATAATAGAAAATCTTATAGTGACTGTAATTTCTGAGCCAGAATTTGAGGCCTGAAAATAATTTTGTTATACGATTTATGACATTATAGGAATTTTAAAATAATCAAATTGTTAAGAGTATGGAATGTAGAGTCAGATATGCTTTAGTTCATATCCCAACCTCCTACCTTATTCATTCCATGGTTTTTAACCCATCCAAGCTTCAGTTTTATTCTGGTAAAGCACGGTTAAAAATTTTTTTACAGGATCTTGGTAAACTCAAATGAAGTACTATGCATAAAGCAATTAATGTAGTGACAATAAAATCAGTATAATATTCCAAATTAAATTTTATTCGTTTTTTTTTTTTTTTTTTTTTTGAGACAAGGTCTCACTCTGTCACCCAGGTTAGAATGTAGTGGTAAGATTGCAGCTCACTACATTTACCTTAACCTCCCAGGCTCTGGTGATCCTCCCGCCTCATCCTCCTGAGTAGCTGGGACCACAGCCACACACCACCACACCAGGCCAATTTTTGTATTTTCTTGTAGAGAAGGGGTTTTGCCATGTTGCCCAGGCTGGTCTCAAACTCCTGGGCTCAAGTGATCCTCCCGCTTTGGCCTATCAAAGTGCTGGGATTACAGATGTGAACCCCCGTGTCTGGCCCTTATTTGGGTCATTTGATTTTACTTGGGATAATATTTGACACACCTTGGTTACTGAGTTAATAACAACACACAACAATATCCTATGAGTGTCACTCTATGCTGGGCCCATGGCTCAGTGATTAACATGGACATTTTTCATTATGCCTCACTAATCATTTCTAAGATAGATATTTAATACCAAACCCATGTAAAAATAAGAAAACTGAAGTTTAGAGATTAAGTATTTTGGCCAAGGGTACAATGGCAGAGTTGTACGTGGATCCAGTTCTCTCTGTTGCCAAAACCTAAATGAGCCCTTCACCACTAGATATCAGTCTTAAGTGCTAATAATTCTTTGATTACTTAAGTTTTTCTTCTTTATTATCTGTGCCCCGTTTAACATCAATTCATTGTGTAGCAAAGCTGCCTACTTTATATGCTAAATCTTTGGTCGTTTATCATCAAAAGCTTAATGTCAGATGAAACTTCTTATATGTAATTTTGAGGATTTTAAGCCAAGTAAAGTAAAATCTTATTAAATAAAAAAATTGATGTAACAAATAGTTAACATTTAATAACAAAATTATTTCTTTACATAATTTCATTTAATCCTCAGAAAATTTCCTTGACTATATCTTATATTTCTCCATTTTAAACATAAGACTCGGAATCAGAGGATATGTGACTTTCACAGTGCCACACATCTCAGATGAGCCAGACGTATATTTTAATCCCAATGTCCATACATTTTGTCAAGAATACCTGTAGTGATATATTCTCCTTTATCCACTGGGACATATCAATTCTGCTGAAAATAATGCTCAACAAAGGAGAAGATTGACATGGGATTGGAGACATCTCTTCTTGAAGCAAAAGAGTTGCTTCATCTAGTGCTATGTGTCAAACAGAGCAAGGAATATGGATGACAGCTAAATTTGATCACGTTTAGAGGAATTTAAAGGAGTTTCGCTTTAGAGATATTAATTCTTGGCAAAGAAACCAGCATATTGTGTGCTCTTGCATATGGTTATCATTAGTAAGGCCAAGTTCTGGCCAGGTTTTTAATGGGTTTAGCTTCCTTATTACTCCTCATTTACTTGACCTATATCCTAATGATGACATGGATTCTGATTTGAAATATAGCCAATTGAGCCAAGCATTTGCCACTACTGAAAAATTCAGCATCCTAATTGAATTGGCCTTAGTGTCTACCAGTTAAGTGTCAGGTATGTGGTGACTAATGACATAAAAGTCACTTTTAAAATATTTTTTACAAACCAGGTATACCTTTTGAGAGCTCACTCTGAACACAAGGACATAATATAAAATAGACATAGAAAATAATACTTTTTGTCATAAATGCAGCCAAATTGGTATATTTTTCATAATTCCTTAAGTCATCAAGGCTATAGAGTGTTAGTAAAATATTTCATATTCTGGTCCATATAAAAGGAGTCTATCATACAAAAATTGATATTAGTATACAAAATGATTTGTCTTTTTAATAATTTGATTTTAGACAGCTTATAAAGATGGATAGTGGATAAAATGACTTTCCATAAGGAAGATACAGAATCTTGTTCCTCATTACAGCAAAGTAGCTTATTATTATAACATAATAACCTCTGAATAAAGTATTTTTAAAAGCATATATTTGCAGGCTCAGAAAAGCAAACAAAACAGATAGAAATTGGAGAAAATCCATGTTTTGAAACAGGAAGCACATTGGTAAAATTCATGTTTTTATAGGCTTTCTTTTGAGGGCACGCCACTGTCCGACGTTTCACAAGGAATAGAACTCAAGCTAAAAACAAAGGTCTCCCTGGGATGATGATTCAGAAGTCAGAATTAGAGACTGTGTGTCTGAGAAATTGAGTGAAGAAGTTCAGGAGCCCCAAATTTGCATAAAATTCCCCTCCTATCACTGGTTGACACTTAACTGTGCATGTATATGACAAGAACCTAAGTGGCCGATGTGAATCATGAAGAAGTTTGAAAGGAATGAAGAGAGATTCCGAAAGTTTCCCATTTTAGGGGAAATAACCTTGAAAGCTCAACTCTGCCAAGTTAGAGAGTAGTAAACAATTCAGGATTTCCATTAAAACCTGAGAAGGACCAGGCTTTGGAAATAAGGATCACATCTTAGTAAGGGAAAAAGTAAAATAGACATACCATAAGAAAAGCCTAAACTCAAACCTCCACAAGTCCATAGTAATCAATATAAATTTAACTCCCTACCAAAACCAAACCATTCTTTAGAAGAGGATAACACAATCCCAACTCACTAGGATGTATCTCTCCAATGTCCAAGATTGGATAAAAGTAAATATACATGAGAAGTAGTGAGAAAATATGACTCAAAAGAAAACATAATAAATGGAAAGAGACTCTCAGATATCCCATATTTTGGAATTAACAGGAATGGACTTGAGGTGTGCAATATTTTTTTAATTATATAAAAACCCATGTAATATCTATATTAAAAATTATCTCAATGCCATAATTATGAATGGAGAAATTAGAAGAAAGCACCAATGAATCTGAAAACAGGTCAGTAGAAATTATCCAAATTGAAGCACAGGAAAAAATTTAAAAATACCAACTGGTCTAATATAAATGTAACTGAAGTTCCTAAGAGAGAAAAGAGTTAATAGGGCAGAAAATATGTGTAGAAATATTAGCTAAAATGTTTAATGTTAAAAAAAACAAATGCATATTCAGGAAGCAAAGTAATACCCAAGCAGGATGAATATTTTTTTTAAACTGCATTTAAATATATCATAGTCAAACTGTAGAAAACCAAAGGTAAAGAGAAAATCTTAAAAACATCCAGAGAGAAAGATATACTGCATTCAAGAGGACAATAATAAGCACGATGATGGCTGTTGTCTCATTAACAGCAATGAAGGCAGAATAAAACAAAATATTTAAAGTGCTGAAAAAAAACCTGTCAACATATAATTCTATATTTACCAAAAATATCACTTAAAATTAAAGATAAAATTGAGACTTTTTAGATAAACAAAAGCCAATAATTTGTTGCTGGCAGCCATACCCACTCTACAAAAAAATTCTGAAGGAATTTCTTCAAGAAGAAGGTAAATGGTAGCAGGTGGAAATTCAGATGTATATAAAAAAATGAAGAGCACTGAAAATGGTAAATATGTGGGGAAATAAGAAACATTATTTTATTTCCTTTATTGAGTTACCTACAATCAAGTTTTAAGATAGAAAACAAAAATGTCAGTTGATTGCTTAAGCAAAAATAACAATATATCATGGGGCTCATAGCATTTGCAGAAATAAAATGTATCATAAAAATAGCATAAAGGATGTTGTAAATGTCTTACATTATACATGTGCTACATTAATTAAAGGTAGATTGTGATGAATTAAGGATGGTTATTACAGTCCCTAGAGAAAACCTAACTATATGCTATACCCAAGAGATGAAACAAATATAAAGATATAGACCTGTTAAAATAAAAGAAGGAAAAAGAAATGCCAACAACACTAAACATAAAAACATTGGTATTACCATTATATTATCCAAGCAAACTTCAGGACAATGAGTATTACCAGAGACAAAGAGGAATATGCTATAATATTAAAAGGGTCAACTTGGCCAGGCACAGTGGCTCATGCCTGTAATCCCAGCACTATGGGAGGCCGAGACGGGCAGATCATGAGGTCAAGACATGGAGACCATCCTGGCCAACATGGTGAAACCCCATCTCTACTAAAAATTTAAAAATTAGCTGGGTGTGGTGGCACGCAACTATAGTCCCAGCTACTCGGGAGGCTAAGGTAGGAGAATCACTTCAACCCAGGATGCAGAGGTTGCAGTGAGCCAAGACAACACCACTGCACTCCAGCCTGGCAACAAAGTCAGACTCCGTCTCAAAAAAAAAAAAAAAAAAGAAAGAAAAAAAAGTGTCAACTTATCAAGTATGTGTAAAAATCCTTGGGCCAGGCACAGTGGCTCAAGCCTGTAGTCCCAGCTACTCAGAATGCTAATGTGGGAGGATCACTTAAGCCCAGGATGTTGAGGCTGCAGTGAGCTATAGTGAGACCCTGTCTCAAAAAAAAAAAAAAAAAAAAAAAAAAGAAAGAAAGAAAGAAAGAAAGAAAGAAACAAAGAAAGAAAGAAAAGAAAATCCTCCATGTATTTTCCATGTATCCTCTGCACATAATCTCATGTGCAGAGCTTAAAAGACATGAAGAAAAACTTGATAGAATTTAAAGGAACATGAAGAAAAACTTGACAGAATTACAGGGAGAAATAAATAAATGCCCAATTGTAACTGGAGATTTTATCACTTCCTTCTCAATAACAGAAAAATAAGACAAAGACTCGAACAACACTATCAAATTGACTTAATCAACATTGCAGAAGACTGCATTCAATAACTGCAGAATATATGTTAATAATGTACCTGCCATGTTCATGAAGAAATGCCATATGCTAAACTATAAGGAGAATAGTTACTGAAATACTTTTTCATTGTGATCATTAGCAGAGTCAGCAGATTTTCTTTATTTTTCTGAACATCTTCAACTTCTCAATGAATAGATAAATATAATAAATGCAAAGTGAATACCTTTATTATTCCCACCAAATATACCTGAAATCTCTTTTTTTTTTCTTTTGCCTTATTTAGGAGAGTGGACAAAATGAATTCAATATTCATGGAGTTTATGTGTCTGTGATTGGCAGGGAAAAATATTTACTTTCAGTTATGCTACCATGTGATAAAGGGAAAAAGACCACGGCAAGTTCTAGGAATCAGAGAAAGTAAAATACTGGCATAATACAAAAAAGTAATGGCATATTAGTGAGAAATGGGTAAGTTACATTAATATAACCTATAATGGGTATATATTGCATATATATACCCTGCATATACTGACTGAGCTTGGAAATTTTCACTTAAATAACATTTCATTCCAAATTTTTACATAAAAAAATAAGTTGATATCTTTCAAAGAAATACATAAAGAATGCAGAGCTGAGGTTCAAATTCTTAGAAAATGCATTAAAAACTCTTACTATGAATTTCAGTCATTTCCTGATGCCATTTATTTTTTTTTTCCCACAACAGTTTTGGGAGAAAAACAGGCATTCACCATGTGCTGAAGCTATTAATGCTGTCAGGTAGCAAGCAAATAAGAAATTACCTAATGACTCAAGATTTTTCTTCATAAAATTGCTCATAAAATTTCTATAGCTTTGTCCACATAATAAAATGGGAGCATAAACTTGAGGAAATTGAGCCATATAAATCATATGGAAAAAAAAATTGAGGGAAAAGACAAAGAAACTGGCAGATCGGTAGATTTAAAACTCAGGAGAAAACTATGGTGAGAGTGAAAATAGTATACAATGGCTCGTGAGACTAGCAATTCTTATGGTTATTAAACCAGAAAGAGAGAAAAAGATAAGCAAGGAGAGAAGAATATCCAAGTGTCATAAATATAAGGAACAAAAAGTTTATATAAAATTACTTAATGGGAGTGACTTTAGCAAGGTGGTGGAATAGGAGATCCCCTGCTTACATCACCCAAGAGCAACAAGATTTGACAACAATTCATAGACAAAATTGCCTTTGTGGGAGCTTTGGGACCACTTAGATGGTTGAAAAACATTGGTGAAGCCCAAGAGCCCAAGACAGAGGAAGGCCATTTTGAGAGGGAAGGCCTGCACCCAGGTGTCACACTCAGCAACTGTGGTTCTGGTTCCAAATCTGAAAACAGCTTTGTACCACTGTAAACTCAGCTACAGCCCCATTAGGCCTTGGTCCTGCTATTAGAAGTATCTGCCAAGCGACTTAAAAAGAATCACATGCCTTGGGTGGCAGGACCACAAACTTCACTGGCTATGAATGCTGAAGCAGCCCGTGTAAGCTGTAGGCTAAGAGCAGTCCTGTTTATGAGTTCTGCCAGGAGAAACACTTGCTTGTGCCCCCCAGAACCAGGCATGCTGATCTTCGTCACACAGGAGATTCTGAAATGACCTTGTAACTTAGTTGTAGCCCTTTTCAGTTGCATTCTGAGAGAAGTGTTGCCTGCGCAGGGACCAAGAAGGAGACATGCCCAAACATGCCCCCAAAGGCAAATTCACTGACTTCAAACCCAGTGCTGATCTTGAAGTAGCCCTGCAACCCAACTCCATTCTCTCCCAGATGCAGTCCATAGGCAGTCCTCCCCCGTCTGGAATCAGGCAGGGGAGGATGCTCATTTGTAGCCCCAGATGCAAGCCTAAAGATTTTTATCTTGGCTGTAGATCCTGAAGCAGCCCTATACTTTAGCTGCAGCCCCTCTGAGTCTCAGTCCAGCACCAGTCTTACTTGACCAGGGACCCACCTAGTGGCAGAACAGCTGTCCTCCCAGGGACCTGGAGGGAGACACTCTTATCTACACATCTAGTAAAAGCCCCCAAAATAGCAGACTCCACTGTGAACCCAAAAGCAGCCACATGACTGACCTCCAATCACACTTGACTGTGATCCTGAAGGCTATTTCATCAGTATGGAGACTGAAGAGAAGAAAGTCTTTTGCTGTGAAATCAGTCTGTAGGGCCATTTCAGGATCTCCTAAGTGACAAAGATCAGCATGCTTGGTTCTGGGGGCAGTTGCTTGCCTTTTCAAATACACAGACACCAAATCAAGGCTTCCCAAAAAATGAATAACAAGGAAATTATGACACTACCCAAGGAAATCAGTAATGGACCATAAAGAAATGTATCTCTATGAATGCCTGATTAAAAAAAAATCCAAAATAATAATTCTGAAAAAAAGTTCAGTGAAATGCAAAAGAACACAGATAGGCAACTAAATGAAATCAGGAAAACAATACATGAACAAAGGAGAAGTTGAATAAAAAAACTGAACTCATTAAAAAAAACCCACAAATCTTGGAGCTGAGAAATATGATGACAGAACTGAAAAGTACAACAGAGAACTGCAGACTCAGTTATGCAGAAAAAAAGAGTCAGCAAACTTGAAGACAATTTATTTGAAATTAACCAGTTATAGGGTTAAAAAAAAGGAAAAAAAAGGGAAGAAAGAATGAGGGACCTATGAGCACCTTAAAGTAAATAAATATATGAATTATGGAATTCCCCAAAGGAGAAGAGAGAGAAGAGGCAAAGAACTTATTTAAAGAAATAATGGATAAAAACTTTCCAAAATGTAGGAGGGATATGGACATTCTGATTTACTGAGCTTCAAGGATCCTAAGAAAGATCAACTTAAAAAGTCACACTGTGGCCGGGCGCAGTGGCTCACGCCTGTAGCCCAGCACTTTGGGAGACTGAGGCAGGCGGATCACAAGGTCAGGAGATCGAGACCATCCTGGCTAACACTGTGAAACTCTATCTCTACTAAAAAAAATACAAAAAATTAGCCGAGTGTGGTGGCAGGCACCTGTAGTCCCAGCTACTAGGGAGGCTGAGGCAGGAGAATGGCATGAACCTGGGAGGCGGAGCTTGCAGTGAGCTGAGATCGTGCCACTGCACTCCAGCCTGGGCGACAGAGCAAGACTCTGTCTCAAAAAAAAAAAAAAAAAGTCACATTGTGATCAAATTGTCAAAAGTCAAAGACAAAGAGAGAATCTTTAAGGCAGTATAAAAAAAAAGAGAGCGACTTATCACATACAAGGGAATTTTAGACTATCACCAGGCTTCTCAGAAAAAACTTTCAAGCCAGGAGAGAGTAAGATAATGTATTCAAAGTGCAAAACGAAAAAGTTGCCAACTAAGAATACTATACCAAAAAAAGCTGTTCTTTAGAAATGAAGGAGAGATTCCAAAACAAACAGAAGCTGAGGGAGTTCATCTTCAGTAGACTTAACTTAGAAGAAATGCTAAAGAGCGTTCTTCAAGTTGAATGAAAGAATGCTAAGTAAAACCATAAAACATCAGAAAGTATAAAATCACGGGTAAAGGTGAATACATAGTCAAATTAGAAAATCCTAGTACTATTTGGGTAATGTGTAAATTATTTTAACTCTAGAACATAAGTTTAAAAACAAAGCATTAAAAGTAATAACTACAGTAGTTTGTTAAGGGATATACAATACCAAAATATGTAAATTGTGACATCAATAACACAAAAACGAGGGGGAGTAAAAGATTAGGGTTTTCTATGCAATAGATATTAAGTTGTTATCCACTTAAAATAATCTGTTATAAAATGTTTTATATAAGCTTCATGGTAACCACAAAAAAAACCTATAATACCTAAAAGATAAAATTTTAAAAATAAAAAAAGTCACTATAGAAAATCATCCAATCACAAAGGAACACAGGAAGAGAGAAATAAGGAAACAAAGAAATGACAAAAGAACCAAGAAATAATTACAAAATAGCAGTAATAAATCATTATCTGTCAATAATTACTTTAAATATAAATAGATTAAATTATCCAATCGAAAGACATAGCAGAGCTGAATGGATTGAAAAAAAATTTGACAATATTCTCCCTACAAGAGATTCGCATTAGTCTGAAGGACACAAATAGGCTGCAAGAAGGATTGAAAAAGAGATCCCATGCAAATGATAACCAAAAGAGAGCATATGTGACTATACTTATATCAGACAAAATACTTCAGTCAAAATCTGTCACAGGAGACAAAAAGAGACTACATAATGATAAAGGAACCAATTCATCAAGAGGATATAACAATTGTAAATAAATATGCACTCAACATGAGAGCACCTAAATGTATAAAGCAAATATTAATAGATCTGAAGGGAGAGACAGACTTTAATCAATAATACTAGGGAACTACAATAACCTATTTTCAACAAATGGCCAGCAGATTATATGTTAGGTCACAAAACAATTCTTAACAAATTTAACAAAATTGAAATCATACCTAATATCTTTTTTAAACACAATGTTATAAAACTAAAAGTCAATAACAGGAAGCATTTTGGAAAATTTACAAAAATGTGGAAATTAAACAATACACCCCTAAACAACCAATTAATCAAAGAAGAAATCAAAAGGGAAATCAAGGACTTTGAAACAAATGAAATGGAACCACAACATATAAAAACTTATGGCATGCAGCAACAGTACTTTACTACATACTTCCCCTAAGAGGTAAGTTTATGATGAATACCTGCACAGCCTGGGGAACATAGCAAAACCTCATTTCTCCTAAAATTAAATTTTAAAAACTAGCTAGGTGTGGTAGCATGTACTTGTAGTTCCAGCTATGCAGGAGGATTGCCTGAGTCCAGAAGATCAAGGTGGCAGTGAGCTAGGATTGCACCACTGCACTCTAGCCTGAGTAACACAGTGACAGAGTGAGACCTTGTCTGGAAAGAAAAGAAAAGAAAAAAGAAAAGAGAAAAGAAAAGAAAATAAAGCCTAAGCCTACACCTCAGGAAACTAGGAAAAGAAAGCAAATTAAACCCAATGTTAGCAGAAAGAAAAAAATAAAGATCAGAGAAAAAATAAATAAAATAGAAACTAGAAAAACAGTGTAAAAAATGAACAAAACTAAAGGTTGGTTTTTTAAAAAGATAAACAAAATTGATGAACCTTTAGGCAGAGTAACCAAGAAAAAAAAGAGAGGGCTCAAACAAAATTATAAATGAAAAGGAGGCACTGCAACCAATACCACATAGAACACTACTGTGAACAGTTATACTCCAACAAATTGGAAAGCTTAGAAGAAACAGATACATTTCTAGATACCTGCAACTTACCAAGCCTGAATCATGAAGAAACAGAAAATCTGAACAGACTCATAATGAGTAAGGAGATTAAATCCGTAGACAAAAATCTCCCAACAAAGAAAACTCCAGGACCAGATGGCCTCACAGGTTACTGTATAAAGCATTTAAAGAATAATTTATACCAATTCTTATCAAAGTCTTCCAAAAAATTAAAGAGAATGAAATAGGTAATCCAGAAATAAGTTCACACATGTACAGTCAACTAACATTTGACAGTGGTGCCAAGAATATACAATTAGGAAAGGACAGTCTCTTCAGTGTGTAAATGGTGTTAGAAAAACTGGATATCCACATCAAAAGAATGAAATTGTACCCTTATGTTGCACCTTTTATAAAAATTAACTTAACACTGATTAAAGACTTAAATGTAAGATCTGAAACCATAAAGCTCCAAGGATAAAAGTGGGGAAAATGCTCCTTGACATTGGTCTGGGTAATAACTTCTTGGATAAGATATTGAAAGCTCTGGCAATAAAAGCAAAAATAAACAAGTGAGAGTGCATCACTGTAAAAAGCTTCTGTGTTGCAAAGGAAACTACAGACAAAATTAAAAGACAGGCTAAGAAATAGAAGAAAATATTTGTAAACCATATATCTGATAAAATGTTAAAATCCAAACGTTAGGCATTCAATACAACTCAATATCAAAAGGAAAACAAAAACTTCAAATAACCCTTTTAAAAATGGGCAAAGGATTTAAATAGACATTTTTCCAAAGAAAATATATAAATAGCCCTCCAGCATATGAAAAGATGTTAAACATCACTAATCATTGGGGAAATACCAACCAAAATTACAAAGAGATGTCACAGCATACCTGTTAGCAGGGTTGGGGACCCCTGCTAACAGGTCACCTCATGGTACTGGTCTGTGGCCTGTTAGGAACCAGGTTGCACAGCAGGAGGTGAGCAGTAGGGGAATGAAAGAATCTCCATCTGTATTTACAGCCACTCCCTGTTGCTTGCATTACGACCTGAGCTCCACCCACTGTCAGATCAGTGGTAGCATTAGATTCTCACAGGAGCACAAATGCTATTGTAAATTGCATATGCAAAGGATCTAGGTTATGTGCCCCTTATGAGAATCTAATGCTTGATGATCTGTCACTGTCTCCCATCACCCCCAGATGGGACTGTTTCAATGCAGCTCAAGGCTCCCAGTGATTCTACATTATGGTGAGGTGTGTAATTATTTCATTATATATTACAATGTAATAATAGAAATAAAATGCACAATAAATGTAACACATTTCAATTATCCCAAAACTATTCCCCACTCTCAGTCCGTGGAAAAAATTGTATTCCATGAAAACAGTCCCTGGTGTCAAAAATGTTTGGGGACTGTTGCCTGTTAGGACATTCATTACCAAAAGACAAGAGATAGTAAGTGTTGGGAAGGGTCTGTAGAAAAAGGGAAACTTTGTACACTGTTAGTGGGAATGTAAATTGGCACAGCAATTCCAGAAAGTATAGTAGTTCCCCCCAAATTAAAAATAGAACTCCTATATGGAAATCCTACCTCTGGGTATATATCCAAAGAAAATTAAGCAAGTATCTGAAAGAGATATCTGTATCTGTGTCCTCTCACCCCATGTCTATTGCAGCATTGTTCAAAATATCCAATATTTAGAAACACTCTAAGTGTCCATCAATTGATAAATGGACAAATTTTGATGCATTTATACAATGAAATATTATTCAGTCATAAAGAGAAGGAAATTCTGTCATTTGCAACAACATGAAAGAGCCTGGAGGACATTATGCTAAGTGAAATAGCCAGACAAAGAAATGGCAAATGCTCTATGTTCTTATCTGCTAAAAGAAAAACTTCAGCCGAATTAAATTTAAAGGAGTTTGAGCAATGAATGATTCACAAATTGGGCAGCCCCCAGAACCACAGTTGACTCCGAGATACTCCAGCTCAGCCATGTGGTAGAAGAAGATTTATAGACAAAAACAGGAAAATGACATACAGGAATTGGGAGTGAGGTACAGAACAGCTGGATTGGTTACAGCTCAGCGTATGCCTTATTTGAACACAGTATGAACACTCACCAATGTATGAATGGTTGAAGTATGGCTGCTGGGCTTGGCCATGACTTGGCTATTGGTACAGGCCCATATTCCTAAGTTAGGTTTTCAATCTTCTCTATTAAGCTAGGTTACAATTTATCCACAAGGACTCAAATATAGAAGTACGGAGAACTTCTCAGGCTACATATAATTTGCGTTAACACATCTATATGTCAAATTAAAAAAACTAAAACTCATAGAAGCAAACAGTAGAACAGTGGTTACCAGGGGCAGGGCGGGTAGGGGTGGGGGACTGAGGAGATATTTTTCAAAGGGTACAAACTTTTAGTTATAAAATGAATGCATTCTGGGGAATCTAATGTACAGAATGGTGACTATAGTGAATAATACCGTATTGTTTACTTGAAATACTTTAAGAGAGCAGATATGAAGTGCCCTCACAACACACACACACACACACACACACACACAAATGGTAACTATGTGGGATAAAGAGGTATTAATTTGATTGTGGTAATCATTATACAATGTATACATACATAACCACATTGTATGCCTTAAATATATATAAATTTTGTCAACTATACTCAATAAAGCTAGAAAAAAAATCACTTACTGTCTCTACATGACAACTATTATACCAGAACATATAGTCCATCCTTCTCCAATTTTGTGGCCTACCCCAATTTTAGGTTTCTTGTGTGCGCTCCTCTTCTTCAGAAAAGCTATTCGTAGAAAGGAACTTAGGTTGATTTATATATACATACATACATATATATATACACACACAAACACACATACATAAACACACACATGTATAAACATACATACACATTATATATGTATATATATATATACACACACACACACACATTACTCTCTGTATATATGTAATTTAACATGAAAAGTAATGCATGCATTACCTCCACAAAACATTCTTGTGCTTGAAACATCACCTTGCAGGGGTACCAGATTCTAATTTTAATTAAATTCACTTTCTGATATTCAAACTTCAAGTCCCCACATGCCCCCCATTCACATAAAGTATATTCATTCTAGTATTTCCTTCCATGAGTAATTTCTTAGTATTTCCGAGGAATTCCTCTCTAATCTATAAGGTGGATGGTTCTTTCTCCTACTGCCATTGCCCCAGTAGAAGATAAGCTCCAGAAGAGGAAGGATATTTTCTGTCTTGTTCCTTGGTTGATCCCAAGCAATTTAAATAGTGACCAGCATATAGAAAGCACAAAATGAATGTATGAATGAATGAATGAAAGAATGAACCAATGAAATTTTGATCCTGAGCACTACAAATCACTTAGCACCTACAAGAAGTTATTTAACCTCTCCTTTTGTTTCCCTAACTATAAAATAAAGATAATAATATTACCTGCCTGATAAGACTGTTCAGAAGAGTTGTTAAAAATTCCATTCCTCATTGATGTCCATGTTGTTAAACTCAATTCCTCATTGATATTTACTCTAAGCATGAACAAAGTTGTGGCTCTTAAATGTCAAAGCAGAGATGAGGACAGGCTATGGTGCTTTGCTTTCATTTCAAGAATATCTAGGATATAGAGGATAACAGAGCTATGGTATATGTGCCAGTTGCATGGTCAGTGTCACCCCAATTACTCCTATAGCCCAGAGGAGCCCAACTTAATCTCAAGATCTCTGCCTAGTTCTTGAAAGCTTCCTGCTAACAAGCATCTCTAGGGCATTTAAATATGGAATCCAAAAACTCTTTACTCTTTAGTTACAAAACAAGAACACACTTTCTCCGTAGTTTAACACATGCTCAAAAAAGAACAGTGGAATTATTCTTTTTTTTTTTTTTTCAGTGACCCATTCCCATTTCTAATTTCCTCTTCCAACCCCCTCTCTAGGAGATGGTCTGATTTCTGTATTCCAGGAGATACAAAGGACAGTTACTTCTCAAATCTGGATGATTAATTCATAAGTCACACCAAGTGTGAGATCCCAATAGTCCAGTATAATTAAATGATAGAAGGAGAAACAACTTTAACTGACAGTTGGTAGATCTACAACCTCTGCTTGGAAGATTAACTTAAGAATAATACAACATACCCATTTGATAAATGGTTCTGATAGTTATTCACCAGAGGTAAAACAAAACAAATAACAGTCCATCTGATGATTTGCCTAACTTAGATATGAAACTGAACACTTAAAATTTTAGGCTCTAACAAAGTTCATTCAAATGTGTGATATATTTTATGTTTTCTTCTACAACAATGGATGACTCTCGTAACAGCTTGCTTTAATTTTACGAATCTAACGGACACAACCCAGTAATTTTCCTGAAACAAAGGGTGTGTATTACAAAAGTAAACAAAATCTCTGTTTTCAGGAAAGGAAAACTGACAGCAGCCGTCAAAGGAAGCTCCCTCACAGAAACAATAATAATAACAATGATGATGAATTATTATCTTCCATAGTGGGGCTACCCAGAATGGGTAGCCATTGTGATTAACCCTTTTTACTGAGAATCATCTTGTTTTTTTCCTAATTCATTTTGGGAAAATGTCTAATGAGAACATTGGGACAAAAATGGGGAAACGTGCTAGCCCAAAGGAAACTCTGTTGGGGAAAGGGAAGATTTGTCCTTATTTTTAGGAGGTGGAGAATGATATCAGGTTGGGGTAAGGTCTCAACTAACCTGTGCCAATAGGAAGTTACCCATTTCACTTTTATAGTTCCTAGCAGAAGAGCACTAAGATCAAAGGGTTCAGAAGCAACACTGACCCAAGGGGTATTATTTCTTTAGACTGGTTAAGTTGAAAGTGAAATAGCCTCAAGGTAGAAATTCCTGGTATTAAATGTACTGCTAGCATTACTGGAAAATGACCAGCCACACCTAAATCTGGTATAGCACATCAAGAATTCCCTATGACATTTACAATACTATATCCAGGCACACTAAAATGCTTACTGTAAACCCTCCCTGCATGTGCTGACAAATTTAGATCAATAGTAAAAGTAATGTTTTCTAATACTGTTTAACTACATGGACTAGCTGATACAGTCTAGAGTGGATATAACTTGCTGTGTAGACAGGTAACAGCCAAGCTAGCACCCTTGCAAAGCCATGTGTTTACTGAAACACTCAGTAGTTTCCTGACATACAGAACAGTACAGTTAAGGAAGTGTATAGCTCTATACAAACTGCAAGCCAGTACTACAAGTGACTGCAGGTTTCCAAAAACTCTGGAAAGTATTTTTTTTTAATCTTCACTTTCCTGTAACAGTTTAAAAACTGGGGTGAAACTTTGTTTCTTCAAATTAAACACCTAAAACTTGCATTTGAAAATGGGCTTCAATCACAACATTTGAATACTATGATGTAGAAAGAAAAGGAAGCAGGTTATGTGGACAGAAGGCTAATGCCAGGGGCACTATCTCAGATTTCACGTTAGTGATTCACAGAGGATTTTTCTAAAAGAGCACACCTTTGTAACACCAAGCAGTAATCTTGGGGCTCTACATAGTGTAACTTACACTTGAAAAACGTGTAACAGCTTTTGAATTTTGTCTATTTTAATAAAGCTTCTCACAGAAACATTATTGCTGCCCTAGTCCTACACATCAAGAAGATGGTGGCAGGCTAGGGAGCAGCACAGTGGAAAGATTTTCTGAATGTTCTGGGTGGCAGCCAAAGCCAAGAGAAATTTGACACCCCATAAAGTAACCTCGGCCGCTGTGCTTAGGACTCTCTGGCAGAGGGGTTTCCTAAGTCATATTTCTAATTATAAATTGAACGCTTTTATCCACTGTTAAAGGAATGTCCTAAGCCAGTGAACAGGTGGGGAAAGCAGATTTTGGAATGGGCAAGGAAGAGGGAGAAGTCAGAGCTTCTTCTGAATTCACACCACTCGGCAGCTGCCTGCTCCACCTAAATAGAAACCCAGCCCTTTGTGCACACTGAAAACATACTTGGGACTTACTGGGCATGCACTAATTCTTAGTGCTTTCAATGTTCTCTAATGAGAACATTGGGACAGAAGTGGAGAAACGTGCTAGCCCAAAGTAAACTCTGTTGGGGAAAGGGAAGATTTTTCCTTAGTTTGAGGAGGTGGAATTTTCACTCTAGAAAAGTAAAAATTTTGTGAAAATGGTGACTAGTCTTTTAACAGTAACCAAGAGCTGTGGTATCCAACATGATATTGTGAACAACAGAACCTTTATAACTCCAGGACAAAAAGAAAGCATAGCTCACACACACGTTTTCATGTGGCCAGGAGTTGGGACTCTGAGGTCAGTACCTGGCTCTGGGAAACTATCTCTGGGGATAGCTCCTTATCTGGGAAAGAGAAGCCTGGAGAATTGATGGTTTTTTGTTTTTGTTTTTCCTTTTCATTGTATTGCAGATCTATTCAATCACTTGATACACAGAATCAAACTAGAAATACAAGAGGAAAACATTTACTCTTTTACCCTATGGTAAACAGGAAGTGGCTTGAGAATCTCCAATTCCATCACATCTACTAAACCTTACTGCTCACTTAGCCCTGCTATAAAATTATTCCCATGGATATATATATTTAATTGTTATTGCTTTTATAGAAATCACAGGAATAGATTTTTTAATGATGGTAACTATGAAAGAATCATTGATAGCATATCACATAATTTTTATGATTATAATCTATAGCAAAAAATGGTGAGAGGGCTTTTGTCTCTTGAATGTTGCAAAACGAATATACTTGTATCCATAAGAAACCCAAAACTTTATAAATTCATGCCTTTTATGTTACCACAGCTGAGTAAGTAGATTTAACCTAAAAATAATTGACCATGTGTTTGAACATTGTAAGATTAGCTTTGATAGATTTCAAGAGTTGTCTCAATATTTTTGTGTGATGTGTATTCCCATGGAAAAGCCAGAGGGAATTCCATTATATTGCCTTTCAAAATTAATTAGCAGATACCTCCGTCTTCTAAAACAAACTTGTTTATTTATTATTGCTGGTGATTGCTGATTTTTTTTTTGGTTCCACCCCAGATATTGCTGACCTGCCATTATTCTTTAGTCTGTTTTATTGTCTCTTTCTCTGCAGAATAAATAGAAAGCTTTAAACACAAGCACTGATTTTCTAGGGTGCTTACTATTTTGGCCAGAGTAGTCAATGCTGCACAGCTTGAGATCCATTAAATATTGAATAGTCACTGATATAGGCAGCAAAAACAATACATATTGATTGCCTCATTTCATCTTGGAAGGAGATTCCCTGATATGCCTTGCAAAATGAATATGATGTATTCATCTGCATATGGGGAAGCACATTGAAAGTAAAGGTGCCTGATATAAATGCACCAACATGAGACACCTTTCACTGATATTGATTTCTATGCTGAGAATGTGGTGAGAATGTGGTTCCTAGCAGCAGCTCTCAGCAATGTTTCAAACATTTCACAGACCATCTCTGGCAGCTGTGTTAATAAGGAGGGTTCAAGGCAAGCAAACACAAACTTTGACATCCACCAAGGAGATGTAAATAGTATACCATTAATACTCTAACATCTGCTTGGTAAACAACAGCACTCTTTACAATTCACCTTAAAATGTTGCAGTGAAGAGTGAGAGACACAGTATGTTTGCAGACAGAGAGATTGGGCTTGAGAACTGTTTATTATTCTGCTGGGTAACTAAGCAGCTGTTGTGATTCGTTCTTGACCTTTAGGAGAGGTCTTAACCTGGGACATCTGAGACAGATGCTCTGAGTTATTGAACCTGATTCTCTGTCACTGTGTGTCCTCCTGAGAAATAGAAACAATTCTTCACTACAAAAGAGAAAAAGTTCAGCTGACTGGAATCCAGCAAAACATAGCTTGTTTGCAGGAAAGGATGTTATAACCATATCTTTGGCAGCTTGACCAATTGGCCTGCATAATCTCTTATATCCATATTCAAAGTCATATTTTCTTTATCCAGAAAAATACAGATAACAATTCAGGATGTGTAAATTATTCACCAACTTATTAAATTTCACCACCCAAGAGAAAAATTAAAATCCTATTTGTAGGCCAGTTCAGTCTTTATTATAGCTCATTCACAATTGTAAGCATACAAATTGACTGCAAAAGTGGTGGGGAAAATATCATGCTTCAGTATAATTCCCAACAGACTTCCAAATGTACCTTGAGAATATAGTTACATATCAACCTTTTCACGTGAGGTTTTTTCTTTTAATGTGTTACCTTAGAATTGACTATGGTTAATGGAATAGTTACTGGTTCAGAAGTACACATTCTGGAATCGGAAGACATCGGAATGCAAAACTTTACTTGCTCTCATACCTTAAACAAGCAACTTACCTTCTGTGTGTGAGATTTTCCTTCTCTGTAAAAGTATAATAAGTGCACCTGCTTCCTAGGTTCTGAAGATTAAATGGGTTAATAAATGTGAAATACTTAGATCGGTGCCCAGCCTACGGCACAGCACACAACACCAGTTAGCTCTGCTGTGATTTTCTCTCATTTTGAATTCAAGTGCTCTCAATATGCCATTTTTAAAGAAAAAGCATTATTGTTCAATTCATTAACTATTGCATTTAAACGGACAAGAAAAACTGGATTTTTAACTCTTGTTTTCTTTTAACACAGAAGTTAATACTAAAGTGAAAAGATACAATATGTGAAGCTCATCAACCTAAATTAAACTAAGTGATCAATCATAGTGTTGCTGTGAAATAATGTATTCAAAATGATAAAAGATGATCTTAGGTTTTATAAGCATTTCATAAGCATTGGGAAAGTCCTACTAAGATTAAGCAGAATTCAAAAGTCAAAGGATGTAACTGCCTGTTTTTGATTTTTACATTTTTAAATTGATGCATGTACGTACACATTCACATAGCGTCGTGTCTTATGTACCCTTTAATCTAAAATAGCTCTTTAATAATGATTTATGATTTATTTTTCTGTTTTCCTGCTTGAGTAAGTACTGGTAAGATTCAGAAGGTATTTTTCAAATTAACTCTGCATCATAACACATTGCACTTAAAAAAGAAAAGTACCAGGCAGTTAATAATGTGAATCCCAAAATCAGTGGAGTAAAAGGAGCAGAAAGTCAATGCATGCTACTGATTATATAGAAGAGTGTGTCACAGTAAGTTCCTGGAATTAGGTTAAATATTATCTTTAAACAGTAAAAAATGATAAGTGAGTTTTACTCTTTAATAATTCATCATTTAGATTTTCAGTATAATTCTGTCAGTAAAATGTTTTTGGACATTAAAACAATCTTGATTGTTGGGTAATATTATGCTTTTACTGTGTTATCTCCAGAAACATTAGAGATCAGTTTGTGCCTTTTCTGGCTTAAAATTCATTTTATCATTACACATTTCAAATATTGTGAGAAGGGATTGACTAAAAATGTATTACTATTCATGTTTATTTTGTATTATTTTTCTATTTTTAATTTTTAATCCTTTATTAAAGTTTAAAACACAATAAAACAGATTATAATCATCTTCCTCCATAAAGTTCACAATAAAATACATTTTTAAAAACCTAATCTGGATTTTATTTATATATAGATTTATCAAATTCTAAAATAGGATAATCCTAAAGTGTGCCTTATCCAAATGCCTCGTTTTATTGATAAGTTCTGCTCTGTTCTAAACAAATCTCTTGATGTAAAAAGACAACCCCAAAACCTATTAATTGCTTTGCCCATTCTGGAATAGTGCCTGGCACTTCCTCTTCACAAGTAAATTTGATTTAGAAATAATTCCCTTGCGCTTTATACCAGATGACTAAAATGGCACATAACACACAGCCAGCTATCTGTGCCCTCCACAAGCCTGGGGCATGTCTTCTGGCCTAACCCTTTCCGTTCAGGTTTTTTCACTACAGGCTCAGACCCGTATTCCCTCTGGCCTGGGCGAGTCTAATCTTTCAAACTATTCCTTCCAATCCCAATTCTCAGCAGCTCAACCTTTCCCTCTATGTCTAATTGATTACCAAATATAAGTTCTTGTTGTGTAGCAGAGTGCCACTGCATTCCTACTGGTTAATCCTTGGCCTGTTTGCCCCTATTTTTATTATATTCCATTATTATATGGGCTTGCCACTCTTGAGACTCAAGCAGGATCATCTCTGAAAGGGGGTAGAAGCATATTTCCACCTCCTTTCAGAGAGGATCCTGCTTGAGTGCCAAGAGTGTGGGGGTTCCAGAGGCTTCTGGACTCCGCATTTTGTTGAATTATGCTTGTGTTTCTCCTGAGTTCAGTGTTCCTCCTTTCAGTAATGCTATGTAGCTAGTGCAGTACTACAATTCATCTCTTTTTTTTTTTGGATTAGTACCCAGGCCATTCTATTTTAGTTATTTTTCCCTCACCAAATTTTGTTGAGATTCAATTTGTGTCCATAGCCGAACATGTGAGTTCATTTGAAATAAGTTGTATTGTCATATTCTTCCTTTGCATATATGTGATATATATTCCCAACCTTATTAATTGTATATTCAGATCCCTTCTACTATTATGTTTGGCCAATTTCCCCCCGGATTGAGAGAATTGAGGCAAAATCTGTAATTTTGTTACCTTAATATTCTGCTTGTATTTCTTAACATTTTGGCTTCAATATTTTGACACTACGTGACTTGTATACATAATGTAAAAGCATTAAATGATTATATTTGAACTTGAGGGAAGGCTAACTACACTGGCTTGAACAGCTAACTAACTTTCCCTTGTACCCTGCTTTTGCCCCCTTTCCTATTTTTGTAGCTTAACTAGAACTGTTCTGAGTTAGCGTAACAGAGGTGCAGTCTGATTCTAGCCACTATGCCCCAGAGGCTCCCTGTTTATGATAAGACAATTTCCTAGACCAAGAATCTCTCATTATTAAGTAGTTCCCTATAAACATGTAGTGTTTTAGAATGAGGAATCTGTACTGTAACCTTAGAGCCTGCATATAACTTATGTATTCAACCTGAAGTGTTAGTCCCATTCTTTTTTTTTTTTTTTAATTATACTTTAAGTTCTAGGGTACATGTGCACAACGTGCAGGTCTGTTACATACGTATGCATATGCCATGTTGGTGTGCTTCATCCATTAACTCATCATTTATATTAGGTATATCTCCTAATGCTATCCCTCCCCCCTACCCCCACCCCATGATAGGCCCAGGTGTGTGATGTTCTCCTTCTTGTGTCCAAGTGTTCTCATTGTTCAATTCACACCTATGAGTGAGAACATGCGATGTTTGCTTTTTGTCCTTGCGATAGTTTGCTGAGAATGATGGTTTCCAGTTTCATCCACGTTCCTATAAATGACATGAACTCATCCTTTTTATGGCTGCATAGTATTCCATGGTGTATATGTGCCACATTTTCTTAATCCAGTCTATCACTGATGGACATTTGGGTTGGTTCCAAGTCTTTGCTATTGTGAATAGTGCCACAATAAACATACGTGTGCATGTGTCTTTATAGCAGCATGATTTATAGTCCTTTGGGTATATACCAAGTAATGGGATGGCTGGGTCAAATGATATTTCTAGTTCTAGATACTTGAGGAATCACCACACTGTCTTCCACAATGGTTGAACTAGTTTACAGTCCCACCAACAGTGTAAAAGTGTTCCTATTTCTCCACATCCTCTCTAGCACCTGTTGTTTCCTGAATTTTCAATGATCACCATTCCAACTGAGATGGTATCTCTTTGTGGTTTTGATTTGCATTTCTCTGATGGCCTGTGATGATGAGCATTTTTTCATGTGTCTGTTGGCTGCATAAATGTCTTCTTTTGAGAAGTGTCTGTTCATATCCTTCACCCCCTTTTTGATGGGGTTGTTTCTTTCTTGTAAATTGGTTTGAGTTTTGTAGATTCTGGATATCAGCCCTTTGTCAGATGAGTAGTTTGCAAAAATTTTCTGCCATTGTGTAGGTTGCCTATTCACCCTGATGGTAGTTTCTTTTGCTGTGCAGAAGCTCTTTAGTTTAATTAGATCCCATTGGTCAATTTTGGCCTTTGTTGTCATTGCTTTTGGTGTTTTAGACATGAAGTGCTTGCCCTTGCCTATGTCCTGAATGGTATTGCCTAGGTTTTCCTCTAGGGTTTCTATGGTTTTAGGTCTAACATTTAAGTCTTTAATCCATCTTGAATTAATTTTTGTATAAGGTGTAAGGAAGGGATCCAGTTTCAGCTTTCTACATATGGCTAGCCAGTTTTCCCAACACCATTTATTAAAAAGGGAATCCTTTCCCCATTTCTTGTTTTTGTCAGATTTGTCAAAGATCAGATGTTGTAGATGTGTGGTATTATTTCTGAGGGCTCTGTTCTGTTCCATTGGTCTATATCTCTGTTTTGGCACCTGTACCATGCTGTTTTGGTTACTGTAGCCTTGTAGTATAGTTTGATGTCAAGTATCGTGATGCCTCCAGCTTTATTCTTTTGGCTTAGGATTGCCTTGGCAATGCAGGCTCTTTTTTGATTCCATATGAACTTTAGTTTTTTCCAATTCTGTGAAGAAAGTCATTGGTAGCTTGATGGGGATGGCATTGAATCTATAAATTACCTTGGGCAGTATGGCCATTTTCATGATATTGATTCTTCCTACCCATGAGCATGGAATGTTCTTCCATTTCTTTGTATCCTCTTTTATTTCGTTGAGCAGTGGTTCGTTGTTCTCCTTGAGGAGGTCCTTCACATCCCTTGTAAGTTGGATTTCTAGGTATTTTATTCTCTTTGAAGCAATTGTGAATGGGAGTTTACTCATGATTTGGCTCTCTGTTTGTCTGTTATTGGTGTATAAGAATGCTTGTGATTTTTGCACATTGATTTTGTATCCTGAGACTTTGCTGAAGTTGCTTATCAGGTTAAGAAGATTTTGGGCTGAGATGATGGGGTTTTCTAAATATACAATCATGTCATCTGTAAACACAGGGACAATTTGACTTCCTCTTTTCCTAATTGAATACCCTTTATTTCTTTCTCCTGCCTGATTGCCCTGGCCAGAACTTCCAACACTATGTTGAATAGGAGTGGTGAGAGAGGGCACCCATCTTGTGCCAGTTTTCAAAGGGAATGCTTCCAGTTTTTGCCCATTTAGTATGATATTGGCTGTGGGTTTGTCATAGATAGCTATTATTATTTTGAGATATGTCCCATCAATACCTAATTTATTGAGAGTTTTTAGCATGAATGGCTGTTGAATTTTGTCAAAGGCCTTTTCTGCATCTATTGAGATAATCGTGTGGTTTTTGTCTTTGGTTCTGTTCATATGCTGGATTACATTTATTGATTTGTGTATGTTGAACCAGACTTGCATCCCAGGGATGAAGCTCAATTTATCATGGTGGATAAGCTTTTTGATGTGCTGCTGGATTCGGTTTGCCAGTATTTTAATGAGGATTTTTGCATCGATGTTCATTAGGGATATTGGTCTAAAATTCTCTTTTTTTGTTATGTCTCTGCCAGACTTTGGTATCAGGATCATGCTGGCCTCATCAAATGAGTTAGGGAGGATTCCCTCTTTTTATGAACTGTTCATAATAGGAACCTAGACCAGGGAAAAAAAAAGTTACTTACTCAAATTAGTTGGTAATTATGAATATAATTATGAATTACATGAAAACATGCTCCATTTTAATAAGAATGCTAATTAAAGGCACAGGTATAATAAGATAATCTGTAGCCATGTAGTATTTACCATTAGATTATTTTAACTTTTTATTTTGAAATAATTCTAGACTTACATGCAGTTGTAAGAAATAATAAAGTTCCCCTGTACCCCATACCCAGTGTTTCCTAATAGTAACCTCTTGTAAAACTATAATACAAATTACAACCTCCAGGATATTGACATTGATACAGTCAAGATACAAAACATTTCTATCACAAGGATCTTTGTGTTAGTTTTATAGCCACCTTGAAGCTTCCCTTCCTCTCTACCCCTTCTCCACTTCTTGGCAAGAACTGATCTGTTCTCCATTTAAATTTGTTAGCCCAAGAATGTTATATAAATGAAATTATATGGTAGGATCTTTTTGAGATTGGCTTTTTTTCATTCAGCATAAAACTCTAGAGACTTGTGTATTAGTGGTTTATTCTGTTTCATTGCTGAGTAGTATTCTATTTGGATATACCACAGTATTCTTAATCGCCCGTTGATGGACTGTTCCCAATTTTTGGTTGTTACAAGTATATCTGCTATGAACATTCATGTACAGGGTTTTTTGTGAACATAAGCTCTGATTTCTCGGGAATAAAGGTGCAGATGGACAATTGCTAAGGTGTTATGTTTAGTTGTTTTTTTTTTTAAGGAAATGCCAAATAGTTTTTGGATGTAGCTGTATCATTTTACATTCCTACAATCAAGGTATGAATCATTCAGTTTTTCTGTATTCTCCTCAGCATTTTTCACTGTCATTGCTTTTTATTTTAGCCATTATAGTCGGTATGTAGCGATATTCCATTATAGCTTTAATTTTCTTTTCTCTGATGCCTAATGATTTTGCAAAGGATACCTAATGATTTTGAACATTTTTGTGTGCAGTTCTGTATATGCTTTTAAGTGAAATGTCTGCACTGGATAATTCTACCATCTCTGTCATCTTGATGCTAATTGTTTTTCATTCAAGTTGACATTTTTCGAGTTCTTATTATGATGAGTGATTTTCCGTTGAAACCTGGATATTCTGTGTTGTGAGACTCTGGCTCTTATTTAATGCTCTGTTTAATCTGGCCTCCTCTGACACTACTCCAGCAGGGTTGCTGGCAGGGATAGAAATGTGGGTAGCCTCCTGACTGCCAGGTGGTGGTAGAAGTCCAGGTCCATCACTCAACCTCCATTGACACAGTATCAGGAGAAGGGTTCCTCATTACTGATAGATAGAAGTGAGGTTCTGGCTTCTCTGCGAGGCCTCCATTGACACCAGATGACAGAGAGGCAGGAGTGTCTCTCGATAGCAACCCATTTTGCCTCCACTAATACAGTATGGGGGTGATGTCTTTATCACTAGGCAGTGGTGAAGATCCCTACTCTCCAGTAGGCCTCCTCTGACACCACACCCTTAAGGAGGGGCAAGGGTGAAAGTCCAGGCTTCCCAAGTGGTCTCCAAGGACACTGGACAAGTGGAGAGTCCTGTTATCTCCTGTTATCTTGTTCCCCTCAGTCTTCTTTGACACTACCCTGGTGGAAAGTCAGGGGGAGAGGGTTTGGCTCCTGGCAAAATGAGGCTCTCCACTCTCCCCATCTCCATGGGGTCTCTATTTTTTCTGTGGTGTAGGCTAGAGTAGAATGCTTGTATTAGTCTGTTCTTGCACTGCTATAAAGAAATACCTGAGACTGGGTAATTCATAAAGAAAAGAGGTTTAATTAGTTCACAGTTCCACAGGCTGTACAGGAAGCATGGTGGCTCCTGCTTCTGGGCAGGTTTCAGGGAGATTTTACTCCTGGCAAAAAGCAAAGTGGGAGCAGTATCTTATAGGACAGGGACAGGACCAAGAGAGGGTGAGGAAACGCTACACACTTTTAAACTTGATCCATGATAACTCACTATCACAAGAACAGCACTAAGGGGATGCCAAACCATTCATAAGAATTCCACTTCCATGATCCAGTCACCTCCCACCAAGCCCCACCTCCAACACTGGGGATTACAACTCAACAGGAGATTTGGGTGGGGACACAAATCAAAACTGTATCAATGGTTATTTTATAAAAATAGTTATTCTATAAAAAAGGGAAGTCTTCTTGTTAGACTTCCCTTTCTCAGTCCTTTGGCTAGACAGAGAAGGCTTTGGTTAGGGTCTCTTTGTCTGTGCCCATTCACATGTTTAAGTTGCTGGTTCTGTAATATATGAGGCAAAAAGAAAACTCAAGGAACTCACCACCAGTGTTTTTCCTTCAGACCCAAGATTCCCAGCTAGTCCAGGCTCCTGTCTTCTCCCCACCTGTGAGAGTTTTCTTATAATTGTTTACATATGTCTGTGTGCATGTATCTGTTATACCTGTATATACCTGTATGCATATATGTATATACTCCAGAGATTTTAGTTGTATTTAGTTGGAGGAATGGGGAAAATTCCATCTACTCCTTCTCCCCAGAAGCGAAAGTCTCACCACAGAATTTTAAGACATTTTTCCTCTGCATTTTTTCTACTGTATGTAACAAAGGGCTTATCTAATAAATAATGAACATCTATTTTATTTTTGAGCACACAATATTCAATATGAAACGTTTAAAAATATTTATAAAAATACTTCAAAACAGGGAAAACTAGATGATGAGTAAATTAAATCAACTAAATGTATTTTATAATATTATTGCATTATACAAATAGACTCAATAAAGATAAATCAAAACCCCTAAGATAAGGAAAAACGGGGTATAACTCCATCCAATCTGCTGAATGATTTGCAAGTTCACCTTTTTTTTGTGAAACCTGTTCCCACATTAATTTATCATTGCTGTTTTCTTATGTGCTCCCATTGAGTTTTCAATATTCCTCAAATTCTAGAGTTACAGACCCAGATGTCTTCAGGAGTCAAGCAAGCATTGGACAAAGCAGTGAGAACGTATAGGGAGTGGTAGGAACTATGATGAAGTGCAGTTTACACCACCCTGGAGCCCAGACGCATTTAAAATCAAATCTGCTGAGCACTGTGGCTCATGCCTGCAATCCCAAGAGGTAGAGGAGGGTGTATCACTTGAGGCCAGGAGTTTGAGACCAGCCTGGGCAGCATAGTGAAACCCTGTCTCTACTGAAAACACAAAAATTAACTAGGTGTGATGGTGCACTCCTGTAAACCCAACTGCTGAAACAAAAGAATCACACGAACCCAGGAGGCAGAGGTTGCAGTGAGCCAAGATCGACCCACTGCACTCCAGCCTGGGAAAGAGTGAGACTTGGTCTCAGAAACATAAAAAAAATTAAAAAATTTTTAAAAATCAAATCCAGTAAAAACCAACAGCATATTATGACAGATTTTGCTCTCTGTACACTTCAGAAAAAAAGTAACATTGATCTCAGGCAAGGACTAAATATTTTGAATTCAAAGTGATTTCCCTATTGTGCTTTTTATGTCTCTCAAGCGAAAAAAAAAAAAAAAAAAAAAAAAAAAAAGAAGGACTCATGACTAGGAGCTACCTTTATGCAAGAAATTTATTAAAATATGTGTCATTTTAATTTGAATTCATAAACTGAAAAGCAGAGAATCTCAACTCTTCCAATTCTTAGGAGGAAAAAAAGGACTTGTGGGAAATATTGTATTGTTTTGGTTGTTATTTGGTGATTTAAGTTCTAAAAATATAATTTGCTTATAATAAAATCTCAAATCATTTTTCAAATGTAGGTCTCAGTTATAATTAGGAAATATTATAGTATATTATATATAAATTTGACCTATTAATGATAATAACAAAAAAAGTGACAGCTAAGGAACAAGTTATGTAGCTATATTGCATTCATGTGGGATCTCAAGCTTATTTTTCCTTGGATCTTTTCTGGAAGTGGCACATTACCTGATGTAATAAGCAATAGTGATCCTTTCTGTTTGAGCAGGAGTGACCCATCAAACTAAAGACCCTGAAGATTTACTTGGTTAGACTCCCTATTAGCTCTAGACCTTTTGTCCCGCACAGGTGAACAAGGTCAGTGTCATGTGGAAAATTACTCTGAAACAATACTACACTCCAAATATAATACCAAGTAAGCTATCCCAGAAGCTAGGAAACAGAAGTACTCACAAAACCAATTAAAATGCTCAAATAACACAGTTTATTAAACTGATTTAATCACACAGCAACAAGAATGAGAGAGAGATGGGATAAGGAACAGACTTAGGGTAACATGCAAATGTGAAAAGGCCACCCTGCCTTGGTCTGGGATTATACAAAGTTCCTATGTCCTCTGTCTCTGCTTCGTTAACCTTCCCTGTAACATGTGTGGTCGCAAGCACCAGAGGTGAGGTTTGGGCAAGGGGTCCACAGACACAAAGTTCTCCAAACCAGTGATATACACTTCCTGTATTGGAAGGACACACAGACAGGTATGAAGCTACAGAAGCAGATTGTCATTAACCTGCTGAACAGCATTGCATTTTGTTTATATTTCCTCAACAGAGCATATGTGGGGTCAGAATAGGAACATACTAGCTGTCACCAATGGGTGGCTGATTTAGAGGTGATAAGCTCTTAGCCCAGAAGTGGTAGAATCAGAGTTGCTCTTTCCCTTCCTTTCTGTCCATCATTCATCTTTGTGTTTCTTCTATCATATTTTCTATTAAATCTATTTATTTTTGGTGTGTTTTGCATATTACTAACTTACTTTTTATCCTTAACACATCAACTCTGCTCTTATTTTACAGGCTACTACTTTTTAAATTATGTATATTACTTCTTATACATTTTTACTATAATTCATAAGCTACTTATTATCCATATTTAATATTTCTTATAAGTGTCCCACACCTTGTTTTCCTTCTCCTTACAGAATTTAATATCCTCAAACAATACAACAAACTAAGATCATTGTCAGTGGCCTCTCTCCAGCCACAATGGGCAGCACCAAGGACGCCCATCCAAAGGGTCACATTTCAAGGAAATCACGTATCAATCCAAGAATGAGAATTCAGAGAAATGAACATATATATCAATGTAAAATGTACAGATTTAAATGTATTTTTTGTACCTTAATTTTTGTGATGAAATATTAATTGGGTGGTTTTTAGGCATTTTATAAAAATCATGTCTAAGACAAAAACAAAAAGATTAAAGTTAAATCTAATCCCAGAGAAATAATACTGTAGTCTTTTTTGAAACATTCATGTATCAAACTATATCAGTTTCACACAAAAAAGCAAGAAAACTAAGTTGGGAAACAAATGTATTAGATGTATTAAATTGTAAAAATACACCTAGAAATCAAAGTTTGCAGGAGAATAAGAGATTTCAGGGGTAAAAATTGGACTTAAAATGGTATTTGACCACAACTCTCTTTGCACAAATTTAAAAATGACCATTTTTCTTTTATCATGACTATTTAAATTTGAATGTATGAATTGAATTAGTAACTAATGGCCTTACTAACTGTATTTCAACTTTGGTTAGTTGAAATATATATGTGACATTTCAAATATTTAGCTGAACAACCATTTGTTTATTTTGAACATGAAGTGCAATTGTTCTGCTCAATCATTACTATGATTTACATAATTTAGAGAAACCACTGACAGAAAATGTTGACGTAGAATTTTTTTCCCATGACTATTTTATTTCTGTGTAAAATATGGGCTTGGAAGTATATTAGCCAGTTATGACTAACTGAAACTGTCATCCAAATAGTAGATTATGTAAATAAAGAATTGCAAAATTAGGAAATGTCTACTGAGAACAGAATACCAAGGAACAAGCTTAAATAGAAAAATAATCGGAAGAAAATTTTAGCAGCAAAAGAACTTTCTGAATAATATTACACTTTAGAAAGAATTTCGAAGATAGATTAGAATAGATTTTGATTCCAGAAGATTCTTATTAAGACTTGACCAGGTGTAGTCATACTTCAGAGTTGTAAACTGGACTACACTGTTCTCCGCTAAAGACTTCTCAGAAACAGAAACACCTCAGCAAATGAGTTAACGACTATCTGCTTGATAACCATTGGTCAAAGGAATACCTTTCAAAGAGATATGACATCTTGGGAATTCAATGTGCTGTACAGTCATTTACTTCCCAGTTCCTGGTCTTAGCTCCTTCACCTAACAGGTAGCATTTGGAGAACTTAAACTTTCTGAGCTTTACCCTTTACTCATCTTAAAAATATACCTTTAAATTCCTACCTCAAAATGTTGTAGAGATCTAATTTAGATAATATGCAAAGTACCTTGTTTTGATCACAATGAATACTTATTGTGTACTTTTCATTAGCTAAATAAAATTTTTATATAAAGATGCAAAAGGTTAAAGGGGAAAGCCAGATCTATACTCTTCCTTCCCGTTGAGGTTCTTAGAATAGAAAAATGACAGAAATTGTAATTGGTCCCCAGAAAATTACTTTTATATGATTAGTGTGGTGGTGGAAGTCAGCATACCCTTGGGTAAGTTCACGAGATATGCAATGTATATTTTGCTGATAAAGGAGAATATTCAGTTCAGATTTATCATATTCTTTTATTTAATTAATATTTCTATTGTGCCTACTAGGTACTAGGTACTTTGCTAGGATTTGGAGATAAAATAATGGGAAAAAGAAAAGGCAAGTTCCTGGTTGTATTAGTCTGTTCTCATGCTGCTAATAGACATTCCTGTGACTGGGTAATTTACAAAGGAAAGAGATTTAGTTGACTCAGTTCAGTATGGCTGGGGAGGCCTCAGGAAACTTACAAGCATGGCAGAAAGGGATGCAAACACGTCCTTTTTCACATGGCAGCAGCAAGGAGAAGAGCCAAGCAAAAGGGGAAAAGCCCATTATGAAACCATCAGGTCTTGTGAGAACTCACTATCAAGAGAACAGCCACATGGGGGTAACGCTTCCATGATTCAACTACCTCCTTCCAGGTCCCTCCCATGACACGTGGGGATTATGAGAACTACAATTCAAGACGAGATTTGGGTGGGGGCACAGCCAAACCATATCACTCGTGATAGAGATTTTTCAGCCAAAGTAGAACCCATAACAATGTAGGGAACTCAAACTACATTGTCATGTGAACTATAAACATGATGTTAAATTGAAAGGAATTCCTAGAGTTATAGGATAGAGATATAGACCGAAAATGAAAAATGAAATCAAGACATTATCCAGAAGAGAAAAAAGGGCTCAATAGTCATTTGTTACTGAATAGCACAGTCCTACTTCTCCTCTCCCATAGCGTGCTCAGGGAAGCCCTGGCTTCCTGGTGAACTATTCCTTCCATCTGGGTCTAGGAAAGTTAGAAGGCGAAGTCTTCCGAAATGCAGAACTCTATAAGCCATATTCTCTATATTTTCCTGAATGATTGAGATACTTCAAAATAAATTTAAATTAAAAAGTAATGTCTTCTAAATATTAAAATAGACTATTTCATTTTATTTTATTAAATTTGGATGTTCTAGCTTTTGTTTTCTATTCTATGTCATCTAGGGATTACTGAAATTTAAAGATGAAATTACATTACAGTCTAAGTTAAACCTCAGAGTAGAGAATAAGTTAGACTAAAAAATGAGACTGCCCTCAAAGAATACACTGAATTTTTAAAAATGTACTTTAAAATATTTGTCATTTAGAGTCAAATATATTAATGAAGCATATCTTTGACTTCAGAAGTACCCACTTCAAAAACCACTCATTGTTCTGGCAGTCACTTGTTTTCTCTCTATCTCTTCATCTGGGCCCCTGACATTTTTCCCTAAGTGAAACCCATATGTGAAATAAGTTCATGTTGATAAAAACCTATCTGTAAGTAGAAATAATGAAGACTAAGTATTGGCTATTGCCTGTTTAGCTGTATCTTAAATGTTGCATTATATCATACCTAAACAAATCAGAAATAGCTCATTGTGTGATCTACTCAGAAACAGTAAAAAATACTTTTAAAGATTTCAGCTATAAATTAAGTCTAAATGAATAAACTATAAATGACCTACAAGTGTTCAATTTTCTAGGCACTATCTCTGCTGCCAAAAAAGAAATACCTAGAGGCGGTTAGGAGAATCAAAAGTCTCATTTTTAGAGAAGAATAAAAATGGCACTCCATGAAATTTGGGGATATAGCATTACAATAAAACTCATCGTTTATACTAAACTCTTTTGCAGTTGGTGCCTGTAAGAACAACGAGTAACTTTATCAAAACACAAATGTCTATGTCCCATTCTTCAGTGATTCTGATTCATTAAGCCATGTGTATTTTAGGGGGGGAAAGTTATCCAGGTAATTCTGATGAACACCCCTGATAACAATCAGTGCTAATGAAACCTTAACAAAATTCAAAGAATGGCTAAATAATAGGCGAAAATTAAAGGCTTATAAAATTACATTTGGTAAGTCTGTTTACCTATGTATGTTGACATTCAACATGCTCAGTGCTGATCAGAGATTGCTTCAGTTATTCCCTGAAGCAATCTTACGAAATAGATATCATTATTATCTCTACTGTACAGATGAGGATAATGAAGACTAGAGGGCATACTGGCGTATACAAGAGCACAGAGCTTAGTCCTAAAGCTGAGATTCAAAGTTAGATATTTACCTTCTAGAGGAACCACACTTGTAACTACTATGAGATACCACCTCTCAGATTCACACTACTGTACTTCATTTTAACAAATTTAACTCACATGTAACTTTCTAGGAAATAATGATTTAAATAAAAGTAGATAAAGTATGTAAACAAGAGAAACATTATGTATTCATTGCTGTAAACATATGATTGAGTTGGACACAAATCAAATATTTAAAACAATGAAATGTGTCATAAAATAATATAGGAATAGGAAATATTTTGTATCTGAAAACCCTGAAGTCTGACATTTTTGAAAAACCAGCATGTAATGGTTAGTTTTATGGGTCAACTTGACTGAGTAATGGGGTACCCACACATTTACATATAAACATTATATTTGGATGTGTCTTTCAGGATGTTAATAAGTAGACTGAGTAAAGCAGATTGTCCTCTTCTCCAATGTGGGTAGGCATCATCCAGTCCTTCAGTGCCTGAGTAGAACAAAACGGCCAAGGAAGGGAAGATTCCCTTTTTCTCTCTGACTGCTAAACTGGTACATTGGTCTTCCCTTGACCCCAGACTGGGACTTACACCATTGCTGCTACTGTCTCTCAGGCCTTAGAACTTGGGCTGGAACTACACCACCACTTCCCTCTACCCCATGGCTTTCCTGGGTTGCCAGCTCTTAGGTGGCAGATCATGGGACTTCTCTGCCTCCATAATCAAATAAGCCAATTCCTTATAATAAATCTCATTTTATATGTATAAAATGAGACAGTACCCTATGACTCAGTCAAGTTGACCTATAAAACTAACCATCACATACTGGTTTTGCAAAAATGTCAGATTTCAGCATTTTCGAATACAAAGTATATATTAATTGTAGCTAAGATCAAAAGAACCAATAAAATGTATACATAATTATATCTGTATATAATTGAATATGTTTGACTTTTTTTAAAGTCAAAAGGTTATATATATACATATATACTCTCCTATTGGCTCTTTTTATCTGAAGAACCCTAATACACAGCACCATAATCTTTAAGCCTAGGGTAAACTTGGCAAAAGATTTCTATTCTATTGGAGAGATCTATGTCTCCAGGAATAATATTATATGACCTGTAAGTGTTCTATTTTCTCGGTGTTATCTATACTATGGGAAAACATCTCTCTAGGGGTAGTTAAAGACAATCCAAAGACTTATTTTTTAGAGAAAAATAAAAAACAGCACTTCCATGATACTCAGGTATGGTGCTAAAATGAAACAAATCATTTACTTTAAACTCTTTTCCAGCTAGTTTGGATCCTAAAGATGTGCTGTTCAACTGCTAATGTTTCCACCAAAATTTTTACCCTTCTTTAGCAGAGACAGATGAGTTCTAAATTATTTTCAAAAATAAAAAGGCTCTGTAAAATTTGGTTTTCATTTTAAAAAACGCTTGCACAAAAGTGGAAAAAAATGTTCAAAATGTAATTATAGTTAAGATCAAGTAAGTACCATAAACCCTGTTATTTAATACCAAGTTTAGAAAATTCTCAAATGTTAAGGTGGTTGACATTGTACAGTATGTAAATTAAGTGTATATGCATGCACACAAATCTAATTTCAATTAATGATACAAAACTAGACAGTCTTTCAGGTTTTCAGACAGGCTGTACAGACGTGAGATTATTAGCTAGCCTTATGCATACATCATTGCAATATAAAAACAATGCACATGGATGATCACTAAGTAACCTTGGCACACTATGTAACCTTTGCTTGCACATTATGATTCTGACTTGAAGATGCTCAACTGAAATTTTAAATTTATTTAACTTATGATCCAATTGACACCCTTAAATTCAACATAGTGGTTGGAAATTTAGACAATAATCTGTCTCAGATTATATGTGTTCAGTGTATTTAGTGAATTCAGAAAATTCTTTCTCTAATGCTTCAAGGAGCTATAGGGAATACGGTAACTTGAGCTCTTCTTTTCTCTTTTCAATACAAAGCCTTAGTATTCTACTGTCTCATTTCAGATGATGCCCACATTTTAAACCGACGCACATTAAAGCCTGAAATTATTGAAATGCCAAGGGAAGGTTAGGGATAGGGAACTAAAGAGAGGAAGAAACATACTGTGTATCCAAGAAAACAGTTTGAGAATGCTCTGGCAACTTGAAATGCCTCTGAACGTTGCAATGAAAGAAATATGCCTGTGAAACTAATGAGTCTCTTCCTGAGCCTTGCTGTAGAGGACTTGTACTAATTTTAAAAGTCAACCTTATATTCAATTAGTAACCAGTCCTTGTATACCAATGCTTTGAAAAATCGACTTTTCCCAACTCTGTGTGGTTCAGATAATAAATTTTATAATTTAGGGATTTATATATTTCACCAGTTGGCAACATAAATGCATTCAACTACTCAGAGTGATGATCTCCTGTCTGTGCTAAGAGTACTAGCTTAAGCAAATATGATCTATATTTAAATGCGTTTAAAGAATGACAAAATTATTTTTTATTTCCACAACAATCCTATTCTTTTATTTGATTTATATATTATTCATCAAATCACTGACCATATGTAAATTATAAATATAGTAATTAAGTTCCTATGAATAGTAGAAAACTACCAATAACATTAAATCAATCAATGCAAGTTTCTCTAGAATTTCATTAATTTAACATTAAAAATATTTTCTACCATAACTTATTGGGTTTCAAAAAGGTATTTCTGTGGAGGCTTTGGTTTTTCTGTTTGTAGGAGATGTGTGATATTATCAAAAATGAGCTATAAAAACAAAATAGTTCAAGGTTTTTTGAAGCATATAATTACAAATCTTTAATTTTTAAAGAATAAAGCATTCAATTAAATACTCCATTTTCTATGTGCATTTAAATACAAAAATAAAATATTAAACTGAGGAGCATAAAAGTAATCTTTATCCAGGCTGCCCTATTTGTGCTTCAATCTTTTTAACAATCCATCCATTGTGAGTGATGTTTCAGCCTCCCCTTTAACTGTTTCATAATAGGTAAGTAGCTACAAGGTAGCCCATTCTTTGTTGTCACAGCAAGAAGCAGGATCTATTTGTGATAGCAACAAGGTAAGAAAGGGTGAAATTAATTCCAAGTTTCCCCTAAGGCTCTTCTCTCCTTATAACCACCTACATTTCAATTGATTTTCTCTGATGCAATAAAGAATTAACAGCTCTGATGACCTTTCAGAAGAGTATAATGCATCTTTATCTACTCGTGAAGTGTAAGGAAATTGTCGCCCTCCCTACTAAGATACAGCCAGACCTTCAGAGCCTGACAAGGAGGAGAAACCATCTACCTGTTTAGGAGTCACTCACCTCTAAGCCCCAGACTCTGTAATTACATGGCTCACTCTCTTCTTGTTAATCTCTTGTTAATGTTTTTCTGTTACCAACATATAAACTTTGGCTGTGGGGGTGGTGGGGGGTGAAATAAGGTTTAATTATTTGCAGACATCTAAAATGAGGAGCAGATTTTACTAAAATTTAGGGTGTCACTTCTGATTTAAGAGTGATGTGAAAATTGATGTAATGACATTTAGGATTTGACTCTCCCTAACTTTGGCCCACTTCCGTGAGGTGGAGACTGCATAACCTCTGTAGCCTGAGACGGTTTTCCTGTCTATAGATAGGAATTCTCTATGTGGCCAGACTATAACCCAACTTAACAAGTACTGGTTTCCTCTAATAGGATCTATTTCCAGGGCGAATGTTCATCACCAGGGATAGAGAGCCTTTTCTAAAGAGTTTACCACCTATGTAAACAAGGGTTGATTTTAACACATATTCTATTTTTGTTTGTGTAATTTTTATATTTTTGTCATTTTTTTCTTAATAAGAAACTGAAGATTTCAATTTGAATTCTCTATAACAGTCTGCAATTGCATAACAATCGTGCTGCTTATCTTTAGCTCATTTTGTTTCAGTAAGAATGAGGCTGCCTCATTAGGTTTGAGGCTAACATTGCATTACATCATTAGTTTTCCTGTTGTACCAGAATAAGACATTACTAACCTAGACAAGAATCTCCATGGAAAAGAAATATAACATATTCAGTCACACCATGCCTCACATCTAGAGAAGGCACTCTTTCTGCTATCGTCTATGTAAGCGGGGCCCCATGGAGTTACGCATTATACAACCTTTGTATCTACAAATGTTTTCACAATGATCATAATACTAACATATATCCATACACAGATCGCTAAAGAAAAACTAGATAAAGAATAAACAATTTCATTTTACTATCCTTGTAACTTCTCTGTAAGCTTTAAATTGCTTTCAAAGTAAAAGTTCAAAAACAGTTACTGATTATCAAGTGATGTTATTACCAGTGAAAAGACAAGCCCTATATAACCAACAAAAAAGAAGCAGTAGCTGCATACATCCAGAACTCTTAGCATTCAATAATTAAGGGGATAGGATAAAAATATACACATGAAGAAAAGACCAAAACAATTATTCAACAAAGATGAAACAAGAATGAAAACAAACACATAAAAATATGTACAACTTCTATATAAGAGAAACAAAGATTTTAAAACAGGTGTGATTCTTTATCCAGCAAATAGGCAAGTTTAAACAGTGTGACAATACCTAATCTTGCAGAGAATATGGAACAACTTACTTTGTTGTTGGGTGTATAAATTAGTATAACTCCTTAAAAACAACTGGGAATTGTCTAGTTACATTAAAGATGCATAAAACCTTTGACCCTATGCATCTTCTAGAATGTGTAAGTCTTTTTATACTGGGAACTGTTCTAGGAGATAGGTACAAAAATGTTTATGGCATCAATTTTTGTTATAGCTAACAACCAGTAAGAAATCAAATGGAAAAGAAGAAACAATAGCCAAATATCCCAATATGAATGAATCTTAAAAAATAAATTTGAATTTAAAATATCAGAATATGTACAGTATACCGTTTATAATATCTTTAAAATATACCACATTAAATATATGTTTATAATCTAACACTTTATTAGGACTACAAAAAAAGGAATTATAAACACAAATTCATGCTAACAATTACCTGAAGATGAGAGTGATTGTGGTTGAAAAGAAATATACAAAAAACTTTAGTGATATTAGCATTTCTTTCCCTTGAGTTGGATTGTATTAAATACATTGGTTTTTGGTTTCTTTTCTACTGTATTATGCACTGATATATATGACAGTATATAAATATATTTCATGATTTTAAAACAAAGCAAAATTAGCCAAATACTCTACCACATTAATATTTTATCCTATTGACAGATAATGGATCCTAACAAGCCCTTTGAAAATACTTATTAGATAGATAGAGATTTTATAAAGAACCTTAGTACTTTAATCAGGTGGGTTTGTTTCTTATATTTAAAATTTCAAATAAAATATTAAATACCTCTTATGTCAACAATGAGAATAGGATTGCTTCGCTGGGTACGCTGGCTCATGCCTGTAATCTCAGCACTTTGGGGGGCTGAGGCAGGTGGATCACTTGAGGTTAGGAGTTCGAGACCAGCCTGGCCAACATGGTGAAACCCTATCGCTACTAAAAATGCAAAAATTAACCAGGTGTGGTGTCAGGTGCCTGTAATCTCAGCTACTTGGGAGGCTGAGGCAGGAGAATCGCTTGAACCCAGGAGGCAGAGGTTGCAGTGAGCCGAGATTGCGCCACTGCACTCCAGCCTGGGTGACAGAGTGAGACTCCATCTCAAAAAAAAAAAAAAAAAAAAAAAAAAAGAATAGGATCACTTCTTATATTACATAAAGTTGAATTTTAACTTGTGAAAGATTGATAAGTGGCAAATAAATTTTGACAAGTAGAGATACAGAACTTTTCTATTTAGCAGTAAAACAAAAACAAAAACTCAAAGGTTTTGGGTTTGTTGCTTTATAGGGCATTAACTGGTTTTGAATCTACTTTAGATGTCTTATTTCAGCTTTGTTCTTTCATTGTCCATATATACTTTAATTTTTTGTATCCTCTTTTGAGCTAGCTCTGCCATTCTGCTGCTTCCTTAATTTGTGAAATAAATGTTTGATATATATTGACTATATATTCATTTTATGTAACTTTTAAAAAAATTTATAACTTGATACATAACAAGTTTCAGAGAATTGAAACCTAAAAGAAAATTAACTAGTAATATCCCTTCCTATGTCACAATGAAATCTGTGTGTCAAAATGCCTCTTGTATGTTTTAGTGACTGTACACATTTTAAGAAATTCAGAATGAGCCAGAAATGAGTCCATTGCTGAACAGGAATTTCCAATTAAACAAGCATTATTTATAATCTACTTGAAATACTCCTGAGCCAGGGGAGGGAGCAACTGTCATGATTGACAAATAAAAGATTTAAACACAAGGTAAAAATCAGAGATAATACCCTTTTTTTCCCCTCAAAAGCATAAAGAAAAGCAACCAGTTGCATTCCAAGCTGAAGTAAAGTGTTATGAAGAAATATGAAAAGAATATACACACTACAGTGAAGATGTAATATTTTCAAAAGTGTTACTCCAGACTTTTTGGAATGCAAATGTTTTTATTATGATTCTTTGTAGTCAGTGAGTGTTTCTGTAGTGTTTTTTTTTCTCTAATGATATTGTGCTTAAATCTTCAAGAGCAGTGTTAGATAAATACCATATTTTTAAAATATTCTAGGAGAACTAGTAGAAATTAAAGTAGCTCAGCTTTCTCTTACCATTTTAATATTTAAAGGATTATTCCACAAAAATCTAAACCATAATGTGCAACATTGTTATTCAATTGATGATTTGTCATCTATTCATTTTACTATTTATTCACTCTTTAAATAAACATATTTAAAGACATATTTAATAGACATATTCTGGGCATGAAAGAGTACAGCTAATACAAAGATTATTAAACAGTCTTGGATAGAAAGAGCTTAGGTCTGTTGAAGACTAAAATCAATCATAGTATTTAACACAGCAGAAGAAAAGACAAATGAGCCATTTTGGAAAATAGTAAGAATCAAAAACAAAAATAATAAAATAATCAAAATATTCTACATCAAAAACCATATTTCTTTATAAACAATTGGGGTTAAAATTATCTCATAACAAAGATTATTTTTAAATTTTTAAAATAATAATATTGAAGATCTGAGTAGAATACAGTAAGATAAACATAACCCTAACCTATTAGTAGGAATCAATATAACTCTTATGGAAATAAATTGTATAATATCTGATAAGATTCTTAAAATTTTTATGTTCCATTAATAAATCAAAATCATTTATAAGTGGATATTTATAAATCCATGTACAAAATATGCATAACATATTCAGCATAGTACTATTTCTAATCACATATATCCAACTTTAAAAGAATAGTTAGGTAAATGATGAAACATATGACATTTTATTTGATGTTTAAAATAATGGTTTTATTCTTTTCAATGAAAAGATTGCTCATGAAATGCTCATGTCTAATGTTAAAATTTTATATTTAAGATGGTTTTATTCTTTCCAATAAAAAGAATGCTCATGAAATGCTCATGTCTGAATGTTAAATTTTATATTCAATTTGAATTACAAATTTATTTCTAAAAACATATCAAAAGTCCACCAGGCAGTATCAGTAAGTAGTTAACCAGAGTATTTGTTTTTACTTTCTTAAAATACTTCTATACTTCTCATATATTTCCACAAGGGGTGAATACTAGTTTTATATTTTGGAAATATTTTAAATATAAAAGATTTTTAAAAGTAGTTTCCTAAATATTCTAGAAGAGACAACACAGAAATTGATGCTTTTCTCAAACTGTGTTAAATGCATGAACAGTTGCAGGAACAAATGTATTCTTGAATAAATGAAAGAGTGAATGAATATATACAACATTAGTTACAATAGCATTTTCTTTTTTTTTTTTTTTTTGAGACAGAGTCTCAACTGTGTAGCTCAGGCTATAGTGCAGTGGCACAATCTTAGCTCACTGCAACCTCTACCTCCTGGGTTTCAGTGATTCTTGTGCCTCAGCCTCCCACATAGCTGGGATTACAGGTGCGCACCACCACGCCTGGCTAACTTTTGTATTTTTTTGTAGAGATGGGGTTTCAGGTTGTCGCTCAGGCTGGTCTTGAACTCCTGGTCTCAAGTGATCCCCCTGCCTCAGCCTCCCAAAGTGCTGAGATTGCAGGCATGAGCCACTATGCCCAGGCTAGTTACGATAACATTTTCTAGTAAAGAAACTGATGTGTCTGAGTACAGCTAAAGTTGTTCTTTATATTACATAGAAAGAGGACAATAAACTTAAAACATACACATGGTTATAGGGGATGGTTTCATTCAATTTAAATAAATAAACTTGTTCAAGGACTTTTGCGTTTAAAAGCAAATGAATGTATCAACTTTAAAGGTTCCTCCTTATCTAATGACTAAAGGTGAATACCAGCAAGGCCAATGTAAACAGGGAAGTTCAGGTAGAGCTGACATTAAACCACTTTGCATAGATAAGGTCAAAATGCACTTAAAATATTTAAGTACTTCCATTGTGATTGCTTCAAGCTCCCAAGTTTCCTCGTCTTTTTCCAAGGCTGTTCCTACTTCAGGGCTTTATATATATATTTATATATATATATTTATATATATATAATTTATAAATTTATATATATAAATATATGTGATTTATATATTTATAAATCATATATATAAATTATATATAATTTTATATTTATAAATTATATATATAAATAAATATATATATATATATTTGCCTGAATAACTCAGGCATTATTGCCTGGCAGAGCAGGGGACCTGTAGAACCCTGCTCCAGTTATGACCAGCAACATCCATCCTGATTAGTTGATGCCACATGTTACCAATTGTTAAATAATTTTAATTTCACCCCTTATTTAAGATTACACCTCGAAAATGGTCTACCTTTAAGAATTCTGTAATTGAGATTTTTTTCCTAATTCAAACTAGCCTCCTTTTCTAACTGGTCAAATGTAGTGTTTGTTTTTCTTTAAAACACTGTTATTAGAAGTTAAATCTTTTAATAGAAAAATTGTGTTCATAAATTTATTGACACCTTTTAATTCAATACCAATTTCTATATCTTCTCTACTGAATATACTTTTTAAGTGTAGTTCAATATTTTTCTAATAATTTTCCAAATATGGAAATGTATTCCTTAAGAAGTAGTAACTGTCCTTTCAATTACATACAACCCTTTCTCTTCAATGCAATTCCTTATTTACATTAAATGAAGTTCAGTTCATCTCATCTCAAGCCTGCCTATGGCCCACTGTATTTCAGCTTTCCATGAAAGATGCCACCTGGAAGAGAACAATATTTGTTTTCATTGTGTTCCATTTTGTTTTACTAATTTGCTCTGTACTCAGCCATAATTTTACATTCTTTCTTTAGAAAAGTAATTTCTCCTCTAGTCCAACTTGATCATTTTTTGCTAACATTTTTCAGGAAGTTGTTTTGATGTTGCAGTTTACAGTTTGTGTGCCAATCTAAAGAAAAGAATATTTTTGGTAGTCTTCCAAATAATTTCCACCACCCAACCTCTGTTCAAATTTTTACATAAATTCATGACCAAAATAATTTTGAGATAATTGAGAATTTGTAGTGATTATACCTGTGTCAAGCTGAAGCCTTAAGTGTTCTTTCCAGGATTTTAATGTGGTTGGTATTAGGTGGGCTTCTTTTGTGATGCTGGGATGGGGCAAGGGTGGGAAGTTAAACGTGGGGGTCTAAAAAAGTTTTTCTTTCTATTAAAGTGGCTCAACAATTTAATCTCAGATAAATGCACAGTTTTCCTTATGTCAAGATTTTGTGATTTGGATTTGACACTTACAGAAAAATTAGAATTGTGTATGAAAACTTAGTTACATTTAAAAATCTGGCAAGAGAGAGTAACTCTCAAAGACCACATAACAGATGTAATACTGAACAACTACCAGACAAAAAAGAACACAGGCAGCTGGGAGCAGTGGCTCAGGCCTATAATCCCAGCACTCTGGGAGGCTGAGGCAGGTGGATCATGAGGTCAGGAGTTCAAGACCAGCCTGGCCAAGATGGTGAAACCCCGTCTCTACTGAAAATATAAAAAAAGATTAGCTGGGCATGGTGGCAGGCACCTGTAATCCCAGCTATTCACGAGGCTGATGCAGAGAATTGCTTGAACCCAGGGGGCGGAGTTTGCAGTGAGCAGAGATCACGCCACTGCATTCCAGCCTGGGCGACAGATGAGACTCTGTCTCAAAAAAAAAAAAAAAAAAAGAACACAGGCTATGTGCTTCCATTTGTATAAAATTGAAATGTCCACAACAAAACCCTTTCTGATGGCAGAGATCAGTGTCAGGCCTCTGAGCCCACACTAAGCCTTCATAACCCCTGTGACCTGCACGTACACATCCAGATGGCCTGAAGCAACTGAAGAACCACAAAAGAAGTGAAATAGCCAGTTCCTGCCTTAACTGATGACATTCCACCCTTGTGATTTGTTCCTGCCCCACCCTAACTAATCAATCGACCTTGTGACATTCCTCCCCTGGACAATGAGTCTCAAGCCTGTTTGGTGGTCTCTTCACAGGGATGCACGTGACATTTGGTACCGAAGACCTGGGGCAGGGGGACTCCTTCGGGAGCCCAGTCCCCTGTCCTTGCCCTCAGTCTGTGAGGAGATCCACGTATGACCTCAGGTCCTCAGACCAGCCCAAGGAACATCTCACCAATTTCAAATCAGGTAACCAGTCTCTTCACTGTCTTCTCCAGTCTCTCTCACTACCCTTCAATCTCCCTGTCTTTTCAATTCCAGTTCTTTTTCCTTTCTAGTAGAGACAAAGGAGACACATTTTATCCATGAACTCGAAAACTCTGACCTCAGTCACGGATTTTGGAAGACAGTCTTCCCTTGGTGTCTGATCATAGCGGGGACGCCTGCCCTGATCATTTGCCCACATTCTGTTGGTGTCTGATCACCGCAGGGACACATGCCTTGATCATTCACCCACATTCCTTTGGTGGCAATCCAGTTATGGGGACACCTGCTTTGGCTGCTCACCCACATTACAGCCCACATTACAGCGCTGCTCACCGCCCCCCTGCCCCTTCTCCGTGTCTCTACCTTTCCCTTTAAACTTACTTCCTTCACTATGGGCAACCTTCCATCCTCCATTCCCCCTTCTTCTCCTTTAGCCTGTGTTCTTAAAAACCTAAAACCCCTTCGACTAACACCTGACCTAAAACCTAAACGTCTTATTTTCCTCTGTAAGACCACTTGGCCCCAATACAAACTTGACAATAGTTCTAAGTGACCAGAGAATAGCACTTTCGATTTCTCCATCCTACAAGATCTGGATAATTTTTGTCATAAAATGGGCAAATGGTCTGAGGTGCCTGACATCCAGGCATTCTTTTTTTTTTTTTTTTTTGAGACGGAGTCTCACTGTGTCGCCCAGGCTGGAGTGCAGTGGTGTGATCTCCGCTCACTGCAAGCTCTGCCTCCCGGGTTCACCCCATTCTCCTGCCTCAGCCTCCCGAGTAGCTGGGACTACAGGCACCTGCCACCACACCTGGCTAATTTTTTTTGTATTTTTAGTAGAGACGGGGTTTCACCTCCCTAGTTTCTGTTTCCAATGCGACTCGTCCCAAATCTCTTCTTCTCTCCTGTCTGTTCCTTCAGTCTCCACCCTAAGTTCTGAGTCTTTGAATCCTCCTTTTCTATGGACCCATCTGACCTCTCCCCTCCTCCCCAGGCTGCTCCTTGCCAGGCCAAGCCAGGTCCCAACAATAATTTTCCACTGCCTACCCAAAGTCCTATAAGACTGCCCCTCTCCTATCTTCCTTCGCTGACTCCTTTTTTGGACTCAGTCCCCTGCACCCAGGTGATTAAAAAGCTTTATTGCTCACACAAACCTGTTTGGTGGTCTCTTCACATGGATGCATGTAACAATCAGAGGAGTAGTTATCTTCTGGGAGTGTTGACTGTGAGAAGACTGGAGGGAGCTTTCTGGAGTTATAGATATGTTCTGTATCTTGATCTAGGTGGTAGTTACATAGTTGTAACAATTCATAAAGTAGTACACCTGAGATCTTTGCACTTCACTGTCTGTGAGTTTACCTTAATTTAAAACTTTTTAAAAATTATGTGTTTTTCTGATATAAGCTTGTATAGGCAATCTGAAATATTGTTACAGGTAGTTAGACAGGCATGAGTGGGGCAGGAGCGTGCCCACCCCCAACCACTAGGAATGTCAGGTGATGGTTTGGCAATGGTCACATTGTCTCTCTTAAAGTGATAAATTGGCAGCCAGAACAAAAGAGAGGCCATGTCCTGATGGTCCACACATGTTACATTAAAGTGTTAATTGAATGCAGATGCCAGAGAGAAGCAACTTCCTGAGCATGTGCATTAAGAGACAAAATGGTGGAGTATGGCCTTCTGGGGGCACTCCACCAGAAAAGGGAAGACAGCCTCAGATGGGCATGCATACAACTTCCTAAGTACATGGTGCATGCTCACTTCCTGAGGATATGGAGTGCACTGTGCATGTGGGCGGCCCACCCTAAGGGAGGAATCATGGGAAAGGGGCTAACCTATAGAGTCCTAGGATCAAGGTTAAACACTGCACTTGATCTTCAAGGCGCCTGCTTGGGTCTCTTCCAAGTGAACTCTTCTTTCTTTCCTGTTCTGAAGCCTTTTTAAATAAACTTCCACTGCTGCTCTGAAACTTGCCTTTGGTCTTTTTTTCTGCCTTATACCTCTCAGTTGAATTCCTCTGAGGAGGCAAGAACTGAGATAGCTGCAGACCTGCACGAATTCACTAGTAACTGAGACACCTTCCACTAATAACATATTTGGTGCCGTGAAACTCGGATATTTGTCACTTGCAACAATATGTTCTAAAGGTGAGGGAAATGTAAGACAGCTCCAGCAACGTAAATGCTAGAGAAAAGGAAATCAACATGTTTTAGCCAGATGATGTGAGCTCTGCAGACTAAACATGATTCCATTTAGAACAAGCCAATACTTCAATCAATACAAAGCCTTTATGGTCATCATTATGGTAGTATTCATTTTTCCTTGCTTCTCATTTAGAAAGAGGTGGTTGTATTATTTTTGTGTTTGTTTCAGCAAGCTTTAAGGCTTTAGAATATGAAATAGTACATCAAAAATTTGTTTCCAGTACAACATATTTAGACACAATGTGACATTTAAAAAAGTAAATTTGTTATTGAAGTTAAATATGATGTTGGTTCTTTCATTATATTTAAGACTTAAAGGATTTGTTGTACCAAAAATGAAGGAAAAAGAGAAACAACAAAAAAAGAGAAAACAAAACACAGTTTCTTCAAATCTAAATGTATGGAATAATATTTTAAAAATAAAAATTGTTTGCAGATTCCCTACTTAAATTTTAAGTTAGCACGCACTAGTCAAAAACTTGCCTTAATTTACTGAGCATTTAACTTGTGACCTTTGCTTACTTCTCTTTCACCAAGTGACACATTTCCATTGTCAATTCTCTCTTAAACACATCATTATTTTATGACAGTCAGATGCCATGCTTTTAAGGGAAGAGAGACAATAGCTTTTACTGTTTATCAGACCAAACAGATGAAAGCGAGAAATTTCAAATGAGCAAAGCTATCCTCCAAATTCCCCAGTTCTCTCTTGGACTTGTTTACACTTACAAATCCTAAAGAATTTGATTTGCATTTTAAAGCATTTGCTCTTTCTTTGTAAATATGTAAATAGGCTAGAAGGGTCACTGAAAGAGAGACAGGAGATTTGACCCTTGGCATTACCCATTAATTGTGAAACCTTGAGCAAGGGTGAAAGCTAGATATTGTCAAATAAAAAACAATCAAGACTTTAAAGGTTATCACACACGCTTCTCAAGGATTCAAGGAACTGATTTGCTAATGAAGTTCTTCTTCTTATCACATACAGGCTGCCTATACATTACACATCTTTCTAAACCCTTAGGGGAGATGGGTTTCTACATGGGTATGACAGACTCAAATCTCTATGTTTTCTCTTCTCCTTATGTTACCTATTCAAATAGATAAAACCTTCATTAGTGATATCAATGGATGCTTTTCAGTAAAACTGCTGTTTTAAAGAAACCTATGCTTTACTTTTCAAAGCATCTATTTTCCAAACTATTGTGTGAGAAAACTTCTAGAGTTGAGCAGTAATAGCTCCTAGAAATTCCCAGAGAGGTCACATCATGTGGCTGGTGGTGGCATGGTTTGGAATCACAGCTTTCAACCATTGCTCTGAGTTCACCTGCAACGCATGACTTAACAAAAGCCTCTCTCTCCTTTGTAGAGAGAGAATTACAGGAAATTCTTTTCAGATCCTGAAAAAAAAAGTACCTTAAAGAGTGTCAGCTTTAATATTATGATTGTTCTAATGCAGCTACATATCAATACATATTCCCAGTGATTTACTGAAAGCTGAGTTTAGAATAAGAAGCAAACTTTTACTCTCATGTCACCCTGATACAGCATCCGTTCAGATATCCAAAGACACTTCTAGTTAATAATAGATAATATTTTGATGTAACTATGCACATTTTATGCTTTAAAAGTAAGAGAAAATCAGTTCTAGAGAATATTGCTCAGATAGCCCTGCACACTCAGATAGCCAATGAAATGATTTTTAAGAGGACGCATAGGATGTAGAAACCTGAAATATTATTACAGGAAAAACGTGTTCTTTTAAACCTCTTTCTGCAAGTGTTCGGGCCCATAAGATCTAAAACTGTCAATGTGCCAGTTATATTTTATAGACATGGAAATAAAAACTGAACTCTGTTGTTGCCAGGTGAAAAGATAACCCAAACCTGCTTCAACTAACTTAGCAAGTAGAGAGCTGCATGGAACTGTTTAGAAGGCATCATGTTATAACATGGAAATATGTGTTTCACTGATCGGAGATGATAAGCTCTCTGTCACGTAGTCAGGAATCACCTGCAAGTGATGAATGCAGAGGAGAAGATGCATGACTCAAGTTATCTCATCCACAAGGGACTCATCTTTTATTAACATGAGCATAGAGTCAGAACAAACAAGAAAGGGGGGAGGAATTATTTCACATTTTACTTGAAAGTTCTCATTTATTGAAATGACTGATAAAATGCTCTATGAACCTCTGCAATAAAATTGCTTTCAAGGACCAAAACATGAATTTCCAGGGAGTTTTGTGTGTCTTTTGAAAATATGTGGATAAGTTAACACAGTACATAGTCTTTACAAAGACCAAAAGGATTTTTAAGACAGTTGCACATGGGTCTCTGTCTTCATACAGAACTTTTTGTTGCACTGTGCCTTTAAAATATGATTTTAATAAGTGAACACATTGTATTTTGAGTAAATTTTCTTTAGAACAGAGAACTTGATTAATTACTCTGCACCAAAATATACATGTGGATTTATATGTGGATTGTGAGATTATCTCATAATAGTATAAAAAATACCTTCGTTGATTCTTTTTTCATCCTTGATGGTCTAAATGTCTTCTATTGGCTCATATGTAGTTTTCTTTGAGCAATCAAAAAGAATATTTTTCTTTTTTTGTTGTTGTTGAGACAGAGTCTCACTCTGTTGCCCAGGCTGGAGTGCAGTGGTGCGGTCTCGGCTCACTGCAGCCCCCATCTCTCGGGTTCAAGTGATTCTCCTGCCTCAGCCTCCTGAGCAGCTGAGATTACGGGCATCTGCCACCACGCCCAGCTAATTTTTGTATTTTTAGTAGAGACAAGATTTCACCATGTTGGCCATGATGGTCTCGAATGCCTAGCCTCAGGTGATACGCCCACCTTGGCCTCCTGAAGTGCTGGGATTACAGGTGTGAGCCACTGAGCCCAGCCAAAAAGAATATTTTTCTATACTGATCAAAGTGAAAAAAGAATCTCGTATCTGTACGCTCATGTTTATTGTAACACTATTCACAATAGTCAAGTATAGTTTTGCGATACTATTAGAATCAACCTAAGTGTCCATCAAGAGACAAATGGGCTGGGTGCAGTGGCTCATACCTGTTCTCCCAGGACTTTGGGGGGCCAATACAGGTGGATTGCTTGAGCCCAGGGGTTTGAGACCAGCTTGGACATGATGAAACTCCATCTCTACAAAAAATACAAAATTTAGCTAGGCTGGGTAGCCCATCACTGTGGTCCCCAGCTACTCAGGAGACTGAGGCAGGAGGATTGCTTGAGCCTGAGAGGTCGAGGCTGCAGTGAGCTGAGATTGTGCCACTACACTTCAGCCTCGGCAACACAGTGAGCTCTTTTTTCAAAAAATAAATAAATAAATAAATAAAATAACCCTTCCAAAACAGATGCATGATGGAATATTATTCAGCCATAAGAAAGAACAAAATGCTGTAATTTGTGATAACATGGATGAACCTGGAGGACATTATGTAAGTGAAATAAGTCAGGCACAGAAAGGCAAACACCACATGATCTCACTCATATGCAAATCTGAAAAAGTTGATCTCATAGAAGTAATGACTATAACTGTGGTAACTAGAGACTGGGAAAAGGTAGGAGGAAGGGGAAGATGAGGAAAGGATAGTCAGCAGATACAAAGTTACAATTAGAAAGGACAAATAGGCTGGGTGCAGTGGCTCACCCTGTAATCCCAGCACTTTGGGAGGCTGAGGAGGGTGGATCACCTGAGGTCAGGAGTCTGAGTCCAGCCTGATCAACCTGGTGAAATCCCGTCTCTACTAAAAATACAAAAATTAGCCAGGCATGGTGGCACATGCCTGTAATCCCAGCTGCTCAGGAGGCTGAGGCAGGAGAATCACTTGAACCTGGGAGGCGGAGGTTGCAGTAAGCCAAGATTGTGTCACTGCACTCCAGCCTGGGTGACAGAGCAAGACTCAAAAAAAAAAAAAAAAAAAAAAAAGAGAGAGAGAGAGAAAGGAAGGAAGGAAGGAAAGAAAGAGAGAGAGAGAAAGAAAGAAAGAAGGAAAGAAAGAAGGAAAGAAAGAAAGAAAGAAAGAAAGGAAAGAAAGAAAGAAAGAAAGAAAGAAAGAAAGAAAGAAAGAAAGAAAGAAAGAAAGAAAGAAAGAAAGAAAGAAAGAGACAAGTAAGTTCTGTTGTCCTATTGCACGGTAGGGTGACTATAGTCAGTAAGATGTATTACAAAATAGCTAGAAGGGAGGATTTTATATGTTCCCATCACAAATACATGATAAATGTTTGATATGATGGAATGTGAATTACTTTAATCAATACACAATGTATACATGTATCAAAACATCACATTGTATCTCCAATTATTATTTGTTCATTACAAATAAAAAGCTTTTAAAAGTAAAAAATAATTTCAGAACCGGAAGATTTTTTTTTTCCCAGAATTCTTAAGGCAGAATTCTAGTTTTGCAGGGGGGATAGAATAAGTCCCTTGAATGTAGACGCACACCTATGAAGACATAAGTCTTAGCCAAGCAAGTTTTATATAAAAGTTGTTGATAACTGGGTTTGCATATGCTGAGCACCCGACTCTTGACCTCACTGGATTTCCCAGCTACCTTACTGTAATTCTACACTTGAAAACTACAAAAATTCATTTTGAATGTGCTCAAGATTTTTTTCCCACTCCAGATTGATTCCTAACGTTCTCCAACTTCTTTCTGGCACTGAGCATGCTGTCATTTACTGTATCAACCAAGTTCCTTTCTGTTTGGCTTCAGTTCGGGTTTATGCAATGGGAGATGTATTCGTTTGCTATCCTGCCATAAGAGAGTACAACAGATTGGGTGGCTTAAATAATAAAAGTTTATTTTCTTACAATTTTGGAGGCTAGAAATCTGAGATCAAGTTGTTGGCAGGGTTGATGTTTTTCTGAGGCCTGTCTCCTTGCCTTGTCATGGGATATCTTCTGTCTTACATGGTCTTCCTCTGTGTGTGCCTGTGTCCTAATCTCCCCTACTTATAAGGGCACCAGCCATATTGGATTAGGGCCCACCCTAATGGCCTCATTTCCAGTTACTTCTTTAAAGACTCTATCTCCAAATACAAGTACTGAGGGTTAGGACCTCAGCATATGAATTTTGGGGGACACAAGTTAGCACATCACAGGAGGTACATGTAAAAGATCAGAGAGACATGTTGGGTAATTTTCCCCTTGGCTATGTATTGTCTTCCCTTAGCTGACTTTCTCTAACTAAGAGCATTCCTCTTGCTGGGTGGCCACTCTCCTACAGCTACTTTTTCCAACTAATGGATTCTGGTAACTGCTACCTTCACTTGTCCAGCTGTTAGTAGTGCTAGGTTGCTTACTATTCACTGCTTGTTTTCCCTGGTCCTTGCCATACTTTATAAATAGATCTTTTATAAAACTGTGTCCAATTATCTCTTCTGAATATGCCATCTGAATATTGCCAGGTCTCTGAGCAATAACAATGAAAAAGATTCTGCATAATAAAAAGAGAACTAGATTTTATTGTATAGTTTATATAATAAAAATTGTATATCATGAACTTCAGAAGATAGACCGGGGTTCTGATTTCTAATTTGCTCCTTAGTAAGTTTAAAGTAAGTCTCTCATCCTGATGTTGCTAGGTGAAGGATCTTTGGGCAGAGTTCTTCATTTTCTCAACTTTGACAAGTTTTCCAGTTGTGTGTATTAATACCAGATTCTATTAATGCTATTCTTAAGTGTGGGTGGGAAATAACTTCTTCCAATTTTCTTTGCAAAATGTCTCTCACTAAATATTTATAAGCTCAGAAATCACTATTCTCTATTTGTGTGGTCCTCAAATTTTCCATCTTTCTCTAATTTTAGGGCATAAATTTCTTCAGCGACTGCTTCTGCATTATAACAAGATGCTGTGACAATTAGAAGAGTAACTTTCAAACTGAGAAACAAGCAGGAAATTGTGATCTTTCCTGCAGCACCATACTCATGCCCCTCCTTCTAACTGCTCTTTCCTATACCTGCTTCTATTGGTGAGCAATATACATGATGCACACTCATTTATTTCAGAATAATGATTTCAATTTTCCCAGTAAATATTTCTGGATCACACTTGTTTCACTGGCAAATACTTTTTTTAGTGTACAGTATAATATTCCAAAATAAATATGTTTCAGGTCTCCCAGGAAACAAGTTTCACAAGTTGGTAAATATATGTCATACGCTTTCCGTGGTTTAGTTCCAAGGGAAACAAAAAGGATTTCTTCCTGCTTTAGCCATACTTTTGAGACACTGCATTGCAAGCAGAGAAGAGGGACTTTGTTTTTTAAAAATATGATGAATATTTGATGTTGAACAATGTTATATATTCTTTGACATCATTAGCTTGCTGGAGTTGTATAATAACTGCAGAATTATCTAGATGACATTCACCTGATATATAATGCAATTTTTGAAATAACTGGTTCTTATTCACTTCCACTTGTATAAATCATTGATTCATTTAGAGACATTTTTTGAAACAGTTCAGCCTATGGCTTCACCTATAACATGCCTGCTGAGGGCATGGAATATTCCAGGATGTTGGAAATTATTTTGCTTTCTGCTAACTATCCAAGAGCCACATGGATTCAAACTACAGTCCCTGTAACCAAAACACTCAATGTAATATATTCACAAGAATGAAGCTTCTGTCCCAAAATTTTCCCATAAAAGTAAATCGAAAAACATTGTGTTAACTATGTGAGTGTATGCCAGTCTGTACATGTATACAGTTTATGCTACATGTGTGGTAAGATATAAGGCAATTCCTCATTCATCTTCCCCACTGGGTTATAAGCAACTACAGATGAATACAATTCTGTCAAGATTAGCACCAAGATGATGGACTTCATAATTTTTTTAAATTTTCATTAGATTATTTTATAATTTCAAGATTTGACACTTACCTTAGAAGTGACTTCTGAAGGGGACAGTAGTCCCCGCTTATCTGTAGTTTTTTCTTCAGTGGTTTCAGTTACCCATGGTCAACCATGGTCCAAATGTATTAAATATCAAATTCCAGAAATATCAAACTGAGAAGTATTAAATTGGACACTATTCTAAGCAATGTGATGAAATCTTGCAGATGCCCACTCTGTCTAGACTGGAAAATGAATCATCCCTTTTTCCACTGTATCCACACTATATATGCTACCTACCCATTAACTGTATAAGAAAAAACACAGTATATGTAGGGTTCAGTACTATCTGTGGGTTTAGGCATCCATGGGAGGTTCTGGAACACATCCTCCACAAATAAGAGGGAGATGTAGATACCTCAGACTTATGAATTCTCAGGATACTTTACCACATTCCCAGTGGTCTTTGTTAACCAATGAAAATTGACAATATCATTCTCTTTTCCACACCGATCAAAGATAAAACAGCCTTTCACATTGTTTGACAGAAAATTTTCCCTTGTATTGTACAAAACAAAGGCAGGGGGCAAGCATTAGCCTTAATAAGTGATGACTAAAAACACAAATTCTGGCAAGTGCTGCTCCCTGATCCATTACAGCTTTCATCTGAGGGGCAGCACACACACCCATATAGACTTTGGAGCTGGTCTGCCAAGTTCAAATATTGCCTTAGCCAGTTCTTAACTGTATCACTTAACCAATGACCAAAGTCACTTTGCTGAGTGGCAGCTTCCCTCCTCTCTAAAATAGGGATAATAAGGTACCTATCCATTAGGGTTGTTAAGAGTGAACATTTTAAAAATACTTAAAATTGTGCTATATAAGCACTGCGTAATCAATGAATTCTGATATAGAAGTGATAATCTCTCATCTACATTTTTAAGACTTGAGTCCTGGCAATTTATACATGACTATCATGGCAACTAGCAGTAGCTGGAGTGCTTCTGCATCTAAATATCCAGGTGCTTATCTCAGTAATAGAACCAGATATTTCCGTCCTGTTTGGACAAAATTCCACATTGCTTTAAAGACTCCAAATAGGGAACCTCATTAAGCAGTCAGCTAAATTCTTTACTTTCACAGTTATTCATCTTGGTATAAAATTATTTAAGTTTGTAATTTAGCCAAAATGAAGGCTAAACTATGATACTTGAAATATAAAATCAATAATGTTTTTTTCTATAGGGTTACAACAAGCATGTAAAAGTTAGGATTTTTTTTTAAGATATTAGAATGAGAATACTACTAAGAAAATGTGTGTGGCTTTTTACAAGTTGTTTTTAATAAATTAAGTTAAAAAAAAAAGGGGAAGATAAAAATGTTTTCTTTGCCCCATAAGGGAGAAAAACAAATTCCACAGTGTTCAGGATCTCTCTTTGGAAATATGTGTTTCATGGAGTTAAAATGTTCCATTGATGTGTTGAGATTATTTGGTGTGTTTCTCATCCTAAAGAAAATATTCATCCTATGTCACACACAAAGAATCCTCCCACATAGAAGGAGAAATTTGCCATCAGTTTTTTTAAGCATTTCCTTTCAGACATGGCTTAGCACGTGTTTCTTAATAACTTAAAAGTCCCCAAATGTATTTTCAGACAATGTGAAAATAAGATGATTCTTAGAGGATTACAGAGGCGCAGAACATTGTCTATCTGCATCTAGCAGCCTGCATCTTAATTGTGCTAGAAAAAGTCAAAAAAATGCAATCCTTAAGTTTGTATTGTTTAGAGATGATATCAATAGGCCAAAAAAAACATTGTTGGGCTTATTTTATAAATTTAATGTTTGAGTTAGGAACCCTAAATATTTGAATCATTCAGAGCTTATTTAATTTTTAGACTTCATAGCTTATAAGAATTTCCTCTTTCTAATTACAATAATGCTATCAGAAATATCTTTTTTCACACAAAACTAATATATATTCAATAATGGGCACATGATTAACCTTTAAATAACTTAACTTAAATGCTATCTTTAGCATGTGTATTTTATTCACTCTATGATAGTACAGCATTTGTCAAGATTCCTGAACTCTTAATATAATTGCTTTGTGTTCTGATCCAATACCAATATAAAAATAATAAAAATTATTTTAGTATTGACTACTCTCTATTGCCTGTACAAGGCTAGTTTCTTTATGAGCATAACAAAATACATAAGAATTAGTGGCTTGCTTCTTAATTAGTTTCATGCTATTAAGTTCCTATGAAACACTTTTAATACTATACTATTTTTGTATTAAGTACTTTACATAAAGATAATGCTGTTTCTTTTTTTTAGCTTTTAACAATAGCAACAAAGATGATAAAATATCATGAACTGAAAAAAAATATCTTTTTAATGTTTCTGAACTCAAATATAAATTCATTTAACACAGCCTATTTTTGGGTAGTCATAATTACAATGAGTCTATTCTTGAATTATAAAAAAAAATCAAACATTTTCAACAGCAGCAAGTACAATGACTAGACTTGGCAGTGCACATATATAACCTAAAACTTGTGAGGGAGCTAATAAAAAAAGATTAACTCTCAGAGTAAGCTCTTATTTGTTCTTCAGATCAGCCAGAAGCTAAGTCTGTAGCTGAAAATTAAGCTCCTTAAAGCAGGGTAAAAGGAACAAATCTGAAGTATAAATGATAAAGTTTCCAAGTTTTTGGCAATCTCTTCTCTCCTTTACCTGCATGATAGCCATTTTTTAAACTAAAACTCTAAAGCCTGTCAGTGATAAATCTAACAACATAATTACAGACTTGGCATTGCTCTTACTTTTGTTGAACATCACGACTCGTTGAAATGTTTGCTTGCCTTTCTAGTGAATATGAATAACCCAATGGAATAAATGCAGTGATTGGAAATGAATCTACATCTCCAGTATTAACCTTCCACATGAGCCACAGATTTATAACTTGATGCCAGCTACTACCATGATATGTCCAGCCACTCCTAAAATCTACAGTTTAATGTATTGTCTTCTTCTGCAAACAAAACACCCTAGTCATCGGTCAAGTGTGCCACCTTCATTCTGACTTAGATTTATTTTCTTTAGCCTGTGCCCCCTAATTCCCTTATATATACTAATCAAAATATCCTGTTAATATTCCCTTTTGGCCAATCACTCTCAAATTTACTCCTATACCATTACCGCTATCAATACCTAAACTGCGCTTATTATAATAATAGTTTTAGTTTACTTCTCCACATCTTAAATAATTCTAAGTATGGCTACTATATTAATAGTCATTTCAAAAAGACCAAAAACTAGTATTTATGTCACATTCACCTCATAAGAACTAGATAGCAAGAATCTCAAGATAGCAAGAATCAAATTCTTCGAACTAGAACCAAACGTCCTTCATTAACTGATGCCCTATTAACACAAATTAACTGTTGTAATTTACATTTTATAACTTTCCCGTGGAATTTTCTTCCCAGCTGACCTTCACCTCCACACTCAAGCAAAACATCCTCAGTTGTGCTGTCATGTAAATACACTATGTTAGCACTCTACCTCTGTTGTTTATAGAGCCTGGAATGTCCTCTATGATGACCTTCACCAATTCATACCCAACACTCTTCAGAAAAATCCAGCTTGAAGCCAGGTGCGGAGGGGCACACCTGTAATCCCAGTTACTTGGGAGGATTGCTTGAACCCAGGAGTTCAAGACCAGCCTGGACAACATAGCAAGACCCTGTCTCAAAAAAAATAAAAGTCTAGCTTAACACTCATCAGGTTTAAAATGCGCTAAGCATTCAATAAATATATCTTGTGTAAGGAGCCAAGGAAAAACTTCCCCTCCATCCTCTGGAGGTTCACTGAAAATCAACTGATAAAAGACACATTAATAGGAGAAAACACGTATAAATGTATTAACATTCATAGAAGAGAATCACAGAGAAATTGTCCTACCAGGCAATGAGGTACAGATGGTTATGTTCCCTATTCTTAGGGGAAACAGAAATAGGGAAGCGTGAATGACTTTAGGTGGGGGTAATAAATGATTTTTATTGGAATTCAATGAGCTTGAAGAACATACAATTGCCTGGGACAAAGTCTTTTGGGCCCACAGAGCAGACAATGGTTTGTGGCAAAAGTCTGTCCAGGTTTGTTGACAGACTGCAGTCTTCCTGTGATATGAGTTCAGTTAATGAAAACTCAGGTGTGGAACCAAAGGTAATTGTATTCTGCTTTGGTAGGTCCAGATTTCAGGCAGATAAAAATCTTTAGAGAACATTATAATCCTGTGCTTTGGGAGAGACAGAGCACTGAAAAACAGGAGGTAGGGGATCACAGAGAACTTGAGGCTTCTTCTTCAGTTTAGCATGTCAAAACACCATGTTTTGGGGTATCCGTTTCTGTGCCCCAACACTTGAATACCTACTGTTTCCCTCAGGATATGCAGTAATCTTGGCTGCATAACAATAGAACCTCAGTGGATTAAAATGTAGGTAGGATCACTCATTTAAGCTACATGTCCATCTTAGATCTACAGAGGCATCCGCTCTATGTGATCTTCACTCAGCTGCCAGCCTGTTGCAGTCTAGAGTATTTGGAATCTACCTGCTTCTATGGTGGAAAGAAAGAAATATGGGGAAATCACGTGCCAGATCTGATAGTGAACTGAAAGTGACACACATCATTTTACTCCTCACGTTCCAGCCCTAACTATGTGATACCAAGGTTGTGCAATCCTACCATTTGTTCAGAAGGAGAACTGGAAATATTACTGAGTTTCATCATGTGGCTTGAGATGATAGGTTGCAAGCTGATCTTAAGTGTGGGATATTTTTTCTCTTCACTCTCCTCCACCTGTATAATAATATGTAGTCATCCTGGACTCACCAAAACCCCCACATTATAACAAGATCTCATATTGATAGCTCTAAGCTTCTATCCTGTTATAAAATAGGAGTTAACACAGACCCAGTCATTGAAGCAAGCACCTTGGTAAACCTGGTTCTTAGCTTTTCATACTTCTCAGAGCTTTAGATAAAGAGCTTTAGATAAAGAGCCTGTGGCACTCACTAAAGCAGTAACCCTCTTTCCAGCAACATGATAGAATAGTACTACATGAGACCATGTTACCAGTGTTAGCCGATGACTTCCAGCGTAAAGTGATATTTCACTACCAAGCACACAGTAGCTAATGTGAGACCCTCTAGAGCCCTTTAATCTTAATGCAGATGTCAGCACATATAAAGGCAGAGGCTTCTACATCAACCTTAGTCTAAAATGAACACAAACCTCAATGAGTGAAGACTCCTTATCAGCCTCTGATGCATATGTAGCTGAGCACAAAATCAACTTTTGTCATTTTTAAACCAGTAGATTTTGGAGCTGCTTGTCAATATCATAATCTAGGTTATATTGACTAATATAGATCCTTATGAAAGCTGTAACTCAGAGTGATAGTAAGAAGCTTTTTATTCTTTCTAATGGAATGCTGCAACAAGCCCTCAGTGCTTTCAGAAGCTGAGTCAGGCTTGGATCCCCTGGGATGGGGCATTTTGGATTTTGTTTTCTCCCAGAGTCAAACTCTGGCTGACTTTGTTTGCTTTTGAAGCTAGATCCCACCAGCTCAGGCTACAGTGTGGTGTTTCTATTCCACTTTTGGTACATAAAGATATTTATATTGTTTATGGATATTTATTTTGATGTTTTAAAAATTATTTTACCTCTCATTGATGTGTTTGGCATGGAGAGAGGATTTAAAACAGGCTTTCAAAGTGTCACCTCCTCCTACACTTTTTATGGGTTTCAACTTTCAAATCCTCATGTCAAGTCAAGCATTTGCCAACACTAGGGTAGAAAAATATATTCAAGGTCTATAATAAGTCAGGATTTTTCTAACCAAGGCATTATTAACATTTTGGGTTGGATCATTCTTTGTTGTAGAAGGCTGTCTTGTACATCGTAGGTTGTACGGCAGCATCTCTGGCTTCTACCCAGTAGATTCCATTAGCCATGCTTCTCCATTCCCCCGAGTCTCAACAATCACAATGTCTCCAGACACTGACAAATGTCCTCTAGAGAAAGAGAGCATAATCACTACCAGCTGAGAACCAGCTGAGAATTCAGTGACCTGAATAACTCCAAAAGAAGAGTATCAAAAATGTATTTAGTCATTACTAGAATAATTATTAAGAATAAAGACTCTTTAGATAATTGGGAATATGTATATATTTCAAATTTATATGTGTGTGTGTGTGTATCAGATGGACCCTTTTTTTTTTTTGCAAAAAAAGTTATCTTACCATTTTATTACATATTTCACAAAAAGAGTAGTAACTAACAATTCAAGATATAATGTATTAGTTGCCATAAGCATGCCAGAGAGAGTTCCTGTGGCACATGGGTATCAGTTGGTGTCTTCCTGTGCCTTATTAGGATGGACAACTCATTTCCATTTACCTGGGACTTTCTCAGTTTAAGCACTGATTGCTTAACACCCAGGAAAGCCCAAAGGCAAACAGATGGATGTTCACTGCTAGAGACTTACTGTTTATGCCCCACCCCCAACCTCCCTTCCAAAATTTGTATTCTGAAACCTAATGGCCAATATGAAGGTATTTGAAGGTGGAGTCTTTGGGAGGTAATTAGGTCATGAGCACTCACCCTCATGAATGGCATAAGGTATTAGTACCCTTATGAAAGAGACCCCAGAAAGCTCCCTGACCTTTCTACTATGCAAAATGCAGCAAGAAGACAGCCATCTATAAACGAGGAAGTGGCTCTCACCAGACACTGAATCTGCAAGCACCTTGACCTTGGACTTTCCAGCCTCCAAAACAGAATTAAATTTCTATTGTTCATAAGCCACTCAGCCTATGGTATTCTGTTATACCAGCCCAAATAGAAAAGACAGCCATCCTACAATAAGGGGTAGCAATTCTATCAGTGTGTGCCAGTGGAAAGTTCATGTTAACCTTAAGAATCTGGCTAAATTTTAAGGAAAAGATACTTCTTTATCCACCTCTAGCTCCTATTTCCTGCTTTTTATGAATTTTACTTTTTGCATTAAATCTTAAGGCTCTTTATTAATTTCCTTATTGCCATTTAAACAAATATAGACTTTATACTCTATCTCAAAATAAAAGAGAAAGAAAACGTTCAAAACGCCTTTTGTGTAGAGTAGAATCTCTTGAATTTACACATTTGAATATCACAGAAACATAATTTAAAATAGAATATCAGATATGCCAGCTTTTAAAATTTCCAACATAAATCTGCCATGTTTTACATGCATTTACTTTCTCTTTTCTATTGAACCCCATACCCCAACACACACCCCTGCCACACTCCCTGCTCTTTTCTCTCCTTCTCTTCCTGCTTATTCTTGTCAGAGTATTTTAACTCATGAGTCTATTTCCGTAACTCTGGAAATCTATCCCCTCAAGGTCTCACTGTTTTCTTCAGTTATTCTATCAAAGATTCTTTGTTTTCTATGCACAAACAGAGACTTTCCTCAGATGAATTCTGGAGTGTTTAGTAAAATAATGTTTCTTTCACCTTATCAAACATGTTATATGAATTTGTAGAAGGAAGAAAGTGTTCTGGCTAGCGATTACAGAAGACATTTTTCCCATGAGCAGAAACAAAAACAACAAAGGCACGGTGGTGAGATAAGGCGTAGTCTAGCATGGCTGGAGAGGAGGATCTGTGGAAGGAGATATGTTTAGAAGATTAGGTTGGGAATACTTGAGAGAGGTTAAATGCCAGTGATAGACTTGGGAATATATTTCATAAGAAGTAAAAAACCACTGAGTAATTTTAAGTAATTAGATTAAAACTTCTATATATTAAAACTTCTATATATTAAGCCAGCAAACAATTATCCTTCCTTTATTTCATTCACTTTTATATTACCTTCTTATTGGTTAACCTAGAATATATGCTCAATATTTAACACTGTAATAGTGCAATTGCCTCTGTGGTAGAAATTTTACATTATCTTTTCTCTTTCCATTGCCTAGAGTGGTCTGAAATTGATATAAAATGTAAATTAAGTTTCCTGAGTAATCTTTATCAATTAATGTTATTATCAGAAAATTTACCATCCAATATATTGTGCATTCCTTTTTTATTTGAAAAAAAACCATGCTATTATTAGGAACCCCAAACAAAATGCAACTGAATAAAAGAAAAACTTCTAAAGTAGTAATACCACCTAGTTTCTATTTTCCCTCTGGCAAACCAGACTTTCTCCTCTAAAAACAAAATAAAGTATATCAAGGTAAGGTATTTAAAAACTTTACATTTCATGTACTCTTAAGCTTTTCAGGGTAATATTCAGTAACATTTTAGATTCTCATTTTCCATGTCAGAGTTCACATGGGATTTCATTCAGAAAATAATTGAAACCATTTTCTGTCTATAAATTACCAAGCGTACTGTGGAAAAGTTATTTGCAGTCTGTTGAATCATCAGTCAGCAAGAGTTTTTGCTTCTCTCTGATTTTAGTTCTTCGTCAAGGAATCATTTTTGCTGAATTTTGTATTATATATATGTAAAATATATACACACACATGCATACCTCAATAATGAATGTTTTTACCCTCTTGCTACTTTTGGTCTTTTTTTCTGTCCTTTGTTCATTTATATACATAATTTTGAGCTAGATCTCCAGAAAATATCATACTCATTTTGTTAGCTGAATATCACTAAGCTTCCAGTGTTTTCCATCTGCATGTGTACATTGTTTCTTACAATAAATGAAACAGAATAAAATTAAAAATACAATACTGCAAAATGTACCCACAAAGAGACCAAAGTCTTACACCTATATCCGTGTTCCACATTCCTTTAAATAAAAACTCAATACTAAATTTCCCCTTAAGCAAAATTCAATTGAGAAAGAAAACAACACATACTGCATTTTCCTAGTGTCACTGAACTATAAAGGAATCACCATTAAGGTACTCATATTGTGTTAAACCTTTTTTCTCCCTAACAATTTACTTTAATGGATAAAAGAGAAAGAACGAAAAAAAATTTCCATTGCCTCACTAATATAATTACTAAGCATCTGCAATGGCTCCAAGGTAAAAGCAATAAAATTATGACAAATATACAACAAATATATGTGGCCAAATTGCTTGAGAGATCCATTATATGCAATTTTTTTGTGTTTCTTTATGTAGGTCTGACTTTCACATAATAGGGCAACAATGATTATTCTTAACATTACCAGGTTTGTTCCCTTAACCAGCTCATAGGCTAAAAATTCCACTTTCTCAATTAACCTTTGAGAGCACCCAGAGCCATTTAATTTGCTATTTCTGAAATGTTGCTTGTTAGGAGAAAAAATTGCCATCCTCATGAACCATTTGCACCCATGCTGGCAGGACAGGATTCCGGCATAGTTCCATCTGGGCCTAGCTTATTTTCTGAATATCTCTTTCAGTTAGTCTTTTCTTTGTGTGCTAGCATCTTCTTCAAGCTGTTTCCCAATATTGTTGGAAGGTGGAGACTAGCAGCTATTGGGGGCAATATTGTTCATATCTCAAGAGCAAGCCAGCAGTATTAATTTCTACAATCACCAAAGTCCTGAAATTCACACTGATTGGACTGTCCCTGAATCAATGCCCGTGATCAGGCAACTGTAACATGCTCACTTACTAACCCTGGATTATCTGAACATTTGGCTATTGCTAGTTAGATAGGAAGAGCCTGACTGGTTTAGATAAAGGATTCACGCCAGGGCTAAGTGTTGAGCTAAACCCACCAAATGAAATGCCGCTACACAGTGGGACACAGAGAAATTGGCTGTTGAGAGGAAGGCACACAGTATGTTTTTGTCACTGATCAGGTTTTCCAAGGCAGATTCTGAGAGCGAGGTTTAGTTTATTGGCATCTCTAATAAACTGTTTATTAGAGAGTTCCCTTGGGATCAACACCTGTAAAGAGAGGGGAGGAAAGCTGGAGTGGGGAGAGCAGCAGGCCTAATGACAGGTTTTACCGACCCTATGAAGACTTCTGAAGCCAGAGTCATCCTTCAGTGGGTCAAAGGGTCAGACTTTTATTCTCCCATGTAGATCAGCCACCAGATGTGGCGGACTGGGAAAGGGGTGTGACTTTGGTAGCTCTCAGCAGGTGAGGCAATTCCTGAAGCGCTGAGAGCACACCTAGATGCTGGGGCAGCAAGTCCTTCACCAAAGGGAAATGTGGGTAGTACCTCCCCTAGAAACATGTGACACGTGAAACTCTGTACATAGACATGTATGCATATGCATATAATGCACTGGTTAAACTCTGAAAACTCATTATTTTTCAAGATGACAATGCAGCTCAGAGATTGGTTTTATTAATTCTTCCAGCTGATCAGAGCTTGATTGACTCAGAATGTAACATTTTTCCTTTACTTGTACAAGCATTCCAAGTTAATCTTAAATCTTGAAGAGGCAAAACACAGGGTCAAAATTGATATTGGAAACATCGGTCCACTTTACGTTTTAGCTTTGCAAGCCAAACACGAGTTTTTGGGTTACAAAACAAAACAAAACAAAAAACAAACTATGCAGCACCATAACATCACCCTCCCCCAGACTAATAAAATGAACAAAAATAGCTTTAAATCAAGAAGAAAAAGAAAAAGAATTCTTTTATAAGCAGCAACCAAATAAGGACACAAGAACAAAGTGAAGCCATAAATCTCAAAAAGCAAAGTTAAAAAATGAAACAGAAGAGTCTAATAGGATAGTTGTCAGCTCCCTTGCTCCCCAAAACAACACTGAAAAAAGGAATGACTACAAAATCCTCTGAATTCTCACTAAAATCTTCCATTTAGAAAAATGTAGACTGGACTGGGCGCAGTGGCTCACGCCTGTAATCCCAGCACTTTGGGAGGCTGAGGCGAGTGGATCACGGGGTCAGGAGTTTAAGACCAGTCCGGCCAAGATGGTGAAACCCTGTCTCTACTGAAAATACAAAAATTAGCCAGGCTTGGTGGCAGGCACCTATAATCCCAGCTGCTAGGGAGGCTGAGGCAGAGAATTGCTTGAACCTAGGAGGCAGAGGTTGCAGTGAGCCAAGATCGTACCATTGCATTTCAGCATGGGCGACAGAGCAAGACTCCATCTCAAAAAAAAAGAAAAAAAGAAAAATGTAGACTGGGGATAAGCCCTTTTAATATTTTTTCTTCCCTTACTGTTCTGTATAGTTTGAATTTTTATAATAAATTAACATATATTATTTAAATGACTATTTATGTAAAACATCAAAATAAGAACTAAAAACTTACTCTATGTGTCCGTTAAATAGTACCTACTTAAAATTGTCAGCCTGATACATGAGAATGTGAGGGCTGATCTTGGCCAATGTATATTCTGCTAATTGATTTGCTTCAATAGATAGGCCTCCAAAAAAAATGTATTTATTTATTTAGAGACAGAGTCTCACTCAGTTACCCAGGCTGGAGTGCAATGGTGCAATCTCAGCTCACTGCAACTTCTGCTTCTCGAATTCGAGTGATTCTCCTGTCTCAGCCTCTGGAATAGCTGGGATTACAGGCACATGCTACCACAACAGGCTAATTTTTGTATTTTTAGTAGAGATGGGGTTTCACCATGTTGGGCAGCCTGGTCTTGAACTCCTGACCTCAAGTGATACACCTGCCTTGGCCTCCCAAAGTACTGGGATTACAGGCATGAGCCACCATGCCCGGCCAAATTTTTTTTATTTAAAATGAGTAATAGAAATTATATATCAGTTTTCTGCAGGAGCTTATTCTAAATAAATGAAAATATGTCTTATATATCACTTTATTATTTTGGCAATATACACTGATATAATAAATTTTCTTTCCCAAGACCTTTATGTTACACTTTTCTATAGTTCTTTAGTCTAGGTAGTATGAGTGACAAATCAAAACACTTATTTATTCAATTTTCACAGCCATGTGTTCTTACCCTCCCAATCTTGTAGAGCGTGAACATCATCCACTCTCATCATTCATTTTAAAATTTTGCCTAGCACTGTGCAGAGCATTGTGGGAAATCCAGGAAACAGTATCTACTCCCAGTAAGCTCAGAACAGGCCCCTGGTAGCTATTGTGTCTGCCAATAACAAATGTTCCACAGGTAACTACTAGCTGGGATGTCCCCCAAGGATACTCCTCGAGGTCCCATTATGTATTACAAAAACCAAACTTTCAGGTCTCAACGTAATGGTCCTAGAAGCCTACCAAGTAAACATTCAAGGGATATGGGAACACAGGTTTAGCAGATGATTCTTCTCTCTCTACTCTCCCTCTTCCCTCGATCATGTTTCTAAGCAGCTGAACATAAAGAAAAATAAGTTGGGGAGGCGGTAGGTGTAAAGAGGTTGGAAGAAAAAAAAAAGAAAAGAAAATGTGGCTAAAAGAGGAAGAAGAATGCCTGTAACTAAATCCAGTCCTCAAAGACCACTCTACGCCAAGGTTATTCGATCATCATCACTGACTATGAGTGCCAGGAGACCTAAGTTGAAGTGACAGATGTACCATTAACTCCTTCTGTGACTTGGGCAATCTATGTGGCCTCTTCATACCTTAATTTCCTTGTTTGTAAATTGGTGATAGATAAGGGCCTAGTATTTTTTAGGGTTAATAAGAGAACTGAGTACATGAAAGCACTTTATAAATGGTAGCATGCTATAAAAACATAAATGCAACTGGATGTTCCAGTTGTACCCAGCCCGAACTAATTTAGAATCAGTTTGCCTAATCAGTGGGATGATGACTACTCCAGAAAGCTATTTGCATGTGTTGTGGGTGGGCAGAAGGTATTTTACTTTCAGGCTGAAGGAGAAAAGAGAGACAGAAAGAGAGAACCCAGACATTAGGGCTAGTCTAGGAAAAGGAAGTGAAAACGGAGAATTGAGAGTGTCTTTTTTCAGTCAGTATAACATGCTTTTTATCCCCAGTGGTGGTAAGAATTAAAGCAAATACTGAAGAAGATATTTAGATGAAATTCTCTGTTTTTCTACGTGCTAACGTGGTTTCCTGGCTCAAGCGACAAAATGTGGCAGTAGGCTCACTGTTTCCACAACCATCATAGATCCCCACTGGTATTGAGGTCCAAGGTTGGCCAGCAGGCAAGAATGGAGGTGCCTAGTGTGAAATCCAAACAGATGATGGCACCCAGCCAACACACAATCCCATGCAGAGCACCAGTGGAAGGGGTAGTCCACTTGCAAGTGGACTGCAGAAAGCATACTTTCTCAAGGAAGCTAGATTTGAGAGTAGAATAAGATTTGCTTCTGAGCATATTCAAAATTTTCCAGCAGCCAGAGGTCTTACATTAGCAAATATCTAAAACTAAGACATTTTAAGTATGGATTTTTTTTTTTTTTTTTTTTTTTTTTTGAGATGGAGTCTCGCTGCTCTGTCTCCCAGGCTGGAGTACAGTGGCGCGATCTGAGCTCACTGCAAGCTCCGCTTCCGAGGTTCACGCCATCCTCCTGCCTCAGCCTTCCAAGTAGCTGGGACTACAGGCACCCGCCACTTCGCCCAACTAATTTTTTGTATTTTTAGTAGAGACGGGGTTTCACCGTGTTAGCCAGGATGGTCTCGATCTCCTGACCTCATGATCCGCCCGCCTTGGCCTCCTAAAGTGCTGGGATTACAGGCGTCAGCCACCGCGCCTGGCCTTTAAGTATGGATTTTAATGTTTGTGCCTTCCAGTGAGTGAGGCTTGAGAATTTAATTAGAATAGCATATATATATATATATATGTGTGTATATGTGTGTGTGTGTGTGTAAATATATATATATAGATATAACTTGTAAAACAGGATTTCCCTGTTATTTTCTCATGTATGAATTATATCTTTATTTTATGGATTTAATCTCTTATGGAAAATAGAACATCTAAACATGATTGAATCTATGTAAAGAATGACATATTTTATTGTACCTTGCACATCTAGTGCAATGGAAATTATGTCCTGAAACCCAAACTACTTAAGGATTTTCTTTTTTTTTTTTTTTTTTGCCGGGGAGGGGGGGGGGTGGATGTTGGGAGGGTTTTTTTTTTAAATTTTTTTAAATTATTATACTTTAAGTTCTAGGGTACATGTACACAACGTGCAGGTTTGTTACATATGTGTACATGTGCCATGTTGGTGTGCTGTACCCATTAACTCATCATTTAATTTTGAAGCTGTAAATACTCTTTCTTCACATGAAATATCCTGTTGAATTCCAATATGTATCTCAATTGAAAACCAGCATAATGAGCAAAGAAAATATCATTACCCTCAGTTTGACACTAGAGTTCTTCTTATTGAGAACTGTGTTTTCTTGAGAAAAAAAACTATAGCAAGCGCTGGAAAGTTCTCTGCTTTCCCTTTCCTCACAGAAGTTTTGTATATTGGCTGGAGCTGAGCAGAAGCATAAGTCAGGAGAGAAGTTTGTGTTCCTAGGGCAATCTGGGAACAAAAAAGTAGGGGATCTACTCAAGTTAGAAACACATGGGTTCTGCAATATTTTTTAATGTGTAAATCAGTGAAGCTTATCAGCCTATGGAGGTCAGAAACAACATGTAAGTACCCCAAAATCAAGAGTGGGAGGTAGTCTTGAGCTAATAAAACACACAATGAAAGTTGACCTTGATGTTGGAAGCATATGCGGGACACCAGATATTCATCCTTTGGTCAGTGTCAGTCAATCTGGGTAGCTGCTGAACCATCTTCATAGAAAAAAGTGGGTAAAACAGTAAGTTGGATGATCTTTAAAGTTCTTTCCAGAAGGAAGGACTAAACTGGGTTTTGTAGGTTTAGTGTGAGACTTTTAGTTTTCGTTGTGTTTCGTTGTTGTGGTTTATAACAAGTTCAAGGATCGTACTCTTGGGTTGTTTCTACCTCAAACCCCATCCCCACGAATACGTTTAAACTACATTAAATCTGATTTGTCATAAGTCACTTTTCTGTTCCACCTTCTTTTTCAGGCTTAAGACTCTATGTAGGCAAGTACTACAATCACTTAACATTACAATCATAATAAACCTAAGTATTTTCTTGCAGATGTGGAAACAAGCCTTTGATCTGACATACAAACTACCCTTATGAATGAAGTTTTTCACTTAGTCATTTTTTTCAGTGTTTACTATGTTCAATGTACTATGGGAAAGGCAAGAAATGTTATGGCTTCACGTATGATAATTTTCCAGTCAGGAGAGTTCTTACAACATGATATGATGCATATTACAAAATCAATATAAAAATGCTATGAAAACACAGTGAAGAAAAATAACAAAATCTGTCTAGAGAAGCTGTCACCTGCCAGAAGCAACTTTCCAGATGAATCTTAAAGAATGAGTTGGAGTTAGTCATATAGAGAAAAGAGGAGAGAGACGATGAAGGATTGAGGAAGGTGTATACAGTCTGGACAGAAGGACTAGCACGGACAGAGGCAGGGAGTCATGATGTCGCCCAACATAGTACCCATTTAATTGACAATTGCCAGGCCTACCAAATGAGGAAAAATATAAAGCTCGCTTGACAAGACTTTATTTTTAGAAATAAAACCAAACAAAAAATTCCAACTTTTTGTTGTTAATTATTATTGAATTTTTATATTACTTACCCCCAGAGAATATAACACACAGTCTCATTGTATTGTCCTATTCTATTCCCAGGGACAACTTTTAGACTCAGGCAAATCTCTTATTGAAATTTTGCCAACTGTTTGGGCAGCAAATAGCAGTAGTAGACATGACACCAGAAACATGACATTGTAAAGTTTTCTGGCTATATTTAAGAGAAATGGCTTAAATCAAGTCAGGTTTCAACATGTTTACACAAAATGAGCCTTCAACCATTTAAAATTTCACCCATCGTAATTATAATTCTGTATGTTTTTGAAGGCTTTATAGTTCAACTCTAACACTTTGCTCAAGGCTGACACTCGGGCTTTCCCTTCAAAACCTCATAAGAACTAGAATCAGGTAAAACCAGATTAGCAGACTTTATAGAGGGTGAGTTACAATCTCCTATACCATCCCATACTCCAAACACTTACCCCTAAACTGATGGGTGCTGCTGCTGGAATGTCAACATTCCCAGAAATACTGTCAACAAAAGCAGGGCTGGTCTCCAAGATATTCAAAACAAGTAACTCAATAAGTACTATTTTGAAATATGAATTGTTTAGAGCTGATTTTGAAATTATTGACCATATGTAATTTTATTTATCTGGTTGTTCTCAAAGAGAAACCCTGTCAATTTTGTGGACTGATAATCTATCATTTCTTTCTTAAATGATAGGTCATGAAAAAATTTGAGGACTGTGGAATTGCCTGGAAAGTCATATAAAAATATAATCATTTGTAACTTTAACAAAGAAAATGAGTATTGGCAAAACCCCACAGGCAATCATGAAATTAAAAACTGGAAGAAGATAGGCATCTCATTTTTGTTCATTTTAAAATACCTATAGAAAGTAGTTCTTTAGTAGATGGAGTAAACTTCAATATATCATTTCAGAGGCACAGAATTTTATGCTGGAAAGGACTTCTCTTATCATCTATACCATTTTATACATGAGTAACCGGGATCCAGAAAAAAGGACAGGCCTAAATTCACCCAGGATTTTTACTAGAAGGGCTGCACCCTTGACTACTAGTATTAAGGTTTCGACATAAATTACATAGAGGAATAACTTTTGGAAATATTAACATATGCTTTTTACCTGTCCCATCTTTTTAACTAGGACACTCCTCCATTCAGTATAGAAGACATGAGGCTACCAAATCTTTAAGAAATCAAATTTTCAGGGGAGAAAAATTCTTACTTTTCCACTGAACATATACATCTAGATGAAAGAATGAATAGACTGTAGAATAATATATCTTTAGGGAGAGCCCATTCTTTACTCCCCCATTACCTCCCCTTCTGCTATATAACAACGAAAAAAAAATCAAGATTTGAGTGAAAGGAGAACATTGAAAGGAGGACAACTGGGAAGCAGACTGTACTAATGTCTCCAAAAGGAAGATAATAAATCAATAGAAAAGTTTGGGGATTTTAAAGCAAAGAGGATTCTATGCCTGCTCACAAGAAAGCAATATCCATGAAGGAACAGGAGAGCAAAAAAAAAATGGCTTCCTGGAGTATTAGAGGCAGTGAAGGACTAAGGCAGTGTCATAGTCAGGCCTGCAGCCAGTGCAGTCTGCAAGATTCAAACCTTTCCCCAAACTCCTGAAGGACTTAGAAGCCCACTGAGATAGACAGCCAACAGACCCAGAGATCTCATGGTAGGACAAGGGATGGTATTGGCAGAAAGGCATGTAGATCTGACAACTAAGAGCTCAGAGAGTGGCTGCTGGGCAGACCAGATGATATACACCTCCAGGCATGCCAGAGAGCCCAGAAAACAACCAAGGCCCAGCATCACCCAGCAACTTCTACAAGCACTCCCACTAGCTATAGGCTGACTTGTGTCCCCCCGAAAATTCCTGTGTTGAACTCCTATCTCCTATACCTCAAAATATGACCATATTTGGAGACAGGGTCTGTAAAGAGGTAATTAAGTTAAAACGAGGTCACTAGCATGGACCCTAATTCAACATGAGCGACATCCTTATAAGAGGAAGACATTTGGGAACAAAGGGAGAACTCTCTGTGAACATGAAGAAGCCATCAACAAGGCAAGGAGAGAGGCCCCAGAAGAAACCATCCCTACCAATATTTTTATCTCAGATTTCTAGCCTCAAGAACTGTGAAAAAATAAAATTCTGTTGATTACATCATCCAGTTTGTGATACTTTATTATGTCATCCCTTATAAACCAACAAACCACCCTTAACCCAGGTGCCATTCTAAGGAAAAGAGATCTAAGATATGATTCATAATCTGACTGTGGTTAAATCCCCTAAAACTGAACCTCTTAGAAATTACAAGATTAGGCCGGACGCAGTGGCTCACACCTGTAATCCCAGCAATTTTTTGGAGGCCGAGGTGGACGGATCACAAGGTCAGGAGTTAGAGATCAGCCTGGCCAATATGGTGAAACCCCGTCTCTACTAAAAATACAAAAATTAGCCAGGCATGGTGGCGGGCACCTATAGTCCCAGCTATTCAGGAGACTGAGGCAGGAGAATCACTTGAACCCAGGAGGTGGAGGTTGCAGTAAGCCAAGATCACACCACTGCGCTCAGCCTGAGCGACAGAGTGAGACTCCATCAAAAAAAAAAAAAAAAAAATTACAAGTTTATAGTTCTTTCATCAATTGAAATCATAATAGTGATTTGGGTAAGGAATATTAAAAAAAAAAAAGCTACAGCTTACAGAATCCTGTATGGCAATGATCATTTGAACACTATGTTTACTGATATTATCAATATATTAACTTCATGGGAAATTATTACTTTCTAGATACCTTTTTGTTTGTTTGTTTGTTTGTTGTTTACAGATCTGAGAAATCTGAACCAAACCCCTTTGCTTTATTATTCTTGTCCTACAATCCTCTTTCTATTATCTCATTCTGCACCTCAGAGGCTATTAATTAATTTTGTAGGGAATTTACTTTAGATACATTGTACAAAGTCAAAGATATAAAATAAGCAGCTATTTACTGAACTCTGGAATTTTAAAAACAGTACAACAATCCCTATTCATAAAAATACTTTCCATATTAGTTTATTGAAAGACTAGTGGTATAGATTGTTGGCTTAGACAGTTAAATGGTTAATACATTAGGACAAGGTGTTTTAAATAGTTAAACATTTTTTGGTTGTTAGTTTGACTACACTTCCATTTCTAAGTCAATAAGGTATTTGTCAAACATGGATGACCATATGAATAAAATTTTGGAGTAAATAAGAATAGTAGATTACACTATCACTAGGAAAATTTTTGGCCTTAGGCAATTTACTAACTTTCTCTAAGCTCTCACTGCCACATATATAAAATGTAGGTAACAGTACAATGTAAAATATAGGCCTGTCATGAGTATAAATTGGACGGCTATGAAAACATAGAGTAAATGATTGAATTAAGTAAGAAATTAGTTTGAAATATCAATTAAGACCAGATTATAGAATATTTTTTACATCTAAACTGGATTTTGCACTTGACTTTTGGTAAGAATGAATGTTAATAGAGAAATGTTCTGGCTAAGAAGACTTGGTCTCTATATATTCTAACTACAGTTTGAGAATAATTACTAATAGTTTATCTCTTGAATTCTGTGTGCAGTGGGACAAAGTATCATGACACCTGTCATCTTAGGGTAAATCTTAGTCATATATTCTACTTTTCTACTCTAGGAAATTATTATCCTAGTTGCAAATATAAATTGTATCACAGACACCAAGCTATCTCTTCAAGAATAAAGGACTTATTCCTCTACATGCTGGGACTGCTGATAGCAGAAATTTGCTGGTTGTCTGCCATTTGGGATAACTGCTTTATCCAAATTTTCAGTCCTAGAAGTAACTTACATCTAATGACTGATGAAGGGGTCACCTGTGAGCAACTGACGAAAGAGGCAGAAACAAATCTTGATTAATGGGTTCGCTCAGTATGTGGGTACAACTTGGAAATGGCTGGAAGCTACACTTGAAAGAAGGTAATCTTGAAAGAAGATAGTGAGAAAAAAATCCTTCCACACAGTAGAGCTGTACGCAATACAGTTGGTCACCTGCACTGTGTAGAAAGCGAATAGGCACCAACTAACCAGGTCAACAAAACTATCAACCAGTGACCTCTGCTAACGTGTTTCATCAGATATCCCAGTGCTGGAACAATAGATGCATACTTGGAAGCCATAGTGGTAGGGATGGAGGCTAAGCTCCCATTTACAGCAGTAGACTAAGTACTGCCATTGAGGCATATTCAAGTCAGCAATGGAAAACAATGATGAGCCTCAATGTGGAACAAACCCTCCTTTTGGCAGCACACTGACTACACTGACCCCTTCTACCTAGGAAGTGGCAATGGTTTATTTTGATAGGAATATACTTATAGTCTCATTATAGGTGTGTATTGTTGGACTTCAGGTTTGTAGCCATCAGCACTATCTGAGATTCTAAAGACTAATTCACCAGCAGCACAGAACTACTTTATAGCAAAAGACATGCAGAGCAAAGGTGTGAGCAGAGATCATGAGATTTGTTGGTTATATTATATACTATCCTACCCATAAGCTCTGGCTAATAAAGTGATGGAAAGAGATGGTGAAAGCATAGTTGGAGCACCAGCTTAGACACAGTAACTTGGGAGTATGGGGTGCCATGTTCCAGGATGCAGGGCATTCTAAATCAATGGATTTTATATGGTGCTATATCTTTAAGGGATAGAATACTTGGACCCAGAATCTAAGTGCTAGGGAGAGGGGATACTCTGCTATCACAGCTTTTGGGGAATGTGTGTTTTCCATTTCTACAACTGTGAACTATGAAAGTTTATAAGTCCTCCTTAGTTGGAGCACCAGCTTAGACACAGTAACTTGGGAGTATGGGGTGCCATGTTCCAGGATGCAGGGCATTCTAAATCAATGGATTTTATATGGTGCTATATCTTTAAGGGATAGAATACTTGGACCCAGAATCTAAGTGCTAGGGAGAGGGGATACTCTGCTATCACAGCTTTTGGGGAATGTGTGTTTTCCATTTCTACAACTGTGAACTATGAAAGTTTATAAGTCCTCCTTCCCAAAGAGGCAACACTTCAATCAGGGGACACAAAAATAGTTCCATTTAACTATAAAGATCAGTTGCAACTGGGTCAGTGTTCCAGCACTGGGATATCTGATATTTTTATGAATAGGGATTGTTGTCATTTTGGTTTCCTTATGCCAAGAGACCAGGAATCAACAAGAAGACTCACCATCATAGAAGGGATAGTTGATCTTGATAACCCGGTAGGGCTGCTGTTACACAACGGAACAGGAAGAAATATGTTTCAACCATGGTAATCTAGTTGGGTGCCTCTTTGCATTCCTGTGCATAACTGCTATGGTAAATAGAAAAAAATAATGTAGCAACCATGGCTAGACAGAACAGCATACAGGGCTCAGACTTCTCAGGGTTGGAGGTCTGGGTCACGTTACCAGGTGAGCCACCAAGAACAGTAGACATTCTAGCTTGTGATCAAGGAAATCTAAAAATGATAGAGCAGGAAAGGCGTAACAGTTTTGGTTCACTAATTTCTCAGGATTTCTCTTCCCCCTGCCACCCTGGAAACTGTAGGAGCTGCTCCCAGATTTAGTATAAACATGTGATTCTGAGTGGTGCAGTGAACTGCTGTGGCTGCTGTAACTGTTATCTAATTCCCCCTTCTAGAATAAACTTATTCTTTTACTTGCATAGCGTGTTTCATGTGGACATCCTTCAATTGTCAGGCCTTTTTAGGAAGTACTTCGGTAAAGAGAGTTACCTCAAAGCGCACAGGTACTTCCCCAGGCAATTCACCCAATGACTAATCCACATGGGAATTTAAGACCCAAATCCCTCGCCCCAAGTCATAGCTCTGAAAGATTATCCAAGCTTTGGATCTCTCCACGGGACTTGCAGAGGCCTTTGTTGAGACTGTAACACAGCTCACTTTCTTCTACCCAATCCTGCTTCCTCCCCTTCCTTTCCATGAGAGTTGCTATAGAAACATTTTCTAATAAAGTTCCTGTGTAATCACCTTCTTCTCTGAATCTCCTTCTGGAGACCTCAGCCAAATACCACCAAACACTAACTGAAGGACAGAGAAACTTTACCAGTCTCAAGAAAAAGGAAAAAGAAGGAGAAAAGAAAGGGAGAGTGATGGTGGCTAAAGTTAGAAACCTACCAGAATAAGAAGGAAGAGTAGTCAAAAAGGTAAGTCAATCTGGGAATTGTTTCTGTATTTCATAAAATGTAATTCTAATATATATACCAAGGTAGATTCCACTTAAAAATCTAATAATAGAAAATAAAATTGTTTTCATCTTATTCTTACTTGTAATATTGAATAACAATTTACTGAGAGTGTTGGGATAATAATGGAGTTATTTCTCACACCTGATTGCTCATATTTTTAATTATCTGTTTGCAAGATCCCTTGTAAAACAAGACAAACAAAACACCAATAATATTGTTCCAACATGCAAAGAATGCACAATCCAATACTATGATTTTTAAAAAGTGAAATAATTCTTTTTTCTGTGTGTTTAAAAAATAGATATTTTAAGACACTATTAAATGTATAAAACATAATAAATTTCCCAATTTCTCTGTAAGCAGGTCTCCTACAGAAAGCTCTCATTTGATGGATAATAGTCTCAGCTAAGCATCAATGTTGTGAGTTGTAGGGAACTCTGGCCATCATTAATATGTTTGCTCAACAAATTCTTCTGAATTATCTAAAGGGCATTTTAGATTGCATTTGGATTATAATAAAATGAATTGTAAAACATTAATATGAAAAACTAAGTTTAATTTTCTTCAAAATGTTTACTTGTTTAATTAAAAAAAATACGTTTTTTACAATTTAGCTAGTCCAGGTTTTGTTTTAAATTGTAGACTAAGAAATTTAGGAGATTTTTTTAAATCTAAAGGTTTGATATTCAAAATTATGTTGTCAAGAAAGCAATGCTGTATTTTATTAAAATGTTAATTGGAACAGAAATGTGTAAAATATTTGAGGGTTGAATTTGTTCTATATACAAGAATCTGAGAAAAATACCCTGTAAAATTTGATTTGCATTTCCTTGGGTGTGTTAGGAGACATTGTACACAAAATAAAATATTTAGTGTTTGGGAATTTGTATGCATGGGCTTTAAGCCCAGGAACATAACTGTATGTTCCTTTGTAATTTAGTCTTCCAAGAAATGATTCTTGGGCAATGATAGAAACACTGTAAGGGTAACAAAATAATTACATACACATACATATACATACACACAAATATACACAAATGATTGTTTTATCTTATAAACTTACATCTTAGTGTATCAGAAATAATTAATGGAGATACTATATCTAAAATTCTCAACAAAGGTCAATACTTAATAGAGAGGAGGTGTTGTTATCATGCTCAAAATGAGGAAAGGCACTTTGAAATGCAGAAGAGAATTTCTTTTTCTTATGAGAACCCATTAGATTCAAATTAAATATATATATATATATGAATGAATGATTTGGTTACTGGGCTTCTACTTAGGATTTAGAAAGTGGAAAAAAGCAACACTCCCACCGTTGTAAGAAAAATAATAGAAAACCTCTACGTTCACAACTTTTCTCACACTCATCAGAGAACTGAGGTAAAAAGGCAACAAACTAAGTGGAAATCTGAGGAAAGGCAGGTGCCTCGAATGAGTGAAGAGACACAATAACTCACTTTCCTAGAGAAGATGCCATGAGACAACAGTAAGAATCCAGCTAAAAGTTTTAATAAAGGCTAATGGCAAAGGAGTGACGGAGAGAACATTGAACTCCTGGAGGCTGTAGATACAAGGGGAATTTGTATCCATTCATAGCCATGGATCTCAGTAGATACTCAGAGAAACAACTAGGGCAAGAGGAAGCATCCCTGTGATGAGAGCTTAGAAGAGAGGATAAGCAGTCACTCTTAGGCACAATTTCGGGCCAGGCACGGTGGCTCATGCCTGTAGTCCCAGCACTTTGGGAGGCCAAGGCAGGCAGTTCATGAGGTCAGGAGATCAAGACCATCCTGGCTAACACAGTGAAATCTCATCTCTACTAAAAATACAAAAAAAAAAAAAAAAATTAGCCAGGCGTGGTGGCGGGTGCCTGTAGTCCCAGCTACTTGGGGGGCTGAGACAGGAGAATGGTGTGAACCTGGGAGGCGGAGCTTGCAGTGAGCCGCAGTGAGCCGAGATTGCACCACTGCACTCCAGCGTAGGTGACAGAGCAAGACTCCGTCTCAGAGAAAAAAAAAAGAAAGGCTCAATTTCCACCTGGACCCTTGTCTATTCCTGCTATGGAACAAAAGCCCTAAACCAGTGGTACAAAGGCAAAAGGGACTGTTCCCTTAGGCCCCTCGTGAAAGCCCATTGCAATCAAGAAAAGAAGAATAAAATACTCTCAATCCTCAGCAGGAAAATATGTTGGGCCACAACTTGTAGCTTAGGAAGGCAGACTCGCTGAGAAGGCCCATCCTCAAGACCTACAAACAAAGTACCTGCCTAATATTCAAGTTAATCAGAACAACAGAGAACAACCTTCTACCACCACCACATACACAAACTTTCCATCACTGAGTTAACAAATGTCAAGTATCAGGTGACAAATTCACTGCTGGGAGAGAGTCAAGAGCATAAAGAGAAACCATCTTTGAGGCACAGCACAAATGTAAGGCTGAAAGTTGTGGGTGGAGGAGACATTAAGAAAACATCTCAGACAAACCAGCCCCTACTTTAAATCTAAGGTAATGCCAGGGGAATTTGAAGTGTGTTGTATACTGAGGATAAATATATAAACAATAAAAACCAAATACAGCTTAACTGCTGATGAAATTTATTAAATACTCCATAGAAGAAAATGGGTGCTCATATCTAGGCATATACCTTTTATGTACCTCAGTCTCTACTGTCCTACACAAACTGTCAATCTTCAACAAAAAATTACAAGATAAGAAAAGAAGAAAGAAGAAAAATACTGTTGAGAAATAAAGTAAACAATAGAATAGGACTCAGTTATGATACAGGTATTATAATTATTAAATGCAGGATTAAAAATAATTATTATGAATAGGTTAAGACCTCTAGTAGAAAAGGTGGACAACATGAATGATCAGGTGGGTAATTTCAGTAGAGAGATGAAAACTATAAGAACGAAACAAAAATGCTAGAACAAAAAACAGTATGAAAGATGAGAAATGCTTTTGATGGGCTCATCAGATCATCATAGTGGAGGAATTCATCAATAAACTTGAAAACAAGTCAATACATTTACTCAAAATGAAACGCGAAGGAAAAAAGGAATTAAAAGAAGAAGAGAGTATCCGTGAGCTATGGGATAATATTTAATGACCTAATAAATATTTATTTGGAATCTCAGAAGGAGAAGATACACAAGTGAGAAAAATTATTTGAAAAAATAGTGACTGAGAATTTTTCAAAAATTAATGAGATACTACACTATGTGCCGAGGATCTCAGAGGATACAAATTGGATACATTTCAAAAGAAACAAAATGCCAACAGAAACAGAAATATTCAGGTATAACTTCTCCAAACCAAAGACAAAGACAAAATGTTAAAATAAGAGAAAAAAAATTATATTTAGCATTACAGCAGATCTTACATCAGAATCTATGCAAGACAAACGATGATGGAGTAACATTTTTAAACTGCTTATAAAAAAATTTTTAATCTAAAATTCTATATACAATGAAAATATATTTCAAAATTTTAAAAATAAAAGATTTTGTCAGACCAACAAATACTGAGTGAAAGTATTGCCAGAACTACTCAGAACTACAAAAAAGTTAAAGGAAGTTCTTCGGGCAAAGAAGTAAAATACAAATACAAAATGTGGATCTAGAAGAGGTGAAGCAAGATGGCTGAATAAAACTCTCCAGCAATCCTCCCCCTGTAGGAAAAATAAATAGAAAAACTGTCCACCCAAGAAAGCACTTTCATGAGAACCAAAAATCAGGTGAGCAATCACAGTACCTGGTTTTAAACACAAGAGGCCTGGAACAGGGTAGGAAAGAAGCTTGAATAACTGACATCACTGCTCCCCTATCTGCCAGCAGTGGCCATGTGGCATGGAGAGAGATCTGTGTGCTTGGAAGACAGAGAGCAAAGTGATTGCATTGGAATTCAGTGCTGCATCTCACAGTGGAAAGCAACACAAGGTAGAATTCAGCCAGTGCCCAAGGAAGAAGCATTTAAACCAACCCTAGCTATAAGGGAATAGTCCATCCCAGCAGTCAAAACCTGAGTTCCAGCCACCACTATAGGCTAAATAGCACTGGGGTTCTCAATAAACTTGAAAGACACTCTAGGCCACAAAGACTGCTATTCCTGGGCAAGTCCCTTGTGCAATTCTGGGACTCAGAGACAGTGGACTTGGAGTGTATGTGACATAGTGAGCCACCAGCTGGGGCAGCCAAGGGAGAGAGTGACTCCGTTTGTTTGGGGGAAAGTAGGGGAAGAGAACAAGAATTTCTGTCAGGGAAATCTTTCAGATCTTATCCAATAACACCAAGGCAGTACTTCTAAAACCCAGCAAGAGTTACAGCATTACTGGGCTTGGGGTGCTCCCTAATGTGGATACAGCTACAATGACCAAAAACTTAGATACAACACTCAATCCTCGTTGAATACTTTGAAAGCTTTCCCAAGAAGGACAGTTACAACTAAGCTGAGACTGTGCAGACTACAATAAATACCTATCTCTTCAATGCCCAGACACCAGCAAATGTCCACAAGCTCCAAGACCATCTAGGAAAATGTGACCTCACCAAATGAACTAAATAGGGAACCAAGGACCAGTCTCTCTGATCAGTGACAGAGATATGTGACCTTTCAGACAGATAATTCAAAATAGCTCTTTCGAGAAATTTCCATGAAATTCAAGATAACACAGAAGGAATTCATAATGGTATCAGATAAATTGAACAAAGAAAATATTTTTTTAAAAAATCAAGCAGAAATATTGGAGCTTAGAAATGCAATTGACATACTGAAGTAATCATCAGAGTCTCTCAACAGCAGAATTAATCAAGCAAGAGAAAGAATTAATGCATGTGAAGAAATGATATTTGAAATTACAGTCAGAGGAGACAAAAGAATAAGGAAGAAGCACACCTACAAAATCTAGAAAATAGCCTCAAAGGGGTAAGCCTATAAATTATTGGCTATAAAGAGGAGGCAGAGAGAGAGATTGAGGTAGAAAATTTATTCAAAGGGAAAATAACAGAGAACTTTCCAAATCTGGAGAAAGATAACAATATTCAAGTACAAGAAGGTGATAGAACACCAAGCAGATTTAACCTAAGACTACCACAAGACGTTTAATAATCACACTCCCAAAGGTCAAAGATACAGAAAGGATCCTAAAAGCAGCAAGAGAAGAGAAACACATACAAAAGAACTTGGACAGACTGCTCATTGAAAACCTTACAGTACAGGAGAAAGTGGCATGACATATTTAGGGTGCTGAATAAAAAAGAAAAAACTTTTATTCTAGAATAGTTTATGTAACAAAAAAATAGCCTTCAAACATGAAGGAGAAATAGTTTCCCAGACAAACAAAAGCTGAGGGATTTCATTAATACCGGACTTGTTTCACAAGAAATGCTAAAGAGGGTTATTCAGTCTGGAAAAAAAAGGTTTGTTGATGAGCAGTAAGAAATTATCTGAAGGTACAGAACTCACTAGTTATAGTTAGTACACAAACACAGAATATTATAACACTGTAATTGTGGTGTCTAAACTATTCATATCTTGAGTAGAAAGACTAAAAGATGAACCAATCAAAAATAATGACATCTTTTCAAGACATAGACACTATAATAAGATATAAATAGAAAGAACAAAAAGTTAAAAAGTGGGAGGATTAAAGTATAGAGTTCTTAGTTTTCTTTTCATTTGTTAGTATGCTCATTTATTTTTGTAATCAGAATTAAGTTGTCAACCAGTTTAAAATACTGGGTTATAAGTCATTACTTGAAAATCTGATAGCAACCTCAAATAAAAAATCCTATAACAGATACACAACAAATCAAAAGCAAGAAATGAAAACATACTGTTGTGGGAATCAGGAGACCAGAGAGAGCAATAGGGCAGAATAGGAGGATTTTATTTAGGTACACCAGCTCAGCGGATTCACATCCAAAAGGCTGAGCCCTGGACAAAGACAGGGCTTGATTTTTATCTGTAGTGCAAAATGCAGTGGTGCAAAAGTAGGTAGAACAAATACAGTTTATCAAACAGTAACAGGCTCATAACTCAGGCTTTCATGTGACTCTTGCTATGCAAGCCACGTGGCTGTTATCTAGGCTTGCTCAAGATGCCTACACAATCTTATCTCGTGTCCTTCTCTATGGTGCCCAGATGGCTGCAATCTAAGCTTGCTCAAGCATGTCTCATGACCTCTGCAATGCTACAGAGACTTACAGACTCTTGTTACAGAAAACAGTAATCTATAAACTCATAAAAACTTGCAGAGCAGGGTACAATGGCATGGAGCAGGGAGGGATTCAAGAGGGAAGCTTCTCATACCAAAGGAAAAGAAGAAAATTTGTTTTTTCCCTTTTTAACTTCTGCTTCAATACCAGCAGAGAAAAATCACCTTCAAGGAAAAGAAAGAAGGAAGAAAGGCAGGGAGGAAGGGAGGGATGGGAAGGGGGTGGAGGGAGAGAGGAGATTACAAAACAACCAGAAAACAAACAACAAAATAGCAGGAGTAAGTCCTTATTTATTAACAATCACACTAAATGTAAATGCATTAAATTCTCCAAAAAAGACATAGAGTGACTGAATTGATTTAAAAAAATAACATCCAACAGACACTTCTCAAAAGATGACATCCATGCAGCCAACATGAATGTTACATATGAAAGAAAGCATATGTAACATGCAGCATGAATGTTACATATGAAGAAAACCTCAACATCTCTGATCATTAGAGAAATGCAAATCAAAACCACAATGAGATACTATCTCATGCCAGTCAGAATGGCAACTACTAAAAAGTCAAGAAACAGCAGATGCTGGCGAGGCTGTGGAGAAATAGGAATGCCTTTACACTGTTGGTGAGAATGCAAATTAGTTAAACCATTGTGAAAGACTGCAGCAATTCCTCAAAGACCTAGAACCAGAAATACCATTTGACTCAGCAATCCCATTACTGGGTATATAAGGAAAGGAATATAAATCATTCTATTATAAAGATACATGCACACATATGTTCATTGCAGCACCATTCACAATAATAAAGACATGGAATCAATCCAAATGTCCATTAATGATAGACTGGATAAAGAAAATGTGGTACATATACACAAAGAATACTAGGCAGCCATAGAAAGGAATGAGATCATGTCTATTGCAGGGACATGGATGAAGCTGGAAGCCATTATCTTCAGCAAACTAATGCAGGGACAGAAAACCAAACACCAGATGCTCTCACTTAAAAGTGGAAGCTGAGTGATGAGAACACATGGACACAGGGAGGGAAACAACACACAATGGGGCCTGTTCGGGCTGGGGGTTAGGGGAGGGAAAGCATCACGAAAAATAGCTAATGGAAGCTGGGCTTAATACCTAGGTGATAGGTCGATCTGTGCAGCAAACCACCATGGCACATGTTTACATATGTAACCAATCTGCACATCCTGTGCATATACCCTGGAACTTAAAAGTTGAAGGAAAAAAAAGACCCAATGATATATTACCTACCAGAAACATACTTCACCTATAAAGACACACATAGACTGAAAAATAAAAGGATAGAAAAAGATATTCCATGCAAACAGAAACCAAAAGAAGCAGGAGTCGCTATTTTTGACAAAGATGCCAAGAACATACATTTGGTCAAAGGAAAGTATTTTCAATAAATGGTGCTGGGAAAATGGGATATTTACATGCAGAAAAATGAAACTAGACCCCTACCTCTTGCCATATACAAAAACCAAATCAAAATGGATTAAAGGCTTAAAGGTAAGACCTCAAACTGTGAAACCACTAACATTGCCGAAACTCTCCATGACATTGATCTGGGGGAATTTTTTGAGTAATACTGAACAAGCAGAGGAAACAAAAGCAAAAATGGACAAAATTGAATCATATCAAGTTAAAAAGCTTCACAAAGTGAAGAAAACAATCAACAAAGTGAAGAGACAGCCCACGAAATTGGAGAATATATTTGCAAACTATCCATCTGACAAGTTACTAATAACCAGACTGATAATGGTTTGGTTGTGTCCCCACCCAAACATCAACTTGAATTGTATCTCCCAGAATTCCCATGTGTTGTGGGAGGGGCCCAGAGGGAGGTAATTGAATCATGGGGCCAGTCTTTCCTGTGCTATTCTCATGATAGTGAATAAGTCTCACAAGATCTAATGGGTTTATCAGGGATTTCTGCTTTTGCTTCTTCCTCATTTTTCTGTTTCTGCCTCCAAGTAAAGAAGTGCCTTTTGCCTCCTGCCATGATTCTGAGGCCCCCTCAGCCATGTGGAACTGTAAGTCCAATTAAATATTTTTATTCCTAGTCTTGGGTAAGTCTTTATCAGCTGCATGAAAACAGACTGATACGCAGACTATGTAAGGAAATCAAACAACTCTATGGGGAAAATATTTTAATGATCCAATTTAAAAATGGGCAAAAGACCTGAATAGACATTTCTCAAAATAGGAGAAATACTAATGGCAAACAGACATATGAAAAGATGCTCAACATCACTGATCATCAAATAAATGCAATCAAAACTACAATAGGATATTATCTCACCCCAGTTAAAATGGCATTTGTCCAAAAGAAAGGCAATAATGAATGCTGGCAAGGATGTGGAGTAAAGGGAACTCCAGGTGCATTGTTCTTAGTTATGTAAATTAGTATAGCCACTACAGAGAACAGTATGGAGGTTTCTCAAAAAAACTAAAAATAGAACTACCATGTGATCCAGCAAAACCTCGAAAAAACTAAAAATAGAACTACCACGTGATCCAGCAATCCCACTGCTACAAATATACTCCAAAGAAAGGAAATTAATATATCAGAGATACCTGCACTCCCATGTTCATTGCAGCACTATTCACAATAGCCAAGATATGGAGCAACCTAAGTGTCCACCAACAGATATTTCTTTAAAGAAACATTCTTTATCCGTTCATCCATTCACTATTCAGGCGTAAAAGAGAATAAGATAATGTCATTTGCAACATGAATGGAACTGGAGGTCATTAAGTGAAATAAAGCACAGAAAGACAAACTTCACATATTCTTACTCATTTTTGGAAGCTAAAAATAAAAACAATTGAATTCATGGAGGTAGACAGTAGAAGGATGGTTACCAGAGGCTGGGAAGGGTAGTGGCCGTGGAAAAGTAGGGATGGTTAATGGGTACAAAAATATTGTTAAATAGAAAGAAGCAGATGCAGTATTGGTAGCATAAGAGGGTGACTACAGTCAATAGTAATTTATTGTACATTTTATAATAACTAAAAGTATAATTGGAATGTTTGTAGCACAAAAAAAGGATAAATGCTTGAGGTGATTGATACCCCATTTACCCTGATATTATTATGCATTGTATGCCTATATCAAAATATCTCATGTATCCTATGAATATATATACCTATTATGTACCCACAAAAAATTTTAAAATTCAAAAACTTGTATCTACACACGGAAATAAAAAAGTGCTAAAAGTAGAATAAAGATAATTATAAAATTCTTTTATTTTTAATTGCTTTAAAGAAAAACTGACTTCCTAAAATGGAAATAGTTAACAAGACATTTTGAGTTAGCACACATAATACCAAAATATATGCTAAAAGCAGAAAAAAAATGCAAGGACAGAATTGGGACTACATATGAACCTATATAACATGATTTTAATGTATACTCTGATTAAGGATATATATTAGGTTGGCGTAAATGTAATCACGGTTTTGCCATTGAAAGTAATGGCAAAAACCACGATTATATTTGCACCAACCTAATATTGTAACCCTGAGGGCAATCACTAAAAATTCTTTTTAAAACCATAAATAATAATTAGTGAAGATGAAATAGAATCTCAAAATACATGTAAATAATCTTTAAAAAGTCAGAAAAATTGATAAAAGAAACAAAGAAGAGACAGAACAAATAAGAAATAGCATGATACTAAGTTTTATTCCAACCACATTAATAATAAAATTAATTATAAGCAGTCTAAACATACCAATTAAAACATGGATACTATTAGGCTTGATGAAACAGTAAAATTCAACTATACTGTATCTATCAAGAAAGCACTTCAAATAAAATGACATAAGTAGATAAAAATTAAAAGTATTAAAAAAACATACAATTATAACATCATCAAAAGAAAGCTGAAAAAAGAAAAAAAGAAATAATAAATTACCTTATATGAAGGGTATAAGTTATAAAATTATAAAGGAATTAATTCTCAAAAAAGTGTAACTGTCCTAAATATGTGTGAACTTAACAACAGCACCTCAAAATGCATGGGATGAAAAACAGTGGAACTCAATACAGAAGTAGACAAATCTAAAATTATAGTATTAGACTTCAAAACTCCTTTCTTAGTAACTGATTAAACAAGAAGTCAGAAAATTAATAAGAACCTAGAAGAACTGCATGACACTATCACCCAAAGTAATCTAAATGACACTTATAGGAAATTCTCCCTACAGTGAGAGAATGCATAATATTCTCAATAGCACATGGAGCATTCCCCAAGTTGAACTATATTCTATGCTGTAAAACCAACTTTAAACAAATTTTAAAAGTAGAAATCACACAGATTACTGGGCAATAATAAAATTCAAGTTGGAATCAATGATAGAAAGATACCCGGAAAAGCCCATATACTTATAACTATACCATTTGTCACATCAGAAATCACAAAGGAAATTATAACATATTTTGAGTAGAATGAAAATGAAATAGAACATTAAAATTTATTGTTTTCAGCTAAAGCAATGTTTAGAGTGAAATTATAGCACTACAGGATTAAATTATAAAATGTAAAAGGATCTAAAATAAATGACATAAACTTCCAACTTAAACTAGTAAAAAAGTTAAACTGAAAGAAGCAGAAGAAAGAAATAATGAATATAAAAATAATATTGAGAAAAAAATACAGGATTGGATCATCATGACGGACTGGAGGCAGGACTAGATTGCAGCTCTGGACAGAGCAGTGTGCAGAGGCTCGCATTGTGAATTTTAGCTCCAAATTGACTGCAAGAACAAACCAGCAATCCCAAGAGTTCACACAGACCCTCTGAAGGAAGCAGACTGCTCCTGCAGGACCTGGGAGACATCCCAAATATTGTGAGGGCCCCAGCTGCAGAAGTAGGAAAGGGAGACCCTCCTCTTCTGAACACACACCATCACTGAAGAAACTGAAGGTGTGTTTGTGGGAGAAATTTTTGACTGTACCTGGAGCTGAGTCTGTTTGGAGAGCCAAGTCAAATAAGGGGTAGAGGAAGAAGCAGAAAGGCCCTGGGAGCTCGCTGGGTCCCCAAGCGGGCCATTCCTGCCTGGTACCACCAGGATCCATCCAGAGGGTAGCAGAGGAGCAGGGGATAAAACTCCATAGGGAGAAGGAAAACTCTAGCTGAACTTTGTTAACAATTTGAACGGGGTGAGAAACCTCCCAGCCAGAACTTGGGGGAGGGCACAAATGTGGTGTGCAGACTCCCCAGGTGGGGGAAGAACCATGCCCTTTTCTTTTGCACCTGGGAGGTGGGTGGATAGCCTGAGGCAGATTTTCAAGCCCATCTTGCCCATCCCCTGGAAATGAACTTGGGGCTGTTGGGGGGAACATGATGGGAGTGAGCCTGGCCCTTCAGTTTGCATGAAAGCTGGGTGAGGCCTGTGACTGCCAGCTTGCTCCCACTTCCCTGACAACATTCATGACTCAGCAGAGGCAGCCATAATCCTCCTAGGTACACAACTCTAGTGACCTGGGAATCTCATCCCCATCCCCCACAACAGCTGTAGCAAGGCCCACCCAAGGAGAGTCTGAGCTCAGAGATGCCTAGCCCCATCCCCACCTAATGGCCTTTCCCTGCCCCCGCTGGTAGCGGAAAACAAAGGACATATAATCTTGGGAGTTCTAGGGTTCCGCCCACCACCCATTCCTCCCCATACTACCACAGCTATGCTCTCTGGAAAGTGCCACCTCCTGGAAGGAGGCCAACCAGCACAAAAATAAAGCATTAAACCACCAAAGCTAAGAACCCTCATGGAGTCCATTGCACAACCCCTGACCTGCTGTCACCTCCACTGGAATAGGTGCTGGTATCCAAGGCTGAGGGACCTATAGATGATTCACATCACAGGACTCTGTGAAGACAACCCCCAGCACTAGCCTGGAGCCAGGTAGACTTACCGGGTGGCTAGATCCAGAAGAGAGACAACAATCACTGTAGTTCAGCTCACAGGAAGCCATATCTGTAGGAAAAGGGGAAGAGTACTGCATCAAGGGAACAACACGTAGGACAAAATAATCTAAACAATAGCCTTCAGCACTAGACATTTCCTCTGACAGCATGGAGAAGCACAAAGAATACCCAGAAATTCATCACAAAAAGATCTTCACCTAGACGCATTGCCATCAGGTTATCCGAAGTGAAAATGAGGGAAAGAATCTTAAGAGCTGTGAGACAGAAGCACCAGGTAACCTATAAAGGAAAACCTATCAGATTAACAGCAGTTTTCTCAGCAGAAACCCTACAAGCTAGAAGGGATTGGGGCCCTATCTTCAGCCTCCTCAAACAAAACAATAATCAGCCAAGAATTTTGTATCCAGCAAAACTGAGCATCATATATGAGGGGAAAATACAGTCTTTTGCAGACAAACAAATGCGGAGAGAATTCACCATTATAAAGCCACAAATACAAGAACTGCTAAAAGGAGCTCTGAGTCTTGAAACAAACCCTGGAAACACAACAGAACAGAACTTCTTTAAGGCATAAGTCACACAGGACCTATAAAACAAAAATACAAGTTAAAAAGCAAAAAACAAACAACAACAAAAAAACAAAGTATAAAGGCAACAAAGAACATGATGAACACAATGATATCTCACATTTCAATACTAACATTGAATGTAAATGGCCTGAATGCTTCACTTAAAAGATACAGAACTGCGGAATAGATAACCCACCCACCAACTATCTGCTGCCTTCAAGAGATTCATCTAACACATAAGGACTCACATAAACTTAAAATAAAGGGGTGGAAAAAGGCATTTCATGTAAATGGACACCAAAAGTGAGCAGGAGTAGCTATTTTTATATCAGACAAAACAAACTTTAAAGCAATAGCAGTTAAGAGAGACAAAAAAGGACATTATATAATTCATCTAACACATAAGGACTCACATAAACTTAAAATAAAGGGGTGGAAAAAGGCATTTCATGTAAATGGACACCAAAAGTGAGCAGGAGTAGCTATTTTTATATCAGACAAAACAAACTTTAAAGCAATAGCAGTTAAGAGAGACAAAAAAGGACATTATATAATGGTAAAAGGCCTTGTCCAACAGGAAAATATTACAATCCTAAACATATATGCATCTAACACTGAAGCTCCCAAATTTACAAAACAATTACTAATAGACCTACGAAATGAGAGACAGCAACACAATAATAGTGGGGGATTTCAATACTCCACTGACAGCACTAGACAGGTCATCAAGACAGAAAGTCAATCAAGAAACAATGGATTTAAACTATACTTTGGAACAAATGGACTTAACAGATATATACAGAACATTTCATCAAACAACCACAGAATACACATTCTATTCAACAGTGCATGGAACTATCTCCAAGACAGACAATATGATAGGCCATAAAATGAGCCTCAATAAATTTAAGAAAATTGAAATTATATCAAGCACTCTCTTAGACCACAGTGGAATAAAACTGGAAACAAACTCCAAAACGAAACTTCAAAACCATGGAAATAACAAAATGTGCTACTGAATGAGCATTGGGTCAAAAACAAAATCAAGATGAAAATTAAAAAAATTTTTTAACTGAATGACAATAATGACACAATCTATCAAAACCTCTGGGATACGGCAAAGGCAGTGCTAAAAGGAAAGTTCATAGCCCTAAATGCCAACATCGAAAAGACTGAAAGAGCACAAACTGACATCCTAAGGTCACACCTCAAGGAACTAGAGAAACAAGTACAAACCAAACCAAAACCCAGCAGAAGAAATGAAATAACCAAGATCAGAGCAGAACTAAATGAAATTGAAACAAAAAACCCCACAAAAGATAAATGAAACAAGAAGCTGGTCCTTTAAAAAGATAAATAAAATTGACAGACCATCAGAAAGATTAACCAAGAAAAGAAGAGAGAAAAATCCAAATAACTTCACTAAGAAATAAAATAGGCGATATTACAACTGGCACCATTGAAATACAAAAGATCATTCAAGGCTACTATAGGCACCTTTATGCACATAAACTAGGCAACCTTGAAGAGATGGATAAATTCCTGGGAAAATACAATCCTCCTAGCTTAAATCAGGAAGAATTAGATACCCTGAACAGTCAAATAACAAGCAGCAAGATTGAAATGGTAATTTAAAAAATTACCAACAAAAAAAAGTCCAGCACCAGACAGATTCATAGCAGAATTCTATCAGACTTTCAAAGAAGAATTAGTACCAATCCTTTTGACACTATTCCACAAGATAGAGAAAGAAGAAACCCTCCCTAATTCATTCCATGAAGCCATCGTCACTCTAATACCAAAACCAGGAAAAGAAACAACCAAAAAAGAAAACTACAGATTGATATCCTTGATGAACATAGATGCTAAAATCCTTAACAAAATACTAGCTAACCAAATCCAACCACATATCAAAAAGATAATCCACCATGATCAAGTGGGTTTCATACCAGGGATGCAGGGATGGTTTAACATGTGCAAGTCAGTAAATGTGATACACCACATAAACAGAATTAAAAACAAAAATCACATGATCATCTCAATAGATGCAGAATAAGCATTTGACAAAGGCCAGCATCCTTTATGATTAAAACTCTCAGCAAAATTGGCATACATGGGACATATCTTAATGTAATAAAAACCATGTATGACAAACCCATAGCCAACATAATACTGAATGGGGAAAAGTTGAAAGCATTCCCTCTGAGAGCTGGAACAACACAAGGATGCCCACTGTCACCACTTCTCTTCAACATAGTACTGGAAGTCCTAGCCAGAGCAATCAGACAAGAGAAAGAAATAAAGGGCATCCAAATCTGTAAAGAGGAAGTCAAACTGTCACTGTTTTCCAAAGGTATGATCTTTTACCTTGGAAACCCAAGGGACTCCTCCAGAAAGCTCCTAGAACTGAAGAAAGAATTCAGCAAAGTTTCTGGATACAAGATTTATGTGCACAAATCAGTAGCTCTTTTATACACCAAGAGCGATCAAGCAGAGAATCAAATCAAGAACTCAATCTCTTTTACAATACCTTCAAAAAAAATTAAAATACTTAGGAATATACTTAACCAAGGAGCTGAAAGACCTCTACAAGGAAAACTACAAAACACTGCTGAAAGAAATCATAGATGACACGAACAAATGGAAACACATCCCATGCTGATGGATGGGTAGAATCGATATTGTGAAAATGACCATACTGCCAAAAGCAATCCACAAATTCAATGCAATTCCCATCAAAATACCACCATCATTCATCACAGAATTAGAAAAAACAATTCCTAAATTCATATGAAACCAAAAAGTGCCCACATAGCTAAAGCAAGACTAAGCAAAAAGAACAAATCTGGAGGCATCACATTACTTGATTTCAAACTATACCATAAGGCCATAGTCATCAAAACAGCATCATACTGTATAAAAATAGACACACAAACCAGTGGAACAGAATAGAGAACCCAGAAATGAACCCAAATACTTATCTTCAACAAAGCAAACAAAAACATAAAATGGGGAAAGGACACCCTTTTCAACAAATGGTGCTGGGATAATTGGCCAGCCACATGTAGGGGAATGAAACTGGATCCTCATCTATCACCTTATACAAAAATCAACTCAAGATGGAGTGGATTAAGGACTTAAACCCTAAGACCTGAAACTATAAAAATTCTAGAACATTGGGAAAACCCTTCTAGACATTGGCTTAGGTACGGATTTCATGATCAAGAACCCAAAAGCAAATCTATTTAAAACAAAGATAAATAGATGAGGCCTAATTAAGCTAAAGAGCTTTTGCATGGCAGCAGGAACAGTCAGCAGAGTAAACAGACAACCCACAGAGTGGGAACAAATCTTCACAATCTATACATCTGACAAAAGACTAATATCCAGAATCTACAACAAACTCAAACAAATCAGTAAAAAAAAAAAAATCCCATTAAAAAGTGAGCTAAGGACATGAATAGACAATTCACAAAAGAAGACAGACAAATGGCCAGCAAACATATGAAAAAATGCTCAACACTAATTATCAGGGAAATGCAAATTAAAACCACAATGCCATACCACCTTACTCCTGCAAGAATGGCCATAATCAAAAAATCAAAAAACAGTAGATGTTGGCGGGATGCGGTGAACAGAGAACACTTCTACACTGCTGGTGGGAATGCAAACTAGTACAGCCACTACGGAAAACAGTGTGGAGATTCCTTAAAGAACTAAAAGTACAACTATTATTTGATCCAGCAATCCCACTACTGGGTATCTACCCAGAGGAAAAGAAGTCATTATTCACAAAAGATACCTGCACATGCATGTTTATAGCAGCACAATTCACAATAGCAAAATCGTGGAACCAACCCAAATGCCCATCAATCAACGAGTGGTTAAAGAAACTGTAGTATATATATAAGATGGAATACTACGGCCATGAAAAGGAATGAATCAACAGCATTTGCAGTAACCTGGATGAGATGGGAGATTATTATTCTAAGTGAAGTAACTCAGGAATGGAAAACCAACATCATATGTTCTCGCTGATATGTGGGATCTAAGCTATGGGGACAAAAAGCATAAGAATGACACAATGGACTTTGGAGACCTGGGAGAAGAGTGAAGGGAAGAGAGGTATAAAAGACTACAAATATGGTGCAGTGTATACTGCTAAGGTCATGGGTACACCAAAATCTCACAAATCACCACTAAAGAACTTACTCACGTAACCAAATACCACCTGTACTCCAATAACTTATGAAAAAATAATCAAAGAACCAAAAAAATACAGAAAATAATAAAAACCAAAACCTATTTTTTGATGTCACTGATAGAATTTATAAATCTTTATCTATATTAATCAGAAGGGAAAAGGAGAAAACACAAATTACAAATATCAGGAAAGAAAAAGGAGATACTACTACATATCCTACAGATATTAAAAAATAAGGAGATAATATGAACAACTATATGTCATAAATTTGACAACTTAAAAGTCATAGAAAAATTCCTTGAAATCATGGCAGAGATAAAACAAACCATCCACACTTCAGCAAATGTGGAATTTCAAGTGAGTGGCAGGATTCAGTCAATCATCTGTTACTCTCTTCTGTTGTACTTATGATTATTGAAGAGGAAATAGGTAATTGGAATAAGTGGAAAGTTGATGGCAAAAATATTGAAGTGAAGGGCTTGAAGGCCACTTACCTAACAGCTTAAAAATAAAGTAAGTGGAGAAATGTAGTAATAACTGCAAGAGGAAGTACAGCCAAGGTTGAATACTCTAGGGAGATTTACAGGTGCAATTACATACACAAGTAAGTAAAAACTGTGTGAGTCCAGGTGGTTTTATCACACCTAACCAAGTTGAAACTAGAACCCAATATTAGTTAGTATGGCTATGTACAATAATCAGATGAGATAAATTGTGGTTTGACCATAGTTATTTAGTTGTTGGACTTCAAGCTGGTCATATAAAATGCAAGAGACAATATTGAATTTGTAAAGGCATTGGTACATGTTAAAATTTCATTGCTCTATGCTGCTTGATATGAAAGTAATTTAAAATAATCACCTTGGAAATTCATTCTAGAACATGACCATACATACATTCTACATAGCTACTTTTTTTTTCTTTTTTTTTGAGATGGAGTTTCACTCTGTCACCGGGCTGGAGTGCAGTGGCACGATCTCAGCTCACTGCAACCTCTGCCTCCCGGGTTCAAGTGATTCTCCTGCCTCAGCCTTCTGAGTAGCTGGGACTACAGGTGTGCGCCACTACGCCCAGCTAATTTTTGTATTTTTAGTAGAGACGGGGTTTCACCATGTTGGCCAGGATGGTCTCAATCTCTTGACCTCATGATCTGTCCACCTCAGCCTCCCAAAGTGCTGGGATTACAGGCATGAGCCACCACACTTGGCCAGCTACTGGTTTTAATGTATCATGTTTATATGTTATAAGGCAAAAACATACAAAAGAATAAAAACACATATATGGTCGTATGTCATTTAATGATGGGAATACAATGTGAGTATTGCATCGTTAGGTGATTTTTTCATTTTGCAATCATAGAGAGTATGTACACAAACCTAGATGGTACAGGCTGCTGTAAACCTAGGCTATATGATATAACCTATTGCTCCTAAGCTATAAACCTGAACAGCATGTTACTCTACTGAATAGGCAATTAAAAACAATGGTAAGTATTTATGTATCTAAACATATGTAAACATAGAAAAAGTAAAGTAAAAATACAGTATAAAAAATAAAACTAGTACTCCTGTATCACTTGCCATAAATGAAGCTTGCAGGACTGGAAGCTGCTATGGGTGAATCAATGAGTCAGTGGTGAGTGAAAAGGAAAGTCTAGGACAGTATTGTACACTATTGTAGACTTTATAAACACTGTGCACTTGGGCTACATTAATTTTATTTAAAAAGCCTTTCTTTAATATTAAATTGACCTTAGCTTACTACAACATTTTATGTTATGACCTCTTAAATCTGCTAACTTTTTGACTCTTTTGTAACAAAACTTAGCTTAAAACACATTGTATAGCTGTATACAATTTTTTATTTATATCTTTATTCTATAAGCTTTTTACTATTTTATTACTTATCAAACATTTTTGTTAAAACCTAATACACAAACACACACATTAGCCTAGGCCTACACAGGGTCAGGATCATCAATAGCAGTGTCTTCTACCTCCACATTTTGTCCGACTGGAAGGTCTTCATGGGAAATAATAAAATGCATGGAACTGTCATCTCCTATTGTAACATTGCTTTCTTCTGAAATACCTCCTGAAGGAGCTTCCTGAGGCTGTTTTATATTTAACTTTTAATTTATATATATATATGAGTGGAAGTACACTCTAAAATAACAATAAAAAGCATCGTATGGCAAGTAACATGGTCATTTATTATATAGTATTATGTACCATATATAATTGTATGTGCTACACTTTTATATGACCAGTAGCACAGTTCTGTTTATACCTGCATAACAACAAATACATGAGGAATACATCACACTATGACATTAAGACAACTAAAACATCTCTAGCAATATACCTTTTTAGTTCCTTTATAATCCTATGGGACTGCCTTTGTGTATGTGGTCCAACATTGTCTGAAACATTATATGTCATGTAACTACATATACACTTTTCCAAGCACATTACATTATTAAAAAATTAAAAATTCTACAAGAGAATCTTGCCATGTGGTGAACGGCACAATATTTGTAGGTAATTCATCACCTGAAAATTTAATGTAGAAAAAAAAGCACAAAAAGCTATTTGGACAATAATGAAGAAGGACATGTTTGAAATGAAATCTAAGAATTTAGGAGTACTTAACTCTGTTTGCAATATGTTTCGACAGATACTAGGGGTTTGGAGAGTTCAAACAATTCAACCAGACAACAAATTGATGGAAGTTGCATAGCCTCTTCTAAATGTTTTCTCTAAATCTTTCTCCAAGAAAGAGGATGGCAAAAATCAGAAAAAATACCTTCGAGGACAGTATAGTGGAATGGAATCTTCATTTGCTACAAAGATTAGATGTTTATTCTACAATTCACTCTTGGAATAGCGATTTTAAATATAATATATAGATACTTCATGGATAATAGAATTTGTGCTTCCCAAATTCTGGGATAATGTATGTTTAAATCAAGTTGGTAATCCAAAATATAAGTAACACTTGCTTACTTAAATATCTGAAAAGAAGGAATAAGTGAATACACTTGAAGTTATTTGCATCCTAAAATATTTCAAATATATTCAGCCTATGATAATATAATATGTATGATAGTAAAGCTGAGGAAATTAGTGGAGACAGGAAAATCATATAAAATATCACACACTAATACCTGACTGTCAAAATCAGTTATGGCTAAGATAAAACTAATCTTCTACTTCAGCAGAAGTGGAATTCTAAGTGAATTTCAGAGTTCAGTCAGTAGTCTATTATTCTTCCATGTGGTACTTAACCAGGAACACAAGATAGAAAACACAGACATACATGCACTTAGCAGAATTCTTCGCTCTTTAAAATCTCAAATTGTGATTCAAGGCAACTAAGTGATTTTATTTCTGAGAGCAATTCAATTTATATTTCATTTGGTAGAACTCCTTTTGAAGTGTTGAAACAAAGCCAGTTTTGGTTTGGATTTCTTCTAAGCAAAGGGAAAGAAGTCTCAGTTACTCAAAGCATACAACATTAAGAAACAATAAATAACACTATTTTGCAAATTTGAAGAGAATTTTTTACAATCTGTAAAATTGGTTGTTGAAGTAACTCCCATATATAGAACATTTATACTATTTTATTATTTAATTCTAATCCTGCCAAAAATAATGGTAAAACAGAAATTCTATAATTTAATGCATTATTGGAATGTTGCTGATGAAGTACACAAACAGTGGTGATGTTCCAAAAATACATATGAAATAAAGTCACATGTTTCCATGGAAAGAGGAATTACATCGTAAAGCTTCTTGTCATTTGTTGAGCCTCAGCACAAGTTTGAAGACATACTATGTAATTTTTAATAATAAAGGATTGTTTATCACTATCTTGATTTCAATTTGGTATTAAATCTTACAGAAACATAAAGGAGGAATACTATAGCCAATTAAACCAAAGCCAATCTAAAATATACTCTTTTAACCTAGGTTTAAATATTTATACCCATTTAAAAGATGAAGAGCTTTTTGGTCTCTAGCATTATTAATATTAATTGTCACCAAACATCATCATTCTTAGGAAAAAATGAAAGCCATCAAAGATAGTTGAAAGAATGCTATTTTCTTGACAATGGTACCATAAAAGAATATTAGGGTTTTCTCTTTCTTTTCAATGTAAAACAAACGTGATATTAACATTAAACCACATTTAATCTTTTGTACCTTTGAAGGATATTACAATGAAAAGAAATTTTTTCATAACATACTATTGGAGAAATGTGTCCTCCAGGAGGTTATAAGGCATTAAAACTTGGTCCACATGTCCCCAGTTTCTCCCTTTCATGTCTCCAGATTAATGGATGCAGACTTAGGAACACTGTTTGTTCATTTGCCATAGCAGATGAGACTTTTGAAGTACAAAATCTCAATGTTAGGAAAGACTCTAGGGCATTTTTAAATTGGCAGTCTAGCGTTACTATTAATAAGTTAATCAAATTCTGGCAATTTGTGCTTTTATGCCTTACTTAGCTGAAAACAAATGGATTTAGGTTGTATCTCAAATGTTCCTCAATTATTATAAAAATTAACTGACAGTTCAATGACAGATTTTTTTGTTGTTGTTCTTGTTGTTCAAGACTGTGCCTAAAATTATTTACTGTTGCTTTGTGGTGTTTCACTGGTCTTTTCTATATGAAAGCATTATTCCATAATATTTAAGCATAATTTTCCTGATTATATGTATAAAAATTTAAATAATATATATTATATATATTTGAAAAAGACCTCTAATTCTCTATTAAAATATGCTAAAATATATTACCAAATACATTTTTATTTGAATCCAGAGTTTTTCATGTGTCTGTAAATGCAATTATGTACATTCATGAAGACAAGTGTGACTTTTAAAAATTAACAAAACAGACTATTTTGGCCAAAGTCTTTAAAACCAAAATATTGCTCAATAAAGTAATTAATTTTTATCAAAGTTCAGTATAAGAACAATGTTAGACTACACTAAGGAATTTGATTCAGATAATTTATCAGGATAACTCACATTGATTTTTATTATGCAACAGTCTTTAAGATACAATCATATTTACATATTCAACAGTAAAGTCAGGACATACTCTACTACTGTGGTTTGGTATAAGATAAAATTTTATTACATTATATGTAAGAACATTTGCTATAATTTGTTTTACTAATAATTTCATCTATCTAGTTATTTCAATTTAATTAAAAATGTAGTAAAGTACTCATTTTATAATTAATAATATGTAGACTTGCTGAAACTCAAGGAAATATATGACATAATTCTGTCCACTAAGTTGCCTAACATAGAACTGAGAAAGCTTTGGGCCCTTAGGTCCTAGGTTAGATGATGGATACATTCACCGAAAACAAAACATACATACAAAATAAAATATATATATACAAGCAGATCTTCAAAGAATGTCATTTTGTTCAATGTCATTATAATGTTGATAAGAAAAAAATCAATTTCCAGATAGGACCACTGTCGGTGTGAAGTTGCATGTTCTTTGCATGTATGATAATATTGGTTTTATTATACATCATTTCACTTAAATGTATAATTTCCAAGAATCTATTGATGACATTCAATTAGGACTTACTGTATATATATATATAGAATACTGCATACAGTGTCAAATATTCTAAAATGTGGGGCAGATATAAAAATAATTTCATTTGCCCATGTAAAAGTAGGTAGTAACAATTGATTGGTTCATAAAATTATTTTTTCCATATTCTAAGCTGACTCAATGTTCAATCTTATGTTTAAAAATGAAAACAATTTTGAGAATAAAGCTAATAATTAAAATTAATGCCAGTAAAATTTTAAAAATTAAATATTTGAATTAAAAATAATTTGAATCCAACATTTTCCTTCAAATAAAAATTTTATTAAATTAACAGCATGATGATATCAGCTCATTTGGCCTGTTTAGAAGGCTAATTGGCTACTTGTGGAAGATAGTAACTGCTCAGCAAAATTTCATTCCCACTAAACCACCTACATGGGAAAAGAATACTTTCCCATTCAATTGATATTGGGCTAGACAATATCATATCCTTTGGCCAATGGAATATGGGCAGAAGTGACAATATGTGTGACACTGTGTATGCAAGTTCTGAGCACTGCATGTTTCTACTTACCTATCTGGAAGCTTCTGACCTTCACCATAAGAAGATCAGGCCCCAGGGAGACCCTATTTCTCTGGGTAGACCCAAGGATAAGACATTTTGAGCAGGTCAATTATTACACACACGAGTATAAAACAAATATGCATTACTATGTGCCCTGAGATATTTCCAATACACTATTCAGAAAGTATAGTAATAACTGATATATTACTCAAAATAACAACTAAATATATAGTACTTAGAAATTAACTTGCAGAAAAATATATAAAACCCTCATCAAAATTACTTTTTACTGTTTGAAGAGAGATGATGTTCTGAAGAAATGGAGGACATTGCACACTTGACTTAAAATTAAAAAGATGTCAATTAAATATGTTAATCCAATGTAACCAAAATAAAAATTTAGTCAAATTTCTTATAAAATAAAATATATTTATTCTAAAGTTTATACAAATGAATGTTTTTCCAGCAATAGGTAAATCAACCCTTAAGAAAATAAAGAATAAAGAACAGAAAGATAACCCAGTGGAAAAGAACAGAGTTCAGAGATGCATCATTGTATACTACATGGTAACGATAAAGAAATAAAATCTAGTAGACATACAAAATAGAAATAGAAAGGAATCAAAGCATGCCACTATAGAAAATAATCGAATCACAAAGAAACATCAAGAAAGGAAGAAAAGAACAAAAGAACTACAAAAAAATCAGAAAACATTTAACAAAATGGCAATAGTAAGTCTGTACTGATCAATAATTACTTTAAATGTAAATGGATTAAGTTATCCAATCAAAAGACAAAGACTGGCTGAATGGATTTAAAAAGAAAAACAAAAAAAAAAGGAAAAAAACCCAAAAAACACAAGATCTAATCACCTACTGCCTAAAGAGACTCACTTTAGCTTTAAGGCACACACAGGCTGGAAGGAATAGAGAAAGATATTTCATGCAAATGATAACAAAAGACAGCTGGGGTGGCTATACTTCTATAGACAAATATAAACAAAATATACTTTCAGTCAAAGCCTGTCTCAATAGACAAATACACTACATAATGTTAAAGTAGTCAATCTATGTACAGAAGGAATGAATTTCAACATAATAAATCATACATGACAAGCCCAAAGATAGCATAATACTCAATGGTGAAAAGTTGAAAGGTTTTCATCTAAGATTAGGAACAAAACAAGGGTGCCCAATTTTACCACTTCTAGTCAACAGAGTACTGAAATACCTCATCAGAGTAATTAGGCAAGACAAATAAGTAAAAGACTTCTAAACTGGAAAGGAAGAAAATTAATTGTCTCTGCTTGCAGATGACATAATCTTTGTATAGAAAACACTGAAGACTCAACCAAAAAAACCCGTTAAAAATAATAACAAATTCAGTGAAGCTTCAGGATACAAAGCCAACGTACAAAAATCAGTTGTGTTTCCACATACTAACAATGAACTATACAAAGAAAAAATTAATTAAATTTTTGTATACTGTTAGTGGGAATATAAATTGGTACACCCATCATGAAAAACAGTAAGTTCCTCACAAAACTAAAAATAGGACCACCATGTGGTCCAGCCATCCCACTTCTTCTATATATCAAAAGGAAATGAAATCAGCATTTTAAAGATGTATTTGTACTTCCATATTCATTGCAGCATTATTCATGATAGCCAAGATATATAAATATAGCCAAGATAAATAAATATATATGGACAAATGAATGGATAAAGAAAATGTAGTGAATACTTAACAATGGAATATTATTTAGCCTTTAAAAAGAAGGTAATCCTGTCATTTGAAGCAACATGGATGAAACTGGATGACATTTTACTAAGTGAAATAATCCAGCACAGAAAGATAAATTCTGTATGATCTTACTTACATGTAGAATCTAAAATTTGAACTCCTAGAAACAGAGTAGAATGATACTTGCCAGAGGCTGGGTAGTAAGAGAAATAGGGAGACATTGGTCAAAGTGTTAAAGTTTCAGTTAGGCAGGATAAATAAGTTCTGGAGATCTAATGTATAACATGGTGACTATAGTTAATAATACTGCATTGAATGTTTGGAATTTGCTGAGAGAGTAGATCTTCAATGTTCTCATCACAAAAAACGTAATGTGAGGTGATGGATATGCTAATTGGCTTATAATCTCACAATGTATACATATATAAAAACATTATGTTGTACATCTTAAATGTGTACAATTTTTATTTTTCAATTATACCTCAATATAAATGGAAAAAAATAGAGCTAACAGCATTTTTTTTAAGTATATGGGAAAAAGTTAAACAATTTAATTAGACTAAAGTATGGATATCTGTTCAAGTAACGATACCATGAGAAAAAATGACTAGACCAATTAATGGGTCAAGACATTTGTAATGTCTTGAACAGCAAGTGAGTAATCTCTGTAATATATAAGAAACTTCTAAAAATAACATGAAGAAGACAGCAATCCTAACTGATAAGTGGCAACAACTATGAACAGGTAGGTTATAATCAAGGAAACCCAAAAGGCCAACACACATAAAAAGTACAGCTCAAAATTAATTGTCAGAAAAATGCATTTAAAACTAGATTTTATTTTGAACTATAATATAGAAAAATGAGAAATCTGAATAATTTCAGTTATTGGAGAGATGTGGTGATTTAAGAATGCTTTGCATTGCTAGTGGAAGGGTAGACTGGTACGTCTGCACTGGAGAGATATGTCATTGTTAGGCAAACAAGGTATGGGCATTACCTATGATAGTTATTCTGCTTGTATAAACCCAAGGAAATTCTCATACAAGTAGTTAAAGGGAATTTTCCAGGATATTTATCAAAGCATTGTGTGTAGCAATGTGGATTTGGAGGCAACCTGGGTATCCATCACTGTGAGAAATTAGTAGGTAAAATGTGTAGTAGATGGCCGGGCACAGTGGCTCATGCCTGTAATCCCAGCACTTTGGGAAGCCGAGATGGGCAGATCATGAGTTCAGGAGATCGAGACCTTCCTGGCTAATGTGGTGAAACCCTGTCTCTATTAAAAATATAAAAAATTAGCTGGGCGTGGTGGCAGGTGCCTGTAGTCCCAGCTACTTGGGAGGCTGAGGCAGGAGAATGGCGTGAACCCAGGAGGCAGAGCTTACAGTGAGCTGAGATCGCATCCCTGCAACTCCAGCCTGGGCAACAGAGTGAGACTCCATCTCAAAAAATAATAATAATAAAAATAAATAAATAAATAAAAATATATGTAGTAGATGAACACGAGGCTACACAACAAATGGAAGCAATAAATAGATACATACCTTGTGACATAAATGGATCTCATAAACATGGTGTTTAGTTAAAAACAGGAGGTTTTTTTGTACTATTATTTAAATAAATCAAAATACCTATACACAAAACACACACATTCTTTAAGAACACATATTTTAAAAAGACACAAATTAAACACAGTAGAATGACTATTGTTCCCATTATCTTTTGATGAGTAACAAATGACTCCAGAACTTGGTGTTAAACAACAATCATTCATTTTGCTCACAGATCCATGAGCCAAGAATTCACGGGTGACTAGAATGGGTGATATCTCGCTTACTTGGTATCTATATATGTCATCTGATGTGTTATAGTGGTAGTTGAATTGGGCTGTCATGTTTAAGACCTCTCCAATCACATGTCTGACACTTTGGCAGAGACACTAGAAGGCTTTGCTTAGCTGGAACCCTCTCCTCCATTGTATCTTCAGGGCCTGTCTATATGGTTTCTCCATAAAGGTAATCAAATTAGAAGAGCAAAATAGAAACTGTCAATACTCTTAAAGTCTAGTCCTGAAGTTTATGTTGCATCACTTCCATCATAATTAGAATAACATAGTTGGTCATAGGTGAGCTCAGATTCAGAGTGAGGGGAAGCAGACCTCATCTTTTGATAAGACAGATACAGTCATCTTTATTCAGCCATTGTTACATATAGAGGAAGAGAAATGGGAGTAGGATATGGAGATAAAAGGAAATACATAGTGTATTAGTCCATTCTTGCACTATTATAAAGAACTACCTGATACTGAGTAATTTATGAAGAAAAGAGGTTTAATCGAATCACAGTTCCACAGGCTGTACAGGAAGCATGGCCTGGAGGCCTTAGGAAACTTACAATCATGGTGGAAGGCAAAGGGGAAGTGAGCATGTCATCACATGTCAGAGAGAGAGCAAGGCAGGAAGCACCATACACTTTTAAACCAATAGATCTAATGAGAACTCACTATCACGAGAACAGCCTGGGAGAAATCCACCCCCATGATCCAGTCACCTCCCATCAGGTACCTCCCCTAACACTGGGAATTACAATTCAACATGAGATTTGGGTGGGGACACAGAGCAAAATCGTATCACATAGATTAAATAAAAGAAGGTCTAGACAAAAAAAGATGATAATATACTATGAACTGAGGACTATGTATTTAATATTTTGAAAAATTACATTCTGATTTTAAAAGATGGAGAATCCTTTAATACTGTGCCTGCCTGTAGTCTAATCATTTCTTTAGGCCCAATCTTTCATGCCTAAACATTATGGTCAATATTTATATGTTAATCATATTACATGTTTCAGGAGAATAGTATTGGTTAGAATGACAATGTGCACTTAAATTTTCCAGATTGGAGAAAATATTGCAAATTCTTAATTTATGTAATATCTGGGTTTTATTTATTTATTTATTTATTTATTTATTTATTTATTTATTTGAGACGGAGTCTCACTCTGTTGCCCAGACTGGAGTGCAGTGGCATGATCTTGACTCACTACAACCTCTGCCTCCCAGGTTTAAGCAATTTTCCTGCCTCAGCGCCCCACCCCACCCCCACCTCTGAGTAGCTGGGATTACAGATGCCCGCCACCCTACCTGGCTAATTTTTGTATTTTAGCAGAGACAGGGTTTCTCCATGCTGGCTAGGCTGGTCTCGAACTTCTGACCTCAGTTGATCTGCCTGCCTTGGCCTCCCAAAGTGCTGGGATTATAGACATGAGCCACCGCACCCTGCCTCTGGGTGGTATTTATTTGGATATTGGCTACATCATTTTAATAGTTTCCTAAAAATTCAAAATACTTTGTAATTAAAAAAATCTTCCACTATCAAATATTCACCTGGGAAAAAAATGAATACTAACATTTTTAATAGGTAAGCAACCTTAAAATTCTGAGGAAAGAATGGTTACCAGTTTAAACTGCCTCTAAAATTAAACAGAGGCACAGCTGCATTTCATAAACAAAAGCAACTTGCACACTCATTTTCTTCAGCTTAACAAGAAATGCAAACACATACCACTGTTTTGAGTTTGGGAAGGTTTATTTTGAGAAAAACATTTTTTTTGGAGGGAGATTACAGTTTATACATTATACCCTATAAAACATGAATGTTATTGCTGAATTCAGAATTTTCCGTTTAAATGTTAAGAAATTATAACAAAAGCCAAGGAAGGTGTTAAAATGACAGCCATTTAAAAAATAAATCAGCATGTATGTATTCAATACCTACTACACTCAAGGCAATTTTAAAAAAGTCTGTAGAATCAATAGTCAACTAGCAATATTATGTTAGGGGATTTACTTAACTTTTCCAAATCTTTCCATAATGAGGGGTTGGATTAAAATCTGAACTTTTTTTTTCATAAAAGTTCCATCTTTGATTAAAAAAAAAGTATTGGCAGAACTAACAAAAAATTAAAATTAGTATATTATAAAGTCACAGATTAGGTCTTCAGATAATAAATATATATTATCTCAGAAGAGGCTGATATTGATACAGAAACAATAGAACAGGTAAGATTGACATCAAGTTTGAAGAAGAATGTGTTTGAATAAGGTAGAGAGCAAAGAGAAGAACTTAAGTAAGCATCATGACAAAGACTAAAAAATCAAAAATGAAAAGTTGCCAGACCGGGCACAGTGGCTCGTGGCTCATGCCTGTAATCCCAGCACTTTGGGAGGCCAAGCTGGGAGGATCACTTGAAGTCAGGAGTTTGAGACCGGCCTGGCAAACTTGGTGAAATATGGTCTCTACTAAAAATACAAAAATTAGCTGGGCCTGGTGGGGGATGCCCATAATCCCAATTACTTGAACGTCTGAGGCAGGAGAATTCCTTGAACCAAGGAGGTGGAGGTTGCAGTGGGCCAAGATTGCACCACTGCCCTCCAGCCTGGGCAACAGAGCAAGACAGTCTTAAAAAAAAAAAGTTGCCTGTAGAAAAGATAATAAATCTACTTGAATTGAACGGGGGAAGATGCAATTCATGGCTAGATTCTACCATTGAGTATTGTTTGGCAAGCAGAGTGGTTTTCAAATATTTTCTATTATAAGTTGTCCACATTAAAAAAAATTAATGATTAAAATTATTAAAATGGAGACTTTACCAAGCAAAATCTGCCCCCATTCTCACATGGCAAAAATCAACTGGAGCTAAGTAGAGGTTGTCCACTTTTAGGTAGAATATCACCATGCAGTTATCCACAATTCTCACTCATTCCTTTCACTCAACCAGTTTTACCAGTCTGTGTTTACTGAGGAGTCCCAAAAAGACATTTCAGTATGACAAAGCCACAGAATAGGTCAATTTCTAAGAAGTTATAGAAGTGACAATTACACAATTACCAAGCTACAAAATTTGAATTTCATCCTATGAGATTTTACTATATGCAGTTTTTGATAAGAGGATTTATGCTTTTGAAATGCATTTTTTTACTTAAAAATAGTTCCAATTAAGTAATTGAAGGTGCTAAAATCAAAGAAAAGTCTTCTCTGGAATTGGGAAAAGATGGAATCAAGAGCTGAAGCAGGAGGTTGATTTTAGAGGAGCATTGCTGTCTTCGAGGTGAGAGAAATGTATGATACAATAGGGTAGCAAAAGGCAAATGTTGCACCTCAGGTTGAGGCTGAATATAGTAGTAGATATAAAGACTTTACCAATTCATAGTTCTGGGGTAGAGACTGGGCTCTCTACTACTATTTTTGTGATTATTGGCATGTCATTGTCATCTGTTGACTCTCCAAAGTTCTGCCAGCAAAACTAAGGATTTTAGACTTATCCCAGCATGAGGGAGTACCACCTTGACTGCCCTTTAGAAGTGTCTTAATATTACACTTAAGACACTTTAGAAGTGTATTAATATTACACTTAAGTAAGACACTTTAGAAGTGTCTTAATATTACACAGCTGTAAATCTGTAAGAGTCTGCAGCAACCTCACTTCTTGCCTCTTCGAAAGAAAGATTTTGACAGAGGGGGTGTAAGGCAGGGGAGACTGAGGCAAGTTTTAGAGCAGGAGTGAAAGTTTATTAAGAAGCTTTAGAGCAGGAATGAAAGAAAGTAAAGTACACTTGGAAGAGGGTCAATCAGGCAACTTGAGAGATCAAGTGCCCTGTTTGATCTTTGACTTGGAGTTTTATACATTGGCATGCTTCTGGGGTCTCACATCCTTTTTCCCTGGATTCTTTCCCTTGGGGTGGAATGTCCACATGCATAGTGGCCTGCAAGCCCTTGGGAGGTGAGCTGCACAGTGTGTTTACTGGAGTTGTGCACATGCTCAATTGAGATGTTCTTCCCTTAGCTGTCAAATGTCCCTAGAAGGTCATATACCGGTAAAACACCACCATTTTGTCTGTCTCTAATGTGCATGCTTGAGCCCACTTGCCCAGCTTCTGAGGTCTTATTGGGAAGCTGCTGATCACCAGTTCCAGGTTTTTTCTATCTGTTGGGAGACTGCCTTTCCCTGGTACTGGCTATGACAAATTATTATTTTAGAGAAACAATTTAACAACTGCCCGACCATACCTGATGGTTGCCTGACATTCCTGGTGGTGAGGGAGCCCTCTCCTGCCCTGCTCTTGTCTGACTACCTACTACTATAACATTAATATGGTAAATTAGGACCTTAACCTGAGTGAGCCTTACGAGGTGCCAACTGGTTGAGTTTAGGTAGAGTTTATGATTTAACAGCTTTGAACTGGTAGGCACAGAAGGCAAGGGGTTCTGAAGCAAGTCCTAATAAGAAAGTTTTCATCTTGGCTGGACACAGTGGCTGGCACCTTGATATGTTTTGGCTGTGTCCCCACCCAAATTTCATCTTATTGTAGCTCCCGTAATTCCCATGTGTTGTGGGAGGGACCCAGTGGGAGATAATTGAATCATGGGAGTGGTTTCCCCCATACTGTTCTCATGGTAGTGAATAAGTCTTATGAGATCTGATGATTTTATAAGGGGTTTCCCTTTTCTCTTGGCTCTCATTCTCCCTCTTTCCTGCAACCATCTAAGAAGTACCTTTCACCTTCCACCATGATTGTGAGGTCTCCCTAGCCATGTGGAACTGTGAGTCCATTAAACATCTTTCTCTTTATAAATTACCCACTCTTGGGTATGTCTTTATAAGCAGCATGAAAATGGACTAATACACACCTGTAATCCCTGCACTTTGGGAGGCTGAGGTGGTGAGTTGCTTGAGCTCAGGAGTTTGAGACCAGCCTGGACAACGTGGTAAAACCCTTTATCTACAAAAAAACAGAAAAATTACTAGGCATGGTGGCATGCACCTGTCTGGAAGGTTGAGGCTGCAGTGAACCATGACTGCACTACTGCCCTCCAGCCTTGGCAACAGAGTGAGCCCCTGTCTCAGGAAAAAAAAAAAAAAGTTGTCATCTTTATAAGGATAATGCCTAGTTCACAGTCTTTTCTTCCAGGAGGAGGTATCTCCTGGAGTAGGCATTGAAGTTATTTTTGCTTGGTGTAAACGCTGTTAAAATAGAGATAGGAACATATGTTCCTTGTATTATTTAACACAGCAACAGAAAAGTATACCCAGTCCTAGTATGTTGGTTTCATTTCTCACCATACAACCCATGTGATCACAACTTTATTTCTCTCATATGTGAAAAATAAATGGTGATAAAATCTTCAGAGAGAGCCTGCTGGGCCACTTCATATAAAATAAATCTTCACTCCCCATCTCTCTTATTGTTTTTTGTCTGTTCCTGTGTGTTTTGTTTATGGCACATGACCTTTTCTCATTTTAAATTATTATTTATTGTTTTTTATTCTTAACACTTTCTTCTTTACTGGACTATTAGCTCCCTGAAGTCAGAGTCCATATTTATCTTGTTCATCTTTTTATTTGCAAAATTTGGCACAGTATCTAATTCACAGTAGAAATGATTTCCTCAAAGAAATTAAGAAAAGAACATTCAAGATTGGCAAGAGGTTAAAGGGTTCTAGGAGAGATGTGAGATTCACCAAAAAAAGAAGAAAAAAAGGCAGGAAGGAGATCATTTATATTTTTGAGTGTTTGAGATGATTTAGTGATAGATATAAAGAAAACAAGCCAGTAAAAAATCAAAATTGAGTCCCATAAAATTAAGGAAAAATAAAAATGTGTACAAGAATAGAAAAATAATCATTACATAGCTCAGCTTTTAATCATATTTATATAGGCTCAATAATGTTAATATAAAATTATACATATTATATACTTATTACATAATTATATAATAATTTATATTGACATTACATGTGAATGTAAACAATAATATAGATGTTTAATCAATAACCAACTATAAATATCTATATTGATAAATGGGAAACGGTAATTGGCAGAAGGTGTAAGAAGGATATGGTTCTAAGTATACTAAACTTCTATCTTTTGTAGTAAAATTCAAAAGTTAACACATACAACTAATTTTTAAAAATTAACATAAACATATAAGTTAGGAATTTACAGGACACTTGAGAAAAAACAAGAGTCAAATGCAATTACCTCTAGGGAATACGGGAGGGCAGGGGAGGAAGAGTAGAGGGTAACGGAACAAAGAGCTTTTGCTTATTGCTACAAGCTCTACAGAAGCATTGCCACTTAGAAATTATTTATATATGTACTACAATAAAATGTTAAAGTTGTAACAGAAAAATTTTAAATATATATAACCACTTGTACATATAATTTGGTCAAAAGATCGTCTTACCTTCCCATTGCTAGATGAGCAATTATAAACCATAGGTCTGTTTTACCTTCCCAGTCCCAAAACACTATGAATAACCACCACAGACCCTCAGTTGTTGTTGTGGGAAGTCAGGGACCCCGAACAGAGGGACTGGCTGGAGCCGTGGCAGAGGAACATAAGTTGTGAAGATTTCATGGGCATTTATCAGTTCCCAAATAATACTTTTATAATTTTTAATGCTTTTCTTTACCTTAATCTCTTAATCCTGTTATCTTCGTAAGCTGAGGATGTACGTCACCTCAGGACCACTGTGATAATTGTGTTAACTGTACAAATTGTAAAATATGTGTGTTTGAACAATATGAAATCAGCGCACTTGAAAAAGAACAGAATAACAGTGATTTTTATGGAATGAGGGAAGACAACCATAAGGTCTGACTGCCTGCGGGGTCAGGCAAATAGAGCCATATTTTTCTTCTTGCAGAGAGCCTGTAAATGGACGTGCAAGTAGGAAAGATATCACTAAATTCTTTTCCTAGCAAGGAATATTAGCATTAATACCCTGGGAACGGAATGCATTCCTAGGGGGAGGTCTATAAACAGCCACTCTGGGAATGTCTGTCTTGTGCAGTTGAGATAAGGACTGACATATGCCCTGGTCTCCCTCAGTACCCTCAGGCTTACTAGGGTTGGGAAAACTCCGCCCTGGTAAATCTGTGCTCAGACCGGTTCTCTGCTCTCAAACCCTGTTTTCTGTTGTTTAAAATGTTTATCAAGACAATACGTGCACCAGTGAACATAGTGGTTCTGTTTTTGCCCTCTGCCCTGTGATCTTTGTTGGACCCCTAACAGTGGTTCTGCTTTTTCCCTTTGTCCTGTTCCGTCAGAAGCATGTGATCTTTGTTAGACCCTTATTAGTAGTTCTGTTTTTTGCCCTTTGAAGCATGTGATCTTTGTATCTACTCCCAGTTCTTACACCCTCTCCCCTTTTGAAACCCTTAATAAAAACTTGCTGGTCTGAGACTCAGGTGGGCATCATGGTCCTACCAATATATGATGTCACCACCGGCAACCCAGCTGTAAAATTCCTCTCTTTGTACTGTCTCTCTTTATTTCTCAGCCGGCCGACACTTATGGAAAATAGAAAGAACCTACGTTGAAATATTGGGGGCAGTTCCCCCAATAAGTTATAGTCACCTTTCTCCAAACATACCATGCTCTTTATTATTTCCTACTGCTATAACATGCTTTTCCTACCTTAGGTTCTCTAATATGCTACTGAAGAACTCCTACTCAATCTTGAAGACACAGGTTAGATAGCTGCTTCTTGACGAATCTCTTCCCTCCTCCCTGACAAGTGTTAATGCCACTTTTATGCACCCTGTATACTTAAAACTATTAATGATCTTCATTGTTCATACACGGTGTCCATAGCCATGTTCCTGAGCATAAAGAAATCTGTCGAGATTGGGGATGAGAAATACAAATTCATCACTCCCACTAGACAAACTATGCAAAAGGCATTCTTATTGATAGATTGAAAACATCTTCATTGTTGGCAAAATCAATAGTTGGGCTTTTTTGGTTGTTTTTGTTTCTGTTTTGGTTTTTAACAGGTAAGGGAGCTGAGCTTTGTTTGATGAAACTTAAAAGAATTAATTCACATTATTTGAATATTTCCATTTAAGTCTGTTTTCACACCTTAATGTATTCCACACCAGGAATAACTCTCTTTCATTGATCGCAGCCTAATTATCTTATTTAGAAGTACATTTATCGTGATTTACTAAAAAACAATGTAATTTTAAATTCAGCCTATTTTCATTTTTAGCCTGCTGAGTCTGAATGCTAATATACTTCATTGGGTCCTCCAAATGACTTTGTTTTAGTAATGTGTTGATGACAGCTATTTGCTGGTTCAAATTTAAATTTCCTTTGCCTGTGCTATTTAAATTATAATCAGCACTGACAGCCAGTGGTCATAAAGAGACCATAGTTACAGAATGTGTTTTCTTAGCAACAGAAAAATAATGGGGGAAAAAAAAAGCACTACAGCAGAAACACCAGGGAACAGACTTAATATGGTCTGATGAACATGTAGAATATGCATTTAACACAACAAAAATTGTATCTTGTCTCAATAGCAATATTCATCACTCTCATTACTCCTACTGGTAAGATGCCAGTTAAAAACTGCAATAATAATAGCAAACTCTAAAGAGTCATTCTATTTTATGATTATCTAAACATGATTTATTGCTTTTGTTTTTGTTTGCATGGATTTTGTCAACACTAACCTACACTACTCTGAATGTTTTGTATAAAATAAACTTTCAATATTGCAGTAAAAACTATCAAGCTGTTTCCTTTCTCTTTGCTACATATTTATGCTATGCCATTGGTCATAGCAGCATTCCACTGCATGCATTTTGATACATTCAACTGTATAGAATCAAAATTGCTCCATTCATTTTCAAGTGATTCTGATAAATGTAATGGATACTACACCTACTTATAAGATTGAGATAAAAATCTTTTACTTCTTGTGAAAATCAAAGTAAACAAAGATGAACTGAACTCCGATGAACATGTTTGGGCCACAGTTCTGCCTCTTAATTGCAAACTATTAAACAATTCTAACAGTTCCATGTTCCCAGTTGCCAAAACACACCTCTCTCCAAAATGTATCCAAGCTTTTGCCTACACTAAATTACTTATCAATCCTAGTGAGAATTTACCTTTACATATTTGCATTTAGAGTGAAGACCAATAGATATTAGCAAAATAAACCTAGCAAACTTCTGCTAGTCAGGGAACAGATCGTTCTATGTACCCTGAAATGTCTAGCACAATGCAGTAAGTACTTGATTATCACTGTGGTAGCAGCCATCTGAATCATTACCATAGGATGCATAAATTAATAATTTTGGGAATTATTAAAATGATATTTTACGACTAGGTATTTTTTGCATATTATTAATAAATTCCACATTGAGAGACATGGACTTTTCTAAAAGCAATTTCTTATAGAATGAAAAGATGCTAAAGATTTTTGAACGGGCCTAGTTATCAAGCCATTTCAGTGGGAAAGTGGAAGGTATGTGTGTTGAAAGACACCAACCAGTAGGCCATTTTAGAAGGCCAGCACGAAACTGATTTGTATTTCTAGGGCATTAGAAGATTCACAGAGAAGCACACCCAGAGGTCATCTGCTTACAGATGTGGACATTAAGCTCTGATAACAGTTAACCTGAAAGAAAGAGGAAGACCTACTGAATGACTAAATTTAATGCCTGAAGCAGTTTCTCACCTCCCTCTAAGCTCAGAAAGCCCTTAGTAATTTTACTTTTTTGTCTCCCACGTCTTTATCCTCCTTAAATCTCCCCTGAGAGAGTTACACACCCTTTTTAAGGCTCCTGCATTTCAACGAAATGCTGGGAGACTGGATTCTGGATTGACCAAAATATGTATTTACAAAGCCTCTCTGTTCTCAGATTTATAAACTGATCATTAAAGGAATATGGATTCATCTTGGTTAAAATGATGAGAATTTGCCATATTATATATCTTATTAATTAGCATTTTCAGGGCCCCAAAGCTACTGTTGCTGTATATAGGAATATGGTCTTTTGAATTCTGCCTTTACATGAGATTTTAGATGATTAAGACATTTTTGGCATTATAAATTTACTCCCGTCTAATAATATACTGTTACTACATTTTGTGTTTGTAAAGGCACAATTGGTTTAATGTACAATTATGTAAAATTTATCAGGGATATGGCATAGTAACTATAACATTTCAAACTTTAATTCTTTGTTGTAGGGCAAAACAACTAGCAGTAGTATAGCTTTACATTTAGATATATTCTAAAACACAAAGTCATAAATAAAATAATTTCAATAAGAAAAAACCTGTAGTTTTCAGAAGCATGGGAATACACCCAAAGAGATAATTGTCTGTTTAATTGTACATATTAGTGATTATGTAGTAGGAAAAAATTTCCAGGAATATATAACACTAAAATGACCTCCCTTCTCTCACCTTTCACAGAGATTACTTTAAGCCATCCATTTTGAATTATGGGGTAGGCTGTTTCCATTAATTTCATTTTGATGGTATAATATTCAGAAAATGTAAAGCAACAGTAGACATAGCAGAAAAAGGATAAAAGAAAAACATGCTTCCTACCTGCTTTTGACTAAACTTTAGATATTATTTATAATTCACTTTGATCAGACCCTTATTTTAAGCAAAATACAGAGATCTTTAAGGTATATTTAAAATTGACAATTCAAAAAAAATGCTGATTTCCCTGGCCTAAAATTATCTTCTCATCTACATTTCCCCATTGTACAATGTGTGTGCACATACACACAAACGAATATATATATATATATATATATATATATATATATATATATATATATATTTTTTTTTTTTTTTTTTTTTTTTTTTTTTCTATAACAGAGCCTTGCTCTTTTGCCCAGGCCGGAATGCAGTGGCATGATCTCAGTTCACAGCAACCTCTGCCTTCTGGGTGCGAGAAATTCTCCCACCTCGGCCTCTCGAGTGGCTGGGATTACAGACATGCTCTACCATGCCTGGCTAATCTTTGTATTTTTGGTAAGGATGAGGTTTCGCCATGTTGGCCAGGCTGGTCTCAAACTCCTGATCTTGTGATCTGCCTGCCTTGGCCTCCCGAAGTGCTGGGATTACAGGCACCAGCAACCGCGCCCAGCCTCATAATGTATTTTTAAAGTGGCTTTTATCTTACTTTGTTGTACAAACCTTTTGAAACACATGGTGGAACTTATATTGTATTTAAAAGAAAATCTCATCTGACTATACTCAAACATCTCTCAGAAAAATAATGTCTCCTGAGAAATGATATTCTTACACCAAGGAATAGCTTCAAACCAATTTATATTAAGTCTCATCTGTAATCACCTAAGTTACAAGCATTATATCCCTGTGGGCAGACTATGCTACCCCACAATATGAAGGATTGTTGAGCTGAAGATAATTAAGCAAGAGCAGATGCTGGGAAGCTCTGAAAGCAGAATACAGATTTACAAAGACAAAAGTTTTGTTTTTTTGTTTTTTTTCCATACACACCAGGGAGAACAAAGGTCAGTCACCAAAGACAGTTTTATACATTCACTGGTCTGGACATGGTGACAGAAGAATTGGCATTAACAAGCTTTACTATTATAACTCGACTTTATCTGCCCTTTATTTGCCTTCCTCCAAATTGCTGCTCTTAGATACCCAAAGTCCTTTTCCTTTGTCTTCACTTCTCTAAAAATTTACTATTCTTTGTTGAAGTTGTTATGTAAACTAACATTTGAAGCCACTTCTTTAAGAACTTTTCATTCTCTGGCTGTCTCCCATGTACATATGAAAAATATGTGTTAATAAACTTCTGTTTCTTTCTCTCTTGTTAATCTTTCTTTTGTGACAGAGCTTGTTTCCAACTAAGATCCTATTGTTGAAGGAAAAAAATGGTTATTCTTCCTCTATATCTCCAACTCCTCCTTTACTTCCTGGTAATTCTGTATAACAATATCAAGCTGTTTTCAGGAGAAAAGCTGGTTTACAAGGTTTTATAATTAGCACATGACTCTGAGAGCTTACTTCACTCATAAAATGACAAAATTACCCAGTCATTAGATGTATCAACCATTACCATGAAATTTTACTCTATCTGTGCAGAATAAAAAAGTTTGGGTTTATTCATTTAATTATGATTCATTGGACACCTATTGTTAGACACTGTGCTAAGCAAATGAGTAGAAAATGCACATAATAATATTTGGATCTCAGCAGTCCTTTGATCAAATTCTGATTCTGATGTTTATTACCTGTTGATATGGTATGGCTGTGTCCCCACCCAAATCTCATCTTGAATTGTAGCTCTCATAATCCCCACGTCATGGGAGGTAATTGAATCATAGGGGTGGGTTTTTCCCATGCTGTTCTCATGATAGTGAATAAGTCTCATGAGATCTGATGGTTTTATAAAGGGCAGTTCCCCTGCCCATGTTTTCTTGCCTGCCACCATGTAAGAAATGCTTTTACTCTTCCTTTACCTTCCGCCATGATTGTGAGGCCTCCCCATATGTGTGGAATTCTGAGTCCATTGAGCCTCTTTCTTTATAAATTACCCAGTCTTAGGTATTTCCTCATAGCAGTATGAAAATGGACTAATACACCTGTGTAATAAAGAATTTGACTGGCTTTTGTGCCCAATTCCTGAGAAGTAACCTCTAAATCCTTGGCATTTCCAAGTGATAAAATTGTCTTTCATAGTGGGTCACTGAAACATATCTGATAGCCTATGCTAATGAGATGACTCATGGTGTTTTCCTAAATAGTTTATGCTAATGAGATGACTCAGGATGAGGGCTGGCCACATCAGAAAAACTAACTGTGTAATTAGAGGTTGGGCTTCGAGCCAGCCAATGTCAGCCCAATCTGTGCGGAGGGGAGGAAGGCTGGAGACTGAGCTCAACCACCTGGACAATGATTTAATCAATGATGCCTATGTAATGAAACCTCAATAAATCTCCAGATACTAAAGCTCAGGTAGTCTTCCTGAGTCAGCAGTACTCCATACCAAGAGAATAACATATCCTTGACAACGGAAGCTTCACATTTAAAACCAGGCCAGTATCAGATTCTGCCCTATGCATCTTAATGTGTATCCTTTGCTTGCAATAAACATGACTAAGTATAATTGGTTTAAGTGATTTCTGTGAGTCTTTCTAGCAAATGATCAAAACTGAGGGTGGTTTTGGGAAACTGATGAACTTATAGTTGGGGTCAGATTTGTGGACAGACTTGGTAATCTGGAGAACTGTGCACTTAACCTCGAGTGTGGCTAACTCTACGTACTGAACAATGTTTGTTGGCAAATTGTATATCTTTTAACATCTCAGTCTTTATTTCTTTATAGGTAAAATAACAATACCTAAATTACCAAGTTATTATGAAGATAAAACAATTACATAAAGTACCTATCATGTTTCTTGCACAGAATAGGTGCTCCACTAATGCTTTACTACCATTGGCTAGGAATTTTTAAAGACCATCCTAATACAGTATATTATAAATGAAAGACTCACTAAAAATTGCTCTCATAGCACAAAAGCAAGGGACATAATTTTGATGTCTTGTCTTTGACTTATCTTGTCAGATGAGAGAACTCCATCTGTAAACATCTCATTTCCAGGGTCAGTGACAAATATCATTAGGAATCTTAGGCTTATGATTAGTGACGTTAACCTTTGAGAAATTTTTTTAAAATATGAGAATTAAAAGACAGAGCTACACTATAAATATCTAAGATTTAACTAAAAGACAAATTGTTACAGAAAGTAGTAACTGATACAACTACTGGCATAATAGTATACTCATTGGACCAGAAATAGAAGAGCTTACTCAGAGCTCTGATTCCAATGTGATGCTTTACTACTTCCAGCTCTGTGACTCTGGGAGAGGTCCTTGCCCATCTAGAAAATGCCACTGTACTGCCTATTATTAAAGCTGATGTGAATTAAATGAAATGGTGCACATAAAAGAGCTCAGAAACTATGTTCTATTTAGTGTAGGTAATCATTGATTTGGACATGTAATAATATTATAATATGGAGGTAAAAATATTTGAGCAGTGAGATAGAAACCCCATTGCCTAGCTCAATAAAGTTAAGAGAATTGGCAAAAATAAGGTTAGCATTTAGAAATGAACCACTGCACTTGAAATTGATGTTACTTAAGGATTAACTCAGAGTACCAAAACATAAAAAAGACATGCTATGATCCAAATGTGCCCAGAGATATGCTCTGGTTAGTGCAAAGAGTTTTTAAAACTCCTTTTTAATTTTATATACTTGGTTCATATTCCCAAATGGCAATCATCAAGTGGAAATAAATTGAATCATTCACTCTCCAGCTTTCTGCTGTTCTCACTCATGTCCTATTACTGATAATGTTTGGGTCCCTTCAAAATTCATATGTTAAAACTTACAGCATGACTGTACTTGGAGACATGGTATTTAGGAAGTAATTAAACTTAAGTGAAATCATAAGAGGCCCTGATCCAATAGTAATAGCATCTTTACAAGGAGAGAAACCAGAGAGCTTGGTCTGTTTCTCTTAGTGCACATTCAGAGGAAAGACCACATGAGGACACAGAGAGAAAGCATCTGTCTGCCAGCCAGAAAGAGCCATCACCAGAAACTGAATTGCACAGAACCTTACTCTTGAACTTCCTACCCTCCAGAACTGTGACTAAATAAGTTTCTGTGGTTTAAGCTACCCAGTCTGTTGTATTTTGACAGCAATAGCTGACTGATAAAGTCCCATTTCTTCTTCTATCACCAGCCTGGTGCCTATAAGTATGTAAGCTTCTAATTTCACATAGTTAAATAACTTCCAGTTACTAGAGATCAGAATCAAGTTGGTTTTAACTGGTAAAAATCAGGACTCGGAGATAGATGTGAACAAGGAAGACAGGAGAGCAAGAGAGAGATAAAAAAATTAAGAACAAAGACATTTACAGGTCAGTAAGAACAAAGACATTCACAGGTCAGAGTAAGGCAAAGAAGGTGGGAGAAAAAATTATACTTCAAACAATCTAGAAAGCCTTGCAACATAGCGTGTCATTGGCCCAAATCTCTTGCTATAGCTGCAGAAGTACCAAGTAGCTATGAGTTTAGCCTGGTCTTTCAGGCAGCCTGCTGGGAAGAAAAATCTTGTCAGGAAGCCGCAGCTGTGGCAAGCAGGTCTTGACAACGCCCCGATCCAACCAGACCTGTAAACATTTCTGTCATTACATTAGTCAACACATCTATCTGCAAAGACTCTTTCTCAATTCTTACTGAAACATCAAATTCCTAAATTATTCTGATAATGGAAGCTATGATAATCAAAATTGAGAATCAGAATGAATACATTTACACTTTAAAGGAGGCCAAGAAATCTTTCTTTCTATACAGAATACTGAGTGTTTCTATATTCCTACTCTTACCCTAGGAAATACTCTAGCCATCCATATGATGGAGAGGAAAACACGTAGGAATGATGGTGGCTGAATATATGTGAGTGCTCTCAAACCTGACTGGTTAGGATTGTATTAGGACATGTAGGCAGTGGGCTGAGTCATAGAGGTAGTTCTGCCTCACTCTTTCTCACCACTTGAGAAATCTAGAGAAGGCAGGGTTGAATTGACTGTGTGTGCATAAGCCCAGGATTGGCAGGAAAGCTGGGTAGCATCCATGTTTCTGAGGAAGTGATTCATATCCATAATAGATTCATATTCTAAATGTTATATTTTATTGTAAAAAAAAGCCAATATTTCCATTTATCCACTAATTTACTAAATAACTTATTCAAGAAGAAATAGATGATAAGCTAATTTGGTGACCATTTCAAGAATTACAAACTTAAAAATTTACTAAGAAAAATAAGACATGTATCTCTAAAATCTATGTAAATCTTTTATAATTATATATCTGAAGAGCATTACTGAAAAAAACTGCTATGAATTTCCAGATAAGGAAAAGGCTGTAGTATTTGGCAGGTACATCCTAGAGAAAGTAAAATTTGAATAAAAATATTTGGATAGGAAAGGAAGCAAAGGATGTGATCATGCAAGCCTTTGCTTCAACTCCTTGAAGATTTCCCATTACCAAATCAGTACAATCTGAACTTTTTATCAGGACACTCCAGATGCTGAAAATCTTGCTCCAAACTAAATTCTAGCCTTATCTGTGACTGCTCTCAAGTTAGGTCGATCATTCCAGATATGATATGATTTATATTTCAAACCTCCACATCATCTCTGTTGCTGTTCCCACTGTCTTTTCTTACTCCATAGGCATTGTGAAGTTCTACATATGCTTAATATCCAGCTCAGACACCAGTGAATGTAAGAAGCATTTGCTAACTCTGCCTCTTTGAAGAGGAAATGTTAACTGGTCTCTCCTCTGTGCTGACAGTGAACTGTAGCTACAGTTATTGCGTGGTGTGAGAGATTAGCATTCCCAATCATCTGTCAGTAACCTCTGATTCTTTATAACTGATACTTACCTTCTCTTTTACACTGTGAACTCTTTCCATACAGCAAATGTTTTTGAATGCTTACTTTTTGCCAGGCAATTCACCTTGAGTAAGCAACTATGCATTTTTTTTTTGAGTGTATCACCAAGCAGGGCTCTAGGAAATCGTCTTCACATGCCACTTGCCATTCTCCCTTGACTATAAGCTAAGTTTGGTGGGAAACGAAATTTGTATCTCTAGAAACTAGCACAATGTCTGGTATACATTAATTTCACTAGCTATTCCTTGAATACATGGATAAATTTTAAGAAGCAATGAGAAGACCACTCTTTTTGGATTGGTGTATTCATGTTGCAGAGTACTAAGCGAATAAGTTTGAAGTCAGGTTATGAAAAATTACATGCCAGGCTGGGTGCGGTGGCTCACGCCTGTAATCCCAGCACTTTGGGAGGCCAAGGCGGGAAGATCACAAGGTCAGGAGATCAAGACCATCCTGGCTAACATGGTGAAATCCCATCTCTACTAAAAATACAAAAAATTAGCCAGGCGTGGTTGAGTGTGTTAAATGCCATACTAAGGAAATTATATTTATCTTGAAAGCAGCAGGATTTTACTTTTTGAGTATGTGGTGACAGGATTACAGGTGTGATTTAGAAAAATTGCTCTAACAACATTTTGTAGCCCACTTTGGAAGAGGAAGGTTTAGAGGGAAGAGACACTCTTAGATACTTTTCAGTAGTCAAAGCTTGAGATGATAAATCCTGAAACTAGGATGCAACTTGTGTGAATGACTAGAAAATAATACATATTTTTATTTATTTAAATTGTTTTATTTCAATAGGCTTTTGGGAAACAGGTGGTATTTTATTACACGGACAAGTTCTTCATGGTGATTTCTGAGATTTTGGTGCATCAATCACTTGAGCAGTATACACTGTGTACACAATGTATAGTCTTTTATCCCTTACCCTCCCTCCCACCCTTTCCGCTGAATCCACAGAGTCCATTGTATCATTCCTATGCTTTTGCTTCCTCATGGCTCAACTCCCACTTATGAGTGAGAACATACAGTGTTTGGTTTTTCATTCCTGAGTTACTTCACTTAGAATAATGATCTCCAATTCCATTCAGGGTGCTGCGAATGCCATTATTTCATTTGAAAAGGATAAACATTAACAAAAGGAAATGGATAAAAGATGATGCCGTTTATTTGATTCTAGGTCACTAGGATGATAATGATACAAAGATAGGGAGATATTAAATAGTGTGATATAAATATTAATTCCCATTTTGCATACATGTTGGATTTGAGGTGACAAGTGACAATTGAGCATCCAATCAAAATTCTGTTCAATAAATATTGAGTACCTACTCAGTGCTAGACAACTAATCAGATTCTGAAGAACCAGAATTCAGGAAGGCACTTCTTGCTTTACTCAAGGAAGGTGAGTATTAAGAAAGTAGATTGTAAATAGAAAGTAGATTGTAAATTACAACCATGTGGGATAATATATTTGATATTTAGATAGTTAATATGGTAGGAAAAAGATGAAACAACTGAATGTGTTTTGAGCTGAAGATAAAAGAGCAATACATTTGAAAATGAACAGAGCTGTGAGGCAAGGGCTTCATGAGAAAACCGATGTTTTCATCGTTTGATCTGAATCTTAATGAAGCAGAAATTTGCATGGTAGAGACAAAGAGCATTTTAAATAAATATATATAAATGAACAATTCTTTATGAACTTGTACTAGAATAAGAAATTAAGATTTGACAGACAACTGCATAAAAAAGACTTATTTACAGTACAGAAAAGAACAAAAGATCAGAAACTGACCTATTAGGAATGGTAGTTGAAGCATGGAGGTAAAAAATCTAAAAAATGAAAAATCAGTATCAAATGCAGCAAAATTGTTTGAAAAAAATGAGAGCTGAGAAAAGACTTTTGTAACTCATGAGGGCTGGTGATGACCAAGAACACATTTCCGTTTGAGTGGTGAGCAGGAACATCAGATTGGCCTTCAAAAGTGAATTGGTGGGGGTGAACAAATGGAAGCAGAAGGTATAGAACATACACTTGAGGATGCTTCTTTAAAAAGAGAAAGACATTGATAAAATTACCTCACCAATTCAATATTTATTGAGCAGTAGTCAACTGGGTTCCAAGTGCTTGGACATAGTGGTGAACAAGGCAGTCAAAGTCCTTGACACAATGGTGCTTAAATCCAGTGAAAGTCTCCCACTTCAAGAAAATAGGGAACTTACTCATATTACAAGTCAGAGGGAGAGGAATACAAAAAAAAAATGGAAGAATTAATATCCCGAATGAGGCTTAACTGGTGGGATTATGTTCCTGGGAGGATCCTTGAAGGAGCTGAGAAGGTAACAGGGGGGGGAATAATTCTGACATGGTTAAGTGCCATTTCTTCCTTGTAAACTTAAGTTTAATCACTTAGTTTTTAATATTTCCAACTGCTTATTATATCTTACTATATCATATTGTATTTCATGAATGAGGACAGTACACTTAGTCCATCTATTGTTGTTGTCTACCATTATCCTTCAGGGATCATGTAGAGATTCTATGGTTACAGATTTTATTGGATTAAACATCCAAAATGTTTGCTATTAAACCAATGTACATGTTGAAAGTGAGAAATCAACACTACAACTATATACCGGACTTTATGATTTTACAGTGATGTAATATATACATATTAATGCTCTAGAATGATTTAATTTACCTGTTAGTTTCTCCAATATAACTCTATAACTTATTATAAACTATTATTTTATAATCCAACACAATGTTATAGGATCTCCCTTAACATTGATTTTTAGGTTACCTTCAAGCTAAAAGAATATTAGTAATTAAAAATACATTGTATAAAAACTTTATTTTTGCCCAATTGATATAAAACAACTCATTTTTGATTCCAAAGCTAAGTAGAGGCTGTAGATTCCAAGAAACCATTTTCTTTTCTGGTTATCTGTTGTAGTTATAATGGATTATGTGCAATTAAAAAAAATCAAATAAATTTCCCTGAATATTTATATTAAAAATGGAATACCAGGAAAAAAGCATGCTGAAATGTCAAATTCAATATTCAAACACTGTAACTTGAATAGTTTTTTTCTTTCTTTCTTTTTTTTTTTTTTGAGACAGAATCTCACTCTGTCGCCCAGGCTGGAGTTCAGTGGCGTGATCTCGGCTCACTGCAAGCTCCACCTCCCGGGTTCATGCCATTCTCCTGCCTCAGCCTCCCGAGTAGCTGGGACTACAGGCGCCCGCCACCACGCTTGGCTAACTTTTTTGTATTTTTAGTAGAGATGGGGTTTCACCGTGTTAGCCAGGATGGTCTCGATCTCCCGACCTTGTTATCCGCCCGCCTTGGCCTCCCATTGAATAGCTTTTTATAAAGAGAGAAGGCAAATGAACAATCTCTCTTTTAGTAGAATGCTAGTTGTTTCCATAACTTTTGCCACCTTTTCCCATAATCACCTAATTATAGGCTAAGTGTTTTACATCTTCCCTTGAAGGTGTACCATATGCTCAAGACCTTGACAATGGAACATGAGTGAAAGTCACACCTACACGTCTTACATTATTTGCTTTAAAAAATACCTTTTTTGGAGGTCCGTTTTTGTGCGCACTTCTGCACATGAAGGTGTCAATGGCCCAGGTATAGACAGGAGCAATGCAATGGAGGACTCTTAAGCCCTTGAATGATCTGGCGGAGCAGAGTTGCTCAAAAAGCCTGAGATGCCATTTTTTAAAAATTTAAATGTTTAAATTTTTAAAATTCACCATAATTATACATAATTATCAGGCACGTAGCGATGTCGTGATATATATAGTATATAATTATCATATCTATCATGTTAAACATTTATCATTTCTTTGTGTTTGGAACATTAAATAGCTGCCTTCTAGCTATTTGAAACTATATAATATTGTTAATTAAAGTCATCCTAAAGTGCTACATCAGAACTTATTAACTCAGTATACTTTGGAATCTCTTTACAATAACCCAGGGACTATCCTAATACCACAATAGATCTTTATGGTTCTATTAGAGAATACTATCTCCTTCAGAATAATTATATCTCTGCTCTTTTTCCTTAAATCAAAAATAGTAATCTGTAGTAATTCAAGATTGTGAGTCATAAACACAAAAATATTATAGCTAAGATTATATGTAATCTAAATAATGCCATAATCTTGTTTTAAGTGTTTCATTACAATTCAATATATCATTTATTATAATTCATTACAAAACTGTCATCACTGGAATCACAGATTATATCGTAAGACTATTCTATAATTGCATGAAATACATGAAGAAAAAAAACACAAAACTTCAAACAGACCTCTCTGCAATCATTTTATCTGCCTCAAGTACTGTCCTCTCCCTATTGCCCAATTCCATAACATAGTTTATAGCCTTTTCTTGAATTACTGAAAAATGAAAACAAAAAATATTGTATGCTTTTATATAATCTAAATAAAACACTCTGGAGAATGGTTTGTTCTCCAGTTATTAAATTTTTTTCTCTCTACAACTATTTACCTTGACTTTTATAAATTTTGTATAAATTTAAGGGGTATAAGTACAATTGTTACATGCATACATTGCTTAGTGGTGAAATCTGGGTTTTAGGGTTCCCATCACCCAAATAATATACATTGTACCCATTAAGTAATTTCTCATTGGTCTCCCCGCTTTCAATGTACCTTTTTATCTTTTTCTGGTTTAAAGACCATCTCCTGGATAGACAGCATTTTAAGAAGTCTGAACACTAAGTAAGTCCTCAAAAGGCTAACAATACACATCTTAGCCCACAAAGTTCCCTTCTAGCCCACTTGATCCTAAAGATCTTCCTTTAAGAAGCTATTTTAATTAGGTGAAGTTATTTCAATGTTTTACTTCTCTATTCAGGATACTAAGAAATAGTTTCTAATAATTTGATAGTATAGTTCAAGCAAAGCACTAGAGAAATTAGAAAAGTAAAAAAGGGAATTAATTAAGTTGGGTAGAGAGTTCCTAAAGGGGTGGGGTTTAAAATGATTCCAGCAAAACAGGGAGAAAAATAGGAGAGTGCTTCCTTGTAGGAAAAATAGGATGGACTCTAAGAAAAATATTTTCAAATGTAATGGCAAAATAACATGAACTCAGACCTCATTTAAAACTGGAAAGTATGACTAATTTTAGCAAACAGTTTAGAAATTTTAAAACCTACTTCTTTACTGAACATTTAAAATATTTATTCTAGTTCATGTAGGAAAAAAGGAATTTTTGAATGTGAATTTCTTTTTTAGTTTTAGATGACACAATTCCAATCAGTAAGAAGAAATCATCGTTGATTAAAACTGACAGAAATAGAAGTCGGAATTATATATGTATGATATATGAACTGTAATCATGTTTTACCAAGTGAATGCTAAATCACCCAGTATATTTCAAAGCAGTTTTTTTTACATATGGTATATCATTTGCAATAAACAGGCTGATATACAAATTTTCCCAGATGGTATGTGTGTGGAAATGATCTCAGTGGTATGTTATTCTTATAATTATCTTTCTTGAAAGGAAACTAAATACAAAAGATAGGCAAGTTAGCATAAGTCTACATACTCGGACCAACAAGAAACTTGGCTTTGGACAAACAAGAATTTTAGTTAAAATTTCAAAATATAATTAACTGTTGGCCCTCTATTTCTTCCAGCTATGCTGACAAATTGTCATCATATATAGATACAAGACTATTCTAGGATGTATTGCTTATCCTATTGCTTCACGTCCTCACTACTCTACTCTTCTCAGAAAAACTTGCTCATATAATCACATGATGAGACTCCAGGATCTATTAAAAGTATATGTTTGTTGATTGTTAATATATTTACATTTCAAGAGACTACACGGGATACCTCAAAAAACAAAAGGGTCATAGATACAAAAAGACCCAAGTTTCAGTCATGGCTCCATCAGTTACTACTTTTAGCTGCTCATACAATATGTGAGGACACATACAACTTTGAGACCAGAGTGGTAAAATGGAGATAAAATTACCTGTTGTAATTATTAAAAGTATTTGTAAAACAAACACTACAATAGGATCATTGACATAACTGACACACGATAAACATTAGTTACCATTTCATAAAGAAAGAGTTGTTTAAATGGTTTACTTTTAAAAAATAATATTAGTATTTCCCATCATCCAAATTTCAGGTTGGAAATCAAAGGGTTTTTTTTTAAAGCTTTCTTTTATTTATCCATAAACAATAAAACTCAAGGTAAATAAAACTCAATACACACGCACAGGACCCCACACAGCCTACCTTCATTTATGACTTCAGGACACTCAGCACATATTCCAATGACATTGACATTTACAAATAACTGAGAATTCTTATTTGAAATTTTCTTCACAGTATTCTTTTTTTGAAAATTTTTAATGGTGTTACAATGAAATCCTACACATTTCATGAGTGAGATTTTTTATAAGAAATTTATGGAAATAATTTAGCAAAAAAAGTAGAAACAAATTTGATGAAAATATTAGTCATACTAATTTTGTTAAATGCAAAGTATCTAATTTAATAAAATTGAGCTAAAATGGAATATAAATTCACTTCATTTATTGACTATATTGGTATGTCTTTTTTTAACCATATGAAATCATGTTAAATGTATTTACTTTTACAAAAGAACAAATCTAATGATATGAAATTTATTTCATAAATCATAGTTAATATAGACACATCTAAGGATGTGTTATAAATATACTAATTGGAAGATGTAAATAATTCATGCCTCAGTCTTACATTTGGGCTTTTATTGGGAGTGTCTTCAGTCTTTGAAAACCCCCTAATTTTAAGTATATGCTTGTATGATAGTAATGGTTGTAGCCAAGTAAGGCAGATGATAGAAGAGGTAAAACACAGTTGTTGGGACCATATTGGGGAAAAGTCTTCTTATAAACTTAAGAGGGAATTATTTGCAGTCAGCTTCAACAATTATTTATGGAGCATCTGCTCAGTGTTCAGAACTGTGCTATTTGGCACTATTTTTCTTTCTAAATTTGGATATTCCAGTTAAAAATCCTTAACTGTCAAGGAGAAATATTTAGCCTTTGCTTGGGACGGTTGAGTCATTGCTAAATTGCTTGAAATGGGATTTAAACACAAGGATAGTTTTATTTCTGCTAAATCTCTACTTTAAAAATTAGTCAATTATCAATTTTTAAAAGCTCCTTCACTCCTATTTGAAAATTACAAAACTACAGCAAATAAGTCAAATATTTCGAGAGCTTGATTTGCAAGATGTTCAGAATAATAACTTTTAAATATTTAATTAAATGCTTTTTAGATAGTAAGGACAGAGATCACATCTTTGTAATGCATCCTGAATACCTTGAAAGTAATACCTGGTACAAAAATAAAGGCATTTAATAAATATTTCTTGAAAAGATCTGAACTTACCAACAACTCAGAATGAGTTTGAAATAAATGACAATTTTATGAAAAGAGAATACTGCTTTCTAGATAATTATTTTAAATTGAGGAGACAGAGGGAATAATAGAAATACCAATTGTATCTAGAATACTGTGAATATGCTAGAAAAGATCATATATACACACAAAAAAAGAAATATTTCTTTTTCCCATTTGCTGAAGGACGCTTTCGAGAAAAGCATTTCCTCTTCATCTGAATGCCTTTACAATATATTTATTATAGAATAGGGCTTGGGAAATAGTGAGTTTTTTGGAAACAGTTTGGTTTGCTTTTTATGAAATATTTCATAAGTTGTGCTTTGAAAAAAATACCACAGACATTGTTTTGACATAATTCAGTGAAGATCTGGACAGACTTATGTAACTCTATTATTATTATTCAATAATTTCCAAGGAGGGAACACATTTGTATTTTCATATTGATACAATTTTAGATATAGAAGAGGGTGCAGCACCCACAATGTAAAAAGAAGATTGTGTCAACGGCTAGCAAATCACTACACTTAATAAGGGTGACCAAAGCTGACCGAGTAATAAATGTACTGGGAAAATCAAAACACAGATGGCTTCCTTTTGTGTTCTTTTATCAGAGAGGAAAAAAGCATCTTTTACAATGGGCCATAACTGATTCACCTAGAGATTAGGCTCTCATGAAGGCAATTATGCTTTTGGAGCTTTAATCACTCAGTGGCATGAGGAACATTCTGTATCACTCCCTTAAAATGAAGGGACCACCTATCATTTCTGTACCATATAACGGAAAATGAGACTAAAGTATAAAAGACAAACAAGTCAAATAATATTTCTCCTTTAAAAAAGGTAGCACATTAAAAAGCACCATATTTCTTTTTTAAGTTCTGGAATACATGTACAGGATGTGCAGATTTGTTACGCAGGTAAATATGTGCCATGGTGGTTTGCTGCACCTATTGACCCATCACCTAGGTACTTAATCGCAGCATGCATTAGCTCTTTTCCCTAATGTTCTCCCTACCTTGCCGCCCAGACAACATGACAGGTCCCAGTGTGTGTTGTTCCCCTCCCTGTGTCCATGTGTTCTTATTGATCAGATCCCACATATAAGTGAGAAAATGTGCTGTTTGAGTTTCTGTTCCTGTGTTAGTTTGCTGAGAATAACGGCTTCCAGCTCCATCCATGTCCTTGCATAGGATATAATCTCATTCCTTTTTATGGCTGCATAGAATTCCATGGTGTATATGTACCATATTTTCTTTATTCAGTCTTCCATTGATGGGAATTTGGGCTGATTCCTTATCTTTGCTGTTGTGAATAGTGCTGCAATGAACATATGTGTGCGTGTATCTTTAGAGTAATATATTCCTTTGGGTATATACCCAGTAATGAGATTGCTGGGTCAAATGACATTTCTGGTTCTAGGTCTTTGAGGAATCACCACAATGCCTTCCATAGTGGTTGAACTAATTTATATAACCACCACCAATGTAAAAGTGTTCCTATTTCTTCACAGCTTCACCAGCATGTGTTGTTTCTTGACTTTTTAATGATCACCATTCTGACTCATGTGAGATGGTATCTCATTGTGGTTTTGATTGGCTTTTCTCTAATGATCAGTGATGTTGAGCTTTTTTTTTGTATGTTTGTTGGCCACATAAATGTCTTCTTTTGAGAAGTGTGTGTTCATGTATTTGGCCTACTTTTTAATGGGGTTGTTTTTTTCTTGTCAATTTATTTAAGTTTCTTGTAGATTCTGGATATTAGACCTTTGTCAGATGGATACATTGCAAAACTTTTCTCCCATTCTCTAGGTTTCTGTTCACTTTGATGATGGTTTATTTTGCTACTTCCACACAATAATAGTGGGAGACTTAAACACCCCACTGTCAATATGAGACAGATAGTCAAGACAGAAAATTAACAAAAATATTCAGGACCTAAACTCAGCACTGGATCAAGTGACCTGCTAGCTATGTAGAGAAGTCTCTATGCAAAAACAACAGAGTATACATTCTTCTCGGCTCCACATGATACTTACTCTAAAATCAATCACATAATTGGAAGTAAAACAGTCTTCAGCAAATGCAAAAGAACTTAAATCATAAAAGTCTCTCAGTCCACAGCACAATCAAATTAGATCTCAAGATGAACAAACTCACTCAAAATCACAAAACTACATGGAAATTGAACAACCTGCTCCTGAATGACTCCTGGGAAAATAATAAAATTAAGACAGAAATCAAGAAGTTCTTTGAAACCAATGAGAACAAGGAAACCCAGAATCTCTGGGACACAGCTAAAACAGTACTAAGAGGGAAATTTATAGCACTAAATGCCCACGTCAAAAAGCTAGAAAGATCTCAAATTAACATCCTAATATCACAACTAAAAGAACTAGAGAACCAAGAGCAAACAAATCCCAAAGCTAGCAAAAGACAAGAAATAATCAAGATCAGAGTAGAACTGAAGGAGATAGAGACATGAAAAACCAAAGTTTTTTAAAAAAACTCAATGAATCCAGGAGCTGGTTTTTTGAAAAAGTTAATAAAATAGACTGCTAGCTAGACTAATAAAGAAAAGAGAGAAGAATCAATAGACACAGTACAAAATGTTAAAGGAGATATCACCACTGACTGCACAGAAATACTAACAGCAGAGAATAGTATAAATACCTCTATGCAAATAAACTAGAAAATCTAGAAGAAATGGGTGAATTCCTGAAGACATACACTCTCCCAAAACTGAACCAGGAAGAAGCTGAATTCCTGAATAGACCAATAACAAGTTCTGAAATGGAAGTAGTAATAAATAGCCTGCCCAACAAAAAAAGCTCAGGACCAGATGGATTTACAGCTGAACTCTACCCGTGGTAAAAAGAAGAGCTGGTACCATTTCTTCTCAACCTATTCCAAACAATCGAAAAGGAGAGACTACTCCCTAACTCTTTTTATGAGGCCAGCATCTTCCTGATACCCAAACCTGGCAGAGATACAACAACAAAAAAGAAAACTTCAGGCCAATACCCCTGATGAACATTGATTTAAAAAAAATCCTCAATAAAATACTGTGAAACCAAATCTAGCCAAACATCATAAAGCTTCTCCACCACAATCAAGTTGGCTTCAACCTCTGGATGCAAGGCTGGTTCAACATACACAAATCAATATTACTTTTTACCCAGCTCTTTTCACATTTCAGTTAGAATGTAACTTAAAAAATTTAAATGGCTTGAGCTGAAATTGGGCAAGAGTAGCAAACACTGTGAAACTAAACTCTTGTGTTCACTGTAGGGTATTGAAACCAGAAGGATTCAATCTTTTTGAAAGTCACTTATGAATAGCAAACCCTTGTTTTTTTCCTCCTGCAATATGTATGATACCATGTTCACAAGGATCATTATTTAATACAATGAGCATACTGAGATGTTAATAGAACATCTAAAATATTTTGCCCAGCACTATAATAGCTGAATGCTATTGCTAAGCAATTGTTGATGCACTTGAAAAATTAACAGCTATGTCATAAATAGGACAACCTGATGATTACACTACATCCTATTGGTTTCTGTTGCTCATTTCTCCACACTCAAGAAAGGATAGTAAAATGAAAGTAAACAGAACATTAATTTAGGGAAAAGCTTTAAGTGAACAGCACCTGGTCCATAAAATATGTAAGTATTTTAACTTCTACTAATAGTATATTACTTATAACATACTTCACAGAAGATCCTAATATCTAAGAATAGTATGTTCGAGTGGGAAAGTTGAAAGCCAATGCATTTCAATCATAAATAGTTTTCACTAGATGGAAGTTTTCATAACAAGAAATTACATACAACTGAGAGAAAAGTGTCACTATGTATGTCAAAACTAGTTGGCCCATGCTGAATGAAGTTTTGATTATTGCACTGTGGAACACTGGTCAACTTCTTTTTCAGGAAAAAAATTCTATATAAATTAGCCTATATTAGCTTACATTATCCCAAAATTAGACCTAGAGAGATGCTGGTTTAACACCTTTGGTTTTGTGCCATCAAATGCCATTTTTGATACTGAGATTTGCAATTGCATTACCTAGGTTAAATATTTACATATACCTACATATATACATATGTATGAATTTATATGTATAAATTATAATCTGATGAAATAAGATCTTTTAAAATATTGAAAATAATAATATTCATTAAAAGCTGATAATTATTCTCATGCTTGTTAAAGTGGGGTAGGTATATTTTCTTCCTGCTTGGAAAGTGAGGCTTATTAATATTAGTGAAACTATAATTTTAATATTAATTGAGGCTTATTAATATTAGTGAAACTGTAATTATTAATATTAGTGAAGCTATCGAATACAGTGCATTATGAAAGCCTGAAGTTCAAGAACGACAAGTTCAAGAACAACAATCATGTCTTCTGTATCTAGCATGAATGAAAGAAATTTATTTGCTCTTTAGATAGTTGTAACTGTAGTTAAGAATAATTTATGAACCTTTAGATACAATAGGAATCTGGAAAATGTCAAATAAGTGGCAAATATTTTAGTTCTTGGACGTCTTCTTAAAAACTGGGGAGGCATGAGTTCTGAAAGCAAGGGAAATAGATAAAATACTATCTTGACTAAATAACATGCTTGTTATTTTAGTCTTAGTAAGAATTCCTGTATTGTAACTTGTTAAGAACTATGCTCTTTTCCACTTGATAGGCTGCACACAGTAAAAACACACTTGCTTGAATACATTTTTTATCTAAAGGCTTAAACCATGATAATTAGGGCAAGGCACTCTACATTACCCACCATTGTACTTCATAGGTAATGCTGATTCCAGTTGGCATTCACTAAGCAGGCAGAAAATTGCAGCAATTATTGAAAATTGTTGGGTTTTAAACACATTGTACTCAACTCTCTCCTCCCACCCTCTAAAACCACATGCAAATTCTTTTTATTAGGAAAATAATAAATCATGCTGCTTCAGCATAAAGAACTAGATTTGTAAAAATTATTTCATATGAATATTTTATTGCTGTTTGTTATAAACAAAAAATACATATTCATTTTTTCCCCCAATCAGAATCATAGCTTTCACTTTCGGTCAATTTCCCTATGCTTAACGTATTTGCCTATCCCCACTAAAAGTTAAAACTCAAATTCTACCTCTTCCAAGAAGCCTTTCCTGATCCTTAGAAAAACTTTATATTTTTCTCTATCACACTTTCACAATATTTTTTGTAGCTCCATCAAGCACTTAGTATGCCTTTTAATATAGTTAGGTATATGTTAAATATCCCTATAGTAGGGATAACAGAGTAAATATGCTCACTGTAGTGTGAATATGTGTTTGAGCCCAGGCATATTTATCTCTGTTCCTAACATCAATAACCCGCTCGATAACCAGCATATTACTGAAATTAATTGAAAAAAAAGAAATCTAAAATTTAGTGACTCCTAAACAGGATACCTTCAACTGAATGACTCTTAAACAAAAATACCTTCCTCTTATTATTAATTCCACAAAAAGGACTATTTTTTGTTTAGTGTCAGATTTAAGAATGCATGTTTATATTGCAATAGGACTATTGCTGAATTTAAAAATAAAAAAATAAAAGAATGTATGTTTAGATGAATATTAAACTGAAGTAACATTAAAATATCATATAATTACAAATGAACTACTTGCTACAGACTACAGTATCTCTTAATATTTTCTAAGACAATTTATCCTTGGCATAGAAAATAACAATTCTAAGTAAATTTGTATCTACTGAGCTGAACTATCTATGATCACATGTAATTTGAAATATAATACAACCAATTTATAACAATAAAATTCAGGTGAAATTAAATTTTAAAACTTTTATGCAAATTAGAAATGATAAGTAATCCTATGTTGAACTAGATTCAAATTTGACTTTTCACAAGTAAACGCCATTTATGTTTATCATAAGAATTATTAATACCAGAGACTATAACTTTCAACTCATGTCACCGTCTGAGTAACAAGTAATTATTAATATATACATTAGGCCATTGATAATTCAAAGATTTTCACTGCCAATGTCAAGCTCTTATTCTGTACAGCAATTTACTAAACCAGATTTTTAGAGAATCCCTCTCCTGCTATTCTGGAGTAGAAGAAAATCTATGTTCTCTAAGTGAGCCTTTAAAATTCAGCAACATAAGAAGCAGAAAACTGTATTTGTGAAACAGACTTAATTTTATGGCTAAAGAGTTTTTTTCCCAAATTACTGGTAGCTACTGAGATTTTTCTACATAATGCCGTATCACATTAGAAAGAATTGCCAGTTTTGTCCTGAATCTATATGGGTTCAGAAATGGTATGAAATAGGCTAAGCATGTGTGATGTTGTTATTTTGAATATTTAAATTAGGTATCTATCTTATGGGAAGCCTTGCATTTAGCACTAATTTGAGTCACAAAGACAAATAAGGCTTGGATTTCTTCCTAGGGAACATCACAATGTTAGCCAATAACATATAAATCAATGTTTACTAACTAAAATTATGTCTATTAAATTAATCAATTTTAACCTGGATATTCTGAGAACTACAGACTCTCAATCATTGTAACCCTCCAAATGATAGCTTCTCCAAGTAGTAATGATGAGTAAAACAGAAGATAGCAACTCATTTCCTATTAGTCGAAATTACTATAAAAAGAGAAGACAGATGCCAGGCGTGGTGGCTCTCACGCCTGTAATCCCAGCACTTTGAGAAGCCAAGGCAGGTGGATCACCTGAGGTCGGGAGGTCGAGACCAGCCTGACCAACATGAACAAACCCTGTCTCTACTAAAAATACAAAATTAGCCAGGTGTGGTGGCACATGCTTGTAATCCCAGCTACTCGGGAGGCTAAGGCAGGAGAATAGCTTGAAGCCTGGGAGGCAGAGGTTGCCATGAGCCAAGATCGTGCCATTGCATTCCAGCCTGGGCAACAAGAGCGAAACTCCATCTCAAAAAAAAAAAAAAAAAGAAAAAGAAAAAAGAGATGACAGTGGTAGCATTCAATCTATTTACTTATGTTGAAACCTGAGTTTTTACAATAAAAAATTTCAGGTAAAAATGATTCATAATATGTTATATATTTTTCCAGAAAATTCTATTTCCTGATTGGATGTAATATATTCTAAATTGTATTGCTTTTACATGAGAAGAACTTGTCAAGAATGAATATACTATTTAGCAAACACGCATATTTCTAGCTCTCTATAAAATATTACTAATGCTAATTAGGTTGCATATTATAATCAAGGATCCATGGATCCTGAAGTCAATTAATTTAATTTCCACTCAGTTGAAGTGAGTTATTCACTAGGTAATAAGAATGTAGCTTAATGATTATTTGTCATGCCAATTAAGTTATTTCCATATCTGAGAAGCACATAAATTCTAAAGCCAAATGGATATTCTGGGGAGAAGTCAGGATGGGACAAAAGTAGAGGACTTTGTCAGAGTTTCCCAATTTAGTGTTTAGAGAAGTGTAATCTTTGCTTTTATGTCCAACTAGACCATGACAAATTAATGTTAAATAGCATAAAACAATTTACAATAGACTGCTGAAAAGATAGAATGAATGTAAAATCTCAGTTGAAAAACAGAATTCTAAATAAATTGTATTTTCTAAAATCTGAAAAATCTTGGCTGGCGTAGGTATATATGTACAAGTACCATATCCATCTCCACAATTTTAGCATAAACTGAGTAGAAGCTTTACATTGTTATGAATGCTTCCTAATTATTTAGGATTTACTATAGAATGGCAAATTCACATCAAATTGTTTTAAAATACACAGGCAGACCATATGGTGAACATTTACGCTTGATGGATCATTTTTTATTTGCACATCCCTTTAAATTTAACAAGCCAATTTACATGATGTTCTAATATTGTTTTTGTTTTTCTGAGACAACGTAGAAAATTTTGATGTGGCAAAGGAAGAAGGAAACAGTGCCATATTTGTGCTTTGACAATGAAATATTTTTTAATCCAATAAGTAAAGCTAAAGAACTTTGTTGAGATTCTGCTTCATTCTGTTATTTATTAACCAGCTTTACAAGGGAATCAGCAGTGTAGATATTTAGGGCATCCTTTTTTAACTCAGAAAGATTATTATTAGAGGAACCACTAAAGTGAACAGGCTTCAAATAAACGTTCAGTTGGCATACATTTTGGTTTGGCCACAATAACCAAGTTGAGGCTATTGGGCTACCGTGTCAGATTGAATCAGTGAAAGATGTGGGATTTGAATTCAAAATTAGGTTTGAGTTCCAAATTCCTGACTTCTAAGTTTCCAGTCAGTCCACAAAGTAATGTATTTCTTATTAATATTTCTACGATTATGCTTAAGTATGCATTTTATAGATAAAAACACAATGATTTCTTACCATGTAGAAAGCATGGATTTCTTTTGACTTAAGCCTCAAGAAATCACGGATTAGGCCATCAACGTGAGCTTTCTTATTTATGTATTGTGAAATTGTAAAGAGGAGAAAATGAGCTTGTGTTAGTGTTGCAGCACACCTCAAATGGCAAAAGTTAACAGCCACAGTGCACAATAAGCACTTATAATGAAAAAGGCCTAAATCTGTGGGTGAAAAACATGAACAGAAAGCATTTTGATGGATAGCAATGTGTTTCAACATATCCCCAGAGAAGGCTACTGTATATACAAATAATGCATTAATGTATTATTTGAAGGTGACCTTTAAAAGTAAATTATGACAATCTAAAAATAGATTTTGCTCTGGTAAGGTTTTGTTTTCTTTGATAAACAATGAACTTTCAAGTACTCTGCATAGTGGATGATAATAGTAATCAATTGTGAGCACATTTCCTATAAGTCACATTTAAGGGTGTTTGAATCCTCTGGGAAAAATAGTAATGCTGAAAATAAATCAGTAAACTATTTAATATGTATTACCAGCATGTGGTTTAAGTAGCCTGACTTATGTGATTTGTTTTCAAAGGTGAAGACCAGAGGTACTCACTCTGATCCCTTTGTTATTTAAAAATTTAATCCTCACAGTCTGGCCAAAACTCTTTTATACATATGAGATAAATTATGCCACAGAAGGGCCTTCATTATTAAAAGCAAACTGAAATATGTATCTCTACATTTAACCATTGAAGCAGGGAAAAAGGAGACACAACATCCTACCAGCTAGGCTACCAGATATTGATAATTGTCAAAAAGAAGATATTCAAGAATGTTATCAAATAAAGCAATGATATCTATGAAAGCAGGATATCATTTTTACTTATTTTGCAGTTTGAAACCTTTGACGCTTTAGAAAATCAAGATAATTTTTATTTCTCAAATACAAGATAACGTGTAAGAAAGATAATTACTTATATGAGGCTTTTATTTACTTCTGGCTTAATATTTCTTTCCCAGACCTGACTGATTCGTTATACCATTGTAGTTAGTTACTTAATGGTGAATAGTTTATTCTGCACAAATAACACAAACGTCATTTTCCTACATACCTTATGAAAGAGTATGTTGTTTTCTAATGTGAACTGACCACTTTATTATTTCAACAGTTATTTAATTTCTAGCCACTAGGGGAAAAGTCATAAGCTTGACTTAAGATTTTCATGAATCCCTAATTATGCTAGTTAATTTCAGTATTTCTTACTTTATCAACACCATATCAACATATTACAACCACAGCAAGTTTATTCAAAGTATTCTAGATACATCCTGACTAGATAGGCTATAAATAAATTTTAGCAGTAATTCCAGGGAATGTCCAAGAGAAATGATACAAGAGATTTGTTCTGGGTAAAAGTCTTGATAAAAATGGAAATCTTCTGAAATGCAAATTAATAAGACAAAAAGATACTTATTGCTCCACTTTGATTTCTTATTAGAAGGAGAAGAAAAGAAAGAAATAAGTATATCTTTACTGCTAAGTCAGAACTTAAGGATGAATATTTTACTGTTATCCTTGAAAACAGACGCAAAAGTTAGAAGTCTAAAGGGAACTTCCAGTTACTTTTTCAAAAAGCAGTCAGTAAATTTTGATCTTGGACCATGATTGTATGAGCTATGTAAATGTGATTTTTTTTAACTCCTCCACTTCTGTACTATGGACTTCTGTTACTATAGCCTTCCTAAAAGTAAAGAATTATAAACATGACTTTGTGGAAGAAACAAATACTATCTTGATGGTGAGAATACCAAAAAATAAAGTGGATGCAAGAATCTTTTTAGGGGAAGGACAGGAGCTAGTTGAGGTTGTAAGGACAGAAAGAGAATGGGAAAAGCACCCTGAGTCTTAGGAGTCACCTTGGGGCTGCATAATGTGAACACTCCTATGATTCCCCAGCAAGACAGTGTCCTGTGGTTCTAGTTATTGATACTAAAAGTCAAGTGTCAAATTTAGTCTCTATTTATCATAAGCCATTCATTTATTCATAGAACAGATAATTAATGAGCCCTAACTCAGGGTCAGACACTGATGATATACTTATCAGCAAGAAAGATACGATCTTTCTCCTCGTGGTTCATTGACTCTACTGAGAAGAATAGACAAACAAGCAATTATAATGAAATATGAGAGAAAAAAATAACAGGGTACCTAACCCAACTGCTTGGGTCAGGGAAAGCTTCCCAGAAATAGTCAGACCTAAACCAGAACTTAAATTTATGAGTAAGAATTCGTTAAAAAGAGGAGAGGATGTTGGGAGGAGAAAAGCAGCCAGAGGAGAATGTAAACTATAAAGAATATGTACAAACATCTGGGGCAGAAAGGGAGAGAATGGTTCATCTGATAAGCTGAAACAAATTTCAACAATGATGGAAATTTAAGTAAGGGTGGTGGAGTAAAGGGTCTTGTTAAGAGTTTTGATTCAACCCTGGGGGAAATGTTAAGTCATTATCTTAGTCTCTTTTGTGCTGCTATCACAGAATACTGAAGGCTGGGTAATTTACAAAAAACAAAAATTTATCAGCTTATGGTTCTCAAAAACGGGAAGTTTAAGATCAAGGCGGCAGCATCTTAGGAGGGCCTTTTTGCTGCATCATAACATGGCAAAAGGCATCACATGGACAAGAGAGAATAAGAGAGGGCCTAACCCACTCCTGCAATGACAACAAACTCACTCCTGCAAAAACAGCATTAATCCATTTGTGAGGGAGGTATCCTTATAACCCAAACACCTCTCTTTAGGCTCCCCTACCAAAACCCCCACATTGTGGATCAAGTTTCTAACACATGAACTTTGGGGGACCCATTCAAGCCATAGCAGTCATTAATAGGCTTTTTTATTTATTTATTTTTTGCTTAGTAGTAACATGATCACATTTTATGTAAGGAATCTGTATGCTGTCTATTGCTATGTAGCAAATTACCACAAACTTAGTGGTTTAAAACAACACATTATCTCACAGTTCTGTGACTCAGAAGTCATGACATGGCTTAGCTGGGTCCTCTGCTTATGATTTCACAAGTCTTCAGTCAAGGTGTCTACTAAGACTTGGTTCTCATCAGAGGCTCAGCTAGGGAAAGATCCTCTTCCAAGCTTCCCCAGATTGCTACCAGAATTCTTTTCCTTGTGTCTGTAGGATACATGGTAGGTTGCTTCTTCAAAGTCAGAAATGGATAGAGTGAATTTGATATATGGTTGCATATGATGTAACTACATGAGTAAAATCCCTTATTTGTCATTCTATTAGTTATTAATAGAAACAAATCACAGATTCCCACCTACACTCAAGAGGACAGGATTATACAGGCATCAACACTAGGAGGTGGCAGTCATGGAGCTACCTTAAACTCTACCCATCAGACCCTCACTTACCTGAGGTGAAAAAATAATGGAAAGATGGAGTCGAGATGTATAGTTGGTACTAACCTACACTAAGACAGGGGACTTGGAAAAAGTTTGCCAGATTCTAGAAATTTCTAGCATGTAGAATGGATATAGTAATTGAATTTGGGGATTGAATAAGAGGGAGAAATCTAAGATGAAATCCAAGATAACAATTCTGGACAACTAGATGAGTACTTAATCACTGAGATGAAATTCAAGATGAGAAACAGGTTTTGAAGGTCTTCATGATAAGTTCAGTTGAACATTTTGAATCTGAGTTTTAAACATTGTAGTTTGAAGTAACTAGTGACAGGGCATCCAAGAAGTAAGTCTATAGGCAGTTGCGTCTATAGAAATAAATGTAAGGGAAAATAATTTGGTATTTAAAAAAACAAAACAGTTTGAGTTTCTTATGCTTTCTAAGAGTGGCAAGAATTTGTCTCCAACAGAGATGATTCGCTTTTAGCAAGCAAATGCTTGGTCTTAGAGTAAGTGGAGAAAGGCAAGGACTTCCTCATTTTTAGATATAGCCAAATAAGTGCTATTTAGATGACTATTTTTAAATTAAATCTCTCTGGACAGCAAAAAACAAGAACTTTGGAGCTGTCTGCTAGTGCCTAGAGAAGAGACCAAGTCCTAGCATAAAGGATAAAAAAAGGAAAAATCTCCACTAAAGCCTATGGAAGTACATAATGCATTAGAAATTCTGTAAGGAAAAAGATTGGAGAATTTCATCTATGTTACTTTTTACTTTAGTTGTTTTAATTGATTTATTTTACCTCAAAACGTTACAGAAAGCCTACTTTAAACATTAGCTTTATTTTAGCAATATTTTTTTCTATGTAGGAAATGTCGAAAAGATCTTTCAAAAAATAATCTCTAACATCATAAGCAACATTTGGACTAGATGACAGAGAAGTTGTAAAAGCATGATTTAAACAATGTATACCTTCTAGATAATCTATGTTCCTTCATCTGGAAGGAAAAGGATTTGTAGCTCTTCTTTCCACACAGCGTGACAAATGGGAGTTGGAGCCATTTTCTTGAGCTATTAAAGGAAAAGGTAACTCAGAAAGGTGGAAGATGAGAAGCAGAGATTTGTTGTGATGTCAACTGCAACACAACTGCCAATAGTAATTGCAAGACACCACTGATACATCCTGATAGAGATGTGAATAAATACACTTTTTTAAAAAGTCAGTTTGGTAAACAGTAATCTGCTCACCACTGGGAAGGGTAAGAGAGGGAAGAGCTTCTTGGCACTTGATTGTCTTTCCCACTCTTTGGTACAGCTTCTGCAAGTCTCAGCCCCCTCTGCACCTTTGGGTAGAGGAAATAGAGCTAGCAATGCACCTAACATCTTGTGAAGAGACACCAGACAAGTGCTGGGAGTGTATTGGATGCTTCTTCTGCAAAACTAACGGAGAAATGTGAAAAGTTGGTGATTTATAAAAATTCAGAGGCCTTCTAATTAAATGTACTTCTCGCTTTCATTGTCATAATCAGAGGAAGCACTGCATTAATAATTTGCTCTAATCACCCAGGAATAGCTGAAGGTAGAAGTTAGGAAACAACATTTTAATTAATTTTGCAGTTGTGTTTTTATTAACTAGAAGAAGAAGCTCAAAGTTTTTTGCACAGTGCAGCAAACTAGAATGGAGGTGATCCAAAGCAGTCTCTTAGCTCCATTCAGCTTCAGAGTAAGTGAGGAGGGCAGACTGCAGTCAATGTCCTGCTCTTAGTCAAATTCCAAACCCCAGTGGTTATATGTCCTAAAACAGAGGCCACGTGGCACAATATGAGATTATTACATCTTATGCAACGTATGATCAGTTTTTACCATTCCAAATCTTGTACAAGTATACAACAAGCTTGTACAATTAGAAGAATGAATTTAGATATTACCCTACTAATCAGAAGTATAAAAATAAGCAGATACATGTTATGTGTTTTAAGTTAGGGAAAAGAAATAAAAATAGATCTCAAAAGAAATGGATTTTCAGTTCACTCGGAAGCATATACAGCCATACGTGCAATAAGTGAAGAAAGTGTCCCATTTCCCACCCCTACCACAGTATATTCAATATTCTAACGATGCTGGATCATTTCCAAATAAAAAGACTATTGTAGGCTCAATTATGACCTCCAAAATTCATATGGTGAAGTCCCCATTACCTCAAACGTGGCTGTATTTGGAGACAGGGCCTTCAAAGAAGTAACTTAGATGAGGTCATTAGGGTGGACCCTAATCCAATATGACCAATGTCTTTATAAGAAAAATGACACAGGCAGAGATAGAAGGCCATGTGAAAACACAGAGGAGAGGTCCATGTGCAAGCCAAGGAGAAAGGCCCTAGAGGAGACCAACCCTACATACATCTTAATCTCGGACTTCTGGTCTTCAGATCATGAGCAGATAAGTTTCCATTGTTTAGGCCAGTGGTCCCCAACCTTTTTGGCACCAGAGATTGATATGTGGAAAGACCATTTTTCCACAGACTGGCAGTGGGTGGGGAGGAGGACAGTTTCAGGTTTCAGGGTGAAACTGTTCCACCTCAGATCATCAGGCCTTAGATTCTCATAAGGAGCATGCAACCTAGATTCCTTGCATGTGCAGTTCACAATAGGGTTCGCATTCTTATGAGAATCTAATGCCATCATTGATCTGACAGGAGGCAGGGCTCAGGCAGTGATGCTTGCTTGTCTACCTCTCACCTCCTGCTGTGCAGCCCGGTTCCTAACAGGCCAGGGACAGGTATTAATTCATGGCCCAGGGGTTGGGGACTCCTGGTTTAGGCCACCCAGTCTGTGCTATTTGTTATGGCAGCCATAGCAAACTAATACAAAGGCTAAAAAGTCATAATAAAAACAAGATACATTTTTTTGTAGATCAGAAACACAGAAATGTAAATTGGTAAACATGATGAGAGTCTAGTGTTGGCTGAGAGAAGCGGGCAGAAGCACCAGGTGCTTGGCTGCATTGAGGTAAAGTGGACTAAAAGCTGCCTCACACATGCAGGGGCTGGACTCCACTCACTGCTTAAAGCTAGAGGTCAGGGTGTAATTTTCTTTTTATGAAAAAAATCCCAGCAGTAGCTATGGGATTGTTTTGTTGTTGTTTAAGAAAAAGTAGCATGCCTAAGAAGGTGGAAGCTTACAAACAAAGCTCTTCCACTAGAAAGTAAGCCAAGCCACTTGTTGACTTGGTAATAAAATCTGTGATCATTCTGAAATCATCTAGGGCAGAACTCCTAGTACTGCCATAATAAGACTTGGTTTTGGAGTTATGGGTGGAGACAACCAAAGCCAAACTCATGAGCAAGCAGAAAAATTAAAAAGAGCAAGAACAAACTCCACACATGTGATAAGCATGCTAACCAAAATTCCAAAGCACGTGAAATCTAATATTAAAAAATACCCCCCCAAAGATTCAATTCTAGCTGTAACTACATTAACAAAACACTTGGTACAGATTTTAAGGTATACATTGTTAGTATCCTCATTAATGAAATGAAAGAATATCTAAAAAATTAACAGTAATACTGAAATAAAATTAGAAATTTTTACAAAGAAACTATATTCATTAAAGTAAAACAAAATATGGAAAATGATAAACTTTAAGTGGGAAACAGTTTGTCTTAGTTTTATTTTTATTTTTTTAATTTTTTTTGATACGGAGTCTCACTCCGCCACCCAGGCTGGAGTGCAATGACGCAGTCTCAGCTTCACTGTAGCCTCTGCCTCCCAGGTTCCAGTGATTCTCCTGCCTCAGCCTCCTGTGTAGCTGGGATTACAGGCACAGGCCACCACACCTAGCTAATTTGTATTTTTAGTAGAGATGGGGTTTTACCATGTTGGCCAGGCCAGTCTCAAACTCCTGACCTCAGGTGATCTGCCCACCTCAGCCTCCAAAGTGCTAGGATTATAAGCGTGAGCCACTGCTCCCAGCCTTAGTTTTATATTGCTGCATAACCAATTACCACAAATTGGGCAGCTGAAAATGACAAACATTTATTATCTAACAGTTTCCACAGGTCAGAAGCCCAGGCAAGGCTTAGCTGGAACTCATTAAGACTGCAAATAAGGTACTGGCTGTGCTATGCCCTCTCTGGATTTGAAGGTCAACTTCCAAGTTCATGTGGTTGTTGGCAGAATTCATTTCCCTACAGTTGTAGAACTGAAGCCCTCAGATCCTAGAGGATGCCTATAGTTCCTTGATGTGTAGTCCTTTCCACAAGCAGATGACAGCATGGCAGCTTACTTTTTCAAGACCTGCAGGACAGTCTACCACTCTAACCTTCAAAGACATTCTCATGTAAAATGTAATCAAGGCTGTTATGTCTCATCACCTTTGCCATATTTAACTGGTTGAATGCAAATCACAGGTTCTGCCCATAGTCAAGAGATGTAAATAATACAACATCTTTGAGGGTGCCACTTTGGGTTGTGTCTACCACATGTTGACATTAAAAAATTAGAGGGAGGCCGAGTCAGGTGGATCATGAGGTCAGGAGATTGAGAGCATCCTGGCTAACATGGTGAAACCCCGTCTCTACTAAAAAATACAGAAAATTAGCCAGGCGCAGTGGCAGGTACCTGTAGTCCCAGCTACTTGGGAGGCTGAGGCAGGAGAATGGTGTGAACCCAGGAGGCGGAGCTTGAAGTGAACCGAGATCGTGCCACTGCACTCCAGCCTGGGCGACAGAGTGAGACTCCATCTCAAAAAAAAAAAAAAAAAAAAATTAAAACATATTACTCTAGAGTTCTACCAGAAGGAGATCAAATAAATAAATAAATAAATAAAATCTAAAAAACCTACAACTGATAAAGACACATTTAGAAAACAAGTAGGATAATCTCCAACATAATTCTTATAGTAGTTCTAGAAGATAGTAGAAATGACAGAGAAGAAATATAAAAAAATGGCTAAGAATTTAAGAATTAAAAGAAAGTCAACATAATAAAAAGAAGGCCTTGATTCAAAGTGCTGAGCAGAATGAAAAATAAATAACATCGTAACACATCACAGAACTGAAGAATGTATGCAAGGATGAAAATAAACTTTTAAATGCTACCAATAAGAAAAAAGAAGTTGCCGTTAGATTGACAGCATTAAGTCATCATCAATAGCAACAGACTACATAGAACACCAGGCTAAAATCATCAATATGCAAGAGTGGAGGTGAGACTACTTACCTATAATTCTGTATAAACAGTTAAATTATCCTTCAAGACTCTAAGAGAAAGACATTTTTAGACACTCAAATATCATAAAAACTATACTAAAAAATATAAAAGATGAACTTTGACAATAAAAGTGTATAGGTGTATAGACTGGTTATACATAAAACAATATTGAACATAGAAATTTAAAATTTTAGGCTGATGAATTTAATTAGTATTGAAAATAAAACAAATATATATATAAGGAATGATTCATAGTATTAGTTTTCATTCAAAATAGTAAAATGCCTGCTTCCTAAGTATTTCTTCATTTCCTGCAGCCATTTCATGCTTTTTCTCTTTCCACTTTTCTTGCCTTTCTTTTCAACTTCTACTCGACTACCACTGCTTCCAGTAGCAAACCTAGGTAGGTGTTTTTTTGTTTGTTTCTGTTTTTGTTTTTGTTTGGTAGTCCAGAACTAAATTTGAAAGCCAGGATATCTGGCTTCCTCCATTCTGAGGCTTAACATTCATATTTAGACCTTGAGACAGAATAAGCAAAACCAGTCCTGAGTGAGTGAGATGGAATAAGACAATATTAAAGAAGTCAAGATTAAAAGCAAGAATATCAGTAAATTTCTGGCTGCAACAAGTCAGCCTTCCTTTGTATTGCCAGTACAGAGTTAATTGTTGATGCTTTATAAAAATTGGCTAGCCACAAACTAGCTTTCAAGAGAAAAATTATTTTACATTACATATTTTTCATAATTGCATATGCTAGAGCAAAGATTTAGTTTTAGTCTTTACTGTATTCTTGCAATGAAAATACAGTAAAAAATCAGCCACAATCTGGTATCTTTAAAGCCTATATAACAGGTAGTCAAGTAACATCTTTTCATTCAACATCATTTCATTATAACATTGATGAGAAGAAGGGGAGAAGGGGGGAAAAAGGTGTATTTCCAGCTGGGGACTCCATCTACATGGAGTTTGCACATCCTCTCCATGTATTCATGGGTTTTCTCCAGGTACTCCAGAGCTCTGCATGTTAGGTATGTTGGTATGTTTACATGGTCCCAACCTGAGTGAGTGAGTGTATGAGTATGCCCTGCGATGGAATGGCCTCCTGTCCAGGGTTAAGTTTCCACTTTGTTCCCTGAGCTGCTGGGATAGGTGCCAGCCACTGGTGACCCCTGAACTGGAGTAAGTGGTTGAAAAACAAATAAAGTTATTGTAAATTACTGTAAAGTAAAAATTTGCAAAGTATACAAAAGTCATACAGACAGCTCAACAATAAACTATGTGGTGGCAAAGTGAGCCCCCATATTTGTTACTGTTTCATTCCAAACTGCATGCTGGTAGGAGATGCTTCTTACAACTTCACTTTTCAAGGACTCATTTCTTGATTTAACCCATCACCACTGTGAAAACCATCACTGACTAACTATCACAAACTGGGTAAATAATTATCTTGTCCTTGTTACGCTTTCTTAAATGTATGTATAGCTCACATTTATTTCAATGTCACATTTATTTCAGTGTTTAATATTAGAAGCATTTTAGTCTTGTTGCTGTTGTTGAGACAAAGTCTCACTCTGTCACCTAGGCTGGAGTGTACTCCGTGGCACAATCTCGATTTCACTGTAACCTCAACATCCCAGGTTCAAGTGATTCTCCTACCTCAGCCTCCCAAGTAGCTGAGATTACAGGCATGTGCAACCATGCCTGGCTGTTTTTGTATTTTTAGTAGAGACAGGGTTTCACGTTGTTGGTCAGGCTGGTCTCAAACTCCTGGCCTCAAGTGAACCACCTGCCTTGGCCTCCCAAAATACTGGGATTACAGGTGTGAGCCACCACACCTGGCACATTTTGGTCTTTATTTAGATGTTTGGTGATGTTTTTGTGACCAGAAACACCCTTACACCAATTAGCCTATGATAAAATTGGTTTCATTGTATGTTGTTTCACTTAAAGTCAGTTTGCAACCTATTGACAATATTAAATGAGGATTTACTGACATTCATTAACTCTGAGTCCTCACTAGACTGGTTGTATTGATTCAGCCTCTTCTTCAAGATTTAAGTTAAGGGTTTACATTTTAAATTATGACAGATTATGAACTAAATTTTCAATCCTTTGCTATTGGAATTCATTAATAATTGGAATTAATTAGCTCCAGATCTAAATCATTGGCCTACTGGATTTATGTTGGTTTTGTCTTGTTTCTCCTACTATCAATGATAAGAAAACTAATACTAGCATTTTTACAAACAGATGTACAGTTAATATAAAGTACAGTGCAAATGACAACCAACTGTTGAACTGAACCTTGTAATGACAAATTAATTTGGTACCAAAACACTCATGGAGAGAGATCCTTCTAGTTGTCATCAAGAATAAGACCAAAATAGAATCTCCTTAAAGCATGAATCTCACAGGGCCTAAAAAACAATTCACAGTGAAAAAAAAAGTATTTAAAAAATAACTAATGTGATAAATAGAACAACTACCTCACATCTTAATACTAACATTGAATATAAATGGCCTAAACACTCCACTTAAAAGATGGAGAATGGCAAAATGGATAAAATTCCACCAGCCATGTGTCTGCTGTCTTCAAGAGACTCACCTAACACATAGGACTCACATAACATAAGGTAAAGGAGCAGCAGAAAAAGATATTTCACAAAAATGAAAACCATAAGTGAGCAGGAGTAGCTATTCTTACATCAGACAAAAAAGATGTTAAAGCAAGAACACTGAAAAAAGGAAAAGACATTACGTAGTAAAAGGATTAGTCCAATAGGAAGATATTACAATCTTAAATATATATGCACCTAACACTGGAGCTCCCAAATTTATAAAACTACTGCTAGACCTAAGAAATGCAACAGACAGAAACTCTATAATAGTGGGGGACTTCAATACTCCACTGAAAGCACTAGACAGGTATCAATACTCCACTGACAGCACTAGACACGTATCAAAGACAAAAAGTCAATGAAGAATGGACTTAAACCATACCCTAGAAGAAAGGGACTTGGATATTTACAGAATATTCTATGCAACAACTGCAAAATATATATTCTTCTAATCAGCACATGAAACATTCTCCAAGATAGTCTACATGATAGGCCACAAAACAAGCCTCAATAAATTTAAGAAAAATCAAAATCATATCAAGTATCTTCTCAGATCACAGTGGAATAAAACTGGAAATTAACTCCAAAAGGAGCCCTTAAAAACTATACAAATACATGGAAATTAAATAATCTGCTCCTGAATAATCTTTGAGCTAACAATGAAATCAAGATGGAAATTTAAGAACTCTTTGAAATAAATGAAAATAGTGATACAACTTATCAAAACCTCTGGGATGTAACAAAAGTGGTGCTAACAGGAAAGTTCACAGCGTTAAATGCCTACATCAAAAATTCTGAAAGAGCACAAATAGACAACCTAAAGTCACACTTCAAGGAACTGAGAAACAAGAACAAACTAAACCCAAACCCAGTAGAAGAAAAGAAATAACAAAGATTAGAGCAGAACTAAATGAAATTGAAACAATACAAAAGATATGCAAAACAAAAAACTAGTCCCTTGAAAAGATAAAACTGATAGACCATTAGTGAGATTAACAAAGAAAAGAAGAGCAAAGATTCAAATAAACTCAATTAGAACTGAAATGGGGTATTTTACAACTGATATCACAGAAATACAAAAGATCATTCAAGGCTACTATGAATACCATTTTGCACAAAAACTAGATAAGCTAGAAAAGATGGATAAATTCTTGGAAATATACAACCCTCCTAGATCAACTCAGGAAGAGATAGAAACTCTGAACAGACCAATAACAAGCAGCAAGATTGAATCAATAATTTAAAAATTGCCAATAAAAAAGTTCAGGACCAGATGGATTCACAGCTGAATTCTATCAGACACTCAAAGAATTCATATCAATCCTACTAAAACTACTCCAAAACATACAGAAAAAGGGAATCCTCTCTAAATCTTTCTATAAATCTAGTATCACCAAATACCAAAACCAGGAAAGGACATAAAAAAAGAAAACTACAGACCAATATCCCTGATGAACATAGATGTAAAAATCCTCAATACTACACTAGCTAACCAAATCCAGCAGCATATCAAAAAGATAATTCTTCGTGATCAAGTGGGTTTCATACCAGGGATGCAGACATGATTTAACATATGCAAGTCAATAAATGCGATACATCACATAAACAGAATTAGAAACAAAAATCATATGATTATCTCAATAGATGTAGAAAAAGCATTTGACAAAATCCAACATCCCTTTATAAAAACGCTCAACAAAATTGGCATAGAAGGACATACCTCAAAATAATAAAAGCCATCTATGACAAACCCACAGCCAACATCATACTGAATGGGGAAAGTTGTACTGGGAGTCTTAGCCAGAGCAACCAGACAAGAGGAATAAATAAAAGGCATCCAATTTGGAAAAGAGGGAGTCAAATTGTCACTGTTCACCAATAATATGATCATAAACCTAGAAAACCCTAAAGACTCATCCACAAAGCTCCTAGATCGATAAATGAATTCAGTACAGTTTCGAGAGACAAAAATCAATGTTTACAAACCAGTAGCACCGCTATACACCAACAGTGACCAAGCTGAGACTCAAATCAAGAACACAATCCCTCTTACAACAGCTACAAAAAATATATAAAATACTTAGGAATATACTTAATCAAGGAGGTGAAAGATCTCTACACAGAAAACTACAAAATGCTGCTGAAAAAAAATTCATAGAAGACACAAACAAATGGAAAAACATCCAATGCTCATGGAGGGGTTGAATCAATACTGTGAAGATTACCAGAGTGCCAAACGCAATCTATAGATTCAATGAAATTCCCATCAAAATACCATCATCATTCTTCACAGAACTAGAAAAAAACAATCCTACAATTTATATGGAACTAAAAGAGCCCTCATAGCCAAAGCACTATTTGTTTTACGGTTTTTTGTTTTTTTTTTTTCTGATTTGAGTTCCCTGTACATTCTTGACATTAGTCCTTTGTTGGATGCATAGTTTGCAAATATTTTCTCCCACTCTGGGGGTTGTCCGTTTACTCTGATAATTATGTTTTTTTTTTTTTTTTTTTTTTGCTGTGCAGAAGATTTTTAGTTTAAGTCCCACCTATTTATATTTGCTTTTGTTGCATTTGCTTTTGGGCTCTTGGTCATGAATTCTTTGCCTAAGCCAATGTCTAGAAGAGTAAGCAAAAATAACAAACCTGGAGGTATCACATTACCCAACTTCAAACTATACTACAAGGCTGTATTTGCCAAAACAGCATGGTACTGGTATAAAAATAGGCACATAGAACAATGGAACAAAATACAGAACCCAGAACTAAAGCCAAATACTACAGCCAACTGATTCTTGACAAAGCCAACACAAACATGAAGTGGGGAAAAGACACCCTCTTCAATAAATGGTGCTGGGATAATTGGCAAGCAACATGTAGAAGAATAAAACTAGATCCTCATCTCTCACATTATACAAAAATCAACTCAAGATGGATCAAAGACTTAAACCTGAGACCTGAAACCACAAAAATTCTAGAAGATAACATTTGAAAAACTATTCTAGACATGGGCTTAGGCAAAGAATTCATGACCAAGAACCCAAAAGCAATTGCAACAAAAACAAAGATAAATAGATGGGACTTAGTTAAACTAAAAAGCTTCTGCACAGCAAAATAAGTAATTATCAGGCCAGGCACAGTGGCTCATGCCTGTAATCCCAGCACTTTGGGAGGCCGAGGCAAGCAGATTGAGATCACTTGAGATCAGGAAATTGACCACTTGAGGTCAGGAATTCAAGACAAGCCTGGCCAACACGGTGAAGCCCCATGTCTACTAAAAATACAAAAATTAGCTGGGCATGATGGCTTATGCCTGTAATCCCAGCTACTGGGGAGGCTGAAGCAGGAGAATCACTTGGACCTTGGAGGTGGAGGTTGCAGTGAGCCGAGATCACACCATTGCACTCCGGCCTGGGCAAAGAAGGGAGACTCTGTCTCAAAAAAAAAAAAAAAAAAAAAAAAAAAAAAAGTAATTATCAGAGTAAACAGACAACCCACAGAGTGGAAGAAAATATTTGCAAAGTACATATCCAACAAAGGAGTAATATCCAGAATCTACAAGGAACTCAAATCAGCAAGAAAACAAACAAACAAATAATCCTATCAAAAAGTGGGCAAAGGACATGAATATACAATTCTCAAAAGAAGACATACAAAGAGCCAACAAACTTGAAAAATGCTAAACATCACTAATTATCAGGGAAATGCAAATAAATACCACCTTATTGCTGCAAGAATGGTCATAATTTAAAAATCAAAAAATAATAAATGTTGGTGTGTATGTGGTGAAAAGGGAACACTTTTACACTGCTGGTGGGAATGTAAACTAGTACAACCACTATGGAAAACAGTGTGGAGATTCCTTAAAGAACTAAAAGTACAACTACAATTTGATCCATCAGTCTCACTACTGGGTATCTACCCAAAGGAAAAGAAGTCATATAAAAAAGACACATATACATGCATGTTTATAGAAGGACAATATGCAATTGCCAAAGTATGGAACCAACATAAATGCCCATCAACCCACAAGTAAATAAAGAAAATGTGGTATATATACACCATGGACTATTACTCAGCCATAAAAAGGAATAAAATAATGGCCTTTGCGGCAACTTGAATGGAGTTAGAGACCATTATTCTAAGTGAAGTAATTCAGGAATGAAAAACCAAATATCGTATGTTCTTACTTATAAGTGGAAGCTAAGCTATTAGGACACAAAAGCATAAGAATGATATAATGGACTTTGGGGACTTGAGAAGAGTAAGAGGGGATGAGGAATAAAAGACTATATGTTGGGTACAGTGTACACTGCTTGGGTAATGGGTACACCAAAATTTCAGAAACCACCACTAAATAACTTATCCACGTAACCAAAAACCACCTGTTCCCCAAAAGCCATTGAAATTAAAATTTAAAAATTAAAGTTAAAATTAAATAAAATAATAAATTTAAAATATATTTTTAAGCATAGATTAATTGTATACCTAATTTCAACAGAATATTAAATTATTTTCAAAATAAATGGTTGAATGAAAAAGAAAAGCAAAACTGCAGCAAGGTTTCCATGTGGTTACAGCTCCATGAGAAAGACAGACATTTGCCTGGAAAGAATAATTTATGACTTTACCAGAAAATACATAAAGACACTTCAGAGAATAAACTTTTATATTATTCCCAAAGCTTTTTAGAGGGTATGGCTCACAAGTTACACAGACAATCTTTTTGTTTTAATAATATTTAGCTATTTTTGAAAATTATGGTCTCCACTATAATCACTTCAATTTCTCTTCTCTTTAGCATTGCTCGTAAGTCATCTCACAGATATAAGCATACAATTTAAAATATTTAGCTAATCAAGTAACTAGCTGAGTTACTCTAAAAAAAATCTATCATCCATAACTGAAATAGGACACCAAGAAGAAAAAGAAAATAAATATAAATACAAATAGTTCTAATACACAACTGACAAGTACAGTGGATGAAAAATTTCACTAATAGGCTAATAACAGAAATGTAAGCCTCAATAATTCATTCTAACCGTTCAACAGCTTCCTACTCAAAATGTTTGACATGTCCTTCACATGACCCCAAAGCGACAGTGTCATATGGAAAATTGAATTAAAAAATTTACAGTGCATGATGTATCTAGTGTTAGGTGAATGGTACAATTATCAACAAAGCTGATGAGTTCTGAAAAAGAATAAAAACAAGAGGTTTTCTGGTTTGTTTCTGCACAATTGCCTTTTCAGAGTACTGGAACCATTATAATTCATCTACCCTAAAAATGGGAAAGTTTCAAAAGAACCTCAAGTGCAGAATATAAGAATATCAGCAGTTCCTATGTCATGTCTGATATAAAATATTTTACACTTTAGTGAAACTGGCTTATCATAGTGGTCAAAACTAGACTCTATTCTGGTTAACAAAAGTGTAATACCATAGGCCTGGCATTTGTGTATATCTCCTTTCCCCAAAAAAGTAAAAAGCAAGATATATTTAAAAGAGGCCAAATAGAATATCTATAAGGGGTTTGAGCTTTCTTGGCTCTTAAAACCAGGATTTTGTAATTTAATTCCATTCACTGTGAAGTCTGACTGGATGCACATATAAGGAAAATGAGGTAAACTTCATTACTGAGCATTTTTGGTTCCCAAAGACTCTGAGTAGTGTGTTGTGTTCCATTTTCTCCATTTGTTATGTGGTTGTAAGAGTGTGGATGGATGCACACCTGCATCCCATCTGAGTAACACAAACACACAGCCCTGCTGGCAGAAGAAATAAAAACCTGGAATGCATCGAAGACTTTTCTCAGGGATGCCAGATGCCTAATTTTACTGTCTCCTTTTTTGTGAGGCTAAAGAATATGTAAGATTACAGAGCAAGCAGACAAGCTTTTTTTTTTTTTTTTTTTTTTTGGCAAGTCCAAATAACCTGAAAATAGCAATGATAATAATTTTTACATCAAAATAAATGTCATCCAGCCTCATAAATGTTTAAATACTAAGTTAAATGACTCAGATTTTAAAATAGCCTTACATGGTAAATATATGCCAGTGTTTAATCTTACAATAGGGGAGCTAATGCAGAATAGATTAATTGCTTTATCAGGGGATATATGTAAATCCTACGTTAGAATCAGACATGTAATCCAGAACTTGTGAACTCTAAGCCCTCATTGCTGTTTAGAGCTGCTTATAATTCTTTCTCCCAGCACTTCTATTTGGAAATACTGTAACAATTACATGTAAATCTCCCAAACATATTATCTATATTTTTTGTAAATTCCTTTCTGCTACCCTATTATGTTATCAAAACTTTTCTTCAATATTTCAGAAGTCAACTGGAATAGCTACAAACGCAGGGCTCTTAATAAAGAACATTCAATGTATCATTTTCAAACAAAAAAAGAAAAGAGCTAGTTTACCTTTAATAAGTATTCACTGATATTTGGAAAATATATGCCAATAAGTTTGGAGATAATTATAGATAATGTTTTTGTGAAATATGGTAATACCCTATAGCTATTCATTAATGATAATTGTTCACAGTTAATTCATTGTAATTCAATTTAACATGTTACTGGAGTCAAGCTCTGAATCCCATATTGAACATAGCAAATGTCATCCGCTTAGGAGACATTTAAGAAACAGCTCTGCAATAACTGCAAGATTTCAAGTAAACAAAATAATGATGTAACTTCTACATGGTTTTCATTTTAGAGCATCTTTAACTTCTAGGAACTTAAGTCTTTTATGGTCTGGCTATGTACTTGGCATATGTGTGTAACATTTTTCTTAAGCTATGAAATAAAGTTGCCTATCTTTTTTTTCCTATATTTTACTTTCTCATGATTCTAGGAAAAGGTAACTTAAATAGATAATAATTGTAGTTGTCAACATAAAAATTATTGTGTCTTTTAGGAGAATAGACAACACTGCCTTATTCTACTAACGTAATAATATGATGACAGTAAAATCCACTGTTAGTGTCTCTGATGAGAACATAATGGAGTCAACCTGGCTTGGGTTCATTCTGGATTTCATCACATTTAACCTATTAGTCACATTCTCTGGGCCTGTTTCCTCTGCTATAGAAGAATTGTTTCACAGAATTATTGTGAAGGTCAATTAAAAGAAGCATTTGAGACTCTTTCTGGTATATACCTTAATATATAAAATATATGTAAGAATATATACACATATATCCCTTCCATTCTCAAATGCATTCTTCAAACTCCTCTAAAATCTACTTTACGCCTTTCCAAATACAGTGAGAATTCATGAAATCTCCACTTAAATCATTCTAGATATAATAATTATGGAACATAAGTATTAGTGATGTCTTCTAATAATTTTCTAATATTATTTAGGAAGCAAGACATACAAGCTCAGATATTTGTCCCCTCCAAACCTCTTGTTGCAATTCGATCCTAGTGGGAGGTGTTTCGGTCATGGAGGCAGATCCCTCATGAAGGGTTTGGTGCTCTCTTTGTAGTAATGAGTGAGTTCTCACTCTATTCTTACTGGAAGTGATCGATAGAGAGTCTGGCACCACCCTCCCCTCTCTTGCTATCTCTCTCACCATGTGACACACCAGCTCCCCTTCCCCTTCTGCCATGAGCCCCCTCCGCAGAAGCAGATGCTGGTGCCACGCTTCTTGTACAGACTGCAGGACTGTGAACCAAGTAAATCTCTTTTCTTTATAAATTACCCAGCCTCAAGTATTCCTTCAGAGCAACACAAAGCAGAACAAGACAAATGCATTAAATATTTAGAGAATACTATATAACTTCATTAAAATTCAGTAGGTGTGATAAGAAAATGTGACTACCAGAAAGGGGAAAATTTAAGAATAAACTGGAAGTTTGCCAGAAATTCTAGGAAAGAATTGACTAGACACCTGAGAGACAGCTTTGTTCTTCAATCTTATCTCACAATAGGCCTAAATCCCTTCACTTCTACATTAGTATTACCTTCCCCCTGCCCTCTAAAATCCATCATGATCTCCAGAAACTTGAGTTTCCTCTCATTTCTCTGCTCAAGAGCCTACAAAGCTTCTGTTACCCAGGCTTATGTAGTTAAACTTCTCTTTCTTGTTCTCAGTCTCTCCAAAACATTTTCTATGCACCTTCACTAGAGTCAATATATCCATACATTCTTACATCTCACCTCCATTTTCTTTAGAGAAATGTTCTCCCGTTAGTGTTGCTCCTTCTGATACCTCTTATCTGCAAGGGTCTAGCTTTGTTATCTGTATTAGTGTTCTCTCCTCAACTTGACTAAAACCAGAAACTGTGGTATCCTTACAGGAAGTCATGTTCCAGGAGGTACCAACAAGTAAACTGTATAAGAATAATGCCCCCTTAAGTTGGGCAGTAGGGAGGTCCAGTACACTTGTCTACCATTGATATGGTACATCACAGAAAGGGGCATCTGTGAGCAATGAGTATCCATTTAAAATATTTAATCAAATGTGAAATCAAGCAGACAAAACACAGACTCTTAAGTAGAATACAAATGGTACAATAGTCTATAAATATATGATTGCTGAATATTTAAATGACTATGAATTGCCATAGACTGAATGAATGTTGGTAGTATATTCAGCTATCTATAATAAATTAAATGTAATCATGTTTTTTAGATAGTTTTCACATTAAAACCTAGAAGCAGTTTATGGCCAGTGAAATAAGTACTAGTAGTAATCAATAGTCATTGAAACTTACCACATTCTTTAAAATTCTTAGATGAGTAGAAATTGAACTGTTATACACTTATTATATTGAAGAATGCATGTACATACTGAAGATCACCACCTATTATGACAGTTTTAAAAAGTGTGAAATAAGATCATAATATCTCTTTAGAAAAAAATTAAAAGCATGAATTTATGTTTTTTTCTGCTTTGGGACATATTTTTACCAATACATCTAAGTGGCTGAAAACAGAATTATAGATTATGTCATGAATAATAAGAGCCAAAGTTCATTTATTTTACTATTTACTCAAGAATTGTGTATGATGTACTATACTGTATGCTCATCAAGAGGCAAGTAGCAATAATTTTACTACATGCAAAGATGACCCAAAGATGACCCAAATATTAATTAGAACTAACCAAGTTTAAATGAAGTTTAAATTAGAACATGATAAACTAAAACATAGGAAGAGAGACAAATAATACAGTAACATTTCTCAAACAGATTGCACATGAAGAAATAGGGACCATGTTTCATATAATCTTGTGTAGTGTATATTCTTGTTATTTACTGGATATTCTAACTCATCTTCTAGCTGTGTGTGCATGTCTCAATTACTTTCTTATTAAAGCAAAAGCTAACAAAAAAAATTCAACACTTTTTGGAGATGGCCTAAACTATAAAAACGGTTCAATTTCTAACAATGATTTAGCAGTTATATTCTTGGTTTTGTCAGTGGTGCATGATGTCCAGTAGTACAGAAATAAAGGAGCAAATTAACAAGAAATGTGTCAGCCCGGTAAGGCTGATGGTGGAGAGATGGGACAACTAGCTTTAGCATCAGCCTCCGGCCAGACATAGAACTGATGAAATTTGCTGAAGTGGCTCTCAGTCACAGCTTTATTGCCAGCTTCAGGGCCAATCCAGTAAAATATTTCTTTTTAATGTACTTTTTTTTAAACAGTAAAATAAAAAGTTTCAATTTTACAAATAAAAATGTTTCTTATGATTTAAAAAAGACACAAGATGACCTAAATTTAGAAAGAAGGTGAAACGTACTAATAGAGTATAAACTAAATTATAATCTGTAAAATGCCATTTTAGGCCATAGAGAAAATACAAAGCTGGGTAAGACTCAAATTCCTGTCCACATGGCAATAAGGAATCACATTTGAGAAATAGTAATTATAATTTAAATCACAATATAACTAGTACTAGGGAATACAGAGTATTAAAGAAAAGTAATAAAAAGTATTTTTTACTACTTTAGGAAAAGCAGAGAGGTCTATATGTCAATCACCTTCTCTTCAACCCTTTGGAGAGAGAGGGATTCCTACCCTAGAGTTATGCGGATGGCCAAACACACAACACCTAACACTGGACAGATGAGATCAACACCGGTTTAGTATTCACATACATCCACAGCCTGGGAAGAACAATGCTGCCTGCCACACAGGGACACACACAATGGTTGCATTTGGGAATAGAGTATACAACCAGTGGCTGCGGGGAGCAGGCTTTGCAGTATCAAGAGGTTGAGATGCCCCATGGTTCCCATGGGAGGTCGTGATTGGTTTGAATAATTTTATGAGTTTACTGATAACAGAAACCCAAGGATAAGCAGGAACTGTACCTGATTTCTTGCTAAGGAGGGTTAGCAAGGGGGTAGCAAGGGGTTAGTAAGGTGGCTAGGGGGAACTTATCCACAAGAACAGGGTGAAGAGAAGTTCCAATTAGGTTATTTGAAGCCTTCATGGTTTCACCAGATGTCAATACAGCACATGATATTTGGCCTTAATTTCAGGCCTCACCTCATTGTCTACAGGATAGAATCAGAGACGTTGTGTTCAGGAAGCACATTTGATTTCTCCAGTTGTATATTGTTGGAAGGATAGTAATCCAACAGGCTGCAGGCTGAGATATAAGGGGTGAGAAATGATCTTAAATACATGGAGAATGGGAAGAGTTGAAAGTGTTCAAAAAAGTTAAGGAAATTTTAAGTGAATGTACGTTTCATCATTTTGCAAGAGACTGCTGACACTCTATGTATTCTTCTAATTTTAGATGTGTTGCTTATACAAATGTGTTTTTATGAAATATAGAGTGTAAGATAGGAGACAAAATCCAGTATTTGAATTACAACATAAACCTTTATGAAGGCACATAATTTACTAGGATATATGAAATAAACGCTGATGTTTGACCATCATAACCTGATAAAAAATTCTTTCAGCCATGACTCTCTCTTCCAACTGAACTCCAAACCTTTACGATTATAGAAACTTTGTGTATCAGACCAAAAAACAAAGTCTTAGAGATGCAAACTACATTTATTCCAATCATGCTCTTACTAGAGGATCCTGACTTGTAGATCATTCCAGCAGCAGGAGATACGCAGGTTTGTGAGACAACTCACTTTATCCTTAAACATCATATTGTGTCCTGTACTGAACTGGAATGTTTCTTTTTACAACTTCAATCTATTGGTTCAAATGTTGCTTTCTCATCAATGTGCAGAGTAAGTATAGTCGGCCCTATATGTGATCGAGAAGAAGATAAATGGCTCTGGAAGCCTACAGCTAGGCCATGATATTCCAAGCAGATGGTAAACAAGATCACAGGATATAAACAATACAAACAATTATCAAACAAAGCACACATGACTGTGACGGAACAAGACAAAGACAATGCCACTCAGTGACAAGGTCAAAAATAATATAGAGACTCTGCAACCACAAGAATAACTAAACATATTCCTTTTCTTCTCTCTCCACTTCAGTAATCCCTCCTAGATAAAAATTACCAATATACCTAGTTACCATACTGTTCCCACTTCCAGAAGGCACCCAACCCAGAATGGCCTCAATTTTCTTTAACTTTTAGAATCACACAGAATATCCCCAAATCTTGTAATAAGACTTTCCTTACTGCCTCCTACCATGACACCTCACAGTTCCAATGATGGACATTCTCTTTTGCTATAGAAATTATCCTGATTGAAGATGTATTCCTAGTGGTCTTTGGTGAGTTTGACCTTACAATACTTGACTCTCTCTGGGAGTTAGCAGACCCTTGGGTTCTAGTCCCAAGTTCCGCCCCCATTTAAATGTTACACCTTGGGTAAGTCACTAAACTTCTTTAGGCTTCAGTTTTTAAAAATAAAAAATAAGGCTAAAATTGATGATTTCTTATCTTTGAGGTTTTGAACCACAGGGATTATGAGTTATTACACAGAATCCTTGAGTCCATTATAAACATATGAATTTCCTTGATAAATGTGTATTTAAAATACTACTACTCTTATACGAGGACATTTAAAGGTTTAGACCTTAAAAGAAACCTTTATACTTGGGTTTGGAAACAACTGGACTGCTTTTGAAAGCTCATATAGTTAGAACCTTCCCAGTGAACACAGTAGCACTGATATAGCTGTCAAAAGTTCTCTTCGCCACCTTGGAAAGTAAAGAGAGTGTGAGGAAAATTCTAGAGTTTCTATCTGTGGGGGTGGAGGGTGAAGTGTCGCCAGCAGTCCGAGTATCTATCATAAGACATATATCAACTTGAGAACAAACATTAATCGATGTGATGCCCAAAGGAGCCTGGGACATTGGAATGGGACACACTGTATAGAATTTCACTTATTTCTTAGTTATGCTTGGGGATGAGAACTACTGAGACTAATATGAATGAATGAGTTCTGAGGTTAGTCGCAGAAGTCTACCCTGATTGCTAACAGAAGTCTCCCTCAGAGGAGTTAATGCAGAACAATACTGAATTGTAAAGTTTTCTGATTATAGGCATGTTTTTCAATCATTGATTTAGAATTCTAAAAATCCCAGTTTTAGCCTTGAATTAACCTTCACACACAATGCCCTATTTTTCTTCAGACTCTCAAGCTTTCAGCCGTCATTTTTATGTACTATATTATGAACCTAAGATTTGTCTCCTGAATGCAGTTTTTGTGCTATATTTAGCAAAAGGATGCTTCCTGTGCTTCCTCTATAGATATTCCTCAATGAGTGCAGTCTTCACTCATTAACACTATGAATAGTCTTTCTTCAAACACAGCATTAGAAAAAAAAGCCTCCTATTCTGTTAGGGGAAATGGAAATTTGATTTATGTGAATATATTAATAAAGAGAACTTGAATACAAATGTCTGTCCTTCAGACCATTATGAGTTTACCCTAATTACTGTCAACCATTTAAGTTTCCTTGCAAAGAAATCTATGCTGGCCATAACCTTAATTTAAAACAAAATATTTACTATTTTAACCATGTCAGTGGAAATATTATATCTGAAATTTAAATATATATTCATTTACTGGTTTTTATAAAAGTTCAAGAAATAGTCCTGAGGTTAAGCCCATTTCTATGCTGAATAAAGTTATTAAGTCTTTTTTTTCAAGTACTAGCAAGGATTAATGAACTGGGATTTGCAAAGTATTTTGAGTCTTCAGGAAAAATATTAAACAGATCATTTGGTTGAATATTTCAAAAACTAAATTATTAGCTTGAATGTTATATGTAGATACATAAAATGCCTATGTATATTGTGTGTGTTTATGTACATATAATACTGAATAAGATGCATTAAATTGTAACCTGACAAGAAGCCTACCAGAAACTTCAACTTAATCATCATATATGTGCATATAAATTGGTCTTATTCTTATCTGAGACTTATGCCAAGCACTGTCTTGGAATTTATTAACAGAAATACAGATGAATAAATGACCCCTCTCCCCATTAATATCTTATCTCTTTCCCTTCAACTTCAATTATACAAAGTTTATGTGCAGTTTTCTTATTATTTCACTGAAACTGTTTTTGAAGTTCACCATCAACATCTCAGTAACCAAATTCAAAGGTTTTTTATCATTATTCATCACATTGTACCCACTGGAATAACTTGTCATTACCTTCCTTAAAAAAAATCTGTCTCTCAATGTATCTGTTCAAGTTGTCTTAATAATACAGCTTTTTCAACTTTTACTGTTAAGTTACCGTCTTCTGAATGTAACATTTTCCCACTTGTGTATTTTTATATTCTCTACTTTTATTTCATCCTCTTTCCCTTGAAGGGGACACCTGTCAAGACTATACATCCTGATAACCCAAATCTATTTCTGCAACAAATCTCCCCTTTTTAGGGAATTTTTGCTCATTTCCCACCACTTGTCCATCTCATTACTTAAAATGTGACATGCTTGGAAATCATTCATTTATCCAGACTAAATACAGCATCTTCAAACTCATTACTTTGTGACTTACATACTTTTCTTAACGGCTCTACAATCACCATAATCATACTCAGGCTTAAAAACTATAATCTTAGACTGCAAAAGCACATATCCATTTGGCCTCAAATCCTTAGAATTCAAACTCTCTGGCTTTAACATCTGCTCATTACTCTTTTACTATTATCTTCATGAAGGTTCATAGCACATGATTTAACATGGTGTATTACAACAGCCTCATGGTCCTCTCCTAATCTATGGAAAGGCAATCTTTCTTCTGCATAATTCCAATCAGCCTCTCCAACCACTCAAAAACGTTCAATGGCTTACATTAATGCTGAGTAATATGCAAACTCCATTGACAGTCCTCCTGGACATAACATTAAACTATTTTTTGTTTGTTTCCAGTAATGTTTCACAACTACTTTCAAATAAGCAATATGGCAATTTAATAATATCCACCTGATGTTCTCTAAATAAGTTGTATGCTTTTCTAACTCTGTGCATGGGGAAAGCTGAAATTGGAAGAAATTACCTCTATATTTTAGACACAAATTCTAAGAAGTCTAGACACTTGAATCCTACTATTCCTTCTCTTAATGTATCTAATAACTTGATTTTAGATTAATCAAATGTATTATATATTAATTCCGGTTAAATGCATACTGTGCAACAAATTACCACAAATTTACTAACTTAAAGCAGCATATATGCATTACCTTAAACTTTCTGTAGGTTAGAATCCAGGGTGCAGCTTGGCCGGAGTTCCTACTCAGGGTCTCACTAGCTGAAATCAAGGTTTTTGATAGGGTTATGGTTCTCATCGAAGGCTGGAGGTCCTCTGTGTGTTTTGGCAGAATTTCTTTCTTTGTGGTTGTAGGGCTGAGGTCCCAACTTATTTGCCGTTTTAGTGTTTTGTTTTTTTTTTTTTTTTTAGCTGTTGGCCAGGGACCACTCTATTCTTCTAGACGTCTCCTTCAGTTTCTTTCCATGTGGCCTACATGCACCATCGAGAACATGGATACCGGCTTTCCTCTGAGCCACCTAAGCGTGTCTCTCTGACTGCAACCAACTAGAGTAAACGCTCTGCTTTTAAAGACCTCGTGATTAGCTCAGATCCACATGGATAATTGCTCTATATTAAAGTCAGCTGATTTGGTACATTAATTACATCAACACAATTCACAGCAGTATCTAGTTAGTGTTTAACTGAAAAACAGGTGTAAGCTGTGTAGGTACAAGGGAATCTTAGGGAGTCATTTAGAATTCTGTTTACCTCACAGGCTTACTTTTTTTTCAATACTGTTGGCATATTTTGCTATTATGAGCCAATAGTTTCTTTCAAGAGCAGTCAAAACTGTTAACTAGTTGCTGGCAAAAGGGAAGCAACAAAAATTGTTGACTTTGGTTCCATATTTTACAAATTTTAAGTAACAATAGGAATAATACTGCATTCAGTAATTCAAGTCAGGCATAGAAGTATATGTTCACACTAACTTACTTTGGTAATATCATTACTATATGATATTTTTCAAAGGAAAATTGTTAAGGGAGCCATACTGGGTGTCTTAGTCCATTTTGTGTTGCTGTAACAAAATACCTGGGGCTGAGATTTATCTAGCTCACAGTTCTGCAGCCTGGGGAGTAGAAGAAGCATGACCCTGGCATCTGCAGGCTTCTGTTAAAGTCTTTCCTGCTCCATCACAATGTGTTAGAGAATCAAAAAGAAAGTGGACACAGGCTAAGAGGCAAAATCCAAGGGATGCCCTTCACGTTACAACAACTCACTCTCATGAGAACAAATTCATTAGCCTGAGAACTAATCCAGTCTATCAAGAGAAAGAACTCAGTACCATGAGAACAGCACCAAGCCATTCATGAGAGAATCACTCTCATAACGCAAACACCTCCCACTAGGTCCTACCTTTCAACATTGCCACATCAAGGATCAAATTTCAAGATGAATTTTGGTAGGGACAAACCATATCCAACCATAGCACTGGGATCTTTAATTATTAAAATTGCCAATTCACCACACAAGATCTTAAATTATCTAGGCCAGCTTTTCTTTTATTCTCTATGCAACAGACTTTGGGATCTAAATCAAGAACTCAAGAATTTAGGCAATTTCCTCTTTTTGCAGACAATCTTGGACCCATTTGGAGGCACACTGGTGCAGAATGTGGATGGCTGTTTTTTCCTGAGTAAAATATATGTTAGTCTTGATTAACAAAATAACAGATTCAAACATCACTTGATCTTTTAGTGTAACCTCTTCAGAGTGCTAACATTTCAGGGCTTGTCAGAGAAGTCAATCCCACATTGGTTGTGTTGTGATTTCTTGGAATGCAAAGGCCATATCTAAAACATTTAAATGCTTTAGCAAAGTCTAATAGTAAATAAATTATTAAAAGTTAAGGATTTCTAAAGACTATGCTTAGCTCCTTAAGGAAATAACTTTATCAAAATTAAATTCTATATACCAGCCATGAGAAGCTACTATATGAAGAACATTTTTGCATCTTCTCAAACATACATTGGAATATCTTGCTCATAATATTAACCAGTGTCCCTTATGTCAGTAGCCACGTGATAACATTCTCTATTAATATTCAGATGAAAGCTAGTTTTGGTGACGGGTCAATTCAGTTCAAGAACCATGTATTTAGTGCCTAATGTCAAAGACACTAGGCTAGGCCAAAGGGATGCTAAGGTGGAAAAATAATTGGTTTTCTGCACTGAAAGAGTATAAAGGTACATACGTATTTCTTCTCATGAGAATATTAATGACTTTACTTACTACTATTTCCTTTTTGCTTTAACTGCTAAGAAATACGAGCTAAATTTTGTGTTCTCCTCCAGTAACACATTTCTGGGAGCATTTATGTCTTCATTTATCTAAATAGATGGTCTCTGACTTTCCATTTTTAAATTTTTTTAAAGAAAATGTTTTGCTATTTATTCTTGTAAGCTGCTTCAAATTCTTTTTCAGAAGCAAGCGACATTTTAAATGAAACTTTAAAAATTGAAATAGTATTTATAATAATATTTTCCTTCCAAATTGTGTATCACATTATCTTTAGGTATTGAAAACATTCAACAATGCTACAGTATAAAGGGCATTTTATAAAAATTTATATAATTTTATAGTTTTTAAAGAAATCTTATGTCAATAAAATTATTTTCAACTTAAATAGTGTCAGAAGATCAGATTTTTCAATTATTTTTAGGATTTAACTGAAATTATAAAAACTCATTAAAAATTAAATAACTGTCAGAAACATTATAAATCTTTTTATGATGTTTGCCTTTTTTTTTTTTTTAAAGCACTATCTTGTAAAGTAGCATTATGTAGGCTGCACATGGTACCTCATGCCTGTAATACCAGCACTTTGGTAGTCCAAAGCAGGAGGATCATTTGAGGTCGGGAGTTCTGGACTAGCCTGGCCAACGTGGTGAAACCCTGTCTCTACTAAAAATACGAAAATTGTCCAGGTGTGATAGCGTGAGCTTGTAATCCCAGCTGCTAGGGAGGCTGAGGTGGGAGTTTCACTTGAACCCAGGGGGTGAAGGTTGCAGTCAGCTGAGATTGCACCACTGCACTCCAGCCTGGGTGATGGAGTGAGACTGTGTCAAAAAAAAAAAAAATCATGTAAAAATGAAGAGGAATTTGACATTTATTTTATTATTTCTATGTGCCAGATACTGTCTAAGCATTTTACTTAGTTCACCTTATTTAACAGCTCTATAGATGATTAGACAGGAGTGTAGTATTTGCATTCTATGAGCCAACTACAGAGCTTGGTATTTCCAAATATTTGAATACTTACAGCAGTTAACACTTAAGCAATCCTTTAAATTTAATTGACCCCATTATTTTTATATGGAAAAGGTGAGCCTCACAGAAGTTAAGCAACTAGATAAAGGCTATACAGATAAAAACAAGAATCCAGGTATGATAGGGAAAATTCTAAGATGATCCCCAATGATCCACATGCTTGTACAATTCCCTCCCCTTTCATGTGAGAAGGACCTGTAACTGGAATTTCACCACTAGAATGTGGTTATCAGTTGTAGGACATCACTGCTGTGATTATGTCCTATGGAAAAGATGAAGAAGTTGGGCAGATACAATTAGGATCCCTAAATCAGTTGACTTTAAATTAATCACAGGGAATCTTGGATAGAGCTGACCTAATCATGAAAGGCCTTTAAACACCCGTCTAGAAGTAAGAGCAGAAGCAGCAGCAGCAGGTGCTCTCTTTTTTGTCTGAAAGAGCAAAATGCACGTGTAGAGAGGGCCATATGACAGAGAACTTCAATCCTACAACCACAAAAAACAGAAATCTGCCAGCAACAAGGGAGTTAGAAGAGGACCTGGAGCTCAAAATGAGATTGTCATCCTGGTCCACAGCTTGATTTTAGCTTCCTAACACCCTGATTCATGGACCTAGCTAAGCTGTGCTCAGATTTCTGACCCACAGTAACTGTGAGATAATAAATGTCTGTTATTTAAAGCCACTGAATTTGTGGCAATTTGCTATGCAGCAACAGAAATCTTATGTACCAGGTGTGACTCATTTAGAATCCTATCGTATTTCCATTATATTGTTTCCATATTTTCTTATGACACATGGCCTATGACATAGTTGTCTAACAACAGCTATTTCCCCATCATTCCTTTTTTCTATCATAACATTTTCCCAGCTTCCCTTGCAATAAGGTATGGAAAAGTAAATCCATTCAAGTCAGAAAGACACATGAGAAGTAATGTGGGAGGCTTCAGGAAAAGATTTTCCTCCTTGATAAATGGGAAAACCATTAGAGGAGATCCATCATTTGTTCTTTCCTTTCTTTGATGTGACTACATGATAATCCAATTGTTTGAAAGTGCAGCCACCATACTGTGTCTTTAAAGGGAAGACCAAAGACGAGGAGAGATGCAAAGCCACAGTTCTGCCAGTACCAAACTGCTTATAAGCAAACACATTGATGTGAAAAAATAAATCCCCAATGTTTTAGCTTTTTGTGACAATAGACATAATAGAGTCTAGCTGGTAGAACATGTTTGCAGCTGAAAGAAACTGTATTTGTCAATGTTCTACAGAGAAACAGAACAAATAGAGTGTGTGTGTATGAGTACAAGACATTTATTTTAAGAAATTGATTCATATGATTACGGGGACTTGACAAGTCCCAAATCTGATGTGGGAGTCTGGCAGGCTGGAGACTCAGGAAAGAGTGAAGTTTGAGTTGAAAAGCAATCTGCTGGAGAAACAGAAAGAACTGATATTACAGATGCACTCTGAAGGTCATTTGGGGAAGAATTCCCTCTTGATAGCAGAAGGTCAGCCTTTTACTTACAGGCTTTCAACTGGATAAGGCCCACACACATTATGGAGGTCAATCTTCTTTATTCAAAGTCCCACCAATGAAAATGTAAATCTCATCCAAAACAACATCAGATAAGCACTCAGAATAGTATTCGATCAAATATCTGGGCATCATGGCTCAGACAAGTTGACATATGAAATTAATTATCACAGCATTCTCACTGATAAAGGAAAAAAAATGTCTTATATGTTTTATCCTGATGATAACTCTACATACTTCATGGGAAAAGAAAATTTAGCTTCAACAATAAAAACAGCTGTCATTTACTGAGTGATAATTTTGTGCCAATTGTTATTATACTTTTCATAAATTATTTTATTTAATCCACATGTCAAGATTGTAAGGGGTTTAAATTCTCTTATTTATTTATTCACCAATTATTTATTTGGCACTTAAAATGTGCCAGAGATGATTTGGGGGCCATGCACATACCAGTAAACCAGAAAAAGTCCCAGCCTTCATGAAACGTATATTCTAGTGAGGTAGGTCAGACAGTAAGCCAATACACCCATAAATATGTGACATAATGCTATCTAATGATTAGTGCTGTAAATAAATCTAAAGCAGGTTATAGAGATAAGAAAGAGGTGGTGTATTTAAAGGTAGCAATATTTTAATAAATGATGTGAGGGAGTGAACTGTATGTGTGTCTGAGAAAAAAAAAATGGTACAGGTAGAGAGAAGAATACGTGCCCTGAACGACAATGAGCTCAGCGCATATAAAGAACATGAAGAGTCCAGCAGTCATTATTAGGATCGAGTGAGCCAAGGCCAGAGGGTTAGGAGATGATGGCAGACATAGCTGAAAGTAAATCATACATGAATAGATTCATTGGAAAGTTTTAAGGAAACTGTTGTGATCCAATTTATTTTATTTTATTTATTTATTTATTTTGAGAAGGATTCTCTCTCTGTCGCCCAGGCTGGAGTGCAGTGCTGTGATCTTGGCTCACTGCAACCTCTGCCTCCTGGGTTCAAGTGATTCTCCTGCCACAGCCTCCCGAGTAGCTGAGACTAGCACACCAGCATACCCAGTTAATTTTGTATTTTTAGTATAGATGAGGTTTCACCATGGTGGCCGGGATGGTTTCGATCTCTTGACCTTGTGATCCACCCGCCTCGGCCTCCCAAAGTGCTGGGATTACAGGCATGAACCACCACACCTGGCCCGATTAATGTTTTAAAATATTACTCTGTCCCCTGAGTGAAACTGGACTGAAAGGAGCTAAGTGTGGAAGCAAAGATGCCATTAGAAGGCCAGTGCAGCAGTACAGTACAAAGATGACGGAGGCAGGGAGCTGGGTGACAGAGGTGGAGGGGGGAAGGTGATTGCTGTTGACTCCTTTTTATAGATTAGGAAGCTGAGCTTGGGAACTGTTAAGAAAATTACTCAGGTTCACAGAAAAACAACTCAACAAAACTAAAATTAAAAGAGAAAAATGCCTGAACAATAAAGAATCTTTCTTTAAGACAAAATGGTTTAGAAGGAGAGTGGGATTTTTAGATCTTCCAAGTCCACTTGGTAGGAGAATAATGATGTTTTGCTTTCTTTTGACCAAGATTGTTGAAATGACATCACTTGAGCAAGAATTTAAATCTGGAGAGGGCATTATTATTCATATTTAAAGTATCATGGTATGTAAATAGAACATTGCTGATCACTCATTGCAAAACAAACATACTAAGCTTGATACTCACACATTTTCCCCCTTTCATTTTAACATAGATACTTTCCAAACTATTCAATGAGAATTATTGATTATTCAGTGAGAATATCTTTTTATAAAATGATGACCTGGTAAATACACAACTGAAACACTCATTTCAAGAAATAGTACTATCTCCACTGTTCATGATGAACTCTAGAATTTTTAATTCTATTCTATTTTTTAATGCTAGTTGCAAACCTCTAACTTCATTTTAAAACCTACTAATAAGTCTCAAAAGCAGTGGAGCAGAAACCTGGAGAAAAATTGTAAATATGTGGCTCCTGTGCCCATTTGTGTCTTTCCCTCCTTGGGTACAGGATTACCTATAGGCCAATCCATAGCCCCGGAGCAACTGGGTTCATAACTATGACAGCAGGAACAGTCTCAGAGGCCTCGCCTTGGCTTTTTAACCTCTTGTTACATTTGCTTTTGTCAACAGGTAGCCACGTGTGGTAGTGTGGCAAAGTTAGGGACCTCAGACTGAAATTGCCTAAGATGGAAGGAGGGGCAGCAGCTCCTTATCTGGCTGCCCAAAGCAATAGCCCACTTGCCTCTGCAGCCCACTGGCAAAGGGCCCACCAGTGAATAGTTAAGAGCAGGAGCTCCAGAAGGCAATGCCAACCTCTAGCCCTGCTCTAACACAGCTGTGCAAACTTCGAGGGTTGCCTAACTGTGCTTCAGTTTACTTAGGTTTGTAATAGCACTAAAGGATCTCAGAGGGTCACTGGGCTAGCAAATGAGTTGATGAAAGCAAGGGCTTAGTCAAAGCTTGCACACATTGAGCACTCAGTTGATAATTGCTATTACTAGTAGTAGTAGCAGAGCAAGGGCATGATGTCAGAGGGAAATGGAGCAGAAGAGAGTGATTGAAATATGTTTCCTTATTCCTTACTATTCCCAAATTTAGGTGTGTATTTGAACCAAATAAACATGAAAAAGAGTAGAGCTGAAAGACGTCTTGACCTGTATCAGTCCAACCCCTTCATAGATAAGGATGCACAGGAATATTATCTCACAAAATTTTAACTTAAAATATCCAGGCCAATTAAGTTTCTATTGCCAAGAAGTAAATGGAAACTGCTAGTAAATATTTTTAAAAATTAAGAAACTCTTTTATATATATATATATATATATATATATATAAAATATATGGGTGTATGGTTTAGTATATTTGTGAGTTTTATATATTTTAATGATTTATAAATAATATTATTTATATATTATAATATAGATATATAAACATATAATAAAATATTTATATTTTATATATTTGTATTCAATATTTAATATTCAATATATTTAATATTTTGTATAATGTTAATATTTAATATATAATATGATTTTTAATCTATTATATAATATTTATTTTGTATATTAAATGTTTATATAATATAAATATATCATATATTAAATTGTCCTATATAATATAATATTTATATTATTTGTTACATACTTACATACTATAACTATATTATATATTAAATATTTCAAGATTGGAAAGATTACTTTCCAATACTCTTAAGATAATCCTATCTAGTAGTAATACCTAGAATGAACAAACACACATGCACACACATGTGCACACAGACACACAGTGATTTAATAGCCCCTGGAATTAAATTACTTATTTTTTCTCACATATGATGAACTTGGAGAACTCTTCCTGTTAATCCCACTATATACTTATGTAGCTGTATTGTATCAGCAGCTGATATCTGAGTTTTAATTGGGCCCTGACCATAGGTAATGCATAGAGATGGTAATATCTAGAGGGATCACTAATGTTAACACTCAAACAATAAAGTCAAATCTTCCATGAAGTCATTAGTGGAGTTAATGCTTGTCTAAAGTGTGTGCTAGTAGATAACTACTTAAATACATATATGTGTATGTGTATAGCTATATTTATATATATAGTGTATATATCTATTACTGTATCTACATCAATTTATATGTATGTATATTGCATGTTTATATATGTATAACTATATATCAATATGTGTATGTATATATACGTATGTGTATTTGTAGAGAGAGAGAAAGAAAGAGAGGAGATAAGTAAGTAAAGGGATATTTTAAAATTTTGATGCTAGTATATACATTCAGTTAATAGTAGCAAGCATCACTTAGATATTTAGCAGAATAATGGGCATTTTTGCCTACAGTGACAGCTACTGAAAAGAGAATCATATTCTCTTTTCATAATTTAGAATATGATATATATTTCAAAATATGATATATATTTCAAAATTCATAATTTTAGAATATGATATATATTTATATATAGTGTGTATATACCTATTTTATCTGTATCTATATATGTGTGTATATTTTGTGTTTATATATGTATAACTATATATTGATATGTGTGTAAATATATATGTATGTGTATACATACTGAAAAGAGAATCATATTTTCAAATGATGATATGAACCTTTAAGTTGAGTCCCAAATATTCTGGCTTATTTATTAATATGCTTTCTAACTGAGTTCAACATTCAAAATAATGAATTTTCAAAATATATAGGCATATATTTTGATGAAACCATTGATAACATATGTTTCTGAATACAGATATGCACACACCCACACACACAAAATCAAACCTTTTAAGAATGTAGAGGCTGCTTGTACCCAATTAATTAAAACATGGCTCTATCCTCTTCTAGAAAGTTTTCTCTGAAATTGAACCAGAAGTACCTGGGTGACACTAAGTTTAAGACAGAAACTCACATTTCATAACTTAAATTCAAAGAGTAAGATGACTTTGATTAGTTCATTATAATCTGGTGAAAGAAATAGACTAATGGATACAAACAAATTTTAAAACAACATAATTTAAAAGCTGCAAGAGGCCAGGTGTGGTGGGTGGCTCATGCCTGTAATCCCAGCATTCCGGGAAGCTGAGGTCAGATGTTAGAAGTTCGAGGCTAGCCTGGCTAAAATGGTGAAACCCCCGCCTCCACTAAAAATACAAAAAAAAAAATTAGCCAGGCATAGTGGCACATGCCTGCAGTCCCAGCTACTTGGGAGGCTGAGGCAGGAGAATCACTTGGAACCAGAAAGCGGAGGTTGCAGTCAGCCGAGATCGTGCCATTGCACTCCAGCCTGGGCGACAATAGCAAAACTCCCTCTCTAAATAAATAAATAAAAGCGTACAAGAAAAAAAATTCCCAAAACTATAATTCACATTAATAGGATTTGAATCTATGTAATTTATGCACTCATAAATAGGAAATAGAAATTTCAATCTAGATATTTTTCCTTTCACATCATTTGATTAGTTTAATACTCTATTTTTTAAAATATATTAATTGTGTTTTTAGAGGGCTTCTGCATTTGGTTGAGCAGTACACAAACTTACTGCCTGGAATGCGACTAAGGTGCCTAAGAAAAAAGACACCTCTTTTTTTTTTTTTAATACTTTAAATTCCGGGATACAAGTGGCAGAACATGTAGGTTCGTTACATAGGTATACATGTGCCATGGTGGTTTGCTGCACCTATCAACCCATCATCTAGGATTTAAGCCCCACATGCATTAGCTATTTGTCTTAATGCTCTCCCTCCCCTTGCCCCTCACCCCCCGACTGGACCCAGTGTGTGTTGCTCCCCTCCCTGTGTCCAGGTGTTCTCATTGTTCAATTCCCACTTATGAGTGAGAACATGTGATTTCCTGTGTTAGTTTGCTGAGGATGATGGCTTCCAGCTTAATCCATGTCCCTGCGAAGGACATAATCTCATTCTTTTTATGGCTGCCTAGTATTCCATGGTGTATATGTATCACATTTTCTTTATTCAATCAATCATTGATGGGCATTTGGGTTGGTTCCATGTAAAAAGACACCTTTCTATAATTCATCCACTGGGCAGGACCAACTTTTTTTTTTTTTTTTTTTTTTGAGACGGAGTCTCGCTCTGTCGCCCAGGTCGGACTGCGGACTGCAGTGGCGCAATCTCGGCTCACTGCAAGCTCCGCTTCCCGGGTTCACGCCATTCTCCTGCCTCAGCCTCCCGAGTAGCTGGGACTACAGGCGCCCGCCACCGCGCCCAGCTAATTTTTTGTATTTTTAGTAGAGACGGGGTTTCACCTTGTTAGCCAGGATGGTCTCGATCTCCTGACCTCATGATCCACCCGCCTCGGCCTCCCAAAGTGCTGGGATTACAGGCGTGAGCCACCGCGCCCGGCCAGGACCAACTTTTATAATTCACTCAAAAGCTTCTTTTGTGCTAATTGTGCCCCTAATTGTTTTGCATGACTATGTGTCTAAGCAGCCCAGCTAAATATATGGATGTGTGATGGGTGGTGGTATGGAAGCAGAAGCCTAGAATTATTGAGTAATTTCAGTTCATGTGGCTAGGCCCTTGCAAATTAGGAACCTTGTAGGCCACATCAAATCTTTATAGCCTCAACTTTTATTACGGGCCCTTCTGCAGCAACCAGTTCCACACAAACTTCCACGAGCTTCAAACAGCAACCCCAAGACTACAACACATGCCTCTTGCTTTCTGACTAGAGCTTCTTGGACACCTTGGTATGAACTGGGTGCTCACTCGTGGATGTACAAGTCTAGAGTGTAAGAGAATTAATGCACATGTCAACAACTGTTTGCCAGTGGGAGAAGGAACCAACGGGTGGACGTTTATTTTTGAGCTATACTTCCTAAGTCTCTGCAGTACATCCTATGACATTGGGCACCAGTTGTCCATAGTGATGTCAACTCTATATATCCCTTTATTGGCTGCCTTCCCTTTCCTGATTCCCTCCGTTATCTCATACTCCCACTCCCCAGGATCACATCCTTAATAAATCACAACACAAAAACCTTTGATTCGGGCTCTGCTTCTGTAGGAACTTAACGTAACACTCAAATCTTTTATGATCACATATCCTTGATGGAACATCTTAAAGGAAAATTGATAGGAAGCTCCAATATACACATTCACAGGTCAGTGTAAATGTGTATGTTTCTGTGTTATTACAACTTTAAAGAAATTACTTTAATCAAATGAATCAAAAATATATTCTCTTACACACTACGTAGCTCAGAGTAGGAAGCTGAAATTGTGTCCTCTCGTATCCAGTTGTCAAGTCCATTTCTTACTTGGCTATCCTATTGTACAAATATTTTCCACATGGCATTCTTCTTTCCCACCCTCTAGCCCTGCCCACTCTTATCAAATTTCAAACCCCTGTTACTTGCCTCAAGTCTTCCAAGTCCTGGGGCCTGGCATGACTTTCTTTAAATTATTCATTTCAGGCAGCAGTATTAAAATGTTATAATTTTTTTTATTACAAAGACAATACATTCTTTTAGAGACACTTTAAAAATTATAGATAAACAAAATTTTGGGGAAAAGTCACAAAAATTAACAGTAAGTACAAGCGTATGATGTAATCAGTGTTATCCTTTGGTAATTAAACTTCTGAATTTTTATGTATATATATTTTTTTCTAAGGCAGAAACATAATGTAAATAATTTTTTATAATTGTTTTTAAACAACTGAAAACATTATTAACTTTTGAGATAATAAATATCTTTCTATAGTGTTTTTTGGCAGCCTAGTTCCTCTTCATTCATTTGTTCATATATTCAGCAGATATTGTTTTAGAGTTGCGTAATTCCCAAATTCTATTCTAAGTATTGCAGATATAATGACCCAGTCTCTGTCATTATAGGCTTTATATGTAATGACTTCTCAGTATTAACAAAGGAATATTAACAAGTGTGCTGAGTACTAAGAAGAGCACAGTGCTAAGAGGGTATAGAGCATACCCTATTCCTGGATCAGGAAAGAGAAACCTGGAATTATATTTCCTTCGGTCAAATTCTTTGACATTTACTTTGTTTTCAATGTTTCACTAATTTTTTTTAAAAAAGCATGCCAGGGTGCCTCCTTACAGATAAATCTTAACGTAATTTCACAACAACTACCTGAGAATAAATGTATACAAGAGAAATTGAAGGGTCAAAATATATGTACCATTTTAAGAGGTCTAATTTTTATATACATTTTATATACACATCCTGCAAAAATGTTACACCACACTACAGCAGATCACCCACTGTGCTCATGCTTAAGTGTTTTCTTTTGCCCCCCTTAATACTGGGTATTCTGAAAATCTCTCTCTCGGTCTCCCCATCCTCCTTCCCTCCCTCTCTTCCCCACAAGTAGATGCCAATTACCCACTAAGTAGTTCCACTTTAAAACACGAGAGAGAGAGAGAGAGAGAGAGAGAGAGTTTTAAATTGAGAGAGAGAGAGAGACAGAGAGAGAGAGAGAGAGAAAGAGAGAGAGAGAGAGATGGAGTTTTAAACTAATTTGTCTTGGATTTATTAAACTTGACTAAAATAAGAATCCCTTATGGGGCTTGTAAAAATCCGCATTTCTGGGCCCCTAAAAAAATCTTCAAGGGAAGGCACTGAAAATGTTATTTTTAAAAGTGCCAAGTTATTCTTTTTAGAAAGCAAAAAAAAAAAAAAAAAAAAAAAAACGAAACTTATTTATGAAAATGTCTGTTAAAATGCCTAAAGAACAGCAGGCTATACGGATTGTGAGCTTCATGCTTATTGAAGAAACCAAGAATAATTACATGCTGTCTTAAGGTCATCAGTGAAGCAAGTTCTACAGAAAATGTAATATTTCTTTGGTCTAATACTCAATGACCGCAAAACTATTCCTTCAAGGACCTGCTCTGTCTAAACTTTGAAAGTGAAATTTATTAGAAAGTTCAAGAAAAAGCAGGTCAAACTGGTATCAGTATTTCCCTTATGTATTTACCCTCTTTCAGACAAATTAATGGTTGAGAGAATATCGAATCTAAATCAGTGAAGCAATTAATGAAGTTTTTCTCACTATATGTGCAGAAGGAAGTAGTTGTACTCTGCAAGGGAATCTATATTAAACATTTATGAAATGTGTATCAGATTCTACAGTACCAGATCCTTGGCTAAATTGAAAATAAAGAGGTGAGTTTATAGAGTTTATAGTTTCCTGTAACAGCTCAGTTATCCAATTTAGGGGCAGATTTATTTTTTAAAAAATTATGAAGTCTAATATACTGCAGTGAAAACATATGCAAAGTACTGTAGGATTATTAAAAAAGCATGAGTGAAAGAGGATCAAATGATTGCACTTAGAAGATCACTCAAGATAAAGAGATGCTGAGTTTATCTTATAAACCTAAGTGCAATTTTAAAAAATAACTTGCAAATTCATTAAGTCCATCAGCATGTTTGAATAGCATTTTCAAAGAAAGTATACAATTATAAAACCCTGGTTATTATTTCCTGTGTGCAGACAAATGGCTTTTCATTAGAGAGACAGTATCTCTTAGTGACACTTTGTTCTTACTTAGTAGCGATCTGTAAACTACTTGATTAGCAAACCTTGTTGGCAACTAAAGGAAACAACACCACAATGAACTATAATATGAACAACATGTAATTTAATGTGTGCACATATATGCTGGTATTCTCACTGCTGTTTTACAATGTGTGTGTAACTAAAATAAGTATAATGCAGTTAGGCATAATCTTCTGTCCTCCGAGTAGAATTTTCCTTAGTCTATAAATCTCTCATGTAGCAACACTGCTTAAATCAGCTCAAAAATCTCAACAGACACTTGCAGTTAATCTATATATCTTTAGTTGGCACATAACATGCTTACAAATTGTCTATTCTACTTACCCACAGTATGACAGAATATGTTATATATATAAAACACAGGGTACTTTCTTCCATGTAATAAATCCCTGTCTATGGAATGCCTTTGAACATTGGCTTCCTAGTATTGATAATTACATTTGAATCAATAGGTTATTAATTAAAGTGTGATTCTTTACATTCATGTAAGTTTTTAATTATTTTAACATCTCTGTTGTAGATTTCTAAATGGCGAATTTGTCTTTCTTTTAATATTATTTAACATAGTTCCAAGTAAGGCTTATCAGCCGCAACTTCAGGAAACTTTCACAATAACATTCCAAGAACTAATTTTAAAAAGCAGTGCGTTTCAGGATATTTCGGAGATAAATTTGTGAAGAAACAAGAATGCTTTAGAATGGGTAAGATTTCTTCTGTTTCTACAAATTCCAGTGTATTGGCTAATCTTGTTTTAACAGTGACCAATAGTGACACTTTCACTGCTTCCCCCTTGGAAACCAGCATCCAAACTAGAAGTTTTCATAAATAGACAGTAAGTTGGAAATAATATGATGGATTCAAGACAGAGGATTTGGGGACTCTGTGTAAACATTTGACTACCAGAATGTTTCAAATGAAGCAAACGCTTGGGCAGCCCTCCACTTTGCTAGGACTAAATCTGGCACGCTGCCTTTGTACTGAAATAGAATATAGGGAAGAGGGGCTGGACTCCCTCAAATACTTGCACAGAAACATATCATTGCTAGGAATATATGACCAAATACAGATTTTTGAAGAAGTTTACATCATTATAACTACCCCAAAGCTTATTTACAAATATATTAAACAGAAAGTCACTGAAAACTTACGATAATTCCTAGCTGATAAGGAGGTTTAGAGGAGAAAGAGGTGGGGCAGGAAGAGGCAGTGGGAATTTGGGGACATGGGGAGATAACTAATAAACATTGTCATTGGCCTGTTGCCAAATCATTTGGGAATCACTACTGCACTAACAAAAATCTTTTGGAAAACTTTGAGATGAAATTCATGTTTATTTCTAATTCTGTGGTTGAGCTGGCAGGGAAAGATTCAACTGAGAAATTGACTTACCAAACATTAATTTTATTTATAAAAGCCTTCAGCAGAAATATGCTTTACAGTTACAGATTTAGGGATTTTTATAATATGTAACTAACCAGTGAAATTCAAACAAAGAAGGAAAGCTTTCCTTTAATACTTTAATCACAAGTATTAACCTTATATTTCAAATAACTCAACAATGTGGTATATACCTGGAATGTACATTCCATATTTTTGAAGGGTTGTATCATCTATCCAGAACTAAATTCAAACTTTTTTTTTGAAGTTGTAGCTGACAACCTTATTTGGTAGTTGATACGTTTTTATGACCCACATTATTTGAACTATTATGATAAAATAAAAATTCAAGCGATGGTGACTATGGTTACTAGCCCTAAGATAACTCTCGGAAGGCTGGAAGTATCTCTCTGAATCAAAAGTCACTTTTTGAGGATAATATCCTCCTTCAGTTTTACTCTCTGCCCCTCTGATCCGCACTGTGATTGCCTTCTTTGGTAACATATTTGAAGAAAACCCCGCTATATGTCCTGTGTCATGTGTTGCCTAAATCTGAACCATCATACTTAAGTAAAATGTTCTCTCCCGAGTTTAAAGCATTTCCCATCTGAGCCATACTGAACAACGGATGATTTGGTATTTTCTGTAATCTATCAATGTATGGTCTATTTTTCTAAGTGACAAAAGGCAGATAAGAAGAGGACACATAATTGTGAGTACACTAACTGCTATTAAAAAAAGAGTATTAGATGCTACAGAGATTTATAAGAAGAGATTATATCCAATTCATTTAGGAATTGAACTAAGGAAAGACTTCTCAGAAAAAATAAAACTTGAACTGGCATTAAATATAACTATGTCCAAAATTAGAGACAGAATGGTAAAAATACAAAATCACACTCTAGTTGGAAATCCTTCCTATAGTCTTCAGAATCCCATTCAAACATGGAAGCACAGAATATGAGGCCCTGCATGATCTCGGTCCTGTCTGCCTTTCTGTCCCTTCATCTTACCATATCTTCACTTTGAAGTACATACTCTTGTCATATTGAACTATGTTTGATTCCAAGTAGAAGGCACACATTCTTGAGTTCATGCCATTGAATTTGCAACTCCTATTGTTCAGAATATACTTGAGTATTTCTCTTTCTAGTTAACTTTCCCTCTCTACCACCTGGCCTGGCCAACTCTTACTCAACAGCACAAAACACATTTCAAATCTCATTTCCTCTGGGATGCTCCTACATGACAGTTATTTTATTCTTTTTCTCTTTTCCTCTCTCTCTTTCTCTTTCTTTCTTTCTTCTTTCTCCCTCTGTGTCCTCCCTCCCTCCCTCCCTCGCTCTCTTTCTTTCTTTCTTTCTTTCTTTCTTTTTCTTTCTTTCTTTCTTTCTTTCTTTCTTTCCTTCTTTCTTTCTTTCTTTCTTTCTCTGTGCATGTGCTTACTCCAAGTGCTTCTACAGCATTTCTGGAAAACTTTCCCTTTGTTATAATACTTTTTTTCTTGGATGTCGGGAGCAGACAGTTGAAGTAATTATACTGCACTTCTCAGTTCATGCCCCATTACCATCATTGGTCCAAACAAAACCCTTCTCTGATTTTAGGTATTTATTTATTACCTTTTAGCTCCTCACACACTCCCATCTCCACTTCCATTATAAGCAATCACTCATTCTGTTTAGTGAGTATAATTTTATTTGTGTAGTTTTATAAAATATATACCTCAAATGTCAGTATTTTTAAGTTTATGCAAATGTATTGGTTTTGATTTTTTCATTTCTTAGTTTAACAAAATATTATGTATATAATATACATCCAGGTTGCTGTGAATCCATGTAATCTCTTACACTTAATTCCTGTACATAATTCACAGCGTGCATTTACTCCCTCAATACTACATGTCTGGATTGCCTAGAAGAACCTGCCATCACACACACACACACGTGCATGCTCCCACATGCTCACACTCACATATACACACTTGCACACACATCCACACGTATGCACATACACGCATACACGCTCATCTCATACACATATGCACATACGCAATTCTGCAATGACAGTGCTCCTAGATGCCCCATCATGAATTTGTAAGCACCTCTTTGGTATATGGACCCAGGCATGGAACTGCTGAGTCATCATCCATTTTATAATTAATTTATCCAAAAAGTGCCAGACTGTCCTCCAGAGTGACTAAAGCTTCCCATATCCTCACATCTCTGCCATCAGTTGGCATTATTCAGCTTTCTAATTTTTCCAGTCTAATAATGTGTAAAACATCTTTACTGAAACAGAAACAACTCCTTAACACTGAAACTGAATTATGTCTCTTATTTGTCCATCTATTATGTAATAGCCTGTAAGATGGTAGAGGCCATTAAAATCCAAAGGTGCTGAAAACATATTTGAAGAATGAAGATTTCAAGAAAGCAAGTCTGAAAGTGAAAAAGAGAGATAATATTACCTAAATTAATTAAACAAGAAATTGGCTAAGGTAAAATAGATATGACCCAATTCCAATTCTAACTCCATGGTCATTTCCACATAACAGAAGGCAATGTCTTTATGCCTCAAGTGTTAAAAATTATTATAAAAATGTTACATACTTCATTCTTTTGGTAGGAATAGGGGTCAATATATCCAGGTCCTTTTTGTATCTTGCTAATTCTAAGATACCTCTGTGATAGGTAATGTGACATTAGACTTTTCACAATATCACTAATGAGAATCAGAGGTCTTTTAATAAACTATTCTTTCAGTCAGTCAGATGAGCTTCTCAGCATGTTCAGCCTCAGCAAATCCATCTTCTCAGCGGGTTCTAAATGCTTGCTCTAGTTCTCCAAACTTCATGATGCAGGGGTTAAAAATCATGACACAGAACTTGTCAGCACAGCCTGTTAATTCACATATATCAAGATTGCCCAATGAATTGCCCAAGGAATTCTTCGTTTGCTTTGTTCTGACCTTTTCAAAGTCTTCATTAATTTATACGTTCAAGAAATATTCTTTGAAGTATTTTCTAAGAAGTAATTTAATCCATTTGTTGTTGATTTATATCTTGTTCATTACAAAAAGAATTTTAAGTGGCAAATTGTTCATCATTTTTTATTTCAATGATACACAAAATTTTATGTTTATTTCTACAATTTTCCTAATGCCTTTTTCCTTATTAGAAAAAAAGGTCATATGCATTTCTATGTGGCTCACAGTGGTTCACAGTAAGGCAACTCATCACAGTCTGGGGCTATCCCTTCTGTTATACACATATTGGGTCTTCTCAGAGATCTTTGATTTTATCTTTATAGATCTATATATAATTCTTCTTACACTCCAGCCCTGTGTAACAGAGAATTTCTAATCCTGTGTGGCTTAATTGGAAAAAAGCAGGCACACATATGGCCGACAGTCTTGGAATTAGAAGCTTTGAATTTGAGCTATTCTCCCATGAACTCCAGTCATTGAATTGGAGCACTTGATGAAGATTCTTCAGTTCCCTTATCCATAATTTATGGTAACATTCCTGAATTTTAATATGAATATTCATTATGATTTATTGAACAAATACTTTTTATAGAGCTAACTATGTGCAAGGTACAGCTCTTAGCATTTTAAATGTAAAAAGTACTTGGATCCTCAGGACAAACAACCCTTTTATGCAGGCACTAGTATTATGTCCACTTTGCAAATGAAGAAATTGGGCCCAGAGAGGGTAGCTAACTAGTCCAAGACCACATAGCTTGTCAATGCCGAAGCTGAGATTCTAACATTAGCAGTCTAACTAAACAGTTAATGGTCTAAATCTGTTTTGTGTAATGGTTCCAAAATACACATGATTTTTAAAGTTTTCACTGAAATTATACGGACCTATTATCATTATGTATGTAAAAAGTAAAGCTTACTCTTTGAAAAGGAAGACAGATTCTACTCCATGAAATCCAGATCGTATGTGGCTCTCTTCACTTTCCTCATTAAAACAATTCCCATTCCAACAATCTCCCAAACGTGTTCCATGGATTATAGTGCTACAGGACCAGGTGGGCAAACTCCCATGCCCCTCACTTCCCTGCCTGTCTTCTTTACTGAAACCATTACCCAATCTCTTTGAAGCAAAAATACCATGGCATACCAACAAAGTATAGTATCATAAATTTAAAACATTTTTTTCAAATTTCATCTAAGGGAAAACTCACCCAAACTTTAACAACCATGGCACCAAGGCTTATTCACTGTTCAATTATTTGGCATAGCAACTTAAAGGTCACCTTTCTAGCACCAATATGTTATATTTTATTTTAAAAAGACAATCACACACCCTTTACCTTTTTAAGTCAACAAGGATGCATCAATAAACACTTATGAAACACTCACCAGCTGTCAAGTACCATGCTAGGGCTAGGAAATGCTGAGATAGAGAAGGCAATAGCTAATCTCTGAAAAAGCTTATACAGAAGTCAGAAAAATTAAAACCTGATATAGATGCTGTGAACAAAGTGAGCTAAGGTTTATTTTTGTTGTTACCAGCATATTTGAATTAAAAGTATCAGATGTGAAGCTTAGCATATTGTTTAAATAACAAAATAACCATAAGAATTTCTTTTAATTAAGGATGTATATACATAGAGACTTGCTTTTAGGTCTTGTATGAATGAAAATAAAAGGACTTATAAGATTTAAATTGCTATCTAAGATCAAGCTAAAGACATTTTGAAAATAACTCCACTGAGCAAGGTTAATACATTTGAACAATTAATTCAAATACAAATTCTGTGGGAAGTCGTCCAATTTTCAACCTAGAAAATATGTTGGAAACAATGCATTTTTTCAGATCTTTCTGATAGATTTATATTTTTATTTTGTGCTTACTTAAACTCCTACATAATTCCTCAATGTAACAATATTACTAAAACAGGAATAATGTAGTGATGTCATGGTAAGAACTGGAAAGGCTTTTGGAACAGAGATAACAAACATGTTATTCTATCTAGCCATACATTCACAGATATAGAGTCAATTCCAGGGAAGGAAAATCTTTTTTATCTCTGTAACTTCAGTCTGAAGTGTTCACAGCTGGTTCTTATTCATTCTTCAGATCTAGCCTTAAAACTCTTCTCTTTAGATAAGGATTTCTCTGACCTTCCAATCTAAAGCAGGCTCATTATATTCTCTCAAATCTATTCTTTTATGGTACCTACTGCAATTTTTTATCGCATAGTAACCTGTTTACTTATTTGATGGCTTCCTCCTAATTCAATTATATGCCTAGGGATGAGAGACCTGTCTGCCTTGGTCATCACTGAATATCCAGCCCCTGGCATGCCACACCCTGGTTGAATCTGAATAAACAAAGTAATGTGGTCATGATCTGCATCCTCACTCAGAAATTTCTGAAATCCATCTGTGATTGATAGTATTCTTTTCAGTAGCTTCAGGACTTTTACTCTGCACACATCTTTACACATACATTAAACCTCCCCATTTAAACCTTTTAAAATATGAAAGCACCAAACAGTGTTAATTGATAATTCACAGCAGTACCTTTGGGAGATTATTTTATAATGCCATTCTTATTAATTTCCACCCTAAATCTTTTGCATGAGGGAGATGTTCTGACAGTAAGAGGTATGGACAAGGAAACAATAGCTGACAAAATTCATCTTTAGTTGAAGGACAAAAATTCGTTAAAAAAATAAGTCTTACAAAGTAAGGAGCACAAAAAATTAACTGTACTGATTAATATCTCAAGAAAAAAAGCTATTTTCTTTTCCTTTTTTTTTGAGACAAAGTCATACTCTGTTGCCAGGGCTGAAGTGCAATGGCACGATCTCAGCTCACCACAACCTCCACCTCCCGGGTTCAAGCGATTCTCCTGCCTCAGTCTCCTCAGTAGCTGGGATTACAGGTGTGCACCACCATGCTCAGCTAATTTGTGTATTTTTTAGTAGAGACGGGGTTTCACTATATTGGCCAGGCTGGTCTCGAACTCCTGACCTAGTGATCTACCAGCCTCGGCCTCCCAAAGTGTTGGGATTACAGGCATGAGCCACCACACCCAGTCCTCTTTTATTTTCTTTAACTGTTTAGCCGCAGAAGAGTGAAACAATCTAGGAAGCAGCTGAAGACAAATTTGCAGCTTTTTGTAAGTCCAGTATTGGCTAAACAAAACATTATAGTGGCCATTTTCCCACAGATCCCACCGTTCTATTCTAAAATTTCAAAGTAATATATTTTAAACCTCTATAGTCCCCTTCTATTCAGTTCCACCAATCAAGTCAATAGTATTTTTTTCATACATATTACAACCATCCTACTTTACCTATGCTGACAAAAACATCTGTTTCAAGGAATCTGAGACATCCAGATAAAATGGCAAAAGCTGACCTGAATTTTATCTGTGGTGCTGCCACATATAAACTAAATCTATTACTTAAATTCGGGGCCTCTTTTTTATTCATCTACAAAACGGGGATAATAATACATTGTTAGAATTCAATAAAGGAATGAACATTAAAGAGCTTTTTAACTGCAAATAACTCTATAGATATGGGTAATTATTATTATCCTCTTCACTAGAATTCAATGAATTAAGGTCCCAGTTCAAAGGATTTCCAGTCATAAATTTGTATTGTGTGTTAGTGCTGTAACTATTATATTCCACTTTTAATGTTTAATTCCATTATAACACTCCTCATCTCTTGCCATTCTTACTCTCTCTGCTCCAGGGGAATTGAGACCAATACTCTGATGGTTGAGTTTGGAGGAAGAAACTTGACCCACATAGCTCAGCCCTTTGTTCTTCTCTTTTCTGGTAGTGAACTCAGTGGGAAGCCATGCATTTCCTTTACAATGCTCCTCCACTGGCAGGTTCAGCTTCTGATGGAGGAGGCCAACCCCAGTCACTGACAGTGACAAGAGACTTGGTAGCCAGCATCCAACAGGCCACCAATGATTCATTCCTCTGGCTATCTCTTGTTTGTGTAGACACCAACCACTCTGAATCTGGCTAACTTGTAAAACCAATAGAATAATGGAGAAATGACAGTGTGTGACTTTCTGAGGCAAAACCATAAGAGAAATTGTGACTTTTGCCTTGCTCGTTCTGGGAGAAGCCAGCTGCTAATGTTATGAAGACACTCAAACAGTCCTATGGAAAGGGACTGAGGATACTGCCAATAGCCCGCATCAACTTGTAAGTGATGTAATTAAGCCATTTGCAAGGCAGATCTTCTGGCTTCAATCAAGCTTCAGACTACAGCCCAGGCCAACATTTTGACAACAACCTCATTGGAGACGCTGAGCTAGAGCCATCGACTCCTGAATTCCTCATCAGGAGACATTGTGTGATATTATATAATGAATGTTTATTGTTGTTTGAAGCTAAATCTTGAGATCATTTATATAGAGTGATAGAGAATTAATACAAGAGGTTAAGTGCTGCCAAATGTTATATCTGTTAGCAGACATAAGTTACATTCTCCAATATTAGCTTGAAATACCAAAGGTGAAATTTTACCTTCCAAATGTTGCATCTTTTGTGTTTTTGTTATTACTTCAGATCTTGAGTGAGGAAGAGGGGTTCCAGTTATTGGGTCCCCTAAAACACTAACATTATGCTTTGCATTTTATCATTCATTCCCTATTCAGCTAGCATTCTGTTGAACATTTACTAATTCTAAGCACGGTGCAAAAGTTTTGAATGCCAAAAGAGTAAGAAGACCTTTTCCACTGCCATTAAAGTTTGCATAGACTTATGAAAAATGGACATAATTATTAATAACTACTAAATTATATCATAGTCAAATCTCATAAACTGGTTAATTGGCTATGGGGGCAGAAGGAGAAGAGTTCAGCTAGTATAAAATTGATTTGATATATTTAATTAAAATTATCTCTCATATGTAGACAGTGTATGCGAGTAAGCCCAGCCCAATGGGTTATCACACTTATGATAATCCTTTTTGAGGAGAGAAACATAGTGTTGAGAGCATAAACTCTGGAGCGAGGCTGCCTCAATCTCTCTCCTGGCTCTGCCTCTTGGGACTGGTGTGATTTTGGAAAATTAACTTTTGGTGCCTTTTTCTGCATCTGTCAAATGAGGGTTAAATGGGTGAATACATGTGCAGTATTTAGAGTAGTGCCTAGCACCATATTATTGTTTGGTATTACTATTAGAATTTACAAAATCTTTTCATTATGTTGACAATGGTTAGCCTCAAGATCCTGAAACTCTGATTCATGCATATAAGAGCCAAGTCATACGTTGTTGTTTTCATAAATTAGTTTGCCAAAACATGTATTGAAGATGTCTACTAGTGTTCCAAGAGCTTCGAGAGAAATCTTTGCTCTTTCTACAGCAGATAGGCTCATGTGCTGGAATTGCTTGTGTCCATTTTTTGATGCACTACCCACAATTACCTTATTAATGTTATCCTATGAGAAACAATTCAAGATTTTTTATTTCCTGAAGCTCTTCACATAACCAGACAACAATGCAAAATAAATATTCTTTATCTTGTTCAAATTCATACTTTTTCAAATAAAAAATGTTTTATTCCATATTCTAGTTCAAGTTGTTCAGTAGTCCCCTCTTTTCATAATTGTTCTAAGTTATTAAATTTTTATGGAATGTAAAGCACTTAATAGTTTTTGTTAAATAAAATGTTTTACTTACTAAGCTATATATCTAAGGTGCAAAGGAGACAGGCTTTCCCACATTGTATTAACTACATTATGGCATCTTTTGTTCACTATCATTCAAAATGATAGAACTTTAAAATAAAAAAAAAAAAACAGGAGACAGTGGAGAGGGAGTCACAAAGAATGTCTTGTGCAAAAAGAAAAATGAGTTAATGAGCATGTTCCAATACAATGGACTAATGTTTGTGTCCTCTCAAAATTAATATGTTGATATTCTAACCCCCAATATGATTGTATTAAGAGATGGAGCCTTGGTAAGGTAATTAGGTCATGAGGGTGGAGCCTCAAGAAATTTCATCAGCTTCATGTTAAATCCATCTGGTACTTACACTTCTTGTGAGTTCAAATAAAAATCCCATAAAGTTATATCCTGTGAAATTTAATAGAATCCACCTAATTCAGAGTTTTATTTACAATGCATTTATGGCCCCATTTATTGTAAAATGAGAATAATTTCAAATAATAATTTTAAGTTCCATGTTATTTGCAAATGAAAATGGAGTAAAGGAAGGGAGAAAAAATATTTGCTCTGTCAAATTTGCATTGTTGTACCCTAGAAATTGAAAGAAGAAATCAATGAAAAACTGTGATTTTGTTTGCCTTTTCCAAACATATTGCATCATTCATGTAACCCAATTTAGTAACCCTATTTAAACTTTTTTCTTGATGTGAAGCACAAAGAACTTTGAGTTCGTTCTTTCTAATCTAGAGAATAAAAGGTCTTTAACAGTGACATAATCAAAATATTTCCAATAAAATTCTAAAATCAGGTACAATTAATACAATCACTATTCTACAGCATAAAGTATCTCTATGTTAAGAAACTGCTCAGAAAACATAAAAAGTGCATGCAGTGAAGTAAGAACTAGGGGAAAAGTAAGAAAACACAAACCACAATTTCAGCCTCTTCTACTTTTTGTCTACTATGTGTTTAAAACAGCTAAATATAAGCGTAAAAAGAGGCTTCAGTGGCATATCTCCTATAAAAAATAAAATATTAAAACCAGAAACTGTATTCATAATAATTTTAAGATGTGATTGATATCTTAAAATAAATAAAATGCAAACCTATATTGAATAACCTGTGGACAATTTACAACAAAGAATAATGACTGTACATCAGCATTTGAAGCAATCACTAGTAAGCTTCAAAGTAAAGGAGTAAACTAACCATTCTCTTGGCAAAATAGATAGTAATTCACATTGTGTTCTTTGATAGTTTCCATCTGCTCCAAAGGAATTTCACCACTATCTTTCCTGGTCCTCCTTCGCTCACCCAACAACCTAGATGGCTGGAAAGTCCTTATATTGGACTGCTAATATTGATGTTTTTAAACAGAGAATTTCAAAATTGATAGCACAAAACCTCACAATAAATATGTATCTCACTTTCCACCTTTTGTCCAAAAAGACACTACTCAAATGAACATATTTTACTAGATAGACAGAGTTATAGTGTAGTAACCCCAGCGATGTTATATGGTCCTTGATTCTTAGTACATTAGCACCAATATATTTAGTTATTTAAATGTTATTCTCCCTGTTGACATTCAGGCCTTGAAGAGCTTAATTATAAATCAAATAGGTCACAATACTAGCTGAAAGTTATGTCTGGCCTAGAATAGGAAGATAAGAGTGTGGACATCAGAGAGCACTAGGAAGTTGCTTGGGACAAGAGGAAGGACAGGCATTGTATTCCCATAAAGAACTACCTAAGACTGGGCAATTTATAAAATAAAAAAAAAAAATTTAAATTTTAAAAAAAGATTTAACTGACTCACAGTTTCCCATGGCTAGGGCGGTCTCAGGAAACTTAAAATCATGGCAAAAGGTGAAGGGGATGCAAAGGAGAGAGAGAGGGCATGAGCAGGGAACCACCACACACTTTTAAACCATCAGATCTCATGAGAACTCACTCACTATCACAAGAACAGCATGTGGGAAACCACCCCCATGATTTAATCACCTCCCGCCAGGTCCCTCCCTGGACACATGGGGATTACAATTGGAGATGAGTTTTGGGTGGGGAGGACACAGAGCCAAACGATATCAGGCATGAGGACCAAAGGAGACCACATCATGTCTATCTCTGAGTAGCTTTACTAAGAGTTGATGGATGATATCATTTTAAATGTGCTTTTAAATTTCAGTTGTGTGTATAGTGTGTGGACCACATTCAACTTGTTTCCTTCTTTAGGAAACAAGAATATTGACTATATGGAAAAAAAGGAATTCAAACACAAAAAGAATAAAAATGTTTAATCTTTATTTTCCTGAAGGAAAAGTAAAGTCGGGGTCAGACGCAGTGGCTCATGCCTGTAATCCCAACACTTTGGGAAACCAAGGCAGGCAGATCACTTGAGGTCAGCAGTTTGGGACCAGCCAGGCCAACATGGTGAAGCCCCGTCTCTACTAAAAGTACAAAAATTAGCCAGGCTTGGTGGTGGATGCCTGTAATCCCAGCTACTCAGGAGGCTGAGGCACAAGAATTCCTTCAACCCAGGAGGTGGAGGTTGCAGTGAGCCAAGATCATGCCACTGCACTCCAGCCTGGGTGACAGAGAGAGACTCCATGTCAATAAAAAAAAAAAAAAAAAAAAAAAAGGCAAGGCAAGGCAGAAAACTTCCACGGAAGTCAAAGACAATAAAAGGCCACATGGATTTAGCCACAAACTTTCTATTTCTAAAACGTGGTTGTAGCTGAAAGCAAACTGGGCTTTTATAAAATTTTCTTATCCAGAGCCTTCCCCTTGAAGAGTAACTGTCATTGTTTTATTTTCTAATCCACTGATTTTAATAAAATGCATCTGCCACATTAAAGGGAACTGTAAAATGATAATCATTTATAATACTGAGAACTCCAGTCGCTCACCAAGCATATTTTGCCATTTCTGCCACATGGTGAGCTTAAAAAAGAAAGTACATCTGGGTTATTGCTTTATGTTCTTATAAAGTATTGAGAGGTTCTTTTCTTCTTTTTACACAGTACCAACACACATTTCTTAATAAAATATGTAATGGCATTTTTTTTTTGCATGTGCTCTGTGCAAAACTGTCACAACAAAGCTTAGCGCCATAAGAAATGGGCACTGAAAGAGTTGTTACAAGCTGTGTGTCCTGGCTTTGTTCAATCCATTAGAATTACTAGATTTTAATTTCTTCTGAGTCAACACAGTTCACTGAGTCCACCATCCCATTAGCTAGATGGGAGTTTTTATAAAGATTCATAAAAAATCTTTTTTTTTTTTGAGATGGAGTCTCACTTTGTTGCTCAAGCTGGAGTGCACTGGCGCGATCTTGGCTCCCTGCAACCTAGGCTTCCCAGGTTCAAGCGATTCTCCTGCTTCAGCCTCCTGAGTAGCTGGGACTACAGGTGTCCGCCACCACACCCGGCTAATTTTTTGTATTTTTAGTAGAGATGGAGTTTAACTGTGTTAGCCAGGAAGCCCTCGATCTCCTGACCTTGTGATCCTCCCGCCTTGGCCTGCCAAAGTGCTGGGATTACAGGCTCAGAGCAATTAACACAGTGATATGTCCAAGAGGTCTCTGCCCTGAGGAATCCAGTGCTGACTTATTATGCATCACTGTCTCCTGTACAGTCTAGCAGGATGGAAACTTTGTGCACTGGAATTTACAAACTAGTAATCAGAAATTCAGTATTAAATATCACCAAAGACAGACAAAAGCATTGGCTCTTTGTTCCTGCTAAAACCATTACTCCCTGAATAATATTAATTATGAAAAATGATAGAACAAATTTCTATAAGTCATGTCTTTGTGAAATAAATGAATTTCTTTTTACAATATGTATTCACATGGATAGGTTCCTTAAAATAGGTGATTTATTGTGATTTCTTTCAAAACCAGTTTATTTGAACATGTTTTTAAAACCACGGTAAGGACCTTGTTAGAATCACCATATAAAATTATAGTTATAGATGAGTTCCATTACTGGTATCTCTTACACTGCAGATTTTGAAGATACCTTTGATGATTATTAAGGTTTCTTCTTCCTTAGCAGAGAGAAGCTGACACACATACAAGTAAAGTAAGAATTGACAGGCTTTTACAAATAAGTAGAGAGCAATTGTTCTGACATCTCTGCCTTGGAAGTTTAGAATTCTAAGTTACTTCCCCAGAAAAACTAAACTATCATATCTTTTCTATGGCAGTGTATTAGACCATTTTTACACTGCTATAAAGAAATATCCAGGACCGGGTAATTTATAAATAAAAGCGATTTAGTTGACTCACAGTTCCCCATGGCTTGGGAAGCCTCAGGAAACTTAGAATTATGGCAGAAGGTGAAGGAGAAGCGAGGCAGGAGAGAGAGAGAGCCACAGAGAGAGAGAGAGAGAGAGAGAGAGAGCGCAAAAGGGAAATTGCCATGCTTTTAAACCATCAGATCTCATGAGAACTCATTCACTATCACAAGAACAGCATGGGGGAAACTGCCCACATGATCCAATCACCTCCCACCAGGTCCCTCCCTGGAAGTGTGGGGATTACAATTTGAGATGAGATTTGGGTGGGGAAACAGAGCCAAACCATATCAGAGAGGGATCCTCAACCTTGATTTGATTGGTGTTTGAATTAATCTCAAGTAGAACCCAAGGACAATATCAGATGATAGGAGAGGCTCAACCTACATGTGCTCACTATATTGGTAAACCAAAGGTCTCCCCACCCTATGCCTTCCCCATACCTACTATCTAGGAGGACTTTAAAAGAGCTTCAGTGTATCTTAGCCACCTCTTATTTCTGACAGGCTGGAATGTACTGGAGAGAGAAATGTTGGAGTTACGTGGCTGAAAGTTTGTAAATAATGTAGTAAAGTTCTAGAAAAGACTGTGGAAGAACTGGCTTTACACCACTTCCATTGTATAGTGGGATGAAGATAAACCCGGACGCACTGGTACATGAATTTGTAGAGGAAGTGGTGGTGCAGGGAAGAGTACAAAGAGAATTGAGTGATGTCTATCTAATGGCTTGTAGTTTTTCTGTGAAGTATAAAACTAGCTCATTAATTTATAAGGAAGGAGCATGAAGTAATAAACTAATAAGAGTGAAAAATATTTTAAGCAAAAAATAGTTTGGGGCATAATTTTGAAGTGTCATGAGTAGTAGTATAAAAACTTTGAATTTCTATCACTGAGAGTGAGTCATTTTATCTCATTTTACACTTGAATATCAACTGTTAAATTTGCAATTAAAAAGTCATTGATAATCTTAATGAGAGCTATTTCAGTAAGGGAGAAACTCAAATTGAAATAAATGGAGGAATAATAGAGTAGAAGAAATGGGAATACAGAGACGGATTCAAAAGTGTGGCTCCAAAAGAGGCAAACTCTTTGACCCAGGAATTCTACTCCTGGGAATATATCCTAAAATCTTTAAAGATTTGGCATGTCTCTCATCTCATTCCCTCTTCAAGTTCTGACACATGCAGTATACTCACAAGAATATTCAAATGAAAACTAATTGTATTAATCCATAAAAGCATAATATGACAACCTATTTGTGATTGTTTAGGAAAGCCTTAAGAGGAGAACATAACTTCACCTCAGATTGAACTGGGGCCCCCTATCCTTACTCTGAATGTGTGTTTTAGGGTGTACATATTTAGCAGTCCATTGGGAAAGTGATTACGGTAGAAGTGGTAGTAAGTGTAAGACAGCATGAGAAAGTGAGAACCAGCAAGACACACACACACACACACACACACACACACACACACACAGAGAGAGAGAGAGAGCGCACCTTGATCTCTAAATAGAATCTTTCCTGGATGGGCAGGTAGAAAGAATAGTTGGGGTGGCCTCTAGAATACCACGCCTACTCAGGGAGTCATAGAAGTGCCAATGTACCCACTGTGCCTGAGTACTACAAACTCCAGAAAGACAAAAATTATACCTGGTTTTGTTTACCATTGTAACACTAGCACAATACCTCACCTAATTAATGTTCACTGAGTGTATTAATTAAAGAATACAGATGTCAAAAAACTATTTCAAGATGTCATATTTTGACCAAGGAGATATGAAATACAGGAAGGACTGATAATCAATGAACACATGTGGGTATATTTGAAGCAATTATTTTCAGTTTCCCTTCTTTATGGACATGCCAGCATCAATTGTGACTAGTCAATGTCTGTATTTTATAGGTAGTTTAATCATTTGAATTTTTCCCCTGGGTTAGGGTTTAAATGAGAAGGTAGTTTAGGGAAAAACATTACTTTTTTTATCAAAAATATCTTATTTTTATCAACATGGATTATCAAATTTGTTAGACAAGGGTTTCTATAGTAATGTTTAGTGGTTTTGAATGCTATTATCACTCTTTCCAAATCTTCTGAAAACATTGTTTTTATACTTTTTAAGTAAAAATTTTAAATGATGGTATTAGATGAAAATAATTTTGAGACATTTTAGAAAATCTAGTTTCATTTTTTAAAATACTATATATTTAAGATATGTGTTATTCTAGCCAATTTATCTCTTTTACTACATTTTGTGTTATAGTCCTCTTCAAAGGATACTTTGAAATGTTCTCTGTAACTTATAGAGGAGGGAACAGAAGTTCATGTAATACTTTCATTTAGTCAAGATATTTATTGAGCACCTACTATGTGCTGTACTGCTAGGTATAGTGGATAAAATGATGGCAAATGGGAACATGTCTTCAAGAGTCCAACATAGAATTATGTTAATCATATAATTAAGATGGGGCGCAGTGGCTCACGCCTGTAATCCCAGAACTTTGGGAGGCCAAGGTGGGTGGATCACCTGAGGTCAGGAGATCAAGACCATCCTAGCTAACACAGTGAAACCCCGTCTGTACTAGAAATACAAAAAATTAGCCAGGCATGGTGTCACGTGCCTGTAATCCTAGCTACTGGGGAGGTTGCGGCAGGAGAATCACTTCAACCCGGGAGGCTGAGGTTGCAGTGAGCCGAGATCGTGCCACTGCACACCAGCCTGGCGACAGAGGGACAGAGCGAGACTCCGTCTCTAAAAAAAAAAAAAAAAAAATATATATATATATATATATAAAATTAAATTATTGACTCTATAATTACATTCTAGAGGAAAAGAACATGTTCTAAACTTCTGCCTCAGAGAAGTTTGACCTTGGAAGATGAGCAAAGAACTGAGATATGAGGGATGAGCAGGAGTGCAGGAGAAAGTCATCCATGCAAAGAAAATAAGTTTTGAATAGGTCCTTTGACAGAAGGGATCGTAGTGCACCATAAACAACTCCTTTGTAGACTGCATGAATGGAACCTCTGGGGTTACTTTTTGGCTACCTTATATGGCCTATGGCTATGGCCCTGAAAGTATGGCTCAAAGAACGACAGTAGTGCAGGGGGAGGATGGAATGACAGACAGGAGCTAGCCTATGCTGGGAATGTAAATCATTCTAAGTATTATTGTCCATTTCAGATTTTTAACGGAAAAGTTACACAGATTTGGGAAAATCTCTCTAACTAAGGTGCAGAGAATAGAGTGGAGGGAGTACAAGGTGAAATAAGGGAGAGCAGGTAAGCAGTTAGAGTAGTTGTTCAGTTGAGAAGATGGTGACAATGAAGGTAGAGATAGCCTCATGCACTGATAAAGATAGTACCACTCTTAAACTGTATTTAATCCTACATCCAAGCTAATGTATACTCCTCTCTACACAATCACTACCAGGTTATTATATATGTCTCCTCTTGAGCACCTTCCAATGTTGATGTAAACAAAAATCATATATAGGCTAGTATAACTGAGCAATAAAACACCTAGATTGGATTCAGAAAGTTTGGTTTTAAATCTACTACCACCTTGCATGGCTATGGGAAAGTCTCTTAACCAATCCATGTCTCAGTTTTCTCTTTGGTAAAGTACTGAAAATAGTTTATACTTTACAGAGTTATGAGAATTGACTAAAACAATGTACTTTTAGGATCTATAATAATATTTAGCAGTAAAAGCCCAATAATTAGATTTTCGTATTAATAAATGATGAAATTTGATTTGTAAAGCTATAAAACAAACATCTGAATCAATTGAGCATATTATTTTATGATCATTTCAGGATAAAGTGAATATTTTACAGTGTACTATATTGTAGCCTTTCTTTTCACATATTAGGATCCAAGGTACTTTCTTTCATTAAAAATTCTATTGTTCATTTTTTATTGTAGTGTTCTTGACACAGTTTTGGTGTAGGAAAAATACTGGGATACCAAATAACCTGTCTTAGCTCTGGATAATTAATACATTAATATATCTTTAAATGTTAATTTATATTAATTATATTTAAAACTCTGACTTACATCTATAAAATAGAATGTAAAATGAAGTTAAATTCAGCTAGAGAAATAAAGCTGCTAACTTGAGAAGAGTAAGATTTATGGAGCTTGTTAATCCTCTAAAATTACTTTATTGTTTCTCATCTATAAGGTGAGTCCCACAGAGAGAATACTGCCCAATTTTATGCCAACTGTTGTGGTATAAAATATATTTACTTTTTATTGAAGTATAATATTTCTTATTATTGTGATATATTTTTTGCCAAAGACATAAGAATTTGTGTATCTTCCCAAGGAGAGACAATTCTTCATCCTTTCTCTTTAACATAATATAGGTTTTAAGGGCAGTAGGATGACCAAAGTAGTGATAATAATAATTTCTGAAAAAGCCAGTTCAATTATCCTCATCATCGAAAAATTCCATAAACATGTTTTATGTTGTCACATTTCTAAAATACAGAATGTTGTATGTGTTTTTAAATTTTGTGAAATAGTAAATTCAAGCATAATCTAGCATTCTATTTATAGTGTTGGTTACTCATTTTACTTTTTAATACTAAAGGAAATAAAAATTCTGGCTACGTTATTGCTGCCTCAAGTCATAAGTTTTATTTATGGCCATTCCTTTGCAATGAACAAAGATAATGCTTAATGTTTCTTTTACTCCTTAAAAGATTGATAATTACTGACAATGAAATATAGAATGATTTAAGATTTAAGAAATATAAGAATTCCCTTTCCTATAATTTATATTTATTAATTCATTATTTCAAAAGAATTTACCATGTGCCTTTTAAATGATGGTGAAATGCACTCCACTGAATTCTGAGGGTATAAGTGTTTAAAGAAAATAATCCTTGTCCCTACACAGAATGCTTTAAAAGTATGAAAGTATAATGTACACAAGTAATTTATTATGCATATAGTGTATATGGGAAAAAGATCAAGAGATAACTTGGACTGCTAGTTAGGTGACACATCACAAAAGGCCATATGCAAGATATTAGCTCTAACATAGATTAAGGGCAGTCAATGAGAAAAAAATTTAACAAAGAAGAATGATGTTCATACTTCTTTGTATTCAAAAGATCATTTTGGCAGTAGCATGGAAGATAGATTGCTCTGCAATAGTGTAGAAGATGGTTGAAACTGAAGCAGGAGTACCAGAAAAGAGAGATAATGAAAATCTTAACTAAATAGTAATGATGAGAAAGTGAAGTAAGGACAGATATAAAATATATTTAGTAGGAAAAATATATAGTTTATTACGAAGAGAAAAAAAATGTGTATAGTGAATCCTAGGTTTTTGACTTGGGCAACCAAGTAGATAATGTAGCCAAACAGTAAGAGGGAACCAGGAGGAGGAACAGATTTGTGTGGGATGGAAAGATATGTTCATTTGAATTAAAATGAAAATATCATGTTGTGGCTATATTAAATGAGGTTGCTTTTTATAAAAGTAGTTCTGTGGTTCCCTGCGTTAGTCATAGTACATTTATTTATTCAACAACAGTCCCTGAGTAATAGCAATGCCGAAGCAGCGTAACGGATAGGGGTGGATAATACAATAATGAATATGTATGGTCCCTGCTTTTAAAAAGTTTATTGAGTATGAGAGTGGAAATAAGTTACATAAATAATCAGTATTTATCATTAGAGATGTCCAAACCAATTGCTATGAGAATTCAGTAAGAAAGAATTTATTTGGTGACAAGTTTAAGAAAATACACTTTTTAAAAAATGGGATTTAAATTATACCTGAAAGATAGAAAGAAGAAACAGAACTTTGATAGGTTAAAAAAAAAAAAAAGAAAAAAAATGTGGGAAGGACATGCTAATAGAGGGAAGAGAATGGGCACATGCAGGGAAGGCGAACCACATAGAAACATCTAGTGCTTACCCAGTTTCACCAAAGTGGAAATTATATATAGAGTAATGATGAGTATTAGTACTGGAAACCAAATTTGATCTTGAAAGAGGTCAGAGAATCAGGATTTGACTTAGTAGCAATAAGAATCTACTGAGAGTTTCTGAGAAGGGGGGATGAATGACCTATCAGAGCTGTTCTTACTAACACTAATTTTGAAGCTGGTTTACAAAGAAACCATTTAAGGGACTCTAGCTAGTATAGGAAAGAGAAAAGAGGAAGACCAATTTATGGGTCTTGTTAGATTGTTAGAATTGACAGAAATGAAATAAAAAAAGACACGATGGTGTCAAACCAATATTACTGGATGTATCCTAGTGACATTAACTAAAATTAGAAGGACAGAAAGTTTTTTTGTTGAAAATAATGAGATAAGCCATGGATGAATTTCACTGGTCATTCAAATGGTGTTGTCCAACAACTTTTGCAAAAAAGAAACAAAAGTCAAAGAAGAGTTTAGGCCTGAATTTATATGTTTGTGGGATTATGAAAATCAGAAAAAAATATGATATCCATTGCGGGAATAATGATTCAGTATTTATCATATATATTCTGAATCATCTATTTATAATGTTTTCCTTATTTCAGGTGACTAAACTCTGTAGGTACAGAGATTCTTTGTATCCCAAGCACCTAAAACATAATGTTTGATCAGGCTCTTTTGGCTGCAAGGAACAAAGTCATTTAAACAATCTCAAGTAACAGAGATTTAACATAAGGCTCAATGAGAGAGATGAGACATACAGAAATAGCTGAGTAAGATCCCGAGTAGAATCAGGACGTGTGGGGTTGGAACTAGATTCAAGGCAGCACTAGGGACATCAGAAGCAAAAATTCATGATTCTTCAATGAACATGATCCCACTAGTTTCATTCCTGTGCCTCCTTTTTGGAGTCTTTATTTTTTGGTTTCTCTTACAAACTGATTTTATAATTTTCTTATTTTTTATTACCTTAGCTGTCCTGCTTATTGATAATTTCTGTGTTCTCATAACTTCTGCTTTAACATGACCCATTATGATCCAGGAATTCATGGTATCTGCATCCTTTCATTTCTAGCTCCTGCTGTTACCTGCCTAATTTTCTCTGTGGATACTAATATCTGCTCCATAGTGTACAATGTTATTGGTCCAATTCATCCCAGTTTTTGCAGAACTTTTCAGGCCTCTTCACCCTATAGGCTGCCCGATCAATCAATAAATCCTCTGACTTGAGTCAGCTGCCCACCCTTTGTCCAGTCAAAAGAAGCCATCTAAGCGGGAGGTCTTAGAAAATATACCACTCAGTGTTAAAGTAAAATAGTTCCTGATTATTGTATTTTAAATAGTTAAAAAATATATAGTCAGCTGTTTCTTGTTAGTATAATATCGTCTATGATCATGTTGAACTTATAAAGTTAAATTGAATGCAACAGGTGGTAACATATTTGGCTTGATGTCAACTTGCAAATCACAGAACAGGGTCTAAAATGTAGAGGCTGACTTCACTTTGTGGCATATTCTATAAATATTCTTCAGTTATTTTATCAGTATTGTTTTCTTTTTCCAAATCCAGTATATATACGTCAAGTCTGGGAGTGTGTTTTTAATTAATATTGTATTCTCTCACAAAGTTTAATAATATTGAGGTAGACAATTACAGGTATGTTGTTGGATGCTGGTTGATTTCAGGTTTTATAAATTCATATTTCTCAATTTAAAGTTTAAGAGATTTAATATTTATGTGGATATATATGGGTACAAGCATGCACACACATGCAAGCACACATTGCTAAATACCTCTCAATTATAACTAATATCTCTTGCCCCCAAATCTACATAAATGATAAAGGAATTGTTTTAGGGCAATTTCATAATCAAGCACCTATATATAATTGCTCTTTCTTATCTTATACTGTTTGGCATTTGAATTTTTAAATATACCCTATAGAAATATTAAAGTATACATAATAGAATTAGAACAAGATCCCTTGGACCTTTCTGTTAACTCATTCTTATTGCATGAAATGATCTAAATATGTTTATCATTATCTTTTTTCTTTTTCATTTAGCTAATGTTAGCTTACATCTCTATTAATTAACTCTCAAAGGCTAATAGTACACTCACAAAAACAGTGACTCACTGTTTACTTTAAATGTGTATATATGGGTACTGAAGATTAGAATCCAATTTCCATGTCAGTAAAACATATAATTACTTTTTCCTATTTATTCTTTTACTTTCCTTTTCTTCGTATTACCAATACAATCAAAAAAGAAGAAATAAATGAATTTTAAACGAGAAAAAGTTTATATTTTTAAACCATTATAGTGACCACTCAGAAATACCTTTTTTATTCATAAAAGAATCACAAGGATGTTGTATCAAAGATACAATAATCAAAGATGGTAAGTATTTATTATTCAACATGTACTTGGGCACCTTTGTGAGCAAGTAGCACGCAGTCATTGGTAATACCAAAACGAGTAAGACCAATTTACCACCTTTCAAATGTTTACAATCTACATGAAGAAGACAGAACTGCCAACAAATAAAGTAAATAAAATGTTATACGACCCACATTGGAAGTTCAACATGTAAAAAAAATTTAGTCTTCAACTCAATGTGCATGAAATGTGATTATACTTTTTCCGTAATTCAAACTTTTTTTTATTTTGGCTCCCCTTTTGCTGAATATTAGAAACTTAATCTCAGAATCTCAGTCAATTTAGGATAACCTCAGAAAAAATTTTGGGTTTCCTCAGTCAATGCCGGGTTTCCTCAATTCAGAGTCTATCTTCCCACTGATCCTTGAAATTAGATCTATGTTCCAAGGGATTCCTCTGTGCCCAAATATAGTAGAGTAAGAAACAGCAGGAAATGGAAAGAGGATGGTCTGATTAATGGTTGTTATCATATAGTCACACTGGTTTCTGCTAAAAATGTCCATATTCTCATTGGTTCTCTGGTTGTTGGTCCATGTAAGTTACTGCTTTTCCTTCCTTAATCCTACTTAAACCATAATCTAGATGACTAGATCTCACGTATGTGTGAGACCTTCCAAAGCATATAACAAACACATGATTTTCACTCATACCACACTGGATACAAGAGAACACTGGAGCCTGTCTCAGGTACCTCTGCTCAGCCACTGCATTTTTGATCATGTGTTACATGGCAATAGAAAACACAGTTAAAAACATTCTGCTCCCAAAATGAGGAAAATTGAAGCAGTTTTAAATCCAGCTGAGAAAACTCCATTAGGTTTCAAGGCCTGGGAATATCTTCTGTAGATTTCCACTGTGTCCTCTGGATCTTGGCTTTGAGTCATCCTTTCTTTTTCATAAAAGGTAGCATGTGTTGCTGATGAGTAGTTTTAATAGCCCCTTCTTCCTGCCTGGATAAATTCAGGGTTAAGAGAGTCTTCTTCTTCTTCATATTGTCTCTGTCCCTTTCAGTCTCAGCTGTGAGTTCTTCTCATAAAATATTCCCAATTACTTTGTGGGCTTTTCGTAGATTTCACAGTTCATTCCATTAGACAAAAAGTCATCCACAGATTTTTCTGAGATAATTCGTTCTCTATTTTTGGCTTCTGCTGACATGGCTGAGGGACGATGCCAATAAGCTTCCTAGAGGCTCTCTGGTTTGATTGAGAAGAGCTATGATAAATACCTTTAATCTCTTGTATTTAACACTCTGCCCTTTTGATTTTTCTGAGGTTGCGGCAAAAAGTTGTACAGTCACATCCTGAGTTTCTCTCTGTGGCATACTTTCAGAAGCAATCTCTTAATTTTTGCATCTTTTGCCATCCATATAGGCTGAGAATTTCCCAAATCATCAAGTATGGTTCCTTTGAATTGAAAAGTACTTTCCTCAGTTTATCTGCCTTCTCACATTTTACTATAAGCAGAAAGAAGAAACCAGGCTTCACCTTCAACACTTTGCTTAGAAATCTCCTCAACCCAATATCCAAGTTCATCATTTATAAGGTCTGCTGTCTACATTTAGCAATTTTTTCCAAGCTTTCTGCTACTATATAGCAAGGATCTCCCTTCCTCCAGTTTCCAATAATATATTCCTCACTTCCTTCTGAGCACCGACCAGCAGGACTTTTTTTTTAATTTTTATAGATCAAGGGGTTACACGTGCAGTTTTTGTTACATGCATATATTGTGTAGTGGGGGCACTGGGCTTCTAGTATACCCACCACTGAAACAGTGAACATTACACTTAGTAGCTAATTTTTCAGACCTCATCCGTCTCCGATGCTTTTCCCTTTTGGAATCTCCAGTGTCTATTACTTCCCTCTGTATGTTCATGCATACCCATTGTTTAGTTCCCACTTATAAGTGAGAACATGCCATACTTTATTTTCTGTTTCTGAGTTATTTCAGCTGGTTAAATCAAAGTTTTAAGATCTGGGGTCCTATGACATAGAAGGGCATCATTCCTTTAAAATTAACATAGAATTTGTGTATGTGTGCTTTTTGCTTTTTCTGGTGAAGCTTTTATATTGTTTATCAAATTATTAAGGGTTTCCATTTCTGTTACTTTACAAGTATGATCATAATGTTTTGTACCTTATCCCATAAAGAGGTGAAATCTATTCCCCCACCTCTTAAATCTAGGCTGTCCTTGTGAATTTCTCTGGCAGAAGTAACACTGAGTTCCAGAATCTAGTTCTCAAGAGGATTTATGCATCCTTCCTAAACTCTCAGGGAACTCTGAAAGCACCATGTTGAGAAGAAGCCATGGGTGGAAAGTGCACATGGTGAGAGCAAGAGGAAGACTGAGGGTTGGGGGAGGTGCCATATACTCTTAAACAACCAGATCTCATGAGAACTCACTCACTGTAGCAAAAATAGCACAAGCAAGCCATGGGGCACAAACAAGTCATGAGGAATTCACCCTCATGACTCAGACACCTCCTACTAGGCCCCACCTCCAATACTGGGTATTACATGAGATTTGGGTGGGACAAATATCCAAAACATATCAACCATCTTTATATAAATATATAGAATCTCCAATTTGCACTTTTAAATGTTATAAGGGAGGATTCTTTCTCTGAGAAATTAATCATTTTATGTTCACCATGTCCTGACTCAAAAATAATTACGATATATCTATATCATCTACTCTATATGTTTTTTTTCACCCTGTATCAGATCCTTAGTATAATAGTATTGAAAGAAATAATTAATATTTAGGCTGGGTGTGGTGGCTCACGCCTGTAATCCCAGCACTTTGGGAGGCTGAGGTGGGCAGATCACCTGAGGTTAGGACTTTGAGAGCGGCCTGGCCAACATAGTGAAACCCCATCTCTACTAAAAATACAGAAAAAATTAGCCAGGCATGATGGTGCGTGCCTGTAATCCCAGCTCTCAGGAGGCTGAGGTGGGAGAATTTCTTGAACCCAGGAGGTGGAAGTTGCAGTGAGCAAAGATCACACTACTGCACTCCAGCCTGGGCGACAGAGTGAGACTCCTTCTCAAATAATAATAATAATAATTAATATTTAATAGTATTTAATCAAAATGAGGTCCACACCTTAAAATCAAATTTATGTTATTTCTTTCCAAAAGGTTGTTTTATATTTCACCATGACATTTGAAAATTCCTACTATCAGCATGTTCACAATCTTAGTCTATTAAGTCTGTCACTTCATTCTCATTTATTTGTAGACACAAAGAAAAATTTGAATAATTCCAGACCTATTATATTTTACTAATTCTCTAAAGTATATTTATTTAAATATCACTGGATTGGATTAAATTGTATTTTAATCCCATTAACTATAACTAGGAGAAATTGGAACATTCACATATAAACATTATGTCTTTCATAGGGATTCTTACTGCACTATTTATTCCCAGTCAGAATAAACACATATAATACTAATTCAAGTGTGGTCTAATTTAAGTACAAGGTGATGTTTTCAATTCAGTTGTCACTTATGACTTGCAGATGAAGGGCTTTCCTTTTTGATTCATAATCTATTCAAACTGTCATGGGACATTGAGATGCTTAGCTAAACTTTCCACACACATATTCACTGAAATAAATTTTAAAAAATCCTTCAGTTATCAAATCACTACCTCTTTTTCTATTTGATTTTCCTTTTCATTGTTAATTTCTTTGTTCATTTGTTATCAGTGTAACAGAAATATCATTTTAATATAAGTTTTACATAAAGTTTCCTCCTTAAAGTTTAGGATGTTAAGATGAACAAAAGAGAACTACTTGGTAAATATTAAGTTGAAGGCAATCTGTTTCCAATGAAGTGAAATAAATCTCATATAGGTATTTTCCCCAGGAGCTAAAAGAAATCTTGATATTTTATTCTAAATTCTTAACCCTTCTACCATTTTCTCAATAGGTAACACTATTCCTAGTTTTATCTGATTTCTCTCCAGTATGTATTGCATAATGAATCATTTCAATAATGATATGCATATCCCTAAATAATGTTTCCTTGGCCTTCTGGTGTTCTTTTTTTGACAATCCCCAGCCCCAGTTTGCCTTTATTGTTTGCACTGTGTTCCAGAGATACTGAGAATACTATAGAAAGCCTCAAAGTTATGCAGACACTTCTAATTTCTTCCTAATATAATTTATCTAATTCTTTCCAATATTAATAGAACTCTGATTTTTTTTTAGAGCAGCAATGTGTCTAGCTAATATATTCTACTTCCCTACCTACCTTGTGTAGTTCTGGTAAATTAGATGTAAGTACAAATGTGCTGACAATTATTCAAAAAGTTTTATTTTCCTGATATAGGTGCCAGTTACCACTTATTCACTACTTCTTCCCTCATCTTCTGTTTCTAATGGATAAGAGGAGCTGGTGGTAGAATGCCATTTTGAGACCTTGTAGGGTGACCAACCCTCCTGGTAAAACCAGGGACTGCGGAGTTTTCCTAGACATGTGACCTTTCATTTTAAAACAGAGAAAGCCCTAGGCAACATGGAAGAAGTTGGCTATCTTACCAAAGACTGAAGTGAAAATGAAGATGAAAGTTACTCAAGATGGCAGAAGAGAAAGAAGGGCAGTTCCTGATGGCATCTTAGAGCTACCATATAAATTATGGGCTTTTTATTAGACAAGAGAAATAAACTTTTACGTATCAACTCATTAAATTTGGCTTTTGTACAAATACTGAAACATGCTCTTTAACTGCATTCACAACCTGGATGTACTCTAGTCCATGGGAACCACATCATAGTCCATTTGAATGGTGTCGCCTGAAGCTGTGCAGCTAGCTACACGTGGTGTCCCTGACCAAGACTACACTGTCTTAAACCATAAAACCTTTAATGCTCAAATGATGGTTCCACCTTACAGACAAGCTGTTTCTCAGATGTATTCTCTCTCTCAAACATCTCCAGATCATATACCCTTTTCTTTCTTCCATGAGGTCTCTTAGAAAAAAAGAGTCCCTCTCTCTTTTAAAGTGTATGTCTCTAAGTGTGAGGTTGATTTCTTTGCTTCCCACCTCCTTGGGGTCTTAATCCACTTGATTTGGCTGCAAATAATTTACTTTTCTTATTAGCTTTTTGAGATTGTAACAATAAATTTGGTGGGACTCTCACATAAAATTATGATCCCTGAGTTCTATTAAACCACTTTATCTCCATGTTTAAATACTGTAGCAATAAACATGGACTCTTGAGTAAAATATTAATGCGTTTGTTCACCTGAATTATTTACATTTTAGCTGGGTACAATTTTCTTAATAATATCCAAATATAGAATATAAATATATAGACAATAATGAGCAAATATACAATCCTCCATGAAAAAAAAAGAAATTAAACAAAAGCTTTTCCTTAAGGTAAATGCTGGAGAAACAATGTTTTTCCTCCTTTTTAAATTTTGAATCAGTTACAAACTCTAGGCATTCAGAACTTACATAGCATTACTGAGATAATGTGCTTCTGATTTAGATTGCGTTATCCTCCCCTCCCCTCCCCAGCATACCATTCCCTTTTTTTTTTTTTTTTTTTTTTGAGACGGAGTCTCACTCTGTTGCCCAGGCTGGAGTGCAGTGGTGCAATCTCCACTCACTGCAAGCTCCACCTCCCAGGTTCATGCCATTCTTCTGCCTCAGCCACCCAGCGCCTGTAACTGGGACTACAGGCGCCTGCCACCACGCTCGGCTAATTTTTTTTGTATTTTCAGTAGAGACGGGGTTTCACCGTGTTAGCCAGGATGGTCTCGATCTCCTGACCTCATGATCCGCCCGCCTCGGCCTCCCAAAGTGCTGGGATTACAGACGTGAGCCACTGCGCCCGGCCACCATTCCATTTTTATATAAAACTTTGCAGATGAATTGAGAGGGGAGCTTCTGACTCTCATGTATTATGAAGCATTATGCTGGAGCCAGATGCTTTTTGTATGTTTGGAAATAATAAATGGCTGTCTAATAGGCTAGAATCAGAGGCTTCCTTGTTGATGAAAGGTTTCTAATGAGATAAGGAGTATGTAATAGAGAGAAAAGACACTTGGAAATAAGCATGTATTCTCATTCAGTCTATAAGACTTAAAAATTCATTTAACCTTTATCTTGTTTCTCTAATTATTTTGCAAATGGATAATCTATGTATCACATAAAACCAGGATGGTATAAACAAGGGCATATTGATTCATTTCTCCAGAGCTATATCATTTGCAGAAGTTGGCTAGATGTTGCCTGGGGCTAGAGTCATCAGAAGAGTCCCCCTCCATCACCCTGCCCACTGGGATGCTAGGCTGGGCCTCTCCATCTCTCCATGTGATCTCAGGGCCTCTCCCCGTGGCTTCCTTGTGTGGTCCCTCTGCATAGCCTCTTCAGCAGGGTAGCCAAATTTTGTTAATGGTGATTCCTACAAGTGAGCATTCCAAAGTAGGATGCAGAAGCTACTAGTCCTCTTCAAAATTAGACCTGGAACTGGCACACTGTTACTTCTGCCACATTCCAATGGTTAATGCAAGACCAGATACAATATGAAGTTGACGGCTTAAGGACATGAATTCCAGGAGGCATGGCTCACTGGGGGTATCTTTGGAGTCTAGCTACCACACACAGCGAGTTGGAAAAAAGGCATAAAATCATGGCTTCCTTTTCCAAGAGTGTGGAAATCTACACATGTACGTAGAAAATAACTGTAGGTTGGTATTTTCAGTATGTTTGTAGAACAGCAATAATCTCTGACAGGGCCCTGTGCTTCACAGTTAAAACACTTGGGGCTTGGTGCACTGGCTCATGCCTGTAATCTCAGCACTTTGGGAGACTGAGGCAGTGGATCCCTTGAGTCCAGGAGTTCAAGACCAGCCTAGGCAACATGGCAAAACCCAGTCTCTACTAAAAATATGAAGATTAGCCAGGCTTGGTGGCACATGCCTGTGGTCCCAGCTACTCTGGAGGCTGAGGTGGGAGGTAGCAGTAAACCGAGATTGTGCCACTAAACTTCAGCCTGGGTGACAGAGCAAGACCCTGTCTCAAAACAAAACAAAAACCACTTGGCATACAGTGTTCCTCAACCAATTTAGTCTAGACTTGTGATTCCAGTTACATCTTTCTGACAGAATACTTTTCAAAAACAGAAGGGATTTAATCAGTATTAAATGAAAATAGAAATATATATTAACATTCCAAAGGAATGATCATATATTAAGCTGACTGGAGAGCACTAACAAGAAATATAGGCACCTAGGTAAGATACACTGACTAGTCAGGATATTTTGAATTACCTTTTGGTGGCCTTTTACCACCTAACTTAGAAAAAACAAAAAACTTTCTGAGTAGTAACCACCAAGCCATAGGCTTCTTGGCTCAACTATGGTACGCAGCTGTCCCTGCCCACATCATCACTACAGTTCCCTGGAAATGTATGTAGGACAGGAAGTGTGGTATTTACAAGAGCCTCTGTGGCCTTAGGATGTTATAAGATGTGTTACTCCCACAGACTCTTTGTTTAATTTATTTTTATGCTTTCTAGTACGTAATATTAAACTTCCAAACTAATACAATCTATCTTCCCGACGTTACCAATGCCAAGGCATACTAGTTTAGCAAGTAACAGACACTTGGACAAAGAAAAAATACTATGTGGTTCTACAAAACAGAGAGTCTGAGGACAATAAGTGAAATAGTATCTCTCATTTACTTGGGAATCTGTCAAAGGAATAAATTATCTGCAGCAAGGCAAGTGATTAATTTATCTAATGATTCACCAAAATCCAGTCAAAGGATGCATAGGGGACATAATTGAGAAAGTTTACCTTCACATATGACACTGAATTATTTTCAAATTAATATAATTACATGTAATTATTGCTATTATTGCGTGTGACCATATGACTGACACAGGACTCGGGGATATGAGTTATTACTAAGCCAGTTTCATCAGTTCTTGGATATTTAAAATATAGTTCAAAGAATACTTCATGGAGGGTATTTATTGGCATCTGAGATTTGATGAAAGGGTGAGATTTGATGAAAAGGTGACTTCGTGGTTGGTGTAGGGAGGTCATTTAAACTACATATAGACTCATAGAAGAAAAGGTAGGAAAAAGTGGTTCTGGGAATCCAATAGAGGGACATGTTAGATAATCCTAATTTGCTTCTTTAAATTTCTTGCTGCATATTTGAGGTGAAAGAGAATATGAATTTCAGATCCATGCTGTCATGTGTACTGTTGGTGTAATTTTGGGGTCTACTAAGAGCTTTTGCTCTATCTAGGAGCATGGGAAAAAGTGAAGGGTAAAGGTGAAGCGTTGTAACTAGCCACCTAATAACCATAGCCAATGAGTCTTTATTTCCCTTCACTGGTAATTGTGCAAAATAAATCTTATTTGGGGATTTGTTTAACTCTTTGAAGAAAAGGCCTATATCTTACACATTTTATAAGCAACAGCTATTTTTAGGCTTGTTTTCAAGAACAGGAATGAATACAGCTGGCAACAATTACTTTTAAAATGTAAGGCTTAAATAAGCATTCTTTTAAAAGGGTATTTAAGAGGGTAGCCACAGCTGGACGTTCCTATCATTATGCCTCCCATGTCAATCAAAGTTTTTCTATAGTCTAGGTCCACATCAAGTCCAGTGAACATACTAACAAAATGTGTATTTATGTAAACATAACAATGTTATTAATAGTAGCATTACAATAATGGTTTGGTGGACCTTCGTTATTTCCAGCTTCTGCCATGGTCTCCTCAAATAGTATATGAGATGAAATAAACAGAGTTCTTTAAATTTGTGGGGAAATCTGAAAGGCTGCCAGTAATAACTCTTTTCCAGATTCAAAGTAACTATCCTTTGAAGGACAGTATGCAGACTGCTAGTTGAAAAAATAAAATATAGCTTGATATGGGTGGTTGATACATAAACATATACATATACACACATACACATATACATACATATACATATACATATACATATACATATACATATACATATACATATACATATACATATACATATAATATATACCAAATCCTGGGCTTGGTAGTAACCAGAGAAACTCTCAAGGCTGCTGATCCTGCTAGACACGTGGCATAGCAGTTCAGTGTGCCCTGGCTTGCTGCAGCTGCCTTCCACGTGCAAGAAGCCACTTCTGAGAATCAGTAGTAAATGGAGAAAATTACATGTGAGGTATATCTGAAATATGTGAAATAGAGACTGACTTATCCTGTAGTAGAGTATAGCAAGTAGGCTGAACTCTTTTTGTATAATGCAGAGTTCTTTAAATTTGTGGCATAACCTGAAAGACTGCCAAGCATAAAACATCACTTTGTAAATAAACCTGAGTGACTTACACAAGTTAATTTAGAGGACTAAAATGAGTCCTCTAAATTTTCACAGCCTTTCATGTAAAATCATTAGAACTCTAAAGTCATAGATTTCAAATTTTGTAGCTTTCAGGTATTGCTATAATTATTACAGAACTTGCAAATATAAAGAAATTCAAATTTACCTCTACCAAACAAGGAACTGAATGTACTCGATGATGAAAACACAGACATTATAAAAGACGTAATTTTTGAAACTTAGAATTGTGCTTTGGAATATCTCAACTTGTGGAATCTTTTGATGGAGCTGTTGCTTTTAATTGGATGAAACTATATTTTGTATCTAAATGGATTAAAATTGAGATGACATAATTTTGTAGTATTTAAACTTGATTGATACCATCAAAATAAACGTACATTTTCAAGACTTATATAATGAGCTTTGTTTTGTAAAAACACTTGTTGCACAATATAACTGAGTGAGGTTTAAAAAAATACAACAGCTAGGAAAAGATTTGAACTGAAAAATTTGTACATTTCAATATAGAGAAATTAGAATGGAGAATATATTTTATTTAGCAGAGTGTGTTTTGAGCTTAATACGTATCTCACCACTTAATTTTCCATTTAAAACATTATAGTCTTCAGAGAAGCATTCGTTAAAGCTGTCAGTAATTTCAAATTTATGTGAAACTGTGATGATTTCAGGAAATTTTATGAACAAATTAAAAATAAGAAAGGCCACATTGAAAAAAATTGCATTCTTTGGAAAAATGCGAGTATCTGGTATTGGAGAAAATACAACTAAGAAACTGATTAAAGTATGTGAATATGTACCAAGAGTAAGTATTCTGCTTATGCCACGTTTAACATTTAGGTAATTGATAAAAAGAAGTTTCATAAAATTATATATGTGTGTATATATACATATACGTCACTGTTAAGGGTTTTCTATTAAAAAAAGCAAAAAGCAATAAAAATAAAATGTGAAATAAATTTTAAAGCAAAAAACAAAATTCTAAATAGGTCTGAAGATTAATTACAGCTTAGTTACAGCTGATGTTATTTAAAACAGCATTCCATGATACTGCTTAGTTATCATAAATGAGGCCCACTAAACAAAAAGTTTCGGTAACTTCTCTACTGGGCAGAAATTATTTTAATTATTGTGTTAGCAAACGGCTTAATAGAAATGATAATGTGATATACATTATTTCTCATTTAAATTTTCCTCTAAACATAAAATTTTACAACCATGAAACTGAAGGAGTCAACCTGTTCAATGACTATAAAGCTGCGTGGCAAACAAGCTAAGTGGGAATTAAAACAGCTTAGGCAAAAATAAATAAAAATTGTAGCTTTTTAAAAATCAATTTTCATCCCCCTAATTCTGGAGAATTTATACTCTGCCTCTTTTGCTTGTGTTTTAGGAAAGAAGCCCAAAATTCAGGGTACATGAATTAAAATTAAATACTAAGATCAGTAAACCTCAATTGGCACGAATAAACAATATGAAAGAGTAAGCACAAACACGATCTATTTGTTTATCCATCTTTCTTATTGTGATAGCTATACTATGAAATTTCTAAAACTAGATGGGAGACTGGCTTAATATTTTGGCAAATAACCACATGCAAGTTAATGAGGAATGGGAAATAGAGCACTCTGGATTTTAGCATAAACAATTAAAATAAAAAATGCTACATTTCCTATTCCATCAGTTGACGGTATACTTATTTTCCCGGGAGAAATTTGGAATCTAAGCAACTCAGGTCCAGTAAGTGCAAACAACTGACATGCTTAGTCCAACAGGCCCCTGTGAGCAGGCCCTCTAGGGCATTTCCTGACGCCACATGACCAAGACCTTCCCCCCTAGTGGACGCTGCGGGTGATCAAGTGGCCCTGAGGAGCAGGGGCCTGAGACCCAGTCAAGCCTGCTGTCAACCTCCATCTGATGGAGGCCACGTCCTTTTCATGAGGCTGGTAGGAATGTCGCTGTATACCCCCACTATTTCTATTTTCGCAACATTCTTCCCAGTCTTTTCCTTCCTTCTCTTCGTCCCAGCCAAAGTAAAAGCATCCCTGGAATTTAATGGACTGAAAGGAGACCGGACGACTGAGGGGTAGAACGGGGCCCGAAGTGGCTTTGGAAGCAACGGGGTTAAGGGAGAGGCAAAAGGGTTGAGCAGAGAGAGGCAAGAGGCAATCTCCCCCTACCCAACTGCCCCTCCCAGGAGCAGATACGGCACCAACAGCCGGCGAGTCCCTCCGGCCTGGAAGACAAAGGAAGGATCAGGGCCCAGTGGTGACGGGGAGGGTGGGGGCAACGACTCGCGTGAGCTCGGAGACGTGAGAACGCAGCCCCCGCCCCGTTCTCCGCCTCCCCTGAGAAAGGCGGGGCCCCCACGCCGCCCCGAGACAGGTCTCCCCGCCGCGCCGGCAGCGGGTCCCAGGCGGCCGCACACGCCCAGGCACGGGATGCTGCGGGAGAGCGCGGTGGGGGAGGGGAAGGACGCGGAGGCGGAGCCGGCGGGCAAAGAAAGGCCGAGCGGCGGGGCGGGGGCGGGGGCGGGGGCGGGGTCTGGGCTGGGCGGGCGGGGCGGAGCCGGCCGGCCGGGGGCTGCCTGAGACAGTTACTGCCCTGACGGCGGCGGCGGCGGCGGTTGGCCGGTGGGGGCTGGGGCGAGCACGACCGATTCTGCTGGGAAAGCTGGAACTGGCAGCCGCCGGGGGCCAAGAGGAGGATCCGGAGCTGGGAGCGTGCCCCGGGCCCGGCGGAGGAGGCGGCTGCAGTTGGAGTGGAGTCTTGGGAGCGCTGCTGGCAGCGACTTCTCAGCGAAGCAAGTGTCTGAGACTGAGAGTCCCTAACAGCGGCAGCGGCGGCCACGGCGGCGGCTGGGGCCGAGGTAACCGGGGGGCGGCGGCGGCGGTGGAAGCGAGGCCCCTCCCTCGGGTTGGAAGCTGGGAGGCCGAGGCCGTGGCTTGGACCTGACCCAACCACCCACCCTCTCCGGCCTCGAGCCCCAGATTTGCCCTCTTCCCTCGCACCGCCGTCGGCCGGGTGGGAGCGGGAGCGGGGCATGGGGCGGGAGCGCAGAGGCGGAAGCCGACCGGGAGGCGACCCCTCGTCTGGGATTGGCAAGGACCTCAGTCACCCCCTCCCCCTTCAAAAGACACACCCCAATCTCGGTGCGGGGCGGGGTGCAGAGGCGCTCCCAGCCTCTGGAAGGGCAGACCTCGGTGTGGAGGCTGCACCTTCGCTCGTGGCCTCTCTGAGGTGGCTCCCCTGTGGCTCCTCTGGGCGGTTCCAACCCAAGGTGGTGCCCGGCGCTGGGAATCCCGGAGTTCCTTTTGTCTGTCAGCTGAAACTGGAGGCCGGACCTGTGGGCAGACACCCACCAGCACCGAAGCACTCTACTCTTTATCCCTTTCCTGTCTTGGAAGGAATTTCTCTCTAGCAGCCTTTTCTCCGGCCAGACTGGTAGATTTTATCCCTGACCTCCATCCTTGGCCCAGAGGAAGGAAGGATTCACATTTTACTTGTGTTTGCTTTATCATTCTTATAAGAACAGTCATCCCCCATCGTTTTTGTTTTTTTTTTTTAAACCGTTTCCCATCCAGCTGCAACCCTGGTAATCTTCCCCTAGATTTTTGCACATTATCAACAAAGAAGTGTGGCTGGAGGAGTAGACAGTCCTTGACTGACTGGACTGTGTAAGTTAATAGAGCTTCCTTAGCTGGCGCTGTTCTACCAGTCTACTGTGAATGAGCGTTTTGCCTGGAGTTAAGGGTGTTACTGTATGTGCGTAAAGTTTCTCCCCCCCTCCTTTGCTATGGTGAAGTTGCAAAAATCTTGGGTAACTTGATTAAAATGTGGCTGTTTGGGAAGCATAACAATGAGGAAGAAAAATGCAGAAGGGAGAATGTGATTATTTCAGTGGTTTTTGTCCAACTTTTTGAAAGTGCCAAAGGTGAAGTACGTGGATTTTTGAGATTACGTTAACTGGTACACTGCAACCTTTATTGTCCTTAATAAGTTTTTAACATATGATATTTTGCACTGAGGTATTTTTGTTTGTTTTATTTTAGTTACTTGTGGAAATTGTTGATTACCCGGACGTCTTAAAACCAAGAAACCTGTGAACAGGTTCATTAAGAATCTGCTGTCTTGAAAAATGCATATTATGAATGCTTTGAATTAAGAAGGTGTTAACAGTGGTTGTCATTTCTGCCACATAAGAGACTATAATCTGAAACAGTTCCTGGCAGTTGCCCAGATGCCTGAAACTGGCACGATCTAGTACTCTTGAGTGATCATCCTTCAACGAGAAATACAGAGCTACTTACATACTGTACCTCATACCGTATAAATGTAATCTCTCTGATGCCATTTAATGCAGTGGACCTCTTTTCAGAATCTAATTGTCAGATGCAGAATTAACACTTGGAATCTGGAGAAGCATTTTGTACAAATTGAAAGATTGGGTTTTTTCTTTAGTTTTCCACATGTATTGTCTCATCTCTGTTCTTGAAACATCCACAATCACATAAACTCCAGTTATAACCATGGAGTTATGTGACTCATTAAAATTTAGGAAAAGTGTTGCTGAGCTGTGGAATCAGGCGTTTCTCCCTCAGTTCAACAACTAATACATAGACTGCTGATCAAGAATAAGGAACCAAATAAAGTCATGCACGTTCTGTTGACAGAGGAACTCTGTGGCTGTTGAATTTTACTGTAACTAGTTACTCTGTCTTCAGAGTCAACTTAATATACAAGTTATGTCATAATGGATGGAAAGACCTGTGTTGATGTATCCAGACTCTAGCAAATGAAGATAAAAAACCCGTTATGACTAATCCTTGGGAAGAGAAAGTCTGCAAAATGGCTCAAACCAGTTTACTGCAAGGGAAGCAGTTTTACTGTAGGGAGTGGGTTTTCCACAAGCTTCAGCATTGCCTCCAGGAGAAAAGTAACTGCTGCAATAGTGCTGTCAATGCACCATCACTTGTAATGAATTCTGGGAATAATGCTAGTGGTGTCTCTGGAAAGGGAGCTGCCTGGGGTGTGTTGTTGGTAGGAGGGCCTGGCAGTGGCAAGACGGCCCTATGTACTGAACTCTTATGGCCAAGTTCACCTGCAAGTTTGCAGAGAGGTTTACATCGCCAAGCTTTGGCCTTTCATTTCTGCAAAGCCCAGGACTCTGATACTTTGTGTGTTGGAGGGTTTATTAGAGGTCTAGTAGCCCAGATCTGCCGCAGTGGACTACTCCAAGGATATGAGGACAAGCTAAGGGATCCAGCAGTCCAAAGCCTCTTACAGCCTGGGGAGTGCGAGAGAAACCCAGCCGAAGCATTTAAAAGGTAACAATAAAAATGTCATGGTGTTCAGATTTCTATGCTGAAATTAAATTAATTTTTAGTTGTAGTTTTTTGTTTTAACTTTGTGGGTTACTTTTACTGGTGCTGTACATTTGGCCTTAATCTGAAGTTATGAGTATACCTGTTTACTTTGAATATCAAAGGAAGTAAAATTTAGGTTTTGGTATTGCACAGCATATGGATTAAAATGGATTAAAAGTGTATCTTAATTTTACTTAATAACATAATGTTACTTACATTGCCTATAAATGGTAAGGGAAATTTGTTCTTATGGTAGAGAAGCACATTTAGCTGTCTGGAAATAGGTTACATTTTCAGAGGGTGAACTGAACTTAGAGTAATTATCAGTATAGCATCTAGTATCTTTTTATTTTTTTCCTTATAGTAGTAGTATTTTTTTAAGTAAGAAAGGTTTTCTTTAAAGGAGATTATTGGCCACTGAGAATCTGAAGAAAATTTGCTGATGAGTTTTGGGATTTATTCTCCTATTAACTAACTAATTGAAAAACTGGTATTTAGAAGTATGTGAATTTATAAAATAGCGAACATTTGGGATCATCTTACTACTTTTACTTTTAGTGAGTGGTACAAAGAAAGTGTTTTTTCCTAACTTCAGCAAAGCTTTTTTTCCATGGTAAATGGATTGGTCCAGGAAGTGAGCAAGTTGCTTTCCAGAGTGGTTTCAGATTCAAATCTGTTCAAGAAAATATAATTCCTTGAAAACATTTTTTTTTGCATATCATGCCTCTGCTCATTGTAAAAGTAGCAGGCAAATTGTTAGTTTGTGCTTCACTTCTGCTTGAATTACCCATTTTGCCATAAGCTTTTTCTCTACAATAACATTCTTAGCGGGCAAAAGTTTGTTCTCCAAAGATTCTGGTATACTGTGCACTGGAGGTTTGTGTGTGTGTGTGTGTGTGGCTCTCTTCTGCTTGAGTGTGTTTCTAGGAGAGATTTGAATCACTCTAAAAAGAGTGATGTTTGTTTTTATGATATCCTCAAATCTAATGGGGTGAAATCTATACATTTTGAAAGTAATATTGAAAATATTTAATAGTAATTACAGTAAACAGTAAGTGTCAGTCATTATTCTAAGTGCTTTACAAATATTAGATCATTTAATCCTCATAATAATCCTGTGAGGTAGTTACTACTCCCATTTTATAGATGAGGAAACTAAGGTACAGAGAGGCTAAATAAATTGTTCAAGGTTACAGACTAGTAAATGGCAGGGCTGAGATTTTAAATGTGTGTGTGTGTATGTGTGTGTGTGTGTGTGTGTGTGTGTGTATGTGTTAGTAATCTTAGAAATTCTCTGGGGGACTTGATGGGAAGAGGAGGGGTTTAGAAGGTTATGTATGGCAAAGCTGGAGAACAGGAGTTGTGTCACAGTGTGGTTTGAGTGTGGTTTTCAGATTACCCATATAGTGATAGAGGGAGTGGTATTCTAGAATGAGAGTTAGGGATGGTACAGAATTCAAATATGGGAGGAATTTATTAAAGTCAGCCAAAGGGATGTATCTTTGAGAGGTGTGATATTCTTGTAGACTCTTTAATATGTAAATTTAGTCCAATAAAACTAAAGGCAAATCTATTATCTTTTGTTGTTAGCCATCAAAGTCAGCGTTAAAACTGTTGTATCATTCTTAAATTAATGAGGAAATCTGTTAGTTGATGCCTGTGGCATGTGAGATGCAAGGTTTGATGGAGAGTGTTCAATATGGAATCACTGTACAGAATAAATAATGTAGTCTTTAATATAAAACTATACCTTTTAATAGAATTAAAACTGTACATAAGCAACTCTTTTCTTCTTACTGCTTTTTCTGAAGATACTAGTGGCAGAGCAGAATTTTCATTTCTTTGTGATAAGTAATTTCATAAGCTATTTAGGTTTATTGACACCTACCAATAACTTTCAAAGAGCTTAGTCTGAGGTGAACTTAATCTGATGTAACCAAGGTATGTAATTTATAATTTATTGAAATTCATATGTAAATTTCTGATACCTGAATGTTGAATGTTTAAAAATCATGTCTGATTACTGTATTTTTGATATATTCTGATCCTAAGCATAGCTTTCTCTATGGTATCATAGATTTTCCTGAAAAATAATTCTTTTATTCAATTGTTTCTTTTATTTTTTCTTTTTCCTGTGTGATTCTCAGTTATTAGCTAATTGAAGAGGAAGAAGAAGCAATTAGAGCTGTGTGTAAAAACCATACCAGCCCTGCTTTTCTGATTGACAGAAGGAGCCAATCACTTTGCATTCCCAGTTTACACTTTAATAAAAGAGAAGGCTTTAGTCTTTCTACTTGGACCATTTTGGTGCTCTTCACTGATTTCTTACTGGACTTTTCAAAAACCTGAGTCACTTTCTTTCTTCATCGTTAAAGTAATTGATCATGATATTAATTAGGGAACTATGGTATTGAAACACTCTTTTTGATCATTCATAGAGACACATTTCCATTACAACTGTGAAGCTATAATACAGCTATATTCACTTGCAAACCTGAGAGCACAATTCAAAGTTAAAAAGATGTATTTTTGTTTGGTATGTGATATTACATTATCTAGGCTTCTACTTTTGGACAAATAATTCAAGATTTTATTGTAGGTTCTATTATTGATTGACAGATTTCTTAAATAAGTCCTTTAGAGAATTTTAATAGGAACGTATTTTATTTAGGCATGGATAGATATAATTCAACAGGTGGAAAATGGGGCTGAAAACCATTGTTTCCAAAGAGTTACAATATTTTGAGGGAAATGGAAATGGAAGTAGCTAATTATAACATGACAGGAGATTAAATATAAATGTAAGCAAACAGCAGGAAAATATTTATTTTTCGCTTTTGACAAAAACTAAATCCAAAACCAGTTTTTGCATTATTACTTTTTAACCTTTAAATTTCTGCTAATATTGATGGTTTCATATACAGACTTTTCCCAATTTATAATAGTTCAACTTAAGATTCTTTGACTTTAGGATGGTGAGAAAGCAATATGTATTTAGTAGAAACCTTACTTTGAGTACCCATACAACTGTTCTGTTTTTTACTTTCAATATAGTATTCAATAAATTACATGATATATTCAACACTTCATTATAAAATAAACTTTGTGTTAGATACTTTTGCTCAAGTGTAGACTAATGTAAGTATTCTGAGCATGCTTAAGGTAGGGTAGGCTAAGCGATGATGTTTGGTAGGTTGAGAGTTATCAGATGCATTTTTGACTTAAGATATTTTCAACATATAATGGATTTATCAGGGTGTAATCCTATCATAGGTTAAGGAGCATCCGTATTCATGTGTGAAACAATTTTAATAGTTATAGAAAGTTGATAATGAAAAAATCTCAGTTATTCACAGATTCACAAAGCTGGGGAAATTGCAGAGAAGTGATTTACTTGATGCTTTTTAAATCCACTTATCTTTTCTTCAGTTTGCTTCTTAGCTTTCTTTAATTTTTTTTGTGCCTAATGATAGTAGATAGAATACGTGATACATGAAATTATATGGCTAAATCGTAATTTGTTAATTACTAGTTCATAATAATTAAGGAAGAGTGAAAGGAACTTCATCTTAATCTAGTGAAACATTGCCACTTTCTTCCCTTCTGACATGGTATAGTATATTCTATAGTTTTTTAGATATAGTTGTCACGAAATTTCTTCTGACATTCATTTATTTGTATGACAAATAATGAGAGTGTTCTCCGTTTGAAGCATAGTTCATTTGCGTTATTTATTAAGAACCTTCTGTGTGTTAGGTAGAGTTCAGCTGGAGATAAATCAGGGAATAGAACAGACAGAATTCTGCCTTCATGGAACTCAAATTCTAACATTAATATTTATCTTATTCATATAGAGAGAAATAACCATCAGAGTAAATACTTGTTACAGTGTTCATGAAACACATGAACATTTAAACATTAATAGAATTTTGTGATCTGCTAAAGGGAATGATATGAAGACACATTGCTATCTTTTTTTCATTTTTATTTTTCGTATCTGGTTAAAGTACAATGCTATTGTTAATTTCTTTACAATATTTTATTTCCTCATTTCTGAAACTAAGTTGATGTTTATATTTTTACTTACTTTGAGAGCCAAAGGCTGATTTCTTTAATTCTGCCTCCCACTTTAGGCCTTTAGTGCAAAACTTTGTATATTTTACATTGACTGTGTCTTTTCTAGAGTTAGTGTTAGAGGTGGACTCCTAGTAGTCCTATAATTATAAAACAAATTCCAATTATTTTTGACAAAAAACTCAAGCAACTAAGTTAGTGAGGGGTGGAGGGTGGTAGCATTAGGTTTTGTGGCTGGTTTAGAAGATAGCTGTTTCAATCAACCAGAAACACCTTTCTGGACTTTGAACAGAAATCGTTTTGGAGATTTAAAAGGATATGGTGTTGGGAAATACAAATTTTTGTTCTTAGTGTATGTCATTACCTCACTTTTATTTCTTGTTAACAGTCTGCAGGACCAGATATGTGATGTCAGTTTTCCTATGTTGGGTAGAAATATTTTGTTCTGTGTAATGTTAATAGGAAAAATTAAATATCTTCAGGGGTAACACGGGTTAAGTGTAAATGGAGTAAAATTGCAATAAAGAATTAAAGATGAATAACTCTAAGTTTTGAGAGTTTAATAGAAAATTTGTGCTAATGGTGAAAGGCAGTATGCCTTGTTTGAAAAAGAGTGCAAACTGGGAGACCAAATACTGACATTTGTTTTGTGTGTCAAATGGGAATCATTGAATGTTTGAATAATCCTTCTAATCTTATCTCCTCCAGGAGCATTTATGGATCTTCACTTATATCTGTTTAGGTTTGTAGCTTGCGTTGCAGTTTTTTTGTTTGTTTGTTTGTTTGTTTTTTTGAGATGGAGTCTTGCTCTGTTACCCAGGCTGGAGTGCAGTGGCGTGATCTTGGCTCACTACAAGCTCCGCCTCTCGGGTTCACGCCATTCTCCTGCCTCAGCCTCCCAAGTAGCTGGAACTATAGGCACCCACCACCACACCCAGCCAATGTTTTGTATTTTTAGTAGAGGCAGGGTTTCACCATGTTAGCCAAGATGGTCTTGATTTCCTGACCTCGTGATCCACCCACCTCGGCCTCCCAGAGTGCTGGGATTACAGGCGTGAGCCACTGCGCCCAGCCGTGTTGTAGTTATTTATGTATATATCTTTTGTTATCTTCCCTATTAGGCATATGCTTCTTCATAACGTTATTCATGACTGATGAATTTTTTATATTTACCATGGTGCTTTGTATATAGCACTTTGCATATAATAATTGTTAAATGACTGTCTTTTGAATGAGTGCATAATGCTACTTGCCTATCTAGAATATGTGTGAACCTAATTGAAAGAAGGCTGAAGCTCTTGAATAAGAAAGGAAATTGAAATGTTATGTGATTTAGGTCAGTTTTAAATGCAGACCAGACTGGTATAGTGATTATTAATTTGTTAACCTGCTGTCTGTTCTTTACCATGTATTAATATGGCATTAGTCCAGATAGTTTTAAGTGGCCAGATATCTATCTCCTGTCTCAACTGGCTCCAAGGATTTTTGGCACTCAACAAAGAGGCGAAGAACAGAAGGGGGTTGGAATGTGTGCCTCCTTCTTACCCTCACTTGTATGTTTTCAAGGCAAAATATATTACATTCGTAATCAATCTTGTATAACTAGTGCTATTTAAAATAACTGTCATTATCTATTCTTAAGTATTGTCAAATTAAAAGATTATTCTAAAGTCCCATTACTATTCAAGTTTTAAATAAAATAAGTGAATCAATATAATTTCATAATCAAAACTTTACATGTTTGTCTTTTAGTCTAAAGATCATCACCTTTCACTGAATGGTCTATTGTTTCCAACTTTTAACTATGTCCTTTCTACTTTAAGATACAAACTTCTGTTTATTCAAATCTTCCCACTTTCCCTTCTGAAAATCTTTTCTTTTTACCCTAGCTTGTCTGTTCCTTTTATATTTCAATCTAAGTGCTGCTTCCTTTGGTTCCTGGTACTCTTTATCATTTGCTGAACCAGTCCTCAACCTCTAATCACTTCTGCTCTAATGACATAACATATTGCTCCTGTTTGCATACTTAGAACTTTGAAGTTAGCCACATTCTTAGTTCTGTTCTGCAGTCCAATTTATTGTTTGATAACTCAGATTCCTTTTAGACCAGAGAGAGTGAAGTGGTGCTCTACAAGTTGAGTATGGGATGTTTTTACCCCAATGCAGCAAATTTCATATACATATCCAGATTTTTGCTTTTTCTTGAAAAAAAAAAAAACCTGGAAATTTTGACAGTACTTGGTTCTCATTCCTTTGAGGCAGTAATCTTACAGACTTGAGTCAGCTGCTGTCTTTATATAAGCCCTGCATGCTCTAATTTGGTTCAGCCTTCACCATGCTCTATTATTCTATAGCAGGACCAGTTCATGTATTTACATGTGCCAGCTTGGCTCCTATAGTCATTTTCAAGGACAAATATGTTTTCTATTCCTCTGAAAAAAATGCTGCATTTTTTATCACTCCCAGAATTTGCTCTCATACTGTCTAGAGTTCGTATGTGCAAGCGCTGCTTCCTCTTCCGTATCAGTTTCCCTTCCTCTTCCCCATCAGTTTCTTCCTAGCTTGCTGAAATCTAACGTTCATCTCTACACATTTACAGAAAGATGTTTATGCATGATTGCCTGTGAACGTACTGCTCAATTTGCCTTTAGGCTTTAAATGATGTATTTTAGGTATTTTTTTTCAGTATTTGTACTTTTTTCTTTCAGAATCTCGCACTGACTCCATTCTTTGGTGGACCTTCCTCTGGGTCCTCTCTGGGTGTTTGCCCCACAAGCTTAGATCTTCTCTCTTTACACATATGCCTTCAATTATTTTATTTACTTACATGGCTACCAATGCATAGATAAAGCTGTTGACGCAGATTTGATTGCTATCTTATTAGCAATCAAATCTGCATCAACAGCCTTATCATTCTGATCAATATGTATCCTTTCACTTGGTAGTCCCTCACTAACCTATGTTTAAACTAACTTCTCTTGAAGCATTTCTATTCATTGATGATTCATTTATTTCTTAATCAAGTATTCAGTGTCAACTATGTGTTAGATGTGTACTAAGTATTAGGGCTAAAGTATTGAGCCAAGCAGAACACTAAGTTAAGTGAGGTAAAATACATTGAACAAATAGTCACAAGAATACATGTTTAGAACACACCTTTGATAAGTGCTAAGAAGGAAGAAACAGGATGATAAAGCATATAATAGGAAGCTTGATTATTATCTACAAGTCTGGGAAAACTGACTCCTTATCTAGGTTCTATAATTATTCTTAGTTCATAGGCCGTTTTCTACTAAACCATGTGATCTTAGGATCATCAATATTAGCATCACCTGGGAGCTTGTTAGAAATGCAGACTCTCAGGTCTAGGGAATCAGAATCTGCCCTTTAAAGAGATCCCTAAGTGAATCCTGTGTGCATTAGAGTACTTTGAGAAGCACTGTCCTAGGCTGGATTCTAGAGTTTTCTTTGACTGTCTTCTGTCATAATATTCTGGTCTAAAATATTTAATATTTTTCTTGGGATAGTCCTTGAATTCATTTACCCTAATCTACAATTTTTATTCACCCATTCCAGTTGATTTACTTACTTCATTCATTTTTCTCACAGTTGCCTAATTAACCATAGTAAAACAGTGTTTTCTTTAGGACATTCCTCTGAGCCTGTGATAACCCACATAACAAATTCAAATTTCTCTGCTTAGCTTTGGAAACTTTTAATAATTTGGTTATGCCTCATCTAACATGTGTTTCTATAACCTCACAGAGCGCATTATGCTCATTCATTCTTTCAAGAATTATTTTTAAGTCTATGAGACATATTAAAGCTTCTAGGGAATATGGACAAGTGAGAACATTCTTTTTCTTAGCATTTAATAAAACCTTTATATGAACAGTAGACATATGAAGCTTTTGTTTGATACATGTTGAGGGTTTGATTTTTTTGCAGTTTGCTTTTAGGTCTCGTTTTTAGAAATTTTGCCTTTTTTAATTTTAATTTTGTGAAGTAAAATGGTTTGATTTTTATGAAATAAGGTAACTAGATACTTTTTTTTTTTGTTTTTAAAAATCTCTTTGGCTGGGTGTGGTTGCTCACACGTGTGGGAGGCTGAGGTGGAAGGATCACTTGAACCTAGGAGTTTGAGACCAGCCTGGCAACACAGTGAGACCCCATCTCTATAAACAAACAAATGAACAAATCACTTTGAAGTGTGTTCCAGTTGGTTGCCTGTCTTTACCCTCTAGTTGTTTTACTAGTGTCTTTGACCGTATAATTTTCATTGTTTTAAATTTCAAACCTGTATCTATTATGCTAACCTAATCTCGAAATATTTCTAATGCCATTTTCTTTCTACTATACACATTTTAGCTAAGTATAGTCTTTAATGATAAAATAGAATTTGAAAATGTTTATGTAATTGCTTAATAAAGCTAAGTATTAAGAAGAATTACATATTCCTCGTGGTTATCTTGAGGAATGATTTGGAGCTTTCCAGAAACTGGTAGCCTTTTATGGTTCTTTCATTTGTCTCTATTTTTGTCTCTATTCTTTGTACCTCCATCTACTAGTGGTGTTTGTCATAAGAGATTGCAGGTCGTTTCACTAGAGGAAAAGTGTACTTCTTGGTGGGGCGTGGTGGCTCACGCCTGTAATCCCAGCACTTTGGGAGGCCGAGGCGGGCAGATCACCTGAGGTCAGGAGTTCGAGACCAGCCTGACCAACATGGAGAAACCCTGTCTCTACTAACAGTATAAAATTAGTCGAGCATGGTGGTACATGCCTGTAATCCTACCTACTCGGGAGGCTGAGGCAGGAGAATTGCTTGAACCGGGAAGCGAAGGTTGCAGTGAGCTGAGATCACGGCATTGCACCCCAGCCTGGGCAACAAGAGCAAAACTCCATCTCAAACACACACAAAAAAGTGTATTTCTCTATCTTTTAATTCTGGCTCAGCCATTAAGGTTTGCTTTGGCCAGTGGATTAACAGACATGACCCAAACAGAAGCTTAAAGTTGAGCTTGTCTTGTGCTTCTGCCACCACAATGAGAAGGACAAGATCTTGCTAGCCTGCTGATCCAAGGAACATGAGAGAGCTATGGAGCAGATGGGACCCAACCTGCAACCCTACAGTAAATCACCAAGAGCAGAGATGCAGAAGAAAGCTAAAATGCTTGTTACTTTAAGTCACAGAGTTTTGGGGTGTTTATGATATACCACTATTGTGAAAATAGCTAACGATACAGAAGTTAAATATTTAAAATGGGAAGTCATTAATTTTTATCAGAAATGTAGGAGTCACCATTGATAACTCAGTTTCATTCGTCATCTACATTCAATCCACCAGTTACTTTGGTTCTGTCTCCAAGATAAAACAAATACCTCCACTTCTCTCTATCTCTATCACTACTACTCCCATTTTCTATTGCTGGACTATTACTGCACTAGAGTCCTAACTGCTCTTCTTGTTGTTATTGTTTCTCTTATTTTCACAAAGCAAAATTATCAGATCATGTTACTTTCCTGCTTAAAACCTTCCAGTGGCTTCTTACTATGTTTAGAATAAAACCTAAGCTCTACATGGTCTACCCTTGCCTAGCCTTTGACCTTATCCTGTACTACTTTATTCTTGCACATTGCTCTTCATCGACATTGCCCTTATTATGTTCTGAAATAAGCCATGTTCCAGCCAGCACATTTTTGTATGGCTATTTGCCCTATTTTCATTTAGGTACCATCTTTAACATTGCCTCCTCAGAGAGCTTTCCTTATTCACTGAATCTTTAGAAGTCCCCTAGCCAGTCATTGTCTTAAATCACATCACCCCATTTAGCTGTCCTTATTCTTAATTTTCAGTATCTGTAATGATCTGGAACTATTTTGTGCATTTGTTTCTTTTGACTTTCTGCTCATCTATTGGCATAACAGAGTATTTGCTTTTCTTGTCCTCTTTGTATCCAGGGCTTATAATACAGTAGGAACTTAGTAATTATTTCTTGAATTAATGAATATTTATATTTTAATTTAAAACATTATAATCTTCTTCACACTGGTAATTTTTATTGCTTTAGCCATGTTCAGTTTTTAAGTAGTCCATGGTTTTTTTTTTTTGTAGAACAATTTATATATGTAGATTATATAGTTATAGATGAAAAGGATTTCTTTTAAACCCTATTTTGGTTATTGTATTTGTATCTTTTGAAATTTACATTGAAATTAATTTTTATCAAATAGAAAATCTTTTGAATAGCATTAGATTTATGTTATTTGATGAGAGTCATATGAGGTCACCTTTTGCCTCTTTTCCATAAATCCATAGTTTGATCTGTGGAATAGCTGTCATTCTTTCTGAGACTGTCACTTAAAATTAATATTTATTTGGAAAGGAGAAAAAACTTGAATTCAATCTCAATTGATATGTTGGTTAAATTGCTGCTTAGAGTGACACAGGTCACAAAGTCACAGGAATTCAAAGGGAAAAATTAATGGCCCCAGAGGATAAGAAATCCTTATAAGAAAGCAATTTGTTGGGGAAATAATAGATTGTTTTCATCCCCTGAAGCATTTCAGTGATACGGGAAAGTAAACAGGAAAGCAAACATACATGTACCTACCCAATTTTTTTTTTTTTTTATCATATCTGCTTCTAAATCTGAATTTTCTGTCTTGTTTTAAAGAACAAACAATCCACACTTAAAGTCCCTGGGTATCCTTTCTAATTCAGATCTACTCTACTCACACACACTCCATAGATGACCCTTCTTGTGAATTTACTTTTTATAAAAGTAAATGTAGTTTGACCATAAGGGGAGATATATAGGTATACACACGTAATTGTTACAAACTCTAGTTTTGTACATTTTTTATTCTATAGCAACAGTTTTCAAACTTCTTTTAATTCATTTACAGACAATTGTTTTTTACAATAACACAAAACAAGCTGAATACTTGGTGATAAATCTAATCACAGATGTGTTCAGTCTGTACACTGGAAACCAAAACATTAAGAAAAATTGAAAAAAATTAAGTAAATGGAGGAGTATATCATTTTTATGGATTAGAGGATTCAATATTGTAAACAGGCCAATTCCCACAAAATAACCTATAGATTCAATACAATCCTAACAAAAATCCCAATTGGATGGTTTGTGCATTCAGTCTCTTACAATACCTCACATCGTGTAGCCCCTGGAAGCTCCACCATATCTTCAGAAGAAAATGAGAGTGAAATAAGCAAATATTGTATTAATATTTCTTTCAAAATAATTTTGACCTCACAGACCCCTTGGAAAGTTCTCAGAGTCTTCCAGGGTCCCCATACCACACTCTGAGAAACACTAACTATCCATTCCCTTGCTCACCTACTTGACCATTTCACACTTCTCTCTTCTCAACCTCTAATATCTCCCTGCCCACCTCCCAACCCTTACTCTTAGCTGTTAACTTGGCTTCCTATATAATAAAAAGTAAATAAAATGAAATAGTATATATATGTAATAAATAAAAATAAATAACATATATATACACACACACGTATGTATATTTAGAAGAGAACATCTACACATTTACTGGAAGATCTGTACTAACCCTCCTGCATTTATATCTACATAGTCTGCCTTACATTAACTATGGATGTAGAGTATGGATCTATACTCTAACTATGGTTAAACCATCTGTGCTCCTTTTCCATTCACTTATTTACCAGATCCCACCCCACCTCACCTACTCAATGACATATTTAAGCACTTTACCCTTTCCCATCATTATTCAAATATCTTGTACTAGTACCCTTTTTAAAACACTCCCCCAGCCTATATCATTCTTCAACTACTACTCAACTTCACTGTTCCCTTTTACAGCAAATGCTTCAAAAAATTCTGTCTATATTTACTATTGTTTGTTTCATGCATTCATGGTCCTATTAGAGTATAATCAAGCTGTATTTTCCACTCTACAAGTATTCCAAGACCTCCATGTTGCTAAATTCAATTCTCAATCTTCAACGCAGCAGAAATACCTGACATAACTCATCTCCTGCTGCCCATCCTCCACCCCACCCCACTTCTAGCAACACTTTCTTCACTTTCTCACTTGGTTCTCTCCTCTTATACCAGCAACTTTTTCTTCATCTCTCACCACCCGTATTAGTCTATTTAGTGTTCCTATAACAGAATACCTGAGGCTGGATAAGTTTTAAAGAAAAGAGGTTTGTTTGGCTCATAATTCTGGTTGCTGGGAAATCCAAGAGCATGGTGCTGGTATCTGCTTGGCTTCTGATGAGGGCCTTGGGCTATGTGACAGCATGGCAGAGAAGTGGAAGGGGAAGCCGGCACATGCAAAGAGACCTCACACTAGAGGCAACCTCACTCTTTATAACTTACCTGCTTTCTTGGGAACTAATCAATTCCCTGGAGATCTAATCTAAAGAGAAACATATTAATCTACCTTAATAACCTATTCACCTCTTAAATTGACCACCTCCCAACATTGCTATACTGAGAATTAAGCTTCCAACATGAGTTTTGGCAGGAACACTCAACCATAGCACCAACCTTTGATTTTGAAATACATCAGGGTTAAAATCTTGGCTTTTCTTTGTTTACATTTGCTTCTTACATGAAGCTCATTAATGGCCTTAATTATCAACTGTATCTCAGTGGACCCAATATTATTTATGCAGCCATGACCTCTTCCCTGAATCTAGACCTATAAATCTAACTGCTTACTCAACTTCTTTGCTTAGATTTCTAATGTTGAACATGTTCAAAATTAGACTTCTCACTTCCATCCCACATGTTGCTGCTCCCTTAGTCTTCTCTTTTTTAATAAATAGCAACTTTATCCTTCTAAGGAAACCTGTAAGTACCAGTGCAGTAATTGAAGTGAGAGACAGTGGTGCTTGGATTTGATTTGGTGAAGTATCAGTACAAGTGAAAAGTGTACTCTAATTTATGTTTCAAGATTGATATGACATATTGGATGTGGGGTGTGAAAAATCATTAGATCCTCAAATAATTTTTATGTCAGTTATATCTATCAATGTGTTTGCTATATTTGAAATTTAAACTGATAAATTTTAAATGTATATATTCATGTTTAATAATTCATTACATGTTAATATAAATAACATTTTGATAAAACAATAACTATATTCTCCAAGACAAAAAAACTTAATGGCATTGTTTTTCATTTTTTTCAAACCTTTTTAATTTTAGTTTTTGTTGAAAAGCTTCTTGAAGTGTTATTTTTGCTCCTTTGGAGATAATGCCTTTTTTCTCTGGCTCCTTTTAAGGGTTTCTGTCTATGGATTTCTGGCATGACATGCCAAAATGTGGTTTCTTGGTATTTTTTCTATTTTATATTTATTGAGTTTCTTAAATCTGTGGATTGATGCTTTTCATAAGCTTGGAAAAGCCTTAATCTATTACTTCTTCAGATAGTATAGTGCCTCTTCATTCTTTTTCTTTGGGGACCACAATTGTATGTATGTTGTACCTTTTAACTGTGTTCCACACATCTTTTTCATTTTTTCTGTTTTCTCTGTCTTTTCTCTGTCCTTCATTTTGGGTATTTTCTATCAACTTGTTTTGAATTTCTAATCCTGTCTTCTGTTCTAATGAGAGTGGTGTTGAATACATTCAGGGTTCCTAATGTCAAATATTATATTTTTTTTGGTTCTAGAATGGAATTTTATTTCATTATTTTTATAGGTTACATTTTAAAATTATAATTCTTTATCTATTTTTATCCATCTACTCTACTTTCTTTAACATATTAGTCATGGTTATTTTAGTTTATACTAGCAAAAATATTTGCATTATTCGTCTGCATCTATTATCTCTTTTTTCTCTAGATTGTCAATCTATAATCCTGACTTTTTTCTGTTTAATAATTTTTTATTTTATATCTGATAGTGTGTTAAATGATTGTAGATTTCCAGGTGATGTCTTTTATCAGAAAAGGCTAATTAAAACAAAGTAACAACAACAGGAAAACCTTGGACAGATAGGGTGAGGGGCTGATGCAGTCAGGCATTAAGTGGAGCTGGTACTTTTTTATAATATTACTAAGACCCTTGGTTTATTTATATTATTTTTATGTGGTTCTCTTAAGCTTTTGGTTGGAGACTCAGAAGAGTCTTTTCAGCTCTGAAAGACCCTTGGTAATTCAGTTCTTTCCCCCAACATAAGAAATTATGTTTAGCTCTTTAGCTTCCTGCCCCTTATACCTTCAAATTCTTGCAAATCTCCTGAGTTACGTGCTTAAAGTAAGCACCATCCCTTTAGCAGAATTTTGTTTCCAAGATACTACGAGAGATTTCATGTTGGCTTTTAGATGCAGTTGGCCAAGTTGCCCAGCTTTTTAAGCATGGCCCGGAATTTAAGTAAACGTGCGTTGAGGAAATTCAGCCTCGTGTTCAGGACACCACATGTTTGCACTTTGCTTAGAGGAATATAACTGACCCCTTGAAAGCTTTGCCGGTTTGGTTCTCCTGGTAGAGTCCCTGAGGGTGAGCCAAACCTGATTCTTAGTCTGTAACTAAAATCAGTATAGGCCTCCCAAATTAGCAAATAACCCCTGGGAAGAAATTAGCAGGTCATTCTTTTGCTCACTTTGGAAGAGCTCCTATCCTCTGAAATTCTAATTCATCTTATCTTCTTGCTTCAACAAGCCCTCTCATATCTTGAAAAATGTAAATTTTGTAATGTATTCATTTTTTTTCTAGTTCTTGCAATGGAAGTTTTGGGCTGCTGCCACCTACTACATTTTATCTGGCAGTAGAAGTTTCTATAAACAAGATTTCTCTGGCTCTTTCCAATTTTATTGGATATGTACCTTTGTTAAATAATTTCTTTTTAAAAAAATTAACTTTATACCTATACATTTTCTTTTAATTTTTTGGCAGTTTTATAAATTAATTTGGATATGAATTCATATTCTGATCATTGATTTTGTTGCTCTCTTTCTCGGCATTGTAAGTTTTGTAATTTTTTTCACTCTCTTTTTTGGATTTCTTCTCTATTACCATTTCTACATCTTTGTTCTTCCTGCTCTAATTGTTATTGATTGCCTCCACCATTCCCCATCCCCAGTATGATCTTGAATGAGGGCTAAAAATTGAGATATGAAGTTCCTACTCCAAGCTGATACTAACGATTTTGTAAATTCAGTCACTGACCCATGATCTTTTTAGGTTCAGTTCCTGTCTCCATTGAGACTAACTTTATGTGCTCCCTGCTGCTTCTTAAAAGCCATAGCCTTGGGTGGTAGTCAGCAGTGCTTTTTGTTTCATCTTTCTTTCATTATTAATAAGACATGCCCTAGCTCCAGCTCCTAGTTCCAAACAGTGAGCCTGAGTCCTGTTGCTAGAAGTGGGAGAACTTGTATTCCCTTTACTTCCATCAGCAAATCTCTAGGTTGCCTTGCATACTTTCTTGGCAAGCTAGAGATTTTATCTTGTTATGCTTCTTTTTCATTTCTGATACTTTGAAATGTTTACCTTATTCCTGACTGGCTATATTTTTCTTTTTATTTTCAATTCCATATGTCCCTGCTATGTTTTAACAAAGGGGAGACAGTTCATAAAAGCGTGAAATCACTACACCTTAGTCCAAAATTCAGAGACAAATTGTATTCTACATTTGGGCCAAACTCCTGGACTAATTTTAATTATCAATTTTACTTACTAGTTTTTTATCCTAGTAAATGCATAGATAATATTTGTTCCCCGATTGGAAGTATTAATTGTATTGCCTGTTTTTTGGTTGTTGTTGTTTTTTCCTGTTCCACTTGCTTTACTTTATTGGATGGGTAATTTTGCTCCTAAGAAAAGAAGGTCTAGGTTTGTTTTCCCAAAATAAGACAAGATATATTGGGTAAGAATTGTTAGTGCATTATTTTTTCTACTTCTCATCTTATATAAAAACATATTGTTAATACCTGGCTTTTTGCAAGACTTTAATCATTTGGTTAATAAAGTGATAGGCAGATGTGTCAGCATATACTCCCCAACTATTTTAGAAAGTTCAGTTTCTAGGTGAAATTTAGCATCAAAACAAATCTCATTACTATTTATTGAAATTATCATCAAAACGTACATTTAGAGTTTACCTTCTAGGTAGTAATGAGATTTCAGGCTTCAGAATCAGAATGGATAAACTGCTAATGTTATGTATAATTTAATTTTTTAAATCCCGTAAATATCAAGGTAACTGGTAATAAATGTAGGAAAAATATACAGATACGGACAATTGAAAACCATTAAATTGGAGGATATTTTTGTTTAAAAATCATAATTCTGCATTTAGCGTAGTATAAGGGGTAACTGAATAAAATAAAACTTGTGAGAGCAGGCTTCAGATATACATAAAAAGTATTCTGATACATCGCAGGTAATTAACTACAGATCCAGATTTAGTGAATTCAGGAGCTATAGGTAATTAGACCCTTGATATTAATTATATAATAATTTCAGAAAAATCATTTCAAGCACCTGCCATCTATTGATTTTTCTGGAATTTCAGTATTGAGATAAGTGATTTTTAGTAAAGAATTTGTAGCAAACAAACAGGACTGTTTAATACCCTCAGGAAAGTGAAATTTGAAAAGTAGCATATTCAGTTACAAGACCTTAAAAGTTACAATATTATTTCTTCCACAAAAATATTTTCAGCTAATTTAATTGCTAAAAAGTTAACATCACTTGCCTGGTTTAGCCAGGTTTTAAGAACTTCCTTGTTTAATATTGGACCTCATGCTCTTATCTTATACTCTTTGATATTTTCAGAAGCAATTTAACACAATAATTAAGAAGAGGGACTTCAAAATGAAGAGAATTCTATTTCTTCTTCTGCCATTTACTACTTGTCTCACTTAGCAAGCTGCTTACCCTCAAAACCTTTGTTTCTTCATCTGTGAAATGGAAGTGATAATATTATCTAATTTACAGGATTTGGGTGAGGGATAAATGGGTAAATCCATAGAGATCGTGCTTCTACATACTCTAGGCATAAATGTCAGTTTGTGTCTTAGTCCATACAGGCTGCTAAAACAAAATGCAATAGACTAGGTAGCTTATAAGCAACAGCATTTTTCTTTTGGTTCTGGATGCTGGAAAGTCCAAGCTCAAGATATGGGCAGGTTTGAAGTCTGGTCAGGTCCTGTTTCTTTGTTCATAGATGGCACCTTCTTGCTGTATTTTGTCATCGCATGGTATAAAAGGGATGAGCTAGCTCTCTGGGGTCTCTTATAGAACATTAATACCATTCATGAAGTTTCTGCCCTCATGACTTAGTTGCCTCCTACAGGCCCTGCCTCTTATACCATCACATTGGGGGTTAGGATTTTAAAGTGAATTTTGGGAGGGACTCAAACATTTAAACATAGCAGGATGATTTTTTTATATTTAGCTTGACTTCCTGAAGAAGAAAATTAATTAACATACATTACATATGTATTTAATTTAAAAGACAAATGCATTATATCCCCCCAACCATTACCTCCCTCCAGAAAGCCAAATTGCTTTAAAATATTTACCAGTTAAGTCACTTTCCAACCATATATTTCAGTGTCTATATATTGAGTGTTTAGTACTTGAGAGTTTTAGTTCATTATCCACTTCCAAATGCAGAGCAGCCTGAATTAATACAAGTTGAGTATACGTTATCCAAAATATATGGGATCAGAATGTTTCAGATTTTGGATATATATTTTGTTTGATTTTGGAATATTCTCATATACATAATGAGAAATCTTGGGGATGGGACCTAAGTCTAAACATGAAATTCATTTATGTGTCATCTATACTTTATACATATAGCCTGAAGGTAATTTTTTATTTTTCCCTTGGGAACACAAATAAACTGTGTGTGGTGTGCCTGCATTTTGACTTCGGCTTGTCCCATGACGTCAGGTGTGGAATTTTCCACTTGTGTTATCATGTCAGTGCTCAAAAAGTTTCAGACTTTGGAGCATTTTGGATTTGTATTTCAGATTTTTGGAATAGGAATGCTCAACTTGTGTACTGCTTTCAAGTAGAAATCAGTGATCAGTAATTTTGGATTGCTGTTGCATTAGTTTTCTCTTCTGCTCTAATTTTAGGACCTTTCACTAGAGGCACACAGTTTTTCCTAGAGAAAAGTGTATTTTTCATTCATATTGCACTGTTTGTAGGAGACTCAAAAAGGGCCAGGGGGAGAGAATTACATGAGACATCAGAATGTTTTAAGTGTACTGTTTAGAGCAGAAATGGGAAATCCTTGCTACAAACTTTGTTTTACTAATGTTACGCTGATCATAACCCAAAAAAATAATTTATTGAACTTTAGTATCTTCAGAGAGTTAGAAATGTTAAGTACTGTTCTCCTTTTTTTTTTTTTTTTTTTTTTTTTTGAGACGGAGTCTCGCTCTGTCGCCCAGGCCGGACTGCGGACTGCAGTGGCGCAATCTCGGCTCACTGCAAGCTCCGCTTCCCGGGTTCACGCCATTCTCCTGCCTCAGCCTCCCGAGTAGCTGGGACTACAGGCGCCCGCCACCGCGCCCGGCTAATTTTTTGTATTTTTAGTAGAGACGGGGTTTCACCTTGTTAGCCAGGATGGTCTCGATCTCCTGACCTCATGATCCACCCGCCTCGGCCTCCCAAAGTGCTGGGATTACAGGCGTGAGCCACCACGCCCGGCCTGTTCTCCTTTTTAAAGCCAATGGATAACAAACAAGTGCAGAATAACATAATATTTTGAATCGTAAGTGAAAGTGGGGAATTGCCACTCCATTTACAATTCAAACCATAGAGCCTCTTCCTCTATTTCTTTCTATCCTTGTCCTTTCTTCCTTTCTCTCTCAGTCCTATTTGATTGTTCCTCCTGATATTCCTCTACCATTTACTCTTAAGGCCATAACAAAGAGAATACATTATATTTATTGAGTTAATGTATGCCTATACTATTTAATAGAAAGTATAAGTGAGTCAGACAATGTATCTCTGAAAAATACTCACAAATTTGTTTGGGGTACATGAGCCACAATTGATTCGTTCTTCCTTACTTCTTTCTATACTTGGTCTTGCCATCTCTCACACAAGTCAGTGGCCTTAAAGAAATATAATTGTACTGTTCACCCCAAACTTACAGTAGAGTGTTCTAGTAGTATAATTTTTATCAAAAATTGTGAGAATTATTTAACAGCATCCCAAGAGTGGGGAGATGTTAAAGCCTACAGCAGTTAATTGTAGTAAACCATGCATGGTCTTTTTAAAAATTTTTAAGGTAACACTTTAATTTGTAAAGGTAATGCTATTTATTTTAAATAACTGATTATTTTATTGTACTGTTTATTGTATTGTCCTAGTTTTAATTACCAATATCTATTTTTTCTAGCTTATTAGCTGGAAATGTACATTTTTGGGGAAATGCTCTTACATGAAAATAAATCTGTTACAAATATTAAAAAAGACTTTTCTCAGAAGATTTGCTCCCTCTCCTCAAAGGTTAGCTGGTAATTTATATAATGCAGCTTAATCTTAAGAAAAGATCAGTTATCAAGAGTATAGGAAATGAGGTAATTGTGTGTTGCCATTTTTCTGGAAGCTGGGATTTCAGAGATGACATATGGATATTTCTCTAGTCTTGCAGAAGTCAAAGAAAGATGTTGAGTATTCATTGTTACTCCTGAGTGACAGTAACAGTTTTTGCCACATTTTGGCATATTCCAAATGTCCCTGCATTTGAGAGGTACTCCTCTCTTAATGACACATGAATTTTTTGTTTGTTTTTGTGTAACTCTAGCATTTCCTTTGGTAGCAGCTTAATTTGCTTCTTTCTTGAGCCCAAACCAAAAAAAATCATACAGCCTTTTATCTAGTACTTTGGAGTATGGTAAGAATAGACTAATACTGCAAAAGTGGGTGGGAAGATATAAATGTTTTGTGGATACAAGTATAAGATATAGAATACACATTTTAAAAAACAAATTATGTAAGAGTAAATTTAATAAAGTAACCTATATGAAGGGAAATTTTTGCAGTAAGCCCTGTATTATGATTCTCTAGACAAACAGAGCCATATATGTATTAAAAGAGATTTATTGTAAGGAATTGGCTCACACAATTTTGGGGCTAAGAAATCCTAAGACCTGTAGTCAACAAGCTGCAAACCCAGGAGAGCCACTAGTTTCATGTCAGTGGAGCCCAGAGGCCTGAGAATCAGGAGAGCTAATGGTGTAAATTCCAGTATGAAAGTCAGCAGTCTGAAGACCCAAGAAGAGCTGATTTTTCAGGTCCAAAGGCAGAAAAGGACTGCTGTCCCACCTCGTGCAGTCAGGTGGAAGGGTTAGCCTTTTGTTGTATTCAATCTTTGATTGGATGAAGGCCACCACCCACATTAGGAAGGACAATCTGCTTTACTCAGTCTACCCATTCAAATGTCAGTTTCATCCAGAAACACCCTCACAGACATACCTGCATTAATATTTGACCAAATGTCTGGGCACCCTGTCACCCAGTCAAGTTGGCACATAAAATGAACCATCACAAGCACCTAGGAGCTGAGTGCAAGCCAACAGTGAACTGTTGTTTTTGTTTAATCTTAAAGACGTGACACTGGAATGAATAAGCACTGTTCTGTATATCAATAATGAAATAAACCCATTCATTCATTCATTCCATAAATATTTATAAATCATCCACTTTGTGTGAAGTTCTGTGCTAGCTGCTGGAAATACGGTGGTGAATAATATGTAGGTGGTTCCTTCTCTCCCAAAGTTTTTGAAAGTGGATGCTAAACTGCCAATTCCTTAGTTACTTGATTAATTACATTTGTTATAAGGGCTTTCATGGATGTTATAGGAGTGTATACATAGAGAATTTTACCTACTTTGGGTTGTCGGGTGAGAAATGTAGTCAGGGAAGACCTCTCTGAATTAGTGATATTTGAGCTGATCTCTAAAGGATAATAAAAACCTTGAAGTGAGGAGTGGTGGAAATTCCAGCATATATGAAAGTTCTAAGGCCAAAGGGAGGATCTGTTTAAAGAACCAAGTGCAGGGCTGATGAGGTTAGAGAAATTGATAAGGCGCCAATTGTTGGTCAGATCCTGGAAAACAGAATCCTATAGTTTGATTCAGCATTCTAGTAGGTTTAGATGGGCTTCGCTGACTTCAGTGTTAATGATCTGATCTAAGAGCATTGGTCTGTTCAGAAGAACCTCAGAATACCAACTGGAAAGAAGACAACTCATTAACAGTGACTTGCTCAATATTGCACATATGGAGGACATAGTTAGTCTCCTGAGTTCTGAGTATTCTGACTCCCTGGTAGTACCAAGCTATGTCTTTTGCGTTTCAAAGAAACGTTAACAAGTAATAATTTTGCGTTATTTTCATTTTTCATACAGTAAAATTTACTGTTTGTAGAGTACAGGTTTATAATTTTGATAGATGCATGGAGTCATGGATCCACCTAGTTGTGATATAGAGCAGTTCCATCACCCCAACAATTCCTACTTGCTGTCCTTTTTAGTAAACTCCTTCCCCCACTCCAACCTATGGCAACCACTGATGTAAATTTTATTCCTACAATAGTTTTACTTTTTCCATGTGTCATGTAAATGCAATAGTATGTGCAGCCTTTTGGAACTGGGCTCTTTAACTTAGAAAATTGATTTAGGATTCACCCATGCTGTTGTGTGGATCAATAGTAGTTGTTTTTCCTTTTTTGTTTTTTCTCTTATGACTGAGTGATACTCTGTTGTATGGATATGCCACAGTTAGTTTATCCCTTCACTAGTAGAAGATCCTGTACACTGTTTCTAATTTGGGGGATTATAAATAAAGCTGCTGTAAACATTTATGTCATTTATGTACAGATTTTCATGTGGCCATACATTTTCAGTTCATTTTGGTAAATACTTAGAAGTGGGATTGCTAGGACATGTAGTAGGTGTATCTTTAACTTTTTTAGAAACCTGTCAGACTTTTCTGAAGTGGTTGTACCGTTGGAAATGGCTATGCCATTGCTCTGCACCAGCACTTGGTGTTGTCAGGGTTTTTACTTATTTGCACAATTCTAATAGGTGTCTAGTGGTATCACACTGTGGTTTTAATTTGAACTTCTCTAATGACTGATGATGTTGAGCACGTTTTTATGTTTATTTGATGCCCTTCTCTCTTCCTCTCTAAAGTGTCTATTTTAATCTTCTGCCCATTTAAAAACAATTTGTTTTCTTAGTGTTTTGAGAGTGATTTATGTATTCTTAATATGAGCCTTAGTCAGAAATTTGCTTTACGAATATTTTCTCCCAGTCTTCAGCTTTTCTTTTCATTATCTTAACAGTATCTAATAGCTATAGCTAATTTTGATAAAGTCAAGTTTTCAATTTTTTTTTTCCTTCTATGGATCCCGCTTTTGGTGAAGTGTCTAAAAACTCTTTATCTAACTCAGTATTACAAAGATTTTCTCCTAAAAGTTTTATAGTTTTATGTTTTACACTTAAGTTTATGATCTGTGTTGAGTAAATTTTTGTGGGACGGGGTGAGAGATATGTATTGAAGTTCGTCTTTTTTGCATTTGGGCATCCAGCTGTTATTGTTTGTTCAGCATCATTTGTTGGAAAAAAAACAAAAACAAAAACAAAAAAACAAAAAACCTGCCTTTCTCAATTGAATTACCTCTACAACTTTGTGAAAAATCATGTTCCTATATTTATGCTGCTCTGTTTCCAGAATTTTTATTAATCTGTCTTTAACAAATACATAGCATACTGTCTTGATTGCACTAGCTTTAATAGTAAATCTTAAAATTGGGTAGTGTGAGTCCTTCAACTTTATTTTTCTCTTTCAGAATTATTTCCGTTATTTTAGTATTTTATAATTATTTTTTGAAGCCACATACCGTATGTCAAACAACTGGAAAATAATTGTAAATGGTCTTTACCTGGAAATGGGCCTAGTTTTTGTTTTCTGCAGGAGGCTTTAATGTGGAGGAGAGGTGAGTTAAGCTAGTCAGGAGTCACAAAATTTGATATTTGTTGTTGCTGTGGGTACCCTCAGTGCACCTCTGACCTCAAATCTTCTAATAATATGTTGTATTTAGGGCATGGGCTGATTTTCCAGGTGGATTTTCTCAATATCTTCTCTACCTTCAGCTCTCAAATTCTTCTCTTCTACAACTCTCTCAGCAGTGAGGGCAGAGAATGGGGACATTTTCTGTTTTTCTGATTAAGATTATATTATACCCCTCAGACTGGGGTGAGGTCTTCTGATCCTGCCCATCCCGTTGCTGTAGGCTGCGGTGGGTTTCACTTGTGCCTCAAGGACAAGTAATGCTTATTCTATTCCTCCCCACCCACTCCTTGTTAAGGCTTTTCCATAGGGGTCATATGGGAGAAGAGCCTAGTCTGGGGGCGGAGCTTCATTCCATACCTTTCCCAGCCAGGGTGGTTGCTGTAGTTTTTAAACCCCTAAGGGGTCAGTAGAGAAAAGGCAGCAAGCGAGTGTGAACGCTCTTTATCAGTGGCCCCAGGGGCTCCACATTCTGTCTGTAATTCACAATTTTTCTCCCTCCAGCTTGTCTGAGGTGTTTTGTTAAAAGGCTAGGAGGGACATTCTTCCTAATACTCTATGTCTGAACAAGTGAGGAAGAAAGTGAGCTGAAACCTGATGTTTCATAGAAACAATTTTAATTCTAAAGACACTTTTTCATGTTCAATCTGTTCATCTATTATCTAATAGTATATTCCTTATAATTTATTTATAGTAGCTTTAAAAGCTTATTAATCTCCTAAGAAAAAGGCAGTAAGTAAATTCATTGTATCAAAGAAAAAGAACAATGGATGTCTTTCATTTCAGTTTCAGCTGCCTTTCTGCCAGGAAATCAAGAGTGTCACCACAAAAATGATAACTATGTGAAGTAATGCATATGTTAATTAGTTAGAATTAGGCCTTCCTCAATGTATATCTACTTCAAAACATCATGTTATACATGGTAAATACATATAATTTTATCTGTCACTTTTTAAAAAAATTAAGTAAATCAATCAAAAGGCTAGCTACAGAAGGATGATCTTGGCATTCCTCATTTTCAAGACAAGTGAAAATGGGGGAAAAACTAACTCTAGGATTTTAAATTGAATTAATAAAAAATTAAGAATGTAATAAATATTGGCTCAATATTAATGAAGGTAAGAAATGTAAGACATTTAGTTAAGATACACATACAAAGTCAAACCCTGTACAATACCGTTGCTTTTAAATACAGTGTTATCTTTGTATGATTGTGATAACCGACTGTCATTACATTATCTCATTTGGAATAATAATAATATACATGTATATAAATATTCACAAATACAGAAAAGTCTGTTTTAGACTGTCTAAATTATTTATGTGTTGTGTACACATACTTTGGTGGGATTTTCATTTTACAAATGATAAAATGTAACCTAACAGAAAAATGTGAATCTGTGTGTCACTTGATGTAGACATCCCCAAATAGGTGCTTTTGAAATAATTGAAAGGGAACTTAATATGGAAATTCTGAGTTTAGTAAATTTTTAATCCTTTGTTTTAAAGTAACAAAACTTTTTCCATCAAGTATCATTCATTCATGAAGCAAATTTATTGAGTGTTTGTGATGTGCTAAGAGTGGTTTTGAGTGCTGGGAAATTTAACAGTGCACAAGATAGGCATAGTTCCTGCCCTCCTGAAGCCTACATTATGGGCAAGGAGATGTGGAGGTGTGCAGGAGCTTCACTCTCAGCCTTGTAACAAAAGCAGTACAGAAGTAACACAACAAGTTAATCTAAGAATGTGATAAATGCTACAAAAAAACAATTGCAGGAACAGTAATGGTGATGAGGGCTGCTTTAGATATGGTGGTCAGAGAAGGCTTCTTTCAGGAGTAAAACTTGTGCTGAAACCTGAAGGATAAGAAGTACTGCCTGGCGAGGGAGCTTTCTTGGTAGAGAAAAAAGCTCAGTGTTAGAAATAGGTCCTGAATGGGGGGGAAAAAGAAAAAAGCTTGGTGTTAAAACAGAAAGGAAGACAATGTGCTAAAACGAAAAGGAGGACTTAGGAATGAATCCTATCTACTTTTTACATGACTAAGACCATTTTAAATAGTACTGGGGAATAACTTCAAGGCAAGAAAGTGAATGAAAAGCTCTATGTATTTTGAAACTATGAGAGACCTATAATCCCAAACCTCAATCTAATGTGAAAGTTAATATCAAATTGAGATGCAAAGCTGGCAGACCATTATTCGTTGAAATAAGTGCATATGCTGATGAATATCAAGAGGACAAAAGCTCTCATTTGATCCCAGGGAGATAAGTTATAGACTTATGGTAGCAGTTTCCTGGACCCAGATAAGCATATAGAAAGAATGAAGAGGGGAAGGCAGAATGAGTCACACAGATGAGCCATGTATGTGCAGGAGGAAGGTATTGAGTGTAGTATTGGGTGTAGTAAAAGGTATTGGGTGTAGTAAACTCTACGGGTTGTGTACATCCCCATAGCTTTTGATCTTAATTGGCTGGGGAGAAGTCAAAGCTCAAAGAAATTGTTTATACCTATAACTCTGACGCATAAGGAGACTTCTTGCCAGCCTAGACACTGCATACACTCAACTTTTAATTGCTGATCCAGAAAGAATTTACTCAAAAAGAGCTATCACAGGATACATAAAATATATCTCAAGAACAAATGGGGAAGGAATGTGAAAAACAGGGCATAAGAAACACCATAAAAAATGTTTTCATCGAACAAAAGGAATCTTTGACCAAATATATTGCCTTAAATGAAAACAATTAATGAGTGATTGCCCAAGTTAAACAGTTGCATGAAGCAGAGATATAAGTGCTTGGAAAAGAGTTGGTGAAACAACAGAATGAGATGGAACATAGCAAAAATCTTTTCTTATTGTCACTGAACTGGGGAATCCCCTTAGAAATGTGACATAAAACTTAGAAGCTATAAATGGAAAAAAAAAAAAAAAGACTGATGTATTATCTATATAAAAGTAAAAAAAAAAAAAAGAAATTGTACATGTCCAAAAAAAACCTTTCAAAAAGTCAAAAGAAAAATGACAAATGGTGGAAAAAAATTGTATTACATACAACAAACAATTTTTTTTTTTTTTTTTTGAGACGGAGTCTCACTCTGTCACCCAGCCTGGAGTGGAGTGGCACTATCTCAATTTCTTAACACTTAAAGAGTGCCAATAAGAGAAAAATTGGCAGTCTTTGGGGAAATGGGTAAAGTGTATGAAAACACAATTTAAAGAAAAAGAAATATGATTCCTAGGCACATGTGAATATGATTGCCCTTATGGTAAGGAATTATAAATTAAAAGCATGAAGGGGTACATAAATAGAAGGGATATGTTCTAGTATTCAATAATACTAGTTAACAATATTACATTTCAAAATAGCTAGAAAAGAAGAATTGTAATATTCTTAGTACACAGAAGATATAAATGTTTGAGGTGATAGGTACCACGATTACCCTGATTTGATCATTACAGATTGCATGTAGGTATCAAAATATCACATATTTCGTACCCCCAAAATATGTACAACTATTATATAGTATATAATATTAATATATGTATTGTATAGTTTTTTTTAACTATAATGAGGATGCCATTTTTCACCTAGCTGTAGAAAAAGTAAATAACATTAATCACTATTATGGAGAGGCTAGGAAAACACCTACTGTTACACAACTGTTGCCTGTGTGTGTATAAATATATACATATATATGTGTGTGATAAATATGTACACACACATTACATATATGGGTATATATATACATTATGTGTGTGTATATATGTATGTATGTGTGTGTATATATATAAAATTTATAAGGACAGCATCACTTTGGCAATATCTATCAAAATATACATAAAGGTGTCCCTTAATCTAACAATTCTATTCCTAGTAATATATCCTACTGACATACATGTACGTTACAAAATTATGTGGACAAAAACATGATAGATTTAAACTGTACCCTATTAACAACTACATTAAGTGTAAATGATAAATATCTTAATTAAAGGATAGAATTTGACTGGGTAAAAATACAAGATTTAATTATATGTTGCCTATAAAAATTTCACTTCACATATAAAGAGGCAAATAGCTTAAATATAAAAAAAATTAAAAAACATGTACCATGCTAACCCTAATTAAAAGAAAGGTGGTGTGCCTAACATTAATATCAGACAAGGTAGATTTTGGAGAAAAGACTATTACTAGATATAGAGTCATTTCCTAATGATACAGGGGCCAGTTACTTAAGAGGACATAACAGTCATAACATTTGTAGCCCTTAAAACAGAACTTCAAAATATAGGAAGCAAAACTAACACTATTTTAAGAAGTAGACACTTATATTCAAATATTTTAACACTCCCTTTTTAACAACTGATAGAGTAAATAAACCAAAAATCAGTAAGTACGTAGGACCCTTGGACAATACTGTTACCGAATCAACCTAATTGTCAATTACAGAACAGTCTGCCCAGCAACAACAGTATGTGCATTCTTTTTTTTTTTTTTTTTTTTTTTTTTTTTGAGACGGAGTCTTGCTCTGTCGCCCAGGCCGGACTGCGGACTGCAGTGGCGCAATCTCGGTTCACTGCAAGCTCTGCTTCCCGGGTTCACGCCATTCTCCTGCCTCAGCCTCCCAAGGAGCTGGGACTACAGGCGCCTGCCACCGCGCCCGGCTAATTTTTTGTATTTTTAGTAGAGACGGGGTTTCACCTTGTTAGCCAGGATGGTCTCGATCTCCTGACCTCGTGATCCACCCGCCTCGGCCTCCCTGTGCATTCTTTTTAAGTGCATACACAGCATTTGCTAGGATAGATATACTCTGGGCCGTAAAATAAGTCACAATGAATTTGAAGCTATGGAAGTTACACAAAACATGTTATCTGATACAATTCTATTAAACTGTGATAATACAGATATAGATAACTGGGACATTCTCAATTATTTGAAAGCTATATAACTCACTTCTGAATAATGGATGTTTTAAAGAAGAAATCAAAGGGAAATTATTTTTAAGTGGATGATACTGAAAATACTTAGAGGGAAATTAACAGCATTAAAGGATTATATTAGAGGAGAAGGAAAGTATGGAAAATGACTTCAATTTCCACTGTAAGAAACTAGGTAAAGAAGAGCAAATATCCTGGAATAGGCAAAAGAAAGGAGATAATCACTAAATCCTATTAATATTACTCACCAAATTTCTTTCAAATCTGTCTACTTTTTGCTATCCCCACTGCTACTAATTTATAATTTACTTTCTCATATTGGTTATGGCTAGTCAGTGGACCATAGTGGCTAAGAGTGGAGACTAGGTTGACCCCCACTATGATGTGCCCAGGACTAGGGGAGAAGGAGATTGGGAAGAGGCGGGGCTGGGTCCTGAGACACAGTACTTGAAACTGGGAATGTCCCAGGCAAACCAGGATGGATTGTCCCCCTTGTGTAGGTTCTGGAACCAGACCTTGGACTTGAATCCCTTTCTTACCACTTATAAAGTAACAAGTGACTGATCCTCTTGTGCCTTGATTACCTTTCCTGGAAATGAGTATTATAATAGTACCCACCTTAAAGAATTAATGTGAGAATCAGATGAGTTAATGGATGTGTGAAGTACTTAAAGCATATAGAGCACTGAATTAAAGTTGGCAGTGATGGCCTTGGTGATAGTGGTAGTTCTGGATGGAGATTTTTTTTTCTAAGTTCTAAGCATTGGCCTCATATCTCACTCTTTCCTTCTAGACTTACCCTATATCAGATTTTCCTTCACATATACCAGAGTTACCTTTCTAAACTCCAGTATAAACATATCAATTTTCTGCTTAAAATATTTCAGTGGCTTCTTAATACCCTTAGAGCAAAGCCCACAATTTATAATAATACCCAGCATTTACTCATTTTCATGCTTCTCATAATTCTTTCTTCCATACTTCACTGGTCTTTCTCTTCTTTAAGCCTTTGCATGTGCTGTTGCCTCAACTAGATTTTCTTTCCTGTGTGTCCTCCCCTACCCCCAGCTATTTCTCCTGACTAAACTCCTTCTCCTGGCTCATTACCTTACCAACCTCAATTCCCAATTTCCCTGACCTCTCCCCCACACTTCCCCTGTCAAAAGTAACTTAAGATGGCTTCCTGTGTGCTATATCTGAAGTGGTACTTATTATGTACATTATTCTAGTATATTGTGTTCTCTATATATTGTACTATATGACTACGTTACTGATTTTTCATCAGCCATCTTTATGCTCATAATGGACAAAATATATGTTTAAGATACAATAGAGTAGGTTTTCCCAAACTCAGCATGTTCCTTGCCAGGATTACCCCACCTTCCCTCTACCCTCCTGTAGCAGTATGATTGTTTCCTCAAAACTTAGTTCATCTTGAGCACCTAATATATGAATATTATTCTGACATTCTCTTCCTTCCCTACCTACTGCACTTAAGTTGGTCATTTCTTTTTATCTTGTTAGGAATTTTACTGCTTTTTCTTATAGCACTGAGAACAGTGCATTGAAGTTAATTCATTTTCCATTCTAGCTTGCAACAATGTCAAGTCTTTAGGTTCTACTGTGGGCACTATGCTAGGTTCTAGGGGTATACTGATGAGTAAAACCAATTTAGTCTCTCTTGATGCTTACAGTTAAAGAAAAATTTTAAAAAGACACTACATAATTAAATATAAAATTGCAAATTTGTTAGTGGAGTGGAAAAGAACTACTGTATTTGACGTTATGGAAGCATGTAATAGGGATTTGACCTTGAGAAGGTTACTCTCAACTTAAAATTGAAGATAAACTACATGAAGAGAGACGGGAAGTGCATGCCAGGCAGAGGAAACTGCAAATGAAAAGGCCCACGTGTAATTGTGTCTCATGAAGTCATTGAAAGAAGGCTAGTCTGGCTGGAATAACATTTGAAGTGACCCTGGCTGCAGTAGAAACTCACAGGAGGTGAGCTGTTGGAGGCATGTAGATTGTTAGGGTAGCCCAGGTAAAAGAGACGAAGAATTGAGGTAGGTTGGCCTACAGTGATGATGTTACAGGATATTTGAGATTTTTTAAAAAGAAATATTGATTCTTGCATGGTGATAAATTAGATCTTGGTGGCTATTATATTGAAAGACTAAGAAAACACACTTTTAGAACACATTATTTGTAAGTTTCTGGTGTGCATAACTGGATGGATTATGTCCTCTTCACTGTTGTATCTGCTCAGCACCTTATTGACCCCACAGCACACATCAAGTAAATATTTGTTGAAAATGAATGAGCGTGTTGTATTTATGAAAAAGTTATATTCAACTGCAATATAAGTTACACGCATAAGAAATGCATTAATTAATGGAGTAAAGCCTAATACTTTGTTCTTACTTTGAAGTTTGAAAATATGTCAAATGGGATCTAGAATATAGTTCATCTTTGTACAGTCTTTTAAAATAAAATTTGTGGAAGACGAGCTTGTATAAACTGCAGTAATTTTGTGGGAAAAGTGGTGATAAAATACTTCTACTACAGAACTCTTGATATTTTGCTTTTTATTAAGGTGATCCCCAGAGTTTGTTTTGTTTTCCACTCTGCAACACATTTTAGCTTTGTCATAAGGAAATCACGCTTTTTATCACTGACTCAAAACAATCAGAAAGGGAATATTGAAATATAGTTTTCTTCAATTCTGAATGCCTTTGTTAATTATGCTGAATTACACACACCCACACACCCACCTACTCTTGATTGTTCAAAATGCTGTAATTGGAAATACAAACTATTTGGGACCAATGTTGTACTTAAAGTAAGGAATTGAAACTTGTATAATATTTTTTGTTCTAATACCTTATTTTATTCTTAAAGAATTTATAATTAATACTCTAATGTTTGAATAATAAATCTTAACATCATAGCCACTTAACATTCAAAATGCTCATGTGTATGTGTTTTACAGGTGTGTTCTACTCCCTCTTCTGGGAATGAAGCCTCCCCAGCAAAGCCTATACCTGCTTGTTGATTCTGTTGATGAAGGGTGTAACATTACTGAAGGTGAACAAACGTCTACCAGCTTATCTGGGACTGTTGCAGCACTTTTAGCTGGTCACCATGAGTTCTTTCCACCATGGCTATTGCTTCTCTGTTCTGCCCGAAAGCAGAGTAAGGCTGTTACTAAAATGTTTACTGGTAAGCATAATTACTTACTGCCATCCTTAAATGCTTTTCATTAATGAACTAGTTTCTTAGAGGAAAAAGTATGCAGTTGAACATCTGCGTGTTGCATTTGCTCCTTCTATCAGCTATTCTCAATTGTGCGTTTTGAAATTTATATAAAAAAGCCTTAGCATGTTTTTAAGATCATTTAAACATACTTTTTTTCAAGATTCTTTTCCTAAGTGCTTTAGTAACAGGAGTATCTCATGCCATATTTGCTGCTATACATCTTGGGGCTGCATTTGTTATGTTGTTGTATCATGATCAATTTAAACCTTTTTCTGATGTTTGAGATTACAGTCTATGTAATATATAAAAGCACACTGTCAGAGTTTCTTTTTTTTTCTTTCTCTTACTTTTTTTACTTTTCTTTATTTACTACCGTAATAAAGTTGTGGTTACTCCTATTAGATTAACACACTCTTTGTCTTGTGGGAAATAAAAGAAGTGTAAAACAAGGACATATCACAGGATATATAGTGTAATTGGAGAGATATTAATGATTAATTAGCCATATAACTTTTGAGTAGTTCTATACATTTTACAGTATGTTGAAATCTTGTTAGTTTGTTAAAATAATTTTCTGTAAGCGGCTTTATTCCTTCTATCAGGTTGTCTCTCTTCAATTCCCTTGCTACTAAAGGCAGCACTTTTGGTTTCCACATATGGCATTCTTTCTTGTTGTTATTGATAAAAATATAGTTGGTAAAAGTTTAGTAATTTAAATAACAATAGCTAACACTTAACGTAGCATTTAGTATGTCAGGCATAGGTACAGTAGAAGCCCCTTTTGGTCTGTGTCACCGTTCCTTTCTTTTCCTCATTAGAGAAAACCAGTATTATTCACTTATTTTATATGCTTTCAGCTCATATTTTATATTATGTATGTTTATAGTTTACATAAATGAAACACTCCGTACACCATCTGAGCTTTTACCACTCACTAGCCATGTGACTTTACACAATTTATATTCTGTGTGCCTCTGTTTCCTTATCTATGAAATGGGGATTATAATATTACTTTTCTTATAGGATTTTTGTAAGGTTAAATGACAAATTACATATGAAGCACTTAAGACAATGCCTAATACATAGTAAGTGCTTCAGAAATATATCGTTGCTATTATTATTTGATTCTCTTTTTTTAGCCAACAATATTTTTGAGCCATATTCATTATAAATCCATTTCATTGGTTTTAATTGGTAGATAGTACTCCTTCCCATCAATAAATCTCTTTTTATTTTTCCGTTATCCTGTTCATGGACATTTAGATCATTTTCAGTTTTTTGCTGTTACAAAAAATGCTTCATGAACATATTTGTTCATGTATTCTTGTGCACATGTGCTGAAAGTTTACATTATAAATCTAGACTTGTAATTGCTGGATTATAGAGTATGTACATTTTGAACTCCAGTTAAATTTACTTCTTTTTTTGGGATATTAATTATTAAATTGTTGGGCTGTATATAAACATGTGACCACCACTCTGTTCATGGTAGATGTGGAATTTTGAGGTAAAAATTTAAGGATATTGCTAAAGTTATTAATACATATTGTCAAATTGCTTTCCAAAAGGATATATATTATTATATTCCTACCTGAAAGTGTTGGGTGGTTTCTTTTTACTTGCACCAGTATTGAATTATGTCTTTCTTTAATTTGTCAATGTGGTATGTGAAAAATACTCTATTATGTTTATTTGTACTTCTTGTTTACTGTTGAACCCTTTCTCCCTTATGCTTATTTCATCAATTTGCCTTTTTTCCATGAAATTCTGCTATCTGACCTTTATGTTTTTATTGGGAAGTCAAAGTTATTTTCTTACTGATTTTCAGGGCTTGTATTTGATATTTTTTCAATTCTTTGCAACTATTTTCTTCAGCTTTTTAAAATTGTAATAATTATTTTGAAGTATATTATTTGTAACCTCTAATGTATTGTCCTTTACTATTCTGTATTCTTAGTTTTACCTTTAATGATTTTGCCCATATACACTATTTTTTACTAAAAGGTATGAAATAAAGCTCTAACTTGAATAATCTGTAAAATCATAAATTTTCTCAGCAATTTATTGACTTCCTTTACAATTACTTGGTGATTTTTTTTCATCATACATTAAGTTTGGGTGTGTGTACATATAGATATGTCTGTGTACTATTACTCTATTTCTAAACTATTCATCTGCTCTTCTAAACTATCTGTTAGCATTATTATGCAAATAAAATGTTGGCTTAATTTTTGTAATTTTCTTGTGCAATTACTTCCCAGCCCTCTTTGCCATCATTATTATTATTTTAAATTATATATTTTTACCTGTGCTCCTCTAGGTTGTAATAGCATATTTTAAATTATAACTGTCAGTGATATAAACCAAAAAATTATTAAGATTTTGATAAAATTGCAATTTAAATAAGAAAGAATTTGCTGTTTAAAATATGCTTTCTTTCTACTCATAAACATAACATATCTGTGCATTTATTCAAGTTTCTCCTTAGATTTTCCAGTTATCCTTCTATATGTCCTACACATATCTTTCTGGTCTTTGCTTACGTTTTAAGTTGAAATGTATGTGTTTTTAGTTGTATGCATTTGAAATTAAAATTGCACGTGTATCATCATAGCCAGTAACATTAAGATCTTTACTATGTCTAAATTGGCTTCACCTACTCATATCTGAGGATTAAGCCTTTGGAAAGACAGTTTTTATAACTTTTCTGATGTATTCACTATACTGACCAGTAGCATTTTCATTAATGGCTTCAGATTAATCTAATGAAAATGACTTTGGCACTAAGCACAATTTTGACTACAACTAGGGTATTCTCATAGGCTGATCATTGTTAGGCCTTGTTATGGGACTGAAAGAAATAGCAGCCTATTTCAAAACATTTTGTGCACAAAAAATTAACCCTCCAAGATTTTTAAAAGATTATTTATGTGTTTATTTTATCTGATTATAAAAGTATTACAGGCTCCATTTAGAACATATTTTAAATGACAACATACACAAATATTACACCAGATACTAATAAGAGTGCTTAATTATTATTAACACGTTGTGTTAAATTCTGTATATGTTCCCCTTCCTAGTTGAGATCATGCTATATATCAATTTGATTTTCTGCTTTTTAAATTTAACATTGACAAACCTTTCAGTGTCACCATATTGTCTTTTTAATGACTATTTTAATGCCTACATATTTTATTTGTATATTAATATGCTGGCATTTGCTTAAACTTCTTGTTATATTTTTAGGTTTTATTTTCGTATTGCTTATCCTCATATGTTCTTCATGATAATAAGTAATTTCAGTAAGCATCAATTTATAAATATTGGCACAGGTCTTCTCTTTCACTCTGTTTTCACCAGTACTGCGTAATGCGGTACCCTGAGAAATAATTCAAGCAAGAATAGAAAATAATAGAAATGTTTCAAGTAAGAATAGAAAAGTTCAAGTAAGAATAGAAAAGTTCAAGTAAGAATAGAAAAGAATAGAAAAATACTTCTATTCAAGTAAGAATAGAAAAGAAATAGGGAGGTAGGTGGTCCATCATTTCAGTAAGTCATGTTTTTATTCCCCTAGAAGTTTTGATTATTTTTCAGCCCTATCTTATGTTTAAAAGTGCTTTGATAGCTATATATTGTGTGTGTTCATAATAAGAGGATTACATGTGTATTAGTCAGAAGTTATAATTTTTAAAAGTAATTATTTTCAGTACTGTAACTCAAGATATTTAAGTTGTTGATTAATAGATATTCTTAGTTCTGTTTTAATGAACAGATAACTATTATAACCATCATTGGTAAAGAACATGGTAATTTCTTCTATCTAAAATCCATATTATTAAGTATTTAGATTGGGGGGAGATTTATTCTCTAAATTATAAATTCTCTGTAAGTTTTCTTTATGAAATTCTATACTTTCTTATAGAATTAATCCTATGTCCCTACTCCCTCCTCTTCATTCCCCTGTCAAACACTTGAGTTTTCTTTCACAGCTTTCTATTCTTGTTCCTATCTTAATGAAAAGAGCAAACTTCAAAGTCAAACAAAACAATCAAAATTTATCACTTTCTAGCTGTGTTACTGTGAGCAATTTATTTAGCCTTTCTGAGCTTTAGGTTCCTCATTTTTTAAAATAGAAATATTTATCTCCCAGGCTTAACAGACAAGGAAGTTTTATAAATAATGAATACTTAAACTACTACCTTAGTTGACTCTCAATAAATGTAGCTCTCCTTTATTCCTTTCTGTAGAACCCTACCTGTTACTGTGGAGTTTCTGTCTTAATAATCTCAAGTTCCAATCATGACATCTTAGTTAATTAGGTTTAAATTTTAGATATTTATTCATAATGTATTATCTTTCATGTAAATCAAGTAGTGTAATATAAAGTCTTACATTAAAGTAATGTAAAGTATTACATTGCTTCAGAAACTTTAAAACACTATATAATGTAAAATAATATTATTTCTTAAGTAACTTATTTTATTAGCAATGTACTAGGTATTTCCCTTATCTAACTTAAATTTTAAAGTGAATTGATAAAGTCAAAAGCAAATGGACACACAGAAAAAGATTTGGAGGCAAATCATCTCACATCATTGGTAAATATAGATTGCTGTAAATTTCTAGGTATGTTTTAAACCCTCCTTAGGTGAGCAGTGACTTTTTCACAATTGAAATTTATCTTTTGAAATTATTTCTGTTGAGGATTTAATAATCAATTGTGTGTGTATACATATATATGTAAAATTAGATTCTATTTTTATATAGATTTAGGGCTATATAAATCTATATACAAAGGGCTATATTAGTACAACTGTTATTCATATTTTATTCTTGGTAGGTTGTTTTTAATTTTTCAATAACTGTCCATTTTGTCTACATACTTAAAGCTTAGTATTACAAAATTGAGTTCATCAGCTTTTTCTCCAAACCTATTATTTGTCCTTCACTGGTCTCTTTTTCAGTCCTGTTGGCAGAGCCACAAGTTAGTGTCAGCTTTGACTCGTCCTTCTCTCTTTACTTCTCCACATTCACCAAACACTGTATAATCTAGCTCTTATTAAAAATTCCCAAGTCCATCACGTTATTTTTGCTGCTGCTGCTGCTGCTGCAACTGCTGCCACCACCATGGCTGTTCAGGCTCATAGTGATTTTCATCTAGAGTGCATCACAGCCTCTTTAAAAATCGTTTTTCCTTTAGTCTTGACTTGCTCCAGTTCTTCTTTAGATGTTAGAATATTCCTTCAAAATGCAAATCTGGTCATGTTAGAGACTTGGTAAGTTCATTCACTTAGCAGTTTTTTGTTCTGTAAGATGAATACACAATTGTCTAATAAGTTCATATCTGTATATCATGATGTCATCTGCCTTTAGACAGTGAAATTATGGCTTCCTTTAAAGAACTTAAAATGAGTTTAAAATAGCTATAGCTAGTATATTTTTAGGTTGGTTTAAATCTTATTATTTATTTTACAGTGCTGAAGTTTTTTGACCATAATTTAGCCAAAAAGTTGGATCTTAATTGGTTCAAGCTATTTATTGATGGTCTGAGATTTAGTTATTTTAGTTTGATAAAATGTACAGTAATGTAGTTTAAAGACAATGACTGGATATTCTAATTGGATGTAAATATTCAGTCACATAATTAAGGCTAGTGTATATTCAAGTGTATAGGTGAAAATATATAAATTATTTATATGGAAGAGATTTTGTAAAAAGAAACCTTACTTGTTATGTCTCCTGCAACTTTTTTTCCCAATCACTTGGGAGTTCAGATGATGTTAACTGGGTACTTTTATGGTTATGTAAGACTGTCTGCTTCTTAATTAGTATCTATTACAATGGAGTTGAGAGAGGCACCAAGCTACTAAAGGAATAAGTAGTTCAATTTGTAGGTAGGAAAATGAAATTTTTCTGCCATCAGTGTGTTTTTGCAGAAAGAAAAGAAAACTGATTTACATACTAATAGGTATTAATTGATCTGCTTATTAGTATTAATTTATTAATTGATTTATTTATTATATGTTGACATTCTCTTTGAAGATATGGTACTTCTATAATCCTTTTCAACTGATTACATCTACTTTTTTATCTCTTCTTTAGGTTTTCGAAAAATAAGTTTAGATGACCTTCGGAAGGCATATATCGTCAAGGATGTTCAGCAGTACATTCTTCATCGTTTAGATCAAGAAGAAGCTTTGCGACAACACCTCACAAAAGAAACTGCAGAGATGTTAAATCAACTGCACATTAAAAGCAGTGGATGCTTTCTTTACCTAGAACGAGTTTTAGATGGAGTTGTAGAAAATTTTATTATGTTAAGAGAAATTCGTGACATCCCAGGAACTCTAAATGGTTTATATCTCTGGCTGTGCCAAAGACTTTTTGTAAGAAAACAATTTGCAAAGGTTCAGCCTATTTTGAATGTGATTCTTGCAGCCTGCCGACCTTTGACCATAACGGAATTATATCACGCAGTATGGACCAAAAACATGTCGTTAACTTTGGAAGATTTTCAACGCAAGTTAGATATCCTCTCCAAACTTCTTGTTGATGGACTAGGAAATACAAAAATACTGTTTCATTATAGTTTTGCCGAGTGGCTTCTGGATGTGAAACACTGTACTCAGAAGTATTTATGTAATGCAGCAGAAGGACACAGAATGTTGGCTATGAGTTATACCTGTCAAGCCAAGAATTTAACACCATTGGAAGCACAAGAATTTGCATTGCACTTAATTAACTCAAACTTACAATTAGAGACAGCGGAGTTAGCTCTGTGGATGATATGGAATGGTACACCTGTCAGAGATTCCCTTTCTACTTTGATACCCAAGGAACAAGAAGTGCTACAGCTGTTGGTTAAAGCTGGGGCTCATGTCAACAGTGAAGACGATCGCACATCATGCATAGTTCGACAAGCCTTAGAAAGAGAGGATTCCATTCGGACATTATTAGATAATGGAGCTTCAGTAAATCAGTGTGATTCAAATGGGAGAACATTATTGGCTAATGCTGCATATAGTGGCAGTCTTGATGTAGTCAATTTACTTGTCTCTAGGGGAGCAGATTTAGAGATAGAAGATGCTCATGGACATACACCACTCACTCTAGCGGCTAGACAGGGACATACCAAGGTGGTTAATTGTTTGATTGGGTGTGGAGCAAATATTAATCATACTGATCAAGATGGTTGGACAGCATTAAGATCTGCTGCTTGGGGTGGCCATACTGAGGTAGTTTCTGCACTACTTTATGCTGGCGTAAAAGTGGATTGTGCAGATGCTGATAGCCGAACAGCTTTGAGAGCAGCAGCATGGGGAGGACACGAGGATATTGTACTGAATTTGCTACAACATGGCGCTGAAGTGAACAAAGCTGATAATGAAGGTAGAACTGCTTTGATAGCAGCAGCATACATGGGACATAGAGAGATTGTGGAACACCTACTGGACCATGGAGCAGAAGTAAATCATGAGGATGTTGATGGCAGGACTGCACTCTCTGTAGCTGCACTTTGTGTGCCTGCAAGTAAAGGGCACGCATCAGTTGTTAGCCTTTTAATTGATCGAGGTGCTGAAGTAGATCATTGTGATAAAGATGGCATGACTCCACTGCTGGTAGCTGCCTATGAAGGACATGTTGATGTGGTTGACTTGCTTCTAGAAGGGGGAGCAGATGTAGATCACACAGATAACAATGGCCGTACACCCCTCTTAGCAGCAGCGTCTATGGGTCATGCATCAGTTGTAAATACACTTTTGTTTTGGGGTGCAGCTGTGGATAGTATTGATAGTGAAGGTAGGACAGTCCTCAGTATAGCTTCAGCACAAGGAAATGTTGAGGTGGTACGTACTCTACTGGATAGAGGGTTAGATGAAAATCACAGAGATGATGCTGGATGGACACCTTTGCACATGGCAGCTTTTGAAGGGCACAGATTGATATGTGAAGCACTTATTGAACAAGGTGCTAGAACAAATGAGATTGACAATGATGGACGAATCCCTTTCATATTAGCTTCACAAGAGGGTCATTATGATTGTGTTCAAATATTACTGGAAAACAAATCCAACATTGATCAAAGAGGTTATGATGGAAGAAATGCACTGCGGGTTGCTGCATTAGAAGGGCACAGGGACATTGTTGAATTGCTTTTTAGCCATGGTGCTGATGTTAACTGCAAAGATGCTGATGGTCGGCCTACACTTTATATCTTGGCCTTAGAAAATCAGCTTACAATGGCCGAATATTTTTTAGAAAATGGTGCAAACGTAGAAGCAAGTGATGCTGAAGGAAGGACAGCACTTCATGTGTCTTGTTGGCAAGGCCATATGGAAATGGTGCAGGTCCTGATAGCATACCATGCTGACGTCAATGCTGCAGACAATGAAAAGCGCTCTGCTTTGCAGTCTGCAGCCTGGCAGGGCCATGTAAAAGTGGTTCAGCTTCTGATTGAGCATGGTGCTGTAGTTGACCATACATGTAACCAAGGTGCAACTGCACTCTGTATTGCAGCCCAGGAAGGGCACATTGATGTTGTTCAGGTCTTATTAGAGCATGGTGCTGATCCAAACCATGCTGATCAATTTGGACGCACTGCTATGCGTGTTGCAGCCAAAAATGGACATTCTCAGATAATTAAATTATTAGAAAAATATGGTGCATCTAGTTTGAATGGCTGTTCCCCATCTCCTGTTCACACAATGGAGCAAAAACCTCTACAGTCATTGTCTTCAAAAGTGCAGTCATTAACAATTAAATCAAATAGCTCTGGTAGTACTGGTGGAGGGGATATGCAGCCTTCGTTACGTGGTTTACCTAATGGGCCTACTCATGCTTTTAGTTCTCCTTCAGAATCTCCAGATTCTACAGTTGACCGGCAGAAGTCATCACTGTCAAATAATTCCCTGAAAAGCTCAAAAAATTCATCTTTGAGAACTACTTCATCTACAGCAACGGCTCAAACAGTGCCAATTGATAGCTTTCATAACTTGTCATTTACAGAACAAATTCAGCAGCATTCATTGCCACGCAGTAGAAGTCGACAGTCAATTGTTTCCCCATCTTCCACAACACAGTCCTTAGGACAGAGTCATAATTCACCAAGTAGTGAATTTGAGTGGAGTCAAGTAAAGCCCAGTTTGAAGTCAACTAAAGCAAGTAAAGGGGGGAAATCAGAAAATTCTGCCAAGTCTGGATCAGCTGGGAAAAAAGCGAAACAAAGTAATTCTTCACAGCCAAAGGTTTTAGAATATGAAATGACTCAGTTTGATAGAAGAGGACCTATAGCCAAATCCGGGACTGCTGCACCACCTAAACAAATGCCAGCAGAATCTCAATGCAAAATTATGATACCTTCAGCTCAGCAGGAAATTGGTCGATCTCAACAGCAGTTTCTTATTCACCAACAAAGTGGGGAACAGAAGAAGAGAAATGGAATAATGACAAATCCAAATTATCATCTTCAGAGCAACCAGGTTTTTCTTGGTAGGGTTTCAGTCCCACGAACAATGCAAGATAGAGGGCATCAGGAAGTGTTGGAGGGATACCCTTCCTCAGAGACAGAATTAAGCCTTAAACAAGCTCTGAAGCTTCAGATTGAAGGTTCTGACCCTAGCTTCAACTATAAAAAGGAAACACCATTATAAAAGGTAATATTTTGTCAACATAAAGAGTAAAAAACAAAAGTAGAGTTCCCTCTACTTGGAATGCTCTTTTCCTTGATCACAAGGCCAATTCCCTCAGTTAATCTCTACTCAGATGTCATCTGGGCCAGACCTGCCTCATCACCCCTTTACATCAGAATTCTCCTGCCTCTAGCACTCCTTTCCCCCTTGCGTGCATTATGTTATCCAAAGCACTTACTATTTAAAATACTTCAGATGTTTTCTTTATTATTTTTCTCCTCTGAACTAAAAATACAACCTTTGTGAGGGTAGGGTTTTCTATCTGTTCACTACTGTATTTCATGTACTTGGAATAGTGCTTGGACCTATGGTAGTTTCCCAGTAAAAATTTGTTGAATAAGTGAATGAACTAATGAATGAATGAATGAATATACTACTTATGGATCCCAGATTAAGAATTCTTTCCTATTCAGTTATGTCCTCCTTTTAAAAGAATTTTGATGGTGTCAGAGGGAGGGGCTGTTTCAAACTCATCTTTTTGGTTTGAATGCAATAATGTCTGTAGCACATAGTAGATAGTAAATATTAATTTCATTCCTTTTCACTCAGAAAGAAGTCAAAAACTTAGTAGAAGGTAGTTTTTATGATGACAGATCTCTTGAGACTCTTCTAAGTAATGTTTTCACACATAAGGCATAGACGTGAAAAATGATAAATGGATGTTTTTGCAATATTGGTATTTAGGGCACTTTATACCTGGATAAAATAGTCATATTTGTTAAATAAATTTTTTTTTCTCCTTCCTGTAACAAAGGATACTTCATTAATAATATAGGGGATGTTAGTGGGAAAATAGGTATGTAAGTTTTATATTTTAGATACTTTTTCAGAAGCTCATTTCCTGTATTGGAGATAAATCTGAAGATTTTATTAGGGGTCTTTCCTAGCATACACTGCAGCTATATTTATCCCACTTTGCTTAATGATTTTTCTTCCTCTAACAAAGTTATATATACTCTTTCCTTTTTGCTGCTTCTGTCTTTGTAAATATATTTTAGGGATATAATAGGTGAAACACTATTATAGATAAATTCCTCATATATTCTAATAATAAACAGCCTTCAATGTGAATCTAGGGGTGACCAAATGTCATTCAAAAATAATTTGAATAAAGTACTTAATTCAGTCCCCAAATGCAATTCGTTTTTAAAATAATTAGTTCTGATGGTGCACCCTTTCAACTCTCATGATATCTGTTTTAAAGGCAAAATATAAATACGTATTAAAAATGAAACACCAGAATTAAGGTAAACATTTTGTGGAATTTAAAAAGTGGCTTATAAGTTAAATAATAGTTAAGTCTGCTTTGTGCTTTGCATGGTAAATATATAGATAAAGATATATAGAGGTAAATGTATTAAATAAAGTTTTAAAATGATATGTAGCTGTATAATACAATGTAGAAAATAATTTTTTTTTAACTTTTGCATTAGTTTCCTATTCTGTGAAACAGAAGACATTGTGATGGAGTGGTTCTTCAGCTACTGGATGGAAACATATGCCTGTTGATTTGCTGAAAAAACAAAAAAAATGAAGAATGTGATCTCTGCAGTACAGTTACCTTAATTACTGTAATGTGCCTAAATAGTAAGGCTGCCTTCTCAATGTAACCCTCTGTGCTTAAAAAATTTCATTTTGTGTGCTTTGTATTCACTACACAGGAATAAGCACTTTTTAAAAATGCAGATACATACTGCAGTTCCCTGATAAAAGCTGAAAAGAAAATTTGAGTATTTTAAGTTAAGATGTGATAAAAAATGTGCATGTGCCATAATCAAATATATATGAAAAGGCAGTGTTCCTTGTATTTATTTTTTTTTCTTTTTGTGGCAAAAGAAACTTAAACATACTGTTTCAGTCACATTGCATTGTAGTGTATGGCCTGTTTCTTGTATCTTTAAAGACGTTGCTCAATAAAACAAATCTTGCAACTGTTCTATGTTCACTACACCTTCAGCATTGGATAAAAATCATTTTCTATATAAATATCACATTGAAATGAAAAAATGATTTCTTGGCAGTTTAAAAAAAATATTTTATAGTAGTTTAGGGAGCTGCTTTAAGTAGTTTAAATCTGGATTTTCCCAGTAGAATTCTTCTCATCTCTGGCTAAACATGTCAGAACAAACAACCAACCAGTCTGTAGGCAGAACAAAGTCCTATTTCATCCGCTGGGATACAATTTCATCTTCCATTCACTTTGTCATTCCACCTCTAAGAAGACAGACTATCATTCCTGAGGCATGAAAATTCTCAGGGACAAAGCCATGCCTCAGTCACATGTGTGTGCAGAGAGAAATGCACCTGTCTATCTAAGGGTAGATTTTTGATCCCTGAATAATTCATTGACTAAACTGACCTCTTCCTCCTGGCTAAATAAATTAATTTTGCTGGCTTCTCTCTCAGCGGTTTCTATTTTGTAAATTGCTGCATGACCAAAATAGCCCCACTCAAAATCAATTGGATTAATTTTAATGGTTTGGTTGGATGAATATTCTGGATGAATATAAAATGTGCTGCCCTTCACAGATGACACCACTCCCCTGTCAATCATAGCACATGTGTACTTTTTATTGTTACTTAATAGTGATGGATTTGCACTTTTCTATCCTCATACTCTTTCCTGTTTTCTTCTTTGTACAATTGCATGCAGGAGGGCTGGATGCCAGGGTTAAGAGAGAAATTCATGACAAGGAAGGTAAAATTGGTTCAAATGAGCATGTGTCCCACAGCCTTAGTCTCCTTACTCTTAAATCAGTGGAGCTGTAGCTTAGATGGGTCGTTTATATGTCTGGAAAAGTTGTCATAACAGTTTAGAAGCCAAGGTTGTGGATTTGATCTTAGAATGGGCCTGTTAATCTTATAGAACCCAGAAATTCTGTTCTTTTCATGTACTGTTGATGAGGAATGAGGAAAGAGAATTTGGAGATTCAGCACAAAACCATTGCTACTTCTAGAACAAAATCTTTAGAATATGTCCTAATAACAAAGGTCAGTAATGTCATCTTCATATATGAAGGACACATGTGATACATTGTTCGTGGAAATAGAAATGTATAATTATGATAAATGTTTCACTTGAATCTTATTGTAAGGCTTTTCTTGCTTTTATTTTTTAAAGTCAGCAAAACTCATTTTGTCTGTCATCTATAAGTCATAGTGAGGACTACGAGATAAGTTGATAAGTTCAATTGATATTAAGGTGACATGGCAATATTAATAACTCAAATGTGAATGTTTCAAGTATTGAATTCTTGTCCCTATGGGACATTTATTAAATAAAATTAATGGGACTCTTGCAAAGTAGCCTTAAAAGTGTTAATGAGTCTATTAATAAATATGAACACATACTATTATTAGAACCAACTTTACTCATATCTCAAATACAGTACATTTACATTACTGTAGAGGATGAAGCTCTAATTTCTATTACATGTAATTTTCTTTAGAAAGAGAACCCTGAAAGCTGCCAGTTTTTCTATTAACTTTGAATTATTGAAATTGTATTTATTTAATTTTATTGTTTTTACAAAATTGCACCTTGTGTCCAAAGGGCGAAGATATGACATTGCATAAGGGATTTATGTTTTTCAAAGAGCTAACTGTTTTCATATCCATACTATATACACTTGAAGCAATTGGTAGGAAGAGAACCTATTGGAAAAATACGATTTTCAAAAGTAAGTATTCCTCGGGATGTTTTTATATAAATTATGTTTTGGAATAGAACATAAATGACTTTGAGTTAGGATAAGGATGATAGGATGGGTGCTGGAGATGCCCTGCCTTGCTTATTTGTTTCTGTGGGGGATTTAATACTATAAATGAAAATGGCTTCTGCTCCATTAAAAAGTAAAAATTGTCCTCCAAATATAAAACTCCTTAATAGATATTTTTGAAATTAAAATCTTTAAATTTTATAAATCAGCTGTTGCCACTACACAACTATGATGGCATGTGCTTATAACATTTTTATAACATTCCGTCTGTGTCTATTCCCTAAATATCATGAGTTTATAATAAGGAAAGTGATAAAAATACAGTAATGAAATAAAAATCTGAATGTTTCTAAGAAAGGTTTTGGAAGGAAAAATGACCTGAAATCAGTGCGTACTGCAAAGTACAGCCAATAATTTTTGTTCTTTGTTTTCACCCCCACCCTCACTGGAATTCTCACCAAAAATAGTTTGATACTTAAAAAACAGAAGTAAATACTTTTCTCAATATTGTTTTGGCTATGCAAATATTTGTTTTGCTTAATGTCCTCCATTTACACTTCTCAGCAAATGTAGTTGCAAACAAATGCTTTCTTTTTATTTTTCCCTTGGTTTGAGGTATGTAAATAGCCAAAAATGTACATTGAATTTCACATTGTAAAAGTTTTATTTTATCCCTTGTATGATATTACTCAAAAAATCCCTGTGTATATGAAAGTGCATAATAAATATATTTGCTTTACAGAGAAGATCTTGTTTTAATTTTGTCCTTGAACCAGTAGAACATGCATGATATGCATATAGCATAAACAACTGTTAGTTGTTTTAAGTTATTATCTTAAATAAATCCTGAGCAAATGAATTTGGAAACATTTTGCAAAGAAGAAAGTGAAATATAACACTGTCCAAAGGAAGGTAGAAAAACAAAGATTTACTGTTTATGTCTTCCTAAGCCTTTTTAAAGACTTAATGTTCTTTTCCCCCCCGTGACTGATTATATACTATATCACACCATGTCAGGTTTTGTGCCTCTGAGAATTGCAGTAATCCAATAACTTTTGTATATGTGTGCTCCTTGATCATCAGAATATTATGGCCATCTTATGGCGGATATTTTGGGAGTTTATTGCAAACATGGTCATTCATTTTCTAAATAAAATTTGTGTGTTTCTTCACTCAGTAAACTTGCGTCACTTCTTCATGACCTCTTTCCCCACCAGAACACAGCATACACATGCTGTATGTATACATACACACAAATGGCTTTTTGAATTTGTGGGTTCCACATCCCTGGATGCAACCAATCTCAGATAAAATATTCGGAAAGAAAATTCTAAAGTTCTGAAAAACAAATTTGCTATGTGCCAAGTACTACCTGAGTCCACCTGAATGAAGTGATGTGTAGGCATTGTATTAGGTATTGTAAGTAATCTAGAGATGATTTAAAGTATACAGAGCATATGCGTAGGTTATATATAAATGTTGTGCCATTTCATATAAGGGACAGGAGTGTCTGAGGATTTTGGTATCCAAGAGGAGTCCTGGAAACAATCTCCCTATGTTTACTAATGAATAACTATCCTATTACTCCAAAGAGAGGTTTCTAAAAAGGCCAACAAGGTATCTTCTGTTCTGTAATTTCATGAAAATTGTAGTGTTCTGCAGTTATATTTTTTATAAATTTGTTGAATTAATATAAATCTTATTCTAAAAAATTAATAATATAACAATGTGTTTAAACACAAATGTATGGTATACATAGAAGAATTTAAAAACAGACCGGTAGCTAAATAAACTTACATGGAGTTTTCTAGCTAATGGTCCAAGGAAATACACTGTGAGAACTTGGTGATAATTAATGTTTTCACTCCTTTGCCCTAGCAGTTGGAAGGATTACAACTACAGTCGTCCCACTGTATCCTGGGTGGATTGGTTCCAGGAACCCAGGTGGGTACTAAAATCTTTGTATGCTCAAGTCCCACAGTTGGCCTCCTGTATTTACAGATTCTGCATCTCTCCAATATTGTATTTTCCATCTGTGATTGGGAGAATCTGTAGATGCAGAATCCACAGATAGGAAGGGCTGAATGTAGCAGTGATGAGATACACCCTGAGGATTATGTTGTAGAATTTCTGTGAAAAATTCATTTATTGTGCAAATATTTGTGCTAATCTTATTTTCAAGATATAGCCTCTGCTTACCAGTCTTGCTGTTATAGTAAAATTATAATTAGCCAATTTTAAAATAAAATTATTTGAAATTTACTGCATGTTTACATTTCTACTCTTAAATTCACACCATTATTACCACACTGGCAAAATTTAGCTAAGTTCTGAGGGCTGTATTCTTAGAAGAATATATTTGTAATGTTTAGAAGACCCCTGTGTGCCTATATTTTTTACTCATTATTGTTCTATATGTGTGAACACTGATAATGGTATATCCTGATAGAATTGATGTTACATTTTAACGGGTATATCTGTTACCCCCATTTCATTTGTACACTTACATTGAACTCTAACATGGATATTTAGGAAAATACACAAATCCTAAGTTGCTATGGTATAATTTTTTACAAATTGAACAAACCTGTTTATTACCTGGATCAAGATGTTGGCTGTAACTTTAATCTCAGAAACCTACCTTGCCATTTCCAGACATTACCCCCAAGAAAGAAAACCACTCTTCTGACTTCCATTACCATTAGTATTAACTGTTTTTTTTTTAACTTTACATAAATTGAATCAAACAATATGTCCTTTCTGTGCTGGTTTCTTTCCCTTAACATTATGTTTGTGAAATTCATTTACACTGTTTTGTTTGTCCTTTTTGAATTGTTGCACAGTATTCCACTGGGTGGATATACCATACTTTTTAAAATACATTTTACTACTAATGGACATTTGGATTCTTTCCAGTTTGGGGGTCTTAAGAATACTGCAATTAATAGTTTTGTACATATATTTGGTATCCGTGTGCATACATTTCTTTTTAATAATATGAACAAAATTACTGGATTTTAGGGTATGTGTATGATGAGCTTTAATAGCTAGTGCCCAGCAGTTTTCTCAAGTGGTTTTATTAATTTTTACTCTCTATTGCTCTACATCTTTACCAACATTTGGTATTTCATTTTCCTCTTTCTTTTCTTAATTCTGTTTGGTTCTATACTAGCATTACATTGAGGTTTGAATTTGCATTTCCCAGATGACTAATGAATCAGCCACTGTTACATATGATTTCTGTCCATTTGGATATCCTATCTTGTCGAGAAATTTGCACATTTTTTCCCCTTGAGTTTCTTGGCTTGTAGAAATTATTTTATATTTTGGATTTAAGTCATTTTATAGCGTATGCAATGCAAATGTCTTCTTAGATTCTGTGCTTTGCCATTTCACTCTCATAATGACATATTTTTATAAACAAAGATTCTTATTTAATCTGGTATTTTTTAGTAGTTATGCTTTTTGTGTCCTATTGTTTAAAAATTGCCTATCCCAAGGTCATGATGATACTCTTTTATGTTCAAATAGTTTTACTTTTCTTAATTATCAAGTTAATCCAGCATTATTTATTGAGCAGTTATCTGTCACTGCATTTTAGTGGTAACTTTGTTATAAATCAGGTACTCTTATATACGTTGGTCTTTTTGTCCTTCCTTGAGCCAATATTATATCCACTTAATCACTGTACCTTTATAAGTTTAATATCTGATAGTATAAATTCTCCCACTTTTTCCCTCAAGATTGCCTTGGCTTTTTTTTTTCTTTTGGCCTTCTGCTTTCCATAAAACTTTATAATAGTCTTCTTAATTATTTTTTAATCTGAAATTTTGATTAGGATTGCACTGAATCTACAGATAAATGTGGTGTTGGGTGAATTGATTTGTTTCTATTAATATCTTTACTCTGCCAGTCAATGAAGTTGTTATATCCTTCATTGATTTAGATCCTCTTTACCTTAAGTAACGGTTCTTATTAGGTTGGTGCAAAAGTAATTGCAGTTCTTTCCATTAAAAGTAAAAAAAACCGCAGTTACTTTTTGTGCCAACCTAATCAATTTTCTCCTCTTATCCCCAGCCTCTGACAACCATTGGTTTCATTTCTTAATAGTTTTATCTTTTTAGAGATGTCATATAAGTGAAATGATATAATAAATAGTTGATTATGCCTGGCTTATTTTACTTAGCATAATGCTTTTGGAATGCATCCATCTTTTAGTATGTATGAGTAGCATAGCTTTTTAATCCTGAGTAGTATTCTGTATTCCACTGTAAGCTTATACCACAATTTGTTTATCCATTCACAAGTTCATAGCATTTGAGTTGTTTCCAGTTGTTGGCTAATATGAAAGAAGCTTCTGTAAGCATTTGCGTTTAGATATTTATATCAATATGTGATTTCATTTGTCTTGAGTAATATCTAGGAGTGGGATTCCTGGGTTGCTAGGTGTATAGTTAAAATTTATAAGAAACTAACAAAACCTTTGCAAAAATGGGTGTACCATTTTGCATTCTCACCAGGAATGGATGAGATTTTTTGTTTCTCCACATTTTCACACACACTTGATATTGTCAGTCTTTTTAGTTGAAATTTTAATTTAGATGATCATAGATTCACATGCAATCATAAGAAATAATACAAAGAGATCCCATAGATCCTATATACCCTTTATCTAGTTTTCTCCCATGGTGACAACTTGCAAAACTACAGAACATCATAGCCAGTATGTTAACATTGACAATATCCACTCATCTTATTTAGATTTCCCCATTTTTACTTGTACTCATTTCTGAAGTGTGTGTGTGTTTGTATAACTAATACATAGTTCTATTAAATGTTATCACATATATAGGTTCCTGTCTCTACACAATAGTCGAAATAAAAACACTTCCTTAACTACAAGGAGCCTTCTTGTTGCCCTTTTTATAACCTCACCCACCTTCCTACCCAACCCCTTCATTCCTTTCTCCTGGCAACCACTAGTCTAGTCTCTATTTTTATAATTTTATCATTTAAAAAAGTTACATAAGTGGAATAACAGAGTATGTAACCTTTTGAGATTGACTTTTTTACCCTGAACTCCCTTGAGATTTACCCAAGTTTTGTGTATCAATGGTGGTGTATTTTTATGTTGCTGAGTAGTATTCCACAGTATGTATGTATCACAGCTATGAACTTGTGAATGGATGAACAAATTGTGGTATAAGCTTACAGGGGAATGCAGAATACTACTCAGGATTAAAAAGCCATGCTACTCATACATGCTACAACATGGATGCATCCCAAAAGCATTACACTAAGTAAAATAAGCCAGGAACAATCGCCTATTTATTATATCATTTCACTTATATGACATCTCTTAAAAGATAAATCTATTAAATGAAACCAATGGTTGTCACCATTGATGGACATGTGATCTGTTTCCAGTTTTGAGCTATTATGAATAAAGCTGCTATCAACATTTGCATGTAGGTTTTTATGTGAATGTAAGTTACTTTTCTGGGACAAACGTTCAAGAGTGTAAATATTGGGTCACATGATAATTGCATGTTTAGTTTTATAAGAAATGAACTTTTCAATTGTGCTTTTACTGTTTTTCCTTTTTTGAACTTTTTTTTTTTAAGAGAGATAGGGCTCGCTATGTTGCCTGGGCTGCTCTTGAACTCTTGCACTCAAGTGATCTTCCTTGGCCTCCCAAAGTGCTAGGATTACAGACATGAGCCACTACACCTGGCCTATTGAGCTACTTTAATGGAACAGGATACTGACTATTTAAGAAAACAAGAAATGTGGCTGGGCACGGTGGCTCACGCCTGTAATCCCAGCACTTTGGGAGGCCAAGGCGGGTGGATCACTTGAGGTCAAGAGTTTGACACCTCCTGCGCTGGCCAACATGGCAAAAATATAAATACAAAAATTAGCCAGGCTTGGTGGCACATGCCTGTAATCCCAGCTACTCAGGAGGCTGAGGCAGGACAATTACTTGAACCCGGGAGGCAGAGGTTGCAGCAAGCCGAGATTGCATCATTGCACTCCAGCTTGGGCGACAGAAGAAGACTCTGTCTCAAAAAAAAAAATAAAGAAAGAGAAGGAAAGGAAAGGAAGGGAAGGGGAGGGGAGGGAGAAAGGGAAGGGAAGGGAAGGGAAGGGAAGGGAAGGGAAGGGAAGGGAAGGGAAGGGAGAAAGAAAAGAAAATAAGAAATGAACTTTTCATGAGTGGCTGTACCACTTTATATTTTCACTGGCAATCTATAAGTGCTCCAATTTCTTCATATCCTTGCCAGCATTTAGTGCTGTCATAATATTCTATTTCTGCCATTCTCATAAGTGTACAGTGATATCTTGTTATAGTTTTAATTTATATTTTCCTAATGATTAATGGTGTTGAACACTTCTTCATGAGTCTATTTGCCATCTATGTATGCTCCTCAGTGAAATGTTTGTATCTTTTTCACTTTGCAATTGGGTTGTTTTGTTGGTTTGTTTATACTGTTAAGTTTTGAAAGTTCTTTATATATTATAGATACTAGTTCATCAAATACATAGTTTGCAAATATTTTCTGTTTTGTCTTTTTATTTTGTCTCTCGTCTTTTTATTTTGTCTCTTGTCTTTTTATTTTCTTCACCTAGTCTTTCACAGAGCAAAAATATGTGGTTCAATTTTATCATTTTTTCTATAATGGCTTATGTTTTTTGTGTCATATATAAGAACTCTTTGCCTAGTCCAGGACCCCAAAGATTTTTACCCTTTTTTTTCCAAATGTTTTACAGTTTTTACACATTACATTTAAGTCCATGATCCATTTTGAATTACTTTTTGTATAAGGTATGAGGTTCAGGTTGCGTTCATATTTTTGCTAAAATGTGAAATATGATGGGTGTTCAATTGCTCTAGCACAATTTGGTGAAAAGTCAATCCTTCACTAATTTGTTTTTGCACCTTTGTCAAAAATCAGTTGAGCGTATTTTTGTGGGTCTATTTCTGAGTTCTCTATTTTGTTTCATTGATCTGTGTGTCTATCCCTCTATCAGTACCACCCTGTCTTGATAGAGTAGCTATGCAGTAAGCTTTAATGTGGATCAGGGGTGAACCTTTCCATTTTGTTTCCAAGATTGTTTCAGCTATTCTAGGTCATGTGCCTTTAAAATAGGCTTTTCTAAGTTTATTCAAAACTTTTTTGAGATTCCGATAGAAATTGCATAAACATGTAGATCAACTTAAAGAGAACTAACATAGTAAAGATTTTGTTGGTGTTCTCAACCCAGGAATATAATATGTATCTCCATAGGTCTTTGATTCCTTTTATTACCATTTTATAATTTTTTATATATGGATCCTGTAATGTTATATGTATACCTAAATATTTAACTTTTGTTGTAGCAATTTTAAATTTGTTTTAATTAAATTTTCACATAGTCATTTTTAGTATTTTTGTTGTAATTTTAAACATTAAATGTTTCCATTTTATTTTTTGCTAGATTTTTGGGGATTTTCTGTGTAGACAATCATTCCATCTGAAAATAGGAGTCATATTATTTATTCCTTTTCTCTCTGTATGCCTTTCATCTTTTTTTCTTACCTCACTGCAGTGGCTAATTGTTGCAGTGCCACATTAAATAAGAGCAATGGGGATGGATATTCTTGTCTAAAAATGCCCAATTTTAAGGGAAAAATATTTTGTCTTTCACCATTAAGTATGATGTTGACTGTAGGTTTTCCGTAGATGTTCTTCATCAGGTTGAGGTAATATCCCTCTCCTTCTAATTTACTGAAGAGTTTTTTTATGAATGGGTGTTGGGTTTTTTCCAGTGCTTTGTATATCTAGAATGAATCCCACTTTGTCATGATGTACATTTTTTAATACATTGTTAGACTTGGTTTGCTAATCTTTTGTTGAGGAATTTCATCTAAGTTCATGAGATATATTGTTATGTAGTTTTCTTTGTTTGTACTATCTTTGGTTTTGGTATCAAGATACTAACATCCTTATGAAATGAGTTGAGCTGTGTTCCCTCCTCTCCTATTTTCTTCAGGAGATCATATAAAATTGATGTTAATTCTTCTTTGAATGATTGGTAGCATTCTTCAGCTAAACCATCTGGGCTTGACAATATTTTCTTTAGGAGATTTTTAATCGTGAATTCAAATTTTTAATGATTATAATAGTACTCTTCAGAATATCTGATACAGCATTATTTTATTGACTTCCTCATTTGTTACTTTCAACTTTATTGATTTCTGTTTTTATCTTTACTATTTATTATTTTCATTATTTTCTTCCTTCTGCTTGCTTTGCTTTGTTTTTGGAGAGCTCTTCTTCAGATTGCTTCTTGTTAGTGGAGCTGGGGATGAATCTCCCTTGCTAGTGGTGCCCACCTGCTGTCTCTTACTAGTTTGGGGTTGGTAAAAGCGAGACATGGGTCACCTCTATCAGTTGGGTGGGGGTCATAAGACATCCTGCTTCTGTGTTGTTTCTGTAGTCATAGGCTGCTAAACTAGTTTGCCTTCCTCTTACCATATCTCAAAGTTCTACTTTGGCTGCATCTTACCCGATGTAAATAGTTTACAGTCATTCTTAGTGGAGAGGAGGCTGGAGAAATGAGTCTACACCACTGTGTTTGGTTCAAAAGTTCCTTCTCAGTCTTTTTTTAATTTTAACCATTCTAGTGAATATGTAATTGAATCTTATTGTGACTTTTAATTGTTTTTCTTCCTACTTTGTAATAATGCTGAGCCTCTTTTCACATGCTTATTTGCCATCTATACACTTGATAAAGAGTCTGTTTGAACATTTTTCCATTTTTCAATTAGGTCAAAATTCTATTTTCTTATTAGGAAATATGACAATATCATTATATATTTTAGATATAATGATCATTTGATTAAAAAGACTATCCTTTTCCCATTGAATTACTTTGGCATTTTTGTTGGAAATCAGTTGAACACATACATGTAAATCTGTTTATGGACAATATTCTGTTTCATTGGTCTATATATCTATCCTTATGTCCATACCACACTATCTTGATTACTTTTACAGTAAGTTTTTATATCAAGTAGATGAGCCTTCAACATTTTTTTTCAAAGCAGTTTTGGTTTTCCTATTCATTACACTTCTATGTAAATTGTCAAGGCACTTTGTTAATATCCACACAAAAAAATAGCCTCCTTGGATCTTGATTGAGATTTCACTGAATCTACAGATAAACTGCGGAGACTTGACTTCTTAAGAATGTTGTGTCTTCTGATCCATGAAAACAATATATCTCTATTTCTCAGCAATGTTTTATAGTTTTCAGTGTATAGTTCTTGAACATATTTTTTAAATTTATCCTTAAGTATTTCAAGTTTTTATCTGATGCTTTTTCAAATGGTATTTTTAACTTTATTTTCCAATTTTTGTTGCTATTATACAGAAATACAATTTGTGTATATGTGTATAGATATGCAGTAATTTCTTAGAGATTTTCTGCATAAGTGATTATGTAATCTGTGAATAAAAGCACTTGTATGTTTTCTTTTCCAATCTACATGCCTTTTACTCCTTTTCATAGCCTTACTACATTGTCTAGAGCCCTGAGTATAACGGTGAATATGTTTTGGGAATGGATATTTTTGTCTTATTTCCAAACTTAGGGGGAAAGTAGTCTTTCATCATTAGTTGTAGATCTTTTATAGATACCCTTAATTATGTAGAGTGTATTTCTATTTCTAGTTTGTGAAGAATTTTTCATCCTGAATGAATGTTGAATGGGCATAGAGAGTTGAGCGAACTAATTCAACTTTAAAAGGCAAATGGTGAAGTGGAGATTGAATTAAATCAGTCTGATTCTAGAACCTGCACTCTCTTGTAGTGTATCTACTGCCAAAAGGATCACCAGAATCTGTGCTCTTAAATTCTATTCTCTATTGCCTTTCAAGATGGTGTTGTATATTTTAATTTAGAGATAATTTGGATGGAGTAAACATTTTTTATTTCAAAATTACCCTAGCTTTAATATTGTATCTGGGAGGCAATATCCATTCAACTTCACCTTCCATACAGTAATTGGCATTTGGTCTTTCATCTGTTAAATAATAGTGTGTTACATAAACATATGACAAATCATCTATGTAGAAAGTCTCTATATACATAATATATAGCTCCATTAAACTTTTAAAACTGTTGTAATTAAGAATGTGTTAAATATCTTAAATGGACTTAAGATTGTATAGTCAAAAGTTCAGTTTAACATCAACATTTTAAAGGATAGTTATTGTGGTACAGAAGAACAAACTTGGTACTCATAGCTATTTGGGATGAGTCTTCAAATCTCAAAAGACCATGATTAAGAGAAAGTAAAATTTTAGCTATTCCAGCAGATTGTGTCCACTCAAATGCTTTTATTCTTTTAATCTTTTGTACACAGTTTATTGTGACTTAGAATGCCATCTTCACCTTCTTAACATGCCAAAATTCAATTCATCCTTAAAAACTAACCACTGTTTGCTGGGCACGGTGGCTCACACCTGTAATCCCAGCACTTTGGGAGGCCGAGGCAGGTGGATCACGAGGTCAGGAGATCGAGACCATCCTGGCTAACATGGTGAAACGCCGTCTCTACTAAAAATACAAAAAATTAGCCGGGCATGGTGGTGGGTAGGCAGGAGAATGGCATGAACCCGAGAGGCAGAGCTTGCAGTGAGCCGAGATTGCGCCACTGCACCCCAGCCTGGGCTACAGAGCGAGACTCTGTCCCCCCCCCCCCCCAAAAATAACTAACCACTGTTCTATGAAGATGATAAGTAATTATTGAGCCCCTATTTTTTGTTATGGGCTGAGAAAACAGCAATACTTATATAGAACTTACCTTTTAGTGATGATGGTAGGCAGGGAGTAGGGATAGAAAATGAACAAATGCACAAATGCAGTGGGCCAAGTAGAAAACTAAAACATGGTGTATTCGTCCATTTTCACATTGCTATAAAGAACTACCTGAGACTGGGTAATTTATAAAGGGAAGAGGTTTAATTGACTCACAGTTCCATATGGCTGGGGAAACCCTAGCAAACTTACAATCATGGTGGAAGGCAAAGGGGAAGCAAGGACCTTTACATGGCAGCAGGAGAGAACAAAAGACAGCGAAGGGGAAAGAGCCCTTTATAAAACCATCAGATCTCGTGAGAATTTACTATTATGAGAACAGCATGGGAGAAACCTTGTGCATGATTCAAACATTTCCCACCAGCTCCCTCCCTTGACACACGGGGATTACAATTTGAGATGAGATTTGGGTGGGGACACAGAGCCAAACTATATCACATGGTAACTTCTTGGAAAGGAAGGAGTTAGGCAGCAGAATCATTGCAGGAAAGAAAGAAGGCACAGGGGATCAGTCTAATCTTGGACATATGCTAATGATAGACCACCAGATAAATAAACTAGTAGTATTTTCTAGCTAGAGAGTCTTCTATAGAATACTTTCAGCAGGATGTCCCTGAGCGAGGAGTGCTTGAGATAAGCAAACTTGATATTACTGGATTTAAGGTGCATAGCTCCCTGAAAAATGTCAAATAAGTACTAACTTTGTATTAGTATACAATAAAATACAGTTGCAACTTAGATGACCACATCCCTCACTTAAAAAACTCACCTGTTATCCTGGACCAGAGTGTGTACAATGCAGAAAGAAAGGGCCTGGGGAATTGTTTTAAGATCCTCTCTTAGCTTGCTGCTTCCTGATCCTTCTTGATTATTTTCATCTTTGGAATTTTTTTAACTTGATACTGGGTGAGATCTCTGATTTAGGTGTCTAATTTGATAATCTGACCTGTCATGATATCTTACTGCTTTAGATTGGTGGTTAGGAAAAAAATCTCCCTGAGAAATAAGTTTCACACTGCATCTTGAATGACAGTAATTTACCTTATGAACTTTTTTCTTTCACTTTTTCTCCTGGTTACTCTGACCTGACTCTTGGGGTCCCATGAATCTTACAATTATTTTTTCACCAAAAGCATCGTAATTTTCATCTGATTTTGAATCTATTACTTATCTAAATGTCTAATCTTCCTTGATAACTTGCCTGATTGCTTCTGTCTCACTGATTCACAGCGTTGTCCATCGGTATGAGGCCTTGTTAACTGACAGCTAGGGTGTCATTGCCTGGCCATACTCCCCCCCCAGGTGGGATTACACTGTCTTGAATTTCTGCTTTCCTGGTTCTGTTTTCTCCTGCTTATAAACTACTTCTAATGAGCAGAAAAGGATTTAATTGCCTTTGTTTCTGCTTCTGGGAGAATTTCGTATGTTTTACATATTAAAGTTATTTTTTTTTTACTCATAACTTGGTCTGAAAGTTTATCTACTCATTTAAGCTTCATAGTAGCCCCATAGGGTAAATATTATTATCCTCATCATTTTACAGATGAGACACCCCAGGTCTGTACTGAGGTTTCAGTGATTTGCCCAAGTGCACATAGTGAGTGAGCCCAAAAGCCAAGATTGAACCAGCAGTCTAGCTTTAGAACCTATGTCACAAATCCCTATGTTATACTATCTTGCTATAAAAGAAAAGTAGTTCTGTCCTTATGTATCATAAAATTCCCAAATGCTAGGTCAAAGAATTCTCTAGACCAAGGATTCTACTAACTACAAAAATGCTTTATGCTTGGTGAATACACCATTTTGGCAAATGGAATATTGTGTTAGGCTTTCTTGTTGTATTAGGTTAAAATTCTTAATTCCTTAATAACTTGTTTGCTGCAACCTAATTAAAAATTTCCTAAAGATCCCATTCAGTTATCTTTACTCACCACTACGAACTTAATTGTTGTAACCACTATAAAAATGCTCATATTTAAATGTGCTTTTTAACAATGTACCATGTGTAAAACAGCAAACAAGTTATTAAGGAATTCCATCTATCTTTTTAGGAAGAAAAAACTTCAAGGATAATTGGTGAGCTTACCCAAAATACTTAATGTGCAAATAGATAAAATGCTCCAAGTCCTAAGCTACTGAGCTAGACTAGGTCACAAAGTCTAACTGTGGCTAAAAGACTGACAAGGATTACTTTCACTTAGCTTTGTTATTAAATCAGCCAATAAGCAGCACACGAATGTACCCAAGATCAAGGTCATGAATGGGACACAGCACCCCAGCATATCCTTCTCTTCATAAGAGGCATGTACAGGGTGGTTTGTGGGGTACACAGGGAGCAGGGCGTTGCATTATTAGAAGAGCTCAGAGCTCTTTCCTTACATTAGTCTGGGGCAAAACCACCTCCACACTTAGGGGTCTCCCCTGTTATTAGGAATTTCATGCTATGCCACTTACTTCCATGTTGTAATTCTTATTATGTCTGGCTGTGGCCTACCTTAATTATATTTTAAAAAATAATCCAAGGGAAGTGTGTTAATGAATACAATGTTCTTTTTTTTTCCTATTATTTATTTTTTTAGAGACAAGTTGTCTCTCTGTTGCCCAGGCTGGAATGCAGTGGTGTAAGCGCGTCCGGGATTGGCGGGTTCTTGGTCCCGCTGACTTCAAGACTGAAGCCGCCGACCCTCGCGGTGAGTGTTACAGTTCTTAAAGATGGTGTGTCCGGAGTTTGTTCCTTCAGATGTTCAGATGTGTCCGGAGTTTCTTCCTTCTGGTGGGTTCGTGGTCTCGCTGACTTCAGGAGTGAAACTGCAGACCTTTGCGGTGAGTGTTACAGCTCTTAAAGGCTGCGTGTCTGGAATTGTTCGTTCCTTCTGGTGGGCTCGTGGTCTCACTGGCCTCAAGAGTGAAACCGCAGACCTTCGCAGTGAGTGTTACAGTTCATAAAGGTGGCGCGGCCAGAGTTGTCCGTTCCTCCCGTCCCTCCCGGTGGGTTTGTGGTCTCGGTGGCTTCAGGAGTGAAGCTGCAAACCTTCGCAGTGAGTGTTACAGCAGCACAGACCCAAAGAGTGAGCAGCAGCAAAATTTATTGGGAAGAGCAAAAGAATACAGCATGGAAGGGGACCCCAGCGGGTTGCCACTCCTGGCTAGGTGGACTGCTTTTATTCCCTTATCTGGTCCCACCCACATCCTGCTGATTGGTCCATTTTACAGAGAGTTGATTGGTCCGTTTTAACAGAGTGCTGATTGGTGCGTTTACAAACCTTTAGCTAGACACAGAGTGCTGATTACTGCAGTTTACAATCCTTTAGCTAGACAGAAAAGTTCTCCAAGTCCCCACCCCTCCCAGAAGCCCAGCCGGCTTCACCTCTCACCAGAAGCCCCGCCGGCTTCACCTCTCACCAGAAGCCCCGCCGGCTTCACCTCTCACCAGCACTTGCCGCGGGACTTTGTGGCACCTAGCCCAGGCACTCCGGCAGCCCAGAGGGAGCTCGTCGCCCCCCCCATCAAGCCCCGCAGGCCCCCGCCGGCTGTGCGGGGCCAAGAAGCCTCCGCCCACCCAGAACCCATGCCGGCCCACGAGTGCTGGGCGCAGCCCCAGCTCCTGCCCGCGTCTCTCCCTCCACACCTCTCCGCGAACAGAGGGAGCTGGCTCCAGCCTCGGCCGGCCCCAGAGAGGGGCCCCCACAGCGCAGTGACGGGCTGAAGGGCTCCTCAAGCGCAGCCAGAGCGGACGCGGAGGCCAAGGAGGCGCCCAGAGCGAGCGACGGCCGCCAGCACGTTATCACCTCTCAATGCCTGGCTTATTTTATTTTATTTTATTTTTAGTAGAGATGGGGTCTGCTTTGTTGCCCAGGCTGGCCTTGAACTCCTAACCTCAAGTGATTCTCCTGCTTCAGCCTCCCAAAGTGCTGGGATTTTAGGTTTGAGCCACTGCTCACTGCCAAAATTTTAAAATCTGTGAATATTATGGACACATCTACATGTCTAACTCCTCATAACTGTGGTTTTCAACAAGAAGTATGTGTTGGCATTAGTGCAGTACTTGTTCGGGTTTCCCTGTGATTCTTGGAGACAAGAACCAACGCATCTGTGTAATTTTTTTATCTAAATCTAAACTTTATATCTGAAGAAAGTAATGTTTATTGTGACGATAGTGGTTACAATAAATTAAACCATGTAATTTTATTAGATTTGGTGACTAACTTTATTAACATACTTCTGTAGGGAGATAAAGAAAAAACAGGCACTCTTATACACACACATACATACAGTTAAACTAAGTATTATAATTGCCATTAATTCTCATAGGGAAAGGCAATTTACGCATTTCCAAATACCAGCTAAAAATCTCTACGTGCAATTCTAAAAATCCTAAAATTCAGTATATCCAAACTGAAAACCATCAATTTCCCCATCCAACCGTGAGTTATCTCCTGGACTCCTCTGAGAATTAACAGTGTTTCATTCTACTTTAAAGAAACTGAAATTTAATATTGTAGATGATGCTGTATGAGGGAGGCATAAGCATGAAAGAGGACAAGGAACTGCATCTGGGAACTCTTCTTAGTAGAAAAGCTTTGTTCTTCCTCATGAAATTGGTGAAAAGATGCACATTTTTGTTTTGTGACTAAAATTTTAAATAATTAACCAACCAAATATTTTGATTAGAAAACTAAATATACATCCTAGTTGAATCAATAAAAGAGCTTCCACTGTACACTTTACTCTCCCAGGCACTTAGGCTTAAAACTCCAAAGTAACATTTACTGAACTTTGTTTCCAAATTGTGTCAATAAATCTAAAATAAACGTTTATGTTACACTAGGCTTAGTAATTGCCGCAAGTTATTCCTCTCTCTTAGAAAATTATAATGCATGTTGTCATATTAAAGACTCTGAGAGGTCCTTCAGGAAAAATATTAACTATTTAACCTTACAAAAACTAGTGTTTCTTTCAAACAATTTTTGACAATAAAATGCCTGCCTCCACATTCTTTTACAAATTTATGCTGTTCAAAACTAGGTAAGGAATGCATTCCAGAATTGCTTTGCTTCTCTCACCTCTCACATCTAGGTACAGTCACACTCCGCATCATGACGCTTCAGTCAACTACGGATTTCATACACGACTGTGGTCCCAAATCATTTAATGGAGCTGAAAATTTTCTGTCACCTAGTGGCATTGTAATGTTAAGAGCAAAGCATTTGCTCACATGTTTGTGTGATGCTTTGTGGTAAATAAACCTACTGCACTGCCAGTCATACAAAAGTAAATACATACAATTATATACAGTGAATAATATTTGATAGTAAATGACTATATTACTGGTTATTTACTACACTGTACTTTTTATCATTATTTTCTAATATATACCTTACACTTAATTTTTTTAAATTAGCTGTAAAACAGCCTCAAGCAGGTCCTAAAGGAGGTATTCTAGAAGACATCATTATCATAGGCGATGACAGACCTTACAGTGGGGCAAGATGTTGGAGTGGAAGGTAGTGATATTGGTGATCCTGACCCAGTGTAGGGCTTGGTTAGTTATGTGTGTTTGTGACTTAGTTTGTAACAGAAAAAGTCTAAAAAGTTAAAAAAATTTAAAAATAGAAAAAAGCTTATAGTATAAGGATATAAAGAAAATATTTTTACAGCTCTACATTTGTGTTTTAAGCTGTTATTACAAAAGAGTCAAAACCCTTAAAAATTTAAAAATAAACTTTAAAAAAAGTTACAGTATGGTAATGTTAATTTATGATTGAAGAAATACCAATTTTTAAAATAAATTTAGTGTAGCCTCCGTGTACAGTGTTTATAAAGTCTACAGTCGTATACAGTAATGTCCTAGACCTTCCCATTCACTCACCACTCACTCACTGACTCACCCAGAACAACTTCCACTGCTGCAAAATCTATTCATGACCTATATAGGGATTGGGGGTCTGCTTTTTGATCTTTTATACTGTATTTTTACTGTACATTTTCTATGTTTAGATAGACAAATACTTGCCATTGTGTCACAATTGCCTATGGTATTCTTTACAGCAACATGCTGTACAGGTTTGTAGCCTAGGAGCCTATGGGCTCTAACTCTACCCCATTTCTCACCTTCCTATTCTGTACTTCTGCCCATTTCCTCCATCCTTGTTTAGAGCCTCTCCTGGTCTCCTGGGACTCCCCCTTAACCCGTACTCCTCTCTAGTGCTCTGCCTTCTCCAACTCTTCAAGCTGATGGCAGCTAAACTATATTCCAGCAGAGCTCTGACCATGTCACAGCCTCTTCTGTGCTCTTCAGTCTAGCGCATCTGCTCTGCAGTTTTTCCTTCATGTGGCCACCAGTTATCTTTTCAAAACATCACTCTATTACAGCATAATCCTACCTCTAAACTTTTAGGATCTCTCATTTCTAACAGAATGCCAGTTCATGCATGGCACAGAGCTTCTTACAGGCTATCTTTCACCTACCTTTCCAGTTAGTTGCTTCTTCCTCCATTTTCTCTGCCACTTCACCACCACTGCACAGGCACCAAACCCTCTGCTCACATCCCCATCGAAGTGTTTACTATTGCTGGAACACTCTATGCTCGTTCACAGCTATATTTCTCTGCCCACATTGACCTTTGTTCTATTCTCCCAGACAGAGATTATTTATTTTTAATGACTCTTGTAATTTATTTTTATATTTCATGGTTTTTTTTCTGTTTTATGCTAAACAGATTGTATCATTTTTCTCCCACTGTAATCTTCATTTAGATAGAAAATGAGTGTTACTTATCTTGATATCTTTTGGATTGTCTTGTACATAGTATGTGTTCAATTACTAATCTTTGAATTCCAATTTCTTTTCATTCAGAAACAGCTGTGTGGTAGTGAGAAACATTTAAATCCTGCTATTTTAGGCCACTTGTTAAAACATACTCTTCACTTAATCATTCTCAAACAGGATCCCAACTCTTAGTACAAAATAGTTTATATTTTCTTATTCCTGCTTTCCCATCTGTTCTACTCAGTCAGTTTGTATTGAATATAATAGGAAACCAACCAATTATTCATCACTTATTTGTTTGAACATTTGTGGGTTGACTACTTAATTGCTTTTAGCTGATACTCTGCCCTGACCTCTTTTTATTGGAGATAATTAAGTTGAATTCAGTTGATTCTTTTAAGAAGAACTTAGTAGCTGACACTGAGGTCAAAAAGACCTGTCCGTTTGTCCTCTAATTATCCAACAAGCATGGAGAAAAAGGAGGTTTCACGTATGCAAAAAGAACAAGTGTGGGCTGTCAGCCACACTTCATATCACAACCCTTCCTCTGAGCATTAACCATACATGCTACTGGTGCAATAATAATAATAATAGGTATTTGATTTGCGACCTGGTAATGACTCCTTCGATGTAAATTATGATAGAAGCTGAATTAAAAACAGATGAGTGGGAAAACTAGCTCATTAAAAATAAAATAGGCCGGGTGTGGTGGCTTACACCTGTAATCCCAGCACTTTGGGAGGCCAAAGCGGGCGGATCATGAGGTCAGGAGATCAAGACCATCCTGGCTAACACGGTGAAACCCCGTCTGTACAAAAAATACAAAAAATTAGCCGGGGGTGGTGGTGGGCACCTGTGGTCCCAGCTACTCGGGAGGCTGAGGCGGGAGAATGGCGTGAACCCGGGAGGTGGAGCTTACAATTGCAGTGAGCCGAGATTGTGCCAATGCACTCTAGCCTGGGCGACAGAGCGAGACTCCGTCTCAAAAATAAATATATAAAATAAAATTGGGAAAACAAAAGAAGAGCTATACAAGGATGAAAAATAAAGCATAATCTTAGAACAAAAATAGAGGCCCTACAAAGGAAAGCAAGATAAAGTGACAAAAAATAATCAGTGAAGCCAGATGTGGTGGCTTACACTTGTAACCCCAGTACTTTGGGAGACCAAGACTGGGGGATCTCCGGAGGCCAGGAGTTTGAGACCAGAAGGGCAACATAGTGAGACTCTGTTTCTACAAATACAAATAAACAAACAAACAAAAAACCAGATAAACAATCAATAAAGTCTATGATTTTACTCTAAGGTTCTGGACTATATCTCTTGATTTGTGCAAAAAAAACATTATTATTCATTAAACTGTAAAATAAACTTTATTCACACATTTCTTATATGCTTTTTATTTACATTTCTCACACTTAATTTTTTCTATTTAATTGTAGTCATGCTTATTTTCCAGTTAAATTCTTAATTAATCCAGAATGATTTTTAGTGTTCCTGGAACATTGAGAATTTATTTGCCAAATGCATACTAATTGTGAAAACTATTAGACTGGCCTCACTTAAATACAAGAAGAAACCTATTTATTGTTTCATCATCTTAGGTTCAATGCATTTAATGTTTGTCTTGGACAATTCTGTTTGTGACCAATAATGCATTTCAACTTTCCAATGGAAATGTCATTTATTTATTTAGTCAATAAATGCTTATTGAATACTTAATATCCACTAATTTCCATGTTAGAAAGTGACTTTAAAAAGCCCAATTTCTGCCCACAAGGAATTTATATTCTAACAGTCTCTTTTTTTAAACAGAGAGTAGAAATGTGATACAGAATAGAATTAGAATGTGTGCTCAATGACAGCAGAGGCCATTTCTCTTTTGTTAACATCTTGCAGTTCTTGGCATAAAGGAGATGCTCAGGAAGTAAGTCTTTAATGAATGAATGAATCCTTTGAAATAGGTTTCTAACCAGAGATAGACAAAATCTAGAAATGTAGGGTGTTTTACTGTTTTTATTTATGTGTTCAGTAGTATCTTGTTTCTAATCCCCATAAGTAGAGGGACATAACCATGCTTTATGAAAATGCAGGTGGCCACAACACAAAAACACACATGACCTTGTGGGGAGTGAGACGCAGACTGCCCAGAATGCTGGCTGATTATGTTAGAGTTCTTTGGCAGAAAGAAACAAAAGCCAACTTCAACCAAAAGAAATGTATTTTGGGGATATTTGAATCTCACACAATTCATGGGAAATGTGAGGAACCTGACCTGGACATAGACAGAGTTCAAGTTATCTATAGATTCTAGGAAAAGGATGTACAGAAATAGCAGATAATACTTGTTTAGGGAGTCACTGCTGGGGATGAATCAATGTCAATTGTTTTCATTGTCTTTGTTTAAGTTCCAATGAGTTCAGCCTGCATCATGCCTCCATGTCTTAGCTAGGAGAGGGCAGAACACCTAATTAAATTCCTGAAGATAGTATCCAATGGGGAACATGTAATTCTCGAGAGGGAACCAGAGTACCATTAGGAAAGGGAAATAAATTCTAGGAAAACTCCAAAGAAACAATGCCAGCTATACTAGTTATATGAACTGAGGCATGTCAAGTGCTGCAAATGGTGTGGGATTTTACTCTACTTAGAAGCTCACAAGTTAGCCAGCTACTATCTCATAGATGCCAGCAGAAGACATAAGACTTCTGAATTAGAGACAAAGGACTTTATTACTCATAGCACAGCAGGCAGCATGAGCTCCATCTTTGCATTGGTTTTTGTTTCACCCTAAGCCCCACTCGGATGATTTAGAGGCAGGCACAGGAGAATGCTGCATCCACAGAGGCTGCGCTGAGGAACCCAGAGACTAAGAAACCCTCAATCTTCTAAAAGGGCTGCTAACAGACTAGCTCAAATTTTGCCCCGGAGAGAGCTATTGTCTTTATTAACTTAGACAATAAAGAAATTGTCCTCTGCGCTGGAAGTAGGTATTATACCTGCAAGGCTATTTACTACACAATATCTTTGGGGTTTTAAGTATTATATGTTTATATTATATATTAATTTTTATTTTATATATATAAACATATAATATATAAATATATATAAACATATAAATACATATTATATATAAATATATATATAATATAAATATATATATATATATATTTTTTTTTTTTTTTTTAAGATGGAGTCTCACTCTGTTGCCCAGGCTGGAGTGCAGTGGCGCAATCTCAGCTCACTGCAAGCTCTGCCTCCCAGGTTCACGCCATTCTCCTGCCTCAACCTCCCGAGTAGCTGGGACTACAAACACCTGCCACCACGCCTGGCTAAATTTTTTTTTTTTTTTGCATTTTTAGTAGAGACAGGGTTTCACCATGTTAGCCAGGATGGTCTCGATCTCCTGACCTTGTGATCCGCCAGCCTTGACCTCCCAAAGTACTGGGATTACAGGCGTGAGCCACCGCGCCCTGCCTATATTTTTATATTTACTTTTTTTTTTACTTTTAGGTTTGGTGGTCCATATGAAGGTTTGTTACATAGGTAAACACATGTCACGGGGGTTTGTTGTACAGATTATTTCATCACCCAGGTATTAGGCCCAGTACCCAATAGTTATCTTTTCTGTTCCTCTCCCTCCTCCCACCCTCCACCCTCAAGTAGACTCCAGTGTCTGTTGTTTCCTTCTTACACAAATATCTTTGAAAATGTAGTAGAGAATGGAAGTTGTCACAGGATGGTCAAAAACATGAGACCCCTGGAGAATTGTCTCCCAACAAAGTAAGAGTGTGGGTTAAGATGAGTAAAGGAATACTGACAGATGAATGTCTGATTTAAGTCAAAAGTAGAAGAGAAAGCCAATGTCCAAAACATTAGAACTAAAGGTCAAAAGAACTAGAGGATAAAGATAATATTAGGGTCACAGAGCTAAGAAATTTGGCTTTTGCAGACTCAGAGAAAGCCAGGTGCAGCAATGGAGTTATCCTAAAACCCTGATTGTTATTTGTTGCTGGTGTGGGTCAGGCTGGCTTATAACATCAAGAACAGCATGTACATTTTTTGCCTCCATCTGTGTGGTGGAACTTGAAAAATTACATACATTTATTTGTGAAGAAGGTGTGGGAGCATGTAGAGATCAGGCAGAGCTCAGTTTAGGATTCAACCAAGAGTTCAACTTTACTCCATTGCCTCGTTATTAAGGACTTAACCTCTGACATTGCCTTAGTGAGAGAGCATTTATCTATGATGCTGCCTTCAAGGAGCGAGCTCTTCTTTGGTGTTAATTACTAGCATAGCAGCAGGGCCTTTCATAGACTTCTAAGAGGGACGAACACTGTGGTCATCAGGCTTTAAAATATTTTCCCCATCAAGACTTACTATGTATGATATAGATAACTTCTCTGCCTATGCTCACAGGTACTTCCTTGGAGAACAGAAGCCAAATTCTGTCATTGTTTGTCTCAGCCCTCCCCACAGGGCAGTGATGAGAGTACAAATGTGGGACCTGACCCAAGAGTGACACCCTAGAACCTTAATGAGAGAAGATAGGCAAGTATGGGCAAGGTCCCTTATTCGCCCTGCCTACACCTATTTTTAATGAAAGGTGCCTTTTAGGAAGAGTTGAAGAAGCAGTTCTTGGTTTCTGTTTTAAAAATACATCAGTCTGTTAAGGGTAAACATTAGTATTAAAGATAAAAAGTCTGAAGGTAAAGCACGAAGTTATAGTGGTTGAAGTGAGAGTCGGGACTTAACAGCAGTTAGCCCCATATAGGCGAAAGATTCTACCTAAGCAATTGTAAAAATATTTTTTAAGAGAAAGAAAACCTGCTAAGTCATTTTTGAAATTTAAGCAATGAAGAGCTAGAGAGAATTAAAATAAAACCTCAACTATGTAAGAATTGTATAATCATTTATAAAGTCTGATACAGCGTTTTTCTGAAGTATTTCCCCTTTTTTTATGGTGATCCTATTCAAATGTTAAATAAATACAGTAGCTCATAACATATGAAAGAAAAGTTTGACTCATTTCACTTAAAGCTGTTATTTAGGATGTACTTAAGTCAAATATATTCTCAATGGAGTGCTTAATAATGAAGACTTGAAGGTTATACAAAATTTCCTTCAAGGTGAAAAGTAATTTTTAAACAAGAATAACTATTTTTCTAAGGTCTGAAATGCATATTTGGGTTGGTTTAAGAACTCTCACTTTTTCAGTCAATTGGTTATTTGTTGGGAATAACAGTTATCCCTGCAATGGATGATATTCTGATCCTATTTCAAATAATAACTTAGACATAAAATTTGTCTTGAATCAGTGGGTTTTCAAACCTGGCTTGTCATCTGAATCACCTTGGCAGCTTCCCAGCATTTCTGAAAATCAGCGATGCTTACAAGTGCTGCATTGGGTCATCTAGTTCAACTTCCTCCTTTAAGAGAATGACTCAGAAAACTTAGTCTCATTCATATGACAGATCTTCTTAATCCATGTTGAATGATTTTCCATCCCCACCTCAACCCCTAAGATTTTATGTTTCTACTTTCACATCGATTTTACTAACATTCTTTCTTCCCTATAAGGGAATCCACAGTGAAGATGCATTATTTCAGAGGAGACTGGATCAATATTCCTTCTTCAACCTGTCACACAGAGAAGAGAGGCGCCTCTGTTTTCCCATCAGGGATGAGTACAGGAAACGGCAGCATATTTTCCACTTGTGAGTAATTTTTTATCTAATTTTTCAAGTTGAGAAAGATCACCATGCTGTATGAAATATAACCACAACACATAAGACATGTTATAAATTTGAATGTGTGTAGACTAAACAATATTATGGGGTTTTCTACCATTACCCTCTATAAGCATATCTAAATATCTAAAAAGCCTAAATTTCTATAAAGAAATACGTGTCAGAATTAGAGCAAGAAGTCTATCAAATGCAAGGAAACCTTTTATTTTACTTGCGTAAATGGTTCAGAGTTCCTATGTACATTCTTTACCCGGATTCTTCCAATGATAACATGTTACATTACTGCAATACATTTACTAAAACTTGGAAACTGACATTGGAGCAATACTGTAACAAAATCATAGACTAGTGTTTCACAAGTTTTTATATGTACTCTTTCTCTTTTTTTTTACAGTTATATGAAATTTTATTACATAGATTCTGAATTAGTAGTTGATGTAATTAGAAACAACAACAACAAAAAAAACAGTGGAGTTTGCAATGAAGAAGTTTAAGTTATTACTGAGTGCAGACAATGTCATTGTATACTTAGAAGAGCCCAAGTGAATAACCTGAAAAACTACCTGATAAGTAATGAGAGGTTTCAATAATGCAGTAAAGTAAAAAATACGTATTTTCAATCATTCTTACATATACAAACAATAACTGAGTACAACATGTAGTGTAACAAATATACTAAAATAGCATTTTTTAATCTATTAGTATGGCAAAAATCTCAAAACTTGATTTAAAAAAATCTCTTTTTAATAAACTCTATGAGAAATAGGCATGCTCACACATTGCAGATAGGAGTAGAAACTGCCACAATCCCTACGAAAAGCAATTTACTTATGATATTAGAAAATTATAAATTCATTTACTCTTTGACCCAGCAATCCCATTTTGGTAGTTTACCTACAGATATGCCTATACCTGTTTGAAATTATGTATATACAACTTTATTCATTGAAGCATTATTTGAATAATTAAAAGATAATTGACCAACAATAATGAAAGTATAGCACAAAAATAAAAATGATAATGGCAAGAAATTTGAAAACCATGCCCATTAGTAGAGACTGATTAAATAAATTATTGTCTATTTAATGAAACGTTCTGCAACTGTAAAAAAAAAAAAAAGAATGAGGTAGCTATTTATGTACCAATCTTTAGTAAAGATTAGTAAAACTCTCCAAGATATTCTATTATGTGAGAAAAAAACTTGGTGTAGAACAGTATGTATCTTATGCTTCCTTTTTCATAAGAAAGGTGACAAAATGTCTTCATGAAACAACCACTGGAAGGGCACATAAAAAGCTGATCACATGGTTTATGTATGGAAAGAGGGGAATAGAAACTCTCAGCTCACATGGCAAAGATGGAGGTAGACTTTTCACTGGATACTTCTATTTATTTACCAAGTGAATGTATTCTCAATTTAAAATAAGTCAATGAAACTGACAAATTTGTTTCTTTGAACTTCTTTTTCAGCTCAAATTTTGAAATATTATTTATTCGTTAGGGGCCCTTTTAGTCATTTTTTTCTGAATGCAAGTAGGTCCCATCTGCCAATTTTTACATTGGCTGGAGTCATGCCATGGTGACTCATTACAGTGTCACCTTAGCATGCCATGGTTGCAATCCCATGGACTAGCTAAGGATGCAAAACTTATTTCCTGCCTGAACTGCAGGACTTAGTGAAGGCGTGAACTTTTTTAGTCAGGCTTAATTTCAAATCTGGTATTTACCATTTCCTAGCACTTTGACCTTAGGCAAATTACGTAACCTCTCACATCTTGTTTCCTTTATTTAAAATTAAGATAATATACTCACTACAAGGTTGTGAAGATTAAAGGAGTTAACATTATGAAACACCTGTTGAAGCACTAAATAAATGTTAGTTGCCCTTTTCTTTTTCTCTTTGATTTCCACATGGCTTGCTAAATTAGGCAAACTATTTTAAATTAACTGACTTGAGTCAAATGTGTCTCTTATTTATTCATTAATAACTTTTATAGTTATTTGAGGAGTTGATTATTATGATTACGAGTAGTTCTGATTTAACTCTACTCATACAAATTCTGCTTTTTTCTGATATTGTGACTAAGACTATAATTGGCCATCTAAATGTTCAAACTAGTTAAATAGTCTTAATGCATAGCATATTCCTTCATAAGATGCTAATTGGTGGCTTATGGATTTTTTGGAAAAAGTTTATTTCATCAAAACTCTAAATAGATTTTTGATACAGACAAGCTTATCTTTTTCCCTGAGTAGTCAGAATTGATTTTATTGTATGAAACTATATGCTTTGATTTAGAGGCTAGAAGTAGAACATTTATTCCTGAATAATATCATGTTAGTAATAGAGGTGAGGCAGAGATAAATAAGAAAAAGATGAAAGCAGATTAAAAGTCAGATTAACATCTGCAATAAACTTTATCTTCAAAGATTAGTAAATATTCTGAAATATTCTCCTTAGAAAAATGAAGCTACAAGTTAGCTCATCCAGTAGGTATCTGTGATTTATTTGAGAATTCCCAAGCGTACAATTACTGAGACTTATTAAAACTAATGAACTGTCAAAAAAAAAAAAAAAAAAAAACCTTGTTCTGACAGTTCTGACAAGATGGTAAGGAAGACTTTATTACAGAACCATTGCAATAGGTATAAAAGCTATCAAAATACTGGAAAGAAATCAGGCTCAATTCTGAATACAGCAAAAACTAGTGGGAGATTTATAACAAAAGAGCAGTTTGGAGAGTCGTTGGTAGACAAAAAATTACTAAAAGGAGACATGAAGGGCAGCAGGGGTTCTGGTGAAACTGACCTAACAAGACTCTTGCTGAAGGCAGGCCAGAATGGTCAGGTATTGATGGTAGGGCATGAGGAATCTGATTATTAATAGATACTAAGAGTGATCAAATATCAAGGGTTGAGAGATTCTCTCTGAATTAACTTAGCAGGATTCTTGCTATAACTGGACCCCAGGAAAACAGGGAAACCTGAGGTTGAAGCCTAGCTGAGAAGAGGGCTCAGAGGAGCCTGACTACAGTTTGGTCAAAGAGAGTCTTTGTCAGAAACTTATAGCTGAAAGTCAAGACTAAAAAATGAGACACGTTTACACACTTCTTCAAAGGGCTGGCATTTGGCCCCCAAATTCATTTCTGAAAAATTATCCTGAAATTTAATGTTATAAGTGAAATGGTTATCCTTGAGGACAATCTATAATGGAAATAATATTGCAAGATTTGTAGCTGTGTTTGATTCATCACAGCATTACAATATGAAAAAGAGCCAAAGGACGACAAAAATTGCATATTGACGAAATGAACAAAGCCAGCTTTCTCATCATCATCTCTTGCCTTTATTGGATGAAAGCACTTTTCACCAAGTTCTGAGAAAAAAAAATATGTCCTTAGAACCATGTTGACCAATAACATCACAAATGGCCCCTGTAATTGTCTCTAAACAGTATTTTTTTAAAAAATAGAATGCATAGAAAAAAAAAGGACCAAAGCTTTAGTGTTTTTGTTTTGTTTTGTTTTGTTTTGTTTTAATGGGAAAAGCCTTTCCTTGATGTGCATGAAGATGCAGTTTCTATTAGCCTTTATGTGGGACATATGCCTGCACCGATGGTGAATTCTTTCAATCAAGTTATAGGTAGAAAGGTCATAAGAAAGAGAGAAACATTGGTATGAAGCTTCTTACAGAGCATGTTGTTGAAAATGTAACCAAATCCATCACCTCAAGCATTTATCCTTTGTTTATGTTATGAACATTCTACTTTTTAATAATCTTAGTTATTATAAAATGTACAATAAATTATTGTTGACAGCAGTCACTGTTGTGCTATCAAATAACAGATCTTATTCATTCTAATGATACTTTTTGTTCCCATTAACCATCCTCATTCTCTTCCTCGCTCACTATCCTTCCCAGCCTCTGATAACCATTCTTCTGCTGTCTATCTGCATGAGTTCAATTGTTTTAATTTTTAGTTCCCCAAAATGAGTGAGAACACACAAAGTTTGTCTTTCTGTGCCTGGCTTATTTCACTTAGTATAATGATCTCCAGTTCCATCCATGTTGCAAATGACAGGATCTCATGCTTTTTTTATGGCTGAATAGTACTCCATTGTGTGTATGTACCACATGTTCTGTATCTTTTCATCTGTATGCGGACACTTAGGTTGCTTCCAAATGTTGGCTATTGTAAAAGTGCTACAACAACGCAGGAGTGCTGATATACTGGTTTCCTTTCTTTTGGGTATATACATAGCAATGAGATTGCTGTATCATATGGTAGTTCTAATTTTAGTTTGAGGATCTCCATACTGTTCTCCATAATGATTGTACTAATTTACATTCCCACCAAGAGTGAATGAGAGTTCCTTTTTCTCCACATCCTTACCAGCATTCTTTTTTGCCTCTCTCTTGAATAAAATCCATTTTAATTGGGTGTATTCTTTTCAAGCCACAGGCAAAAACATTCATCTACCTTCCCAGTTTAAAGTATCAACTCTTAGAATTACTGGGAGGAAAATTAAACAGTGTCTATCAGTTTTCTACAACAAGAAATTGAGAATTTCACTTTTTCTTGATCATCTTAACACATTTTAATATTTTTTCCCCAAAAAGGAAACATCTTTTAGGACACAGAGTTAGTTATCCTGGGGATTTGGAGAGACAATCAGCAGGAGTTGGTACCCTTGCTGATCCCAGGCAAGAGGAAAGTTAACCCTGTAATAGCTTTGGGGGATTGAGCCATCTGGTTTTACAGTTCATTACCCTTTCACTCTCAGGAGCAACACATTCTGTGAGGAGTTGCTCTTTGCCTGCTGAGTAGTTTAGAATGGAATCTAACAGTGGGATTAAATTCATTCTGCTGCCCTGCAGGTTTCCATCCTCAGGGTGCCCTCAATTTGAAGAATAGTAACATCAGCTCAGGAGTTGGGGAAATGAGAACAGCAGGCAGAACACATGGGCGTAAAGCAATCAAGGGATGTGTTTGTAAAGAAATAGCCTGTTTAGGATGAAGCCAATAGGCAAAGCCAGAAACAGAGCCAGCCCCTGCAAACACAGCCACAGTGGATGGTCAAAAGACAGGCAGCACTGTGAACTGACCAGAGTGCAAGAAATGCCTTTCCTGGAGAATCTATGAATTTTGGTAAAGGCAATTTAGAGATTTTATTTTTTTCTTTTTTTTTTTGAAGGAGAAATAGCTTGTAAATTATAGATCCTCCTCTCTGCCCTCGTCCTCTTCAGCCTAGGGATCTGTGAAGAGGATACAGTTTACCAGAAGTTTAGATTCCAGACATTGTCCTAAGATCAGTATATACAATTATTTTGCATTTAAAATGTACATTTTATAAAATAAGTTTTATTACCTATATTTTATGAATTAAGAAAATAATTTTAGAGAGGTTAAATAACTTAGTCATTGTCAACAAAGTAAGTAAAAAGACAGAGCCAAGATTTTTTTATTTGTCATTATTGAATGCTAAGTTGAAGGAAAAGCTGAAGAATCAGGTGACAATTTAGGCATCTATGGATGAGTCCAGTAAACTGAGATTGCAAAATGTAGGGAACAAAATAATAAAATATAAAGGGTGACAATATTGCCTGTGAATTCATACAATCAATAAGGAAACTGTTACACAGTTGTTTTGTACCTTACATATAAAAAAGAATAGGCACAACTTAAATTTATAATTATTTAGTTATAATGAATGATTTGTGATAGGAAAAATTTAAGGGTGACAATCCTCAGAAAATTAAAAAAATTAAAATATATGTGATTTTGATGAAAAAGGTCTACCCATAGGGAGGATTTAGAATGAAATGACCTCTTAATTCTTATGTCTTAATTGTTGCCTTTTAATTACGAGATAGGGAAAAGTTATCAAAACTGAAGATACATCAGTGGATGTAAAAAAAAAAAAAAAAAAAAAAGGACCAGATGATCAGGGTGACCTGAGTTTCTTCTTGTTTTCTGAGCATTTTAGGCAGAGAGCTTAAATAGTCAGATAAACCTCCAGGAGGATTTTTCAACAGTTTCAGAAAATGAGATTCTGGCATGTTGTTGATAGGGTTTTGAATGTGTGGGGAGTGGAAGAGTTGCCACGGGGTTTGGTTATCTTTGAAAATGTATTAGTCTGTTCTCACACGGCTATAAAGAAATACCTGAGTCTGAGTAATTTATAAAGAAAAGGGGTTTAATTGGCTTATCATTTGGCAGGCTGTGCAGGAAGCATAGCTGGGGAGGCCTCAGGAAACTTACAATTATATGACGGAAGGCGAAGGGGAAGCAGGCTGTCTTCACATGGTACTACACGCTTTTAGATAACCAGATCTCATGAGAACTCACTCACTATCAGGAGAACAGCAAGAGGGAAATCCACCCCCATGATCTAATCACCTCCCACCAGGCCCCTTCTCCAACACTGCAGATTACAATTCAACAAGAGATTTGGGCAAGGACAGAAATCCAAATCATATCAGAATATCAGGAAAGATATAAGATGAAAATATGATAAGCTATTATGTATAAACAGATTTTGGAGTAAGGCTTTGATACAAATTCAATATCCTTACAGAAAAAAAAGCAATCTAAACAAAACGCTGACTACCAAACCAATCCACAACTGAAGGCGTTTTCATTCATTAAAACCACAACAATAAACTGTGTTCATACCTTTTCACAGGGATCCATCAATTAGCAAAGATAAATAAGGTTTAGTTAGCTGTCTTTCAGTGAATCTTGAGGATTAATGGTGCTGTGCTTTCTATTAGTATGAAACATAAATTCCATTCACTAAGAATTCAAATGCTAAGCTGGAAAATCTCCCACACCTACATGTGTGGTTTATTCCTGGCAAATTATCTTTGCATCATTGTTAATTTTTGCAGTACATGTACAAGAGCAAAACAAAGAAAAATTTAATTTCATAGGTTTCTGTAGGGGCCATTCTTTCGTAATTAAACTTTGGAGACATTTTTTAAAAAATAGCATGTGATGTATTAGAAAGATCACTGAGTTAGCACCCAGGAGACCTAGAAAGTAATCTACACTTTGCTGTTCTTCGTTCCACATTCCTTCCTGGCTACTGTTCTATTCATCTGTAAAAGAGAAATAATGATTCCTATTCTTCCAGCCGTTCATATGATTATGTGAAATATCTTCCCAAGCGTAAAATGAGAGATGCTATATCTAGATTTTAAATACTGGTGATTGTTAATACTGGAAAATTGATTGAAAATTATTTCTAGATTTTAATAAAATAAAAATGTTCAAAAGTAAATTTGAATAGTCATAAATTCCAGCATCTTCTCAATACCCAGGAGACATGAAATCTCAAACATTTACAAAGAAGAAAACAAGAAGGCTACAATGAGGAGAGAAAACTTAAAAATTATATTCAAATATTAAAAGTGAATATAATTGATTAATGATGGTATTTGATAATCTGTATCTTGTTCAGATTTGCCTCCCTATGACACTGGACTATGGCAATATGGTTTTGTGTTTCCAGAGTTCTATTTTTGTTCTATAATTCAGTATTTTATTGGCCTTTTGGAGAACTACAATTCATCATTTGGATTCCTACAGTTTACCTGTCACCGCTATATTTTCTTCCAGGTTAAGCTTGAGGTCCAAGCCCACTCTTCATACGACACAATGCACCACAAACATTTTCAAAACCCTAATTTTAATGTGCCTGAAAAAGGCCAATGTTCCCTGAAGAAAATAAGTCGGAATAGTAACAGTCAAGATCTTTAAACCTACTCTTTTTTTCCAAAATAGCCATGCATCTCCTTTACTATGGGACAGTATATGTTTTCATTGGTAACTGACACATGTGTTTCGAGAACATGTATTCCCCCAAAAGAAGGTTCCAGTATCATTTCTCATTCATGAATAGAAGAGTGACATGAAAGTTTAATTTCTAGAACCATAAAGCTTTGTTTCTAATCCCCCAAACATGCTTTTTCATGTCCATATGTTTCTCTTTAAAGTAAATACATTGCAGAGAAGTAAGAGAGAAAAGTACAGTAAAGGGAGAAACATGCATTTCGCCTAGAGCAATTTAATTCATCTAAACAAAGGCTGAGCTCCAAGCAAATGTAGCTTTGGAGATCAGAAGATAGCAGCTGCTGGCAAACAAGCAGGTTTTGGTAATTCACACTTGGGAGGGCCTGCTATGGCGGCTCAAGAGACCCCCTTGCTTTTGCCAATGGTTATTGAGCAATCAAAACATTTAGAATTCTCATGGATATTTGCCTAAAGCAGGTATGACCACACTGAGGTGTAAAGTAATGATTAGTTCATGACTAGAGGTGTTTCCCTGGTTTTTTTCTCAGTCTGTTTTGGATTATCCTTAATGGGAGCAAAGAACACAAAGGGTTTTCTAACATGTACAGAGCTGTATTTCTCACGGAATATTTGAGTATCTCCTTACATCAGAATCAGGTCATGGGCTGGGCAGTCAGGTTATGGTCTGTAAAATGAGCTCCTGAAAGTACCTGATTGTAGATTTATTACAAACTCCACATTCTAGTTTACTTTTGTATATTACTTATTTACAGAACTCTGCTGTACTCTGTTCTGCCACTCATAGATATGTGTTCACCCTAAAATTAATAATGAAGCCAAAATGGCTCTTGTGCCCAAACCCACTGCAATCCTATAGTGCTGAAAGCACCACATTAAGACTGCTCTCTTATCTTTATCCTTAATGCCCCAAGCTAATCTGAATATAAGTTCTTTTTGTTGGAGACTCTAAATTCAAATCAACTCTGCAGGGCCTGGAAGAAGAGGAGAGACAGGCCCATTTATACAGAATCTAAAATAAACTTGCTTTTTGGCTGAGAGAACAGGTTGATATGGTAGATCCTTCATCAGAATATGTGAGTACATATAGGTATTAAACATTTTAAGCTGGATGATACAGGTCCAGTTTAGTTAAAAATATCTCTGGAAAAAAATGTTATTCAGTCTTGAAATAACTTTGAAACCCTGCCTCCTACGAAGCATTTCTGTAGGACAACAGTAATGTATTTGCTTCAGATGGTTTCAGTAAAGCCTCATCAAAAGGTCATGCTAACCAGCCAAAGAGAAGCAAAGGCCCCACCAGGCCAGATCTAAGATCGCATAAAAGGAGGGTTATTCAATGGCCGAAGGAAATAAATATATTAATAATGAGTCTTCCGTTTGCACATGACAGAAATCCATTCAAATTATTCCCAAGACAGGGGACTTTATGGAAAGGCTGGATTGCCTAACCATAGAACAACAGAATGCAGCTTAGCCTGAGGGGCAGCTGAGGCCGGGAACTGGACATCCTCCTGACTGTCTCTCTTTTGTTCTCTCTAGATGTAAGGTTATTGTTTTATTGAAGAGCAGCTTCTTTCATAGGTTAGGGTCTTCAAATCTCATAATATTACCACTACAGAGGGATTTTCAGTCTTTTCAGTCTTCAAAGGGGAGTATCTAGATTGGCCCACCCTTGAATAAGTCAACTCTATCAAGGCAGGTAAAGTGTTATTGTCAGTTCCTGTTAGAACTTCAAGGTCTTAGGGGAAGAGGAGAACAGCATCCTAATGCAAAAGGGGTGCAGTTCCCAGGAAAAGGGTAAAACAAAACTGGAGGAAGTCAATACACCTTAGAATGGGAGAGATAAATGATTAGTTGTGCTTGAATTGAGAAACCTTGGCAAGGGAAACTGAGGGCAGAGGAGGATTTGGACTAATTTTTCTGGTAAATGGAGAAGGATAAGGCAGTATCTTGTTCAAGTGACTGTGACAAAAGCCTAGGAAATTATCAGGCTGATGAGATAAAGAGCAACATAGAGATTACTCTGCAGAAAGAGTTAAGGCCAATGAGCCATTCAAGCCTTGAGACTGTGATGACTCATGACTTCCTTCAGCTTCTGCTGGTCTTCAAAGAAACACAGCCTCAGGGTTAGTGGGGCCCTCTGCCAAGTTTCAAAAGTATTCCAGACTATAGTATCACTACTTTCTGCCTACTCACCTCTGTAAGCCATTCCCGGCTGAGGAAGTCAGAATTCCCTCATTTCCTCAACTCTAGGACAGGCTTTACTCTCAGCAAATTTAATTGAAAGAAAAATGCACTATTCTTTTTCTTTTCTCTTTTTAACCCATTAGGCCTTAAGACAAACAAAAGGCAAAGCAAAACAAAATTTTTTGAGTACTATTTTGCAAATTACTTCTATTCTGATATGGAACTTTATGAACCCTGACTTTTTTTTTTTAAAGAATTTATTCTGTCTTTTGTTTAGAAAATTCAGTGAATATATTTAGACCTAAATGTCTATTCAGGTCCTTTGTCTAGAGACAGATATTTTGTCTCTAATTATCATTCTGTCTTCATGTCTCTAATTTTTATTCTGTGACAATATATCAAAGAAGTCTTTTAATTTTTTTGAACTCCAGTTCTTTCAAGCATTTAGTAGAGCCAACACCTGCTCTTTATGCTCTTCTTAGGACACTTAGGTAATACAATAAAACAATACCATAAAAAAACGAACAAAACCCTTCTGTGTATCTCCTTAGAAGAAAAATAAGTTATTTCAGGATTTTTAAAAGAAATTCATTTAGGATTCCTTTTTAGCATTCCTTTTGTCAAAATACCTGTCTCTAGACAAAGAATCTGAGTCGACAGTTCTCCAAAGATTATATACAACTGGCCAACAAATACATAAAAAGATGCTCAACATTGCTAATCATTAGGGAAATGCAAATCAAAACCACAATGAAGTATCACCTCACACCTATTAGAACGGCTACCACCAAACAAAAGAAAACAAAACAAGACAATCAGAAAAAAACAGAAAATAAATGTTGGCAAGGATATGGAGAAATTGGAACCCTTGTGCATTTTTGGTAGGAATGTAAGACGGTACAGCTGCTATGGAAAACAGTATGGCAGTTTCTCAGAAGATTAAAACTAGAATTACCATATGATTAACAATTTTACTTCTGGATATATATCCAAAAGAATTGAAAGCAGGATCTCAAAGAGATATTTGCACACCCAAATTCATATCAGGACTATTTACAATAGCTAAAAGTGGAATCAATCAAGTGTCTATTGATGGATGAATGGATACATAAAATGTGGTGAATACAAACAAGAGAATATTATTCAGACTTAAAAAAGAAGAAAATTCTGATACACGCTACAACATGGATGAACCTTGAGGGCAATACGCTAAGTGAAATAAGCTAGTCACAAAAAGACAAAAACTTTACAATTTCATTTATATGCGGTATCTAGAATAGTTAGATTCATAGAAATAGAAAGTAAAATTGGTGTTTGACAGGGACTGGGAGAAGAGAATGGGGAGTTTTTGTTTAGTGGGTACAGAGTTTAGGTTCTACAGGATAAAAGCTTCCTGAGATTAGTTGCACAACAATGTGCATATACTTAACACTACTGGACTGTATATTTAGAAATCCTTAATATGGTAAATTTTATGTTCTGTGTTTTTAACTACCATAAAAATAATTTTTAAAAATAGCTCTAGAGATAGATTTATAGTTTTTTCATATTCCTTGGACTATAAATATTATTAGAATGTGTTGTTCTAAAAATATTTTGATTATTTAAGTAGTAATGTTTCTATTATTAGTTGATTTGACATAAAACAGATTTTTAAATTTCTTGTAATTTATACTAATTTATGCTGTATAATGTTTTCATCTAAAAATTACATTTAGGCAATTGTAGCTAACTTTATTACATTAACTTTTAAAAAACTATAGTGTTTATAAACACTACTAATTTCAAAATTGAATCTTTCCCTACATAATTCAGCTTTTAGAACATAAAAAATATGCATTTTAAACAGTGTTTAAATCAATCATAATTAATTACATTTCCAAATACATCTACTAAGCTGGGCCTTACAATTACAGAGCTAATTATGTTGAAAATGAAATTCCACTATCCCCCAGGCTTGCTCAGTTACTTCTGTGCTCTAATTTAGATACCCAGGGGTTTATTTGCTGCTAGGCAACACCTGATAAAAATAAGTATATGCATGAACAATTATATACCTATGAAGACATGCAAAAATAGTTTTATGTGAGAAAAAATATTATCTGCTTAACGTTTTGAATATTTTCTTGATTTTTATGTGTTTTTAGTACAACCAGGCAATATAGCCCTTGCCACAAATATAGACTGCAAAAGATCCTGGGTTTTCAAAAACTGAGGTTACAGTCAACCTTTAATGTATACTGAGGCACAAATTTCTCTATATCGAGGCATGAGAGATGTCAGCTAAGTAGGTGTCATTTTGTAGGTTGATAAGTTAAGACATTCTGTTAGAATTATTAACATAGTATGGCAGAATATTAGTATCTTAAGAGGTGGTCAACTACTAATCCTTCTAGAGAGGTGAAGTTTAATACTGGGTGTGGTACAGAACAACCGGGAGCTGGCTTCATGTCTCTAATTTTTATTCTGTGATAACATATCAGAGAAGTCCTTTAACTTTTTCGAATTCCAGTTCTTTCAAGCATTTATTTAGTAGAGCCAACACCTGCTTTTTATGCTCCTCCTAGGACACTTAGTTAATACAATAAAACAATACAATAACAAAAGAAACAAAACCCTTCTGTGTCTCTCCTTAGAAGAAAAAGAAGTTATTTCAGAATGTTTAAAAGAAATTCATTTAGGATTTCTTTTTTAAAAAACATTAGCACTAAGGTAGTGATCTACTATACAGAAGCAGCACTTTCAATGCAGTGGAAGAAATTGTTTCTTTTATGGTGTATTTCTGTAAGATCCAGGCTGTTAAAAAGTTCCAGACAGAAATAACACTTTATCACACTTGGTTAAACTGAATTTTTGTACTTTGGTTTCTGAAAATCAAAACCTCTCATGATTGTATTTAAACATCTTTAATAAAAGTGGGCTTACATGAAGTAAAGCAGTATGAAGAAATATGATAAAAACAAAATGTGTGTGCATATAATCTCTAAAGAGATTAGAGATGAAGTTAAGATCAGAGTCGTCTTTTTATTAAATATAAAACCATAGAATCAAACAATAATTGAATTTCTGTAATAAATGTTTCATATATCAAAGCATTATAACTTTTGGTGCTCAAATGTCTTCTACTTCTGGCATGTTCTATTATGGAATTATTAATTTGAAACAGGCAGATAATCTTGAATGTCATACTTTAGAAAAATACAAATATGGCCAGGCATGGTGTCTCATTCCTGTAATCCCAGCAGTTTGGGAGGCCGAGGTGGGCAGATCACTCAGGGTCAGGAGTTCAAGACTAGCCTGGCCAGCAGGGTGAAACTCTGTTTGTACTAAAAATGCTAAAAATAGCTGGGTGTGGTGGTGGGCATCTGTAATCCCAGCTACTTGGGAGGCTGAGGCAGGAGAATTGCTTGAACTTGGGAGGCGGAGGTTGCACTGAGTTGAGATCCCACCACTGCACTCCAGCCTGGACAACAGAGTGAGACTCCATCTCAGAAAAAAAGAAAAAAAAAACAAATATTAGGTCAATAAAATAATCTGTATTTTAAAATTTCTTTGGAATTATAACCAATTTGATCAAAAGATATAGATATTGAAAATATGTCAATATATTATATTATAAATGTTAGATAAACCATTCATTATTTAGTCTTCTAATACAACTGAAAATGCTCAGTTACAATTTCATTGATTTACTCACATTCATTGATTATTTCTCCTCTCAATACTGGGAAGGCTGGAATGATCTTTTGTTAGCATATACTAGCAATTCGATTATTTGTAAAACTAGTTCTTTTTTAATTATGTAGGTTTGTATATGGAAAGTAAATTTTCAGACCCAAGTGTGTTGGTGACAGAAATGTCACTTACTTGGATGTTTATGGATTTCTTGTTAAAAACCGTGTGGACAATCTTTTATTTTATTTATTTATTTTTTTTATTTTTCCTCTCTTTAAATTGATTCTGATGAACCCAGTTCTATTTTCTTTACCTCTGAAGTGTCTTGCTAGGTATATGGAGAAGATAAGAGGAACAATGGAACCCAAACTCTTCACTGGTCATCATGGGTCCAGTTCTGCTATAAGTTATTATCTATGACAGCAGGATGAGAAATAAAGAGCAAGGTGTAGTAAAGGACACAAGAGTCTAGTCACAGAGGAAGAACCGAAAGATAAATACTTTTGTGTTAATTATTTCACTTCCTGGTGACTGGCTTATTGTAACCAATGCTTCATTCTTCATCCCCCACCACCTTACTCCCTAGAACTGAGGAAGATCTGATGTTCCCTATGCCCAATTAATAGTTTTATTTTAAAAATGTCATCAAAGTAGACATATGTTCAATAAAAGTTGGTTACAATATTCTGAGAAATTACAAAGAGTGAGTCTTCACATCGTGGCAGAACCAGGATGATTTAAAGGCTTACTTACTAATTCACCACAATTTATTAAAGCTGCCAAGTGAATATCTGGGTCAGTTCACTTAGGCACCCTGCTAACTAGAAACGTAGTAGAAAGTTCATAAATGAGGAGAGTTTTGAATAGCTTTGCTATAGTGCAAAGAGATTTAGCCCTTGAAGGACAAGTAATATACTTTATATTTGGAAAACATATCTCATTTAATTGATATCTATAAGATATAAATATAATTCATCTGACATATATTTATTGAGCATCTAACATACCCACAACACCATTACACATGTTGTTATATGTACCATTTGCTATATAAGAAAATATGATTTATGGTTTATAATTTAATGTGATATACACACACATATACTGTATTCTGTAATTAAGTAAAAATACATGACTACAAAACAATAACATATCATCTCTTATGGTTCTATAGTTTGCCTGGACTCAGTGGGGCAGTTCTCTCTTAGGGCCTCTCATACCATCTAACAATTTCATAGGAAGATGCTCAAGATGAATGTTTTGCTCACATGTCTGGAGCCTCAGTCCTCCTTGGCCTCTTGGTCAGTCTTCATGATGTTTTGTCCTCCATGTCTTCCCCATGTAGCTAGGACTATCACAGAATGATAGTCTCACTTCTTGTGGCAGCTAGCTTCTAAAGAGCAAGAATCAGAAGCTACCATGTCAGTAAAGGACTGCCCCCAAAACTGGAATTGTGTCACTTCTATGATATTCTATTAGTTAAAATAAGTTCAGGATTTAAGAAGTACACAGACATACACTCTACCACTTGATAAGTATGTGGAAAAGTTGCATTACAGAAAAATGTGTAGGATGGAAATTATGGTTTAGGAAATATAATGTGACACAAATTTAAAGTAAAAATGTTAACAGGTAAATATGAGATTCAATTCTAACATACATAAGCATGCTGTTTGGGGGAAAAGGGGTTGATGAAAGTTTGAGAAGAGCTCTGGTAAAAATGTGAGCAGAAATGGATTTTATCTATTGGTTATAACACAAGAGGAAATCAGGACAAAGAGAGTCAAGAATGAGTTACAGGCTAATCGAAATACTCTGAGAAAAGTCAGAAAATAAGAATAGGAAAGGAGGGTAAAAATCAGGAATCTTGAGCGACAGTACTTTATGGTACTTACTAAAGTAGTGAAGGATGAAATGTACTTAAAAGCCAAAGACGGAACCTATTTCACTAGCTTCTAATGTGGCTAAAACTGGAAGATGGGCTGTAAAATAAAATTTTTTACTCAAAGAAAGACCTAGAATGGCTTATTGTTTTTAATGCAGCATTTGGAAAGGGATGGTCAAATGATTTAATCCTCTCTCAGTTCGAAATGTATTTCTGCTGCATATAGTTTTTATTTTTGTCATAACTCTTCCAGTTTAGCCTCAAAACTCTAAGGTCCAACAAATAGATTTTTCTTTATTTCTCTCCAACTGGTATTTCTAACATGAACTCTAATTTCACTTGGTGACTGTCCCTCTACCCACCCCAAAAATACTCGCTCCCCTTTCTCTGGGATTGTCTCTGTTTCAAGGAGCTTACAGAGTGCCAAGTAGTTAAGAATGGCTTCTGTCTTGGGTGGCCACTCTTCATCTCCTGCAGCAGCCTTCTGTGTTGCAGCCTTTTCTGGCCTTTGTGTTTTGACCCATGCTGATTGCTGTTATGACATTTTAAAATCTTGACTGCAAGGCTCCATGGGTCATGTTATGACCCAGTTAATGCCTGGGCCTTTCTTCCATGCACAAGTATCACTTTATTATTCTTGTCCATCCTGAGACTACAGAAACCCAATGGGGCCTTGTCTTAGTCTATTTTGTTTTGCTGTAAAAGAATACTTGATGCTGAGTAATTTATAAAGAACAGAGGTTTATTCTACTCATGGTTCTACAGGCTGTACAAGAAGCATGGAGGTGGCATCTGCTCAGCTTCTGGTGAGGGCCTCAACTGCATCCTCTCATGGTGGAAAGCAAAGGAGAGTCAGCATAAGCAGAGGTCACATGGCAAGAGAGGAGGCAAGAGAAGAAGCAAGAGAGAAAGTGGGGAGGTGTCAGGCTCTTTTTTAACAATCACCTTTTATGAGAACTGATAGAGTGAGAATTCACTTGACCCCAAAGGAAGACACTAATCTATTCAGGAAGATTTCACCCTCATGACCCATACACTTCCCACTAGGCCTCTGATCCCAACAATGCCACACTGGAGAATAAATTTTAGCATGAAATTTCGCAGGGGCAAACATCCAAACCACAGCAAGCTTCATGTAGCTCAGCTCTTTACCTCTTCCTATTTACTCAGGAAAGGGGGAATTATCTATTCCTGGTATAAGAAAGTTCTATTTTGAAGCCATTGCTACCTTGAGGAGCTTTCCCTTTCTTCATCTCTATTAGGAAAAATGAGGCAAGTGTTCTCTCTATTCTTGTTTTCCACAACAGATCGAGAGTCCTTCTGTCATCTTCCTTCAAGACTTCTCTCAGCAGAGTGTGGATGCCCCATCCCAATAGCTTACAATATCTATTTACTCATAGATTTTCTTCCCACTGTCTTCTCCCATCTTTTGGGGTTGCTTTTTATCTTGGGATGAGAGAAGAGAAGGGAGGAGGGGACAGAAGCAGAAAAATTTCACTTGAGTCATAAAATATCTGTGCCTTGAGTTTCTTTGTGGGCTACATTTTCCTAATAAGAAATAGGGGCTTTTGATCCTCAAAAGATTGTTTTCTGTTTCTGTGAGTACATTTTTTTTCTAGGAGTCAATGGATGCTGCATGATTTAGCTGCCTGCTATGGTTTGAATGTTCCCTTCAAAATTTGTATAGAAATTTAATTGCCATTGTAACAGTGTTGAGTGATGGGACCTTTACAAGGTGATTAGATTATGAGAGTTCCACCTTCATGTATAGATTAATGTCCTTATTATAGAAGTAGGTTAGTTATCATGGAAGTGGGCTCATAATAAAAAGATGATTATGGCCTGATTTCCTCTTTCTGTCTCATATGCTTGTTTCTGCTTTCTGCCCTTCCCCCATGTGATGGTCCTTGTCAGATGCTGGTATAATGCTCTTGGACTTCTCAGCCTCACGAACTGTGAGAGATAATTTCTTTGCTTTGTAAATTATCAAGTCTGTAGTATTCTGATACAGCAGCAGAAAACAAACTAAGATAGAAAATTGATATTGGGAGGTATTTGTTTCTATAACAAATATCTAAAAATGTGGAATGGCTTTGGAACTGGGTAATGGCTAGAAGCTGGAAGAATTTAGAGGAGCAGGCTAAAAAAAAAAAAAGCCAGATTGCTGTGAATGGAACATTAAGGGTGATTCTGATGAGGGCTCAGAAGAGAGCTGTATAAAAAATCTGAATCTTCTTAGAGATTGCTTAAATGATTGTGACCAGAATGTTAGTAGAAATATGAACAGAAAAGGTCATGCTGATGAAGTCTTAGACAGAAATGAGGAATAAGGTTTTGGAAACTAGAGTAAAGGTCATTCTTGTTATAAAGTGGCAAAGACCTTAGTAGAACTGCTTCAATGCCTGAGGGCTTTAAGGAATACAGAACTCAAGAGCAATGAATTAGGATATATGGCAGAAGTAATATCTAAGCAACAAAGCATTCAGGCTGATTTCTGGATACCTTCAACTGTATTCAGTGATATGGAGATAAAAGGAATGACTTAAAGGAAGAATTTATCATTAGAAGGGAAGTAGAATAAAAAGATTTGGAAAATTCACAGCCTGGCCACATAAGCAGTAAAAAGGTACATTAGGGAGAGAATACCAAGGGTGCAGCAAAGTGCCCCATTGCTAAAGATATTAATATGGATAGAAGACAGCCAGATCCTCTTCATCAGAACAATGAGAGAAATACCCTTAAAGGCATCTCAGAGGTCTTCAAGACTGCCCCTCCCATCGCAGCTCAGAGCACTAGAAAGGCACAATGATTTGGGGAGATAGGCCAGGGTACCCTACACAGGCTCACTTCCCAGTGCTGCCTTAAGTCTCTGTTCCCCACATTTCCACTCAGTGTCTTTTGGCTATGCCATCCATGGCTCAAGTGGACTCAGGTGTGGCTTGATCCACTGCTCTGGAAGGTATAAGTGATGAGCCTTGCCAGCATCTGTGTGGTGCTAATTCTGCAGGCATACAGAATGCAAGAGCTGTGGGGACATGGCTATCTCCATCTAGATTTCAAAGGATGTTAGGAATTGCCTGGGGGTCTGAGCAGAAACTTGCCACAGGGATGGAGCCACTGCAGAGAGCTACCACTAGGGCAGTGCCTGGTAGGGCCATGGAAGCTGGGCTACCCGTAAGAACCCAGAACTATAGAAGATACCAGCTTACAATGCTAGCCTGGAGAAGTTGCTGGCAGGGGACTCCAACCAATGAGAGGTGCTGGGTGGACTAAACCCAGCAAAGCCATAGGGGTAGGGCTGCCCGAGACCTTGGGGACCCAACCCTAGCCCCACTGTGCCCAGGATGTGAGAGATGAAGTAAAAAAGATTATTCTTCAGCTTTAATACCTAATGCTGTTTTTCCTGTTGGGTTTTAGACTTTCTTGGGAACAGTTACCCCTTTATTCTTATCTGTTTTTCCATTTTGGAATGAGAATGTCTTTCCTATACCTGTTCCACCATTGTGTTTGGAAGTAAATTACTTGTTTTAATTTCACAGGCTCACAGCTGGAGGAATTTGCCTCAAGATGAATTATGCCTTGAGTCTCATCCATATTTGAATTACATAAGAATATGGACTTTAGAGTTGATGCTTAAATTAATTAAGATTTTGGAGGCTATTGGTATAGATAAAAAGTATTCTGTAAATGAGAAGGCATAAATTTGAGGGAGTCAGGGGCATAATGCTATGGTTTAAATGTCTCCTCCAAAGTACATATTGAAATTTAATTGCCATTGTAACAGTGTTAGAGGTGGGACCTTTAATGATTAGATAATGAGGGATCTGCCTTTGTGAATATATTAATGCATTATTGTGGGAAATGGTTAATTATCATGGGAGTGGACTCTTGATAAAAGGATAAGTTCAGCCTGATTTCCTCTCCCTGTCTCATGTGCTGGCTTTTGCCATCTGCCCTTCTATCATGGGATGACTCTTGCCAAACGTCAGACCCCTACTCTTGGACTTCCCAGCCTCCAGAAGTGTGAGAAATAAATTTCTTTTCTTTATAAATTACCCAGTCTGTGGTATTCTGTTATAGTGGCAGAAACGTCCTCAGACATTGCCCTAATGTCAAAGGGTCGCAGGGTAACATAAAATATAGAAAATGACCAGTTAGCTAAACTTCAAAATATTATTTCACAACAACACTGAATTCTGCAACCCAATGGAAAGCCAGCTTTATGTTAATATGACAAGAGGGGAAAATACTAGGTTGGGTCATAGGAAATTGCTGATAGTTGACCATTTTTCACTAGAAGAGCAGAAGAAGATTTCAATACAGAAGTGTGGTTTCTAATGCACTTTTTCACATGATGTGGTCCAAGTAACTGTGCTTCAGAATTACATATGACAGGTGTAGTTGTGGGGGATAAGGAGAATAACAAGGTTACAAAATTGGCACTAATTTCAACCATTTTCCAAACTTTTTAACCAGTAACTCTAGAGGTGAGGTGCATCAATTTGATTTGATAACCAGCATATCAGATGATTAATTATTCAGCATATCAGATGATTGGTTATATATATCAGCCTATGCTTGTGTGTTTTCTATCTTTCAATGATGGTAATGAATAATCAATCTGAATCAGCAGCAAATGAGAAAATATATTTTATTCAGAAAGTCATCATTCTCTCTCATTAGCCTCAGCCACTGCGGGCTTATGACACTTTATCACATATGCTAACAAAAACTTAAACTATATTTTTACATCATTTTGTGATGAGTGATTTGTTTTACTTGCAAAGCGGGGGAAGTATTCCTCCTTAGTAAGGGATATTTACACTGAAGAAATACACAGTGGGATCAAGTAAAGAGAAACTCAAAGCTGTAATCACTGTTTGTATAAATAAATAGAAATGTGTCTACATTTAGCAAATAAAGGCAAAAAAATGGAAAATGTAAGTTGTAATTATGTAAAATAATACTAGGATTGGAATTCCTGTTCCTAAAGCTGAAATTATTTTATAGGGACAAAGAGAAAGATATACATAACTACTTATAAAAATATTTGAGTTTTTATTAAGTGTCATCTGATAAATTAGACTTTTACAAAGTGGGTATGCTAACCCAACTTTTTATATTAAAATTTTAATAATATAGAAACAAAGCTAATGAAAAATTTCATGCACTTAACTGCTAATTATGAGTTGTACATTGGGGAAAAAATTTACTTGAATTTAATTATAGGAAAGAAGAAAAACCAATACATTACTTGGAACAGCAAACCAAGGTGCTGTGTAAGCTAGCCATGTATCAGCAAACAAAATGCTGAAGAAACTGGAACTTACAATTAAAATAATGTTGGCAAAAGAAAATTGTCATTTTTTTCGTGGATTGGTTATTTAACCACTGACTTTAAAGTCTGTGGCCTCAAAAGAAAGAAGATGACTGAGTTTATGTGTACCGTTTCAAGAGTTTTTGTTTCAGCATGGTGAAATTCTGATTAAATTTAATCCATACGACTGGAACATTGAATTAACTATGTTTTTCCTCAAAAAGCTGAAAAAATGAAGGAGCACACAAAAAAATAGGCTTATGTCAAGATTTTATTTTACAAAATTCTACCAAAATTTCTAGAAGCACAGTTTGGTGTCAGTACCTATTCAATAGGAAAAGAATAAAACAAGCCTCAAAAACAATGTTTCCATTCCACTATTCTCTTTATTATATGATGCTTATATCTATCCTCTAATTATTGATCCTAGGCTATGTTAAATCCTCATTAAAAAGAATCTGTTATTTTCAATATATTCTACTTCCTAAGGCAACAAAGTAGGCCAATGCGTTCTTCATTGTAAAAATAGAAACACATAGAGAACGCCAAGAATTCTTTTCTTTGCAGTTAATCAGAATGCTGAAGTAATCTAGAACAATCAATTTATTGAACTTTTTGATTGATTAAGTTTAAAGTTTAATAGCTGAGACAACTTATTGAAAACTCACAGGAAGGTACCAAGAAGAAGAATGAATGATGACTCTGAAAATGGCACCTTCTAAACTGGAGCCAGTGACCTCTCTCTCCAAACACCCTGAGGGGAAATTGAAGTCACCCATATGTATTCCTGCTCAATCCAAGCTTTAGGATGGAAAAGAAATAAGGGGTGCAAGAATAAGAAAATAAATAGAAGGAAGGATGATTAAAAGAAAATGAACAAATTAGATAAGAAAGTGAAGAAATGTTCCCAGAAATTGCCTTGGGTCACATTCAGTGGTATCTCTCTACTGATGGGTGCATACACATATTACAAAAATTACTACTTCATGTAAGAGGTTGTGATTTCAGTGATGTCTATAATATTTATCTTTATGATATAGTGACTTCTCAGACCAGGTATTTTATTGAATCATTTAATATACCCGCATTTATGTTATAAACATACTAGGAAATAAATCTGTTGTTTTCATGGTGCCTACTACACAGTGATGTACCAATGGTTATATTAACTGACAGAGGATGGGAAACTAACAGAATTTTAAACATAGCTTATGCTGTGAGCTACTAAAATAATGTTAAATAATACAGCTCTCTCCTTTCTGTTTCTAATAATGATGATTCACACAGCTTTTAGGTAGGTCACAGAGAAGTATAAACAAAATAACTTTGTTCTAAATGACCTTGCATTTGTCATTTATATACATAAGACAAGGATTTCTGCATTATCAATAAAAAACCTGAAATAATTTAATTGCAACTTATAGAGCAACTGCTACTTTTGAAACCCTGAGCTAGCTATGTTGAAGACATAGAAGAAAGATTCTTCCCATGTTCTGCAAGAGCTCACAAACCATTTCGTCAAAACAGCAATTATATTTAAGATAGAATATGGTGAGCAAGAAATTCAAATTAAGTGATGTTAGAGTTTGAGGAAGGGAAAGACTAATAAGAAGAAAAGACTTTTTTTAATAAAAAGCATTGCGTAAAATCAAGTTATAGAGTTGAAAAAGTAGAGTAGATTTCAACAGATACAAATGATGGAGAGGATGTAATTTTAGGAAGAAAGAATATATTAAGCCAAGATTGAATGTATTACAATACACACAGAAAATGTTTAGGGGATGGCTGTGGCTGGGATTGCAGAAAGCTAAGCCTGGTAAGGGAGGTAGGATTCAAGAAATGGAAGATTTGGTTGTGAGATCAAAAAGCTGGAGGACTCAATTTACGTTCATGCTCATAGTAGACATGGTTGGACAAGCAAGTAGAAGAGGAAGATGTGAATTGGGATTGGGCTGTTTGAGTGAGGGATTTGGGGAGTGGAGCAATTAGAGATGATGGCAATATCTAATGTGGAATAATATGTACCTTTGGAATCTGGGAAAAGTGAAGAAGATGAATGAAAATACTTCAAAGCCACCTTATACTAATTTTTTCTTAAGATTCCTAAGAAGTGTTTTTTGGAGGTGGGCTTATATGAGCCTCATCCTGCAAGGAAGGGCTTATGTGCAGTAAAAATAAGAGAAACACAAGGCATAACTTGTGAAGGCTCCAGAGAAAGTGAGAAATCTGGGATCATGCTAGGGATCCTCTCTGCCATCTCTTCAGGGAACACAAAGAATGTAAATTTGCCAAGAGGTGCTTCATCAGCCATCAATCTTCAAGGGCCTCAAACTGAAGCAGTGTGGATCAAGGGTGATATAACTGAAATGGGTGGAGTATGGTTAGAAGGAAGCATTATTGTTTTTAATTCTTTTTACCTTCTTATTTGTTGAGAAGAGTCAAATAGCATCACTTTTTGACTGCATTAGTCTGTTCTCAAGCTGCTATTAAGAACTGCCAAAGACTGGGTAATTTTTAAAGGAAAGAGATTTAACTGACTCACAGTTCCACAGGGCTGTGGAGGCCTCAGGAAACTTACAATCATGGCAGAAGGGGAAGCAAACATGTCCTTCTTCACATGGCAGCAGGAAGGATAAGTGCCGAGTGAAGGGGGAAACGTCCCTTATAAAACCATAAGATCTCATGAGAACTCACTCACTATCATAAAAATGGCATGGGGGTAACCACTGCCATGGGGGTATGATTCAATTACCTCCCACTGGGTCCCTCCCATGACACATGGGGATTATGAGAATTACAATTCAAGTTGATATTTGGGTGTGGACACAGTCAAACCATATAATAGACTGATGTGAAACACCATTTAAATTTCGTTTTCAGGGATGGAGCCAAGATGGCCAAATAGGAACAGCTCCAGTCTACAGCTCCCAGCATGAGTGACACAGAAGACAGGTGATTTCTGCATTTCCAACTGAGGTACCAGGTTCATCTCACAGGGGAGTGCTGGACAGTGGGTGCAGGACTTGGTGCAGTGCACCGTGTGTGAGCTGAAGCAGGGCGAGGCATCGCCTCACCCAGGAAGTGCAAGGTGTCAGGGAATTCCCTTTCCTAGTCAAAGAAAGGGGTGACAGAAAGCACCTGGAAAATCGGGTCACTCCCACTCTAATACTTAATACTGCACTTTTCCAATGGGCTTCACAAATGGCACACCAGAAGATTATATCCCACACCTTGCTTGGAGGGTCCTACACCCACAGAGCCTCACTTATTGCTAGCACAGCAGTCTGAGATCAAACTGCAAGTGGCAGCGAGGCTGGGGGATGGGTGCGCACCATTGCTCAGGCTTGAGTAGGTAAACAAAGCAGCGGGAAGCTCAAACTGGGTGGAGCCCACCACAGCTTAAGGAGACCTGCCTGCCTCTGTAGGCTCCACCTCTGGGGGCAGGGCACAGACAAACAAAAGACAGCATAACCTCTGCAGACTTAAATGTCCCTGTCTGACAGCTTTGGAGAGAGTAGTGGTTCTCCCAGCACGCAGCTTGAGATCTGAGAACGGGCAGACTGCCTCCTCAAGTGGGTCCCTGACCCCTGAGTAGCCTAACTGGGAGGCACCCCCCAGTAGGGGCAGACTGACACCTCACATGGCTGGGTACTCCTCTGAGACAAAACTTCCAGAGGAACAATCAGGCAGCAGCATTTGCGGTTCACCAATATCCGCTGTTCTGCAGCCACCGCTGCTGACACCCAGGTAAACAGGGTCTGGAGTGGACCTCCAGTAAACTCCAATAGACCTGCAGCTGAGGGTCCTGACTGTTAGAAGGAAAACTAACAAACAGAAAGGACATCCACACCAAAAACCCATCTGTACGTCACCATCATAAAAGACCAAAGGTAGATAAAACCACAAAGACGGGGAAAAAACAGAGCAGAAAAACCAGAAACTCTAAAAATAAGAGCACCTCTCCTCCTCCAAAGGAACACAGCTCCTCACCAGCAATGGAACAAAGCTGGCTGGAGAATGACTTTGACAAGTTGAGAGAGGAAGGCTTCAGAAGATTAAACTATTCTGAGCTAAAGGAGGAAGTTCAAACCAATGGCAAAGAAGTTAAAAACTTAGAAAAAAAACCAGCTGAATGGATAACTAGAATGATCAATGCAGAGAAGTCCTTAAAGGACCTGATGGAGCTGAAAACCACGGCACGAGAACTACGTGACGAATGCACAAGCCTCAGTAACTGATGCGATCAACTGGAAGAAAGGGTATCAGTCACGGAAGATGAAATGAATGAAATGAAGTGAGAAGAGAAGTTTAGAGAAAAAAGAATAAAAAGAAATGAACAAAGCCTCCAAGAAATATGGGACTATATGAAAAGACCAAATCTACATCAAATTGGTGTACCTGAAAGTGACGGGGAGAATGGAACCAAGTTGGAAAACGCTCTGCAGGATATTAACCAGGAGAACTTCCCCAATCTAGCAAGGCGGGTCAACATTCAAATACAGGAAATACAGAGAATGCCACAAAGAAACTCCTTGAGAAGAGCAACTCCAAGACACATAATTGTCAGATTCACCAAAGTTGAAATGAAGGAAAAAATGTTAAGGGCAGCCAGAGAGAAAGGTCGGGTTACCCACAAAGGGAAGTCCATCAGACTAACAGCTGATCTCTTGGCAGAAACTCTACAAGCCAGAAGAGAGTGGGGGCCAATATTCAATATTCTTAAAGAAAATAATTTTCAACCCAGAATTTCATATCCAGCCAAACTAAGCTTCACAAGTGAAGGAGAAATAAAATACTTTACAGACAAGCAAATGCTGAGAGATTTTGTCACCACCAGACCTGCCCTAAAAGAGCTCCTGAAGGAAACACTAAACATGGAAAGGAACAACCGGTACCAGCCACTGCAAAAACACGCCAAATTGTAAAGAACATCAAGGCTAGGAAGAAACTGCATCAACTAATAAGCAAAATAACCAGCTAACATCATAATGACAGGATCAGATTCACACATAACAATACTAACCTTAAATGTAAATGGGCTAAATGCTCCAATTAAAAGGCACAGACTGGCAAATTGGATAAAGAGTCAAGACCCATCAGTGTGCTGTATTCAGGAAACCCATCTCATGTGCAGAGACACACATAGGCTCAGAATAAAGGGATGGAGGAAGACCTACCAAGCAAATGGAAAACAAAAAAAGGCAGGGGTTGCAATCCTAGTCTCGGATAAAACAGACTTTAAACCAACAAAGATCAAAAGAGACAAGGAAGGCCATTACATAATGGTAAAGGGATCAATTCAACAAGAGGAGCTAACTATCCTAAATATATATGCACCCAATACAGGAGCACCCAGATTCATAAAGCAAGTCCTTAGTGACCTACAAAGAGACTTAGACTCCCACACAATAATAATGGGAGACGTTAACACCCCACTGTCAACATTAGACAGATCAACAAGACAGAAAGTTAACAAGGATACCCAGGAATTGAACTCAGCTCTGCACCAAGTGGACCTAATAGACATCTACAGAACTCCTCACCCCAAATCAACAGAATATACATTCTTTTCAGCACCACACCACACCTATTCCAAAACTGACCACATACTTGGAAGTAAAACACTCCTCAGCAAATGCAAAAGAACAGAAATTATAACAAACTGTCTCTCAGAACACAGTGCAATCAAACTAGAACTTAGGATTAAGAAACTCACTCAAAACGACTCAACTACATGGAAACTGAACCCGCTCCTGAATGACTACTGGGTATATAATGAAATGAAGGCAGAAATAAAGATGTTCTTTGAAACCAATGAGAACAAAGACACAACATACCAGAATCTCTGGGACACATTCAAAGCAGTGTGTAGAGGGAAATTTATAGCACTAAATGCCCACTAGAGAAAGTGGGAAAGATCTAAAATTGACACCCTAACATCACAATTAAAAGAACTAGAGAAGCAAGAGCAAACACATTCAAAAGTTAGCAGAAGGCAAGAAATAACTAAAATCAGAGCAGAACTGAAGGAAATAGAGACACAAAAAACCGTTCAAAAATTAATGAATCCGGGAGCTGGTTTTTTGAAAAGATCAACAAAATTGATAGACCACTAGCAAGACTAATAAAGAAGAAAAGAGAGAAGAATCAAATAGACACAATAAAAAATGCAAAGGAGATATCACCACTGATTCCACAGAAATACAAACTACCATCAGAGAATACTATAAACATCTCTATGCAAATAAACTAGAAAATCTAGAAGAAATGGATAAATTCCTCGACACATACACTCTCCCAAGACTAAACCAGGAAGAACTTGAATCTCTGAATAGACCAATAACAGGCTCTGAAATTGAGGCAATAATTAATAGCTTACCAATTAAAAAAAGTCCAGGACCAGATGGATTCACAGCTGAATTCTACCAGAGGTACAAGGAGGAGCTGGTACCATTCCTTCTGAAACTATTCCAATCAATAGAAAAAGAGGGAATCCTCCCTAACTCATTTTATGAGGCCAGCATCATCCTGATACCAAAGCCTGGCAGAGACACACACAAAAAAAGAGAATTGTAGAGCAATATCCTTGATGAACATTGATGCAAAAATCCTCAATAAAATACTGGCAAACCGAATCCAGCAGCACATCAAAAAGCTTATCCACCATGATCAAGTGGTGGGCTTCATCCCTGGGATGCAAGGCTGGTTCAACATACAAAAAATCAATAAATGTATTCCAGCATATAAACAGAACCAAAGACAAAAATCACATGATTATCTCAATAGATGCAGAAAAGGCCTTTGACAAAATTCAACAACCTTCATGCTAAAAACTCTCAATAAATTAGGTATTGATGGGATGTATCTCAAAATAATAAGAGCTATCTATGACAAACCCACAGCCAATATCATACTGAATGGACAAAAACTGGAAGCATTCCCTTTGAAAACTGGCACAAGACAGGGATGCCCTCTCTCACCACTCCTATTCAACATAGTGTTGGAAGTTCTGGCCAGGGCAACCGGGCAGGAGAAGGGAATAAAGGGCATTCAATTTGGAAAAGAGGAAGTCAAATTGTCCCTGTTTGCAGATGACATGATTGTATATCTAGAAAACCCCATTGTCTCAGCCCAAAATCTCCTTAAGCTGATAAGCAACTTCAGCAAAGTCTCAGGATACAAAATCAATGTGCAAAAATCACAAGCATCCTTACACACCAATAACAGACAAACAGAGAGCCAAATCATGAGTGAACTCCCATTCACAATTGCTTCAAAGAGAATAAAATACCTAGGAATCCAACTTACAAGGGATGTGAAGGACCTCTTCGAGGAAAACTACAAACCACTGCTCACTGAAATAAAAGAGGATACAAACAAATGGAAGAACATTCCATGCTCATGGGTAGGAAGAATCAATATCATGAAAATGGCCATACTGCCCAAAGTAATTTATAGATTCAATGCCATCCCCATCAAGCTACCAATGACTTTCTTCACAGAATTGGAAAAAACTACTTTAAATTTCATATGGAACCAAAAAAGAGCCCGCATCGCCAAGACAATCCTAAGCCAAAAGAACAAAGCTGGAGGCATCACACTACCTGACTTCAAACTATGCTACAAGGCTACAGTAACAAAAACAGCATGGTACTGGTACAAAAACAGAGATATAGATCAATGGAACAGAACAGAGCCCTCAGAAATAATGCCACATATCTACAACTATCTGATCTTTGACAAACCTGACAAAAACAAGCAATGGGGAAAGGATTCCCTATTTAATAAATGGTGCTGGGAAAACTGGCTAGCCATATGTAGAAAGCTGAAACTGGATCCCTTCCTTACACCTTATACAAAAATTAATTCAAGATGGACTAAAGACTTAAATGTTAGACCTAAAACCATAAAAACCCTAGAAGAAAACCTAGGCAATACCATTCAGGTATTGGCATGGGCAAGGACTTCATGTCTAAAACACCAAAAGCAATGGCAACAAAGGCCAAAATTGACAAATGGGATCTAATTAAACTAAAGAGCTTCTGCACAGCAAAAGAAACTACCATCAGAATGAACAGGCAACCTACAGAATGGGAGAAAATTTTTGCAACCTATTCATCTGACAAAGGGCTAATATCCAGAATCTACAATGAACTCAAACAAATTTACAAGAAAAAAACAAACAATCCCATCAAAAAGTGGCCAAAGGATATGAACAGACACTTCTCAAAAGAAGACATTTATGCAGCCAAAAGACACATGAAAAAATGGTCATCATCACTGACCATCAGAGAAATGCAAATCAAAACCACAATGAGATACCATCTCACACCAGTTAGAATGGCGATCATTAAAAAGTCAGGAAACAACAGGTGCTGGAGAGGCTGTGGAGAAATAGGAACACTTTTACACTGTTGGTGTGACTGTAAACTAGTTCAACCATTGTGGAATTCGGTGTGGCAATTCCTCAGGGATCTAGAACTAGAAATACCATTTGAACCAGCCATCCCATTACTGGGTATATACCCAAAGGATTATAAATCATGCTGCTATAAAGACACATGCATACGTATGTTTATTGTGGCACTATTCACAATAGCAAAGACTTGGAACCAACCCAAATGTCCAACAGTGATAGACTGGATTAAGAAAATGTGGCACATATACACCATGGAATACTATGCAGCCATAAAAAATGATGAGTTCATGTCCTTTGTGGGGACATAGTTGAAGCTGGAAGTCATCATTCTCAGCAAACTATCGCAAGGACAAAAAACCAAACACGACATGTTCTCACTCATAGGTGGGAATTGAACAAGAAGAACACATGGACACAGGAAGGGGAACATCATACACCGGGGACTGTTGTGGGGTGGGGGGAGTGGGGAGGGATAGCATTAGGAGATATACCTAATGCTAAATGACGAGTTAATGGGTGCTGCACATCAACATGGCACATGTATACATATGTAACAAACGTGCACGTTGTGCACATGTACCCTGAAACTTAAAGTATAAAAAAAAAAATCTTAAAAAAAAAACTCATAAAAGAAAATAAATAAATAAATTTCTTTTTCATGTTTGGGTCTTTCTCACCCACATTCTTTTGAGTATTTTATATTGGCTTCCTTTATGTTTCTGGGCTTTTTTTTTTTAATGTCAGCCTACCTATATAGGACTCTTATCTAATCATTTTACCATATCTTTGTTAAATCAACAAAATCGAAAGCATATATTTTGTCTAAGCAGTCCAATTAAATATATATGTATTTGTTTTATTTTGAGGCAGTTGTGAGTGTTGTGGAGAGATTGGGCTTGGAGTTCAAAGATCAGGTTTGAATCTGAACCCCTATACTTATCATCTGTATGAATGTGGGACCTTTTCTTAGCTTGTTTAGACCCTGTTTTATCACTTCAAAAAGAAAGGTGGTAAAATGATTTTGACAGCTATTGAAGAATCTAACCATTTCAAAGTGCCTAGGACTTAGACATGCTCCTTAGATGAATCTTTATTTTTTTCATTTTCGACTGTAAGTTTAGAGGAAACTTACCTGCTTTACCCACTTTATGTGATATTAATCACACTGTGTGCCTATAATGGTTAGCATCTCTCATCCATTAATAGATTGTGATGACATGATCAACTGGAGAGAGTTCTCATCAGGAATTTCAGAGAGAAGACAGAAATACTTCTTTTGCTGTCTATGTGAGGTGTATGATCTTACTCTTTTATACAAGAAATCCAATTTCCTAAGAATAAAGCAAAGCAGTAGCCCTTATTTTTCTAATATGAAACATTTTTTTTTCCTGAGGAGCTGTGTCATCAGAAAAATATCCTTCCATGTCTTCTGATGGTAGAGTAATTCTATATGGAGGTGAATGTAATCTAAGTTACGGAAGATAATTTGAGAAATAGTGATAATCTAGTGTACCTATTTATTTATCCTCCCTGAATAAAATTACTAACCTAAGTAAAGTAGATGTGTGTGTATGTGTGTGTTCAGATAAGTAAAGGAAAAGAAGTGATCAAGAAGAGATCATAGTTACTCCTCTTTTAGAAATAATGCCTGAGAAAATAACATAGAGATAAGGACAATACACTACAGCATATATAAAAATGACAATATAACTTTATTCAGTGTACTGCGGCAGTGCACACTTCACAAGTGATCATGGTCCTATGGAATCAGTGAGACAACTCTTTTAGAGAAAATACATCTTGAATGAACCTTTAACAGGGGAATGATAATGGGTTGAAAAAGACAAGAGAAAGCTTTCTAGACAGAAGTCTTAAAAAAGATTGAGTGTGTGGGAATTTAAGCAGATTTGCTTGCAGGAAAAGAGAGGTGGGAGAGAGAAGAGTGATATGATTGGAGAGCTGGAGAAGACACAGTCAGTGGAGGGGTAGAGGACCTTGCAAGGTTTGTTTTTGACACAGGGAGGGACAATACTGTTTTGGAGTTCCTGCTGAATTCTTTCCAGAGAACATCATATCATTTAGGCTCAACTTTGGGGTAACTATGCTGTGACACTACCCACTATTTTGCAAGTGCTAACAAATGCCAAGTGGTTCCACCGGTCTGACCACTGAAGTTTGCATGACTTGTATCACTATTGTTTTCTCAAAAGGCAGGGAGAGAAATTCAGGAAATCTTAAATCTCTTATTCCAGTGGAGTCCTGGAAATATATTTAAATGAGAGTGTGCAGCCTTGTATCTTTTTCTATCTCTTGCACGTAGAAAATTATTTTTTCCCAGCTATTAGCAAAACATGTCTATAACCTATATGTCATGGACAGATTTAGAATAATCTGTATTGACACTTACAAATGTTTTTCTCCTTCAGAAGATCTGCCTTCACTCAGCATTACTCTGCAGGCAAGGTGTTCCACTTGCAAGTATTCTTTCCACAGCCAAAGTGTACTATAGTTTCCAAGCTATCTGCCAAACCCATTACCTTTTTTTCTTTTTCGTACAGTTAATTTATTCCCCAGGCAATTTACTCTTTATTGTTCAGTTTAGCTTCCCATTTATTTCTCTTTCTCCTCTTCTCCTTACCTCTCTCCCTAACTTCCTCCTTCCTTTTCATTTTGAATCATTGAGTCTTGTATTTGTGCCCACTTTCCTGCCCCAGGTGTAATTCTGGTGGGGAGACAGAGAAGGCTGACTCTGGGTTTGTAAAGCCTTTGTCTTCTTGGATACAACCTTTTACGGATTTGTTCTTTGATCTGCAGTTTCCACTTTACCTGACACCTTTCCAGTTCTTGACCAGTCCCACCTGAATCCCATGTCCTGATCTAAATCCTGAAATTCCAATTTAACATATTTGTATGTCACCTGTTTGTCTAGGTCCAGAATTGAATGAACACTGCAAATGCTGTCTGAGCCATTAACAACTCAGTGGGGCTATCACTTCCTGTGTTCTGGACACACCCCAAATACTGATGAATTCTAAAGGTTTGCTAATTTTGAACAAGCAGATTATACAATTGACTCATTAAATTTGTGATTATGTAAAAAATAGATTTTAAAATCAATGTAAGTCACCTAAGCATTTATTACACATAACTTAAAAAATATAATTTGCAAATAATTATTGATCCAGGGAATATTAGAGAGTATCTAATTGAAATTATGTAATGCTGTCATCTTACTTTATTAGACCTGGAACTCTAAGTGATCTAAGATCATACTTTGTTACTGGTGGAGACAGGGCTAAACCCAAGTTTTTTAACACAGTGCTCTACAGATTATGGAACACGTTTTGAAACTTGCTTCTGCTTTCTTTCACAGTCTCTACTTTCAGGGAGAACTACTACCTTCCATAAAAAGCACTCTGGACTCTTGGTTAAATCCGTGGTCCATGGGGTCTAATTAAGTAGAGGTCTACCACTTACTGATTGTATAACCTTGGGTAACCCAGTCAACCTAGCTGAGTTTCAGTTTTCATATATTTAATAAAAAATAGTAACATTTCTCTTACAGAATGTTTGTAGGGATCAACTGAAATATAGTACCTACCATAGAGGGAACAATAAAACTGTCAGCCATTATTATATACATCTCTAAATTTAGTAAGCATTTCAACTACATGCTCATATAAATTCTGAAGGATAAGATAAACATTTTAAATCTAGAGGTCCATCTTTATATTTTATTTGACTTCAATAAGAGAAAGAGTGAATTTCCCAAGTGTTAGGTAATCATATGAACACTTCTATTAGGAAGCTTTGAAAATTATTTTATTTCTGAATTTCAATTCCCTATTATGCAATTTGATAGAATGTATAATAAAATGTAAGATCACTGGTTATTTAAGCAGACATATAACTAATCATAAGCAAAACATCAACAGAACATGGTGGAAGCATGTGCCCACTCATTTACCTAGACAAACAATCGTTACTCAGGGACACACTTTCACAATCTTCAACATTGCAGTTATGTGACAGCACTGTTTATAGATAAACTCAATATAGTTACTGTAAGGAAAAAAATTATCACCATTTCATCAACTGGACCTACTTTAGAAAGGATAAATGTCAAGGGATTAACATTTACTTCTAAATAAATGAATTACCGTTGAGATGGAGGAGGGATAGTTTACCATAGATAAGCAACAGATTTAAACAAAAAGTAATATGGCTGATATTGCGGGTTGTCACTAATAGTTGTTCTATTCTTACATGGTTATAGTGTACCTGATTTTTAGCTGACTCCATGGTTGCCTGGGACAAGTAACACATTTTTCACCCTCATCTGTAGTTAAATATCAACATGTGACTTAATTTTTTGGTAGTAGAAGGTAAGCAGAAGTTATATGCAACTTCTGAGAAGTGCCCTTGAATGAAAGAGGCATGCCTTTCTTTGTCTCTTCTTCTATTCTGTCCACTGAAATGAGATGTGATTGCTGTGCTTGAACAGCTGTTTTGGACCATAAAAGAGAAGCCATGCATTGAAAATAGGAATAGGAAGATATAAAGTGCCTTAGGTCCTTATGGGCCAGTACTGCTCATATCCAGAAATGAACATTTATCTTATTTAAGCCACTGCTAATTTGAGCTTTCTGTCCTTTCAACCTGAATTTAATCTTAACTTGATGCAGGTTGAAATAAATAGGCTACTTTGATAAATAAAATCTGCCAGAGATGGGTCCTAAGATTACTCTTTGTAAATTTTAAATTGACTTTGATCTACTCAGTAAAATCTCAACATAGCTCACTTATACGTAGCTTCCTTAGGATATAAAGATGTCAATTTAACAATATTTTATGTAAAAATATTCTAATATTTGAAAAGAATTTAATCAAATATTGAAGGAAAAAAGTGAAACAAGTTTTGGTGGCTGTTACTGGACTATTTCTAAATAAATCTGGAAGGATTTACTGTTGAATAATCTACTCCTATAGTTTTCATCTGTATTTCCAGATGAAAGGACTTGATGTAGTTAAATAACCAGTAAGTTTTGCAATCCTTATCCTTAGCAACTGATTGAGGTTATTCCCAAAATGCCATTTATAATGCCATAATTAAAAATCTAGATGAAGAGAAAAACTTCACTATAAATATCCTCATTTCTCTCTGTATGCCTCAGCTTGCAATATTTCCATTAGATGATGTAGAGGATTTGAGCTAGAGGGCATAAAAGCCACATTACTTTTAAATTACTGTAAGTATTATAACTGGTAACTATAATTACAAGGCAAATTCAAGGTAATAAAAATGTAAACATAGGACATTTTCTGCTTTTAAATTAGAATTTGAGTTATACTGTAATTGCTTTTGGATTGATTTCCTAAAACTGTATTAGCCAAGTATTCTGAGAAAATATTATTATTCTGTCTGGTGTGTACCCCACAGCCACAAACTATTGCCTTCAACTAAGGGACCAAACCAATTGCAGCATAGAGTGCAGTAGTAATAAAAAGACAAAATAACTCTTTATGATTATAACAAAATTCACTGCACTAAATAGGAAATGCGTTACACCTAAAGGATTTGACTTAATTATGCCTCAGATTTATATTAATTATTGCAGTTAAGTAGAAATTATTGAAACATACATGTACACAATAAATGTAGGCTGTACTGACATGGGAATTAGCCTCAAAAAACTATTGGGAAAAATTAGAATATGAAAGTTCTCTCTCTACATACATGTATATATGTACATATGTATGTAGGTATATACAAAATCAAATTATTAGAAATACATAAATTAAATCCTACATTTTATAATTAGTATTCAACTGAAGAAGGTAGGTGAAAGCATGTTGAAGGGTAAAGGGGAATAAGATGCTTTCGTTCAGTTCCAGGTAGTTTTAAGGGAAATTGGTAATATAATCTTAAGACATGTTCACAATCAACTGGAAATTTGATAGCAGAGAGTACACATTAAGTTTTTCTAATTCTTTATAATTACAAATGTCTCTGTAAGGATTTTAGTCACTTAAATGGCTTAGATAGCATGAAGGCTAAGAACATAGACTCGTTAGGAAGACCTGGCTCAATTTTAGGCTTTCGTACTTATTAATTGTATAATCTTGGGTATATGACTTAACTTTTCTAAGCTTCAATTTCTTATATGTAAAATTGGAGTAATCACATGATCTACTTCATAAAGTTTTATTTAGAATTAGGTGAGCTAATACATCTAATAAACACTAAGTATGGTTCCTAAGGATTGATAAATATTAGCTACTATTATTGTCCCAGAGATAATCCTCAAGATTTTTTGCTTCAAATATGCCATTAATTATTTAGCCTAACCTTAACCTTAACCTATACTTTAACCTTAGTTTAAGGTTCACCATCGATTTGAAAATAGTGTTTGCTGGAAAATCGAAAGCATTATAACATCATAGACATCAATTATAAGACACTGATTTTGGAAAGTTGAAATTGTAAAAAAAGAAACTTGAAGAAATTATATATAAAATTTGTATAAGTTCTATCTTTAATAAAAATGTGGAATTGAATGAAGGAAAGTACACTATACAGTAGTATAAATAAAAAAAAATAAAAAGCAAAACCTGAATGCTTTAGCTGACCCCAAGAGCAGTAAGAGCCAGAGTTGTGATTTAATTACTTAAGTTGTTAACTCCATCGAGCCACATGGTAGATGGGATTGACTGGCAGTGACCAAATCAAGGACTCAAACTGGCCCCTCCTTTTCATACTTAGTTCCCTTGGCTTCTGTGACTCCCCACGCCCTTTGTTTACCTTCTACCTTACGGGCTGCCTGCCCTCAGTCTCCTCTGTTGACTCCTCTTGTACCTAATGTGTGATGTTGCATCATGCTAAGGCTCCACCCTTGGTCCTCTTTTCTTCTCTATCTACATTACTCCTTTGATAATGACTTTTAATGCCATCTATAAGCTAATGACTCCAGAATACACATCTCAGGCTCACACTGCTATTTTGTATTTCAAACTCATATCCAATTGCTTATTTGACATATCCACATGTCAACTTTACATGTCCAGGGGGAATTCCTGATCTTCTCATTTCTGATTAGCTTTTCCAAAGGAGGCAATCAGATATACATTTATTTCAGTGAACAGAGGAATGACTTTGAATAGAATGGGAGGCAGGTTTCACCTAAGCAGTTCCTCACTTGACTTTTCCCTTTAGTTTAGTGATTGTGGGGCTCCAAGATTTATTTTTCTTTCACACTAGAATATCTCTGAATATAATGAGTGTATATAAGCCTTATTTCTTATGACTTGCTTTGATTTATAGAATATGAAAGAAGTGATAATGGACCCATTCTAAGTGTAGGTATTAGGAACCATATGTGCTTCTTTTTTTCTCTTCTGTATCTCGGCCACCACCATGTGGAAAAGTCCAAGCTGGCTTGCGGGAGGATGAGATACCACAGGTTACAGAGAAAAGAGCTTGCAACAAGTCTCCTCAGCAGAGTTCATCCTGGACAAGTTCACCCCCAGCCAATCCACCAGCTGACTGCAAATTCAAGATTGAATCCAGCTGGGAAGAGTAGAAGAACTACTCAGCTGATCCACAAACTTGTATATAACACATGCTTATAGTATCAGGTTGGTGCAAAAGTAATTGTGGTTTTGCAACTAAAAGTAATTGCAAAAATCGCAATTACTTTTGCAGCAACCTGATATTAAGCCACTAAATCTTGAGTTCTTTTTAACGCAGCAATGGCTAAATAGCACACACCAAGATGCTCAGCCAGTGTCCTAGCATCTCTGAGCAACTGAACCCCCTTCCAAATAACTCCAACTTTCCTATTACATAAAATAATTACATGTCCACATCATCTCAGAATTGTTAGTAGGCTAGTGTGTCATTGGGAGCAGAAGGTATCCTAACAAATAAGATGGCTCATTCTGGCCAGGCACTTTGCTAAATTCTAAGAATACAAAAGTGAGCAAAACACACATGGTCTCTCTCGATGGTACTTTCAGAGCAACGGGGGAGACTAGAACTTAAACAATAAAAATAGAATTTAAAAATGTGAAAAGTGTGATTAGGGAAAACACTATGTGCTATAAGATTGAATAGCAGAGAGACCTTATTTAGCATTGCATTACTAAACCCCCTTTTATTAGTAATCGAAAAGACAAAAACTCTTTGGCTGTGATCTGTGTAATTCTAAAGGTTCAGACATGTCCAGGGCCTCTTTATAAGTTTTTTTTAATTTAAAAGAATTATCTATTTTATTTAAATTTTTGAATTTGATGAAGTGGTTAATTGTAAGCTCTGAAGTTCCATAACCTGTTATAAAATCACTTCTCTTGTAATTACTACCTGGGCAAAATACTTAGCCCCTCCTTGCATAAGTTTTCTCATTTGTAAAATGATGTTATCGATATAGTACTGATGTTACAAGGTTGTTGTATGGTTTAAAAGGATAATATAATTTTTTAAAAACTCTTATCAGAGAGCCTGATGCACAATATTACAATGATATTATTATTTTTTGTGAATTCTGCAAAATTACAGGATTATATGAAAATATCTTTGGCTAATAGCAGCATAGCATTTTATGATATTGATAAAAGAAAAACTTCAGCCAAATTAAATTTAAAGGAGTTTAATTGAGCAATGAATGATTTAAAAATCGGGCAGCCCCCAGAATCATAGCAGATTCACAGAGCCTCCAGGAGGGCCTCATGGTCAGAATAAATTTATAGACAAGAAAGGTAATGTTATGTACAGGAATCAAAAGTGAGGTACAGCAGCAGTGAGACTGGTTACAATTCAGTGTTTGCCTTATTTGAACACAGTTTGAACATTCAGTAGTCTATGAGTGGTTGAAGTAGGGCCACTGGGATTGGCCAGCGCTCAGCTATTGTTACAGGTGCATACTAATAAGTTAGGTTTTCAATTTTGTCTATTAGGCTAGGTTACAGTCCATCCACAAGGACTCAAATATAGAAGTACAGAGTCCTTCTCAGGCCATATTTAGTTTGCTTTAACAATATGTTATGAAAGTTTTAAGAGTCATACATTCTTCTTTTTATATTCTAAAAGTATTCAATATTAGATGATTTAAAAGCCACATTTTAAAAAATTTTTTGATTTTTTTTAAGTTCCGGAGTACATATGCAGGATGTGCAGGTAGGTTACACAGGTAAACATGTGTCATGGTGTTTTGCTGCACCTATCAACCCATCACCTAGGTATTAAGCCCAGCATGCATTAGCTTTCTTCCCTAATGCTCTCACCACCCCTACTCTCCCCTGACAGGCCCCAGTGTGTGTTATTCCCCTCCCTGTGTCCATGTGTTCTCCTTGTTCGCTCCCACTTATAAGCGAGAACATGCAGTGTTTGGTTTTCTATTCCTGTGTTAGTTTGGTGAAGATAATGGCTTCCAGCTTCATCCATGTCCCTGCAAAGGACAAGATCTCATTTCTTTTTATGGCTGCATAATATTCCATGGTGTATATGTACCACATTTTCTTTATCCAGTCTATTATTGATGGGCATTTGGGTTGATTCCATGTCTTGCTATTGTGAATAGTGCTGCAATGAACATACATGTGCACGTATCTTTATAATAGAATGATTTATATTCCTTTGGGTATACACCCAGTAATGGGATTGCTGGGTCAAATGGCATTTCTGGTTATAAATCTTTGAGGAATCGCCACACTGCCGTTCACTATGGTTGAATTAATTTACATTCACATCAATAGTGTAAAAGCGTTCCCATTTCTCTGCAACCTTGCCAGCATCTGTTGCTTCTTGACGTTTTAGTAATCGCCATTCTTACTGGCATGAGATGGTATCTCACTGTGATTTTAATTTGCATTTCTCTAATGAGCAGTGATGTTGAGTTTTTTTCATGTTTGCTGGCTGCATGTATGTCTTTTTTTGCATGTATGTCTTTTTTCTGTTTATGTCCTTTGCCCACTTTTTAATGGTTTTTTTGCTTTTTCTTGTAAATTTGCATAAGTTACTTATAGATTCTGGATATTATACCTTTTTCAGATGGATAGATTGCAAAGATTTTCTCCCATTCTGTAGGTTGTCTGTTCTGCTCTGATGATAGTTTCTTTTGCTGTGCAGAAGCTCTTTAGTTTAATTAAATCCCATTTGTCAATTTTTGCTTGTGTTGCAGTTACTTTTGGCAAGTTCATCATAAAATCTTTGCCCATGCCTATGTCCTGAATGGTATTGCCTAGGTTTTCTTCTAGGGTTTTTATAATTTTAGGTTTTACATTTAAGTCTTTAATCCGCCTTGAGTTAAAATTTTTGTATATGGTGTGAGGAAGGGGTCCAGTTTCAATTTTCTGCATATGGCTAGCCAGTTCTCCCAGCACCATTTGTTAAATAGGGTATCCTTTCCCAATTGCTTGCTTTTGTCAGGTTTGTCAAAACTCAGATGGTTGTAGATGAAAGCCACATTTTAAACTATGCCTTGCAATGAAGATCTGCAAGACAATTTGGTTTGTATACTGAAATAAACATACATCATACATCTTGATAAAGATGTTTTGATTTTTGATATATAAATAGAATAGTAAAACCAATGAAAGCAGATTAATAGTTGAAATATAACATAAAATCACAACTAAAATAGGTACACAAGGCTGCATCTTTGAAATCAGAAAATGTTAATAGATTTCCAATGACAAAAAAAAAGCAGAGATTTGAGGGTGTATTTTTGGCTTGGTTTAATATTTTATCTGTTTTATTCATTTCATTTGTTCACTAAAAATATTTCTATGTATATAGTGAATAAAATAAAACCATTAGTGCTTCTGAATTTTTTTTAAGTCTTAGTTCTTTATACAATAATGTAGTTTAACTCAAGTGAAAAATAAAACAAAAAATATTCTAGGAACTCAAGTCATCCTTATTTTCAAAAGTCATATAAAAGAAAATTCACTTGTGAATAATACTTTCAGTTCATTTTATTTCTATTAAGTTTTCAAAAACAATTTGGTTTTTATGTGAACCAGAATGATTTTATCAAGTCAATTTATAATTATAAGGGACAAATAACAACATAGAAATGCGTAATGTAAATGAACTAGCCAAACGTTTCCAAACATAAGACAACCTTGTGAATATATGCATGTAAACAGACTGAAATAAATAGGGAAAAGCAATATCAGGAAAAGTATTAAGGAGGGATATTTAATCTATTCCATTTAAAATAACCTTTAAAGTCTTTATGTTATGATCTTTAACAAATAAAACATACATTCAAAAAGATTTTTTAAAAGTCATTCTGTAACTAGGAGACAATATGATTTTCAAGTAGTTTGTCATCTAATTATGGTTTTACTTCACTATGGAGTACTCTGACCTCAACCTTCCCCAGAGGTTATTTTGTTGGTTTCACTCTGCTAAACACAGCTGGATGACCCATTTTTTTTAATTATTAGGTTTTATTTTTAGAACAGTTTTAGATTTCATTAACAGTTGGGAAAATAGTGTGAAAGTTCCATATACACAGCTCCATCTATTATTAAACTTTCACATTAGTATGATACATTTGTTACAATTAATTAACAGATATTGATACATCATTGTTAACTAAATTTTGTGCTCTATTTTGATTTCCTTAGTTTTTACCTAATGTCTTTTTCAGTTGGAGGATCCTATCTACGAAACCACATTATATTTAGTTATCATGTCTCTTTAAGATGTGTTTTGACTGTAACAGTTTCTCAGATTTTTCTTTTATTTAATGGCCTTAATAGTTTGGAGGAACACTGATCAGGTATATTTTAGGATTCTCTTCTATTGGAATTTGCCCAGTGTTTTTCCCAGGGTGATATTGGGATTATGGATTTTGGAAGGAAGACCACAGAGGTAAACTGCCATTTTCATCATTTCAAATCAAGGGTACATACTATCAACATATTTATGGCTTCTAATATTAATCTTAGTCATTACTTTTGGCTTAAGTAGTGTTTGTCAAGCTTGTGGATTGTAAGGTTAGTCTATTCCTACCCCACACCCTTCAATCTTCTCTTTAAATGAAAGTCACTACATGCAGACCATGTTTACAGAGTGGAAGTTTTGCCTTCCCTCCTTAAAGGTGAAGTATCTAGATAGTTTATTTGGAATTTTGCACAGGAGATTTGCCTCTTTTCCCCTCACTTATTAATTTATTCAGTCATTTGTTTACAGCAGTGTAAACAAATAGGTATTTATTTTATACCTTGCATTGTCATCCAATACTACTTTCTTCATTTTGTTGCTTAAACTATTTCAGCTTTGGCCATTGGGAGCTCTTTCTGTTGTCTTTTGTGCCTTTTCGACATACCGTATCGCTGAGTTTTTAGAGGACCCATTTTTAAATGTAAACTCCATTCTAATGCTAGATCATGCCTAATTTTTTCTGGGCATGAAAAGACATTATGAAATAAAAAAAAAAAAACCTGTCAAAATGTTGCAGTGTTAGAAACAAGAGGTGATCATTGTCATAATAGCCAGACCTGAAAATCTGGGGGCTGTATAAAAAGGCTAGAAGAAGTGACAAAATTGGGGTCCTCAGCATTATGAATACAGTAAACGTCTTTCACTGACAAGGAATCTGACAGTAATGTTACATTTTCTCTAAATCTTTTCTCCATTGTGCTGTCCATATTTAGCAAAATAAGAATCTAAAACTAATAAGTCTTAGCTTTTGCCTAATGTATGAATTCAAAATAGTATAAACTACACTCAGCCATTTTTTGAAAAAGACTTAACAGGAAGCCATCTGTATCACTCTTTAGAAATCAGAGCAGTTTCGGTTTTTTTTAATTAGTCTTAGATTCAGAAATGCTTCCTCTCTTAGAGAAATGGAATACCCAAAATTTTCAAAACCCTATTAAGTAAAATTCTTCACAAGTTTATAGGTGACATTTTTAAAGAAAGAGTTGGCCTGGCTATTCCACTGTTGGAGGTGAGTAGTAATGAGCTATTTCTTGAAAATTCCCAGGTTTTCAGAAAAAAATAGATCAAAATCAAGTGAGGGAAAACCCTACAGAAAATAATATAATTTCCTGCCCTGTACAAACCCAAAAACAATGGAAATCTTCCATATTTCATTCTTAATCAATAAACTCTAACCATAGAAGCATACTATTGCCAGAAAAAAAATGGATCTAAGGATAGTCTTACATGCACTTATTTGTAAAGTGAATTACTGCTCCACTCTAAGCACTAATCACCATGCCACTTCTTAGGAGCAAAAATACCACATGAAAGCCCATAAATGTTAAAACTGGAGTAGTTTCTCAGATTATACTGATAAGTCTATCTATTCACTGCTTTCCAATGTGGATACACTTGGAGGAAACAGTTTCAATTGGTTAGGAGAATAGGGCCTACAGTAAAAATTACCTGGATTCAAATCCCACCCTCTACATACCATGCACAGGTTGTGTGATATGAGCAATCTCTTTATTAAAAGAAAAACTTCAGTCAAATTAAATTTAAAGGAGGTTAATTGAGCGACGAACGATTCTCAAATCCGGTAGCCTCCTGAGCCAGAGTAGGCTCTGCGACGCCAGTGCAGCCACATGGTAGAAGAAGATTTGCAGACAGAAAAAGGAAAGTAACATATAGAAAATGGAAGTGAGGTACAGAAACAGCTGGATTGGTTACAGATTAGCATTTGCCTTATTTGAACACAGTTCAAACAGTTGGCTACATTTGATTGGCCAAAACTCAGTGTTTGGCACAAGTGTAGGCTATGTTCTGTTTGCCCCTCTACTTGTTATAGTTCACAATACACAGAGAAAGCTTTAAGTCAAGCTTAAAATATGTAAGGAAGCAGCTTTAGGCTAAACTTGATTTAACACCTTTTAGTCTGTGAACCTCACTTTTAAAAAAAAAAAACCTGCTATTTACTTCTGTAAGTTGTTATGAAAACCTGAACATAAAAAATATGCACAAAGCTTAAAGTTAAAAATGCCAATATAATGTAACCCATATTTAAAAATGTCAACTGAGTCAATTGACTAACATCTAATCAGAATTTAAGATATTTGAAGATCAAATTTCCTAAGTAGTATGCATAATTCCCTCTTCTGTATGACACTTCAATAAGTTCATTTTTTGTTCATTTTTCATTAAATCTTTTCGATAGCTCTGTAAAGTAAATATCTTACAAAGCTTATCATCATCTGCTTTCCAGTGGAAGGAAACTGAACAGAAGGATTGTGAGTCTTCTATGATGCATCATTAAGTGAATGAGATACTACCAAATTTCTTAAATTGTATTACAGGATTCTGTCTGCACCATCTTTATGAAATTAGTACAACTAGGAAATCACAAAATTAAAACTCACCAATTCACTACTATCCTAGTCATCACATTTCTAGCCTCTTATTTTTCTTTCTTATTTTGTTTATTTATTATTATTATACTTTAAGTTTTAGGGTACATGTGCACAATGTGCAGGTTAGTTACATATGTATACATGTGCCATGCTGGTGCGCTGCACCCTAGCCTCTTATTTTTCAATAATGGATACTACAAACACTATTTTGGGAAGTTCTAACCTAATGTAGTTTTAGCTGATTTCAAAGTGAGTTCATGTAGCCTGACATATATTTCTATTGCTTGTTTCAAGCAGGCATTGCCTTTATTTCAGTTCATGATTTCTGTTTTAATGCTAAAGTAATAAAGGCAAAACTCTGGTAAGGAGGTATATGAAACTCCTTTGGTCAGTATTTCCAAATACATCTGTTCTGTTATAATCCATTATTGTCTTCTTGATAAATGAAGTGGAAACTCTTAAGTTGGTGAATTAGTACAAAGGAGACATTTTGCTTTCTATTTTAAAGCTGTAAGAAGGAAAGTGTTACATGTAAACAGTGGATATAATCTCTAGTTAATCCCCCCAAAAGTAAGTTTTTTTCTTTCTTTTATTTTTTTTGTTTATAAAAATAAAATGCAAGACCAGCCTATGGGCTCATAGAAGTATGAGTCTTCTTACTGAAAGGCTGTGTGAGAAGAATATATTTACAGGAGAGAATGACAAAGAGAAATGCAGGGAATGAGAGTATCAGAGAAGAGTTCCTAAGGGACAGAATTACCTAGAATTTTGGAAACTAAAAACAGGAGAAGCTAATGAATCATGCCCACAGCAAATCCACGTGTAAATGATGGGGATTAGTGAAGAGCGGGTTTGAATTCTGAAATGCTGCCCCATACAAGTTAATCATCTTTACCATTAATATCCTAGCTTCTATTTTTCAGCACCTAATGACACAAATTAAGCCCTGTTCATTTATTCATTCACGTATTGATTCGCTCATTCATCCATTTATTATTTCAACAAATAATTTATTACATGTCTACCAAGCAGAATCTGCCTCCCAACCCCCAATCTGTGGTTCCAGAGAGACACTTAATAACGTGCTTCACACTGATTCAGTTGACTCCCAGCTCTCTCATTTCTGTCAGCAAATGAAGCTGGAAAACTGCACATGTTCTTGAAGCTCTCGGCTCCAGGCACAACCCTGTACATCAAACACACCATGAAGAACGAGAACAGCTGGTGCACTGAGAATCTCACAGGACTCCATTGCCGTTAAGCTGGTTCAAATAAAAATCCTTTCAGGATCCCTTCATCAAGCTTCAGGTTGGCTTGAGCTTTCTCAGCTCTTTCTTATCACCTTCCCAGGAGAACTGCTTCTCCTTAATGTGTTTGAGTGATTATTTCCTTTCTAGCTACAAGATAGACTCTTTTGGACCCCCTAGGACCTGGATAATTTACATTAAGATATACAATTTCATTACTCCCAGGTCCAAACTTGTGTTGCTGCCATTTAAATTTTCTTACTGTTAATCACATCAATCCTGTGTGACAGATCCAGAATTTTCTTAAAATAGATGTTCTAAGCAAGTAATAAGCCTCTCATCAAGGGCCATTTGGGACTCTTCAGTTTGGCTCCTCTCTCATCCACATATCGTGTGTTTTTCTAAAAGTTCTGTATCATATTGATTTTTTTCTGATATTTATTATGCAGAATCATTCAATCAGATCTATCGGCTGAGCTTTAAAACTCCGAACCAATTCACTTAATTAGTACACGTGACAAACTTTTATTAAGACCTTTCTTTTTGCCAGACATCATAGTGGATGCTGGGGTATGGAAACCAATGAAACAAAATATCTACTGTCTAGAAGCTTAATGTTTAGTAAACAGCAGAAAAACCAAGTGAGCGAAGTATCTATGCACTGGGATACTTCTTCAGGGACAAGACTAATTTGGCTACCCTTCTTATATGTTTTATGTTTCAATAGTTTCGTTTTAATTTTAAAAATTAAGATGTAATTTAAACACTGTAAAGTTCTCCTTTTTTAGTGTATACTTCCTCAAAGTTTGGCAAATATATACATTTCTGTAACCACCACCACCACAATGAAGATATTTAGAAAAGTGCCGTCACCCCCAATTCTCCTATTTCTTTTTGGTCAAACTATGCACGTCCTGCTCCCTCCAACCCCCACAGTCCCTGGCAACAACTGTATAATTTCTGCCCTTATAGCGTCACCTTTTTCAGACTGTCATATAGTATGGAATTATATAGTATGTTGCCTCTTGCATCTGGACTTTTTCACTTAGTAAAATGCATAGATATTTTTCCATAGTGCCATGTATACCAGTGGTTCTTTCTTTTTTGTTAACTAGTACTTAATTATTTAGATACCACAGGTTCTTTATTTTCCAGTTGAGACACATTTGAGTTGTTTTAAATTTTGAGATACTAGGAATAAAACTGCTACTAATATCTAAGACTTTGGTGTGGGGAATAGGATTTCAATTTACAGGGAAAACACTTAGGAATGAGATTACTGGATTATTTAATTAGTGTATGTTTAACTTTATAATAAATTGTCTAACTGTTTTCCAAAGTAGCTGGGCCATTTTGCAATAATCTCAGCAATATATGAGAGTTCCAGTTGCTTTATATACTAGTGAGCACTTGATACTGACACTTTCTTTTTTAAACTTTGGTAATTCTCATAGGTGCATAATAGTATTTCTTAGTGGTTTAAACTTTTGTATTGTCCTAAAAACTAATACACTTTAAAAAATTCATATATCTTCTTTGAGGAAGTACCTATTAAAATCTCTTGCTATTAATTTATTGTTTTTTAAATTAAGTTTTGATAATTCTGTATAATGTAATTATATACATACATATATATATCTCCACACAGACACACATATGTCTAAATCCATTTGTGTCACTATAGAAGAATATCTGAGACTGCATAATTTAGAAAGAAAATAGGTTTATTTGCCTCACTTTTCTGCAGGCTGTACAAGAAACACAGCTCTAGCATCTATTTGGCTTCTGGTGCGGCCTGGGTGGAAAGTGAGTGGGAGATGTGTGTCCCACTATCACTTGGTGAATGAGAAAACAAGAGAGATTGGGGAAGTGCCAGGCTCTTTATAACAACCAGCTCTTGGGAGAATAGAGTGAGAACTCCCTACTGCAGGAATGGTACCAAGTTATTCATAAGAAAAACATCCCCATGGCCCAATTACCTCCTACTAGGCCCCACCTCCCACCTCCAATATTGAAGATCAATTTCAACATGAGGTTTGGAAAGGACAAACATCCAAACTATAACAATATATATTTCTGTATAAACACGCACATTTTCTCAGTGGGCTTATCATGAAGGGATGTTGAATTTTGTAAGAGACTATTTCTGAATTGAGAATTATACTTTGTATAATTGTGTATTTTGTCTTAATTAGTATCTATATGGTAAATTATATCAACTGATTTTAGAATGGTGAATAATCTCTGAGTTCCTAAAATAATCCCCATTTGGACATGATATATTATTTTTTAATATATTACTGAATTTGTTTTCTAGCACTTTTTGAAAAAATTTGCATTAATACCCCTGAGGGATATTTGCCTGCAATTTTCTTTTCTTGTAATGTCTGTGCCTGGTTTTGGCATCAGGGTAATCCTCACTCAAGTGTGCTATTTTTTTTCCAAATATTTGGACATTTTCAGTTATCTGATTTCTTGTTTAATTTAGTTTCATTTCAAAATATACTTTGTTTGTTTTTAATTAGGTTCCAGAATGTAGTTTCGCCTTCTGAATATTAATTTACATGCTCATTTTAAACAAATTTTCATTCTGATAATATTGGGTGGAGTGTTCTATAATTGTCAGCTAGTTCTATGTTGGTGATAGTGTTGTTGAGGTGATCTACCTTGCAACAGAATTTGTATTTGGCTATTCTACTGATTCTGAGAAAAAAAGTGCAGGAAGTCCAACTAGAACTGTGGCAATGCCAATTTCTCCTCATAATTCTTTAAATTATTGCATTTTGTTTTTGGAAACTCTGTAGTGGAGTGCATGAACATTTAGTATGTTTATACACTTAGAGAATTGACTGCTTTTTCATTATGTAATATTCTTCTTCATACCTAGTGACTTACCTTGTTAAGAAGGTTATTTTAATATTATTGTTGCTGCTTCCATTTTCTTTTAGTGCATCTTTTTCTGTAATTTTAACTTCTTTATATTTTATATTTAATGCAGGTAAACTATAAAAAGCCTATATTAAGGTCTTGCTTTTAAAAATCCGATCTAACAATTTATCTCTTTTAATTTATGTCTTTAGATCATTAACATTTAATATGGTCATAAATATGTTTTGATTAAACTCTGCCTACTTGCTAGATGTTTTCTATTTGTTCCTTTTGTTCTTTACTTCTTTTCCCTCTTTCCTGCTGCATGGAGAGCAGCAGGATCCTGGGCCTGGCCCAGAAAACCATTTTTCTCTTCTAGGTTTTCTGGCCTGTGATGGGAGGGGCTGCTGTGAATGTCTCTGACATGCCCTGGAGACAGTTTCCCCATTGTCTTGGTGATTAACATTCTGTTCCTCATTACTTATGCAAATTTCTACAGTGGGCTTGGATTTCTTCTCATAAAACGGCGTTTTCTTTTCTATTGCATCATCAGGCTGCAAATTTTCTAAACTTTTATACTCTTCTTTCTCTTGAATGCTTCGCCACATAGAAATTTCTTCTGCCAGATACCCTAAATCATATCTCTCAAGTTCAAAGTTCCACAGATCTCTAGGTGAGGAGCAAAATAGTACCAGTCTCTTTGCTAAAGCATAGTAAGAGTCACCTTTGCTCCAGTTCAGAAGAATTTTCTCATCTCCACCTGAGATTGCCTCATCCTGGACTTCATTGTCCATATCATTGTCAGCATTTTGGTCAAAAGCATTCAACAAGTCTCTAGGAAGTTTCAAACTTTTCCACATCTTCCTGTCTTCTGAGCCCTCCAAGTCTATAGGAAGTTCCAAACTTTCCCACATTTTCCTGTCTTCTTCTGAGCCCTCCAAACCTTTCAAACCTCTTTCTGTTACTCAGTTCCAAAGTTGCTTCTATATTTTTGAGGATCTTTATAGTAATACCCCACTCTCTGCAGTAGTACCAATTTACTGTATTAGTCTGTTCTCACACTGCTATATAGAAATTCCTCAGACTGGGTAATTTATAAAGGAAAGAGGTTTAATTGACTCACAGTTCAGCATTGCTGTGGAGGCCTCAGGAAACTTACAATCATGGTGGAAGGCACCTCTTCTCAGGGCGGCAGCAGAGAGAATTAGTGCCAGCAGGGGAAATGCCAGATGCTTATAAAACCATCAGATCTCATGAGAAGTCACTCTCATAAGAACAGCATGGGGGAATCCACCCCTGTGATTCAATGACCTCCCCCAGGTCCCTCCCACAACATGTGGGGATTATTACAATTCAAGTTGAGATTTGGGTGGGGACACAGAGCCAAACCATATAACCCAGGAACCGAGCTAGTTAACAGCAGAAACGTAGTAAATATTTCTTGAATAAATAAAAACACAGAAAAGAGAAAGCCTAATTGACAGAGCAGGAAGAAATGATTTATAGGGAATATATCATAAAGCGTATTTTCCAGAAAGACAAAGAATAGAGGATAATCTTTAGACTAGAGGCAATCGATGCTTTTAAAATTTCATTTATTAAGGGTCAAGAAACTGTTTATGATAACATTAGTAGAGATTTCATCTTATGGTGTTTCTATTTCATTCATACAAGCAGAGTCTGTAAGAACTACAACATGCTTTTAGCAGCTAATATATTAATAGGATGCAGGGTCAAAATATATATGTAGATTTCAACATGCTACAATTGTTTCTCTGTGTTAAGCTTAAAATGCATATGCTCTGGGGTCAGCTGGAGCAAACCCCAGAACTGCAGTTGGCACTGCTGGTCCATGGTATGAGTATTATAAGACATGTACAACAGACTGATGAATAAGGATGGAAGCTCCTGTAGGCTGAGAAATATACAATATTTCAAAGTGGATTGGTTTAGGTCAGAGTATTTGTTCTGTTTTACATGATATAAAAGGAAAAACATTTCTTCATTTCACATGGGATATAGTATCCTGCAATTTTATCCTCAGTATAAAGCTTCAGCAAACTGTAATTCCCAGGTTGGCATGACTTCAGTGGGTACTGACTTACTGAAGAAGAGACTTTTTAAAAAGTTTTATTTATATTTTCTGCACCACACTGTGAAGTGCCCCTGATGCTTTGTTTCTCAAACGCAGGATTAGAGCACAGATGGGAGAAGAAAGGCACGAAATTCTATACTCTGAAACATTCAGTCAAGATTTATATTGTATCTCTAGTTACCTGGTGCCTCTATAATACCCTTCATTGGAGAATTTCAAAGCCCATAAAGCCTCACAGTTCTATAAATAGGTCAAATTTAAAAACAATTATCTGAGGGAAGATTAATCAAGCTGCATTGAAGGTGAAATTATAATAAACAAATAAAAAGAAGGGGCTTTTTTTGCCTGTTTGTTTGTTTTGTCAATAAGATCTAATGTCAAATAGAACTAATCCAGTTTAGAAAGCATCAAAGCCTTAGTTTTTTGTTTACTTCTTCTCAGCTCTAGTCCAGTTAGGCCATTGGCAATTAAGGGAAAATACCAGTTTCTCTCTCATGTGTCCTGCATATGTATCCACAGTACAAAATAATCTCTACCACAACCACATCAGATACTTTTATTTTTAGTTGGCCTTTTTATACTTAACATTTTGGTAAATTATAATCTAACTCTGGCATAAACATATTCTAAAAATATAAGACAGTAGCTATCTCTCCAGAAATAACCTTGCAAAATAAGTCATATTTTTCTCCAAAATGCAATAGATTGAAGAATATGGATATCTCCAAATATTAAAATAATATTCTTTTAACAGTAAGGATGCTATTATATTGAAAAATTGTGGAAAAGAAACAGGTTATATCATATTATAAACCATGCGAATACTTAACTTTCTCTACTAAATATTTTATGTGACCAAATTAAATACATTTTGGATTACTCATGTGCAAAAAACAATGTATTATTTATGTAACACTCTCAGTCAGGTTTGGCTAGTAAACCAGAAGCTATTCTGTATAAGTCAGAAATGCAAAGTTTAATTCAGAATTAAGTGCTTATAACTACTGTTGGAGGGACAAGGGTAAGGATGTTAGGAAAACCGCTATTGAAGGTTAGGAGTTGACAGTGAATATTTTAGACCAGAATTTCTCAACTGGGACAATTTTGTCCCCTATGGAACATTCAGCAAGGTCAGGACACAGTTTTGATTATCATGACTGAGGTGGAGAAGTTTGCTACCAGCTTCCAATGGGTGAGGCCAGATGCTTTAGCCATATTACTTTGGGTGAGGTTTGGTGAGGCCAGAGACAGGTTAAGAAAGAGGAACCAGAAAGAGTTTTACAGTTTTGTTATACTCAGCAGTTCCTTGAGGAGAGTATAGCATGCAATGCAGAGCCACTGAGAGGAAGCATGGGAGGCTTCTCTGTTGTGGTTTCCTGGAAAAGGAGCAGGTGAGGCAGGGCAGCAGGCTTAAGGTTGGCTAACTATGTTTGAAGGTGGCTCTCCTGCTAAGTTCAGGTTCACTGTGACTGTCAGAGCCTATAGTTTAGGACTGACTGAAGTCTCCAGATGTTTTTAGATGAGCCAGGGTTTACTTGGGAGCAGCCAGTGGCCATTTTGTAGGCATAAAAACATTAATTTACAGAAATTGGAAGTATGGTTAATACGCCGGGATGCTACTAAACATTCCACAATGCACAGCACAGCTTTCCCCTTCCACCAACACAAATTATGTGGTCCAAAGTGTCAATGATGCTGAGGCAGATAAACCTTGTTCGAGATTCTAAAGCCCCAAGGCAGGAAATGGGAGCTGCTGCCAATGTTGACAGTAAATGTCTCAGTGTGAAACATTGGTGAGGGGTGATGGTAAAGACATTGGAGATCACAAGTAAGTGTATGAAACCAGCCATGGCTGCTCGTGGAGCTCTTGGCATGGTTTTCAAAGCCCATAAGTGAATGAAGCAGGAGGTTGTGGAGAGATCTGCAAAGCTGTTGCCTCTGATAAAGCCTTCTTGTTTGACCCCAGAAGACCTTTATCTTTACTTCATTTCCTCTTTGAACTCCCCTATATGTTCTTTTCATTTACTTGGAAGGGGATTCTGAGATGTATGGTCTTAGCCTTTGTTGTGGTGGTGCCAAAGTGCCCACAAATGTTATGGCACAAGTATCAGTCATGTTTGAAACAAGATGGGTGATATGGTTTGGCTCTGTGTCCCCACCCAATTCTCATGTTGAATTGTAATCCTCACTGTTGAAGTAGAGACCTGGTGTGAGGTGATTGGATCATGGAGGCGGATTTCTCCCTTGCTGTTCTCATGATAGTGAGTGAGTTCTCACAATATCTGATTGTTTAAAAGTGTGTAGCACTTCCCTGTTCTCTCCCTCTCTGCCTCACCATGGTGAGACATGCTTGTTTCCCCTTTGCCTTCTGCCATGATTGTAAGTTTCTTTTTCTATTTATTTTTTAGTTCTTCCAAAAAAAAAAGGAGGAGATACATGTGCAGAACATGCAGGTTTGTTACATAGGTACACGTGTGCCATGGTTGTTTGCTGCATTTATTGACTTGTCTTCCTAAGTTCTCTCCACACACCCCTCACCCCCAACAGGCCCTGGTGTGTGTTGTTCCCCCTCTCTGCGTCCATGTGTTCTCATTGTCCAATTCCCATTTATGAGTAAAAACATGTGGTGTTTTGTTTTCTGTTCCTGTGTTAGTTTGCTGAGGATGATGGCTTGCAGCTTCATCTAAGTCCCTACAAAGGACATGATCTGATTCCTTTTTATGGCTGCATAGTATTCTGTGGTGTATATATGCCACTTTTTCTTTATCCAGTCTATCATTGATGGGCATTTGGGTTGGTTCCATATCTTTGTTATTGTAAATAGTGCTGCAATAAACATATGTGTGCATGTGTCTTTATGGTAGAATGGTTTATATTCCTTTGGTTATGTGTATTACTGGATAGATATTCAGTAATGGGATTGCTGGGTCAAATGGTATTTCTGGTTCGAGATCCTTGAGGAATTGCCATACTGTCTTCCACAATGGTTGAACTAATTTACATTCCCACCAACAGTGTAAAAGTGTTCCTGTTTCTCCAGTCTTGCTAGCGTCTGTCATTTCCTGACTTTTTAATAATCGCCATTCTGACTGGTGTGAGATGGTGTCTCATTGCAGTTTTGATTTGCATTTCTCTGATGATCAGTAATGTAGAGCTTTTCTTCTTATGTTTGTTGGTCACATAAATGTCTTCCTTTGAGAAGTGTCTATATCATTTGCCCACTTTTTGACTTTCTTTTTTCTTGTAAATTTGTTTAAGTTCCTTGTAAATTCTCCATATTGGACCTTTGTCAGATGGGTGGATTGCAAAAATTTTCTCCCATTCTGTAGGTTGCCTTTTTACTCTGATGATAAGTTATTTTGCTGTGCAGAAGCTCTTTAGTTTAATTAGATCCCATTTGTCAGTTTTGGCTTTTGTTGCAATTGCTTTTGGCGTTTTTGTCATGAAGTCTTTGCCCATGCATATGTCCTGAATGGTATTGCCTAGGTTTTCTTCTAAGGTTTTTATGGTTTGGGGGTTTACATTTAAGTCTTTATTCCATCTTGAGTTAATTTTTGTATAAGGTGTAAGGAAGGGGTTCAGTTCCTGTTTTCTGTGTATGTCTAACCAGTTTTCCAGTACCATTTACCGAACAGGAGATCCTTTCTCCATTGCTTGTTTTTGTCAAGTTTGTTGAAGATAAGATTGTTGTAGATGTCTGGTGTTATTTTGGTTACTTGTTTTTTTTTGTTGTTGTTGTTGTTTATTTTATTTTGTTTGTTTGTTTGTTTTTGATGGAGTTCTTTGCTCTTGTTGCCCAGGCTGGAGTGCAATGGCACGATCTTGGCTCACCACAGCATCCGCCTCCCAGGTTCAAGTGATTCTCCTGCCTCAGCCTCCTGAGTAACTGGGATTACAGGCATGTACCACCATGCCCAGCTAATTTTGTATTTTTAGTAGAGATGGGGTTTCTCCATGTTTGTCAGGGTGGTCTCGAACTCCTGACCTCAGGTGATCTGCCCACCTCAGTCTCCCAAAATGCTGGGATTACAGGCATGAGCCACCACTCCTGGCCTTATTTCTGAGGTATCTGCTCTGCTCCATTGGTCTATATGTCTGTTTTTGTACCTGTACCATGCTGTTTTGGTTACTGTAGCCTTGCAGTATAGTTTGACATCAGGTAGCATGATGACTCCAGCTTTGGTCTTTTTTCTTAGGATTATCTTGGCTATACAGGGTCTTCTTTCATTCCACATGATAATTAAAATAGTTTTTTTATTCTAATTCTGTGAAGACTGTCAATGGTAGCTTGATGGGAATAGCATAGAATCTATAAATTACTTTAAGGCAGTATGGCCATTTTCATGAAGTCGATTCTTCCTACCCATGAGGATGGAATATTTTTCCATTTGTTTACATCCTCTCTTATTTCCTTGGGCAGTGGTTTGTAGTTCTCCTTGAAGAGGTCCCTCACATCCCTTGTTGGCTGTATTCCTAGGTATTTTATTCTCTTTGTATCTACCGTGAATGGGAGTTCATTCTCATTATTTAGCTCTCGTTTGTCTATTGTTGGTGTAAAGGAATGCTTGTGATTTTTGTACATTGATTTTGTATTCTGAGACTTTGCTGAAGTTGCTTATCAATTTAAGGAATTTTGGGCTGAGGAGATGGGGTTTTCTAAATATAAAATCATGTTGTCTGCAAACAGAGACAATTTTACTTCCTCTCTTCCTATTTTAATATGCTTTATTTTTTTCTCCTGCCTGATTGCCCTTGCCAGAACTTCCAATACTATGTTGAACGAGAGTGGTGAGAGAGGGCATTCTTGTCTTGTACCAGTTTTCAAAGGGAATGCTTCCAGCTTTTGCCCATTCAATATGATATTGGCTGTGGGTGTGTCATAAATAGCTCTTAGTATTTTGAGATATATTCCATTAATACCTAGTTCATTGAGAGTTTTTAACATGAAAGGATGTTAAATTTTATCAAAGGCCTTTTCTGCATCTATTGAGATCATCATGTGGTTTTTGTCTTTGGTTCTGTTTATGTGATGGATTACATTTATTGGTTTGCATATGTTGAACCAGCCTTGCATCCCAGGGATGAAGCCGACTTGATCGTGGTAGATAAGCTTTTTGATATGCTACTGGATTCAGTTTGCCAACATTTTATTGAGAATTTTTGCATCTATGTTCATCAGGGATATTGGCCTGAAGTTTTCTTTTTTTGTTGTGTCTGTTCCTGGTTTTGTTATCAGGATGATGCTGGCTTCACAAAGTGAGCTAGGGAGAAGTCTTTCCTTTTTAATTGTTTGGAATAGTTTTATAAGGAATAGTACCGGCTCCTCTTTGTATTTCTGTTAGAATTCAGCTATGAATTTGTCTGGTCCTGGGCTTTTTTGGTTGGTAGTCTATTAATTACTGCCTCAATTTCAGAACTTGTTATTGGTCTATTCAGGGATTCAACTTCTTCCTGGTTTAGACTTGGGAGGGTATATGTGTCCAGGAATGTATCCATTTCTTCTAGATTTTCTAGTTTATTTGTGTAGAGGCATTTATAGTATTCTCTGATGGTAGTTTGTATTTCTGTGAGATCAGTGGTAACATCCCCTTTATCATTTTTTATTGTGTCTATTTGATTCTTCTCTTTTTTTCTTCTTTGTTAGTCTGGCTAGAGGTCTATCTATTTTGTTAATTTTTTTCAAAAAAAAAAAAAACAGCCCCGAATTCATTGATATTTTGGAGAGTTTTTCTTATCTCTGTCTCCTTCAATTCTTCTCTGATCTTAATTATTTCTTGTCGTCTGCTAGCTTTTGGATTAGTTTGCTCTTGCCTCTCTAGCTCTTTTAATTGTGATGTTAGGGTGTTGATTTGAGATTTTTCAAGCTTTCTGATGTGGGCATTTAGGGCTGTAAATACCCCTCTTAACATTGCTTTAGCTGTGTCCCAGAGATTCCAGTGCATTGTCCCTTTGTTCTCATTGGTTTCAAAGAACTTCTTGATTTCTGCCTTAATTTCATTATTTACCCAGGAGTCATTCAGGGACAGGTTGTTCCATTTCCATATAATTGTATGGTTTTGAGTGAGTTTCTTGATCCTGAGTTCTAATTTGATTGCACTGTGGTCTGAGGGACTGTTTGTTATGATTTCTGTTCTTTTGCATTTGCTGAGGAGTGTTTTACTTCCAATTATGTGATCAATTTTAGAATAAGTGTCACGTGGCACTGAGAAGAATCTATATTCTGTTGATTCGGGGTAGAGTGTTCTGTAGATGCCTACTAGGTCCACTTGATCCAGAGCTGAGTTCAAGTCCTGAATATCCTTGTTATTTTTCTGTCTCATTGATCTATCTAATACTGACAGTGGGGTGTTGAAGTCTCCCACTATTGTTGTATGGGAGTCTAAGTCTCTTTGCAAGTACCTAAGAACTTGTGTTATGAGTCTGGGTGCTCCTGTATTGAGTGCATATATATTTAAAGTAGTTTGCTCCTCTTGTTGAATTGTTCCCTTTACCATTATGTAATGCCCTTCTTTGTCTTTTTTTTAATCTTTGTTGGTTTAAAGTCTTGTTTTGTCAGAGACTAGGATTGCAACCCCTACTTTTTTTTTTTTTTTTGCTTTCCATTTGCATGATAAATTTTCCTCTATTCCTTTATTTTGAGTCTATGTGTGTCTGCACATGAGATGGGTCTCCTGAATACAGCACACCAATGCGTCTTGACTCTATTCAATTCACTAGTCTGTGTGAATTAACCCATTTATCCCATTTACATTTACATTTATATTTAAAGTTAGTATTGTTATGTGTGAATTTGATGCTGTCATCATGCTGCTATTTGGTTACTTTGCACACTAGTTGATGCAGTTTCTTCACAGTGTCATTGGTCTTTATATTTTGCTGGGTTTTTGCAGTGGCTGGTAATGGCTCCCCCTCCACCATATTTACTGCTCTTTCAGGAGCTCTTGCAGGGCAGGTCTGATGGTAACAAAATCCCTCAGCATTTGCTTGTCTGGAAAGGATTTTATTTCTCCTTTGCTTATGAAGCTTAGTTTGGCTGGATATGAAATTCTGGGTTGAAATTCTTTTCTTTAAGAATGTTAAATATTGGCCCTCAATCACTTCTGGCTTGTAGACTTTCTGCGGAGAGGTCCACTATTAGTTTGATGGGCTTCCCTTTGTAGGTGACCTGGCCTTTGTCTCTGGCTGCTCTTAACAGTTTTTCCTTCATTTCAACCTTGGAGAACCTGATGATTATGTGTCTTGGGGTTGATCTTCTCATGGAATATCTTAATGATGTTCTCTGTATTTCCTGAATTTGCATGTTGGCTTGTCTTGCTAGGTTGCAGAAGTTCTCCTGGATAATATCCTGAAGTGTGTTTTCCAGCTTGTTTCTATTCTTCCCATCTCCTTCTGGTACTCCAATCAATCATAGGTTGGGTATTTTTATGAAGTCCCATATTTCTTGGAGGCTTTGTTCATTTCTTTTTATTCTTTTTTCTCTAGTGTTGTCTGCATGCCTTATTTCAGCAAGGTGGTCTTCAAACTCTGATATCCTTTCTTCCACTTGGTCAATTCATCTATTGGTACCTGTGTATACTTCACAAAATTCTCATGCTGTGTTTTTCAGCTCCATCAGGTGGTTTATGTTCCTCTCTAAACTGGTTATTCTAGTTAGCTATTCCTCTATCCTTTTATCTAGGTTCTTAGCTTTTTTGCATTGGGTTAGAACATGCTCCTTTAGCTCAGTGTAGTTTTTTATTATCCATCTTCTGAAGCCTACTTCTGTCGATTCGTGCATCTGATCCTCTGTCCAGTTCTGTGCCATTAATGGAGAGACACTGCGATCATATGGAGAAGAGGCACTCTGGCCTTTTGAGTTTTCAGCATATTTTCATTGATTCTTTCTCATCTTCATGAATTTGTCTAGTTTCAGTCTTTGAGGCTGCTGACCCTTGGATGTGGTTTTTGTGGTGGCTTTTTTTGTTGTTGATGCTGTTGTAGTTGCTTTCTGCTTGTTTGTTTTTCTTTCAATGGTCAGGTCCCTCTTCTGTAGGGCTGCTGCAGTTTGCTGGGGATTCACTTCAGGCCTTTTTCATGTTATTTGCTCCTGCAACTGGAGAGGTCACTCAAGGAGGCTGGGGAACAGTAAAGATGGGTGCCTACTCCTTCTCCTGGGACCTCTGACTTTGAGGGGCACCAACCTGATGCCTGTAGGATCACCCCTGTATAAGGTGTCTGACAACCCATGTTGGAGGGTCTCACCCAGTTCGGAGGCATGAGGAACAGGACCCATTTAAGAAGGCACTTTGTCCCTTGGTGGCAGGGGTGTGCCTCAATAGGGGGAAACCCACTCATCGGGCTGCCCAGATTCCTCAGGACTACCAGGAGGAAATGCTAAATCTGCTGGTCTGCAGAGACTGTGGCCACCCATCCTGCTAGGGGCTCAGGCCCAGGGAGATCCAGGTTGTGTCCCTGAGCCTTCAGCTGGAGTTATTGGAGCTCCTACAGGGAAGCCCCACCCAGTGAGGAAGGATGGGTCAAGGTAACGCCTGAAGAGGCACTCTGGCTGCAGACTGCCACAGCTGATGTATTTGCCTGTGGGTACAAATCTTGGAACCAAGCCGTCCAGCCTCCCTGGCTCCAGCAGGGGAAAAGCACAGTTTGGAGCTATAGAGATGTTTGCTGCCCTTTTCCCACCCAGGGAGCTTAGCGCATTAGACAGTTGTGAGTCCCAGTGCTGGCTGTTGTCCCTCCCACAAGTAGCTCAAATGGCTTAGACAGCAGGGAGCTGCAGCCAAGGTGCTGGTCACCCCTCCCCCTGCGAGTTTGGTAGGTTTAAGCAGATTCCAGCTGACAGGCTGAGTGGTGTGGGTTCACTAGTGGGATCTTCTGATCCATGGGTTGCACAGTTCCATGGAAAAAGCACAGTTTCCCCGGAGCTCACTCACTGCCTCCCTTGGCTTGGGAGAAGGGGCTTCCCTGCCCCGTGTGGCTCTCAGGTGGGCCACCACACTGCACTGTTCTTTCTTCATTCTGTGGGTCATGCCAGCCTCCTAGTCAGTTCTGGTGAGACAACTTGGATACCTTGGTTGCCAGTGAAGGATTCACATGCTTATTATGTTTTTTTTTTTCCAATGGGAGCCTCCTAACGCTGCTGTTTCTAGTCAGCCTTCTGGGCCCTGCCACCTATTGTAAGTTTCTTGAGGCCTCCCAGCCATGTTTCCTGTACAGCCTGTGGAACTAAGAGTCAATTAAAGCTTTTTTCATAAATTACCCAGTCTCAGCTAGTTCTTTATAGCAGTGTGAGAAAGGACTAATACAGATAATTGCTACCAAAAAAGTGAGGCACTGTTATAAAGATATCTGAAATTGTAGAAGCAACTTTGGAAATGGGTATTGGGCAGAGATTGAAACAGTTTGGAGGGATCAGAGGAAGACAGGAAGATGAGGGAAAGTTTAGAACTTCCTAAAGACTTGTTGAATGATTGTGACCAAAATGCTAATAGTGATATGGACAGTGAACTCCAGGCTGAGGTAGTCTCACATGGAGATGAGGAACTTACTGGAAATTGCAGTAAAGGCCACTCTTGCTATGCTTTAGCAGAGATTGGTGGCATTGTGCTCCTGCTCTAGAGATCTATGGAAATTTGAACTTAATAGAGATGATTTAGGTTATCTGGCAGAAGAATTTTCTAAGCATCAAAGCATTCAAGACATAGCCCAGCTGCTTCTAAAAGCCTATGCTCATTTGCATAAACAAAGGAATGACCTGAAACTAGAACTTATATTTAAAAGAGAAGCAGAGAAAAAAAGTTTGGAAAATTTGCAGCCTGACCATGTGGTAGAAGAGAAAAATCTATTTTCTGGGAGGAATTCAAGGCTGAAGAAATTTGCATAAGTAAAGAAAAGCTGAATTTTAATAGCCAAGACAATGGGGAAAATGTCTCCAGAGCAGTTTAGAGACCTTCGTGGCAGCTCCTCCAATCACAGGCCTGGAGGCCTATGAGGGAAAAATGGTTTTGTGGGCTAGGCCCAGGGTCCTGATGCTCTGTGCAGCCTCAGGATATGGCGCCCTGTGTTTCAGCCTCTTCAGATCTAGCCGTGGCTAAAAAGGGCCAAGGTACAGCTTGGGCCATTGCTTCAGAGGTTGCATCCCCAAACCTTATTGGCTTCCACATGGTGTTGAGCCTGTAGGTGTGCAGAAGGCAAGAGTTGAGGTTTGTGAGCCTCTGCCTAGATTCCAGAGGATGTATGGAAATGTGTAAATGTCCCGGCAAAAGTCTGCTGCAGAGCCGGAGCCCTCATGGAAAATCTCTACTAGAGCAGTGTGGAGGGGAAATGTGGGATTGGAGTCCCCACACAGAATCCCCACTGGGGCACCACCTAGTGGAGCTGAGAGAAGAGGGCCACTATTCTCCAGACACCAGAATAGTAGATCCAGTGACAGCTTGCACTATGTGCCTGAAAAAGCCATAGACACTTAGCACAAGCCTGTGAAAACAGCCATAGGGGCGGTACCCTGTGCAGAGCCACAGGAATGGAGCTACCCTTGGCCTTGGAAGCCCACCCATTTCATCAGTGTGGCCTGGATGTGAGACATGGAGTCAAAAGAGATCACTTTGGAGCTTTAAGGTTTAATGACTGTCCTGATGGGTTTCAGACTTGCATGGGGTCTGTATCTACTTTGTTTTGGCCAATTTCTCCCTTTTGGATTGGGAGAATTTCCCCAATTTCTGTACTTCCATTGTGTCTAGGAAGTAACTAAATTGCTTTTGATTCTACAGGCTCATTTTTGAAATGTGAGACGGACATGAGATTCCAGAAGTGGAATGATATGGTTTGGTTCTGTGTCCCCACCCAAATCTCATTTTGAGTTGTAGTTTCCAATGTTGAGGGAAGAAACTGGTGGGAGGTGATTGGATCATGGGGGTGTATTTCTCCCTTGCCGTTCTCATGATAGTGAGTGAGTTCTCACAATATCTGGTTGTTTAAAAGTGTGTGGCATTTCCCCCTTTGCTCTCTCTCCTGCTCCACCATGGTAAGGCATGCTTTTTTTCTCCTTTCACCATGTTGTAAGTCTCCTGAGGCTTCTCAGCTATGCTTCCTGTACAGCCTACAGAATTGAGAGTCAATTAAACCTCTTATCTTCATAAATCACTCAGTCTCAGCTAGTTCTTTATAGCAGTGTGAGAATGCACTAATACAGTGGGATAAAAAATAAATACATCTGCTAACTATGGAGAAGGAGTGGCCTCAGGGTATGGATAGAACTCAATTAATGTTGTTAGAGAAAAGTATTAAAAACACTAGACAAATCAAATCAGTGGATATGGAGTTAGGATATTAAGGAGTGCATTTTTATTTTAGTATTCTACAGAAATGTACATAATAAAAATAACTTAGGAGAAAATACACAAACCAGTAGTTTCACTAGTAAGATTTGAAGTTAGATACTCCCTCAACTTTCAGTTCTGTTAATAACCAATGGGTCTTAAGCATGTGAAAAACTCATGAAATCAGTTTTCTTATTTGTGAAATGTAGTAAGTTCCAGCAGTTTCCTTGGATTGTTGTGGACATCCAATTAGATACTATATGGAAAGCATCCAAGTGTGGTCTGGTGCAAAGTTGATCTCAATAAATCTTTGTTTCTACCCCAACCCCAACTCTCTTTGTCTTTCAATGACTACAGCAATGAAATATAACTAAATTCCTTTTGTAATAGGTTTTGTAATAGGATTAAGTGCCTTTCTATAAAATTTAGGTACACAGAAGAAAGGAAGTAGAGCATAGGATTTAACCAACATAGTTGTTGAAGAGAAATAGAAATGGAGTTGAGTTTTGTCTCATCTGAAATGAGGATAATATTAATATTTACTTTATGGGAAGACTATAAAGATTAAATGAGATAATGAAAGTCACTTAACACATAGTTTATAATATAGTGATGGCTGTTAGTTGATAAGGGATCATAATAGAAACCATGATAATAACATCAATATTTGAATTTCTCTGAAAAGAGCATAGTATAAAAATCTCTGGAAAAGAAGAATCCACTTAAAAAGTCATCTAGAGTTTTGTAACTTATTCTAAATACAGAATTGGATTCTACAATATAAAATAGAGTGTGAATGTTTTGTGATTCTCAAGTATAGCCCTTTTGCAGGAAGGACTCTTCCTCTCCCCTCATCTCTCCTGTTGGTGCCTTGCCTACCCACACTGATTATGCCCACACAAGAAGGAGAGTAGTGGAGTTCCTTATTCTCAGGGTCAAAATTAACTGTTCAAGTTGTCTTTGTGACTTCTTTGGGTAGCAGATTTAGGATGCTTATAAGTATGCCTATAGAATCTAACCAGATTGAAATATTTCTACTTGAAACAAAGACTGAACTGGGATCCAAAATTTGAAGCTTCAACTAAGACTGGTTATTTTATGTAAATTTGATCTCCTCATGGAAACATTGTAAAATAGACTTTCTATGCATTTACATTAAACTAATTTAATTATGTATTCATGTTTGCTTCATTTCAAGCACTGAGTCTCCTTGCTATAACTTTTCTTGTAAGTTGGTGAGGCTTTTCAGGACACCTGTGTGTTCTGGTCCTTTATTTTATGCCCTCTCATGTATGCTTCAGGTGGTTGTAACTCCTAAAATCAACCCAATGTTTTCTTCTTTTGCTAGGACATTGCTGCCCTAATTATAAATCCTGATAGCACCTTTCCTTTTCCTCCAGTTTTCTTTTAGTATTGTTTTCTCTTTCTCTATTTTTCTCCTCCTTTTAAAGCCATCCTTTTTCTCTGGTCTTTGCATCCTCATATGACACAGCATTCATTGTCTACTATGTAATTTCTTCTTTATACAGGCTGCACCAATGTACTCTTCAGTGAACAAGTACTCATTAAACACCTACCACATGCCAGATACATATACTGGAAACATGTTTTTTCCATTCTGTAGTGGCTCTTTAAACTAGCTCTTATATGGGCAAATCCAGTTTTTCTTGGCTGCTTCTTTCCTGCAGTTTCTTCCTGACTGTCTCTTTGTGTGGTAGAAGTAATTTATTAAAAAGACACACTCAGTTTCCTAATATTAATACAATATCTCTGACATGATCATCTCCATGGAAAACTGAAATGTTACCACAATTCGAGATGACTAGTTTCAGGTTAGCAGGTGGATTTAAAAAATGATTGGAAAAAAATCATATCATCTCATTATTTTGGTAACACTTAAGTCATTCTCTTACCTAAAATGCTTTGGGAGATCCCAGAGTATTTTTCAGTATGAAGAAGTCACAACTCCCTAATGAATTACAGGTTCTTTTCTTTCTCCCTTTTATTTTTAGTTCACACATAATAATTGCACATATTTATGAGATACCAAGTGATATTTCTGCATATAGACACAATGTTTAATGATGAAATAAGGGTAATTAGCATGTCCATCACCTCAAAGATTTATTATTTCTTTGTGTTCAAAGTCTTCTCTTCTAACCTTTTGAAAATATGCATTAAATTATTGTTAACTATATTTACTCCATAGTGTTACTGAAAATAGAACTTATTCCTCCCATCTAGCTATAACTTTGTACCTGTAAACCAACCACTCCCTATCCTCCCCTTCCCCTTATATCTCCCATCCTTTAATGACCACACTTACACTGTCTACTACTGGTGAAAGAAATTGAAGAGAACACACAAAAAATGAAAAAAAATCTTATGCTAATGGATTGAAATAGTTTTCTTAAAATGACTATGATACCCAAAGCAATCTATATATGAAATGCAATGCCTATCAACACACCAATGATGTTATTCACAGAAATGGAAAAACAATCCTAGAATGCAATGAAACCACACAAAGCCAAAGCAATACTGAACAAAAAGAACAAATGTGAAGGTATCACACTACCTGACTTCAGAATATACTACAAAGCTATGGTAACCAAAACAGCATGGTATTGGTATAACAACAGACACATAGAACAATGGAATAGAATAGAGAACATAAATATAAGTCCATGTATTTATAGTCAATAGTTTTTTGACAAATGTGGCAAGAACATTCACTGGGGAAAGGATACCCTCTTCAATAAATGGTGTTGGCTGCATGTTCTCACTCATAAGTGGGAGTTGAACAATGAGATCACATGGACACAAGGAAGGGAACATCACACACCAGAGCCTGTTGGGGAGTGGAGGGTAAGGGGAGGGAGAGCATTAGGACAAATAGCTAATGCATATGGGGCTTAAAACCTAAATGACTGGTTGATAGGTGCAGCAAACCACCATGGCACAGGTATACCTGTGTAACAAACATGCATGTTCTGCACATGTATCCCAGAACTTAAAGTAAAATAAAATAAAAAAAAGATGTTGGGAAAATTGAATATCCATATGCAGAAGAATAAAATGAGACCCCTCTCTCTCACCACATACAAAAATCAACTAAAAATGGATTAAAGACTTAAATGTAAGATACCAAACTGTAAAACTACTAGAAGAAAACAAAGGGGAAATGCTTTAGGACATAGACAAAGATTTAATGGGTAAGACTTCAAAAGCACAGGTAATAATAACAAAAAATAGACAAATGAGACCATGTTAAACAAAAAAATCTTCTGTACCGCAAAAGAAATCATCAATAGAGTGAAGATGCAGCATGTAGAGTTGGAGAAAATACTTGCAAATTATGTCTCCGACAAGGTACTAATATCCAGAATATACAGGGAACTCAACAGAAAAAGAAAATTCAAATTAAACAGTTGTCAAAGGGTCTCAATAGACATTTCTCAAAAAAAGACATACAAATGGCCAACAAATATATGACAAAATGCTGAACATCACTAATGATCAGGGAAATGCAAATCAAATCCACATTGAGATGCCATCTCACCCCAGTTAGAATGGCTATTATCAAAAAGACAAAAAACAACAAATGCTGGCTAGAATGCAGACAAAAGGGAACCCTTATACACTGTTGATGGGAATGTGAATTAATACAACCATTATGAAAACAGTATGAAGTTTCCTTAAAAACCTAAAACTAGAACTACCATATGATCCAGCAGTTTTACTACTGGGTATTTATTCAAAGGAAACAAAATCAGTATATCAAGGAGAAACTTGCACCCCCCATATTAATTGCAGCTGTGTTTATAATAGCCAAGATATGGAATAAGACTAAATGTCAACAGATGAAAGGATAAAGAAAATGTGGTAATATACACAACGGAATACTGTTCAGCCATGAAAATAACGAGATCCTGTAATTTGTGGCAACATAAATGAGCCTGGAGGACACTATGTTAAGTGAAATAAGCCAGGCACAAAAAGACAAATATTGTATATTCTCACTATAGCTAAAAAAAAAAAAAAAAAAGAAGAAGCTTGTTTCTTTTTGATCTGCTTTCTAAAACTCTTCAGCTTCATCTATCAAGTAATTTTCCCCTTGCCTTTTCAATATTCAAATACTGAGTTACTCTTAATTCTAAGATGTGTCTCTTATTGCTCACCTCTTGCCCATTGTACTTGCTATTTGTGTGCTTGAAGCATTTTCTCACTCTTCTGACTTTGCCAATATAACTTCTCCTTTAATCTCAATAGGAGACTTTCTCTAGGAAGCCTTCCCTGAGCAGTTGTCCTGTGCTTCCACAGCAGCTTATGTGACACTCATTCTGGTACATGGTGCATGTTCAGGAAACATTTATTCAATGAATTAGTTTAACTAATATGCATTAGTTTTATAACATTAGTTAAAACTAATGCATATTTTATTGTTTTAATAGAGAAATGCTAATGATCATTTCAAATAATTTTGATAGTTTTCAAAACTGAAAACCAGTAGCAAATTCCCCTCTATATTTCTCTGTTGAATGATGCAACTGAATGTTTGTTTTCCCCAACAGGTTTTTCATATTATCTTTTAAGTTGGTTCAATATTTGCTTAATTCATATTACAAATTTCTTCCTAGGTTGGATTCTTAATGGTAAGGAATCTTTATTTGCTAAAAATGCAATAAGCCTGATAGACTATTTAATTATTTTATTACATTTTTAACAGAGATCACACCTGCTTATTTTGCATTATTTAATAGAGTATTTGAGACAAAGATAATGGGGGCATCTAATTGCTCTTTGATGGTGGGATATTATCCATGTAACTGATATTCAGCATTGTTATCATTGAACACTCTCCATTTATTTAAATTGGGGATGTATGAGGTCAGTAAAGGTAATATCCAAAGATGGTTACCTGTAGAATCTTTACTGCATGTTAAATGGCCTGAAATAAGGCAGGGATTATTTCCCTTATTATTTTTTCTATTTGTTGTTTTCATTTTTAATTAAAGGGAGAGAAACATATGCAGCCCTTCCTTTTATTTTTACCCATCTTTAGAGTGATCAGTAAATTTAAGTGTGTGGCTCCTGGAAAGGGACCAATAATTTAGATTTCAATTACTTTTAAGTTCAGTTAGATTTTTCTATATTTAAAAAATATAAATTACTAGTCATAACTTCTTTTTCTGTACAAGTAAGGAATGCTATTCTTTCACTTTATGGTTAAGATCTCATTTTCCTATTTGCTATGTAAATTTGAGAGTGTTCTAAGCATAGCAAGGAGCCAGTGTGAGAAATTGATCACATCTCATGTATTGAATGCTTTAAAATGTTCAAAGCCCTTTCTCATTGATTTTTTTTTTTAATTCTCAACTTTATCTTTGTGAAAGATATTGAACAGCTATTTTTGCCCCACTAACTGTAAACTTCTGGGAGCAGGGACATGTCACAATACCTTTACATTCTTTACACCTAGAGTAGTTCCTGGCAAATACTTGATGCACAATACAGTTTATAAAAAGTGAATAAATAAGCAAATAGTGGCACAAATAGTAAAGTGATTTGTGAAAAGTCACAATTTGAGTCAATGGCAGAGACAAAAATTGGACTTTCTGACTTCTAAACTATTTTCAACCTGGGAAAATACAATAATCAGTAGCAAAGGGCCTGAAAATGAGGTGGCACAGCCTTCTTTATGTAAAAAAGGTCCTGAAAATGAGGTGGCACAGCTTTACGTGCAATGAAGGAGTGTGTGGAGAGGGCTAGTGTGTGTGTGCATGTGGAGAGGGCTAGTGTGGTGTAAAAGTTATATAATTGAAAGATGCACAAGTTAGGACAGAAAAGAGTCAGTGCAAATTGTGTGGGGAGTATAGAACTAAGTTACCCTCAGCAGACAGACTAGTTTAATTGGCAGCAATTCCTTGATGCAGAATCAGAGTTTCAGGGACTTTCAGTGAAATCAGAATCTTTACATCGATGTGAAATTACATTCTTTATTGTGGTAAAATAAACATAATATAAAATATACCTGTATAGCCATGTGATTCATCAAAAAATTAAAAATAGAATTGTCATAGAATCCACTAATTTTGCTGCTGAATATATACCCCAAAGCAATGAAAGCAGCAACTTAAACAGATACCTGTACACCCAGGTTCATAGCAGCACCATTCAAAATAGCCAAAAAGTAAAAGCAACCTAAGTGTCCATCAATGGATAAGTGGATAATCAAAATGTAATAAATACATACAATGAAATATTATGCAGCCTTAAGTAGGAAATAAATTTTGACATATGCTACATCATGGATTAATCTTGAAGACATTATGCTACGTGATATAAGCCAGTCAGAAAAGGGCAAATACTGTATGAAGTTAATTTTAAAACAGTCTAAAAAATATGTCAGAAAGCATTCTTGCCGATATCCTTGTTCCTTTCATTAGAATTTTATCTTTCTCAAAACATGAAATTTACTCTTGACTCATACTTTTTTTTCCAATCCCCTCTATTGTAGTGAAATAGAATAACCAAAAGCAGTTATTGTGTTGTCCTGGGTTTGGCATCAAAAATAACTCCAGATGTGTATCTGAAATGTCAGACTATCGGGATTGTGTAAAATCTAATTCTTGCAAAAGGATATGCCCCATTTTGAAAGTAAATATGCCATAGATTTAACAAATCAATAAACCTTTTAAAGGAATTGAACTGAAAATGTCTATTTTTTAGTTTGTTTTTTTTTTTAGGTTTTGTTTATTTAAACTGTTGTTAATCCTATTCATTAAGGAAAGAAAAGTTAAGGAAAAAGAAGGCTAATTAAATATTGTTAAATCATGCTTAAAATTATAAAATATTTCTAACCAAACGGTAAGAACAAAATAAGTTGGAGAAAACACTTTTAAATGGTGAATATAATACTTCTACTTTATAATATACAAAGAAAATAAAATGGTCTATAATCCAAAGCTAATTAATTCTGCAAAATTTAGTAAAAGTTATACAAGAAACTTGTATAATATATTTAGAAATCTCTAAGAATGAGAGCACTGAAGAAATATTTAAAATTAAAGATAAACATCTAGCTTTCCCCAGTTTCTTTAATCTTTACTTTTATTTCCTCCTTTACCCTTCCTGGAAAGAAATGTTTATATATTTTTACATACATGTCTGTATATTTATTTTTTACTTTCACAACATTAATAGAGTATGGTGCTTTGTCCAAATCAAAATGTGTAGAACTTCCTTCTTCTTTTAATTATATGCATAGATTCCAGTGTTTAAATTTCGTGTAACTACCCTTCCCACGTCCCTTCTTTCTGCCCTCTTGCCATTATCAGCTTCTTCAAATCTATCATATACACAACAGCTGTGATGATTAATACTGAGTGTCAGCTCAAGTGGATTGAAGGATGCAAAGTATTGTTCCTGTGTGTCTGTGAGGGTGTTGCCAAAGATGTGTCTGTGTGGTGTGTCTGTGAGGGTGTTGCCAAAGGAGATTAACATTTGAGTCAGTGGACTGGTAGTGGCAGACCCACCCTCAATCTGGCTGGACACAATCTAATCAGCTGCCAGCGAGGTTAGTATAAGGCAAAAGATGGAAGAGGAGACTGTCTGAGTCTTCCGGCTTTCATCTTTCTCCCATGCTGGATGCTTCCTGGCCTTAAGCATCAAACTTCAAGTTTTTCAGCTTTTGTACTCTTGGACTTACACCAGTGGTTTGCCAGGGGCTTTTGGGCCTTTGGCCACAGACTGAAGGCTGCACTGTCGACTTGCCTGCTTTTGAGGTTTTGGAACTCAAACTGATTCACCACTGGCTTCCTTGCTCCTCAACTTGCAGATGGCCTATCATGGGAACTTACTTTATGATTGCGTGAGTCAATTCTCCTTAATAAACTCCCTTTCACATATACATATATCCTATTAGTTCTGTCCCTCTAGCTAACCATGAATAATACAGCAGCCAAAGTAATCTTTCAAAATAAAAATAAATTAAAACAAATTTTTTTCTTTTCTTTCTTTTTTTTTTTTTTGAGACGGAGTCTCCCTCAGTCACCCAGGCTGAAGTGCAATGGCATGATCTCAGCTCACTTCAACCTCTGCCTTCCAGTTTCAAGTGATTCTCCTGCCTCAGCCTCCCGAGTAGTTGGGATTACAGGCGCCCGCCACCACTCCCGGCTAATTTTTGTATTTTTAGTAGAGATGGGGTTTCACCAGGTTGGCCAGGCTATAAAAAAATTTTTTTAAATGAGGCCAGTACATAAAACACTGCAATGATTTCTTAGGAATTTAAAAGATACCTGACGCAGAGTAAACGTTCTACTAAATATTTGATGAATGAAAGAAAAGAGGAAAATACAGCTTTACACTCAAGAAAGAAACAAAAGGAACAAGTTGCTTTTCCATTTTTTTGCTAAACAACACTGAAATGAGTGTACTTTTTACATGTATTTAGGAATAATTTTGCAAAGATTTTCCTGGGAGATGCATGGTAAAGGAATCACTACTGTTGAAGATCGGCTATGTAGTCAAAAGTCTGCCCCAATGTATGGTACCAATTTTGACTTTTACCAGTAGTGTAAGTGAATAGCTACTTCCCTACATCCTCACCAAGACTGGACATTATAAAGTTTTATATTTTTGCTAATATGGAAGATCATTTTATTTCTTAGCAGAATAAGGTTTAGCACTGTTTTATATGCTTATTGGGGACATAATTTTTTTTAAGAGTCTTTTTATATCTATTGCTACACAAATGGCCGATGTTTTCCTTTGTTTTTAATTATTCATATTTTCTTCATAGTACCCATACGTTTTTGGTTTTAACAAATGTCTAAAAATTTATTTATGTTGGAAATCTGTGTTTAAACTACTTCAATTATTTGGTTAGTATGTGGTGTTCTTGAGGTAAATATCATAGATTTGATAACAGTATGTGGTAATTTATTTCACCTAGAAAAACTGGCTAGGGAATATACAACCACTTCCAGCCATTCTGTATGCAGGTGAATCTTGGTTTCCCTGTGGGCAATGATGTATGGAACTTACGAACAATATGGGCAGATCAACAAACAGCACATAAAGGTGAGTAAATAACATTAGCCTGATATTTATGCAAATTACTGTTTTTCTTATCTATTTCAGCAAGATTATAAATAATATACTCAAATTTTTTTGTGTATTTTAACCTTTATATTTTAGTTTTCCTAATATTAATTTTGATATATAAAAATGCTATTTTTAATTGATTAATAAAAGAGGCAACATACAGTTGTTCATGTTAATATTTATTCTTCATATTTATACAATAAATGTTCCTAAGCATTAGATGTAAATATTACAATGCAAAATAGTTCTTCGGGTATTTTTCCAACGCTTGCTTGAACTGCAGATGACGCTACTAATTAGGTAGAATTCTAAAATTTTATTTTAATGAAAATGAGACAATGCTCAGGTATTTTACAAACTGTAATGTCTCTCCCCCTTTAAAAGAAGATTCTGATATGAACTGGTAACCGATAGTGAACAAAGTTATTTATATTAGTGATATATAAATGCTGAGATTCAATGAAGCCTTATGTTTCGGGCTGCAAGAAGAAAAAAGAAATAATAGGGTCAAATGTAATTATATACTTTGATTACTGTTTTTCTATGTACAGTAAATTTTGTAAATTTGGTCTCCAATAATCATTTTTAAAAATAAATTACAAGTAGAAATATGTTCATATGCCATCACCGAAACCTGAATGTGTGTACAAAATCTGATATTTTTATTTATGAAAATAAGTGATTCATTTTAAGGCAGTCATTTGTTATCCTTGTATCTGTATTATTAAGAGCAAGAATCACCAATTTTTAACTTATTATCTTTTAATCATTATTTTAAAACATGAATTGAGGGGCTCAACTTTATTTTTAATATGGGATGCAAGTTAAAGGACAATCCTCTTGATAATTTAAGGTTCTTGGAAGTTTACTTTGACCTATTGACTTTAATTATAGTTAAATTACTCTAGATTTACACAATAGTTTGTTTCACTCACACAATCTTGGCTTTCGAAATTGAATGATTTTTGAAAATTATTTTGTAGTCATAAAAATAGTTAAAAATGCAGTCTTTATAAAAATACATTTTATTCACTCTGAAAACAATATGTTTTTAAAATTGTGCCAGGAAAAAATATATACTACTTCTTAAAAAAACATTATGAGTCTTGCATTTAATAGAAATCATAATACATTATAACCAACCATTTCTACATAAGATGAAACAAAATAGCAAATCTTGAGTGTGTAGAACCACTTCCTTGGGTTGCTACCAAATCTAAGTAAAAAGAGCATTTCATTCTTAGTAAGAGTCATGTTTGCTTAAGAGGAAAGCATACTTTTAACATTCCAGTGCTATGAAAATTAGAAAAAAAATACAGAGATTAGTTTATTTTAGAGATGCGAATATAATAACTTGTAGAAGGTGATCCTCGATGTAATCTGATTTTTATCACATTGAGAAAATGACTGCTTGCTCAGTGTGAACTACAGGAGGACAGCTGTAAGCTTTTGCAAGTTATTTGCACTATCATAATCTTCTTGGCTGATCTTCAAAGAGGTTTCCAAGCAGAGTTCAAACTTTAAACCATGAAATTATCCCTACAACCCAATTAGAGGTTGAATCTGCATACTAAATCCCAGGTAGAAGTTAATCACAGAGTTGGTGATCACTTAAGGATTGAATGGCAGCTGTAGGTTTTTAAGTAGCTTTTCAAGACTATCTATAGAGAAGAATGCAAATATGTCTTCACATTATCCTTTATTTTATAGATTCCAGATACTTTTAAATTATTGCTATGACTTTCTCTTTTATGGGTTTTAGCTTTGGCAGACTGATGCTTAGTTTTATCCTTGAGCCAAATATCTACCAAGTTGTGTGTTAGCAACAATGCCTGAAACTATAGGTAATACACAAATCAAATTGGCTTTACTGAAGACATTTCTTGACTCATATAACTGGTACTCCAGAAGTAGGCCTGGTTTTAGGGTTAATTGGTTCTTCAGTTCAAATATAAAAAGATTCCAGATTCTTTTTGTCTTTTGATCTGCTTACCTGCAGAGTTGGTTTTATCCTAAGATTGAGTGTACTTATGGTTATTGCTGCCAGAAACATTATACTCAACTTCATTCTTGGTGTTCAGTGGAAGTGCATGGCTTCCCAATGTCACCTCTTGAGAATTAGGGAAATTGTTTCCAGGAGTCTATAGGAACGTTTTTCTCATCTCTCTTTGGCCATAATCGGGACTCATGCTCATTCCTAAATGAATCAATGACAGGTGCAGTGGGTGGGAGATACATTTGTCTTTAGATCAATGAAGTTTATTTCTTGAGATTACATTAATTTTTCAAGCACCATCTCAACTATTCAGAGGGTGATGTGCAGATGGATATGGCAGGACTTGTCTCAAGATGCACTACCTCTGGCCCTTTAATCTCAACATCCATACACAGCACCCTTAACACACAGCTTGAAGAATGTTCATTTTTACACAGTGTTCTCATCTAGCCTTTTTGAGGCTATGGTAAGGGCCCTTCAGTCTTTATATAGTTGAACTTTATTTTACTTTTAAATCTATTCTGATAGTTTCAAATTCAAACCATATGGATTTATAGCCATTACAGCTTATTAAAGAATGTTTTGAAGTTTGTCTTAGATTTTATTTCCATATTTTCTATAATTTTTCACATGTACCTGCTTTCAATTGATGTAATGCTCATCATCACTGATCATTTAGTACCCTGAGTTTCTTATTCTGGTTATAAAAAATTAGAAAATGAACGTACATCCTTCTTACATTTTAAAGATGAAATTATTTGTCATTTTATCACAAAAATATAAAGCACCACACCTTCATTTTTCTCAAGGGTAAAAGAAGCAAAGACTTGATCAACACAATTTATATTAATTTTTCCATGAACATCCACTATATATAGCATTTATATATATGTGGCACTATACATAGCTTTTTAAAGACCATCTTAGTGTTGAAATTATTGTATAATCTACCCATTCTGATAATACATATAATTTCCATTAACCAGACTTCTCAGGGATTCCATAGATTAAATATGCACATACAGATATCACTATAGTTGGAGAAGCAGCTATCCTTAAGGAGAGCAATTTTTTTCAAAATTAAACGTTGGGAATGAGGAAAAGAGGCCCTCCATTTAGGGATAAATACTAAAGAGTTTTCTGGTAGCAGCAAGCAGCAACTAGTAGTTCAAATGGCTCAGTTAGGAAAACAACATAGCTCTAGTCCACAGATGTCAGATGTATGGTAACTTTCATATTAGGCAGCTAAGACTATTGGTTCATTTTAGAGCATGTTCCCACAATATAAAATTTTTATATTTTTATATTTATATTTATTGCATGTCTAAACATCCTGAAGATAAACATGGTTACAATTATAATATATTAGATCTAAACAGAAACATTAATATTATATTATCAAATGTGAAAACGTAAAATATTAAACTTTCACAAAATACCCTGGCATTTTAATCTTCATAAACATAGCACAATGACATTTAAATCGAGGCTTTAAAATTTTATTACTTTATAAGTTTAAAGTTAATTATTTCTTTTATATTGTACACAATATATGATATTTTTATCATATTTTATGATTTTTTTAAAAACTCTTCAAAATCTTGAACGACTTTTTTAAAAAACTCAATGAGTTGGGTATTTTTGTACCATGTACCTAGTGCCAAAATATTCTAATTCCATATCTGAAAATTTATCTTTTAATTTTGGTCAGTTATTGACTATTTAAGAATGAACATAATCATTGATGAATCTTTTTCATAAGTGCAATTGTACATAATGGAAAACACTCAAATGCAATTAACCATTTTACTTAAATAAAATACACATAGAAAAACACAGAGACACTTTTAAAGGGTCGCTTCTTGTGAAAGTTTAGTCTTTTATTGTTTGGAAAATCAAGTCATGTTATAATGATGTAGATTTAAACCTGCTTAGAAACGGAAGCCTGTATTTTGGTACTAAATGGTTTAAGTCTAATACTTAAATTATATTCTCAGTGTTATTTCTAACATGCTTGTTATTGTGGGTTATTTCTCTTCTTTTTAAAAACAAATTAGCCATGAGTTATAATTATGTCTCTTAGTGTAATTAATGTAAATATGGTGTGTGGAAGAATCTGACAGGGATGCCAGAAATTGCCTTCAAAATACTCAGGGTATAAAATTCCATAGTGATTTCTGCAGCACTCCTCTTCATCTTGAGGGCGTAATTGTGTTCATATTATTGTAATACTTTTAGTTCACATTTCAGGACTAGTTTCCAAATTTAAGATTGAAATTCCTGTATCTCTCAAATTAATCTGTAATGCTTACACGTCGAAATATGTGTAAACACATATTTGTCCTTCAAAATTCAAGGAGTAAGGATTTTTACTCTAAGGTAAGTCTTCTTAAGGATTATGTAATGTGATTGTGTTAAACAATTAGAGTTTAGTGAGGCTTCAGAATGAATTTGCCATTCTATCATCTTTACTATTGCAAGTTTTTCTTTTTTTTTTTGAGACGGAGTCTTGCTCCATCATCCAGGCTGGAGTGCAGTGGTGCGATCTTGGCTCACTGCAACCTCCGCCTCCCAGGTTTAAGCGATTCTCCCGTCTCAGCCTCCCAAGTAGCTGGGACTACAGGCACCAACACTAAGGCCGTCTAACTTTTTTGTATTTTTAGTGCAGACGCGGTTTCACCATATTGGTCAGGCTGGTCTCGAACTCCTGACTTCAGGAGATCCACCACCTCGTCCTCCCAAAGTGCTGGGATTACAGGCATGAGCGCCTGGCCTGTTTCAAGTATTTTTTAAGGTTGACGGTAAAACTTTTTCAACTATAACACACAAACGCGCACACACACACACACACACACACCCACACAAACACACACACACAGACAATGGTTGTACCAAACCCAACTCTTTCTTTGGATCTTAAAGGAAATACACAAAATTACTTTGAAGATTAATTTCAGTATGTTTAGCACTCAAGATTAGTTGTAAATCAACCAAATGTTTATATTCCTTCATTCATTATAAAAATAAAAAAATAAAAAATCAGTGTATGCCAGACACACAGTGCTGGGAATTACTGGTGAACAATACAGATGAAACTCTCTGTACCCTGCACTCACAGAGTTTATAATCTGGTGAGGGGAATACTCATTTAAAAAGAATACTGATGTAATAGCTAAAAGGGAAAATAAAGCAAGAAGGGAGATACAACGTGTGTGTGTGTGTTGTTATATGTGTGAGACGTGCAACTTTAGACATGGCAGCCAGAGAATACCTCACTAAGAATGTGACATTTGAGTAAACACCTGAAGAAGTGAGGGAGACAGGCATGTGGTTATCTGTCCTTGAGGCTGGCATACCTGAAGTGTTTGGGGGAAGAGCAAGGTGATGAGGGTTGCTGGGGCAGAGTTAAGAAGATTGTGGTAGGAGATGAAGTGAGAAGGCAATTGAAGGTCAGATTGTGGAAGGCCTTAAACACAATGATAAAGATTTATTCAGCCTAGGAGTGACCTGACATCTGTTAAAAGAACACTTTTGCTTCTTTGTGAAAAATAATCTGAAGGGAAGCAAAGACTGAAGTGGAGACAGCAGTGGCAAGGTTATTGCAGTCATCTAAGTGAATGAGGACAGCGGTATGGGAGAAGGTAGGAGGAGGGGAGGCACTGAGAAGTATTTCTCATATATTTTGAAAACAGAATTGATGAATCAAATGTGAGAAGTGAAATGCATGTTACAGTTTCTTCTGGGTGATATACTGTTATAATTGGAACTGCGGAAGGACAGAAAATAAAAATTGATGTTTTAGGATGTAAAAGGAATGCTGGAGTTAGGTTTTAGTAGATACAAATCCTAGTAGCTGTTGTGTCTTTAACTAGCTTCGTGATCTCGAGCAAAATTCTTTCAAGGTCATGATTTATTGGCAAAATGGGAGTGGGTGCTAAAACTGGGCCAAATCACCCTACTGGAAGGGGCAATTAAAACTTTGTAAAGTTTTATTGGAACACAGCCATGCTCGTTTAGGTATTGTCTTTGGCTGCTTTTGCACTACAATAGCAGAGTCAAAAAGTTTCACATTGACTGTTTAGCTCCCAAAGCCTAAAATATTTGGTATCTGACCCTTTACAGAAAAGGTTTGCTGACTCTTAGACTATGAATTCAACGAAAAAAGGTTGTAAACATGTGGGATTTTGAGTAGTTTTCTCTATGTAATATTGCAAAAGGCCTATAAAGAATTGTGAATTTTTTATGCAACAAATCAAAATCAGGTCATTAGCAACAGATGACTAGATTGCAGATTGGAAAATACGTGTGATTCCTTTACCATTAAAAGTGTATCCTAATGACAATGTATTTCTATATTTACTGGCATTAAGAGATGATTACAGTTTGTTTTTGAATTAAAAAATAGGTCTTAAATACACAAACACACATACATGGATTTTCTCAGTTTGTTCTATTAGTTATTAATTTATTTACTTATTCCTTCATTCACTTCTTATCATCTATTCACTTATTCATACATTATTTATGTATATGCATAGGCTTAGAAACATGGAATGTTAACAAAGTATAGTTATTGTTGATGTTATTATTTTTGCTTATTTGTATTTTCTTATTTTCTTACAATGCAGGCAATTACATGCAAAAATTAAATAAAAGTCTAATGAACACATATTCTATGTCCCCGAATCCTCTACTGATCTAGAGCCATAAAGAGAAAGTTAACGTTAAAGGCCAAGATTGATGAGTGGCAGACTATAATGGTGGATTATACAGTCATTAATATTAGTTTTATTGATTGCTTTGGCCTGTTCCAGATAGCATGTATGTACATACCCTTCATGGGAAAAAGAAACTAAAAGATGAAGACAGAACAGAAAAGGCAGAATTCATTTTCACAATTTTGCCACGGGTACCTTACAAATAGCACACAAAGCTCAGCTGGTCAGAAAGTATGGCTCTTATATTAGAGCCCTGTTTTACCTTTCATCTATTCTCTTATTCTCAATAGTCTTTCGTTTATTTAACTCCATGTTCCACATATAATTTAAATTCAATATGATTTCTTGAACTTTGTCTTCATAAAATTGTGAATTATTATTTTCTATTGTGTAATCCCACTAAATAAGAAGGCATCCCTTACCATATATAACAAAACAAACAAACCTCATACAAAAACTTTTCAAAAAACAAAATGAGAATGTTTTCATTGGCATATTGGACTCAGCAATGTGCAATAGTAAATGAATCGTCTCTTCCTTCCAATTCAAATATTTATGTTCCTGAAAACAGTAGGGAAACTCAGCTCTCAATTTCCTGTTTAGAAAACTAAACAATGGTGAATAAAGTTAGAAAGACATTGAAGATGTTATGCAGGGTGATAACTAAGCTAAAAACTTGCAAAGGCACAATTAAAAAAAAAAAAAAAACAAAAAAATCTGATTTTTTGGCTTTAGGAAAAACATGAAATGATAATAATCATCTCACTAATGATTCTTATTTTATTAAATCAGTTATTGATTGTGATGTTTGATTTCTTATTTCATTTAATAATTTGATAAATATTCAATGGCAACGTATTGTAACAGAGAAAGAATTTAATTCAAGTAAAGTTGGCTGAATCAGAGGGAATTTTATTACTACTCAAATCAGTCTCCCTGAAAATCTGGAGACTGGGGTTTTTTAAGGATAATTTGACAGGTAGGGGGCCAGGGAGTAGGGAGGGCTGATTGGTTAGGTAGGAGCTGAAATCATAGGGAGTCAAAGGTGTCCTCTTGCGAAACTGAGTCAGTGCCTGGGCGAGGACCACAGGACCAAATGAGCCAGTTTATCTATCTGGGTGGTGCCAGCTGATCCATCAAGTGTAGGGTCTGAAAAATACTTCAAGCACCGATCTTAGGTTTTAAAATAGCGATATTATTCCTATGAGCAATTGGGAAGGTTTAGAATCTTGTGGCCCCTAGCTGCATGACTCCTAAAACATAATTTCTAATCCTGTTGCTAATGTGTTAGTCCTATGAAAGCAGTCTGGTACCCAGGAAAACAAGGGTTTGTTTTGGAAGGGGGGTGTTACATTATCTTTGTTTCAAAGTTAAACTATAAGTTCCTCCCAAAGTTGGTTTAGCTTACGTCCAGAAATGAACAAGAACAGCTTGGAGATTAGAAGCAAGAGGGAGTCGGTTATGTCAGATCTCTTTCACTGTCATATTTTTTCTCACCATTATAATTTTTGTAAAGGCAGTTTCACTACCATCGTCAGCAAGGTATAGTTACAGGAAAGGGGCCCCAATCCAAACCCCAAGAGAGGGTTCTTGGATCTCGTACAAGAAGTAATTCAGGGCGAGTCCATAGAGTAAAGTCCATAGAGTTCACAGAGTAAAGAAAGAAAGTAGAGGAATAAAAGAATGTCTACTCCATAGACAGAGCAGCCCCAAGGGATGTTGGTTGCCCATTTTTATAATTATTTCTTAATGATATGCTAAACAAGGGGTGGATTATTCATGCCTCCTATTTTTAGACCATATAGTGTAACTTCCTGATGTTGCCATGGCATTTGTAAACTGTCATGGTGCTGGTGGGAGTGTAGCAGTGAGGATGACCAGAGGTCATCCTATTTTATCTATTTTATCAGCAAAGTCTTTATTACCTGTATCTCGTGCTGATCTCCTATCTCATTGTGTGACCTGGAATGCCTTAACTGTCTGGGAATGCAGCCCAATAAGTCTCAGCCTCATTTTACCCAGCTCCTATTAAAGATGGAGTTGCTCTGTTTCACATGCTTCTGACATTTCCCCTTTTCCTTTTATAAGGGAACTCTTAATCCTAAGGGTTGCAGAGGGATGAAGATCCATCTTTTGTAGCTTCTTCAGGCTGAAAAGGGGAGATGATATTCCTGCCTAACTATTAGTGTCTCTAGTGTTCAGGGTAGAAAGAGCTCAGTCAGAAAGCATCAGTATGGCGAAGGCCCTTCGTGACTCTTGAGTTCCGACAAGAGGTGATATCTGGAAGACTAATGAGTCTTCAATTTAAGAAAATGTTGAGTAAGCTTATCCTCATTCCTGCACAGAGTACAACAGCAATATATTCTATAATAGTAAAGCAAAATAAATAAAAGTATCCCAACTAAACTAAATAAGAAGGCTTTCCATGAACTGTGGGACTGTTGGAACTAAGCTAACATGGGGTCACTAGCTGATTTCAGTGTGCCCAGAATTAGAATATTGATTCAGATTTTTACATTACACATCCCTCTTGTTTCTTCTGAGCTGTGGCCAGAGATCACTAGTTGGTTCACAGGAACAATCAAGGTTAACACAAATTGCAGAAACAAACTTAAAACTAACTATGAGACAAGGTTTTAATAACAAGTGTACCATAGTTTTTAAAACATAAGTTCTCTCTCCAGTTTCCAATTTTTACTAAAGAAAAATCATGGTAAGGTCAATTTCCTTTATTATACTTGGCCTGATTATTTGTATAAAGTGCAGCAAGAATAATTATTTTTCACATAGGCTTTTTGTAAATTGGCTTCAATGGAACTCCATTCCATAGAAGGAATCTCAGGTAAGACTTTTTTAAAGCTGAGCCCAGCCATAGGTTTGTACCCTCAAATACCTATGAGTTGAGTAAATTCATCTCCTTCCGTGGGTCCCAAGATAACCTGGGGTTCCTGGATCTGACAGAAACTGACATTCTTTACTTACCACAGGTCAGGGACCTTGTACAGGGACTGTATAGGCAAGGTATGAGGCCAGTTTCCCAAAAGGACTTTTTGGCTTTACAAGTCAAATTTGATTCCTTAAAGGAAAGCACACCATTCCAGTCAAAGCCTTGGTAAAATAACCATTTTCTCTAATTGTGTCCTGTTGCAAAAGAAAATAGATTCTTATTGCACTTATGCAAATAACTATATTGCCATAAATTAAGAATACTCACAAATATTTTCCAGTTTCTGGAGAAATCAGAATATTTCTGATTTCAGAATGTTTCTGGAGAGAAACAAATATGCTTCAAATTTTGTTCACAGCAGTATACTTTACTTAATTGTTAAAGGCTATAAATAGCTCAAAAGAAAAGTTTTCTTGACTGTGGAAAACAAAACAAAGGATCAGCAACGTTTTCAGCAAAAAGTTTAAAATGTTACTTTATACTTTTTATTGGTTCAGTTAATTTAGTTAACTCCTTTTTGATATTCATGAACATTTCAGCTCTCCATGAGAATCCTAAAAGTTTTTTCCCCTATTCTAATGTCACAATTTCCAAAGTTATCAGAAATTTGCATTTAAAAACACCTGTTAGAGTTCTATAATTGATTATAAACCACCATCTAAAGAGGATTAAAACAAGGTAACAATTGTTTGTGGGTGACAAAAACATCTTAGGACAGCCAAAGTCAAAAACACAATTGACAAAGAAACCTGGTTACCCCTGTGGCATACAATGATTTTATGTAACAATTATAGTTATTAGTGATAATGTACACCAACTCATATCAGAATTATAGGAGTTTCCCATAATTTTGGAATATATACCGATAACACATTTATATAAATACAGCCCAAAGAAAACCAAACATTATTTTACATTTGATGATGATGCTTGTATGATTTGACTATCCCAAATAAGCCAAATGTCACTTTTATATTACTGTACTATTGATGTCAAACTCAATTCTTAATGAAACCTTATAGACAAACATATTTAATCTTAATCAGTTTGACCATAAATTAAGGTTCTCATAAACCTTTTATAACTGTTTATAATTTTTGTTAAAGAGCAGATCATAAGCATGTTTTTCCTCTAAGAAAAACCTGTTATGTTTTTATTCCAGTGTTCAGTTTACAGAAAAACTGAATAATACCGCTTTACCTTTAGCCAATATGTTCACATATAGAAATTTTCTTTACAATTAATTTTTCACAAACCTTCTAAAACTGTTCAAACTTTCAGCTTTATTCTATTTAACTTAAAACAATCCTTTAACCCTTTAATCTTAGGCAAGAAAGCAACATTCCCATGCCTTCTTATCATCTTTTACCAAAAACACATTTCACTTTCTGTATACACCTTATATGTACAACTGTTTCTTCAGTAGTCTCAAATGCATGTTACAATGTAAGCTCTTAGCAACTTTTACTTTTGGCGAAAAGCTTGGTAAATTCCAGATTTTAATCATGTACTAGGTGTGGAGCCTAGCCTAGGACACACCAGGCAGAAGAACAGATATGGCTGACTCCAGCACAGCTAGGGGGCATGGCTAACTCCATTATGTCCCCAGGCCTTATCTAGAATCTAATGTCTCCAAGGTAGAATTGAACAATTTTCAAAAGACAAAGAAGCAGTTTATGACCTTAAAGCATTTAGTAAACTTAATATTTGACCTGCCTAATTTAGACCAAATGTCTTTACTTTACTAATAATCTTTAAAACTGTTTTTATTTCCCAAAGGCTACTTAACTCACATGAACTAAAAGTCATTCCACTTTTTACTTTTCTGACAAAATATTTGATTTCAGCACTTATTATTATTAAACCAATTAAACAAAGCTCTTTTATATTACACACACATAATACATATAAATACATAGACAGAAGATAAAGGACTCATTCATTCCCTATGCCAGGAATTGGACCCTAAACCCAGGCCACCACTGCGAAAAGGGAAAGCATGATCACATGGTTACAAGGTCAAGCTCCCAAGGACATGATTGACCAGAGGGAAACCTCATCCTTTTCACACACACACACACACACACACACACACACACACACACACACACACACATGGAGAGAGACAGAGAAAGAGAGAGATAGAGACCAGAAGTCTGACTGGTAAGAAATTCTTACCCTTTGCTGTCATGCCAGGCTTCTGGGTTCCCTTTCCCTGAGCGGCCCTAGTGACCTGGCTTGCTGCGCCACAGCCTTGGGGGCCAAGCCACAGCACAAAGGAAAATTACCTCTTTCCATTCTGGCCAGAGTAAAATACATGTGGCAAGACATAGACATTAACCACTCTGCTTAGCACCCAATTGAAAACTGCCAAGGCTCAAACTTCCCCACATCATCATTAATCCAACTTCCAACCAGGAGTTTCAACATGTGGTCTCTGGGCAAGATGGCTGCCCTGAGTAATAAAAAAGATAAAAAACGGAAAGGAGAAAGAGAAAATCATTGCCTGTGGCAGGGTGGGGAAGGCAAAATGCTCAGGGAGGCCAGAGAATGACCCAACCATGTTGCAGCGACACTGAAAAATTCAGGCGGCTGCTGTCGTGAAGAGATTTTCTTCAAGCAGTCCCATCAGCTGTCAAGTTTCCTCTTTTGGGGCAGGAAAAAGCTCCCCATGTCCCATGATCCTGTAAATGCCTAATCATGTTACCCATTACCGTCAGCAACGACTGCAAGGCAGCTTAATCCAAAGAGAATAGCAGTTAACATACTGTGGTGCCAAACCCATTCTTAGCCAAGAGGCACTTTACTGAGAAGGGTCTCTAACCCCCTAAATCTTAGAAGGGACTCTAGTCCTCCTAAGTTGGGCCTCTAACCCAAGGTCAGTCAAGTGTCCTTGCCTTTTATTGAGAGGAGCCTTTAACTCTCTCTGTGCTAGGAGAGATTCTAACTCCCCTAAGTTGGGCCTCTAACCCAATCTCATCCTTTACCCAGATATGTGCACCCCACTTACCCAAAGTCATCCAATCAGTGCTGCAGTCTATTTCGTGTGGGAAGAGAGGTCTCCTCAGTATTGTCCCTTCAGGGTTTGCCAGAAAGATGTTACTGGATCCCACCACTTACCCAAAGTTAGCATTTGGGTCAGGGGCTTCTGCACTATAGTCCCTTCATGGTTGCCAAAAAGATGTTACAGGAAAGGGGTCCCAATGCAGACTGCAAAAGAGGGTTATTGGATCTTGCACAAGAAATAATTCAGAGTAGTCCATAGAGTAAAGTGAAAGCAAATTTATTAAGAAAGTAAAGGAATGAAAGAGTGTCTATTCCATAGACAGAGCAGCCAAGGGCTGCTGGTTGCCAATTTTTATAATTATTTATTGATGATATACTAAACAAAGGGTGGATTATTCACGTCTCCCCCTTTTAGACCATACAGGATAACTTCCTGATGTTGCCATGGCATTTGTAAACTGTCATTCTGCTGGTGGGATAGTAGCAGTGAGGATGAGCAGAGGTCACTCTCGTCACCTTCTTGGTTTTGGTGGGTTTTAGCCAGCTTCTTTACTGCAATCTAGTTGATCAGCAAGGTTTTTATGACCTGTATCTTGTGTTGACCTCCTATCTCATTCTGTGACTTAGAATGCCTTAACTGTCTGGGAATGCAGCCCAGTAGGTCTCAGCCTCATTTTACCCAGCTCCTATTTAAGATAAAGTTGCTCTGGTTCACATGCCTCTGACAGTATTCACTACTATCATCAGCATTTATTCAGCATCAACTCATTGCAAGGCCCAGGGGGTGGAGGTCTTGAATTTGTAGAAATATAAGTCCTAGGCACATTCTTAAAAATGGCTTGGCTAATTCTTCTGTGTTGCCCATGCTTTCTATATTTATATTTTCATTGATAGAAAGACATTTGATCTAGATTCAAGATCATTGTCCTATATAAAAATGATACATTTTTATTCCAGAGATTTGTTTTTTAGGATGGGTTGGCAGTTACAATTTCTGCTTTCCACTTTGTTTGTAAATTGAGTGGAACTAATAGATGATGCAGTTGATCCATTTTTTTCCCTAAAAGACCTTGAATGAACCATACTTGCTAAGTTTCATTTTATGCCCATTAAATTTTGCTTATTTAGAGGTTAATGTTGATGTGTTAAGTTTGAGAGTGCTCTCTGTAAATGGCCTTTATAGATAGTTTCGCATACAAATATGGGCTCTCTATGCATTCTGTTTTCCATTTTTTATATGTAAATGTTTGCCTACATTTTTGTTAGTTTCTGAGTTCTGCTTTTCTTAAAATGATTTTTTCTGCATCAGATAAACTTATTAATTTACTTAGATTTCAGAATTTTCTTTAAAAATGTTGTGACAGTCAGTATATTGAAGACACTAAGGATATATACACTAGCCTTTCCAGTGTGAAGTGTGTACATTTTCCTCCTTCTTAAATTTTCTCTTATTGCTTATCTTATCAGGAGAAATGGGATTCCAACCAGTCTGTGAAAATCCACATTGGCTAAAATAGTTTCATGTTCAACAACCCTCTATTTTGTTTACTTGCTTGGTGTTGAAAATTGTATATATTCATTCCATCTTTATCATGGTAATTGAGTTTGTATTTACTTCTCAATAATTTGATTTTTATTAATCAGTTTTTTTTTCTCCATAATTAGCTAACAGACTTTTACTCTCTGCTAGCTTCTGGCTGTTGTTTTGGACATGCATTTGGATGCCAGGCCAATTATTTTTCTCTTGATGGTACTTTTTCTGTATGCCTGGAGACTTGTAAGATTTCTCATTTTAGCTTGAGCACTTTTATACCCAGGTTTTACTCTCAGTGTATCCTGGAAGTCAGTGAAAACTTAAACCGTGGATTGAGGTCTTCAGCTCAAATAAATATTCTTCTGTATTTATTCAATTAATCCTCCATTTGTTCATTTTACTTCTGGAATTCCTATTACTCGCTTTAGCTCTCTTGGATCTTTGTTCTACATTTCTTACATTTTTTTTGGTCATTACTTCAATTTACATTTTGTCCTTTTCTTTTTGGTATTTATGTTACTTGATTTTCCATGCCATTCATTTAGATTTCAGTGGTAATTACTCTTTCATGTTGTCTGGTTTGTTTAGAAAATCATGTTTAATTATTTTTTTAAACCTATAGAATGATTATTTTATTCTGCTTTTGAATCACTATTTTTTCCTGTATTTTCCACTTCCACTTGCCTCTCTCAGCTGCTCTATTTTTGCATGGTTGTTTTTTTTTTCCTATGGCAGCCAATTAAGTTATTGCATTTCAGCTCCCAAACTGTACCCATCTATACTAGAATTTGTGATGTTGAAACTGCGACTTGGCTAATTTCATTTCAGCGTTGTCAGTTGCTTCTCCTTATGCTTTGTCAATAGGGGACGAGACACACACACACAGAGACAGAGAGAGAGAGAGAGTGCAAAGCAAGGCAAGGCAAGAGGAGTAAGAAGGTACTTACTATTTTCTGTTTTCATCCTATTGGCTTTCTGTTACTTCCTGACAGTCTCTTTTTTCTGTATCACCCTAGCAATGCGTCTTCATGCTAGTAGCAGATGTGTTGACCCATAACAGTGGTTAAATCCTGTTTGCAGTGTTTCCAGCTCTGAAAACACCAGCTTTATCCTAATACGGCAGATACCGCAGCACCAACTAACTGACAGACCCTCCTCAGAAGTCTGGGTCCCAGCCCCCAATGGCACATCTTCCTCCAGCTCAGAGATGCCATCCCCAGCCAAACTGAGCCACTTCCTCAAAGGTCTGAATGTCAGCTCTGTGGGGCGTCTTCTCCAAGTTTCAGTATGTCTAAACTCTTTCCCTGGTTCCCTTCGCCTTGCGGGGTAACTTCGCTGTATAGTTGCTACCTCCACGAAAACTCAGAGTTCTCTTTCTGACCTTTCAGTTACCTAAATAACATTGCTTAATTATTTTTTATCTTGAATTTTCTCTGTTAAAATAATTGTTATGGCTTCTGTCTCCTAATTGGACCCTAACTGAGACACTGACTGATCATTCAGTTTGCTGGAGGTTCTTAAATGACTGCTATTTTCCTTTGTTAGCTCACTGGGTATGAAAGCTGGTTGTTGGAAGATGCTAAATGGCACAAGTCCCGATGGCAGCTGAAACACTCTCTTGTGGTCTGGCAGTATATGCACAGGACATTTGCCAGTGCCATGGCTAGGTACTGCTCCACAGACACCTGAGATTTTCTCAGCCCAAAAGACAGAAAAGATTGGACTTTTCCCCAGGATGCTCTGCTTTCTGCTATTTGTCTGGGATCCCTCAAAAACTGGTTTCTGGGCTCTCAACCAGTCCATAGAAAAGAAAGCATCATATTAGTTATTAGTATCATCTGGAGAACTTTTCCAATGTCGGCCTCATACTTCTCAGCAGTATATAGGCCCTAGCAGCAATTTTACTTAGGAAGTGTAAATGAATCGGGAAAGGCATCTGCATTCAGGTGTTCACGTTTCCAAACCCTCCCTCAAAGATTTTTCTTTGTTATAAAATCTGTCAATGTATGTTATAAAGTCTATAATAAGATAGATTTTTTAGTTTTTAATACAGACACTTTATGTAATATAAAAGTCTTATTTGTAGTTAGGAACTTACCTTTCAATAAGGTAGAAGGATGACTGGAAAAACTAATCTAGGCTACAGATGATTTTCTCTTATTTACATGTTTTTAAATACTTTTCCCTTTTCCCAGTGAAGGCTAAAGGAGTACCTGGAAAATTGGAGGGAAAGTAATGGACAAGATCAAAACCTTTGAGGCCCAAATGAATGATGTTTCTAAATGACTATCATTTGTAGCTGTACCATTGATTTATTTAATAGTATTATACAGAGATTACTTGCCTCTATGGCTTTTTTTAGGTTATATATCTTTTTTTTTTTTTTTTTTTTTTCAATGAGGGTGTTGCTATATTGCCCAGGCTGATCTCGAACTCCTGGGCTCAAGTGATCCTTTCCCCTCAGCCTCTCGAGTAGCTGGGACTACAGATGTGCATCACTGTGCCCAATTAGAATTATTATTTTCTTGATACAATATGAGTAAAAATATTTGATGGCAGAGACCAAATCCAACAAGAATTGATATTATAAATGCAGTAGATTATAATTAAGTTACTATAATCTGAATGTTTGTGTCCCCCAGCACCAGTTCTTCTGTTGAAATTCTATCCTGCAAAGTGATGGTACTAAGGCTTTGGGAAGCGATTAGATCATGAGGAAATGAGATTAATACCCTTATAAAAGAGATTCCAGAGGGATCCCAAAAAGATCCTTTGCCCCTTATGCCATGTGAAGTTACAGTAGAAGAAGACTATCTTTGAGGAAGCAGGCTCTCACTTCACATCAAATCTTCTGGCCCCTTGATTTTGGATTTCCCAGCCTTCAGAACTGTGAGAAGTAAATTTCTATTATTTATAAACCATCCAGTATATGATATTGTCTTATAGTAGCCCAAATAGACTAAGACATAAATACTTGCTGGTTTTTATGTAACTGAAAACCTAAATTTCAATCATTTAGCTTTTATAATAGTTCTGTGAGATAATTACCCATACTCTCATTTTCTGGATTTGGAAATGGAGGCTTATATAAATTAAGTAGAGATTGACCTAAGCTATCCTGCTAATGCATAGCAGAGCCGTATTTCATACTCAGTCTGTCAGACTCTAAAACCTGTGCCTTTAATCATTATCCAAGTTGCCCACCTTCAGAATGACTCTTTTTACATTCCTAATCACACTATTAAATATTCTGAAATTTTATTGAGATTTAAGACTATTTATCTATCAATTGGAGTATTCCATTGATATTATCATGAGGAACGTAAGTACATTCTTATAAAATCAAAGTGGTCTTTTTCAGTATAGGGAGAATATTATGTTTGGTAATGATAGCATTTACTAGTAATATTTATCTTGTGTGTGCTATGTTCTTGTCGTTGCTCAACATTCTTTTCAAATAGCAATCCATTAGTGATTATAACAACAAAGTGAGAAAAGCATTATTGTCATTGTCTTCATTTTCACAAATGAATAAACTAAGGAACGGAAGATTTTTTTTTAATTCCAAAAGTGCCAGAAGTTGTTGGTAAAGGCATTAGAATTAAGATTGGAAAGTCTGACTTCTGTGCCCATGCTTTTAACCACTAACCTATACCCCAAAGGTATCTTATTTGTTTCTCTAAAATCTTATTCACTTAAATCATCTGGGTCACATGATGTTCATATTTATGGAAGAGTATATTTTCATATAAAAACTTGTTAGTTGTTAATTACCAATTGTTTCTTTTAAAGATCATACATTTTATATCTAGATTTTATCTTCCTTTCTCAAAGGTAATAAACTCTCAAATGAAAGAAAAAAATTCCTAGTATTAATTAGAAGATACAATGATACAATGTTTTTCTCTATTTCAAATAAACCAGTACATTATAACCTTAAAATAATTTAATAATGGTGTTTACATTTAGAATACAACATTAAAGAGTAGGTTAATTTTAAAAATTATTTTGATACTTCTGGCATATTATTTTTTAATTGCTTTTGAGTAATGTTAAAATTTTTCATTTCTGACATAAAATGTTCATTTGCTAGATTATTCTCTTAATTTTGTTGTAATCATTATTTTAGTCCACTGGGTTTAGAAACTGAGGCTTATGGAGCATTCCATAATTTTTCAAAAATTATTCCTCTATATTTTAAAAGAGAAATAATTGGAAAGAGCATTGGTAGATTAGCTCCAATATTTTATCAAAATTAGGCGGAGGAGGATATGTAGAAACAATATCTTAAAATTGGTGTCCTGGAAATTGCAAGGCAATCATATCTTTGTATTTAAAGAACAACACACTGAATAATGATGCATTGGGCTGAAATTTCCTTTTTTCCTTATTTGAGTTGTTATCTCTCCAAAAAATATCATTTTGAAGAATATAATTAAAGTGCATTGCAGCACTACAATGGGGACCATTGCACCTTCAATTAGACCTTGGCAGGAGTATGTAATAAAGATATCTTAGTAAGGCAGTATCTTTGTTGATTAAGATGGAATAAGAAGTAGGTGAAACTAACTTTATGTGAAATTCTCTTGATGAACATTGAAAATCAATGGGTTTAGCATACTCTGCTCTTAAACATGAATGAAGTAGAGAGGGTCTATTTTCTCCTTCAATGATTATGACTGCTCAATGAGTCATATAATCTACTCATTTGAGGTAGTTTATTAACTTCAATTTCATTTCTTAATTACCTGGAGAATTACTCAAATGTCATTGCAATCAATCAATCAGCCAACCTTTATTAAGTATCTACTCTTTTAGGTTTGAGGGGAATGCAAAGAAACTTGATATGACTCTCTCCTTCCAGAAACTTACAGCCTAATAATCCAATAATATTCATAATTACCATTTGTTTAGAAGTTATCATGTACCAGATACTAAATGTAATATTTAATTTTACTTTTAAAACATTCCTATAAAGTAGGTGGCATTAGTTCTACTTTGTGGATGAAAAAACAGACTAAAAACTATCATATCCAAATTCACACATCTAGAAATTGACAGAGCAGGGATGCAAATGCATAATGGCTATATTACCAAGAGGAATGTCCTGATGTACAAACAAGGTTAAGATCCTTAACCTTGACTAAGATTTCCCACTAGGAAACTAAAAATGAGATGGAGGTTCCTTCTTAACAGGTGCCTCATAGTGCACTGCTTTTTAAAATTTACATGTTTAACTTGGGGATTTGTTGAAATGAAGATTTTTATTCAGTAGGTGCAATGATTCAAATGTTTTGCCCTCTTTGAAATTTATGTTGAAACTAAATCTCTAGTGCAGCAACATTAAGAGCTATGGCCATCAGGAGATAATTGAGTTATAAGGGTCCCACCCTCATGAATTAGATTAACTGATTATAAAAACACTTAATTGGCCAGGTGTGGTGGCTCACGCCTGTAATCCCAGCACTTTGGGAGGCCGAGGTGGGCAGATCACGAGGTCAGGAGATCAAGACCATCCTGACTAACACGGTGAAACCCTGTCTCTACTAAAAAATACAAAAAATTAGCCAGGCATGGTGGCGGGCGCCTGTAGTCCCAGCTACTCAGGAGGCTGAGGCAGGAGAATGACTTGAACCTGGGAGGTGGAGCTTGCAGTGAGCCGAGATCCTGCCACAGCACTCCAGCCTGGGTGACAGAACGACACAATGTTTCTACCTTCTGGAGAATGCAGCAACAAGTTGCCATTTTGGAAGCCGAGAACAGCCTTCACTAGACACCCATTCTGCCACATCCTTGATCTTGGACTTCCCAGCCTCCAGAACCATGAAAAAAAAAAGTTCTAGTTTTTATAATGTACTCAGTCTGTGGTATTTTGATATAGCAGCACAAACTGACTAAGACAGTAGGTCTGGGTGGAGCCTGAGATTCTGCCTTACCTCTGAAATTCAAATGCACTCTCTAGTGATACCAATGCTTTTAGTCAGCCTACCATTCTGAATAATAAGACTTTAGGGGACTTTCAACAAGTAAGAACAAGACTATTATTTCCACAAGAGTGGAAATAATAATCATAAAATTTTATAATGTACATGCCAGTTAATTCTGGCAAGCTTAAGACATGATAAATATAATTTCAAATTCTCATATATATTTATTAGAAAATTAAGAAACAACAAAAATTGATCTATAGATTAGAGTCAAGATTGCCTTACTTCTGCTTCCAATTAAGATGGAGTAGCAGGGATTTGATTTACCCTTCTGCTTGAGGTAACTAAAATACCAGACAACACATATGAAACAACAGTACTTAAGACATTAGATATTATAAAAGAAGGGCAGTGATATTTCAGAGTTGGAACACAAATGACGTAAGTCCTATTACTGTCCCAGCTTACTGCCTAGAGAAAGTTTCCAAGCCATAGGGTAGAGAGGGAAAAGCCAGTAGAGATAAGTAGGAATTTCCATGTGCCTAGAGTTTATAGAATACCAGACAAGAGAGAGGACATGAAGAGAAAACCTCAGAGATCTGCAGAGGGTCCCCCTTGAGTATTCAGTTTAATAGTCATCAACCCATGCAGGTGAGAAAACTATCTGAGGCCAAACAAAGAGCCACCCAAAATAATTTTCAGGAAAAGTAGCCATAGCTCAAACAGGACCAAGAATAGTGATTTCTCCTGACAGCTAGAATAAAAATGCCTTAAAATTCACAGGTATCCATTAAGAGTACAAAGAAGGGTCTTGGCTCAGTAGTAGGAAAACCTTAAAATAAATGCAGCTCTTGTCCTGCCTAATAGAGCTTAAAAGCAAGGCTCAAAGGGATCCAACTTTTAAAACACATGTGATCTAGCACAAAGCTCAAGAAATACAAAAATATTCATAAGAATACAAAAATATTATAGAGCCAAAACAAATGAAATTCACAGTATCTGGTATTTAATATAAAAATTACCCAGCATGCAAAGAATCAGGGAAATATAACCTATAAAGAACAGAAAGTCTAACAAAAAATGACTCAGAAATGATGCAAATGATAGAAAAAGTAGACAAGTAGGTTAAAACAGTTATTATGATTATATTCCATATGGTTAAGGAGGTAGAAAAAATTAAATGTATTGAAAAGATAAATGGAAAATATGAAAAGACTAACTAAAATATAAAAAGTTTTAATTTGCTTGAAATACAGAAAGCAGACAATGACATACCAAGAAACACAATCAACCAAGAAATCTTATATTCTTTTTTATTCCTGTTACTTCATTGTGTTAGCCAACACTGCCTTGAAAATGTGACTTAGAAGGAAAGAGAAACATAGGCAGCCCATAGTTCCATTTTTTTTAAATCTATTTTTATTCGTTAGTAAGCCAAAGGTCAAGAGTGTTGATAGAATATGTAGAATATGCACATATCAAGAAATGAAATAAAAACAGTAAGTTTTGTGCAGCATTTGTACTCTCCTGGTAAAAACAAAATACATATGCATGTATGAGCTACTAAATACAAGTTGTATAATTTCAGTAATTCTGTATCTGAGTTAAATGCTCTTATATTTGCATTTAAAATAAGCATTTTAGGTAAGTTGATTAACGACATTCCTGACCTATGTGAATCTTACAAAATGGCACAATGCATACCATACATACAATTGAACCACCCAATTTTTACCCAAAAGCTTTGAAAATAGTTAGAACAATTAAGCCCTTTGCTAACTTTGCCACATTTTATTTAACAATTTAATACACATTTTTACAAATAATTCCTACAGGCTACAGTTTTATATAAACCTGTTGAAATAAAGAAGATGGAGATTTTTGACATTTTCTTTCTTAACTCCCCCCATTCAACATTAAAAACATTCTCAACATTTGGGAAGAGAAGACAGTTTAGTATATAGTTCCCAAACTTTTTACCATCAATGACCTTTTTATTATTATGTTTTCCCACATGTACTCCATATGTTGAAGAATCTGGTCTACCTAATAAAATGCCTTATTTGATTAAACTTTGTTTCCTCATTTTTCTTTTTCAAAGACAAATCTTTTTACTATCAATCTAGTCTTCTATCATTATGACAACCACCCTCACTCAGTAAATATAATTTCAGCCAAAAAATAAAAAGATTACTATCTCCGTTAGGTATCCAAGAGTGTTGGCAAATGCCTCTGGGCTTTTGAAATACTAAATCCTCACTGTTGTGGATCAGAAAGAATAGCCTCTCAATTTCTTCTATCTTTATTGCAGTGGAAATTACAAGAAAGACTGAAAATATGCAGTTGATCAAGGGAAAAAAAGATAAAATTATAGGAATAATTCTGCTTCTGAGAGGAATACATGCCTGGTGACCAATGAAACCCAAAAATTTCTTGGTACCAATGACCATGCAAATTCTCTTATTAATAATCTATTGCTTATAGGATTTGCTTCGGAGAAAGCAAAAAACAAATAAATGCCAATCCCTATCCCATTCAGGTTATTTTCCATATAACCTGTCATTCTTTAGGCAGTGATAGATAATGGAGTTGCATAGGGGCTGGTACAGTAACAAGAATGATAGGATACTTTTATTTTTCTTATATTGTTTTAAAAATTGATAGAAAAAAGCTAGAAATCCCTTCAGATTAAAACAAAACTACTTTATTCTGATTTTTTTAACAAGTTGTTAATTGGCTGTTGAAGAAAAACTATCAGCAGTGAGATATTTTAGGCATATATATATTATATATATATATATATATACACACACACACACTGTGTGTGTATATATACACATAAAGGTTTAAACTAGCTTTACTACCATGTTTGTAGTACATGGTTTCAGTTGTTTTGCTTAATTCTACTTGGTTATTTGAAGTCTCTGGCTAGATGGTTGTCTTAGTTCATTTAGTGTTGCTATAAATGAATAACTGAGGCTGGGTAATTTATGAAGAAGATAGGGCACTGGTGAAAGCTTCAGGCTGCTTCCACAAATGGTGAAAGGAAAAGGGGAGCTGTGCAGAGATCACATGGTAAGAGAGGAAGCAAGAGAGAGAGGGAAGTGCCAGGCTTTTTTTATTATTATTTTTAAACAACCAACTCCCATAGGAACTAAAATATTCATAATTCACTCACCCCCTCGTCCAGGGAGGGCATAAATCTATTCATGTAGGATCTGCACCCATGACACAAACACCTCCCACTACACCCCACTTCTCAACACTGTCACAATGAGGATTAAATTTCAACATGAGATTTGTAGGGGGTGAACATTCAAACTAGCAATGATACACTATTTCTCTAACTGACAGATAAATCACACAAGGTTTTTCATGCATTCTTGGTAGTGTCCCAGCTCCTATGCAGCTCCAATATCTATCACTGCCCATGTACTTATAGGCCCTGTTTATTCTGTCTTTCTGAAATATATGTCTTGTGAATGAACCTTTTTTCCTTCTAAAGCTAGCAGGCCTAAGCATAGATGTTATTTTGTGCTACTTCAAATCTGGAAACAAACATTGAAAGAAAAATTCAATGTACTTTATTATAATCATAATTTAACTTTAAAAAGTTGTATGTAAGGAGTGTGTGTTTGTGTGTGTGTGTGTGTGTGTGTGTGAGAGAGAGAGAGAGAGAGAGACAGAGAGAGAAAGAGATTTCTCTTGTAAATCATAAAATATCTATTTGTTCCTAAATAAAGAGCTGTCAGGCTCAGCTTTCTTATGGCTATTCAACCAGTACCTTTCACATAATTGTTCCAATTTTTAATGGATAATGGATAAACCTGTGACTCATACCTTATATATTTTTGTTTTTTTATTATAAATAAAGAATAAACAAAGGTTATAAACCAATTTCCTGTTTCTATAGCATAATTTCTCAACCTGTCTTTATGAGAAATTTATCTTGATTATACAGATAAGTGGAGTCGCAGTAAGCATCCCTGTCTTATCTAAAATGTCCTGTTATTTTTTGAATTATATTGTATCTGTACAACACCAGAATACTTGATTAAAAAAAAGTTAAAAATGAAAATAGTGGTTAAAACTACTTTTGTGCCAGATAGAAAAGAGATGTAAAGATTTGGTGAAGGTTTAATCTAAAATTTTCTTTTAATTTCTCCATTGTCTCCCCCTACAATTGAAGTTCTGTATGCCTATATTCTCATTTTTAAAAAAGAAATTATAGCAGTCTTATTTTATGATCTTTTTATAACACAGTGGAATAATAAGCAGCACAATAAAGAATGCAGATTTCATTGGTATAGGCCAACTTACGTTTTTTACTTCTAATTAAACTCTTTGAACATCAGACTGATATAAACATTTGCTTGGACCATTTTGAAAAAGTATGGAGGGGAACTTACATGCTAGTACAAGATTATAGGTTGCTGAAAAGGATTCCAACTGGGAGTCATCTGACCTCACTGTAAATACTTCCAGTCAAGGAACACTTACCTTTAAAGGTAAATCTTTGAAAACAGTTGTTTTTCTGAAAAAGTTATGTTTGATCAGAAGTTAATTTAATATTTATTATTGTATTTACAATTTTATTCATGGTGTTTAAGGCAGGTGAACAGCTTTTATCCCAGAACCTTAAAACGGACCAAGGTTTTAGTTTAGTTTTCTAAACTACTTTTCCTTTTTTTTTTTTTTTTTTTGAGACGGAGTCTCACTCTGTCGCCCAGGCTGGAGTGCAGTGGCGCGATCTCGGCTCATTGCAAGCTCCACCTCCCGGGTTCACACCATTCTCCTGCCTCAGCCTCCAGAGTAGCTGGGACTGCAGGCGCCCGCCACCACGCCCGGCTAATTTGTTGTGTTTTTTAGTAGAAACAGGGTTTCACCGTGTTAGCCAGGATGGTCTCAATCTCCTGACCTCGTGATCCGCCCGCCTCAGCCTCCCAAAGTGCTAGGATTACAGGCGTGAGCCACTGCGCCCGGCCTCTAAACTAGTTTTCTACGTTTTCTAGTTTTATATAACAGAAGACCATGGAACAATAGATTTTGATAATTTTTAAAAAGTACTATTAGATTTGTTTAGATTGTTCTCTGCATTAGAGTGTGGTAATTGTGACTCAGGTTTCTTCTGTTTTTTAAAATTGAGGTGTAATTTATATACAACAAAATTTACCCTTTTTTAGCATACAGTTCCCTGATTTTTAATAATCACATACAGCCATGCATTCATCACTAAAATCAAGATATTAAAAATTCTATTCACTCCATAAATTCCCTCTTGCTTCTTTACCCACTGATCCTTTTTATGTCTACATAGCTTTGCCTTTCCCAGAATGTCGTGTAGATGTAATTATATAACACGTGGCCTTTTGAGTCTGGCTTCTTTCTTTCGTATAATGCATTTGGGATCCATCCGTATTGTTTCAAGTATTAATAGTTTGTTCTTTTTTACTGCTGAGCAGTGTCACATTATATGGATGCAGCACAGTTTATTCATTCACCAGTTGAAGGATATTTAGGATGTTCTCACTTTGGGCAATTACAAATAAAACTGCTATAACATTCACATACAGATTTTCATGTGAACATAAGTTTTGACTGTACTGTAAATATTCAAGAATAGAATTACTAGGTAATATGATAATGGCATGTTTAACTTTAAAAGAAACTGTGCAACTCCTTGCTAAAAGTGGCAAACTCTTAGCTAAACTTTTGCATCCCAAAAAGCAATGCAATGCTCTTCATTTTTCCCAGTACACTTAGTAATGTCAATGTCTTTCTTTCTCTTCATTTTTAAAAGTAGTTTTCATAGGTGTACAATCATTTGTCATTGTGGCTTTTATCTGCATTTCCCTAATGACTGATAACGTTGAACATTATTTCATATGGTTATTTGCCATTGACATAAATTATCTGGTAAAGTGCCTTTCAGATGTTATGCTCATTTTTATACAATTTTTTGTTATTATTGAGATTTGAGAGTTCTGTATATATTCTGGATATAAATACTTCATCAGAAATATTGATTGACATCTATTTTCTTTCAGCCTGTGGCTTTTCTTTATCATTGTCTTAACAAGGTCTTTCGAAGAACAAAATTCTTAATTGTGATGAAGTTCAATTCATTATTGTTTCCTTTTATGAATGCCTGAATTCTTAGGTTTACAGATGGCCCTAGAAATAATTATTTCACACTGCTCGTGTGCTAACTCTTCTTGTAACATTTTCTAATTTGCTGTGTATTAACTGTTGATAGTAATTATATTTTCTAGCTTCAAATTTAATTTTATTCAAAAAACAAAGAAACAGAAAAATTTTTAACTGCAGTTTTTCCAGATTTCACACTCCTGGTATCCAATTTCAGATTATTTTAATTGACTCTTGGGCTCCCAGTCTACTATCCTATAGAACCTTCACATGTAACAGTAATGTATGCCTTGTAAAAGGGCAGAGGTGAGAAAATAGCTTTAACTAAACTGGAGGACAGCATATCTAAACTTTAATCCTAGGTTTTCATATGTGCAATATTTTAGTCACTACTTAATACTATCATTGAATTCCCCAATAATCTTATCATATTAACTAATACAGGGCAAAGATCAAGAAATGGAAATAAAAAGTTCCTCACTATGATTTAAAAGAAAAGAGATAATACATGAGCCAATAATTTCCCCATAAATGATCAGATTTTAGGCATAATAAATATTGCATAAGTTTGAAAATTGATTTATTTACATCAACTGCTTTGCTTAAAGTCTAGATGTTCCTGAGAAACTCCTACCACAGTCATAGGCTTACCTCCCCACATTAAGAAAATTTAATGACTATTTAAATATTGTATTTACATAAAAAACAGAGGGCGAGAAAGCTTGCTCGACATGAACACTGTCTACATATGACCAAAGATATTTAGCTTATCTAGTTTTACTGGCAACTCCATTTTCTGGAGGATGGTATATTGAAATGGAAACCTAGATTTCAGAAATCAGTCTGTTTTTATTAAGGTTAAAGCACTGTAGTACATAGTAAGAGGCTTCTTTTTTATAACCATTACAATGTCAGCAAAAATTTGAAAATCAAGAGCAGCTCCTGAAGAGAGTCTGTCCAGACTGAGTCAAAAGTTTGAAAGAGAGATGCCTAATAAAATAGTCCTATTAGAGATTCAAAGGGTGACAGAAAATTAGATTAGGGTCTGGGAGGCTGCTAGAAGTGCAGTGTTATCTCTGACTGAGTGATGGCTCAACTCTGTTCCAGCAAGGATTAAGTAGAAAAGTCAGTCAGGTGAGAGGGCTGTGTAAAACAGAATTCTGCAAGAGTTCATAAGATTGACAAAGCGATGAGGTTTTACATTTACCTGTAAAATATCTTCTTGGAAACAGTCTGCAGACTGATAGGTTTTAGTAGCTGAGCATGTCTTGAAGAACCCGCATGGATCATACCCTGATGATTTAAACCAAACAAAAGAAATTCTAAGTTCTTGATGACAAGAAGTCTGCCAAGAGTAAAAAGCAGTGACATTTCTGTTTTGGGGTACTGTGAAGCCATTACAATATAGGAACTATTAATTTCTGTTTGAATTTCTAGATCATGCATAATTTAATGTAAAAACAAAAAATCTATTATAGTCTGGATCCCATTATAGTAGCAGAAATTTGTACTACAGAAAGATTATCCATAAGGTGTATAATTATAATCATATTTTATAATCCTGACATTTTCCTTCCTCTAAAACCTTAGGTCATTATGCAATCTTTCTCGGACTCAGCTCTCTAATTCTTAAGGTAAGAAATATCAGTAGTACCTACTTACTAATAGTAGCAGTTGTATGTGAATCACTTAAAACAATACCTGGTACATGGTAGCTGTTTTTTTTGTTTGTTTGTTTGTTTTTGAGACGGAGTCTCCCTGTCGCCCAGGCTGGAGTGCAGTGGCGCGATCTCGGCTCACTGCAGGCTCCGCCCCCCAGGGTTCACGCCATTCTCCTGCCTCAGCCTCCGGAGTAGCTGGGACTACAGGCGCCCGCTGCCTCGCCCGGCTAATTTTTTGTATTTTTAGTAGAGACGGGGTTTCACTGTGTTAGGGTAGCTGTTTTATTGGTATTACTCACCTTCAACCAACTTTCTTCTGTTTTAGCCACCATGTAATTATGGACATTACCTATTTTCCACAACATTTTTAAAAACTCAGTCAAATAGATCAAGAATCCTTGTCTATTTCATTGATACTATGAGACTCGGATAATTAATCATAAGCATTATTTGACCGCAAATTGATACATGTATTCATAGTTGTTCGGGGGGCGCAAGTAACGGATTCCGACAAATCTGAGAAGAGCCAGGTTTTAGTTAAGGCCAGGATAAGGAAGGATTAGTCAGTTAAACTTGTGAGGATATAAGACATGTTTGGCGATTGTAGGACAGATTCCAGAAAGCTTGCATTAGTTTGCTTTGGCAGTCTTACCGGGCTTAGTACCTACTCATTGCGCTTTTTTATTTTTATACTAGGGAAAAAATTTCATACACTTTGAAGAATTACAGAAATATAAGCGCTGTATTTTTATTTAGGGATACAACCAACAATTTATACTTAAGATTCAAATTTACTGGGACTAACTCAGAGAGATGACAAAGAAATACATTCCTCCTCTGCTTCTAAGATCCTAGATACCAGAAATTCTACTTTACAATTTTTTCTTTTTTCCAGGGTAATGTACTTAAGCTATTTTTGAAGTAGTCAGACTCTGATTGACTGTCTTAAACAAAAGCTATCGTATAGTGAATTCTTCATCTGACAACTCTTCATCTTTATTCCTTTAGTCTATGATGATAATAACATCAATATTAGTGGTAAGAGCGGACACTTATTAAGTCCTTACTCTATGCCAAGAACTAATCTGTACGTGTCATGGTTTAATCAGCTAATCCTTATTATAACACTCAGACATAAGTTACAGCTATCATTCTCATTTTGTGTATAGGAAAGCTTAGAGTTTAAACAATTTACTCACTATCACAAAAATGATCATTTGAACCCAGGCAGTCAGACTTCAGATAGGAAACTTATTCTCATCTCTTTTCTGGAACAGACAACATGCATTCACTTGGAAACTCTATGCACTCATAACAATAGTTCCATTTACCTTGGACTTCAATATTTGTTTGATCAATGTTTCTCTGCCATTTCCAGACTGAACGTCCTTTTCATAGTTAGAGAAGTCAAAAGTAAAATAACAGAGCTCAGCATTTTCTCTGTCAGGACTTTTTCTATTCTGCCTAAACCTGAGTCCATGATTTTAGGCACTTCTTTGAAAATATCTATGATTCCTATTTTATTATTAACCCTGGGACAATCCATATTTTCTCAGTTTCTGAGATCTGTGGAAAAAAATCAGTAACAATGTGGACCTGGGTCACTAAATATATAAGATCTTAAATTTTAGTTGTATTTATGGGTAGTTATTTCCTTTCTGCATACACTACTGTGACTATTATAACTCTTTAAATATCTACTGAAGTCCAACATTCACATCTCCTTATCTGTCTTTTCTTCCAAGAAGAAGACTTTGCTTTCTGTGTCATAGTGGAACCAGAGCAGAATATCGTGAATTCTCACCAGACTACGTCATTTCTCACCCAGCATGTCTTTTCCTTCTGTGCACACACGGGATGTTAGTGTACAACATATAGATCCCAGAATAGTTATTGAGTAATTTTTAGGTTAATTTTAGACTCAATGTAGTTTTAGACTCTAGAACAATACAATTATTAAAAGCACAAACTCTAAAGCTGGACTGCTTGGGTTCAAATAAGAATACAATACTTGCTAGCTGTTTTACCATGAATAGGTTTCCATTTAATCACTTGTGACTCAGATTCAACACCTGTAAAACTGGGATAATAATTGTACTAATCATATTGGGTTATTACACGTTGAGCATCCCTTACCCAAAAACCCAAAATTTGGCATGCTTTAAGATCCAAACCTTTGAGCTCTGACATGATGGCACAAGTGGAAAATTCCACACAAAAGCACTTAACACAAACTGTGTTCATGTACAAAATCATTAAAAGTATTTTATAAAATCATATTTGAGCTATGTGTATAAAGTACATATGAAACATAAATGAATTTTGTGTTTACATTTGGGTCCCATTCCCAAGATATCTCATTATGTGTATGCAAATATTCCAAAATCTGAAAAAATCTGAAATTGGAAACATTTCTGGCCCCAAGCTTTTCAGATACTCAACCTGTATAAGGACTGAGTGAATAAGTGCAGACTGCTTGGAACAGCATCCATCACATAATAAGTGAAGTGGTAATTATTATTTTAAGTACTTGTCTTCAAAAATCAATATTAAGTTTCTCCTTCTCTATGTGGCTCTCTCTGTTTTCCCGTGTGGAGTTGCTACTCCCTCTGCATCTGTAATTCCACAGTTCCTTGCATTTTTGTTTTATTATAGTATCTACCACCTTAGAGTATACCCAACACTGTATTGCAATAAACACCTTAAGGGCAGAAGTTGTACCTTATCTTTGTACACTGACCACTCAGTTCAGGGACCCAAAATATCATTAAGTGAACTAATTAAAATGAAATTATAAAACTAGTTCTCATTTATAACTGGAAAGTAAATATAATATTATTAATATGGAGTGGTCTAACTTCTGGATATTAAGTTAGTATCTAAAGCACTTATGTTTCATTAGGGGTGAATAATAATATTTTATTTAACTCTCTGGTGTGAACAACCAGGGATGTCTTAGAAAACACTTTTTTACTTTGTATTTTTCATAACCTGAAGAAAAAAAATTCAGGGAGTATTAACTGTAAATTTAAAATATCTTAATAAAATAATAAATAGAAATATTTTAAACTTTAATAAAACCTAGCTGTATTTAGTCTCATAAAATTTTCAACCTCCATAAAATTTTATGAGCTATTTTTCATGTATTGTGTATCTATATATATTTACAAATAGAAATCTTCTAACACATATAATTCATACACTAATGAACTTTGAATGATAGGGTTTGAGGTTATAATATTTTCACGTTATAGATCAGCAGTCTCAAAGTACCATCTGTGTACTCCTGGGAGCTCCTAAGACACTTTCAAGAGGTCTGTGAGTTTAAATCTATTTTCATAATGATATAATGGCATTATTTTTCTATTTCATTGTGTTGACATTTGCAGTGATGATGCAAAAAGCAATGGTGTGTGAAACTGCTGAGCCTTACAATGAATCAGGGAAGTGACACCAATTCGTACTATACTTATTGCAGTCTTCTTCAGCACACAATCAGATTTATAAAAATTGCCAGCTTCACTCAAGGATGTCTGATGAAACAGCAAGTAGGATTGATTTTATTCAATATTCGTCCTTGAGAACATTTGATATTTTAACCTTTATGTGATAAAATTGGAGTATGCATAGAGCACTTCTGTTGGGTGCACACACAGAAATTATTGTACAAGTAAAAGTACTAACGTAATTTCTTCAACTGCAAACTAATCTAGATTTTTTTTCATGGAGCACCATTTTCTCTTAAATGAATGACAAGCAGACAAATTGGGGTTATTTAGAGTTGTATATCTGTATCTGGCCAATATTTTCTCAAAAATAAATAAAATGACCTGTCACCTCAAAGAAAACAACTGACAGTATTTGTTGCTAGTGATAAAATTCAAGCTAGCAAGTAAAAATTAGAATTTTAGAAATCTTGTATCACTACTATGAGCTCCACAGCTTCTAATACCTAAAGATTTTTTGAATGAAACCATGATAATATTAATAATTTTTAAAGATACTGTATAATGAAAGGTGTCAACATGAGGTGGTACTGTAAGTTAGTGACTTTTCTGTATGACCAATGAATGATTTTACAAAATCATGCCTGATAAAATATCTATTCAAAGCACAAGTTAAACCAATGGATTTTAATTTAATAGAGTTCAAAATATTGATTGATATGTTTACAGATTTCATAGTGCAACTAAACCTTAAGAAACTACTGCTTGTCAAATTTTGATGAAGTATCAAGGAAGAATACATGAAATATCTGAAAAGACTTAAAATATTACCTCCCTTTTCCAACTAAAAATTTATGTGAGCCTGTATTTTCTTTATATATTTCAACCCAAATAATGTATCTCAATAGATCCAATGCAGAAGCAGATGTAAGAAACCAGTTGTCCTCTGTTAATACAGACATTTAAAAGGATTTGTAAACATGTAAAACCATGTCACTATTCTTGCCAAGTTTTCTGGTTTGTTTTGGAAAATATATTTTCCACAAAAGTATATTATTTATGTTCACATGGAGAGGATTTGTTATTGTTATTTTTAAATTACTATTTCTGTTTTAATTAAATATTGATAGATATAATCCACATAAACAAAATTATCTGAGGATCCTCAGTAATTTTTAAAAGTGCAAAGGGTCCTGAGACCAGCATGTTTAAGAACTACTGCCATAGACAAATAGTTCCTGCAGCATTCCTGAGGCATATGGAAGGAAAAATCTATTTAGATTGTTTGAAAGTTCCTATTCACACTCAAATACATTTTGCAAAGGGAGATGGAATACCCAGTGTAAAAGGTTCCTTTATGAACAGGTATCTTTTCAAGCTAGGATAAGTATGTAAGTACTACCCCCAGTGAGTCTGATACAATTTCACAAAAGGAAACACTGTACAAATTTCATACTAATTTTCATACTTATTTTTGACTATTAAGTATTAAAGTGGAGGTGCTATATACTAAATTCTGTGCTGCTAAAAAAAAATGGAGTATTAAAAAGATCCTTGGACACAGGAGCCTTTCACATTAGCTGGTCCACCTTATGATGGACCCTTTTTGAATCATTTGATTAAATACATGAAAAAAGCTTTCATTGATATGTAGACCTAAACAAAATGTTTTCATTAGAAAAAGAAATTGTTTATTTTAGAAAGAAATTTATACTACGAACTAATTCTTCAGTGTGAAATTACAAAAGTACATTATGAAATTTTTAGTATCAGGGAAATAAGGGTTAAAATGGATCACATGCTACTGCAGAAATTTTGTTTCCCAGCTCCCCAACCTCCTCTGTATTTCCTGCTTTGTGTTCTTATTAAGAAAACTACTTCAAGGCTGTAGAAGATAGTTCTTGATGTCAAAATGACACTTCCCTTGTTTCTTTTGATTGAGAGAAGGCCTAGGACTTTCATTAGTCCCTGATTAGAGTTTTCAAGGAGTCCAACTATTGATTGCATAAAATTCCTTTCCTGTCATTTTCTGTAAATGTACACAATGGCTACTAACACATCCTCCAGAGCCCACACTTTGTTTTCCAGGAGGAAGGCAGACATTCAGCTAGCAATTTGACCTTTAGAATTTCCTACATGATGTTAAGAGAGAATTGTCTATTATTTAAAGATTTTTTTTCTACCTACAACAGAGCTGATATTTAGAACTGAAATTTCCTAGTAATTATAGCACATTTGGGTAAGTAGTTATAAAAAATATTCAACTGTTGCTTATTCTTAATTATGAGGGGACAATGGGCTTGACACCTGGCACAAGGCCAGCACTTAAAAACCACTTACTGATTTCTAAATAATAATGATAATTAGAGTTCCTAGTTAGGTACATTAGGGCTTGCATGTATATTAGAGATGCATAAAGGTTTATGAACTCTTTAGGGTCTAAAGGATACAAGCTGACTATATGTGAAAGAGAAGCTGTACAATCAACCTTTCTGGATGTCTTTTTTCCTGTAAACTGTTTAAGACAAAATTCACAGCCTAATGTCTTACAGTTTTCCACATTCATGATTTGGATTTCTATGTAGAATTGCTTTTGCCTCAGCTTCTTCTTCTGTTAAATAAGAATAGTAATACCACAGGAATCTATATGAAAAAGATAATGTGGAATGAAAGTTTGCAATTAAGATACTAATTAATCCTACAATCTCTTCCAAAAAATCATAATAATAAAATTAAGAAATGATACATATTCAGGCTTCTGTTTAAAGTAAAGGTAAGAGTGGAAGACTGGAGAACAGAGACCAGAATATGAGCTTCAGTTCTGATACCTCTGCTTTCCTCATTTGAAATAGGAATAAAAATATTTGTTATAACATCTCGTCACATTCCCATGTAAAAACACCCATCACACTGTAAAAGCTCTACAGCTAGTAGCTATCTATGATTGTCATGGCTCTTCTCTTTACCTATTCAGTTCTTCCCATTCTTCAAGACACAGATCAAATCTCCTTTTTCATGAGAACTATTGGGTCCGTAGTTCAACCCCAAATGGCTCATTTTCTTATGAACTCAGCTCCTGTTGCACTTACAATTACATCAGATTTGTTAACTTCCTTATGACACCATTTAGATAATGATTACATATTTAACTTTTCCTGTATTTATTGTCTGTCAGATTAGAATGTATGCTCCTTAAAGGTATGAACGATTTATTTTTCCTTGGGTATTTTGTAGCGTATGGTGTCTTCTACATAATTAATGCGCTATTAGTACTTGATTATTACATGAATGACAGCCTTCATGAAGTTTTCAAGAGTCCATAAGACATTCTCATGGAATTATGTAAGAAACCAGAGAAGAAAATAACTTTATAAAATATTATTGTTGTAAAATAACTTTGCATTTTTTGGAAGAGAGATAAATCATTGTAGTTTGGAGTCTGAAAGAACTAAACAAATCATCTAGCTTAAAATTTTATGTTATAGATGAGAAAACTGGAATCTCAGAGAGTTTCATATATTAACAGAATCATTATATTAAAAAATCACCAGCCAACCGTGGTGGCTCACACCTGTAATCCTAGCACTTTGGGAGGCCTAGGTGGGAGGATCGCTTGAGCCCAGGAGTTTGAGGCCAACCTGGGCAACATAGGGAGATCATGTCTCTAATTTTTAAAAATAATAATAATAAATATAAATAAGAATTACTAATTTTCATACTATACACCTAGCTATCATTTCATAATTGTATGTAATCATTTAAAATACATTTTCAAATAAGCAGAATTGGTCTAAATGTGTGCCTCATAATAGACATATATGAGTTCTAAATATTATTTGAGGTTCCTTGTCATTTTATTCTTAGCTGTCATTAAACTCTAGCCATTGAGTTAATTTGTTGATTACAAATACTTTATTCCTTAAAGAGGAAAATCATGTCTAAATCTACGTTTTTTGTGTTGTTTTTTTTTTCTGAAAAAGGCTTTTTATGCTACAGGTGTTAATGTGGACTTAAACTATTATGAAAAAAAAGTTTCTGAAGATTTAGTGAAGGGATAATGCAAACATAAATGAAAATTTGGTATTTCATATATGTCACTTTCAGCCAGAAGGGAAACAGGACTAGGAAATATAATCCTGAATGGCTTACAGGGATAAAGAGTCATGCTAAGAAAACCATTGTTCCTAGGAATAAGAAAGCTGTCCCTATTATCTCTACATCTATCTACCATATAACGAAGCATCAGATTCATTACAAAGTTAGACTTGAAATCCTGGCAAGCCGTTTATATGCTATTGTGCTCAATCTTTATACTGAAGTCATTCAAAACACAAAAGCAATGACATACCTCAGTGTCCTCAGAGGAGAATAACCTCTCTTATATTTTTATGCTAAAGGTATTCATGTAGACTTTTCTTAAACTACGGCAAAAGATTGTATTGCTCATCGAAAAGTTAAGAAGGAAAGGGTACTGCTGTTGTTCTTGTTTCTGTTTTTTATTTTAACTCAAAAACAGTGCCAAGACCAATAAGCCTATTTATAAAATGTCACCTTTTAATAATATATCAGTTTTTGCGGTGACACAGAGCTCAAAAGGGTCACTTAAACCTGTGACCACAGATAGTGTCGTGTCAAACATTTTGATTCTGGTTTGAGTGTTCTTTCCACAAGATTACAAGCATGCCCAGACATCACTCATTCATTTAACAAACAGATATTGGATATCTACTTGGTGCCAGCACTGTGTTATGCACACTGTATTCCCTCAGGCCTTACAGAGAGAGAGGCTGGAAAGTAAAACATACATTCAGCTCAAGGAAGGCTAAGATAGGTTTGCTCCAGGTGAACCTAGAAACATAGCATTGTATATTCTGCAGAAAGGTTGGCAGCCAGAGCAGGATCCTTGAGATAAAGCAACTGATTTCACTTCAAACTGTCACATGAACTCAGTGAGAGAATAAAAAAAACTGCTGTAGTAGGAAGGACACTGAATGGAGACTTTAGAATAATGGATTCAAATCCCAGCTTTGACATTTATTGCGCTTTTTTCACACCCTTAGGGAATAGTGCAGTGCAACTTAACCTCTCTAGTCATCATGTTCTCAAATGATAATGTAACAAAATCCTCTCTATACAGCTTATATAGTTGTTGTTGGAATTAAGAAAATCAATGTCAAAGCCCTTTATATATTTTTAAACATACTACAAATAGCAAAGTCTTATTCTTCAAGGACAAGAAAAAGACGATGAACTCTACTACCAGAATATTACTTAACCAGATATTACTGCACACATGTATTTTACAATTGCTTTTCAAGAAGTTGAATATTTAAAATACTTTATGTTAGCTTGGTTTAATAAACTGAGAATTTATCAGTTTTGTTTGAAAAATGTATGTCTTGTTGGTGATCATAAGGAAAAATGAAAAATAACACAGTCTGAAATGGAGAAATTATAAGTGTTACTAAGATGTATACATTTAAAACATTCAATGTTACATGCAATTAAAAAATAATGGAAATGCTATTTTTCATATTCTATGTTAAAACTAAAAAGTGAATTTAGAAGAGAAAAGAATAAAAAATTTTCAGTTTCTAAAAGAAGCAATTAAAAAAGCATTTGGTATATAATGCACAATGATTAGCTTTGCATAAAGTATGTAAATGGTGCAATTACAATGCACAGTATAAAAGACAATTTCCTGTGTTTTCCATCAAATCATCAACATTGGCCTTAGAGAAATTACAGGAACATTTAGAAAAGATAAATATATTCATTTGTAGTGGGGCTTGTACAAAGGAAAACATGTCAGGTGGAAAATGATTGCCCATTTCTGATGATTTCATTGATCGACGTGCAAAGTGCTTTTGACTATGGCAAAAGAAGCTTAGCTCAAATGTGAAATGCTTGACTGTTTCATTTGGAACATGCATTTTATTTTGCAGCCACAGCAAAAGAGATGAAATTCTGCCTGGTGAGTGTAAGGGGGAAAGATAAGCCCTTATATCAAGAGTTTCTGCTAACCTTGCTACATTTTGTATCAGAAATAAAGTGGAGATTTGCAGCTTACTGAATTCTGAAGCCAAGAAAATGAGATGGGAGAAAAAAAATTTAAAGAAAAACTACACACATTCTCTTTTAGTAATCATGTCCGCTTCTAGGGCACTAAATAGCTATATAATAGGATTAACTGATAGACAGTTTTAACAAACAGTGTTAAGTTATTGGGTTCATGCCATATCTTATGTACACAGACATTTTCTTTTTCTTGTGGTCTTATTGGAGATTGAAATTTCAGTCTGATAAGAGGTCTCCTAAATGTAATATTGACAGAGTTAGAAGAAAATTTTCTATTCCAATCTTCTTTCCCCATTCAACTGCATTTGAAGTAAGTTACTTCTATTTGTTTGGTATAAGGATATTTTAAGTAATCCTATACTAATTCAGGGAATAAAACAGACTGAAGTTAGTTTGAGGGTAGGATAAATCTGAATTTTATTCTTAATTTCTTGCATCCACAGGTCTTTACATTTATAATGTTAAGTATTCCTCTGAGCCTCAGTTTCCTCATTAAAACTGGAAATATTAATAATTATCAGTCATAGTTCCTAGTTGTAAGAACCAGACTTTGCCTGATTAATGAGAAAATTAGCCTCATAATATAAGAGACAATTATGGAATGCTTTCTGCCTGCCATTGACTCTTCTGAATACTACATACTCATCAAATTCCCACACTATTATCATTCCCTTTCACAGATAAGGAAATTGAGACACTCAGGGGTTAACTTACTTACCCCAGGTCACAAGAAGTGGAGAGCAGGGATTTATTTTCAGGGATTCTAGCCCCAGGGCCTATACTCTTAACCAATACCCCACATTATGTTTCTAGTTTATTGAAACAATATTGGGTACCTCACAGAAATATTGGGGGGTGTTGGAAAATCAGACTCAAAACTTAGCAGCCAGGAACAATGCACAATGCAATGTGCATCTCATTGCTGTGGCCACCAACCTAAATTCTAAGGCTGTAAGCTTGTGCCGTTGCAATTTAACACCCAAAGAGCATGAATTTTTCTGCAACTTCCACCCCTACCACTATCAATGTCATAAGCAACAACTGTTACTGCTGCCACCCCAAAGAAAGAAAGGAAAACTCCCCATCCTGAGTCAGGCTCTGATGAGGCTGTTGTGAGGATGGAAGCTGGGAGGGAGGCTGGAGAGACAGCTTCCAGCTTGGTCAACAGGACTAGGAAATATAATCCTGGATGGCTTATAGGGATAAAGAGTCATGCTAAGAAAACCATTGTTCCTAGCAATAAGACAGCCGTCCCTATTATCTCTACATCTATCCACCATGTAACGAAGCACCAGATTCATTACAAAGTTAGACTTGAAATCCTAGCAAGCCCTTTCTATGCTATTTTGCTCAATCTTTAAACTGAAGTCATTCAAAACACAAAAGCAATGACATACCTCAGCGGCCTCAGAGGAGAATAACCTCTCCTATATTTTTATGCTATAGGTATTGATGTGGACTTTTCCTCTAGTAGTGGAGTGATCATGGCTCACTGCAGCCTTGAACTCTCGGACTTAAGTGATTCTCCCACCTCAACTTCCTAGGCAGGTGCAACTACAGACATGTGCCGCCATGCTTAGCTAACATTTTTTTTTTCTTATTTTTTTTGTAGAGACAGGGTCTCACTCTTGCCTAGGCTGGTCTCAAACTCCTGGGATTAAGGACCCTCTCACCTCAGTTTCCCAAAGTATTGGGATTACAGGCGTAAGCCACTACATCTGGCCCAGGAATTTCCAGAGAAAATCTCTTATGTTGGAAAAGCTAAACAAGTAACAAAATTCCACTTTAACTGTTCTAAAGTTGAACATAAATATTGTATATAAAGTACTAATGGTTAAGTGATTAATTGTAATTGTTCTGGTGTCAGCCTACCTGAGTTCAAACCTTAGTTTTTTCTCACTAGTTGTGCAACTTTAGATAAATTACTCCACCTCACTGAGCTAATTGCTTCATTGTAAATTCTTGTGAGGATTAAACAAAATAAAGTTTGTAACTAATTAATTCTACTTAAAGCACTCCAAATGTTCATATAAAGTAGAGCTAGCTATATCTATCTGCTATTAAAATAACTGGTTAGCTAAAAAGAGAAAAATGGCCATTAGCAGATGAATGGATAAAGAAAATATGACAAATACCTACAATTGGGCACTATTTAGACTGAAAAAGATGGAAATTCTGTAATGTTCCACAACATGAATGAACCTTAAGGATATTATGCTGAGTGAAATAAGCCAGTCACAGAAAGGCAAAAGTGCATCATTTCACTTATACAAGGTACCTAAAGTAGTCTAATTCCTAGAATCAAAGCGTGGAATGGTGGATGCCAGGGGGTGGGGGACATTGAAGTTACTAATCAACAGGCACCAAGTTTCAGTTAAGCAAAATGAATATGCTCTAGAAATATGCTATAAAACATTGTATTTGTAGCCAACAATAATGTATTGTAAACTTAATTTCTTGAGAAGTTCATTCTCAGGTTAAATGTTCTAACCACAATAAAATAAAATAAAAATTATTAATGTACTGATTTTTATCAGTTGACAAAATTTCTTGGATTCAGGTAAGTACGAAGTTCAGATAAGTTTTCTTCCAACAATTAGGAAAATTCCGTTGAAAAATCAGATCTATTTGTAAAATTGATACTTTAGAATTTAAAGAAATAAAATATGATTGTATAATAGGCAAATTTAGGTCTGAAGTTACTATTAAATCTAGAGCTGGGTACTTTCTCTAAATACCTGGCCTAGTAAAACCCAAAACACATAAGTATCTTGGAACTGACAGAAGTCAAAACATAATCCAGAAATTTAAAGTTTTTTAGTTGTTCTCCTATAGTAGAAAAAAGAAGCATGGAAATCTGAATCTATTATACACTGATTCCTATACAAATATAAGTAAATGTACTTTTGAAATGATACATCTCTCTCTGGAGAAAGCTTCTGATTGGTATGCTATTGGGCACTGTCAATGGCTTTGTCTTGCTAAGTGTTTACATCAGTAACTTAGATGTACATGCATAGGACATTCTTATCAAATATAGGCTGGATACAAAGCTGGAAGTGCCAAAGAATAAGATACTCTACCTACTGCAGGCATTTAACATAAATAGATGCAATTGACTAAGCAGGGATAAATTAAAAGTCCTGTGTTTATAAGCAAAGAATCCAATTTCACAAGTATACAACATGTGAGTCATAGCTTAGCGTGTTTGGATGCAATGCTGATAGATCACACAGCAACATTAAGCAGAGTACGAAAGTCCAGATTCCACAACCTAACTTGAGAACTGTGGTGACATCGTAACCGACCCAGAGGCAAACATGAACTTCAAACCATCAAAACATCAAAGCACAGTCTCCAGAGGGAATGGCAAACCCAAGCCTATTTATTTTTTTAAAAATGGCCCCTCAGGCTTTTTCTGAACTATGTACAAGGCAGAGGAAGAGCCAGGCCAGTGGTGGGATACCTAGGGGACAGGTAGGTACAGTCTGCAGAAAAGGGCTGGCCAGAAAGTTAGGCACTCATTCCATTCACCGAAGTTCCAGATAGGGTCACAGTCCTTAAAAACTAGCTTAGGATATTGGCATAGTAACACCACAATGCAAAAGAAATCAAAACCTGTTTATATAAGTAGGGCCAGTGAGAGTGATGGAATTTTGAAACCTGCAACTTAAAAATTGCACACAAAGTAACCCGGTGTCACCTCTGGGTGAGCAGTAAAAATAACAACAGCAACAAGAGCAATTATTTCTCTTTTTTGGCTGTTACTGTGTGCTAGGCATTCTACTAGGTAATTTTACATTTGTTACCTAATTATTGCTCACAATAATAGTAGAAGATAAGCATGAGATTCTCCATTTGCATGTTAGAAAGATGAGATTAAGTAACATGCCCAAGAATTCACAGCTCTAGCACACCCAGGATTCATTTGGTCTGCATGGTTCCATGAACTTTCTAGTACGCATTACGGTCTGTATCTGATTAGCCAAAATTGAACTCATGTGATGACTTAGAAGCCTGGCACCATGACTAGACTTCCAGATTCTCGATCTGAATAAGTGACTTAGTTGTGAGCCTCATAGGCAGGCAGAAAAGCACAAATCCTTAGGAATAAGGTAGATTTGAACAAGCAAATTGAGGACCTCAGTGACTTTTCATGGAGTAGCTGAGGAAAGATAAAAAACATTTTCTCCACCAAGAAAAATATAAAGAAAAGACATGGCTAATTGTCAGTATCTGTAAAATAAACTTGAATGCAAAACCAGTGAGCTTTACATGCACTAAGTCTGTGTTAAGGTGCTTTAAAAAGCACATGTGAAATTAGTGCTCATTAACAGAAGAATTAGTGAGCTACACTAAGGAAAGTCATGCACAGACCCTGCTGAATTCCTATTCAATACCCATTCTCAGACAGTTTTCCTTGTGATTGTAACTCCATCTTAGTTGATGGTAGAAATGCATCTTACTAAAAGCTAGGTTTCCCCGCCTTTTTTGAAAATGTGGGCATATAACATGGGTCTGGTCACAGACAGTTGTAGGTGCAGATCTGGGCATGTTTAGGAAAGTTTGCCTTTCAGTATAGCCACAGTATTGAATATAGTTTCCAATATAGGCACAACTGCTGTCCCATTATTTTCCTCTTCCTCCTTCTTGGAATGCAGATGTGAAAGAATGGCCAGTCATCCCATGGCCATTAGATGCCTTGTGAAGGTAAAAATCACATCCAAAGGATAGTGATCCTTGGATAGAAGGAGCTTACTGGATATTAATGGCATTGAGAAATTGTTGCATCAGCTCTGGGTTGCCTTAATATGAAACATCTTGTTAAGTGAAAACTCTTTTTAAACCACTAGAGTTATATTTCTGCTGAATTGAGAGAATCTCTAGCGAACAGTTAGGGAAGGATTTCTAGGATCAAAATTTTTAATGAGGAATTTGAAAAAGATACCCTATTGTCTTTTAGGGTCAAGTGTTCCCAATAAAGAAAAAAACGTTGGTTGTTGAGCCTGTATTTTTTAGGCTCCTCAAAAGCATTTCAAATTCTCCTTTTGTCATTATTGTTTTGAAATGTCTTAAAAATGTTTAAGGGAATATATCCTTATTTATGTTGTGTGGCTCTTAGCACGTCATTTTAAATCAAATACTTAGGTCTTATTTAAGTCTTAAGAATTATTTCCTCCTTTCATATCCAGCCTAGTTCAAGCCTTCTGGATCACCCTTAAGTGAATACTGAAATTTTCTAATCTAGCCACAAAGTCAATTAAGCCTTCCTCATATTTTGCGTCCCTTCTTGTTGATTATTTGTTAGCTTTAACTCTGTATTCTGAGACTTCCTTGACTGATTCTTATAACATATGAATTCTCTTCTCAGCTACATTCATGCTGCTCTTGTCTGCTAATAAGCATTTATTATGGAAATCAAACGAATTTACAATGTCTATAGCTGATGTATTTTTGTGGATGCAGTAGATTCTCAGTCTCTCTAATGATATCATTTGGAAATCTGTTTATTCCTATCGACTACATTTCTTTTATGTTGTTCAGTTTGTTCAGTTTAATACTTTTGTGGTATTACTTTTCCTCAAACATTTGGTGATTTGTGGTGTTCTGGCCATCTTTATACTGGAAGATTCCTAATGCTGATCGTGGATGGATGTCAGTTCTGAGGGTTGTTTGAATGGAAGGGCAGTCAGAGCAGGCTGCTGATCGCGCTGACCTTGGCTTCATTTGATCTCTTCTAAGAATTTGAAGTGGGAAATAAGATGGTTGTATTTGTTTTTTATGCCCTCATGATGCAATATTCTAAATGGATTATCTAATAAAGTTCCATCTTGAGAACTAATGAATTCTGTGTGACTGAAATAATTGAAAGATAGGTTTCACAGCAATTTGTTGATAAGCTTTTCCTAGGCATTTAGGAACCAAGAAAAACAAAAGAAAAGAACAAAGGGTAATATTTAAAACCTAGGATTGAATCCCAATTTTTCCCAATTAATTGCCCTTTTACAAGTCAACCTATCTCCTCTGAATCTTTGTAAATCTGTAAAAAGAAAATTATAATTCCTAACTGAAGAATTAGCTCTGATAATAAACTAATATATATAAACAAATCTGGATTTTAATAGCAAACTTAAATTATAATTATATAAATTATAATTATATATTATATAATGAAATTATAATTCCTAATATTAGTATGATGCTAAAAAATTCATGAACCATAAGACAGTTAGCCAAGATTATAAGCAGAAGGAACAAACATTCCAACTTTCCTTGATCTTGATCAGTCTTGGTTTATACCTGTTTCTCTAGGAAAGTTTTATTAGCTCATTCTTTCATTCAACAAAGTATCATGGTTTGAAAGACTATGCATTATATGGTAATCTTAGCATTCAATACCCCTGAGCTTCTGTGATTCAAATATCTTTAGTAAGACTTTGTCTATAAGAGTTGAACCAGCCTTGTTCCTAAGCAAGTACAGCCATATAACTTCTAATTGGAGAATGTGTGGGAGCAGCTAAGTGCTCAGGTGTCCAATCGGACAAGCATAGATTGGAATTTGGACTTCCGTGTGTATCAGCTCTATGAACTTTGACCAGGACTCAATCTTTCTGAGCCCCCATTTCCCCGTCAGTAAAATGGAGATTTATAAAATGGTTTGAAGACAAATGAGCTAATTTTGTTACACATTGTTTGGCATATATTAAATGGTATAGCTATTTTCTACAAAAGACAGAACACAGTATGGAATTTGTTGTAGATTTTGGCACTTTTTTATTTGTGCAAGTTAATTTTGGTATCCACATTTGGATTACACTGTTTTTATACCCATGTGAAGTAGATCACACCTTTCCAACTGATTAATGCCGTTTTAGAATACACATACTATTATTTTGAGAGGAAAAATAATGGTAGTAGTCTGATCGTCATGTTCATAAGGGAAAAAAGAGAAGCTGAAGTGTGTGTCTACCAAAGCCCAAACGTTTCCACTGCTGCTCAATTCACAACCCAGATGAGATTGAAACAGCAGGGTCATTAGGGTCTCCAAAGGAAGAAAATTCCATGTTTATTTCTGATTTATTGATTTCTTCCATTATTCCAGCTTCTGGGTTTAAAATGTTAGTGAGTGAAATGGTTTTGTTGACATTTCCAATAGAGGTCCCATGACCTCAACGTTGCACACTATTTAAACAGGAAATATACCCTTTTAGCACTGAAGTAAACACAACTGGCGATGAACCACCCGCAGGCAGCTTTCTAACAAAGCCCCTCAAACCTGCCTGACTTTCCTGCCACATGGGCCAAGGAAGGCAAACATAGCCATGAGAAGAAAAAGCTGACTCTCATTCCCATTTGAACCAACCACTCATATTTTCAATTCGTAGATTTTTGATAAATGTCATTGCCCCAAGGTCACCCCCAGGGTGTTGAGACTTTTATCTTGCCAGTCATCCTAGTTATTTTTCTTTCTCTTCCTTTTAAGAAGTTTTTATCCCTAATTTTCACATGTTGTTTATTAACAAAACATGTACAAGGAATGCAGACTCTATATTTCAAACATTTCTAGGCTTCAAGGATGGGAGAAGAATTAAACAAGGGAGAAGGCTGGCTTCCAGCAATAACACAGCTTTAACAAATACATGAAATATTTATAGAACACATAAAGAACAAAGGAAATGGAGCACTTCCTCGGTATATGATTTCTCTCAGTGTTTCTGTCGACCTGGTCTTTTGCCACTACTTTTTTTCCCCCTGAGATACCTGTTGAGCAACAAAGAGTGAGATGTACCTGGTCAATGTACTTTCAACATACCGTCTCTCCGATTTTGTAAAGGAAGAATCTCAGATGCTAATGATGATTGAATTAACATTTTCATTCTGAGAACATTGTTTTTTGGAGGAAATACACTGAGAAATCAAGGCCTCTAGTAAGTTGTAACTATTTGAGAAACCATCTAATTTTAACCTAGATTTTCAAGAACAACAACAAAAACTGCTAAAATATTTCGATTGCTATAGGAGAAGACACATAAATTGAGAAACTGGCAGGGTGATTTTCTCAAAGTAAAAAAGAAAGTGTCTTCATACTTACAGTCCATTCCTAGGGTTGCTCTTACTTCCCTAGAACTTAGTTTAACAGTTTTGCAAGCAGAATTATTTATTTAATTGACCACAGAAATTTTCATTATTTTTGTAATGAGAAAGAGAAATGGAGAGCATATTAGAGATCTGCTTCTGGGGTAAAAACTGATATATAACACCTAATATATAGCATTAATGGGTGTTGTTACTGAAACTGGAGAGTTCCCTGGCTCCCCTTGCAGGGCCTGTGACAGGGGTGTGGCTCTCTACACCACCACTGTGAGCTCAAACCCCTTTCAGGAGCGGGAACATGCAGATGAGCAGGTGCGGGAGCCAGGGCAAGCGCTTTGGGGTCTGGCCCCATGGTAGTGTCTAATGGTGGGTGCCTGTGACCCCAGCGTTACAGTGCTCTTTTAGCTCTGCTGTCCACAGACTGCTTAAGTGTTAACCAGCTCAGTGCCCCCTCTGCTTTTCTGTAATGGGCCAGTGTGACATTTTCTGTGTCATGAGCTCTTGTCCAGTGTCCCCAGGAGTATCGAGTCGCACACAGACTTGAAGGGTGGTGAATGTCGGGGCTTTATTGAGTGGTGGAGGTGGCTCTCAGTGGGATGCATGGGAGCTAGAAGGGGGATGGAGTGGGATCTTCCCCTGGAGTTTGGCTGTCCAGCAGCCGAACTCCTCTCTGACTGCTCCAGCCGAACTTCTTTTGGTTCTCAGACGCTCCTTCTCTTTCTCTGCTGCGCCGTTCTGCTGTTCATTTGCTTGTCTCCTTGTCTCCTCATCTCCCTCTAGGGCCTGGGGTTCATCGTTGATATAGGTACAGGATAGGGGGTGTGGTTGGCCAAAAGGCAACTTTTATAGCACAAAAACAGGATAGCCTGTCCTTATTTAGGGCTGCAGGTATCCGGGATTGAGAGTGGGGCCTTTGCCGAGGAACTGCCCTCTTCTACCTAGTATTTCTCTGTCGCCTGTTCGTATAATTACCACACATAATTCCCCATATAACTTGATCAAACTTACATCACTTGCTTTATCTTTCCAACACTTGGGTCCTGCATTTGTGCAGTGTCATTGAAGTGCTATTTATACTTAATAATTGATTTTTACAATGCTATTTTACATCCATTGTACCAGGAGCTGTGCTAAGTGTTTTACATAAAATATCCCATTTCATATTCATAGTAGCCCTTTGATTTTGGTAAAAATATCAAATATAAGAACACCAAGATTTGAGAAACCCAGGTGATTCTACCAAGCCGGAAGGAAGAGAGTCTTAGATCCCCCTGGATGTTCTCACTCTGCATGTATTCCCACCCCAGCTGGGACAATGGTGTCACTTTAGATTGTAGCATTTCCTGTTTCCTCTCCTCACAAAGTAAAATGTCATCATTGATTCAGAATAGTATTTTTGAGCATCGAATTTAACCTGTTCATTGTATGAGTGTGTGTGTGTGTGTGTGTGTGTGTGTGTGTGTGTGTGTGTGTTGGATATACTGGCTTAAGACAGTGGCCAGGTGTGGTAGCTCATGCCTATAATCCTGGCAAGGCAGGAGATGCCAAGGCAGGAAAATCACTTGAGCCCAGGAGTTTGAGGCCAGCCTGGGCAACATAGGGAGACCCCCTTTTCTACAAATAATAATAAACTAGCCAGGTATGGTGGTGCACGCCTGTAGTCCCAGCTACTCAGGAGGCTGAGGTGGGAGGATCGCTCAAGCCTGGGAGGTCGAGGCTGCAGTGAGTGGTGATCAGGCCACTGCACTCCAGTCTGGGCAACACAGCAAAACCTTGTCTGGAAAAAAAAAAGAGAGAGAGAGAGAGAGAGAGAGAGTAATAAGTATCAACATAGTGTAGATTCTGGAATCCATATGCAGCTATCAGTGGGAAACAGCCTCCTAGAGCCCCTTCTATTTTACAGCCCCCACTCCTCTTCCTCTGAAGACCTTGACTATGCTGCTCAGTTTGTTTGGGAGTAGATCATTTTTCACTTATAAACATTTCCTCCACATATGGTATTCAAATCATGGACTGTTACAAGAGATGTGTGTAAGCCAGGGCAGTAGTTTCAGAGAATCAAAAATAAGGCTTCATTTTAGCAAACAGCTTAGAGAAGAGCTCAGCATGGAAGAAAAGGTATTAGCTGTACACATGTTGAAATTGGAAAATTAGTTTAAATAAAGTAATTTTAAACAAATTTGGTTGACTGTGAGGACATGATAGTCTAAGTTACATTTCTGGATACATAAAAAATCTATTATAAACACATTCATGCAAAAAATACATACATACATATTCACCTATTTTTGAATTACTGTATTGTATGACCTAAGGAAATGTTACTTTTTTGATGGCAAAAAACTCCAAAAAGAACATTGTTTTAAATTTGGCAACCTACTTTCTCCTAACTCTATTAAAACTAGAAGATCCCTTTAACAATGCAATGTGTGTATATAATATGAGTGATCACATCTTTGTTCAGTTCAGTCTTTTCTCCTTATGCTTAGTCTCAACTCTGTCTTGAAAATAATAAAGAGCACATGTTAGCTGCCTGGAGCCAGTCGTCTAGGCGACTCCTATCATTTTTATATTATCGGTTTGCTGGGTGTAATTGGCATTTATATAAATAAACTTCCACCTCATACCTCCTTTCCTTTTAAGGCTCAGATTAAAAAGTTCTGCTCCTTCGTGGACCTTTCCAGAACCCCAAGACCTATTACCCTTTCTAACCTTCAGTTCCCACAGCAGCTGTTGATACCTCTTTAAGAGCTTCTGGTACAATTTGTCTTCTATCATTTTTTGAGAAATTTTGTATATTTTCTCTTATCCTGTAGTATGAATACAATATATGAATACAATGTGTGAACAGGAGTTTGATTTATTTCTATTATTCTGTTTGTTAGTGTCAACAGAAAGAGTCAAACTCTGTAAAATATTTGAAGAGATATATTCTGAGCCAAATATGAGTGACCATGGCCCGTGACACAGCCCTCAGGAGGTCCTGAGAACATGTCCAAGGTGGTTGGGGTGCAGCTTGTTTTTATACATTTTAGGGAGGCATGAGACATCAATCAAACACATTTAAGAAATACATTGGTTTGATCCAGAAAGGCAGGACAACTGAAAGCCGGGGCTTCCAGGCTATAGGTAACTTTTCCACTTGACAATTGGTCGAGTTTGTCTACAGACCTGGAATGATAGAAAGGAAATGTTCAGGTTAAGATAAAAGATTGTGGTGACCAAGACTTTTTTGAAGTATTATAGTGGCTGCCGTTAGAGAGAGAGGATGACAAGTGTTTCCTATTCAGACCTTTAAAAGGTACTAGACTCTTAGTTAATCTCTTTAGGATTGGGAGTACCTGGAAGAAAAAGATCTAGCCATGTTAATAGAGATTCTTTACAGATGCAAATTTTTCCCCACAAAGGACAGTTTTGCAGGGCCATTTCAAAATAAGGCAAAGAAACATATTTTGGGGTAAAATATTTTGACTTTCTTCTTTGTCATATAGTTGGAAAGTAAGAGTCAGATTGGGAAGTAAGTCACAATATATAGGGTCTGCTGAGAATTTATGGTTTGTAAGGTATGACTCTCCAGACCCCTTAAATAGGAATTAGGGCAAGATTAAAAAAAATCAGAGCTTAGTCCTCATTAGCAAGACTAGCACTGTCTTCTGTGTGTATGAGTCATTTAAACTTATTGGCTAAATAACAATAGAAAATGTTTATGTTTGCTCATGGTAGACAATAATTTATACAAATTTATACAAATATAATAATTCATACAAATACAAATTTATACAAATAATTTATACAAATTATTTCTTCTAATCCTCAGAACTATTATCCTCCATTTACAGTTAAGTAAACTGAGGCCCTGGAAAATGAGGCACTTTAGTTTTAAAAGCTGCTAAAGTCTATTGCTACATCATGCAGGTAAGTCTTTTTACTTATATTTGTCATATCACTCTTAACCTTTCACAAAGCTTTAAAATTAAAATAATAATGAATATACCTAGTACTTTTATGACTATGTTAACAATTCATACCTGTTCTTCCTAATATTCTACCTAGGTGATGTAATTTAAAGTTAAACAGATACAGATAAACTTTGCTGACCCTAAAATTCCCTTCCTATTGTTAGATATGAGTTCTAAATTTTCTCTTCAAAGAATCAATATGTCAGTATGTTTAATTCTTTGCCTTCTACTTTTAAACTTAACTTCCTCATAAAGCAACCTTTTTCAATTACCTACTCCACCCTGACTCATTCCAATTACCTGCTCTGTCATAACCATTTTTCCCGCCAAACCACTCACCCCGTCACTCTCTTTAAATTAGCCAATCGGAATTAGTTTAGCCCATGCGGTCTAACCCTAGCCAATAGGGGAACAACACAGCAGCACGTGCGTCAGGGATAAGAACCCCTTCCCCTCCCTTGTCCAAGTGTGTGGTCACCATTGCTCCATCTGTGAGGGCGCACCCTTCTATAAAAGTAAATTGCCTTGCTGAGGATTGAAAAGAAAATTTTATATTTGAGTGCTATTTCTTTTGTGGCACCGAAACTTTATTTATAACACTATGTACTGAATTTTAAAAACAAAAAACCTAATACCCTCCTTTTTGGCTTGGAAATCAAAACTAGGATTTCTATCCCCAGAAGGCAACAGTTAAAATACCTTAAGCTATGACTTCAGGGAAACCTTCTAGTTATCTTCCTCAACTAGTCAGAGTAGTAAGCAGTATTGTGGCTGATGCTATGAAGCTGACAGAAAGAAGCATCTGACAGATGAGGATGGGTGTATGTGGCAACCTCCAAGGAACTGTGGGAGAACCCAGACAATAAGCCCTGTTCTTCCAAAGATTTCAGCCCCCTTGTCGTTGCAAGGGACTATGAACCATTACATATGATGGCAAGAAACTTTAGTTACTAGTCTTTGAAACTGCACATTGCCTTAAAAGAGAAAATGTTAAGAGGTGTGTGTGTGTGTGTGTGTATGTGTGTGTTTGTATTATCTGGGAATAAGACAGGTAAGCACATTATTAAGCAAATAGGGGTGAAAGTTGTTTCCTAATAGCGGTCTTTAGCTTCAAAGGAAGACCTGATTTGACAAAAAATGAAGATATGTAGTTAAAACAGTGCCTATTTTAGGATGAGGCTGCAGAAAATTTGAACCCATCTCTGCACAAAAGGTGATGGATGGGGGCTTATGATCATCAAGAATAAATATAAGGAATAAAAAGAGAGCAGCTCCTTTAGCTTTCTTTCCTCTGCTTTTCTCCTAGCTAGCCTGGGCTCTGCTTTGCTTGTGTCAGTCAGCTCTGAAGAAGTCTCTGTCCTGTAATTTAGACTGTATGCCATTAAGTGGGATTAGTTCAGGGAAATTCACAGGAATAACAAAAGACAGAAAACATGAGGATGATGGGCCCCACCCCAGGACGGAAAATGTGTGGAAACATCAAGGGAATAAAAGTGTGTCAGGTAACAGACTTTGTCTATTGAATGACTTCATGATTTTGATCCTACGCAATACTTCACAGGAAACATTAAATTACATTAATCCAAAATTCCCTGGAAATAATAAAAGATAGAGGAGGAAAAAAGGTATGTAAAGAAAACAAACAAAAGACCTTGAAAAGCTATGAGAGAAAAGGGAGAAGAAAAGGGAACTAAAGCAGAAAAGGAGAAGGGTAACGTACTTTGCATGTTACAGAGAGATTGGACGCCACTGCTTACTGCCCCAGAGGCTACTAAGAAACCTTTAAATGAGATTTCTGTCTGGCTTGGAGAAGTTTGAGGAATAAATGCGATTAATCATTATTTTGATTCTTATGAAGAAAAAATAGCACTTCCATATAAACAACCATCTATCCAATTTTATTCAATGAATAGGTGAAAAAAAAGCTGTGAAACACTTCTATGATCACAAAAACACTTTAGTAGAGTACTCAAAATATCAGAAGCGTGTTTAAAAAGCATACATTTGACTAAATTGGAAATGTGGCAATTTACTAGGTGGCCATCTTAAGTGAACTGCTTTGCAATATTTGTTGAAGAATTAAATTAATTTTGTGCCTTCTCTCTCAATGCCTGAGTTTTCTGGGATCCTATTTTTGACAATTCATCTTTCCTTCTTCTATACATCATATTTTTGCTAGTGAACCAAAACCCATTTAAACAAAGTTTCATTGAATAAACAAAACAATACTGAGGTTAAAATAAGTTTCTAGCATTATTTCTGCAAATACAAATGGGTATACAAGTGACACACTTCTCTAAGACTTCAGTAGCAACTATTTTTAGGGGATATGATAAGATTTATTTTGAGTAAATTCAATTTGAAACCTCAAAATTGAAATAGGTTTGGCATTTTCTCATCACTGGCAACCACCCATGTTATTAAATAAGAAACCTGAGAACTATTTTTTCCATGAAATTTTTGAAATACCCACAAGTGGCATTAAATGCTATTTGGCTGTGCCAACACAGTCTTGAGTCTCTCTTGGCTGAAATGCTATCCAAGGACAAATGATCAAATGATGCCAATTTGCCTATATGAAGGTTCATCCCCCCTATCCCTGCTTTTTTCCCTTCAAGAATATGTACTTGAGATCAGTCCTAAGGAGTCTTCTTTAAAGCAGTGCCAAATGGCCATGTTTCAAAAAAAATGTGCTATATATTGCATGTGTGTGTTTAAATATACTCCAAATTCTTCTTTTCATGGGATAGTGCTAAGAAATTATGTTGCTCTAGTTCGCTGAAGACTTTCCATAAGTGGTAAGGCTTTGCTGTTTTCATCAGCTACTATAAAAAATAAATATCTTTAAATCATAATATCATTTATATTAAATTAATATTAAAATATTAATATCATTTATTTTAAATTAATTTTTAAGTGTTTACTATGTGCCTAAGAAAAAGACACAATTCCTACACTTAAGGAGTTTATAATCTTGTTGGGAAAACAGGCAAGTAAACAGGCTGCTAAAATGTAGTAAAACAAATACAGTGACAGAGGCGAGAATAAAGTATTGTAAGGGCCCAGAAGAGAAGCATCTAATCCCGCGTTAGAGAATAAGAAATGTTCAATGTTCACTGAAAGTATTTGAAACCACAGCAAGAACATAAACTTTTAAATAGCGATTTGACTATATATGTACGGGTCAAAGTTAAATCCACCAATTAGCTAGATAACTTTGAACAATTTCTTTATCCCCTAATTTTGGCTTTTATAAAATTGATATAAAAATATTGATTACAAAAGACTTTGGTAAATACTAAGTGCCTAGTGCCTTTTGCTTAGAAAATATTTGCTTAGTAAATATTAAGTGCCTGGTGCCTTTTGCTTAGAAAAACTTTTCCTTCAAATTTATATATAAAGGTATAAAACTTGACTGCATATATGCTCAGATATCAGGAAAACAACCTAAATATTATGAGAACCAATGGAAAATGTACCTTTTTAATATTTTTAGTCTTTTATGTAATATTTGCCTATAAAAATTTTGTTAACTACAGAAAGCATCAGGTATAACAATGAAAGTTAAGTCATTTTTTACATAAATGCTATTAAAAAACTATTCATGATAGTGTTATCACAAATATATTTTGGGCTCAGTAATTTCTAAAAAATTATTAAATCATAGTTTAAGATTCAATGTACCTTTTGATAAGATGGGATCACTGTGTTATTTAATGTAATATTTGCTAATAGAAAAAAGTTTAAGTGTATTGTATGTAGTTTCAATAAAACTTACAGAAATTTCCAAAGTCTTTACCTTTTCCAAAGTCTTGACACACTCACACAGACAGAGATTTCACAAACATGCAATGCCTAGGATATATTAGGTATAGAAAGAGATGCAAAAAATGTGTAGATATGGTTCCTGCCCTCAGCAAAACTGATGTGTACATGGTGGAGTGCTTAATGGCAGAACATAGGTAATAAGGTGATGGTGAGATCATTGGAAATGGGCTTAACATATAGCTAAATAGACATGAGGTTCCTGGTTGTTCCAAAAAAAAGTATTAATTCTTGTTTCCATACTTGCCCCTGCCTAATCCATTGTCCACACATTTGTCAGACTGTTCTTTAAAAAATATTTATTATATCATACAGACTTCTTGTTAGACACTCTATGATGTCTTTCACTGAACTTGGGACAAAGACTAAAATGAATACTATGGTCTATGAGAGGCTTCATGATTCGGCCTCTGCCTGCCTCTCCAGACTTATTTATAAATATTTTCTCTCCTTCATTATGCCTGAACTCATATAGCTCTTCATTCTTCACAGGTCAAAATCTATTCTGCCTCAGAGGCTCATACTTGGCTATTTCCCCAGCTTTCGTTTAATGTAACATTTAATCTTAAGCATGTCCTCTAGAATTAAACAGGTTTTAACTATCTAACTTTTAATGGCTACGTGATCACAAGTGTGTATCGTTATAGAGGGACATCTTCAGTTTCTGACACTAGAAATCATTCTTCATTTTTATGAAAAATTTTCTTTTAATAACTAATTTTCCTTTACTCTCAACCTATGATTTGGGTAAGATTGTTTTTGCTTGAAGTGCCATAGATAGATCCTAATTAGTTTAAACTAGTCAACTTATCTCTGCTTTCTGGCCATAGAATTCTTCAGGACAGGGCATCTGAAAAAATTTGAGTCAATGCACAGGATATTGTCCTGGGAAGCACCATATAAAAAAATAAAGAAGAGGAACAGAATCTGCGGCAAAGAAAGGTTAAATTATTGATAGCATGTTTTGAATTCTGAAACATCAATTTCTGAAACTAGAACTTCTGGGGTTTTTTAAATTTAAATTTTTATAAAAATGCTATAATTAATATCTCAGCAAATCTTTGTCCTCATGTCCGATTATTTAAGAAAATTACTAGAAATTGGATTAATGATCCAAGGGTGAGATTATTTTTAAGTCTTTTAATAAATGTTCCCAATCTGTTTTTAGTACAGTTGGTAGCAATTATTATTCCCACCATCGGCGGGTAAGGGTGACTTTTCCAACTTGAAAAAAAATTCTTAAGAAGGAAACAAAATCTTTGCCTTGGATTTCTCAAGTAATTACATATAGGTAGTACTAAAATTAAGTTGGAAACAATCTGTATTCTAATAAGTGGGAAAAATAACAAAAACTTGAACCTATTTGAGGACAGACCATATCCCAATGTTTCTGACATCAGAAAAGCTTAGATAATTATGGATGGATGGAAATTAGTTCTAAACAGTAGAAAATACAGAAGAAATTGAGACTATATGGCCTAGGTAGGTATCTAATAGATGCAAGCATTTAGCCAACAGACAATCAATTTACAGAATTTGCTTGTTTTTTAATAAGCATTTAATTTTAGTTGACTACTTTGCATTATACTCACATAAAAATGCTATAAAGTATATTTTATTTGTCTAAGCCTGTAGGCCTCTTTTGAAAACCAAATGAGAATCAGCCAATTGAAACTAAATAGTTGAAAAAACAAGCAAACTTGGCAAATTTGGTTATTTGCAGGATTGCCTGGTTTATTGGCTTTTGAAAAACTGGCTTTTGCAAAATGATCTAGACACAAATCTAGTCGGTAAATTTTTATGAGGGACTTGCTAGGGAGCTATTCTTTATGTTCTCAAATAAGTAGATCTTATGAACAAAAAATAAGCTTGAAGGAAAGGACACATTTTAATTGGACATAAAGACAAATGTGCTAATTTTAAGGATGATAATACATTGAAATGGGTTGAGTTTTCATATGTTGAGACACTCAACTGCCTGTAGTTATCTCTAAAGTTCCCTTCCAGGCTCACAAAAATAATATCTCATCCAAACCAATCCAAAGAGAAAGAAAAAGTCAAGTCAAAGACAACCAGAGACAGATAAAAGCTCATGAAGCATGGTCTAGACGGGCAGGACAAACTACAAAGATTTTAAGCATTTCATAAGATTAGTGGTAGATCAGGTGTGGAGACAGACATAAATATGATGCCTATACCTGGTTCTCTAGAAGCAGAACGTGCTTAGCCATTCTGGTGCAAGTTATTTATTGGGAGAGCCCTCTTGGGAGAAAAGGAGTGATGGAAGCATGCTCTGGCTTCTATTTTTACATGGAAAAAGTTAAGCATGGATTTGGTCTCAGTTGGAGTCCAGCTTCAGCCTTTAGCTTTGGGCCTGACCCAGGGACAGTCCTGGAATCTGAAAGTCCTTCCTTATCAGTCAACCATTGTCTGGGGGCTGCTGTGACATTCCAAGTAAGATGGCTTTCATTGGCTGAAAGCAATTCTCCACTATAGAGGGCAGCTGTGAGCTATTAGCAGCCAATACTTATAGGAGCTAGGCAGGATGCTGACTGTCTAAGTAAAGGGCCCCCGGGTGGGGGCACTGACAGCTTTTAATGTATAATGTAAATGTAGACTACTAGATGCATTTTTCTCTAGTCACTCTAATTAGTATTAAAAGCATTTACTAATTACCTTCATAATGGTGACTTTTAAAATCATGTATTAATGCTTCTCAAATATTTTCATTAATGTATTTCTCATGTCATAAGGAAAGGAGTGAATATTGTGAAACAGGGAGACTGCTCTCTGAATGTCTAGCATTTCTTTGGCATTTTTTTAATTTGTAAAATTCAAATAAATTTCATCTTCTACTCCACATATACCTATGCTGATTTTGATGAGAAAATATTTGATGTTATAGAAAAGTTAATATATAGCAACTTGTTATGAAATATTTCAATAAAATTTATCCACCAGGAGGATGCTTCTGATTTTTGTGGTTTACTTTGGCACTTTGAGGATATGGGTACCTAGGCAGTAGGTGGTTGGTAATCTGGGGGAGCTAACGTTTCTATTTATATTTTCATGCTTACTAAATTACAAGGATATATTTGAGACAACGGTGACCTTATTTATTTTGTTGTACATCAATTCATGTTGTTGATATTAGGGCTAAAGGATTGTTTTTCACTAGTAGATGGATCTAGCATACTAAAGATTTCTTAGCTACGCATCTTCTTTTCCCTATATATCTTATACTTATATCATTTGTTCCATCAAAATATATTTAGACTTATATAGTTATTATCCTTAATGTAACCTGTGATTGTTTATTTGAATTTCACTGACACAAGCAGTGGGAGTACAAAAATATTTTAACCAATCTTACTTACTTCGTGGAATAGCAAATGAGCTGAGTTAGACCACAAAATGCTGGACTGGATTTGAAGACTGGCAAGAATGTTAATTCTGACTGGCATCCGTGGTGTTTCATTTCAGTTTACCACCCAAATAGCCAACAAGTAGTGCAAAGGTCACAAGAATTGAGAATAAAATAATTGACTGGAAACAGCTCTGTAAAGACACCCTATGTTTCTCAGAGACACTCCCACAATTCAGGAGTCAAAGTATCCTGTAGGTATTGAGAATCCTGTTCAGTGATAGCAGCCAAGAAATGGGGCTGTTTCATCCAGTAGGCTTGGGCGGAGGCCACATTGACACTCAGCTGTCTTCCTATCAATACGGAAGACAACACTTTTATGCTGTAGACACATTTATTTCTTACTGCTGCATCAGGCCTACCATGGGCTTGTTACACAGAGACAGCTTAACTGTTGAAGATCCTTGAGTGAGCAGGCTTATTGTGGGGCCAAAATACAAAAAATAAATCAACTAAACCCATTTCTAGAGCAAAAAAAAATCCACTATATAGGAATATTCTAAATTGCGTGTTAAAACACTGAATCCAACTAACCAGAAGACTGTTTTATCAATTTGTTGATTTCACAAAATTGGCCAAAGGCTAAATAATCAGTATGAAACAGTCAATACTCATAGATTCAGTATGTCCCACTAAATAGGGAAAAAACTTCCAAGACACCAGTAACATATTTTATGTGGCATATAGTAAGCAATTGCTACATGTATTTGGATAAATTATTATATTTTCTGTGTTTACTTCTGGAAACAAGGGTTCAGTTTTTTTTTTTTTTAAGAAAATAATCCATTTATTTCAAATTGCAGTTTATTCTGCCTATAAAAAGTAAAGGATTTTTTTTTTGTACTTTTAGCCTTCCAGCTATTGTCAGATAGTTATTGTCAGGAATTCCCTGCTACCAACAAGAAGCCTTGTACTTTCCATCCCATAGAGCTATTTTTCTTCTCTCTTCCTCTAACTCTCCCTCTCTCTGTCTCTGTTTCTCTCTCATACACTCACATACATATCTTCTAGTGAAAATAGATTTGGATCTCCAGTTTATCCAAATATTTTTGGACAACAATCCTATTTTAAAGAATTTCCAGCTGGGCGCAGTGGCTCACGCCTGTAATCTCAGCACTTTGGGAGGCCAAGGCAGGAGGATCACTTGAGGTCAGGAGTTTGAGACAAGCCCGGCCAACATGGTGAAACCCCATGTCTACTGAAAATACAAAAATTACCTGGGCACAGTGGCAGTGCCTGTAATCCCAGCTACTCAAGAGGATGAGGAAGGAGAATTGCTTGAAACTGCCAGGCAGAGGTTGAAGTGAGCTGAGATTCCACCACTGCACTCCAGCTTGGGCAACAGAGCAAGACTCTGTCTCAAAAACAACAACAACAACAACAACAACAACAACAAAGAATTTCCATAGGTCACTAAAATTTTCATTATCTACAGATCTGCCTTTGTTATTTATGTATCTGTCTGTATCTAAGAATTTATTCATTTATCAATGAGTGTTTATTTTTGATATCATTTAGAGTTAGGTCAGTAATTGTGTATCATGTGCACTTTTATTTGTTAAGTAAGATAATTCATTCACCTCTTGCATTTTACTTGTTCTTTATTTGTTTACAGGTAGGAAGTTGTTATATACCTATATATTAATTTTTCATTTATTACTGAAAGATTAATCAGACTAATTTAAGATATTTTGGATTTCCTTTAGAGGCTAGAGGCATACAATTCAATCCAATTATTTTATTCTTTAAAATTAATTATACCTATGTAGCATAAAAATGAATTATTCTATGAGTAAATAATTTAATTTCACTCCCAAAACACATTTTAATAGATACTAAAAGATGAATAATGAATTTGATAACCATGGCCCTGTAAGTAAGTATATTGCTGGAGGAGATACAGTATAAATTTCTGGCACAATTTCTTTAGGCTGATTTTATTATTAGCAAAATTAAAAAAATTAAAATTGTACTAATTTGAGTTATTTAGTAAAAGAAAGCAATACTAGGTGGAAAATAAATTTTTGTTTCTCAAAAAGCTGAATATAAGCCATGTTTTATATGGAAGGAAATAAAAACCTGTTTGGACTACTTTATTCTGTAGCCTAGAAAATAATTCAGTAGCATTACTATAAAAGCTTGTTCACTGCATTAAAACACAGAGATTAGTCAAGCACAGGTTGCTCATAACAACCAGGCTTGATAATTCACAGTAATATTCTTCCTGAACATTTTGAGCTTTGATACTATCAAGATTTTTTCTCTAGCTTCAGAATCATTATATTAAGGATTTGAGCTTAAATTATCCATTAATAACTTTCTGGCCAATGCTATTGAAATACAACACTCTCATATCTTCGCTTTCACTCATCACTATACAATATACTCCTATTTTCAGTGTTATACTAGTTTAAGCCATTTTGAGAGCTGTTTTTCTTTAAATACAGGTATTATTCCAGATTTTTGCTTGCAAATGACAGAAACCCAACCCAAAAGCTTAAGTGGAAAAAGGAAGACATTATTGGCGGTGATAACTAAACCACAAAAAAGAATGCAACCCAGTCTAAGTCTCAGATTCCCTCTCTATGTCCCGTTCTGTGTCTAGCTGTACTCTTCAGCCTTTCAGGGTATAGTGGACACTTGTTTGTAACTTCACCAGTATGCATGCCACCTTCTTCCAGATTTGCTAGAAAACCTGTATGGTTCTGGAGATGTTAACTCTATCCCTGACATCAGAAATCAAAGTCATACATTTGCCAACAAAGGGAGCCTTAGATTGTGCCACTAGCCTACTGTGACATTGGCCTTTTCTATATCACTGTTTTTCTTTTTCTATTAAGATAAAATTCACATAGCATAAAATTCACCCTCATAAAGTGTATACTTCAGTGCTTTGTAGTATATTCACAGAACTGTACAACCATTACTATGATCTAATTTCAGGACATTTCATCATCCCTCAAAGAAACTTTTCACACATTAGCACTCATTTTCCATTCCCTTCCATTTTTCTCAACCCCTGAAAATTACTAATCTACTTTCTGTGTCTATAGATGTAGCTACTATGGTTTTCCATACAAATGGAATCGTCCAATATATTTTTGTGTCTGTGTCTGGTTTTTTTTTTAACTTAACATAATATTTCCATGATCATTCATGTTGCAGCATGCAGCAATACTTCATTCCTTTTTATGGCTAAGTAATAGTTCCAGTGTATGGATGTACCACTTTTGCTTATCCACTATCCATACTTTTATTCATCAGTTTATGAGAGTTTTTTTTCATTGTTTCTTTTCAGTTGTTTCTACTTTTTGCCAATGATGAATAACATTTTTATGAATTGCTATGAAAATTTGTATACACGTGTCTGAGTGGACATATGTTTTCATTTTGAGGAGTATATAAGAAAGGGTGAAATTGTTAGATCATATAGTAACTTCTATGTTTGTTTAACTTGTTAAATAACTGCCAGAATATTTTCCAAGCCACTGCACTGTTTTACATTCCCACCAGCAATGTATGAAGTTTCTAATTTCTTCATAATCTCACCGGCATCTGTTGTTTACCATCCATTTTATTCTAGCTATCCTAATGAGTTTGAAGTGATACTTCATTGTGGTTTTGATCGGCATTTTTCTGTGGCTACTAATGTTGAGCTTTTTTCATGTGCTTGTTAGTTACTGCATATCTCTTTGGAGAAATGTCTGTTCTTGTCCTTTGTCCCCATTTTATTGGGCTACTTTTTGTTACTGAGTTGTAGGAATATTTTATATAGTATGGAGACTAGTCCCTTATCAGAAAGATGGTTTGCAAATATTTTCCTCCATTCTATATATTATATTTGACCTTCTTTATAGTGTTCCTTGAAGGAAAAAAGCTTTCAATTTTGATAAAACCCAATTTATCTATTTTTTCTTTTACTATTTGTGCTTTTGGTGTCATATCTAAGAAATCAAGGCCTAATTAAAGGTTACCAAGATTTATATCTATTTTTTCTGTGGGTTTTATAGGTTCACCTTTTATATTTATGTTTGTAATCCATTTTGAGTTAATTTTTATATATGCTATTTGGTATGGACCCAATTTTATTCTTTATCTTGTGGATATCCAGTTGTTCCAGCACCATTTGTTGAAAGATATTTCTTTTCCCATTTGATTTCTTTGTACCTTTGTCCGAAATGACTTACCTATAAAGGTAAGAGATTATCTTGAACTCTCAATTCCCTTTCATTTATCTATGTATCTGTCCTTATGCCAGTACTACATAATTTTCATGGCTTTGTGGTAAGTTTGGAAATTGTACTAATTTTGGAAAATGTGATTTCTCAAATTTTGTTCTCTGTTTTTAAGATTGTTTGGGCTATTCTTGCATTTTCATCTAAATTTCAGGAACCGCTCATCAATTTCTGTAAGTTATCTGGGGTTTTGATTGAGATTGCATTGAATCTGTAGGAAAATTTTGTTAATACAGCTATCTTAACAATATTAATTCTTCTAATTCATAATGATGGAACGTATTTCCATTTATATTGCTCTTCTTTAATTTCTTACAATGACTATTGTAGCTTTCAGTGTCCAAGTTTTCTACCACTTTTGTTAAATGATTCCTAAATATTTTACTATTTTAGATGCTACTGTAAATAATTTTTCAAAATTTTATCTTTGGATTATTCATTGTAATATATAAATAAAATTGATTTTCATTGATTTCATTTAGACAATCTTCTACTGTCTAAATTCATTATTGGCTCTAGTAGTTTTTATTATTATGACGATGGATTCCGTAAGTTTTTTTGTATCTCAGATCATCTATAAATAGAGTTAATTTTACATCTTCCTTTCCAATCTTGATACCTTTCATTTCTTCTTTTTTGCCTGTTTGTCCTGGATAGAACCTCCAAAAATGTTCACTAGAAGTGATGGGAGCAGAGATCCTTGTATTGTGCCTGATTTTAGGGAAAAGGCTTTCAGTCTTTTACAATTAAGTAGGGTGTTAGCTGTGGACTTTTAATAAATATTCTTCATTGAGTTGAGCTTCATATTTCAACTTTTTTGAGTATTTCCTTTTTATGAAAGGATGTTGATTATTTTCTAATGCTTTTCTTCTATGTCTATTGAGATAATCATTTGGGTTTTGTGTTTTATTATATTAATGTGCTTTATTATATTAATATAGTATACTGCATTAATATATTTTTGTATTTTAAGTAATTTTTGCATTCCAGGGATAAATCCCATTGGGCTATGGTGGATAATCCTTTATATATGTTGCTGAATTCAGATTGTTAATATTTTATCACAGATTTTGCATCTATATTCATAAGAAGGATAAGTCTGCAGTTTTCTTTCTTGTAATGTTGGTGCTATGAGTTTTTATATCAGAGTAATACCGGCCTCATAGATTGTGTTGGAAAATGTTCCCTTCTCTTCTAGTTTTTTGGATGAGTTTGTGAAGGATTTGGTATTGATTTTTCTTTAAATGTTTAATAGAATCGTCAGTGAAGCCTTCTGGTCCTGAGTTTCACTCTATGGGATGTTTTTTGATCACTAAAAGGATTATAAAGGGAATACTATGAACAATTATATGTGAATGTATTTGATAACCTAGATGAAATGGTATCCTGGAAACATACAAACTACCAAAACTCAAGATAAAATAGAAAATTGAAATAGATCTCAAAAAAGTAAAGAGGTGAAAATAATAATAAAAAAGACGTAATAAGAAAACCAGAGAAGTATATCCCTTATTAATATAGATGCAAAATCCATGATAATATCAAAAAGCATTTATTTGTTTTTATTTGCAGTTATTTGTTGATATTTCAATTTGCTAAGACATTGTTCTTATATTTTCTTTTAGTTCTTAAGACGTGGTTTTCTTTAATTTACTAAGCATGTTTAAAATAGATGATTTAAAATATTTTTAGTAGGTACAACATCGTGGTTTCCTCAGGTACTGTTTCTGTTGACTCGCTTATTTTTACTATTTATTTCCTTGCATGTCACATAACTTTTATTTCAAAACTAGACATTTGAAATAATACAGTGTGGCAACTTTGGAAATTAGATTCTCTCCTATCAGTGTGTTTTGTTGTTGCTACTTATTGTTATTATGTTTGTTTAATGGCTTTCCTGCACTAACCATTTGAAGCTGTTACTGGCCGCGAATCCATATGGGTCTGCAGCAATCTTAGTTCTTGCCTCCTCAGAAGAAAGAATTCAACTGAAGGGCATAAGGCAGAAAAAGAGACAGGCAAGTTTCAGAGCAGGAGTGGTAGTTTATTTAAAAGGCTTTAGAACAGAAAAGAAAGGAAAGGAAAGGAAAGGAAAGTACGCTTAGAAGAGCCCCAAGTGAGCACTAAGATCAAGGGTGGTGTTTAACCTTGTTCTTAGGACTTTATAGGCTGGCCTCTTCCTCATGATTCTTCACTTAGGGTGGGCTGCCTGCATGCACAGTGCCCTCTTGACCCTCGGGAAGTGGGCACATGGGGTGTGTTTAGGAAGTTGTACGCATGCCCATCTGAGGTTTTCTTCCCTTTTCTAATGGAGTGCTCCCGGAAGTTCGTACTCCGCCGTCTTGTCTCTTAATGTATATCCCCAGGAAGTTGCTTCTCTCTGGCATCTGCATTCAGTTAAAACAGTCGTGCAATAGGTGTGGACCATCAGGAAATGGCCTCTCCCTAGTGCCAGCTGCCAAGTTATCACTTTTAGAAAGGCAATGTGATAGTTGCCAAACTGTCACCTAACATTTCTAGTGGTGGGTGGGGGGAGAGCCCTCTCCTTCCCACCTCATGCCTAAGTACCTGTAAAAAAGCCTTTATTCTTTATTGTCTGTGAGCTCTAAAGTCTCTGCATGTTGAGTTTAATGGCCAGTTAATGAGTGGACAGAGATTCTTTAAGTCTCCCATTTTCTGAGTGGCCTTGTATGCATGTTGGGGGCATGGCATCAGTGCGGCAGCAGGCAGTTTGCATCTCTGCCTTTCCCTTCATTTCCTGCTCATGCAGAGGCTCAAGGTCAGCCAGAGGTGAGTGCTTAGAGCCTTCTTTATAATTTCGGGGTATACACATAGTCCTTGACATGCACATAGACCATTGCATGCAGATAGCCTCCTAGATTCCCAAGAATTTGTTGTAGCTTTTCAAATTTCCCTTTAGATATCTTAACTCCTAGGCTTTTTGTTTAAGTTCTTTAATCACATGTTGTTTGCCCCAGTTGTTATTGCCATATCAGGCAACTGCAGTGTTAAACAACTGCTGCTGATTATTTTAAAATGCCCCCAGGAAAAAGATCAGAGCTGAGTGAGCTTTGATTCAGGTCCAATAAACGCAAGCTTTGGAGTTGGATTTTCCAAGGAATTTCTAGATAGGTCAGGGGGTGATGGTTATCTGAGAACGGGACTTTGAAAAAGCTCTAGCCCTGTACTCTCATCAGTGACTGCTAGGCTGCTGGTTTCACCATGATTGCAGGCTGTTGGTTTTCAAGGCTATTGCAGAACTAAGGAGAGAACTAAGGCTATTGCAGAACTAAGGGATGGGAATGGGACAAGTTAAATTGCCACAGGCTCACTGTTGTCACTGAAATTCAGAAATTTTTATTGAATAACACTCCTCCGATTGTTGCAAGTCTTTGGTTAATTCCCACAGTTCTGAAAATGTTGATTTTTTTAAAAGTGGTGGTGGTGTTCTTGTTGCTTTTAATGAGCAGAGGATATTTGAGGTTTTCATTCTGCCATCCCCACTAATGTCACCTCTTATCTGCCACTTACATGTACAAGAATTCGAGTTTAGTTTTTCCTTTGAACTGTAACCAAGAGCATCTTAACTCATACCCTTCTCTACTCAGTATAATTCATGGCTTCCAGTTCTAACCTCCAGTCTGTTTTTGAAGAACTAGCTTCTAATTCAGAAAGTCCTGGGATAAATTCAATTGGCAAAACCTGGATGATCTACCCATGTTCTATACAATTACTAGGGTGAGAGTGAGCAGTCCTTTGATTGTTCCAGCTGAGTGGTCAGATAAAAGTAGGAGTGGAACTGTGTCTGGAAACCTCCACCTGTCCACATGATAACAGATAGGGAAAAACAGTTTTCCCGAAGTAGAATGATATTCTGAATAGGCAGAATAAAAAAAATGCTCACAAAATGCAGTTTGTCATTCTCAAAAAGGAATTGTGACTTACTGGCAAAAATATGGCAAAATCAGGAGAGAAGCTATACCGCGCCCTCACTCTACTTTGGTTTCTTCCTTGTTCCACACTCCGTGATTGTTATTATAACAAGCTTCATAACCCCAAACTCCGTGAATGAACTTCGTGGTTATGACTTCTCTGATCTGTGGCAATACTGAAGGGCCTTGATGTAAACGCTTCTGATGGGAGAAGAAGGAAATACTAAAGAAAAAAAGTAAATAGCATTCTACTCACCAGGAAATGTATACCAGGATTTTTCATGGATAGTAGAAATAATGTGATCAAGCATATGCTGCCAAATGTCTGGCACACCACGTGAATTCAAAAACATTAGGCAATCAAGCAGGGATTTTTTATTTAGAAATTCTGATAAAACTATATTCATGATTGCATTTTAATCAAGTTACTATACTGCCTTTGAATGTTATCGTAATTTCAAGGTTTAAATAGTGATTGTATTTTTGTGTTTCTTTTGTATTTAGAAAAAGCAATTAACACCCAATGAATAGATTTTGATGAAAATGGCTTTGAGAAGTAATTATCTAAGTTTGATTCTTACACATAATCATAAGCCAACCTTTTAAAGTTTAATGAAGGTTTTGCCTCAGTCCACCCTCTTACCTCAAAATGTTACAGACAATGCAGGCAATAGTGCTATTAATTAAAATACTGCACTATTCTTGATACAAATTATGACTAGGGAAATATACCAAACAAAGTAGAGGGGTGGCGTACCTGAAGTCCTTTGTGGGCTGATCCTGCTGAGGCTACGGGCATAACTTAAATGACTAGATCTCAAATAAGAATCATTCCAATTCCCCTTTTCCTGTGTAAAAATAAATATTTCATGACTTTTAGGCTTTCTGAAATTCAATCTCATTCTATATCCTGTCTTTTGGAGCCATTGCTGGTACAATCTCAGGAGCAGCAGATAACAAGGGATTGATAATGAAAGTGAGATATGTGCTATAGCTATTTGCTGTGTATTTTACCTCCCTTCCAGCTAAAAGATATCAGCGGGAAGACAAGGGCTGTTTCTCTGCTAAGCCCTTGATGATTATTTGGCAGAACAAACTTTTCGATTCATAGACTCTCAGAGATAGGCACAGTCTTGTTATCTATTCTGCTATTTATTTAATACAAGAATTGCTCTTGTATCCTTAAATTTTGTCATTCAATGACTGGAAACCACACTTCCTGGTGACACAATTCATTCCAATTGCACATACCTTTTAGAAACCTCTTCATTGTGTAAGCTGCAATTTGACTTCTTAAAAGTTCAAACATTGTACTTGTTTTGTCTTAAGTGGATAGGGAAAACTGAAAAACTTACAGCCTCAGAATACTGAGAAACTTCATACTAGGTTTCACAGAAAGATTTCAGTTTAGATATTTTTGTTGAGGTAATAATTCATAATATTGGAAAAGTAATATAGATACTGCTTTTGCCCTCCATTGAGATATTTGACAGTTTCTCACTATTATGAATATGATGCGAAAATGTAGGCTAGGTGGTAAAATTAATCCATACTAGCTGGTTAAAGGCCATCCAAAGGACGCCTATTAATGGATTTCTGTTAACTTGGAGTTTGGAGGCAAAGGTTCTTTTCTTGGCCCTGTCCCATTTGACATTTTTGTCAATAGTTTGCATTAGAATTAAGAAAGGATATATTTGCCAATATGCAGATGGCATGAGGTAGAAAAGAGGCGCTTTTATGTATAACGACTAATAAAATCAGATTCAAAAATATCATAGCATGTTAGATGTACAGGCTAAGTCTAATTATAAAATTTTAATAAGGGTAGACATGGTCCTTTTCAAGTAAACATTGGAGGTCTATAGCTTAGAAACATGATATGAAGAAAGCCTAGAAACTTTAGTTGATGGAAAGGATATGAGTGCTTTTATACAGGAGTTAGCAAATTAAATCCCACCATCTGTTGATAAATGAAATGGTATTGAAACATAACTGTACTTACTCATTTACAGCATGCCTAAGTCTGCTGTCATGCTACAACAGAACTGCATATTGCAAGAGGAATTTGAGGACCAAAAAGCAAAAAATATTTACCATCTGGCCGTTTATGAAAAGTTGTGTTGGCCTTGATCTAATGCAAATAGTTTTCGTTAATACATATAGATGGTCCATGTATATGGAGATAATAACCCCTGACATTTTTGACACTACTGCTTAGTTTTATCCTTTTTAATAGTTTCAGTTCTGGACTCCACATTTTGCTAGGGACATTACCAACTATCCAGAAGACAGAGATGGGAAATGTAAAGGGACTGCAAAAAAGCCATGTTACATAAAGAACCGTGAAAGAAACTGGAAATAATTTCCTTAGAGGACAGAAGATTCCTAGGAAATAAGGTAGCTATATTTGTGGTTTCATATATGTGAAAAATAATTGCATAGAAGTTATCTGCTATATTATGAAGCTTTAGAGGGCAGACCTAGGAAAAATTGGTTAATGAAATATATGGAGCTAGGGTTTAACATATTAAAGAACAATCTACTGATTAAAATTATCCAAAAATAAATTCTATTGCACTGGGAGGGCATTGTTCCCCTCTGTAGAAAGAATTGAATCAGGAAGGCACATCCACGTTTTTGGATATGTAGACATGATCTTAGGAACAAGGAAAAACACACTCTTTGATAACTTTTTGGTCCCTATAAATGCTGAGACTGTGCTATTTTATGTCTGTTACCGATCACAACTCATCCGGACTTCATTTTGTTCTGACTGGTTTCCAGCTTTGATCCCATCTGTTTCTTGTTCTGGGCCTGTCTGGTTTGTCAGGTATCCCCTGAGACACAGGCACCTACCACAAGTTCCAATTACCTCGTCCTAACATCCATCTGTAGGACTTTGCTCTTAGATGCAATCCCACTTCAATTATTTTATCCAAATGATTATAATTCTGGCCTCAGACGGGATAGTGACAGCGTAGTCCTAATCTAAGTCCTAGGATCATGCTCATTCACGCAACAAATATCCATTTTTACTTTTTGTTTACTTTTTTTATTAGCATCATTTACTTGCTTTAGAACAACAAACATCCATAGACCACCTAACAGGTATTATTGTAGCACCTGGGGATATAGCAATATTTATTATTCATAAATGATCCTAATCTGGGCACGATCTTGTATGAGTCACTTATTTTCTTGTCCACTTGTTGCCTAACAGGGATAATATTTATAATAGTCTACCACTTTGTGCTGCTTAGAAATATCTGTTACATTTCACCAACACTGAAGTGCCGCATACCACTTGTTAGGTACTGTCCTAAGCACTTGGTAATATTCGATCATTTAATCCTAATAACATGTCTACAAAATAGACCCTATTATTTATTATTCTTATTTTACTGATGAGAAAATAGAGAACAAAAGAAATTAAATAACTTGACCAAGGTCATAAAAAAATTCTAAAGCCAGGATTCAAACACCGGTAGCTTTGCTAAAATCCCTGCTTGTCATCACAGATGCTAGGTTGAGTGAAAGTTCCAGTAGCTTAGCCGGAGGTGTTTCCCTTTCCCTTTTCTCTTTTCCCTGATCTTCTTTATATGGCCCAGAAAATTCTTTCAAGGAAAGCCATCCCATGGCTAAATCCTGGAAAGTCATGCATCTTTTGAGTTTCAGCAGGTATTTGTCACATAAGGTACGTGACGGAGCTTTGCATAATCATAACATGGGAACTCAAAACTCTGCTTAACTTCACCATATTGATATGTTAGAAAAATGGAGGAGGAGAAAGAGGAAGAAAAGCAGGATGGGAGAGAATACTTAATTGTAAATGCAATCATACAGAAATAACAACCATATAACACCCACCAAAAAATATTATTCAAATACTGTGGTCACTTTTAGAAAATAATATTGCTCATGTGTTAAATTAAACCTATCAAATTTCTTCCATTACAAGGAAATGTGGATTGGTAAGTTTTCATGCTTGTATTATGCCTAATTCCTGGGCCTTTTGCTCATAAAATTGCAGCTGCTTCTATGGTAATCCATGCATTGTACTGGAAGCAGAGCAGAATTAATGTATGCACAGAGATTTTTTAAAAGGCTGCTTGCATGCTTACATATCACTTTGAAGTTTGTATTTGTTCACAGGACTATCTCCTTATAGGTATTGCCTAAGCTTTGGGTCCAACCTTGTATATAGATTTCTATATTGTTGGGTTTTGATATGATTTCCTAATCTATCAGTTTTCTATTAATCCTTTATACATCATCATCACACTGGACCAGGTAGTAGTTTCAAAGTAGTCACTCCCTATTTGTTTCTAGCTGCATTTCTCTTATATTTTGTATGGTGAAAAAACATTTGTAGTGCATATTTTACCTAATAGCAATATATTATAAGCCCCTTCTTTCCTTCCTTTCTCCATTCCTTCTTTCCCTCCTTTAGCATGTATCAATAGCCCAACATGTGTCAGGTCTTGGACTAGGTTCTAGAACACAAAGGTGAAGCATATACCACTTGCTTTTCTATGAGCTCATAACTCAGAAGGAAATCTCTAATAATAGATAGTAATAAATACTGTAATGAAGATGTGTATGAGATACTATATTATGCTGTGAACCCTAGAGGAGGGGTGTTATTTGTTATTTATTTGATAAATAACACGTATTCACTAAGGATTAGACATTGGGCTAGATGTTGATAGAAGGTGAGGATGCTATAGACAACCTTTTGATGAGTTTTGCTGTGGGAAATTGCATCTTAATAGAGTATAGGGAAGGTTAAGTTGGGTGATAATAAGGCAAGTTGATGTAATGGAAAAGACATAAAAGAGAAAGAAAAAATGCTGATGCAGTATAATGAGAAAACTGAAGGATCAAAGTCCTTGAAAAGGCTAGAGGAGGCTTGATCTAGGTCACAAGTGGTGGTGTTGATTAGATAGAAGGAACTATTTTTTTGCTCCTAACAGGAGAGAGGATAAATTAGCTCTGTGGCCACAGACCTAGGTAGGGAGGGGTTATGGTGAAAAGATAAAGCAGTTGTCATACGGTTGCCTCTTTTTATGTATATAATAAGGTCACCACTTGTTAGTGAAGGTGGGAGACATGCTGGATATTTTTAGGTGCACATAGAAAAAATTGTTTTGGGGAGTAAAAGAGTGAGATTACTACGTGGGCAACCTGTCTCAAGATTTAAGGGCTTATTTGAGATTTTGGTTTTAAATTTGAAGGAAGTAGAATTGAAATGTAAAAGTTTCTCTAGCCATGTCCTGCTATTTAATATGTGCAGTTGTAGAATCAGCAAATTATTGGATTGAATTGCTATAGTGTTTTCCGGAGTGAGTACATAAGAAAGAGGGATTAGCAAAGATGTTTCCATGAAAGTAGTTATGGTAGTGAGCCATGAATATGAGCTCTATGAGGAGGAAAGTGAAACATTAGTGAACAATTTAAAAGAACTTGTTCCCTTCAGGCAATCTGGGGCTTTGAAATCTTGCTTGTATTAGGTGGGTAGGATATGCCTTATTCATGGGTGTGTTTAACAACACATGAAGGGCTTCTGAAACTCAGCATTTAAAAAAAATAGCAAAATGGGAATAACTAAATAGAAACTCTCTAATAAGACCTATATTTCATTATATGTTACAGACAATGAACAATGAGTGTTGGAGAATGTCCTTTCCTGCCTCTTAATCATTCTGAATCGAAACTAATGATAAACTTCAATCAATGACATTGAGGGGATGGGTAAGGGATAATATAAAGAGTCCTCTATGCATGCTAATTTGTTGTTACATGTGACCTAAGATGGTGGTTTCTTGCTTTAAAGACCTTACTAATCATTACAGAGTATTCTTATTCTCTGCTCAATAATTTGGAAATGACTTAGGTCCTGTAACTCTCTGTGTCTCTAATTTCTGATCTCTGTATTCATCCATGCTGTCTTTAGTACAAGTATTTATTTATGTAGACTTCCCTTGTTCTGTTCTTTATGTTACATGGAGGAAATTCTGAGAAACTTCATCAGTAGCACTATGAAACTCCTTCCATACAGAACAGTCTAGAACAGGCATTGTCAAACTGGGCTAAATCTGTTCTGCCATCTGCTTTTCTAAAGAAAATGTTGTTGGAACACAACCACGTTCATTCATTTCTGTATTGTCTGTGGCAGAGATTGACCATCACGATAGAGACCATATGAGTTGAAAAGCCTAAAACATTTATTACCTGGCTCTGAACAGAAAATACTTGCTGACTTCTGGTCTGGAACAGCACTGTGTATATACCTCAGGTTTAATACTGGAAGTCTCCATTAGTCCTTCTTCAGAGGTGACTAGAGTGCACAGTCATAATGACAGGGCCCCAAGGACTTCTCTAACTCACACTCCCTGTCCAGTCACCTTCACTGCAACAACCATCTTACCAAGGGGTGCTGTCACTGCTCCTGTCCACTTTCTGGCCGTCAGATGCCTCGAGAGTTCTTCTTGCCCTTGATAAGGAATAAACTTGTCAGTTGCATGTGGCAGTTTTTCAACTGATTTGGGAGATGATGCAGATTTTGCTATTTCTTAACTTTCAATTGTTGTGTTTTCTGGTTCTCAGTAGGGAGACATGAAGAAAATTGCTGATTCCCTTCAGTTAAATAACAGTTTAGATTAAACCAGCAAGAACTTTTGCTCTTTAATAAAATGCAAAGTTACCATGCCTTTCTCCGGCTCGATCATTCATGCATCATAATGTGAATGGAGTTGTAGGAGTATGATGTTTATTCTCACAATAGGTTTAATTCTGAGTAAAAGCACTAATTGAAAAATCAGAAGAATTTTGTCTTTAAGAGCTCATGTTAATGCATGCATTCATCCATCTGAATTTTGATGATCTCGGTTTTTTTCTGTGTAAATTCTTATCAGAATGGAGTGACTCTAAATTGCGCCCTGCTTGTAACTTTCATGTATGATTTGCTCCCTTGTTGTTTACCAGCCCTTTTAAAACTACATAGTAGAAAGAAAATATTTTAAACAATGTCACATCCAGACGGTGATTTCTCAAAGCTTCAAATGCAGGCTTTAATCCTTCTCCCAGGTTAGCCAGACTCAGGCTGCTGCACAGCACTGGGGCTTTTCAGACACATTAAGGATTCTGGACAGGCTTCACCCCAGACACCCTTGTGCTCCTTGCCATTCTAATGGTTGCGTTTTGTCTCTGGGTGGAATCTTCTCACATTTCATTTAGGGGAAGTGATTTGTTTCCAGGCTACAGCTTCCCAAAAGCTATGATCACATGGGTTAACCGACATTAATTTCCCCATGCATCCTGTTCTGTAGTCTATGGAGAAGGAAAGCAGATACTGCTTAGGTTTTCTGTCTTATGTCCTTTTGTGTTTTCATCAACTTTTTGTTGTGCAGGAAAAGATTAGGAAAGTGGGAATCAGGGTGGCAAGAAAAGGAGAATGAAGGGAAAATAAATTGCAGGGCAGGGCTTTTTCCTCATCTTTTTTCTTTTTTAAAATTTAGCCATTAGAGACATGAAGAAAGCTAACTCAAAATTCACCAGGGCTTTAGGACTGCAGGGCGAGGATTTAGGCAGCGTATTCCTTCAGGCTTTGCTATACCCACACATACCCTGAATTAAACATATAAACCAGGGGATGAAGATGTGTGAAATTACACAGACTCACGGAGGTTTCTCCTTCTCTTTTAGGGGCAAATAAATACATTACACCTAGAAAAGTCTTTTTTTTTTTTTTTTGGTATGTTTATTGTAACTTAAATATCCAAAATATTCATGTAGATTTCTGTACCCTTGGCCATAAGAAAAATCTGCTTGGCAGTAGGAGTGTAGAAAGAAAGATTCATTTTATAAAATCTGGGTCAGAAAATATTGATCAGAATTGTCAGAACTTGATAGTTTAAGATTTATTTTAGTGATCCTAACTAGTTTAAGATAGTTTCACTTTTTTGATAAGAAGTTTAGGGTTATGTAGTTTATTTTAGTTTTTAAGATCAAAAGCATATATTCCAATTTTAAAATTTTCCTTGCTTAAATTAATCATTTTCTTGGCAATAAAAGTGTACATTTGTGGGATGATTTGTATGACATGAATAGTCATTCACCTTAAATTAGGAAGCCAAAGCCCCAGTGAGACAGGCAGGGAAGGACTCTTGTTTCAACTTATTTTATCCAGTGAAAATGTCAGAAAATGAGATCCAGATTCTGGGTTCCTTAGCACTTCACCATCCACCCACCCACTTCACCAAGCACTTTTGTTTGTTTTAATACCTAGAGATTATCATCATAGAAAAGAGTAATGTAATTCTAAGTAGACTATCACTAATACTTTAGCCATAATTACAAATTAATATAATTATAGTCTTCTGACATCTATCACTCATTCATATATCCACTCACTCAACAATTATTAAGTGTCTATTCTGTGCCAGATTTGGAGCTACATACCAAGGAGAGAAATTGAAACAATTTCTTATCCTCAATAAGCACAGAGTCTTTTTCTATGATGCTGGCAAATTAATCAGAAGACCAAAATAGCAGTCAAAATATTTCATTCTCAATGTTTCTGATCGGACAATAGTTAATAATTCAATAACTCCAGAAATTAGGCAGTAATTATCCTAAAATCAGTTTGGTTTTGCACATGGTATTTTAACAGATCTAGACATGGAGAAACATACAGTTATTAATGGAATGGCACTTGAACATCTGTTGTGTTCCAAGGAGTTATTGGAATATTAAGTGTAAAAAATAATCAGGCATTATACATGTGTAAAATAATATTGGTACAGAAGAAAAGTCAATGGACTTATTGAAATTAGGGGTTCATATAATTCTTCTATTTCTCTGAGAGCTGAACATTCCCAAGAATAAAGGCTGTGATGAAACAGCGAGAAAACCTCTAGACTTGGAAACACGTGTTTGGGTGTGAGACCTAGGCTTTATCATTTACTCTGTAAGAGACTTTGGGTATGCAATGTCACATTATTTTGAATCTGAGTTTTGGATTTTTTTTAGTGGTCCTAACAATAACTACTTTATTAAGTTACAGAGAGAACAAGGTGAGGTGCAACAAGGGAAAGCACTTTGTAAACCATAAAATTGAAGAGATTACTTATATTAATAAACAATAAGTATAAGGGTATCTTATGAGCACATCTTTTTCCTGCACAGTCTTCTACAATGCACAAATACTCCTCCTTAATATTTTTTCATTTTCCCCTTCCCTCTAATGCTTGGTTAATTGCCTTAATTAAAATCTACTACCTGCCCGTTTTCTTCTCCATTCCTCTTCATTGTATTTGTAAGTCAAAATTTGACATTAGTTATCACTGATATATATAATCACAAGGTTAGCCATAAAAGTAAAATCATGACAATGTGAATTTTGGTGCAGTAGTGGAGATCTCAAATCCTAGAATCTTTGAAGATGTTTCTTCCTAATTCTCTCATATTTGGGTCTAATTAAAACTGTATTTCCACATACATTAGATTTTCACAGTAAATGAAAATCCTATTTACCAGTAATTATGAACTCCTTCCCTAATGTACTTGTATTGCAACATCATGGTTTTCTGTCAGTTTTTGTTATAAATATAGAATGTTTTCTAAATATTTTGGAAGAAGTAGATTATTCATAGGGCTACATCAGCAGTTTCTTTTTTAACTAACCTGAGAACCTCCCTCTCTGTTCTCTCAGCATTTTGCTTTTACGTTTGTTATAACATTTAGCACACTTGAATTACAAATTGAATGTTTATCTTCTTTTTTTTCCTTTACCTTAAAAAATTATTCAGGATAGAAATCAAAATCAAGTTTTTACTCATCTTTCTACCATCAGTGCTTATCCTAATGATGGCAATGATGTCCAATTATGTTTGTAAAGTAAGTTATTTTCACTGGCAATGTAAAATTCACGTACAAGTAGCTTTTCAATGACATTTTTAAAAAGTGGTTTTTTTTTTGGTAAATAGGAAGCTTTCTATATGGCTTTTTTGGTATAGGTTGACATTTATATATCATAATCAGATTATTTTACTAATAGTTATTGAATTCTTATTGGGTTTTAGTAGAGGCAGTAAGGAATTTACAATGAAATATTCACAATATTAAAACTACACAATTTTATTAACACACATGAGCATTTGTGCAGATTATTTCAGTTCTATGCTAGGTGCTCCATATAATAAACTTTGTTATAAGAGAATATTAAAATGAAACCTACAGAAGTCAAAGACTGCAAACTTTAGTAAACGATATAAAAGTTGACTTGGATAAATGAAAAAGCATTATGTATTATCAGAAATAAAGCCTCTATATTATACTAATATCAATTCTATTGAAATTTTTTCATAATATAATGCCATCCCAATCGACATTTTAATATGACTTTGGCAGAGGGTATTCTTCACAAAATGATTCAAAAGTTTATTTGAAATAGTAAATGAGCAAGAATAACCCCAAACTTTAAGTTTGTAACAAAGTACTGGGATTGCCAGGCGCGGTGGCTCACGCCTGTAATCCCAGCACTTTGGGAGGCCGAGGCGTGTGGATCACGAGATTAGGAGATCGAGACCATCCTGGCTAACACGGTGAAACCCCATCTCTACTAAAAATACAAAGAAAAAAATTAGCCGGGCGTGGTGGCGGGCGCCTGTTGTCCCAGCTACTTGGAAGGCTGAGGCAGGAGAACGGCGTGAACCCAGCAGGCGGAGCTGGCAGTGAGCCGAGATCGCGCCACTGCACTCCAGCCTGGGCTACAGAGCCAGACTCCGTCTCAAAAAAACAAAACAAAACAAAACAAAGTACTGGGATTTGTACTAATAGATAGTAAAACATATCATAATTCTAAAATCTTTAGAATAGAGTGGTATTACTATGAAAGAAGCAAAAAATAAAATATATCATAAAATCTAGAAAGAGAACCAAGTATGCTTGGTATATGATGAATATGTACGTTAGTATATTATAAAAATATGCTGCAAATTAATAGGAAAATTATATATACTTAACAACAAGATGTTTTCTCATAAAAATTCTATACACATAATTAAAAGGTAAATAGTTGTAATATACAGGACCTTTGTTAATAAGAAAAAGATCAATGTTCTAACAGATAAATATAATAGGCAAATAGCACACAGAAATTTGCAAAAGAAGAAATACAACTGTACCATAAACACATGGAAAACATGTCAAATTCCCTAATAATCAAATATATAAAAATTAAATTAATTATGATATATTTGAATATTAATAGCAATGTTTAAAAATAAATTCATTTGGGATTAGTATATATGTAGAAGGTGGGTTTGCTGAGCAGCTACAAAATATGAAGAAATTTAAACTCTTCACCATTTCTTGCTGCTTACAAAGAAAAGTAGTTTTTAAATGTAATATCAATACAAATAATGAAAAAAAGGCAAATGAAATGGCCACATTAAATAGAAACAAAAGTATGTGATAATGTTTTTCTGGAGAAAAAAATAAACAATATTTACTAAGATCGCTAAAAGTAAGCACTCTCATTGGTGTGTCCAAGTCACACTCCTAGGAAGCTTCCTTAATTAACTAATTAAGGATGAAGACAAATATTTATCTAACAAGATGTTCTACAGAACCTTGTTTATAATGGAGAAAAATAGAATCTAGTTAAGTGGGCATCCGTAGAGGGATTAAACAAATGATGGTAAAGCCTGCAAGGGAAAACTTCGCATTTAATGACATGAAGGGATATCTATGATATGATATGGCATCTGGAAAACAGTATTTATGCTATATAAGAATTTTGCAAAAAGTTTCATTACACTAGGGAAGGGAAGTATAATATACACAATAATGTTTTTGGTGATTATTTCTAGGTAGTAGTTAAGACTAGGTAAATATATGTATTTTCGAACATTTTTAAATTAAAAATGTATAATTGTATAATTAGGAAAAAGTCTATTATCTTTAAATAAAAATAAGACTGACTACTATAATTAATTTTTATTTTTTATGAAAATATTTGCTCTTTGCAAAAGTTCAGACAATGTATGTGTTGTTTTATGATTCCTGTCCCTAAGTTCTACTTCCCAGGGTTTATTATGACTAATTGCAGTATATGTACATTATATATACACTTATCAAAGCCATCATCCTCAAAGAAATTTTCTAATTGCTTATGTGTGCAAATAATTTGATAGGGCATACACAGGTTAGCCAAGTTGTAGACTGATAAAAAATTTAGAGATGGCTGCTTTCAATGTTACCCTTGATGTTATAGTCAAAAGTGTTATTGTGCTTTCCCTTACTCATATACTTCTCAGGCATCCCCTCAACCACAGAGCACACTCTGTCATTGTAGATTATATCCCTAGATGATAAAGTAAGCAGAATTTTTTGGGGGTGTGGGCTTCAGTCCTTCCTTTCATGACGTCTGTGTGCCTTTCTAGCACCTCTCTAGGAAACCAGTGCCCATATGAGTTAATCTCTTAAGCATGACCATCAGTCCTCTGCACCTGCTTTGACAACTAAGTCTTTTAAAATGTTCTGGAGAAATTTGCATTTCTCCAGAAATTCCCTGGGAGAAGCAACAAACTAACTAGTTTAGACATTAGCTGAAATCTGAGTAAATTATTGCTCACTATTACTTCACAGACGGCAATGAAGCCCAAATAACACCAGGCATGAAACAAAATGAGGCATTTTGTGGAGATGATAAAGTAAGATAAATGTAAAAAGAAAAAAAAAAAGGAAGAAAATCTTTGCTTTACTTCTATAAAATTGTATCTCAATGTCCATGAATTGTGACAGGATATAATTCTAAATTGCCAATGTAATTGTTCATTTATTAAAAATGAAAACTAGGGTGTTATTTAATGGGTATAATTTCATAAATGAGCAGCATTTTTACAAGTCAGCATTTGGCATCGTGTACTGATATTAGTGACTTGGCTGAAAAATGTAATGTATCTGGCAGCTTCAATTTAAAATTCACCCAGATTATTTTAGCACAGCCCAAGTAGATTTTTTTCTAGAAATTTATCTCTAGATTTCCCATTTATTTGTTAAGAGTTGTGGGTCTGATACAAAAACAAAGCACTGTACTACTTCAATACTGGACATGCCCCTTCCCCAAATTCACGTCTTAGATGAGAGTACCCGAAATCTTTCTAAAAAGTCAGCATCTTTAGTTCCCTGAAAATCAGGTCACTTTGTGGAAAGAAGATGCTGGAATGGAACATCTTGGCAATGAAAACGATCAATTGGCTTTGAATCAGAACAACATTTTCTCTTCATTTAATTAATAATCACTCTTGACTTTTCTTCAATGGCCTTTTTTATTTTTGTTTTTTATTATTTATTTTTATTTTTTTTTGAGACGACGGAGTCTCGCTCTTTGGCCCAGGCTGGAGTGCAGTGGTGCGATCTGGGCTCACTGCAAGCTCCACCTCCAGGGTTCACGCCATTCTCCTGCCTCAGCCTCCCGAGTAGCTGGGACTACACGCGCCCGCCACCGCGCCTGGCTATTTTTTTGTATTTTTAGTAGAGATGGGGTTTCACTGTGTTAGCCAGGGTGGTCTCGATCTCCTGCCTCGTGATCCACACGCCTCGGCCTCCCAAAGTGCTGGGATTACAGGCGTGAGCCACCGCGCCAGGCCCTTTATTGGCCTTTATATGGAAAACGCACCACTGAGCTAATCCAATGCCAGGTCTATGATGTAAGATGCTTTTATTATTCTGACTTTGTAGTAATATGAGGAGTGAGCAGCTACTTGTGAATTCTGAAGGAGGCAGTGTGCAAGCTTCCATTAACACCAATGAAGTTCCTGAAGAAAAGGAAATGTACTTAGTCTTATGTCAGGTAATGATGATGAATGGCACTCAGTCACACATTTATCTCTTTTAAAAATGGAACTTCTATCCAAAGGCCGAGAGGTTGTTCCTTTATAAAGCATCTACTATGTGCCTGGAACCCTGGACAAGGAACAGTGCAGACATGAAGGAGAATAAGATCCCCATTCCCAAGAATGTCACATAAGGCTGGAGAGAGGAAGCGAAATAATTGTGATATAATGAGATTTTTATTCTATTATAGATATAACGGCAAGTCTTTCACTGGGAAAGGGTTTAAGACATCTCCACCAAAGTGCTGAATAAATTGGGAAAAGGAAATGGAAAGAATTGGTGTTTTAGGCTATTGGAATCACATGAGCAAAGCCACTATTGAAAAGTTCTACTTGGTAGAAAGTAAACACTCTGCAAGACTTACCCACCTGAGTAGCAATGGAGCCTGAGATAATTGCATAGTTGCCAGAGGTGTATGGGAAAGCTCATGTTTATCTTCCCATGTTGCATATCAGCTGCATTTGCCTGTTACTTTTTGTGCATTCCCCCTGAGGGTTGAGTGGTCTCTCCAGTGTGCCAGATTTTTCTCTCCAGGTTTCTTTTATACTGCATTTTTGGGGATGGTTGCTGGTTGCAGTTGGCTTTCCTGCTCAGTGGTGTTTTTTTCTACCATGTTTGCTGGGGGTTGTGCCAACTACAAGTTCTGCTGCTTCTTAATTAAATTCTTAATCTCTATAGGCTTATAACAGAAAGTCTTTAGTTCTTGGCTGCAAGAAAAAAGAATGTAAGAACAGCAAATAAGACACAAAATGAAACCATTCATAATTGTTTTAAAAAAATGGGAAAGCTAGCAGCTGCTCAATTCCATTTATTTCTGTTATCTGCAGAATTTCTCATGGAAGGCAAGAATAATCACTATACTCAGCAGCTTGGGAAATGCAATTTTATATAATACACAGACTTCATAAAACTGCAAAATAACAGGAAGTTTAACCATATTTGAATGCAGGGAAAAACTGAGACTGGAGAAAAACAGTGTCTGAATTTGCCTTGAAATAGTAATATGTCCAAAAAGCTTTCAGTATTCACAGACATTCATCCATCATTGCTTGTCTTACTGAAGATTTTATTAGCCCCCATTCTTAGATGAGGAACTAAAGAATTCAACATGTTCAAGTTCATATAGCAAATCAGCAACCATAGTCAATAACTGAATTCTGATTTTACACTTCCCAAGCCCATGACTTATTCCCCCGTGTCACAGCTCTCATTTTTTCCCACACTGTGACCTACCAGATGGCAGCCACAGCTGAAGCCAATGTCTGAATACTCATGTGCGGTGTCTTTTTTTTTACATAGATGCAATGTGATATTGCCATTTCCTTTATTAATATGAGTGCTGCTTCTATTGGGAACATTTCTTTCTATCCACCTCCTAGGAATATTTTTCTAGTAAGATTTAGTGTTTTCTAATCTTGAGCATCCAGATGATGGAATACCCATCAAATTTTGTCTTCCATTTTCTATTACAGATATTTTCCATTGCTTTCCTTTTATGGGCTAGCGTCAGTGATTTTCTGTCACAGAGCCTTTTTTCCCCACATTTATCTGTTTTCCTTGTCCTAGCAAATATAAGAGCTTTATAATTAGCTTCTCCCCTCCCCCCTCCCCCTCCCCCCTTTCTTCTTCTCCTCCTCCTCCTCCTCCTTCTTCTTCTCCTCCTCCTCCTTCTTCTTCTTCTTTTTCTTCTTCTTCTTCTTCTTCTTCTTCTTCTTCTTCTTCTTCTTCTTCTTCTTCTTCTTCTTCTTCTTCTTCTTCTTCTTCTTCTTCTTCTTCTTCTCTTCCTTCTTCTTCCTTCTTCTTATTTTTGTGAGACAGCATCTTACCCTGACACCCACGCTGGAGTGCAGTGGCATGATCATGGCTCACTGCCCTGGACCTCCCAACCTCAAGTGATCCTCTCACCTCAACGTTCTGAGTAGCTGGGACTACAAGTGCATGCCACCATACCTGGCAAACTTTTTTGAATAGACAGGGTTTCGCCACGTTGCCCATGCTGGCCCTGAACTCCTGGTCTCAAGTGATCCTCCTGCCTTGGCCTCCCAAAGTACTGGGATTACAGGGGTGAGCCACTGTGCCTGGCTATCTAGCTTTTTCAAATACTATAACCACATCTAGGTATTTGGCTCTGTGTCCTGTTACCACACGCCACACTTCATCTATTTCTATATTTATCTACCTCTTCTTTTACCCAATCATCACTAGATAGTGCTTATACACAAGGAACTATTCCAGATGCTATGAAGGAGACAAAGATTCAGACACCAAGTTCTTTATTCTGTAAATTTACAGTCTGCTAGTTCAGCCAGGACATTTATTTGTCCATTCACTTATTCAATTATTCATTCATTCTGCAAATTTTTCTTGAGCAGCCAGTACATATCAGGTCCTGTGTTACATGGCAGTGAACTAAATAGTTGCTGCCTCTATCCATCATGGATTGGATAACAGAGTGAAAACCTATGGTTTTGTTGCCAGGCTGACATGGGAAGTAGACTTCTTAGGGAACTCATAGGAGTGGCACCTCCTTTGTAGATAGGGAAGGCTTCTTGAAACAAGATATGTCTGATACATGAAACATGAGCAGGAGTTAGCCAGTTGAAGGCAGAAATAAGTGCTGCAGGGAGAACATACATAAAGGCTCCGAAGAGAAAGAAAACTTGCTGCATTTGAGAATCCAAAAAAAGTTTAATATGGCTGCTTCTGGAGTGTGATGGAGGAGCTGGTGAGAAATAGGCTTCAGCAGAAAAGTGGGTTGGAATTAAAGAAGTATTTTCTATTTAAACTACTTAAGATATTAGAACTGTTTTTTCTCAACTATATATATTCACTGTATTGAGGAATTATTGCTATACAAAAAGCTATGCATATTTAATGTATACAACTTAATGAGTTTGAAGGTAAGTATATGCCTATGAAATCACCATCACAATCAATGCCATAAACCTATCCATCACCTCTAAAGGTTCCTTCTTCTTCTTTTATTATTGTTATTATTATTATTTGTGATAAGAACACTTAAGATCAACCCTCTTAGCAAGTTTTTAGGTGTACAATACAGTATTGTTAACTGTAGGCACCATGCTGTGTGGTAAACCTGTAGGACCTATTCATCTTGCAAAACTGAGACCTTGTGTCTTTTGACAGACACCTTCCATTTTCCCCTCCCCAGCAGCTGGCAACCACCATTCTACTCTCTACTTTTATGAGTTTGCCATTTCTAAGATTCTTCATATAAGTAAGTGGATTCCACAGTATTTATCCTGTGTCTGGTGTATCTTAGCATTATGTCCTTCAGTTTCATTCAGATTGTCACAAATGGCAGGATTTCATTCTTTGTTAAGGTTGACTAGTATTTCAATTGTATATGTATACCACATTTTTTTTTTAATCCTTGGGTCTGTATTTTTAAAGCTCTCTCTGTCTCCTGGGTAGAGAAAAAATTAGATCAGTGGTTTTCCAAATGTTTTTGGGACCAATAGAATCAGCATCACCTGGGATCTTGTTTGAAATGCAAATTTTCGATCCTCTAGATCCTCAGAATCAAAAACTGTTGGGATAGGAGCCCACCACTATGTGTTTTAAGAAATCTTTCAGATGATCCCAATGTATGCTCAGGTTTGAGAATAGCTAGACTAAAGAGGAACAAGATTGGGGGAAAAGAGACTATGTAGGATGCTGGGACAATGACTCATGTAAAATTTACCTACGCATAATTTTAATGTGAGCTAGAAGACTCCAGTGTCATGTCAGAGGCACAGATCAGCTGCCATGTTTGTTCAGAGAAAGCAGGTCAGGCTGAAGGACAGGCTTTTTAGAGAAGGAATCATTGAACTGAGCCTATAGTTTTAACTCTTAATTTACTGTCCTATGTGTTACCTTTTCTGACTATATTCGTAATCAAAGTTTTGAAAAATTGTTAACTGTCATTCCACTGGCTTGATATAACTAGTGACCACTGAGTTATGCATTATCCTAGTGAAAAATTTCCCAACTAAACATTCTATTGTCATGAAAATTTGTGCAAAATCAATTAACTTTTATATCCTTATGTACATTGTTAATAAAAATTACTAAAATATAACTTATGAATCATATCTGAACATTGCACACCTGTTTTTAATGGCTCATGTATATATAACCTAATAATGATGTCCTTGGCATTCACTGGAAACTCATGCTTGCTAGAGAAATTAATTGTAACACTGCTCGTGCAAAGCATTGTACCTGTTTTTTCTCCCTCCCTCCCTCCCTCCCCTCCTTCCGTCTTTCCTTCCTTCATTCCTTCCCTCACTCCTTCCCTCCCTCTTGTCTATTTGAGTTGTGATCATTATAAACTTTTAAGCAGAAGCTACTCTCTTTTAACTGTGTAGCATAGAATCGGTACAAAAAATATATTAAAAATTACATGCTATTTTTCTTGTGTATAGTAAGCTGGAATCTTTGCAAAGTTTGCATTTCTTTCATGCACCCATATTTTCTCTCTGGCTCGCCAAAATAAAATCTACTTTTTGCTTTTTATTCCACATAATTAGCACATATTTTAATAAACATTTCTGACATTTCTTAATGCCTCATTATACTTGATTTGTTATCAGCAGCATCTGCAATATTTATTTCTAGAAATAGTGACATTGAAGTTTGGATCATCCAAGTCTTAAAAAAGAAAAACTCTGGGACTTAATGATTGTATATGCACCATGTGTGTTTAGCTTTCTTTTTTTCTCAATTTAAATCTTCTAGTATAAAGTAAGACCAATGTAAAATATTCAGAAAAATCCTGTAAGAATTGAGCCTAGGAAAGCTGAACAAAGAGTGAACTTTGCCAGGCCTTTTAAAAAGCCAGCTGTATGCATCTGCTTGTTAACATGTAGCATTATTCTGAGCTGGGAATTGTGTATGCAATTCACAGTGTACATGGGCCGTTTGTCCTGGGAACATATATTGTGACTGCCAAAACTAAATAGAGTTAGCCAGTTCCCATGAGTGGAATATGATGGTCCTGAAACAAAGAGAAAAAACTGAAAATAAAAGTGACTGCTCTGATTGTTAGGGTGGAAAATGAACTGGAAACAGAAGAAAAATATGAACCGAAACTGTTTAACTATTTACAAAACTTTTAAATTTAATGATTGCTAACAATGACAAAATATTGCAGTGTACCATTTTTCATTTTGGTAAATACTTTGATAAATAACATATTTAGAATATTAAAAGTAATATATGATATTCAGTGATGTAGTATAACAAGCTATGTTATGAGTAAAAATATTTGTATTTAGTTTAAAATTATAATTAACACTTGTAATTGTTTATTTATGCTAAATATAGAATGAATCTTAGATTCTTTTGAATGACAGATTGATTAAGATTAGGTTCAGAGGCATACAGCAGAAACAACCAACCAACCAAAAAACCCAGAGAGTGCAGGCTTAAATAAATAAAAACCTAGATAAGCAGTCTAAAGTAATTGGCCCAAGGCTGGTGTGGCAACTCCAAGAAGTTTTCAGGGCCTCTAACTTCATACTCTTTATTCTTGACATCTCTCAGTTCTACTCTCTTCTTCAAGGTTGAAAGAAGCCTATGGAACTCATTATCAAATCTCTATTCTTGAAAATAGGATGGAAGAAACAAGAAATAAAGGAGCCCCCCTCCAACAATTCACACCCTTCTTCCCCTCATATGCAAATATTTGCAAATTACCTTACCCAGATGCAAATGTTTCACATAGCTGCAATCATATTGTATATGTAATATTGTACTTTCTTCTTAGTTTATAACCCAAATTTTTAATTTAATTCATAATTTCACCTATTAGTCAATCCTCATGCATTCAGTAAGTATTAATTGATTATGTTCCTTCTATGTAATGCTAGGTGTAAGTGGTGAATAAGATGTGGATTCTCTCCTCATAAAATTTACATATTTAGGGGTTAATAATCTATATAGATTACAGTTCACAGGGACATGACCTTGGACATAGAATGCCATGATATTGCAATGTGTGTTTGGCATTTATGTGTCAATTTTCCATGGATCCTGTTTGGGAAAATATGACTCCTAGTGAGAAAATGTTGATCATGAGTCTCCACTCAGTGGACGGGGATGGAATGATGCTTCAGGAAGAAATGATAAGCTCTGCTTCACAGGTCACACAGATCACACACAGAATGTATGCATTCATTTTACTAGTAAACAAGATGGTTTACTACTGATCAGCCAAGAACTCATTTCTGGGATTACCAGACTGCATTTGTGTTTTCTTATCATGTCCCTTAGTAACAATGACAGAGAGTTGCTGCAGTACCGATGATTGCCTTGAAGGCCTTCCTTGTTTTTCCCTTCCTGGGATAATTCCTTCAAATCTTTCATGATTTCTTGGAGTTTGTCTGCTTTTATTACTGCCTGCCCTTCCAATTATGACTGGGAGTTCTTATAAATGGTTCCACAGACTATGTGGAAGAAGATAACTTTGGATGATTATTAGAGAAAGTAAGGGATGTTGTTGTGCAAGTGAAACAATATTGTGTTTAAAGAATTTACAAAATTTATTTCAAGCTTAGCTGTAAAATAAAATACCTTTGCTTGTTATCTTTTGAGTAGATAGTGAACAAATAAACCAGTAATGAATTCTTAGTTTTCTAAGTTAATTTTTATTTTGGAAATTTTTTAAAAATTACAACATTCATAATTACTATAGAAAATCAGAGAAAGTTGCTAAATAGAGATGAAAAATAAGATTGCCTATAACTCAATTATTCAGGGAAAACCATTCTAAATATTTTAATGGTTTATATATTTTAACTACCTCCCTATATACATATAACATTTTTTAACACAAATTGCTTATAATTTGCCACCTGTATTACCTACTCTTATCAATCAAAATAAAACTTAGGCATCCTTCCTTACCAGCAAATATATATATTGTAGATTGTTATTTTAATGTCAACATTACTTTACTATTTGAATGAAACATTATTTATATATAGATAGCCATGTTTATTTTTTGTACTATAAATAAAACTTTAATGGAATACTTATAAATAAATGTTTACATACTTGTTAATATTTCCTTAGGAAATATTTTTAGAGATAAGATTTGTAGATTAAGGACAGCACACATTTTAGTACTTTAAAACATAAAACCAAATGGTTCTTCAAGAAAGTTGGACCAATTATAGCAATCACATCCTCAACATGGCATTTTGTTTAATCGCTGGGGATGTTTGAAAAATGTTAACTTATTTTAAAAAATTTTTATTTATTTAATATTAAGATTGAAGATACCTGCCTATTTTTGGCTACCTTTTTTGCAAATTGTTATAAGATTTATTTAACTATTAATTTTTAAAGTAATTTAGTCTTTTTGTGATAACATCAATATCATGCCTTTGCATAACAGGCAGTCCACGCATATTTACTTGAGAAGAAATGAAAACAATTGAGACTCTTATATCACTCTAAGGGTATCATTATAAAGAAAAACATTACTGAAAAGCTTTAGAACTGCCAATTAGTTTTATTGATGGCAGCACCCAAAAGGAACATAGCTCCAGATAGTTCCTGCATTGTTTAATGTCATTTAACTAGACAGTGAATAGAGTTATTTGTAATTTAATTTAGCGTAATACAACAGTACTGTAAGTTGGGGAAACTCTCTTAAAAGAAATTAGGACAGATAAAAGATGAAAAGATGAGAGTTTAGAATTTAATGTGAAGAGTAACTATCATTAAATGAAAAAATTATGGCATTGATTAAGTAGCTCCATTTTAGACTCTTGGATGGAAAACTCATGTACACATTTCTTGGATGTTATTTAATATGTTGGCACTTTCTACTATACAAGAGCTTTATAGGCAATTTAATATCCTGAGACGATTTCTGTGAATTTTATTTGTGACTGTAGTACTTGTTTTTCTATTGCCCGGAGACCAGCAGTTTTCCAAAATTATGCAATGATTGATACCACAGGATAATTTAGTCTTTCTTATTATGCATGTTCACTTAATATGTTACAAAGTTGCTCTTAGAAATGACCCTTGTGCCCGATGAGCTTTAGAAAAACATAAAACAATCACAATTTCTTTGAACTAGCATTTTAAAAACCACGTTTGGTTTCTATTAATTTTATTTTCAATAAGATAGATTTTCTTCCTGCTGTACATTTGATGATACATAAATTTACTAGCAATGTGACATACTAAGTGAATATGAAATGTAGCAGGTGATTACAAACCACCTGCTAATACATTAGGTACTATTAATACATTAGGTACTAGTACCTAATGTAATAACACTGGTATTAAAAATAATTGGTTTTTGGATTCATTTCCTTCAATAATGACTATATGTTGCATTTAATTCACTGTCAGTTTTCTTTAAATGTAGGTAATTGCTAACTCATTGAACCACTGCCTTTGTATAAAAATATGATGTTGTTAACTTTGGACTAGGAAAAAAAAAACATGACAAACATGACAGAGGAAACCTGGTTCTTGGAAATTCCCATGGGCCAGGTATGTCTGCTATGTATCCAGGTGAGAAGCCCTTGCAATCACATCAGTGCATATCACAATGTAAATAGGCAGCTGTTTGCTTTCACCTATAAAAGGAGAATGCTTGTTTGGTAGTGAAATGTTATACATTCATATTTGTTTATCCAATGTCCAATTTCACTTTTATTTTCATATTAGTGGAAAGCAATTTTGAGAACATTGAGAGTTATTTTGCTTTTTTTTTATCAGTTCATCTTGATTCAAACTATACTGAATTTTAAAATCAATTTATTTCATTTAATTTGAAAGCTGAAATTTGGTATATAAATTATTAAGAGCCATAGAACTATCAACTGGCCACTATGTCAAATTTTTCTTTAGGAATCACTTTATTTTTTCTAAAGACTGTAATTGAGATAAACCAGTAGAGTGTTTGGCTTTTTTAAATTCCTTCCTTGTGCTTATATTCTATAAAGTATCTAGATTTGCCTCCTGTTACATTTAAAATGCATTGCCATTAACTGTTGAGATAACGTGGATCAGTCTCAATCAGATAAGGGATATGGAATTTTCAAAAAGTTTATGGTATCTGTTTATGGTATTAAAGTACATTTGTGTTTCCAAAACTGGATTTGCAACCTTAGGTGCTACAGCCACAGCCCATCTTGTTAATATGCTCTCACCCTTATTGAGCCGTTTGGCTGGGAAATTGCTAATTTATCTCCCTGTGCACAGCTGGGTAACGTTCAGTGCAGAGAGACAGCCTGTGTTTATTGGTGATGGAGGTGAAGGAGGGAAGGAGCAGGTTTGGGGAACTCAGATCTACACTACTTTTGAAACTGTGTGGTATGCAAAATCTAAAGAATTTACTGGCCTGGTAGATTAACTACTTATACAGAGAAGAGATAATGGAGACCCGGCATGCTTTCCAGGAAACAGGCAGCTGGGAAAGAGGGAGTGACTACTCCCCAGCCAGCCTTGCTGAGAAGTGCCCTCACAGCTGAGGGCCATGCAAAGAGGATGACAGAGCTGAGTAAGGCAGATGGGATCTGTTAGCCACCGCTGACTCTAACAATAGGCCAAAAGGGAAAACTGCCACTGTGTTTCCAGACAGTGAATGAGAGGGGCTGGCTGGCACCGCAGTCCCTGCATAGAATTTTAAAGGAGGAGTGGGCTGATCTGTGAGGGAGGGATATCATAAGCACAACTCAATTCAGACTTGTGCCATTATCTTGGGCTGGTGGGCTGTTAATTTGGGTAAAGAGTCTGTGTTCACTGGTGATGGGTGTCAAGAAGGGAAAGATTATGTTTAGGAAAGTCAGATCTATGCTACTCTTGCTCTGCCTTGTACTCAATACCTACAAAAAAAAATAGTTTCCATGGACATCTACATCTGTTTATCCATCCATTCTTTCCTGAACATTTACTGAGTGGCCAGCCAATACTAGGTAAACTACTAGGCCTGCAGAACAAAAACAATAAGACCCAGCTCTGGCCCAAACCTCTCAAGATCTAGTAAAGAAAATAGACATATAAAACAACAACAAAATAAATGAATAAATAAAGTCAAAATGCAGTAAGTTGTACTAACTTCAAACCACAAACATGCTAGAAATCCTGACTATACCCTTATACCTTGTGCTTTTATTTGTAGACAATGATTGAGAGTCAGGTTTTAGTGGCTCCATTGGCTATTCATTGAAATAGCCCACCTGCCCTAATTATTGCCCAAGAAAACAATGACTTAACTAATTTCACTAATAAAGTGCCCTATAAATCTTCTAATACCACATGAGGTAAGAGACATGTATCCATGTTTGGACAGATGAGGACACAGAAAAGGTAGATAACTAGCTTAATGTCCCACTGCTTGTTTTATTTATTTTTTGAGATGGAATTTCGCTCTTGTTGCCCAGGTTGGAGTGCAATGGCTCGATCTCAGCTCACCGCCACCTCCGCCTTCCCCATTTAAGCAATTCTCCTGCCTCAGCCTCCCCAGTAGCTGGGATTACAGGCATGCACCACCACACCTGGCTAATTTTGTATTTTTAGTAGAGACGGGGTTTCTCCATGTTGGTCAGGCTGGTCTTGAACTCCCAACTTCAGGTGATCCGCCTGCCTCAGCCTCCCAAAGTGCCAGGATTAGAGGCGTGGGCCACTGCGCCTGGCTCCACTGCTCGTTTTAATAAGTTTGTAGGAGAGGATTGAAATGCATAATAATCATAAATACAAGTCAACATAAGGTGATGAGGACATTATTTTGCTAATTTTAGAGGAGCTGTTTCTTGCAATAAAAGCTTCTGAGTCAGAGAAGGATGATATTTCCCACTAGAGGGAATGGTGATGGGTAGATGGAAGTGGATGGAAGAGAACAGCACTGAGGCGTCATGTGCATGAGAATTGAGGGTGGGGGCTGGACACGATCCATAACAATTACTCTGTAGATGGTAAAAACCTCCAGATGATTTTTAAGAAGTCATGCTGAATAAAGTACCCTATAAATCCTCTGAGCTTTCCCTAAAGGAAAACTCACAGTAAAGATATATATTATTGCTCAAAGTTGTTTGACTGATAGTTCCTTACATGTGAATCAGTACAGAGATCAGGCCACAGGGCTGTTTCACTGTATGCCAGTCACATGAACATTGCTAACAGCATGTTGCCTGTAAAAAACAGTTTGGAAGTGAGAACACCCAAGTTACACTCCAGGTTCTGAGCAAGACATGTCCTCTTTCTGGGCCTGTGGTCTCATGAGAAGTTGGATTTTAAAACCTTGACAGAAGATTTCAGTGGCCATAGACAAGAAGAAAAGATAATCAGGCTAGTGACTCAGATCAGGGCTCATCTGGTGTGTGTTCTTTAATTTTCGTATTTTAGAATGCTCCCCTAATAAGCACCATATCTGAGCTGGAAAGACCCAAGCAGAGTCATCCCTATGCCTCCAGGGCTAGGCATAGTCATAGGAATATCATTTCTCCATTATAAAGTTCCAGTAGGAAAACACAATGGAATGAGGGTAAAGGACCACCTCTTCCAGGGATCTGGAAAGAATATGAAACAAGGGAAAGACGTGAGTCAAGTCTGCTTGACTCTGACTTTATAATATTATTCCCATCGAGTACATTTCTACGATGACACTAACAACAGCATTTTTTGTAGATATTATACTAAGCCTCCTTGCATTTGACCATGAATACTGCAAGATCTGGGGGCTTAGCAAAAGAGACTGTGTACACTGAGAGCCCATGCTGTGATGGACATGGTGCTACTCACTCATGGTGTCATGTGCTTTACTTACCTCTCAATTATTCTTTAATACTAAACACAGAAAGGGTAAGTAACTAGCTTAATGTCCCACTGCTTATAAGGTCAGATGTGATATAAAAACACTACCTTCTAGCCCTCAAGCCTGTGTGTGTTTGTTTTATATCATCCCATAAGAATGCTTTTCACATAAGGCTACTGCGTTAGTACCTATAGCGCCCACTGAGATTGTAAACTGAAGGAAAAGTTTATTAGGATACTATAGGATTAAAATTATCATGTACCTGTCAGTCAGATATTATACCCTGCTTGATGAAAAGGCACAGCAATTTTATTATGGAACAATATGAATAATTTATCACTACACAGTCATGTGTAAATATCATTCGTGCTTATTGCGTTAAATAAGATTTTCATGTCAGCCGCATCTAAGAACTATTCTCGAGCTCATTTCAATTTATGATCTTAGATGACCCTGCACAGTTATTTTAAAACCGTACAATCCAATAAATAAGTATATAGAGAAATTTCTTCCATGACCAGACTTTGAGAAGGAGGAAGGAAAAATCTCTGCACTATTTACATCTATATATCTCTAATTCTTAACACAGTGCCTGGAATCTTGGTGGTGACAAATATTTTGTTTTCATAAAGATAGAGGTTTGCCGGTTGCAGTGGCTCATACCTGTAATCCCAGCACTGTGGGAGGCCAAGGCCAGTGGATTGCTTGAGCTCAGGAGTTCAAGGCCAGCCTGAGCAACATAGCAAAACTCCATCTCTACAAAAAAAATTTAAATATTAGCTGAGCATGGCGGCACATGCCTATAGTCTGAGCTATTTCGGGGGCTGAGGTGATAGTATTGCTTGAACCGGGATGGTGGAGGTTGCAGTGAGCTGTTATTGTGCCACTGCACTCCAGCCTGGGTGACAGAGTGAGACCCTGCCTTAAAAAAAAAAAAAAAAAAAAAAAAAAAAAGTAGAGGTGGTGGTAGGGTGTGAGTGCATGTATTTTCTATCATGTTCTCTTAAATACGTTTAAATTAATGTCACTGAGAACAGATGCATTTGGTGAATAGCGTCTCACGTTAGGTAATCAGTACAGCAGTTTTTAAGAGTGAAGGCCCTGAAGTCAGACTGCCCGGATTTGAATCCCAGCTCTATGATTTAGGCAAGCCTGCTTGTTCCTTAGCCTGTGATGTGGGTTAATAATAGAACCAATGTTCTATCACAGAGTTTTTGTGAGGATAAAATGACTGATGCAAGTAAAATACTTAGCTGAGTGATTAAAACATGGTAGGCCTCAATAAATGTTCAATTTTTTATTAGGTGAAAGAATTAACCTTAGATTCACTGTTGGCCAAAGAAATGTCTCACAGTGCACTATCATTAAGGATATAGAGAAAAGTAACTTCTAGTCTGATCCAAAACATCATATTCTGCCCTTGTTTTCTGAACCCCATTTCTGAAAAAGAGACCATGGCAATGAGAAAAAAAAAATAGGGATTAAAGCATACTTTTAGGAATTATTACTTTTTCATTATTACTTCATTCTCCCTGATTTCTAAGTCGAACTAAACCCCAAACCTTCTCCAATCTTTTGATCAACTCTAAATTTAATCCTTTCCATTTTAGCTGGATTTGTTCTAAGAAAGGATTGTTGAATTTCAGAAGACAACTCAGTCTTCACTGAACATGAGGGTATTAGATTTTTTTTCTTTTCTTTTTCTTTAATTTCAGGGACTCCTCATATCAAAATATCATTCTGGAATTTGTGAAAGAATAAAAAGTAATATTTAAAACAAAAAGTGTCTGTCAAAAGTGATATGAGGTGGATACATTAATTAGCTTGATGAAATCTTTCTACAGTGTATACATAGATCAAAACATCACATTGTACCCCATACATATACACAATTAGTATCTGTCAACTGAGAAAAAAAAAAGTGATGTGGAGGTAAGGTGATAACTCCATGAATAGAAAAAAAATCTACCATGCTTTTAGCCTGTGATATGGGTTAATAGATGTATCAAGATGTAAAACAGCATCATTATCTTTTTATAAGAACCTCATGTTTCACAATGAGGAAATAAAGTACCCAAGAAAGCATTTTCCTGCCTAGAGTTTTTTATATAAATAAATATATTGCCCTTTTCCTGTTCTTCTCCACCAGAGTTAAACAATGGACACTTAGAAGGGAAATGATGTCAACACCCTTGATAAAAATCAAGCTATGCTGGAGGAAACACAATAGAAAAAAAACAGAGCTTTCTAGCTTCTGTAGTTTGTTATGGTAACTCCATGAACCTTTATTAAATGTAAAGCATAATTTCATTATAGCCCCATGCTGACTTAAGTTCACTATGGATGCACAGCTTTTGTATTCATATCTTTTAGCAAAGATAACTAGGATATCCAAAGCAAAGATAATTGTCTTTGGCAGCTAGAATTCGTAGCTTTGAATGTGTGTAACTCTTTTTTTTTTTTTTTTTTTTAAGTTTGAAATTTGACTAGCATTCCAATGCATTTCATAGCTATTCATTCTGGGAAAGGCCATTTCTGCAGAGTTTACAGAATGATTGTGGAAAATATCTTGAAGACCATTTATCAGTTTAATGATACCAAATAAATGCTTGGCAGAACATCCAGACTATAGATAAAAGATAGTATAAAATATGTGAAGATTGCAAATTTGCCAGTGGCAAATTTGCAGTGTTAGAGTGGGATGTATTGCAAATTAATCTTATTTTCAAGGAAGTGATTTCTTCCATGAATGTTCTAGTTCGTTGAATGAGCATAGAGCTAGATAACCTATTTTGCCGGTTCAGAAAACCAAGGTCAAATCTCTTTTTAGTCTTTAAGTTAATGTCTTGACTCCTCTCCTGCTCTTGTGCAAACTGTTTTGAAGAATAAACTATTATAATAGTGATAAGCTTAACATATTTTGCCATCAATATTTCTGTTATTAACTGGATGTAGTAATTGAAGGAAGCCCTCCATTGTATCTGAAATGAACTGTTTAAAATCTTTCATATAATCCCCACAACAAAGATTTAATCCTGGTAGTCACTGCTGTTTTTCAGGCAGAACAATGATGTAACCATGTGTTATAAAGGGAGGAGAAGGACATTGTTTAAAATGAATAGTACCATAACATCACCAGAGGTGAGGTACCATCACTCACTCACCACAAGTCCGAAGTATCCAACTGGGAGATGTAAAATGCTTTACATACTAGAACTCTCTATTCTTCATTGCATGTGATATCAGAGGTCTTATTTTAATCAGAGCCCAGGCAGTATGGAGGACTCAGTCTCCACTACAATATAAGAACTCAAGGAAGCAATAAAGGTAAGAAAACTACACTCTGAGGAGCTCTTTGTGTTAGTTTAACCAGATCTTCCTTCTTTCCAGCAGTCTTAGGTCATACAGAGTCTAAAACACTGGTTCTCACGACAAAAATAAAATGAAATATTGTCTTTGAGATAACCTTGGAGATTGCTCAGCTGGCTCAATCCTTTCTACGCATGAAGACAACAGGGTACAAAATAATAATAACAGCAATAACTATACATAATAATAACTTATGTGATAAATGGATTTAGTCTATTTATATAATGAATGAATGAGCAGTTAAAAGGAATAAAGAAAAAAGTAAGGCTTAATTCATGTCACATTCTGAGACTAAATTCAATACATTGTCTCTTATCCTACCTTGTTTTTGAGCTCCTTCAATTTCTGTTAAATCAATATATAATTATTTAATTATAGCCTCATACAAAGAGAGAGGGAGCAACAGACTTCACTATTGGGTTTTTGCCTAATTTAATTATGACTGTTAAGTTTCAAATCAGAAAAACAAAACCTAAAATATATCTCAACGTGATAATAAGAAAATTGAAAGAGGGGAAAAAGAGTTTGTATTAGAGTTCTCTAGAGGGACAGAACTAATAGGATAGATAGGTATATAAAGGGGAGTTTATTAAGTATTAACTCACATGATCTCAAGGTCCCACAATAGGCCATCTGCAAGCTAAGGAGCAAGGAAAGTCAGTCTGAGTCCCAAAACTGAAGAACTTGGAGTATAATGTTATCCCAGCATGAGAGAAAGATGTAGGCCGGGAGGCTAGATCAGTCTCGTTTTTTTCACATTTTTCTGCCTGCTTTATATTCGCTGGCAGCTGATTAGATTGTGGCCACCAGATTAAAGGTGGGTCTTCCTTCCCCAACCCACTGACCCAAATGTTAATCTCCTTTGGCAACACCCTCACAGACACAAGCAGGGACAATACTTTGCATCCTTCAATCCAATCAAATTGACACTCCGTATTAACCATCACAAGTTTATCCCTTGTCAACTTGAACCCATACACATCTCCTGAGATCATACATAATCTTCAAATAAAGACAATAATAAGGTAATAATTATGCCTAACATAATACAACAATACTTTGTACAACCAGAAACACACCAATCCCTAACCAAAATACTATTACATAAAGTTAACAATACTTAAATGCTGAAATGAAATCAATAAATGAAATCACATAATAAAGAAAAAAAGAAAAGAAAAAAATTTTTAGTGCAAACGTATACACGCACAAACATATTTTTAACAAAAGAAGAATAAAATACTCATGACAATTACAGTCCTCATTTCTGCAGCTAGTCACGTGTTTATAGCTGGTATTGATGACTACCCTCTTCTAGTACCCATTCTGTGTTCCCTTTGCCTTCAGCAAACACCTCAGCAGGTAGTGTTTTTTTTTCTGGTGGAGTGACCCAAACCTTCATTTCTGAAGGGTCTGGGCCATATGTAGTCCTGCCTGGATTGGGTTGTTGTAGTTTCCCATTGACCTTAATCACAGAGCATGGTAATACACTAGGAGTGATGGTGAGTGGTGCCATGTCCACTTCCACCCCTCGATTCCTGGACCCATGAACCCTGTCTATGGGAGATACAGTACCATATATTGGATGCTGATTCAGAGCATACAAGGCCTTCTGGAGAACTTTGCCCCAGCCCTGCAAAGTATTGTCATCTAGTTGCCATTTTAATTGTGACTTCAAAAGGCCATTCCACCATTCTATCAATCCAGCTATTTCAGGATGATGGAGGAACATGGTAAGACCAGCAGATTCCATGAGCATGAGCCCACTGCCTCACTACTTTAGCTGTAAAGTGAGTGCCTCGGTCAGAGGCAACACTGTGTGGAATACCATGATGGTGGATAAAGCATTCCGTGAGCCCACAGATGGTAGTCCTGGCAGAAGCATTGTGTGCAGGATAGGCAAACCCATATCCAGAGTAAGTGTCTATTCAGGCAAGGACAAACCTCTGCCCTTTCAATGATAGAAGAGGTCCAACATAATCAACCTGCCACCAGGTAGCTGGCTGATCACCCCAAGGAATGGTGCCATATTGAGGACTCAGTATTGGTTTCTGCTGCTGAAAAACAGGACACTCAGCAGTGGCCATAGCCAAGTCAGCCTTTGTGAGCGGAAGTCCATGTTGCTGAGCCCATGCATAACCTCCCTCCCTGCCACCATGGCCACTTTGTTCATGAGCCCATTGAGCGATGACAGGGGTGGCTGGGGAAAGAGGCTGAGTGGTGCCAACAGAACAGGTCATCCCATCCTATCCACCTGATTATTAAAATCTTCCTCTGCTGTGGTCACCTGTTGGTGAGCACTCACATGGGAAACAAATATCTTCACAGTTTTTGACCACTCAGAAAGATCTATCCACATAACTCTTCCCCAAATTTCTTTGTCACCAATTTATCAATCATGCTTCTTTTAAGTTCCTGACCATCCAACCAAACCATTGGCTACTGCCCATGAATCAGTATATAATTGCACATCTGGCCATTTCTCCATCCATGCAAAGTGCACAACCAGGTGCACTGCTAGAAGTTCTGCCCACTGGAAAGATTTTCCTTCACTGCTGTCCTTCAGAGATGTCCTAGAAAGGGGCTGTAGTGCTGCAGCTGTCCACTTTCTGCATATTGTGCAGAACCATGTGTGAACCAGGCCCTACCTAGTCTTCTCCTCCTCTGTGAACTGATCATAGGGAACTCCTCATGAGGCCATCAGTGCAGGCTGGGGGAAAGAAGGCAGGGTGGCAGAAGTGGAGACCATGAACATTTGAGACACTTTCTCATGTAACTTACTCATGCCTTCAGGACCTGCTTGAGTTTGATCACGTATATACTACTTCCATTTGATGATGGAATGCTGCTGTGCATGACCCACTTTATGGCTAGGTGGGTCAGAAAGCACCTAGTTCATGATTGGCAGTTCAGGTCACATGGTGACTTGATGACCCATAGTCAAACGTTCAGTTTCTACCAAAGCCCAGTAACAGGCCAAGAGCTGTCTCTTAAAAGGAGACTAGTTATCTGTAGAAGATGGCAGGGTCTTGCTCCAAAATCCTACAGGCCTCCACTGTGATTCACCTATGGGAGCCTGCCAAAGGCTCCAAACAACATCCCTATCTGCCATTGACACCTCAAGTGCCATTGGATCTGCTGGGTCATATGGCCCAAGTGGCAGAGCAGCTTGCACAACAGCCTGGATCTGTTGCGGAGCCTTCTCCTGTTCTGGATCCCACTCAAAATTGGTCGCCTTTCAGGTCATTCAATAAATGGGCCAGAGTAACACACCCAAATGAGGAAAGTGTTGCCTCCAAAATCCAAATACGCCCACTAGGTGTTATGCCTCTTTCTTGGTTGTAGGAGGGGCCGAATGGAACAACTTACCCTTCACCTTAGAAGGAATATCTCAACAGGCCCCACACCACTGAACCCCTATAAATTTTACTGAGGTAGAAGTTCCCTGAAATTTAGTCAGATTTGTTTTCTATCCCCTGGCACACAAATGTCTCACCAATAAGTTCAGTGTGCTTGCTAATTCTTGCTTACTGAATCCAATCAGCATAATGTCATCAAGGTAATGGACCAGTGAGATTTCTTGTGGAAGCAAAAAGTGATCAAGGTCTCTCTGAATAAGATTATAACACAAAGTCGGAGACTTGATATACCCCTGAGGTAGGACAGTAAAGGGATATTGCTGGCCTTGCCAGCTAAAGGCAAATTGCTTCTGATGGGCCTATGGACAGGAATGAAGAAAAAGGCATTTGCCAAGTCAATGGCTGCATACCAGGTACCAGGAGATGTGTTAATTTGCTCAAGAAATGAAACCACATCTAGTACAGCAGCTGCAATTGGAGTCACCACTTGGTAAAGCTTACAATAATCCACAGTCATCCTCCAAGATCCATTTGTCTTCTGCACAGGCCAAATGGGATAATCAAATGGGGATGTGGTGGGAATTACCACCTCTTCATCTTTCAAGTTCTTCATGGTGGCACTAATCTCCACAATCCCTCCAGGGATATAATATTGTTTTTGACTTACTATTTATCTAGGTAGATACAGCTCTAATGGCTTCCATTTGGCATTTCCCACCATACTAGCCCTCATCTCACCAGTCAGGAAGCCATTGTGGGGGTTCTGCCAGCTGCTAAGTATGTCTATGCCAATTATGCATTCTGGCACTGGGAAAATAACCACAGGATGAATCCAGGGACCCACTGGACCCACTGTAAGTCAGACCTGAGCTAAAACTCTATTAAGTACCTGACCTCCATAAGCCCCTACTTTAACTGGAGGACCACAATGATATTTTGGGTCCCCTGGAATCAACATCAGCTCAGGGCCAGTGTCCAGTAATCCCTAAAATGGCTGATCATTTCCCTTTCCCCAGTGTACAGTTACCTTGGTAAAAGGCTGAAGGTATCCTGGGGGAAGGATGGGAGAAATATTAACAGCATAATTTGTCAGTAGTGTAGTGGGGTCCTTCCTCAAGGGGACACTGCCTCCCTTTCAGACTATTCTGATGCTGCTTTGTCTCTGCTGTCCATTATAGTAGCTCTGCTCACCTTGCCTTTGATGGTTGTTTGCCACCACTTGGCCCCTGCCACCTCGGGATCCAATTATTCAAATTGTATTTAAATTTTGTAGTTGAGTGACTGTGGTTCCCACTGTTAGATCTGACATACAGAGAAGATCAATTACAGTACCCTTCAAAGATGCAGGTGCTGCCCTCACAAATCTATTTCATAAGGCATTGGTTAAGGGTATATCTTCTGGACCCTCCCACCTGGGATGAGTAGGTCTAAAATGACTAATCCACACTACCATCCCAGTCTCCCTAAGTCTTTGGATTCCTTCCTCTATATTAAAACAAAGGGAGATCAGGCATTTCCAGCTCACTCACAGTGGGCTATCTTTTAATCCATATTTCAGCTAACCAAGAAAATAAACTCTTAGAACCTTTTTTTAACTCCCTGAGCTGCAACATGAAATAGAGTCCATATTTATTGGGCCCAAATCAATAAATTCAGCCTGACCCAACTCTATGTTCCTTCCACCATTATCCTACACCCTTAATATCCATTTCCATGCCTGTTCTTCAGATTTTTGTTTATATAAATTAGAAAACTTTAGCAGTTCTTTTCAAGTGTAGTGCACCTCCTCATGGGTCATACTCTCAACCTCACCTCTAGGGCCTGCTGGGACTTCAATCTAGTTATAAATCTAGAAGCAAACAGGGATATTGGGGGTGGCTTCTGAGGAGAATCAACATTATCTTACCTGGCAACTGCCTCAGGGGAGGCCATCACTGTTGCCTCAGGCAGCCCAGGGTTTTTCTCCTCAGACAAAGGTGGAAAGTCTGATGGCAGCATGGGTGGGGGAGGGGATGTTGCCACTACCAGGGATGGGGAAGCTGCTCCTTCTGGCAAAAAAGGTTCATTGGAGTTTACAAGCTCAGTGTCCCCAACTTCATCAGGGTCTTCCCACATGTCCCCATTTCAAGTTGCAGGGTCCCATTCTTTTCCAATCAATACCCTCACCTTAACAGCAAACACCTGGAGAGGCTATGCATGCACCTTTCATTGCAGGTCAGCCACTCCCATGATAAGAGCTTGTGTCTCTTTTTCCACAATTTCAGCTCTTTCTCTACAGGAGATAAGACTCTCACTCAGGGCAATTTTGGCAGATTTGAGACTTAGTATCTGCTTCTGAAGCCAGGAAGTAGAATCCCTGAGTTCATCATTTTCTTTCATCACTTTGTCCACTGAACTTAGGAGCAATCAACCAGCTTCATTATGTTCCTTGGTTCTCCACATGTGGTCAAAAATATTATGTATAGGCTCACTGAACTCCTTGCCTCTCACAAGTGGTGAATCAACATTTCCAAATGTACTTATTTTGCATAACTCTCTAAACAGTTCATGCCAAGGACTGTCAGTGTTTTCCATACTGTAAGAAGTAGAGTCCTTATCATTTTGGGGTCTAATTATATTAAGCAACCAACTCCAGAAACCCCAAAAACAATGAAAAAAAAAAAAAACAAACCCATCCTTAATATTCTGTTCCTCTAGAACCATTCCTGCTACCAAAATCTGTATTAGTCAGAGTTCTCTAGAGGAACAGAACTAATAGGATAGATATAAAGGGGAATTTATTAAATATTAACTCACATGATCACAAGGTCCCCTAAGCTATCTACAAGCTGAGGAGCAAGGAAAGCCAGTCTGAGTCCCAAAACTGAAGAGCTTGGAGTCTGATATTCAAGGGCTGGAAAGGTCCAGCATGGGAGAAAGATATAGGCTGGGAGGCTAAACCAGTTTACTTTTTTCACATTTTTTCTGCCTGCTTTATATTCTAGCCACACTGGCAGCTAATTAGATGGTGCCCACTCAGATTAAGGGTGGGTCTGCCTTTCCGAGCCCACTGACTTCACATGTTAATCTTCTTTGGCAAACCCTCACAGACACACCCAGGATCAATATTTTGCATTCTTCAATCCAATCAAGTTGACGCTCAGAATTAACCATCACAGAACTCATAAAGGATCCTGGGACCATTCCTCATGGAGGTAAAAAGCTCAACTGCATTGCATCAGGGAATTTATTTTCTGAGTGTTATTATTGACTTAATCAATGTTTTGTTATTCTTAAGGAATTGGCTACTATACTACTATTGTAGCAAGCCTACAACCCTGAAACTCTTAGGACAGATTTACTGTGTCTGAATTTTCAAGAGACTCTCTTATTCATCTCCAGAGACTTTGAAATTGGAGAGAGAGAGATTGAGGATAATTTCATCCAAAACATTTTTTCCTAAACTATTTAGAAATACCTCTAGAATTATATAAAATTTATTTTAAAAAAACACACCATAAACCTGAAAATATATAGAAGTAGCATAACTTGGTGTGGAAGAAAGAAAGAAAGAAAAAAAAGAAGAAAAAGAAAGAAAAAGAAAGAAAGAAAGAAAGAAAGAGAAAGAAAGAAAGAAAGAGAAAGGGAGAGATGGAGGGAGGGAGGGAAGGAAGGGAAGGAAAGAAGGAAGGAAGGAAGGAAGGTAGGAAGGAAGGTAGGAAGGAAGGAAGGAAGGAAGGAAGGAAGGAAGGAAGGAAGGAAGGAAGGATGGAAGGAAGGGGGAGGGAAGGAGGAAGGGAAGGGAGAGGATAAAGAAGGAAAGAAAGAAGGAAGGAGGGAAAGAAGGAAGGAAGGAAGAGAGAAAGAAAGAAGTAGTATAGTAGCCAAAGAAAGGAAGAAAGGAAAAGAGAAGAAAGAAAGAAAAAAGAAAGAAGAGAGAAGAGCAAAGAAAGGAGTCATATAATCCCACAATTCAAAATGCTACTTGAAATTGGCATCTAATAAACCTGTGGTAAATTGCATTCCAGTTACTGGCCAGTCCTGTAATCTTAAACCTCAATCTACATCTGTCTGTGGATGAGAGGCAATAACCTCTCTTTGTTGTGGGTATTAACATAATACATGGAGATTGCCTCATATAGTGATACATTGGCTACATTGTAGCCTTTCAAAAGATAATTTCATTTTTGTTATTTTGTCTGCTACAGATATTCTGTAAGAGGGTAAAGATCCTCTAATTGTATATGTGTGAACATAGACAATGAAGACAAAGATATAGAGCATCACTCTGAGAACTCCCTTGTTTTTCAGATCATATTTGAAGCTTTTAGGGGTTTACTGATAGTCACATGAACTAAGGGAAAGCAGTGTATCTTTCACATCTAGTAAACATCTAATTTTAAAACAGAAAACCATGATCAATTCTTAAAAGAAAGAGAAATCAATGTAAGAATACATAGGAAACTGGTAACGTTGCCTCTAGGAAGGAGGAATGGGAGATAAACGTGGGGATGGTAGAGTCAATTTTCACTTTACTCCCTTTTATATTTTGGTATAGTCTGTACACATTTTGGCATAATTATTTTAAATGGTATTTTAAAAAAACCAGACACTGAAGAGAAATGGCATTTAAGTAAATCAGCACAATGTATTCCAAGCAGTCAGGTCTTCTACAGTTTTGGAAAAACTGTGCTTTGCAGGGAATCAGTTGGGAGTAGAAAGTTTTTCAAGCATATTTTTCACAGACATGCTTTTTTATGAATCAGAGTATCTCTTGTGTATTCAAGTAACACTCTAAACTGTCTTTAAAATTTATGCATAGAAAAGTATCATCAGAAGCAGCTAAGCAATGATTATTTAACTAAGTAGCAAATATTTTTAATAGAACAATATGCAAAGCTCTTGGCTAGTCCTTTGGTGGAGAGGTACTGGAAGGAAGTTGTAAAAGATACTATAAATGTGTTTAAGATATAAAATAATCTTGTTCTGGATTATGAAGCAGTGGGGAAGATGAACACATTTTAAAAACCACTATAAGGTATCCTGCAATATGTTTTATAAATTCATAGCATTAATAAATACTATATGACATGGAGAGAAAATGATATTTTTGTGTGTAGAGAAATTTAAGAAAGTGTCTTCGGAGAAGTTGTTAGAAGAACTGATACCTGATGGTTGTCTATGGAGTAAAGGGCCTTGCAGACAGTAAGAGCAGTTCAATTAAGGAGCTGAGGTTGGTGAGCACAGGGAGTGCTTAGACAGGAAACCGTACGAGGGTACCAGGGGAGGGCAATACATTAGGAGACAGGCCAGGTGTGGTGGCTCATGCTTGTAATCCCAGCACTTTGGGAGCCTCAGGCAGGTGGACCACCTGAGGTCAGGAGTTTGAGACCAGCCTGGCCAACATGGCGAAACCCCGTCTCTACTAAAAATACAAAATTTAGCTTGGTGTAGTGCCCGGCGCCTATAATCCCAGCTACTCAGGAGGCTGAGGCAGGAGAATCGCGTGAACCCGGGGGACAGAGGTTGCAGCGAGCCTAGATCCCTTTACTGTACTCTAGCCTGGGCAAAAGAGTGAAACTCCGTCTCAAAAAAATAAATAAATAAATAAAAATAGACAGACTCCAGTCAGGAAAGAGCCAAAGAGCCAAACCGCATCAGGATTTGAACATCAGGTTGAGGACTTTGAACTTTTTTCTAGGAAAAACGGGAACATTTGAAGATTTTTCAGCCAAGTTAACACTATCAGATGATAACTTTGTGTCAGTTTAACAGAGGAACTGGCATGAGGAGCAACTCAGGACTGTGAGATTAGAATAGGCTTTTCAGATGGTACCTGAATAGGAGCCTCATTATATGTCAATCATGGCTCTGACTGGTCCTGCCAAAGCAATAAAATGTGGGCCTACCTGGGGGGACAACTCCAAAACAGGCACGTCTCATGCCTCTTCCTTTCACATTTTTTTTTAATCTGGAATTTTTGTTAACATCATGAGGAGAAACACATGTCTGGCATCATTCATGATTACCTTAAGTGAAGAGGTGATTCAAAAGCAATTGACTCTGTTACACGGAGCATGACCACAATTATGCTGGAGGTCACGGCTATTTGAATCAATAAAAGAATATGAGTTGAGATGTTGCTCCCTTAGGAGTTTCAGGAGAGTCCATTTTCAATATCTACACTAAGGTTTCTTCTAATTAAGGAAGATTTTTCTTTTGAAACTGGGGTTTTGTATAACAAAATATTATGCAGTAGCTTCCAGGGATAATTTCCTAAGGTAAGGTTTTAGTTAGAGCTTATGACTTGTCTTATAAATTAGATATTTTTTTTTTCCCAATTCAAGAAGCTAAGAGTTACTTCTGGAATTCTTTGGAAGAGCTATACTGGTTAAGTGCCTGGCTCACAGTCTAAAAAAATGCTTTTTTTTTGTTTAAGGAAGCTCAAGCAGAAGCCCTCAGTTCTGATTTGCCCACGGTGTCAAACATCAGAGGAATTTTCCAATGGGCCTTTATGAGTTTTATTTTCGCTCCAATTAGGAAGATACCTGGGTGTTTAATGGGCACTTTTCAAGCTACCGGAGCAGAGCTAGAGCAAATGACCTCATTTACTTGGACAAATAAAGCAACAGTGTCACAGATGCTTCGTAAAGCTTCACATAATTGCAAATGGGAGGTAAGGGAAATATCAGAAGAGAAATTTGGATCAAAGAACATTACATCCATATATGTAGCTGTGTTTCTTCTACCACGAGCTTTCAAAACAATACACACTTACCAGCAAAGACAAGAGGAAAGCTATTTTCACAACAAAATATTCATTAAGAATATTCATTTTATTTAGCTGGAACTAGGTTACATTGTCAGTGGAATTTAACCAATTTCCAGCAATATGATTTTTCTGGTCATCAAGGGAAACTTTGTATTTGAGTTCTGATTTAGACCATGGATTCTTAAGAGAGGAGAACTTGAGTGTTCTGTTCATGTTGTTTTTAAAATATAGGCTATTTAAAAAGTCTCAAATCCCCTTAAGAATTAAGTTGCTGCCAGGGATTTCCAGAAAAAAACAAAAAAAAAAAAAACAGAAATAAAACAGTGAAGCTTGAAGAGCTTATAGAAAAAGTTACTTGGGTATAGTTTAGCTTTCATACCAGGTGGTCATTGTAAAGGATAGGACTCTCCTGGAACGGTGAAGAAGTAAGAGAAAACAAAGGCTTTACCAGAAAGAGAACTTCGGAGAGGTTTGGGCAAATCTGGGGAAGTAGTGCTGCCTATAGAAAAGATTTATGCACCCAGGTGGATATCTCTCTCCTACCTGAAGCTACATGGAGCAGAAAGCTGTAAAATTTTAAAAATCCAAGCAGAGTGAGCTAAGAGAACTCTGAAGGTAATCAGAAGTCCTAAGGAGGCAACTTAAGGTCTGGTTTCTGATCAGCTGTGAGTTGTACTTAAAAACTTCTCCCATTCAGAGAGTGCTTTCAGTGAGGCCTGATTGTGTCACAGCTGTGATAAAGCAATAAAGTGCCAGTGCCGTGAGTCCACAGTGTGTCTATGAATGATTTTAAATTTAGGAAGGCACCCTAAATGAGTTAGATTTAAATTTGCGCTTGTTGATAAGAATGAAACTTAATAAAACTTTTACTTCTTTAAAAGGGTTTTCAATATTAGCACTTATATAAGTAATATGAGTAAATGTTTAAAATGTTAACTGCTAACTGCTGTTTTGTTATTTTAACAAAGGTATTGGGTGGGTAGGAAAGGAATAGAAGTGACTAAAATTTAAGGCTGTGATCAGTGGTGCATGAAAGTATACTCGGTGCCCACTTTTATCCAGTGGCAGCCACCCATTTTATGCCTGCGGAATTTATGTAAAAAGTTGCTGAGTCTAATAAGCTCCAAATTATGGAGAGAGGGCCGAAAAACAAGACGTTATTTGGGACAAGTGTAAGAAATGGTAGCTGTAGCTATTCCATGTCTCTGAAGTGTGACAAAGTCTGAATTCCAAAGTTGGTCATTTCAAGTACTTCATCAAGCTGTAATTTAATCTCCAGGGTTTCTCTCTTTGCTTTTAAAGGACTATTCATTAAACTAAGCCTATAGCCATTCTGGAATAATCGAATTTGCTCAGGACACATCATGTATAATACTACCTCACTTTTTTCCCAACTCCTTTATATTGGTGTTAGGTTACTGACCCTCTGAACATCCCTGTAAGGCACATATCAATGGTCCCATATTAGTGTTGAAACAGTTAAATAACAGACAAGTTGGAAGGCTGTGCTACAGTAAAATTTATGACATATATTTTGTATATTTTGGGGGATGGATATTTTTCTCTTTTTTTCTTACTTAGCATGACATGATGCATGACAGAACAGAGAGAAGGGAAAGTAGACAAATTCATTATTTTTATTTAGTAGAGGCCATACTAAATCCCCACAAATTTCTAAACTATTTGCTTTGGTTTAGGTTTCCAGACTATGAAGAAACCTTACAGAATTGCCATATGAACAGCAACTATTTAAATGTTCATCTTTGTAGCCACTAATTAAAATAAAGAGGAAAAATTTAACAAACGTTTATTTTTGGAAAATACATTTAATCTGAAATAAATATGTAGCCTACTTTATTTTTTAAAAAATAGTCTTCTTAGGAAAATAAGTCAAATTATTTTTGTTTCCTATCATGCAGGGTTGAATTCAGGTTCCATAGGTAGTATGGAGGTTTACACAAGTAGAGATCTTAAAGCAAAGTAAAAGAAAATTACAAATACAATATGAGCTATATGCAAATATTTACTGAAAATAAGAAAAGCATCACAATAAATTTCAAAATTTCCCAAGGTCACAAATACAATCGGCATCAAAAATCCAGAAAAAGCATAACATTTGTATTAATTTATTGTCTGTCTCTAACTTTTTCTGTGAAATTTAACATTGCAGTAATGTGATATTTTCTATAAACAGAATAGAAAGAAACTTTTGTCTTTGCTTTATCACAGTTGAATGAGAATTTTTGTTCAGTCATTTGGAGAAGTTTCTCTTAGCTCCATAAATCATATCAATAATGTTATGTAGGATTGCTGTCAAGTACATGGAAAAATCTCTATCAAATGTCTTTCGTAGAAGAACTTGCAATTTCAGGTGCATTTTTGGGTTTCTTGTGCAGTGACTAATCTTATATGCTCTTTGAATGAGCATGATTGATGACAATCAAAGGACCTCCCTTTGAGTCCAGGAGCATTAGGAGGGTACTTGGAGCTATTTCTGCATTCCAACAGGTAGCAGTTGCTTACCTGTGCATTGAAGTGGTAGTGTGCCACATAAATGTATTCCACTAAACCCAAACTAAAAGTATCCCCAACTTAACTTCTGTTTAGCCAGATTCCAAATGTGAGTGTGGCCATTCCAAACCCCATGGCACTGAGGGAAGTCAGTATGGAAAGTGACAGCAGAGCAATTGTGGTTAAAATGTCTTATGATTGGAAATTTCACAAAAATTATAATGATCTTGTAAACATTGCTAGGGTACCCTTAATGGAGGAGCCTGCATAAGTGAAAGGCTAAAATCATTGTAAATTTACCTCTGTTAAATTTAACAAACTAATAAAGCTACAGATTTGTTTAGAGTAAAATTCAGAGTACTAATGTGGGTGAGAGTTAAGATATATACTGATGGGCATTCTTTTGTTATGCAATAAATAATGATGTGAGTTGATTCCAGTATCATATTTACTGTAGCAGTATGATATATGAGTGAGTGTTAATAACACTGAGATTTTTTAAAATTTTATTATTATACTTTAAGTTTAGGGTACATGTGCACAACGTGCAGGTTTGTTACATATGTATACATGTGCCATGTTGGTGTGCTGCACCCATTAATTCATCATTTAGCATTAGGTATATCTCCTAATGCTATCCCTCCCCCCTCCCCCCACCCCACAACAGTCCCCTGTGTGTGATGTTCCCCTTCCTGTGTCCATGAATAACACTAAGATTTTTATGAAGGGACAGTAATTTTTTTTTAAGCTCAGTGAATTCTAGTGTTAAGTAAGCCCCCCAATTTTTTTTTAAGCTCAGTGAATTCTAGTGTTAAGTAAGCCCCCCAAATTTAAGTGTTTTCAAAGGCATTATCTACAGCTGAGGTTAAGGAGTAAATGGTCAATTAAATAATAAAATGTTTAAATGTTTGTCTACAATAGTGAGAAATTTTGAGCATTTTTCTGAGTATAAAGTTAATCCTGAGACGGCAAAAAAAAAATTAAGAAAGTACAAGTAAACTATCAAAAGGCCAAATATACAAGGCAATATGTTTTGGGACCTCTATGAAGAAGATCACATAATGCCACTTGGTATATAGTGTTGCGGGAAGTCAGGGACCCCGAACGGCGGGACCCTGTGCTGTGCCGCGCAGTTAGGCAGCAGCAGCCATGGAGCAGTAGCCGCCGTGGGAGACAGCCATGAAGCACTAAGAGGTGGAGATTCTGCACGCAAAGACAGGGGAGAAGCTGTGTTTCCTGGACAAGGTGGAGCCCCACACCACCACTGCAGAGATCAAGAACCTCTTCACCAAGACCCCTCTGCAGTGGTACCCTGCCCACCAGTCCCTCCGCCTGGACCCCAAGGGCAAGTCCCTGAATGATGAAGATGTTCTGCAGAAGATGCCCGTGGGCGCCATGGCCACACTCTACTTCCAGGATGTGGGGGCCCAGATCAGCTGGGTGACGGTCTTCCTAACAGAGTACGGGGGGCCTCTTTTCATCTACCTGCTCTTCTACTTCTGAGTGCCCTTCATCTATGGCAACAAATATGACTTCACATCCAGTCGGCACATGGTGGTGCACCTCACCTGCATCTGTCACTCATTGCACTACGTCAAGCACCTGCTGGAGACGTTGTTCATGCACCACTTCTCCCATGGTACCATGCCTTGCGCAACATCTTCAAGAACTGCACCTACTCCTGGGGCTTCACTGGGTGGATGGCCTATTACATCAACCACCCTCTCTACACACCCCCTACTTACAGAGCTCAGCAGGTGAAACTGGCACTCGCCATCTTTGTGATCTGCCTGTGCTTGGCGACTTCTCCATCCACATGGCCCTGTGGGACCGGCGGCCCGCTGAGTCCAACACCCAGAAGATCCCATACCTCACCAAGAACCCTTTCACGTGGCTTTTCCTGCTGGTGTCCTGCCCCAACTACACCTACCAGATGGGGTCCTGGATCAGTTTTGCCATCATGACACAGTGTCTCCCAGTGGCCCTGTTCTCCCTGGTGGGCTTTACCCAGATGACGATCTAGGCCAAGGGCAAGCACCACAGCTCCCTAAAGGAGTTCTGGGACTACCCGCCCCTGCGCATGCCCATCATCCCCTTCCTGCTCTGAGCACTCACCCCTGCCGAGGCCCAGCCCCTCACCCTGGTGGCATTCTACGGGAGGAGTGGGGCCCACAGCTCTCCAGCACCCAGAATAAAGCCCGCCTGCCCCAGTAGTTTCAAAAACTAATTATATATATATATATATAAAATTAGCCGGACTACATGCCTGTAGTCCCAGCTACTTGGGAGGCTGAGGCAGGAGAATCGCTTGAACCTGGGAGGCTAAGGTTGCAGTGAGCCGAGATTGCACTTTGGCCTGGGGGACAAGAGCAGACTTCATCTCAGCCTCCCGAGTAGCTGGGATTACAGGCACCTGCCACCACGCCCAGCTAATTTTTTTGTATTTTTAGTAGAGAAGGGGTTTCACCACGTTGACCAGGTATGGTGGCTCACACCTGTAATCCCAGCACTTTGGGAGGCCGAGGCAGGCAGATCCCCTGAGGTCTGGAGTTCGAGACCAGCCTGGCCAACATGGTGAAACCCCATCTCTACTAAAAATACAAAAAAATTAGCAGGGCGTGGTGGCAGGCACCTGTAATCCCAGCTACTGTGGAGGCTGTGCTGCATGGGCTAGTGGAACCCACCCCCAATATTTCAACGTAGGTTCTTTCTATTTTCCCTAAGTGTTGGCAGATCTGAGAAATAAAGAGAAAGAGTACAAAGAGAGGAATTTTACAGCTGGGCTGCTGGGGGTGACATCACATATCGGTAGGTCTGTGATGCCCACCTGAGTGGCAAAACCAGCAAGTTTTTATTAAGGATTTCAAAAGGGGAGGGAGTGCAAGAACAGGGAGTAGGTCCCAAAGATCGCATGCTTCAAAGGGCAAAAAGGAGAACAAAGATCACATGCTTCTGAGGAAACAGGACCAGGGCAAAATCAGAAACTCCTGATAAGGGTCTATGTTCAGCTGTGCACGTATTGTCTTGATAAACATCTTAACAGAAAGCAGGGTTCGAGAGCAGAGAACGGGTCTGACCTCAAATTTATAAGGACGGGGTCTTTTCCCCACCCTAGTAAGCCTGAGGGTACTGCAGGAGACCAGGGCATATCTCAGTCCTTATCTCAACTACATAGGACAGACACTCCCAGAGCGGCCATTTATAGACCTCCCCTGAGGAATGCAATTCTTTCCCTAAGGTCTTAATATTATATTCCTTGCTAGGAAAAGAATTTAGCGATATCTCTCCTACTTGTGCATCCATTTATAGGCTCTCTGCAAGAAGAAAAATATGGCTCTTTTTGCCCGACCCTGCAGGCACTCAGACTTTATGGTTGTCTTCCCTTATTCCCTAAAATTGCTGTCATTCTCTTCATTTTCAAGGTGCACTGATTTCATATTGTTCAAACACACATGTTTTACAATCAATTTGTACAGTTAATGCAATCATCCCAGGGTCCTGAGGTGACGTACATCCTCAGCTTATGAAGATAAAAGGATTAAGAGATTAAAGTAAGACAGGCGTAAGAAATTATAAGAGTATTATTAGGGAAGTGATAAATGTCCATGAAATATTCAGAATTTATGTTCTTCTGCTGCAGCTCCAGCCGGTCCCTCCTTTTGGGGTCCCTGACTTCCCGCAACAATATAGATAAAAATCTTTTTGCTTGCCATTTAGTAAATAATGTCTTCCATGAGATGGAAAATATAAAATGTTTAATAATATAGTAGTCTGAAAATTACTACTCCCAAAGGGTTTTGCTCATTATTTTGTGTGATGTAAATATAAACACAAAAATGAATCAGATTACTATTTCTTTCTAAATATCCTTTTCATTTTACACTAATATATGTTCTAGAGTCTAAAAGGTCATCATTAGCCTCATTCTCTGACTTTTTTGGGGGGGCTTGTTGCTCATTAAAGGACAGTGAACAAGACAGGTAAGTACTAATTGCTCAATTTTCTCAGTGATAATTTTCTTATTTTGGTTTATTCCTCTCAAAACCCACGTCCTTTCATCTCTGCTCTACCTCAGACACTAGGATCATCAATGTGGAGGGACATAATAGTGTAGGGATGCCACCAGCTTAGGAATCAAACAGACCAGGTCCTGAATCTACCAGACTGTGGCCAAGGGCAAGTATCCTCACTTTCCAATGTTCTGTTTCCATGTTGGTTAAACTCTACTGCAAAGGGGATAAAAGAGGAATGCACATGTCCAACATAGTGCTTCCTGTGAAGCAAATGCTGAATGAATGAATGAATGAATGAACAAATTCACGTGATTTTTTTTCTGTTTATATGGTAAATAAACATCACCTAGGATACATTCATTAATCTATGCAAGTGTGCTATTTATTTTGTGATATGAAAGTGAAACTTATTTATTGTGTCTATAAGTATTGCATAATTTTTATTCAATAGTTTCTCTTCTAGTTCTCAGTGCCATATGGTTTTAGCAGATCAAATCACTGAAGCAAACTCTTTCTCTCCCACTCCTCTTTCTCTATCTCTTTTTCTCTATTTCTGAAAGCAAAAGGAGAGAATTGGAGTAAAAAATAAAACAGGAATATAAAAACTTTCCACAATTAAGAAAACAGCTAAAAGGTTTTATTTTCTTTTATTTGCCAAATTTGGACTTACAATAAGGAAAAGGAGTGCTGTTCTCTCAGTGTATTTCCCACATTAGTTGCCAGGGGTAACATAATGTGAGAAACAAACAGGAAATCAGTGGGGCACAGGCTTGCTCTTGTATCCTAAATCTTCCTTCCACGCCACATGTTTACAAACATGCTGTGTTCCTCTTGAAAAAAGCAGACACAGACACGCACCGACTTCAAGGCTTTCTATTGTGTGTGAAAAGGTTTCGTTGAGGAGCTCCTGCTGTCAATTTTCAGACAATGCCGAGGGGGAATGTCAGCTACTGACTACAAACTAGCTTGAGCAGAAGATTAGAAGTACCCCTCTAGTACTCCCAAAGGGGTATCTAATCTCTGCATACAAACTCTTTGGGTTTATAAATATATGTATTTTAAAATGAATAGGGACACAAGATTAGGATTTGTTATGGAAAGGGAAACTTGGCTTAAATGGCCATCATCTGGGCCAAAAGATATTGAAATTTAATGTTAGTGTCTTTGTTCCTTGGAGATCCTGCTGTGGTGCATTAGGAGGGATTTAGTCTCAGAAGTCAGTATGATAATAAAGGACAGCTTTGTTGAATGTCTGCTAGTCCTGTGACCGTTTACTGCTACTTACACAACAATGGCAAAATTCCTCTACAACCTGCGAGGATCCACAGTGTAAGAATTTTTATTATTTCCTTTCCTTGGGCTCTTCCAATTCAGGAGTCAAGTGTAAGTGGCACCAAAAAAAAAAAAAAAATCCATATTCTCTGCCTCAATGTTGTCCCTTAACTCTGTAGTCAGTTAATTAAATACTTATTAAAAGACTTGACATAGGTGCTTCTAGCAAGGTGCTCCTAATAACTTACCCATCCTTTTTCAGTCCCATGCACCCCACAGAGGTGTCTTCTGTGCTGCTCTAGGGCTGAATCCTCAGCAGTTGTAAAGCTTAGAGGGGCTGGGGAACCCAGAGGGTTAGCAATTCAGGCTTCGCTAAAATTCACCTGACATACTGCATTTCTAGTACTCCCAGAGGGGTATCTAATCTCTGCATATAGACTCAGAGTCCAGGTGACAATTCCTACTCTTCAGTATCAGGGCAGAGAAGTGGGGGAAGACAACTGGGAGGAAAGAATATTACAAGGTGGCCTTATGTAGAATTGGAAGCAGCCTTGACGGAGGTATTTTAGGGACAACAAAAAGAAATTAAACATTTTTTTCATGCTGCCAACAATTTTTCAATTTCTTTGGCTGAAAACTTTAATGTATGTATTAATTCAACAAAAATTTCTTGTACACATATGCCAGGCACTGCCCTAGACACTAAAGATGTAGCAGTAAAAAATGCCAAAAAGGTGTTTGTTTTAAAGAAGCATAATCAAATCGAATGACTTGAACAGTAAGTAAGCTGGATTTTTCAAGCAATAATATGTTATTGGGAGTGAATTTATTAGCTTTTCTTTAGAGAAGGTTTTAGGAGTAGTATAAGACAAAAATGAAGAATTGAGTTCTGAAATCATCTCTTGATATTTGAGTGAGTGAGTGAGTGTGTATGTGTGTGTGTGTTTATGAATAAAGGAGATTTGGAGTCTAGAGATAAATCCTTCCTTATTTGTCATTTTTATCAGGTCATTTATTATTTTGTCATTTTATCAAACCAAGCCAACAGAAGAGGTTGACTTTGGACTTCAGTGAGACTGATGAAAGCATAACATTGAAGATGGCAAATCTACACCGATGTCTACACTTACAGACACTTTTGAAAGAAAATATAGGATTCTTATTGGAAAAATAGCAAGAGACAAATTTGCTTCATTGCTACCTCAGAAATCAATGCTTAGCATTCCTTATATCAGGAATCCAGTTGATTTGTTTCTATGTCAGATGGTCTTTCTTTCACACTTGCTCCTTATAGTGAAAAGTGAAAATCCAGCAGAAAGTCTTAAAACTATAAATTTCGCACATTCAAGAGGAATTCATTTAACTCTGCCTATGTTTCTCCTTTCACTCTTGTAAATTGCATACATCTATGAAGTAGAGAAAAAAAAATTTTTCATTTTTAAATATAGACTAAAATGTTTTTCTTAAATTATTCAACATTTAAATGTTTTTACTAAAAAAGTTATAAACTAAATATTTACATAAGCAAGTAATTTTGAGTGAAGATAGCTAGTAGATTATATAACAGATGTTTTTATTGATGTTTCAGGACATAAAAATGGACTTCAACCACTGAAGTTTTAGAACTAAGGAGCACCAATTCTCCTTTTACACTTATTTTCTGTACCTTGCATTTTGTCATTTCCTCAAATAAGATTTAGACGGTTTTTTCTTTCCTATTTGTATTTTGCGACTGTTGAAAAAGATAGTATCTTTTGTAGATATTGTAAGTACCCTAAAATGAGACCATGACTTCTGTTTCCTTTATATTCCTCATAACTCCTGGTACTCAGTAAAACAGGTCACATTTGTTGAGTGAGTTTAAGTGAGTGAATGGAATAACTATTGTGATGCTCATGTGGAGACAGGACAATCAACTATAGCTATAAAACTGGAAGATTCTTCTAAAGTAAGATTTCCTGGGTTACAATTTTTAATCTTAGACATTTGAATCAATCATAATCACTTGAGCGACGTAACTATAGTCAACTAAACATATCACATGGAGCTTAAAGAAATCCAATTGGTGTTAAAATATGTAATATATAAGTTTTTCAGCTGTTCTTTTTCTGGAATTGGAGGTTTAGGTGAGTGGGTGTAAAAGGAAACAAAGCAACATTGCAGAACTTTAGGATTAGTAGTATGAAGAAATAATTTATGAGAATAAAATAAATAGAATATGAATTATCCTTTTGTGTTCCAAAGAAAATGCCTTAGAGAGGTTATGAATAAAGAATACTCATCAAAGCAGAAAAATTCAAAAGGATGCAAACTCCACAATTTCATTAACAGTGCACATGTTTTTATATCGGCTGATATTTTCTCTGCAGATGTTACTTTGAAAGTTTGGACTTCTGCTAGACCTTTGCCTCTAATGCTCATGACTTTGGTCTAATCACTGAGACATGGTTAGGAAAGACCAGCTGGAAGTTGTTTCTGGAGATGGAGCTTTATGTTTTCCCAAGGTGAGTGTAACTTTTTTGTTTTGGTATAGAAATGGTCTTTTGTAAAGCAACCCAGTGTAGTAAAGTTGTGGTATAAATCTGCTTGAGCATTCTCCTGGGAAATAGTAGAGCAAGCAGAATTAAGTTGACATGTTGTTTCCTCTACCTGCACCTGACATTTACTGACTTCAGCTCATATCTTGTTATGTTTATTGTTGTACGCCAGTAGACCCCAAATCATTAAATAATTGGTTGCTGCACACAGATAAAATGATTTGTGATTTCCCTACATACATGTCTCATCACTTCAATGGAACAAATTATCACAGAATTATTTCAATTTATTATAAGGTAATTGAATATTGATTGAGGAAATGTAATAAGAAGGAAAAAAATTAATAGGAAACATTTATTTTTAGAAAGAAAACTGCTTTCCTCCTACCAATGCGTGGTATATCTTCCCTTGTGGAATTCTGATCAATGGACAATTACACTGACTAAGACAAGAGGGTCTTGGTCATACCCTCTGTTGTGGCTACTATTTAACATTACACCCAGTACTATTGGTATCATGAATAACATAACAGCAACAACGAAAATAAAAATGGATGAACAACCAAGGAAATGCTGACAAGATTTTCATTCAAAAGTTAGTTGAATCACAAGGTTTGAATTCTAGCCTTGTGATTTACTAACTATGAAACCATGGGCAAGGTTTGTTCTATCAGTTTTCTTTCAGTTTTTTTTAATAGAAAATAAGAAGATAGAAGGTTAATAGCTATTCTTTATGCCTCAGAGTAAGTTCAATTTATATCACCAATGAGAAAAAAATCTTAAAAAATTGGCACATACCTGTAAAATATTATTTAGTATTTGTTACATGTAGTTAGTAAAATAAAATATAAAGTTTATAATTTGCAATATTAGCATCATACTTGCTGTTTTTCTAGGAAAACATAATCTCCTGATACTAATTAAGTCACTTAATTCTGGCATCTACAATATATTTGTAAAATAGAATACAACAAAAGAGTACATCCTATCATTTCAGAGACATCATTGCTATCATGTTTTTCTAAAGTGTCATTTAAATTATTTTTGGTTAGATTTAAACATGTTCATTTTTGGAGTTTCTTCTCATTCTAAAAATCCCTTTTCATGTGGAGGCTTTTATGAAAAAACTATATATAGTCATACACCATATACAATGTTTTGGTCAACAAGGGACCGCATATATGACAGTAGTTCCATAAGGTTATAATGGAGATAAAAAATTCCTGTCACCTAGAGACATTGTAACCATCATAATGTCATAGCACAATGTATTACTCACATGTTTGTGGTGATGCTGGTATAAACAGATCTACTGTGCTGCCAGTTGTATAAACGTATAGCACATACGATAATAAGCAGTACATAACACTTGAAAATAAACCAGAAACTATGTTACTGGTTTATGTATTACTGTACTATAAATTTTATCATTATTTTGGAATGTATTCCTTTTTACTTGAAAAGTTAACTGTAAAATAGCCTCAGAGGAAGGCATTGTTATCATAGGAGATGATAGCTCCATACAGGTTATTGCCCCTGAAGACCTTCCAGTGAGACAACATGTGGAGATGGAAGACAGTGATACTGATGATCCTGACCCTGTAGGCCGAGGCTAACTTAGTTAAGATGGGGCCATACTTAGTCCAATATGGCTGGTACCCTTATAAGATGGCCATGTGAAGACAGCGACACCAGAGAGAATGCCATGTGACAATAAAGGCTGAGACTGGAGTTGTGCCACTGCAATCCAAGGAACACTGAACACTGCCAGCAAATCATCGGAAACTGAGGAGAAGCAAGGAAGGATTTTTCCTACAGGTTTAAGAGAGAGCATAGCCCAACTGATACCTTTGTTTCAGACTGCTAGTCTCTGGAACTTTGACACAAACATTTGTTTTTGTAAGCTACCCAGTTTGTGGTATGTAGTTTGTTATGTCAGCCCTAAGAAACTGGTACCTGCAGCCACGTCAGTAACTAACATTCACTCAGTGCCAAGGTGTGTATCATGCGTTGAGAATTCTCTAAGTCCATAAGGCATTTCCTAGCATTAATTATATTCTATGGACTAAGACACTGAGACTAATAGAGGTACATTAGTTGGCCCAAATTTTCACATGTAGTATGTGGCAGAATTTCATCAGAGTTGTTTTTGATCCTTGAACCTGAGCACAGGAATCATTAGTCCAACTTTGAAGATGAGGAAATTGAGAGTCAAAGAGATTGATACACCCTTTGCCTTATCTTTCTGAGGTTAAATGTATTCATTTCCTGTGGTCTTTTTCTGGTGGCTATAGACCCAACATTTTTTTCTGTTACTTTTTTCTTTTTCTAAGCATATGCCCCTCATTTTTGGAACCTCAAACTTAGGGAATAATCTGATATAACTATAATCAGTGACGGGTTAGGAAGAGGATGACTCTGCTGTTCACACATGTATTTCTTTAAGCATTTCAGCACTTTTATGGGCCAATCTTGAACAGTGAGTGAGTTTAATGCCTGTTTTTTAAATGACATGAACAGTATGATTATAACAATAACCATCATTTATTGAGCACTACTAATGTACCAGGTTCTTACATACATGACTTTTTAAAAATCTAGCAAAGTCCCACAAGTTCATTACTATTATTTTATTTTTAATGTAAGAAATAATTGAAACTCAAGTTTCAGTTATTCTCCAAGGTTACATAGTAGCAAATGACCCAGAAGAGATTCAAATCAAGTTTAGCAGAATCCTAAAGTTCAAGTAACTGTTATTCTAATTCTCCTTCACTAAATAATATTACTATTCTTGTACTATTAACAAAATGAGACATGCATGGAAATTTTTAACTGGATCATTTTTAGACTCTAAATTCAGAGTTACAGCCATGTATCTGATACTGATCTGAGAGTGACATTGTGAGGGTGGTGTCTGCTGGAAATACCCGGACCAAGTTTGCAGGTCAAAATGTACATCAGTTTCTGGAACACAGAGGAAAATGATAAATCTATATTTTGCCCCAACACTGACCCTTGAGAACTAAAAGTCAAGAGTATGACTGCAGCCTTTCCCTTAACATTAGATCTGATGGAGAAGGTTTAATGACCCTGAAATTTAAAATGAAAATTTGTAAAACTCCAAGAGATGAGCAATGTCCATGTTTAGTAAAAGGAGAGGAGCGTTGTCAAAGAATATAGAAGAAGCTCAACTATGAGGGACTTCTCTAGCATATTGGTGTTAGAAAAGAATAACTAAGAAACGGAAAACTCAAAATTGTGCCTCTTACAACTTTTTATGCCTGCTGATAGAGTTTGTATGTTGTCCCCTCTAAATCTCATGTTGAATTGTAATCCCCAGTGTTGGAGGTGGGGCCTGGGGGGAAGTGTTTGGCTCACGGGGGTGGATTTCTCATGACTTGGTGCTGTCCTCATGATAGTGAGTGAATTCTTGCTAGATCTAGTTGTTTAAAGGTATGTGGCACCCCCCGCCCCCCACTAAACTCTCTCTCTTGCTCCCACTCCTGCCATATGAGACGCCTGCTCCCCCTTTACTTTCCATCATGATTAGAAGCTTCCTGAGGCCCTCACCAGAAGCAGCTGCCAGCACCATGCTTCTTGTACAGCCCGCAGAGCCAATTAAACCTATTTCCTTATAAATGAACCAGTCTCCAGTATTGCCTTATAGCAACGCAAGAATGGCCTAATATACCTGCAAATATCTTGAAACTTACTTGTATATACTAAGAGATATACCTACCTCACTTTGAAGACCACTGTATTAGAGGACTGGACTATCAAATTTATTGTGAGAGTTAAGGCGTCACTTAACTTCTTTATTCCTAAATTTTTTCATAAGTAATATGAGAATAATAGTTCACTTCTAAAATTTTCATTGGCATTAGATAACAATCAGAGAAAGTGCCTTTCTTTGCTTGTTTCATAGTGTGTTAGACCATTGTTGCATTTAAACAAATACCTGAGACTGGGTAATTTATAGAGAGGAGAGATTTAATTGGCTCTTGGTTCTACAGGCAGTACAAGAAGTATGGTGGTGGCATCTGCTTCTGGTGAGAGTCTCAGGCAGCTTTTACTTATGGCAGAAGGCAAAGTGGGAGCTTGAGAGTGGGGAGGAGGTGTCACACACTTTTAAACAACCAGATCTCACAAGAACTTTTTTTTTTTTTTTTTTTTGAGACAGAATCTTGCTCTGTTGCCCAGGCTGGAGTGTAGTGGTGAGATCTTGGCTCGTTGCAACCTCCATCTCCTGGGTTCAAGTGATTCTCCTGCCTCAGCCTCCTGAGTAACTGGGATTACAGGTGTGCACCACTATGTCCATCTAATTTTTGTAATTTTAGTAGAGACGAGGTTTCACCATGTTGGCCAGGCTGGTCTCAAACTCCTGTCCTCAAGTGATCCTCCCACCTCAGCCTCCCAAAGTGAGGGATTACAGGTGTGAGCCACCATGTCCGGCCCTCGAAAGAACTTACTATGGTGAAGACAGCACTGAGGCGATGGCTCTAAACCATTCACCAAAGATCCACCCTCATGATGCAAACACCTCCCACCAGGCCCCATCTCCAACACTCGGGATTACAATTCAACATGAGATTGGTAGGGACAGATACAAACTATATCATACAGCAAGTGTCCATTAAAAATATTATTTAATATTATTAGTATCATAAGGTCCACAAGTCTCTTTTTATAACAAACATAAGAATAGATACATAAATGCAGATGAAACAGGATGCATTACCATTCACACATTAGACCAGGTAGATTTTCACATTGATAGATTATTAGCTCACACAGTAGAGATTCATAAGAAAGGATTCAACCCCTTCAATTTCTTTTCATGATTGAAAATATTGGGTTGACACCATTAACTTGTTTTTCTCTTCTCATTGAATAATTCGCTATAATTGAGACTCACAATAGAGGTTTTACGACAATGTCTTTCAAGAGGCAGGTAAATACATTAATGATTGTGAGATCCAGTTATTGGTTTATGACAACATTTTTCAAAGTTAAATAAAAGAGAAAATCATATTAGAGTGTGTAACTCATGGTAAAGGTGAGTATTTTTTCATAAAACATATGTATTGATTATGTGTGAATATAACAAGGTAAATGTATCTCTTACAATTATTTTCAGTTAGAAAAAATCAAAGGGCTCTGTTTATAATCGTTTATGCCAAGGGGACCTAAGTAGAGTCACACAATGTATGATACATGTTCTCCTCACCTGAAAGCAGGAGACTTCCTCTGTGACTCTGGCCTGAGGCTTAAATAGTTTACATTGGTCACAAGATTAAGACAATGAAGACTGATATATATATATATATATATATATATATATATACATACTTATACATGTACACACATACTTGTAAATATGTAATACTAGATCCTTTACAGAGTATTTTCCTTTCAAATATCTCATTCTATTAACCCCATAACACATGCTAGGTGGGTCTGGCATCTACTGCATGCTTAGGAAATAAATTCTAGAGGGAAATGAATTACACAGGGCCACTTAATAAATCACTATGGGACCAGAACTAGAAACCAGACCTTTTGACTTCTACTGTAGAATTCTTTATACTAGTAGCTCTCAAATACTGGTCACCTAAAGAGTTACGTGAAGGGTTTTAAAAAATACAAAATCCTGAGTACTTTTAAGTTTTAACGGATGTAAGAAGAAGAAAAAACCTTGCATTTCTGCCTCACCATGTTTGAAGCATGAATGAAAATGTAAACTAACATTTATTCACCCATTGATTTTAAATTTTTCTCAAAAATTTATATCAAAACAAGGAAACATAAAAGTGATTGAGACATTTGTACCTTAAATTGTGACATATTCATTCTCAGAAGAGTCGTGACTCTTATCTTTGCATGTGCCTTGAAACAGTGTAGATCGATAGTGGGTAATAGAAAAGTTAAGTACCACTCTAGGAATGGACTTATTCAAGGGATTGCATAGGCTACAGAACACGTCCCTTCTATACTCTGTAAGCAGAGCTTATTGCCACAGTCTATGAGTTTGTCAAAGTGAATTTAAGCAGCAAATGCTCTTTGTTTCCCACCCAGCTTTCCTGCTTCCAGGGCTCAGCCTTTAATTCTTCATCCCCACAATATTTCATAGTTTTAGAAACTTGGCACACATAAAAAACATGCTAGAGTAAGTATTTTTTAGCAGTGTTTTTTCTTTTGATTATACAGTAGGAAGATTTTCACAGATGTTCAGCTCTTCACTCACTTCTGTTTCCTTCTGAACTCTTACTGCTAATTCAAATGCACATTCATCTATTGAAGTCACTTTAATTTTCTAACAAAGAACACACTTCAACAATTCTCCTCCTCATCATGCCCACACATTACAACTTCTCTGTTGAAGTGCATATTTACATGAAAACACCAAGTAGGGATTTTAATCTTGGTTTAGTTACTAATTTGTTGGGTGCTCTTACTCAAACTTTAAACTCATTATGCCTTAATTTCTATATCTGAAAAACGACATGTGTACAATAAAGAGTTTTTAAAGGTCTGTTTTAGTTCTAAAAATCCGTGATCCTCAGATTAGGAACTAACAATTATATTCTGAAATCTTACATTTGGTTCATATGTAGATTTAAGAAAGTATCAAAAACTATATAACAAGTAAGATAAGCTGATGGTTTGACAGGGATGAATAGTTGAATGGGTATGTAATAAAGCAAGTATAGTAAAATATTAATGGTAGGTGGAATGTACAAAAGCACTCACTCACTTTAATTTTTCTCTATGTTTGAACATCTTTACAATGAATCATTGAAAAATGCTATTGTTCATGTATATATATAATTAAATCTTTAATTCTCTGTATATTTTATATATATATTATATATATATATAATTAAATATTCTAAAAGCTACAGCTACTCACAAAGTCATATTTGGGATTCTTTAAAATAATTACACACACATGCTCTCCAAAGCATGTCTTTCCTGATTTGTCCAGCGTATTAAGAAATAAAAACTACAGTTTTTATTTCTTAGACTTTGCTCCATAATTCCAAGAGATCCAGAGGATTCCATGGTGATTTCAGAGCATGTCAAATTCACTGCAGCTGCAAAACACATGGTTTGGGCAGCTCACAGTGGCACTTTGAAATGTGATCTGAATTGATTAAAAACTTGTGATAACTACAAACTTTATTTTAGGGTTCATGATGTTTGGAATAATATGGGAAATAATATGATATTATATTGCTTACTGATTCCTATCATTTAAAAAATTTTCAACCACCCCAGTTGGGCATGATTAATTTATGTTTCCTCAATTTTTTTAATGGCATATGCATATCATTTAAGTTAAAGTGAACTAAATGAAACGTTATTTTGTGAATTGCAGCATTTTGTTGTCTGAGTAATAAGGCAGAGAGAAAGGCGGGAGGGAAAGAGAGAGAGAGCGGGAGAGAGAGAGAGAGAGAGGCATTCTCTGTACTAGTACATTGAACATGGTATAACTTTATCCTGTGGAGGTTCCAGAAAACAGCCTTAGCTTGCTGCCTTGAAAATGAAGCTTTAGATGCAGTGGAAATATTAGGGCTTTGCTGGTTTCAAGGCTTCCAAAGAGGAATGGCAGTGACATTACCTGAGAAGACTAAACTGTGGACATGATAATAGCCAGAAAGAGAGGCTAGTCTGCATGGCACAAGTAAAAATGCCAAGGAGAATTAGTGGGAATACCCAGCACAACTGAAAGCAGAGGCTGGGATATATAGTGTGACCCAGCAGAGGATGGCCACAACTGGAGGGCAGGAAAAATTAGCTAATACTGTGAGTCAGCTGAAAACACTTATTTATATTTCAGTGAAATAATCCTGAAGACATACTTGAAATATCTGGAAGTTGCAGGAATGAAATATGTGGCAATATTAGGAGGGACTAAGAACCAGTGATACAAAACATATGCGCACACACACACACACACACACACACACACACACACACCCTACATGCACATCTGTCTATATTTCTAATATTTAAAACAATTTTTAATCTGAAAATTGGCAAAACACATAGGCCATTACTGGATAGGTCCTTAACTGAGGCCATAACCTGTTCTTCAGTTTTGTCCTGTCTCTCCTACCTAATTTGTTCATATGTTCTTCTGAGTCTTCACCTAACACTTGTGCCTGGCAGTCCACGCAAGACTATAATTCTTTATTTTATAGCTGATTTCTCTTGCAGATAGTTCAGCTTCTTCATATAGCCTCAAACTTCAGGTGGACAAATATTATGTAAATGTTTTCTCACTCTCCCTCTTGAGGTTCCACTTGCTACTGCTCAGACGTGTACATTGCAAAAACTAGAGAAGGTATGATGTCTTTGAATATCAAGTTGTCTGCTGCCAAAAACGTCTCATCTTACTAATGTCCTCTATTCAGTGGAAAAGAGTTACTACTTGTCTATGGCTTTAGAAGGTAAAAGTAACTTATTTGGAAGAAAGGTTCAAAATGGCTGACTAGAGACAACTTGCACTCACCTCCTCCACAAAGAAGAACCAAATTAGATAAATAGTAGATTATCTTACTTTGAATAGCACATCTAAGAGAACACCGTGGAAAGCAGTAGAGACGGGAAATACCTGAGGCATGGCAGAAGAGCCAAGTAAGGCAGCCTGCTTACCCAGGATTGGCTGGGAGCCTGGAAAGTTTCCCCAGTACAGGGAAAGAGTAAGTGAGGGATCCCCAGTAGCCCATATTCCCATCATGGACTCATGCAATCTTATCCATTGGAGAGCCCCTCAACTCTCATGAGCCTTGAGACTAGTACAGGGAGCTGCCTGGAGTGCTCATGACAGCATTGCTCCGGAGGGGAAGCTCAATTGGGTTCTACACACCTGCCTGAGACTCAAGCAGCTGCAGTATGATGCCATTTGTCATTTTGAGAGTCCAGTTCCCACTAGACTATATACTGACCTGGGGCCAAATAGCCCCTTCCTCTCCATATCCCTGGAGCCTCAATGACTTACCTTTACAGCCACCCAGAACACTTCAGCCACACATTGCTGAATGAACCCAGCAGTGTGGCAGAGTGATATGGTTTAGCTGTGTCTCAACCAAAATTTCATCTTCAATTGTAGCTATGATAATTCCCATGTCTCATGGGAGGGACTCAGTGAGAGATAATTGAGTCATGGGGGCAGTTCTCTCCCATGCTGTTCCCATGATAGTGAGTAAATCTCACATGATCTGATGGTTTTATAAAGGGGAGCTCCCTTGCACATGCTCTCTATGCTCTCTTGCCTGCAGCCATGTAAGACATGCCTTTGCTCCTCATTTACCTTCAGCCATGATTGTGAGGCTTCTCCAGCAACGTGGAACTATGAGTCCATTAAAATCTCTTTTCTTTATAAATTATCCAGTCTTGGGTGTGTCTTTATTAGCAGCATGAGTACAGACTGATACATTAAATTGGTACCAGTAGAGTGGTGTGCTGCTGTAAAGATACAAGAAAATGTGAAAGCAACTTTGGAACTGAGTAACAGGCAGAGATTAGAACAATTTGGAGGGCTCAGAAGAAGACAGGAAGATATGGAAAGTTTGGAACTTCCTAGAGACTTGTTGAATGGCTTTGACCAAAATGCTGACAGTAATATGGACAATAAAGTCCAGGCTAAGATGGTCTCAGATGGAGATGAGGAACTTGCTGGGAACTAGAATAAAGGTGACTCTTGCTATGTTTTAGAAAAGAGAATGGTGGCATTTTGCCTCTGCCCTAGAGTTTTGTGGAACTTTGAACTTGAGAGATGATTTAGGGCATCTGGTGGAAGAAATTTCTAAGCAGCAAAGTGTTCAAGAGGTGACTTTGGTGTGGTTAAAAGCATTCAGTTTTATGTATTCACAAATATATGGTTTGGAATTGGAACTTATGTTTAAAAAAGAAGCAGAGTATGGAAGTTCAGAAAATTTGCAGTCTGGTAATGTGATAGAAAAGAAAAATCCATTTTCTGAGGAAAAATTCAAGCTGGCTGCAGAAATTTGCTTAAGTAATGAGGAGGCAAATTTTAATCACCAAGACAACGAGAAAAATGTCTCCAGGGCATGTCAGAGACCTTTGCAGCAGCCCCTCCCATCACAGGTCTAGAGGCCTAGAGGGAAAAAATGGTTTCATGCACTGGGCCCAGAGCCCCCCTGCTGTATGCAGCCTGGGGATTTGGTACTCTGCATTCCACCTGCTCTAGAACTGGCTAGAACAAGCCAAAGTACAGCTCAGGTCATGGCTTCAGAGGTTGCAAGCCCCAAACCTTGGCAGCTGCCATGTGATGTTGGGCCTGTGGGTGCACAGAAGTCAACAATTGAGGTTTGGGAATCTCCGCCTAGATTTCAAAGGATGTATGGAAACACCTGGATGTCCAGGCAGAAGTGTGTTGCAGGGGCAGAGGCTTTATGGAGAGCCTCTGCTAAAGTAGTGCAGAAGGGAAATGTGGGGTGTGAGTCCTCACACAGAGTCCCCACTGGGGTACTGCCTAGTGGAGTTGTGGGAAGAGGGCCACCATCTTCCAGACCTCGGAATGGTAAATCCATTGACAGTTTGCACAATGCACCTGGAAAAGCAAGACACTCAATGCCAACCTGTGAAAGCAGCCGGGAGGTGGGGCTGTGCCTTGCAAAGCAGAGCTGCCCAAGACCATGGGAACCAACCTCTTGCATCAATGTGACTTGGATGTGAGACATGGAGTCAAAGGAGATCATTTTGGAGCTTTAAGATTGACTGCCCCCACTAGATTTCGAACTTGCATGGAACCTGTAGCCCTTTTGTTTTGGCCAATTTATCACATTTGGAATGGCTGTATTTACCCAATGCTTGTATCCTCATTTTATCCAGGAAGTAATTAACTTGCTTTTGATTTTACAGGCTCATATGTGGAAGGGATTTGCCTTGTCTCAAATGAGACTTTGGACTGCAGACTTTTGAGTTAATGCTGAAATGAGTTAAGAGTTTGAGGGACTGTTGGAAGGCATGATTGTGTTTAGAAATGTGAGGACATGAGATTTGGGAGAGGCCAGGGGCCAAATGATATGGTTTGGCTGTGTCCCCACCTGAATCTCATCTTTAATTGTAGCTCTCATAATTCCCATCTGTTGTGGCAGGGAACTGGTGGGAGGTAATTGAATCATGGGGGCAGGTCTTTCCTGTGCTGTTCTCATGGTAGTACTTAAGTCTCATGAGATCTGATTGTTTTATGAAGCGGAGTTCCCCTGCATGTACTCTCTTGCCTGCTGCCATGTAAGACATGCCTTTGCTCCTCCTTCACCTTCCACCATGATGTAAGGCCTCCTCAGCCATGTGGAACTGTGAGTCAATTAAACATCTTTCCTTTATAAATTACCCAGTCTTGGGTATGTCTTTATTAGCAGTGTGAGAACAGACTAATACACATGGTCTGCAGCACTCTAACCCACAGAGTCCCACACCCTGGGGAACAGGCAGCAATGCACCAGGGAGGCTGCTCTCAGGACAAAGAGAGCCAAATCATGTGCTCCCCAGAGTCTGAAAGCCACCTTCCTGGGATCTCTGCCACTGACAGCAATCCTGCCACTCCCAGAAGCAGGATTGCCATACACTTGCATGTATCCCAAGGATGGGCTTTCCCTGCCCGCGACCACCACTGTCACTGCTGCCACTCAAGCATGCTGCCTGGATGCCTAGAGATTATTCTGCCCTTGCTAACACAGCCTGATGCCATGCACACCATTAGGTGGACCTGAGGACAGGCCTACTCAACCTAGCACTGCACCTTCCAGTACCTGAGCATGCTGCGTGGGGACCTGAGGATCACCCTGTTGTCAGTTACCCCGGGAACATGTGTGCATCACCAGAGGGTCTAACAATAGACCCCAAACACCCCCAGCACCCAAGCATGCCATCCAGAGGTGTTGGGATTGCCCTGCCGTGTCCACTATTGCCAGCATCTTTGCAGTCTTCCTAAGGGCCTGAGATAAACCCACTCGGCCTGTTGCTACAACGACCATTGGCACCCACCCACATGTACCACCTGGGGACCTGGGGACTGGCCTGCCCAGCCATCTTAGCCACTGCTAAAACCAGCATTACTGTCTGAGGCACAAGGGTTGTCCTGCACTGTCACTGCCATTGTCCATATCATGCATACTGCCCAGGAGCCTAAGGTTCTACCTGTCCACCTAGGCCACTGCTACCACTTCTGTCACCTGAGCAAGTAGTCTGGAGTCCCAATAATTGTCCCATCTGGACCTGCTAACACCTGCATATGCTGCCTGGGGGCCCAAGAACAGGCATACTTAGCCCACTGTTGCCACCACTGGGGCCAAGAACAGGCCCATTCAATATCCCCATCCAAAGCAAAGCCTCACCACAGCCTCCACTAACAACTATAGCCTAGTGCACTGAGGAAATCACAGATGGCACTGAGGAAATCACAGACAACACTGAAGCTGCTTGAAGTTGAAGAAATACTAAGACTACATTACTGCATGCACCCTATATCAAAGCTGAAGTACCCTACCAACCAATATTATTAGTACATCTTTCAAGAAAACAATCTATAAATGCCAACCCCCCAAAATGGAAAAAGTGACTGTTATACCAGAGGCACAAATATCAATGAAAGGACACAATAAAGAGGGAAAAAAAGGTAATATGAGAACTCCAAAGAAAAACAATAATTCTCCAGAAACAGATTCCAATGAAAAAGACATTTGTAAGATGCCTGAAAAATAATTTAAAAAAAAATGATATTAAAGAAGCTCATTGAGATACAGGAGAACAAAGAAAAACAATAGAAAGAAATCAGAAAAAAATATTCAGGATATGAATGAGAAACTTGCCAAAGAGATAACTATCATAAAAAGGAGCCAAACAGAAATCCTAGAACTGAAACTCAGTGAATGAATAAAAAATACAATTGAGAGCTTCAACAATAGCTTGAAACAGTAGTTTCAGAACTTGAAGATAGGTATTTGAAATAATCCAGTCAAACAAAAAAAACAAAAGAATAACAAAGAATGAAGAAAGCCTATATGACATATGGGACACTAAAAAAAGATCAAATAAACAAATTATTTATATTCCAGAAGGTGAAGAGAGAATGAAAGGGTTCAAAAACCTATTTAACAAAATGATAAATGAAAACTTCCCAAGTCTACCAAGAGATTTGCACATCCAGTTATATGAAGCCCAGCAATCCCCAAACAGATAAAATCCAAAAATGTCTCCACAGTACATTATAGTCAAAGTGTCAAAAGTCAAAGACAAAGACAGATTCCTACAAACAGCAAGAGAAAAGCATCTAGTCAAAGATAAAGGAAACTTTATCAGACTAACAGCAGATTTTTCAGCCAAAGCCTTACAGTCTTGGAGAGAATGGAGTGACATATGCAAAGTGCTGAAGGGATAAAATACTGATAGCTGAGAATACTACATCTAGCAAAGTTGTTCTTCATAAGTGAAAGATAAATAATGTCTTTCCCAGGAAAAGAAAACTGAGAGAATTCATCAGCACTACACTAGCCCTACCAGAAATGCTTAAGGAAGTCCTATACCTGGAAGTGAAAGGATAATATCTACCACCATGAAAACACAGAAAAGTATAAAACTCATTGGTAGAGCAAACATACATGATGAAGAGAAAGGAGTCCAATGTTACTATTACAGAGAACCATACAATCACATTGATAAACAGTAAGAGAAAAAGAAAGGAATAAAGACTATAAAAAACAACCAGAAAACAATTCAGAACGTAACAAGGATAAGCCTTGACATATCTAGAATAACCTTTTATGTAAATGAATTAAATTTCCCACTTGAAAAATTAGGACTGGCTGAATAGTTTTTTTAATGATCTAATTATATGCTGTCTACAAGAAACTCACTTCACCTCTAAAGATACATGTAGACAGAAAAAAAAAAGGATGAAAAAAGATATTCCATGCAAACAGAAGCGAAAAGCAGCAGGTGTATCTATTCTTATATTAGGTAAAACAGACTTTAAGTCAAAAATAGTAAAAAGAGACAAAGAAGGTTATTATGTAATGAAAAAGGGATCAATTCAGTAAGAGGGTATAACAACTCTAAATATGTATGAAACAATGGAGCACAAATATATATATAAAGCAACTATTATTTGATATAAAGGGAGAAATAGACTCCAATATAATAATAGTTGGGGATGTCAATAACACAGTGTCAATATTAGACAGATCATCTAGACAAAATATCAATAAAGCAACATTGGATTTCAATGGCACTTTAGACCAAATGGACTTAACAAACACCTACAGAACATTTTATCCAACAGCTACAAAATACACATTTTTCTTATCAGCACATGAAACATTCTCCAGAATAGACCATATATTAGACCACAAAACATGTCTCAAAAAACTTCAAAAAACCAAAATCACACTAAGTATTTTTCTCAGACAACAGCATAATAAAACTAAAAATCAACAAGGGCAACTTTTGAAACTGTACAAATACACTGAAATTTAATAGCATGCTTCTGAACAACCATTGGGTCAATTAAAAAAAAGAAATAAAAAACATTTATTGAAACAAATGAAAATGGAAACCCAACAAACAAAATCTGTGGAATACAGCAAAAGCAGTGCTAAGAGGGAACTGTATAGCAATAAATGCCTACATCAAAGAAGTAAACAGACTTCAAATAAATAATCTAATGATGCACTTCAAGAGACTAGAAAAGCAAGAACAACTCAAATTCAAAATTAGTAGGCAGAAAGAACAGAGTAGTATTTCTAAATGAAATTAAAAAAAGGAAAGGATCAACAAAAAAGGTTTTTAGAAAAGGTAATCAAAATAAATAAACTGCTAGACTAATCAAGAAAAAAGGAAAAGACCCAAATAAACAAAATCAGAAATTTAAAAAAAGAGAAATTATCACTGATTTTACAGAAATAAAAAAGATCGTCAAGGACTGTTATGCACAACTATATGCCATAAATACCTGGAAACATACAATCTATAAAGACTGAATCAGGAAGAAATAATCTGGACAGACAAAGAAAAATTAACAATATTGAATCAGTAGTAAAACGTTTCCCAAAAGAAAAGCACAGGACCGGATACCTGCACTACTGAATTTTACTGAGGAAAAACTATCATTAATTCTCCTGAAACTATTGCAAAAAGTTGAGGGGAAGAAATTCTCCCCTAACTTATTCTATAAGGCCGGAATCTTCCTGAAACCAAATCCAGACAAGGACACAATAGAAAAAGAAAACTAAAGGTCAATATCCCTGATGAACATAGATGCCAAAATTCTCAACAAAATATTGGTAAACTAAATCTAACAGCACACATCCAACAGATAAAACACCATAATCAAGTGGGATTTATTCCAGGGATGCAAGAATGGTTCAACATATGCAAATCAATCAGTGTGATATATCATATCCACAGAATGAAAGGCAAAAACCATATTATCCTCTCAACAGATGCAGAAAAAGCATTTGATGACATTCAAAATCCCTTCATGATAAAAACTCTTAACTATAGCTAGGCATAGAAATAATATACCTCAACATAATAAATGCCATATACAACAAATTAACAGCTTACATTCTACTGAATGGAAAAAAGCTGAAAGCCTCTCTTCTAAGGACTGGAACAAGTTTGCTCACTTTCACCACTTTTATTCAACATAGTACTTGAAGTCTTAGTCAAAGCAATCAGCAAGAGAAAGAAATAAAAGGCATCTAAATTGGAAAACAGTACTTCAAATTGTCTTTTTTTTCAGATAGTATCTTAGACTTTTTAAAAACCAAAGGAATCCTTAGGTTTGATAAATAAATTCAGTAAAGTTACAAGATACAAAATCTGTATACAAAAATCAGTAGCATTTCTACTGACCAATAATAAACTAACAACAACAAGCCAATACCATTTACCATAACTACACACACACACACACACACACACACACACACACACAGAGAGAGAGAGAGAGAGAGAGAGAGAGAGAGCTAGGAATAAATTTAACCAAAGAGTTGAAAGACTTCTACAAAGGAAACAAAAACACTGATGAAAAAATTGAAGAACACACAAATGAAAAGATATCACATGCTCATGGATAGGAAGAATTACTAACACCCAAAGCAATCTACATATTTAATGTAATTATTATCAAAATACCAATGGCATTCTTCCAGAAATAAAAAAACATAAAATTTTTATGAAAGTACACACACACACAAAATAACCAATAGCCAAAGCAATGATGAGCAAAAAGAATAAGGCTGGAGGCATTACAATACCCGACTTCAGTATGTATTACAAGGCTATGGTAACCATAATAGCATAGTATTGGTATAAAATTAGACACATAGACAAATGGAACAGAATATAGAACCCAGAAATAAATCCATGTGTTTACAGCCAACTGATTTTAAACAAGGCACCAATAGTATATACTGGGAAAATGAAACCCTCTTCAATAAATTGTGCTGGGACAATTGGATATCCATATGTAGATGAATGAATCTAGATTCTTATCTTTCACTTAAATGAATTCAAACTGGATTAAAGACTTAAACATAAGACCCAGAACTCTAATACTGCTAGATGGAAACATAGGGGAAATATTCCAGTACATTGGTCTAGACAGGATTTTTTGGCTAAGACCTCAAAAACACAGGCAACAACAACAAAAAATAGACAAATGTGGCAAGTGTAAACTAAGATTCTTCTGCACAGCAAAGGAAACAATTAAAAGAATGAAGAAACAACATGTTGAATGAGAGAAAATATTTGAGAACTACTTATCCAACAAAGGACTAATATCCAGAAGATTCGAGGAACTCAAACAACTCAACAGGAAAAAAATAATAATCCCATTAAAAAATGGGCAAAGAACATGAGTAGACGTTTCTCAAAAGAAGATGTACATATGCCAACAGGTATATAAAAATGCTCAACATCACTAATGCAGGGAAATGCAAATAAAAAGCACAATGAACTATCATCTTACCCCAGTCAGAATAGCTATTATAAAAAATACAAAAAATAGCAGTAGCTGGTGAGGATGTCGAGAAAATGAAACTCTTAAACACTGTTAGTGAGAATGTCAATTAGTACAGCCCCTATTGAAAACAGTATGGAGATTTATCCAAACAACTAAAAACAGAACTACCATATGATCCAGCAACCTCACTACTGGGTTTATATCCAAAGGCAAGGAAATTAGTATATCAAAACGATAACTCCACCCTTATGTTTATTGCAGCACCATTCACAATAGCAAAGATATGGACTTAATCTAAGTGTTCATCCATAGATAAATGAATAAAGAAAATGGGGTATATATACATAGTGGAATACTATTTGGCCATAAGAAAGACTGAAATCCTATTATTGGCAGTAACATGATTGCAACTGGAGGTCATTATGTTATGTGAAACAAGCCAGGCACAGAAAGAGAAATGTTGCATGTTCCCACTCATATGTAGTAGATAATAAAGTTGATCACATAGAGGTAGAGAGTAGAATCATAGATACCAGAAGCTGGGAGGAGTATGTGGGTAGGAGGAGGGGGATGAAGAGAGCTGGGTTAATGGGTACAAAAAAACAGTCAGATAGAAAGAATAAGTTCTACTATTCGATAGTAGAATGACTACAGTGAACAAAAATGTATTGCATATTTCAAAATAGCTGGAAGAAAGGACTTGAAATGAGCCCAATAAAAATGATAAATGCTTGAGGTGATGGGTATCCTAAAACCTTGATTTGATTGTTACAAATTCTATGCATGTAACAAAATATCACGTGTCTATAAATATCTATAAATATTATATATCAGTAAAAAAGCAACTTGCTTGGAACTGATTTTTTTTAAAAACAACTTATATTCTTCCAATCATACCATCTACAGCTGATAAGGGTCTATTTGCAAAAAAAAAAATAGTCTCACTATGGCTTTGTTGTTAAACAGAGTCATGACTACTATGCCTATATAACATTATTGTATATTTTGTCTTATTTGATCCTTACAATAACCCTGTAACAAAGGTAGATCACAGAGTGTGTTATTTCCTATTTAGTTGAAGAACAGAGAGTTCTGTGAATTTTCCAGGGTTACCTCAAATTTGCTACTTAGAGGTATTGGACTTTTAAAGATGTGGGCAGCTGGTTCTGACTATTGCCTTCCTGCTGGTGAGACAAGCTACTGTCTATGGCTGAGAATATTGATTGAAGGCTTGACAGGGAAATGAGTTATAACCACTGTTTTTTTTCACTGCTATTTATATGGTGAAAGCTGGAAGCCTGGCTCTTATGGCAAAAATAAAATAAAATAAAATAAAATAAAATAAAATAACTGCATACTTTGGGAATTCCTCTATTAGTTGACTCAAGGCTTCTCACTAGAAGTCAGTAATGTTTGCCTGTGTTCCTGAGTGAGAACCCAGGAGAAAGTGTGTGGCTATGATATGGGTAATAATCACTTTTAATGTCCAAAACTGGGGGACTGATATTCTCCTAAATAGGACTCTCGTTTTGTTTCCCATCTGAGAAAATGGTAATACTATTATTTTATTGCTCAGGCCATGATTCTTAGAGATATTCTTCACTCTTCACTTTGTTTTTATACTCAATGACTAATCCATCAGCAAACTCTGACAGCTGTATCCTGAAAATATATTCAGAATCTTACCAATTTTACTACCTTCATACTAAAATCTTGGTCCAAGACAATAATTATTTAAATGACCTCTTGAATGATGTCCTTGTTTCACCTTGATCTTCTTCACTGTGTTCCAGGCAGCATAGCCAGAGAGATCATGTTAAAACAATGGTCAGATCCTGTTTTTTCTCTGTATGAAACTAGCAAATGACTTCCTATCTCTCACAGAAGCCTGAATTCTAACAATGGCTGACAGCTTGTAGGTCATCTGCCTCTTCCACTTACCTATCCAAATTCATCTCCTACAGCTCTTCATCTTATTCACTCTTCACCAGGTGCACTGGCCTTCTCTCTGCCTCTAATATGCCAATATGCTTCTGCCTTGGAGCTTTGGTACACATTGTTCCTTCTGCCTGTAACCCTGTTGTACCAGATAGCTGCATGGGCCACTCCCTCACTTTTATCAGTCCAGATCTTTACTGAAATATGACCTACTCAGCAAACCTTTCCTAGTCACCCTACATAAACTTGCATCCACAAGCACTCACTGCTGCTCTGCTTTTACTCCTTAACATTTCTCATCACCTCACATATAGTTTCTTGCTTGTTTAGATTGTTTATTTTATGTCTCACCTAGTAAAATAGAAGTTGAATGAAGAGAAAAATATGGTCTGTATTTTTCACTGTTGCAGGCCCATCACTCAGCACAGTTCTTGTGCATAGTTGGTGCTTGATAATTATTTGTTGAATGAATGCACTTGTTGAATGAGGAATTAATCTTCCTCATTTGGAGAATTAGGGTCTTTATTTTCTTCAGACTTTCAAAATAACAAGCCAGATATAAAATGGACCAAGCCTATCATTCGTTGTCTTAGGTGCTGAGTAAAATTATGCCAAAGATAGGCATAAAAGAAACAATAGAAATATGGAAATTGGTGATGAAGATATAATATCATGTTAAATAATATTTTTTATCCATTTAGCCCTTAATAATTTGCAAAGAAATTTTATATGCATACTAAATTTAAATTTACCACTCTAAGATTTGCAGGAAAAATAAATTATTTCCTTTTTGTAAATAAGAGAATAAAAATTCAGAGAAATCAGATAATTTGTCCAGAATCATACTACTAATACATAGTAAAGCTAAAATGAATTCTTAGGATACACTTATCTTAAGGCTGAATCAGTGTTTCTTTCACTTTTCTCCCACATATATTTGAATTGCACATTTTAACATCAATGTTTTTGTGTCAGGAAAATTAAAACTTTTTAAATCAAGACCCAAAATGTCCTTAAAAAGATGGGTTAGTTCTCGCTGAGACCCATCACCGTGACTCTACATAAGACACACCACTGGGACTCACCACGTGCCATGTGTGAGTACATTTCAGTCCATATGGGGCAGGCAGGTGTCCAGATGGGCAATGCTAACCTGTTGGGAGCTCTACTGCCTGGAACATGAGATTCAAACTGATGGGCAGAAGCCCAGTGAAAAGACTATTGGTGAAGGGGATAGTCAACCTTCACCAGCTTCTTCTGTGAAACCAGTGCTAGAAAACATGTGTCCTGACTGTTTTGTGGATCTGGAGCCTATGGCCATTGATGAAATCTGAAATGGCCTATAACAACAGTTCTTCCACCCAGAGTAGCTCATCACTGTAAAAGAGGATGCTCTCAACAACGATGTCCGTGGTCACTATACCATTGGCAAAGAGATCAATGACCCAGTGCTGGACTGGACCTGGAAGCCGTCTGACCAATGCACAGGACTTCAGGACTTCCTGGTGTTCCACAGCTTTGACAGGGGCACTGGCTCTGGCTTTACCTCACTCCTAATGGAGCAGCTCTCTGGTACAATGGCAAAATCTAAGCTGTAATTCTCCAACTACTCAGCCCTGCAGGTGTCCACAGCCATAGTTGAGCCCTACAACTTCATCCTGACCACTCACTCACACCACCCTAGAGCACTCAGCTTGTGCCTTCATGGTGGACGACAAAGCCATCTATGACAATTGCTGCCACAACCTGGACATTGAGTCCCCAACCTACACCAACCTCAACTTCCTCATTAGCAAAGTAATCTCCTCCACTACAGCTTCTCTGCACTTTGACAAGGCCCTCAACATGGATCTGACAGAGTTTCAGATCAACCTGGTGGCCAGCACTCGCATCTACATCCCCCCGGCCATCTATGTGCCAGTCATCTGCAGAGAAGGTGTACCACAACAGCTGTTTTTGGCAGGGATCGCCAATGCCTGCTTTCAGCCTGCCAGCCAGATGGCAAAGTGTGATGGTATGGCACTTTAGGGAATATGGCTTACTGGTATGGCAAGTGTATGGCCTACTGCCTGTTGTACCACAGAGATGTACCCAAGGATGTCAATGCTGCCATTGCCACCATCAAGACCAAGTGCAGCATTCAGCTTGTGTACTGCTGCCCCACAGGCCTCAAGGTTGGTATCAACTAACCGCTGCCCACTGTGGTGCCTGGGGGTGACCTGGGCCAAGGTACAGTGTGACGTGTGCCTGCTGAACAACACAATTGCCATTGCCAAGGCCTGGGCCCACCTGGACCACAAGTTCAAGCTGATGTATGTCAAGAGGGCGTTTGTACACTGGGAAGCTGGTGAGGGCATGAAGAATGGTGAGTTCTCCAAGGCTCAGGGAGGATATGGCCACCCTGGAGAAGGATTATGAGGAAGTAGGCAACGACTCCTCTGAGGATGAGAATGAGGGAGAAGAATAGAACAACTGCCTGGAGCCTATTCATTATGGTTATTGCAAAATCCTTTGGAAATAAACAGTCTCCTTGCATGGTTTAAATAAATAAATAAATAAATAAATAAATAAAACAGAAGGATTTAGTAGCTTCAGCAAAACAGAACTTAACACCCAAAAGGATAGATATACATTTTAAAATATTTTGTAATTTGCATTGCTTTACACAGAGAAAGCATAGGAAAATATGTAGATTTTGCAAAGGGTAATTGATGGGCCTGTTTTTTTCATGTTGCTTTCAGGAATGTGTGGGCAAACAGCCTATCTCTAGTGAAAAAAACATGCAGACTATTGCTACATTAATATTCACATCCAGAACATGAAATCTGAAAACAAAATAACTATAAAATTATACCACACAGCAGCTAAATTAAAGAAGCTGAGTATACAGCTCCATATATGCTCACTATAAAGAGAATATTTTTGCAAATTAAAAATATGTGAATAATTGTCATGAAGAAGTAATTGCTTTTAAAGATAAAATAATTGGAGGCTGGTTTTGTTGTCAAATTACTCAGAACTTTGTTGGTGCTTCTAAGGATCAGAGCTTAGCAATGTTTTTGAACCTTTGCTCTTTCCCTATACCTTCAAAATGTTGTTCAGGACTTTCTATTCTAAATGCTCTGAGGAAAGTACTGTTGCTCCCCTTAAGGATCAAATGTAGAAAAAACCTGAGTGGCTGGTGACAAACTTCTACATCCCCACAACTATAAAAATTAACATGTGGCAGTAGGTTATACTTTATTACTTATCTTTCTGAATAATTGTTTTAAAATATTATTTAATGGTGGTCTTTTGTTTTATTTAGGAGTTTATTTTTGTATCCTAACATAGTAAACAGTAGCACATATAAATACACATAGAGTTACAGGGCGTAGGAGAGAATCAGACTTTATTGTCAACTAATGACTATACACTTGGTATGCATTATTTTATAATTCAAAACAATACTTTAATGTGGGTATTCATATCTGTATTTACAGGAGAGGAACGTGATATTCAGAAATTAAGTTTACATAGTTACTAAGGAACAGATACAGGGTTTGAAGTTCATTTTATCTCCAGAGTGATTAATCTTCCAAATATACCCTTTTTGATCCCATAGTGTTTGGAAGATATGATCTTCCAACCAACTTGGGAATGACTGAAACCCTTAAAGGCATCTTGGCAAATGACTCTTCAGCAAAACAAGTCTTATGACCAAGAACTTATTGAGGGCCAGAATATATTGTTAAAGCTAAAATAATTAACAAGTTCTTATGTATATTTAGCCTAATTTCATCTCTGCCAGTTCCCGTCTATCATTTGAGGTCATACACAACAATAACTCTTCTAGTTAATTGCCTTTCAACTAATTGAAGAGAGCTAGTTTTCTCTTCTTTAGGTTAAGTATCTACAATTCATTTTAAATAATTTCTTAGCAAATAAACTGCCAATCAATTATTATCTATATCTGATAGAAATTCTGATAGGAACTCTGAGAGGAACTCAGAGACAATTTTAATGTTAAACATTTAATGTCCATTTCACTGATGAAACAACTGAAACCCCGATCAACTAAGTAAATTTTAAATTAAAATTAGGCTACCTTTTCTCTAAGAATAAGAGTCTATTCTTGATTTATTTGGGTATATTACATGGCAAATTGAAGATCAGTGAATTCACATAGTGAAGATCAGTGAATGCCTTCTGAATAAAAGTTTTTATTAATAACCACGACAGACACTTTGAAATCAGTTATTATAATTCTAGATTATGTTTTCCCACTATTTCCTAGGGCTGCTGTAACAAATTTCTACAAACTTGGAGGGCTTAAAACAACAGAAATCCCTTCTCTCACAGTTCTAGAGTCTCGAGGTCATAAATCAAGGTGTAGGCAGAATCATACCCCCTCCTAAACTTCCAGGGTAGGATCCTTCCTCGCTTCTTCCACATTCTGGTGGCCGCGGGTGTTCCTGGGCTTGCAGATACAGCACTTCAATCTCGGGCTGCATCATCACTGATGTTCTCCCCTCGCGTGTCTGTCTCTGTGTCTCTTCACTATGACATCAGTCATATTGGATAAGGGCCCACTCTACTTTAGTATGACCTCATCGAACTAATTATATCTGCAGCAACCCTATTTCCAAATAAGGTCACATTCTGAGGTACCAGAGTTAGGACTTCAATATATTTGGAGTGGAGTGGAGGCCACAATTCAACCCTCAGTCAAAAGTTAATTTAGGATGTGGAATATGTAAGGAGGGAGACTAAGTCTGTTTCTCCAAATCATTTCTAGATTTCATAGACCATCATTTATTTAACTTGTAATGTAGAAAATTCAAACATCATGAAGGGCTCTTTACCTGAAGTACACTGTACCTTCTTCGATAGCTAAGTTTTAGAAAGTCTGAGCACTTCCTGAAACTCAATTAAGCGTGTCTGTGTGTCTGTGTATGTGTGTCTGTGTGTATGTGTGTCTGTGTGTATGTGTGTCTGTGTGTATGTGTGTCTGTGTGTATGTGTGCATTCTCATGAGACAGCATTTTTAGCTTTCGTCAGAGTCAAGTGGTCCACCACTCTCCCAAATAGGAGAATCTAAAATAGACAAATCAAGACAGCTCTAGGTAATATAATGAATTTTGGCAAGGACAGATCCCCATTACTTACCCATTAATTTTCCAGTTTTAACTTTCTGTTATAGGGGACTATGTTCCTTAAAACTTTTAATTTCAGTGCACATCTAGAGCCTGTGATTTCTTTCATTCTATGCTTTGTAACTTTTTAACCACTTTTCCTTTTTTCATGATATCTGTCTCATTATTCATTCATTTCCTCATAGTCATAAGCTCAGCTTTGCAAATAATAGTTAGATTTGTGATAATCAAACCTATAATGGAATTTAATACTTGACACTGAGCCAGTGTTATGTTTCATTCATCAAATATTTGGTTGGGCTTATTATGTTCCGTCTAGACATTGTACCGGGAAATAGAGATAGAAAAGATTTTTTTTTAATACTGTTCCTTTGACCTCGGGAACTCATAATTCATCCAGCATTTAAAACACTTTATGGTACATATGAATCATCTGGGAATCACGGTGAAATGCAAATTCTGATTCAGTAGGTGAAGAGGGAGAATTCTGAGATTCTAGGCATCCAATTAGTTACCAGATGGTGCCTATGCTGTTGGTCTACAGGCTGTATTTTATATAGCAGGGTTTGGTACAATCTTTCTCAACCAGACCTGGAAGAGAAGTAGGTTCTAATGTCCTAATAATATATTTTCTGTAATGAATTAATTTTATTTCAGTATGCCTAGAATGGTGTGTGATATGTACCATCCTTAAGAGAACTGTGAAAATAGTCGTTAAATCATGTTTTGTTTCTTCTGTGCTTGGGTTGAAGCTCATATCAATTAGGATTAAATTCAGGTTTAACCAACCAGAAGTCTGTGCAATGATTTAGATACACAAGAATTATCTATCTTAACAGAGAGAAGCAGGGGTTAGTAGTCCAGGGTTCCAGAGAATTTTGTTTTTTTCTTCTTCCGTTGTTCTCAGAGTGTACAGGCCAGGTCTTGTGTATGTTGTCTCAGGTTGTAACATGGCTGCTGCTCTGCAAGCTCACATCCACTATCCAGGCTGAAGCCAGAAGAAGTGGGAAGAGAAAAACCAAAGGACAGTGCCCTCTGTAAACCACTTTTAAAAAACGTTTCTCAGCAGGTAAGCTACTCAATCTTTGAGTGTAGAGCTGGATCACATGGTCAGGTCACTGCTAGCCAGAAGTGTGTGTGGAACCTGAGTATTTAAGCCCTATCTGTGGAGTTTTCACAGTAGAAGATGAGAAAGCAATTGTAAATGGTTCTGAAATAGGCAGTCCAGAACTATGAGTTAACTGCACTCATGGAATTGGCATGCTTAAAAGCTAAACAGGAATCACTCATGCTAAAATGTACAACAGTCATGTAAAACAGAAATTCTTTTAAAATGTTCAAGCTTTTTAGAACCTCAAAGTTATAATTTCAGGAACTGCCTATTCTGATTAGATACAGGTTTGGCTGTGTCTGAGACATCCACCTAATGCAAATAGAAGTGTGTTTCTCCTCTTGGTTTCCCAGAGTAATTTTCTTAGTTCTGCAAATTTTTTTGTATGTAGAAATAATACCTTAATTCATACATGAACACATATATTTCATTTTTTACCTATAAAATATCAAAATCTTACATAAGAACATGAAGTTGTAAATAATCTTAACATTGTAAGTACATTGTAGACAAAATATTTGGAATATGTTATTCTATTTATTTATTTATTTATTTATTTATTTTTGAGACAGTCTCGCTCTATCACTGCAGTGCGTTGGCGCAATCTCGGCTAACTCCAACGTCTGCCTTCCAGGTTCAAGCGATTCTCATGCCTCAGCCTCTCAAGTAGCTGGGATTACAGGTGTGTATCAGCACACCCAGCTAATTTTTGTATTTTTAATAGAGGCAGGGTTTCACCGTGTTGGGCAGGCTGGTCTTGCACTCTTGACATCAAATGATCTGCCCGCCTCAGCCTCCCAAATTGCTGGGATTACAGGCATGAGCCACTGTGCCTGGCCTGGAATAGATTATTTAAATATAGTTTTTCTTTTTCATTTTAAAATCAAGTTCTGATATTTATAGCTGGTTGTCTATTTGACTTTAAAAGTCCACAAAATAATAGTATCAATATATAATCTACCATGACTTAAATAATTAATGTATTTTAATACCATTTATCCTGCTAACCACCAGTTGAGGTCCTTATGTTTTCTATTTTCCTAATGAAAAAACTGAAGTTCAAAGAAGTTAAGTAACTCCTGAATAACACACAGTTACTAAATGTCAGAGCTGGATTTGAAACCACTTGGGTTTGAAACTTTCCAATGCCCCTCTCTCTTAGAAGGGATGTGTGGAATTTTCTCTTATTCTGCTTACTAATTACCTTCATGAAATTCATGTTATATGTGTGGAAATAGCAAGGACCCATTATTTGTGTGCATTCACTTTAAAATTAGACCTGATTTTAACAATTAAAAATATGAGCTAGGCTTACTTGTTGGAAATTAGAAATGTATATATTTCTTAACACTGTTATTAGTAATAAAAATTAGAGAAAAAAGGAAAGAGCAGAAGCATCAGGTAAGTAAACAGAGATGTGGGTGACATGTAAAGAAAGAAACTCAAATTATGAATGAATTGCCATCTCTATGATATATAAGTAAAATAACATTTTACTTTAAAAAGTAACCAGGACATTAGGACTAAATGAAAATGAGCCATCAGCAGTTCAAGCATTTTAGATAGTAAATGAAATGAAATATTTAAATTCACATTTAAAAATTATAATTTTTGGTGGTTTTAGGTACAGACATGGAGGAAATCTGAACAATCTGATTATACAGAAAATCTAAATTTTCCATATTTAAAAAATTTACCTCTACAATATAATTACTCTAATAATTAAAATAAATTTTAAATACACTAAATATTTTTCTCTTTCATTCCATTCCACAAAGAATCATCAAGCACCTACTATATTCCAGTCCTTGAACCAGGTGCTAAGGCTGTACTGAGATGTACATGGTCCTAATCCTGCCCTAATAATTCAGTCTACTCGGTCATGAGATGAGAAAACAATTCAAGCACAATTCATGGGGCCACTAGGGGAGCAAACAGGAAATTACTTATTTAAGTCACTTTCAAAAAATTAATAACCTTCAAAATTAGTAACCCATTTTTAAAATCCATTCCAAATGAATAAAATATAAGGCTTGAAGTCTATAAATGGGTAAAGTCCAATTTTCCTGAAAACTTTCCACTGCAAAATGAACACGCTGGAGGAATACAGACACTGAGGCCAGCCTTAAATGAGTTAAAAGGTGTTGCATTAAAAAAAAAAAAAAAAGAAGAAGAAGAAGGAAGTTTTGGTAGTTAAGAGAAAGGATAAACAGTTTATAGTTTCAAAGTTCTTCAACTTTAGAAGACAGCCATAAGAAGGGACATAAAAATTGGATGTGTGTGTGTGTGTGTGTGTGTGTGTGTGTGTGTGTGTGTATGTATACAGTTACATGTTTGAGCAGGAAGTTTGGCAGGCAGAATCTAAGAAGTGAGGAAGCGACTGATTGCCCCTGGGAGTTGGCAGGAAACACACAGGCCGAGGATAGGAATTAGAAGTATTTGATAGCTCAGAGGAAATCATGGCACAGAGAGGGAAATAGTGTAAACACAAGGGTCACGAAATAAAGACAGAGCGCTTGGCTCCCTGGTGGATGCAGGCAGGAACAGAGGCCATAATCCAATAACCCAGTGTACAAAGCACCTCCATCACCGAAGCAGCGGGCTTGGCAGGAAGCATAGATCATACCATTATGTCCTCATTTCTCTCCCCTGTCGGGAACAGACTTTATGACTAAACTTCAGATAGAAGACATTATAGGAAAAAAATTGTGGGGCACAGTTTTAGAAAAAGAAGGAAGATTGCCTTGAGCCCGTTTCACCCAATAACCTTTATGCTACAGATCAGGTTTTGAAGTTAATGGTATTTATTTTGGCTTTTCATGATTGGAACCTGTGATGTGAATTTTGATATCGATATCTAAAGAATAGACTGAGGCTTTTGACTTTTTTTTTTAATTAAAAACTGATTATCAGAGATAGTTATACCCTGAAGCTAATGAAGGTAAAACATCTGAAGGTAAAACATCAGGGTCTCTCACTTGAATTTGGTCTTACAAGACCCTATGCTCAATTTTGCATTTGTAATTTTAATTCCTTTTCAAATTGTATAAAGAATATCCTTTATAGAGAGATTGTTACAAATGCTCTACTTGGCTCATTTTGTCATTATTGACAGGTTTCGTGGGTGGGAACATTTTTTTGCCAGGTCAACGAACCCAAATTTCTACATTCAAAGTGAAAAGGACATGAAATTTCAACTACATTTCTAGAGGAATGAAAAGTATATTTTAATGTATTACATAAAGAAAACTGATCAATCAATTTTGAAATGCTGCAAACTGAAATTCAACAGGAATGAATACTTCAGTTGCTCAAATACATGAGGAGAACTGTGATTGATATTTGTTGGTCTCTGATGTTTTGGCACTACATTACCAGAATATATTTAATTTCTTGTACAAGCAAATATAATGTGTAAGAAATAATTTTGTAAATCAGTTTAAAAATCCTTACTTTGATTCTTATGCTACATTTTATTTTAATCTAAATGAATCTGATACCTCATTTGATTAAATATTCTATCACATAAGATGTTTTGGGCTGCAGGTAATAGAACACACAGGTCAAATGACATAAATTATAAGGGAATTTGTAATTTCACATAATAGGGTGCCAGATACGGCTAGATAGGTCTGTCACAGAGCCACAGTTTAGTGATGCCGTTGTTATTTTTTCATCTGAATTCCTCCCCATCATCAGCATTGTCACCCTCATGATCTCAATTCAGCTGCGATGGTTCCACAAGGCACAGGCAGGCACCACCAACCCAGTGAAGGAAAAAGAGGTGATTTCTTTTGAGTCTCTGTTTCTTTTAGTAGGAAAGCATTAACCCAAAGCCTCCTTCCACTCAGGTCCCAGTTGGTCAGCATTGGTTTCATGTCTTGCCATAGCTGCCAGCTTTCCCAGTGGGCTGTGCCTGGCATTTCCAACCTCTAACAGGGCAGGTGGGCTTGGCAAGGAGAGTCAGGGGAGTTGGGGAATACAGGGAACACAATCAAAGATTGCTACAATTTGCCTTTATTCAGGGGCAAAATTACTTATCCATTTGCTTAATTTTGGTTTGATGGGGTGAGATCTTTATTTTTTCTAGTCTTTTGGGAATATTCTTCAGCTTGCCAACATCTCTGTATTTTCCCCATCTGAATATTGTATTTTTTTATTTCACCACCTAGCAGCTCCAATGGCCACAAACCTTTTTCCAGATTTGTCTGAAATGTTCGGGCTTTTTATATTGATGAAAGTTCCTTTTACCTATAGCCTTTGGCCAAGCTATAACAAATCAACTAAAGTGTGATTTTATATCCCACTGTAGGCCAAGACAGTATGCTGCTGGTTACACAGCACAGGATGCTAACCATTTTACACACAATTGCTTGGACACAGGCCAGGACAATTGGCAATTCCTGTCTCTAGTTCAAATGCTAAGCTGCTTCCTAGAAGAGGTCACAGGAGGTCAGAGGATGTTCCCAAAGGACTTTCCTGTTCAGACTTATTGAGGAATATCAGACTAGCTCCAACTCCAGTTTAGGTGTTTAGCTGTATCTCCAAAGTCTCATATATATTCAAAATGTTTGGGCACTGCTCCTGCACCTACAGGTGAAGGTCCAGCTCCACCCCTTATTTCCTCTAGAAAACTTTCCACCAGCATAGCAGGCCTCACTCAGCTGACTTCTTCTGAGATTATATAATACTTTGTGTCAATATTACTCATTCAGCACTTAATCCTATACCACTCAGCAACACCTTTTTTCAGATATTTTATACTCAAGGATTTTTGTGCCCTTTCCCTAACTACATAATAAAAACTTTCAGATCAAAGACCACATTGTTCTATTTCTCATCATACTGTCTATGTACCTCATTGTCTAGCATAAGACATACATTTATTGAATGAGTGAGTACAGGTTGCAGTAAAAGATAACATAAGGAAAATGCTTTAAAGACTAACACAGTATCATGTGGCAAAACTACTAAGAAAAACTCAAAAACAACATATAAACAATAATTACTATGTATCTAGTCAGTTACTGTGCTAGGAAGGGATATGGTGGTGTCCTAAAGTGAGCAAGACCTCTGCTTCTGAGGAACTTAAAATCCAGTAACAAAGAAATATAATGAATAATCATGAGTAAAATGCAGAAATTAAAACTGTGATAAGTACTATGAGGAAAAGGAGTCTGTACCATATGTTGTACGGTAGGACCTAACCTAACCTGCGGGTGAGGAATGACTTTCCTGAGCAAGTACCATTTGACTTGATACCTGCAGTATGAGAAGAAGATAATTGGATTCAGGTAAGGTGTTCACATGCAAATGTAAAGTTGTGACTGCAATCAAGGGCAAGGTTGATGATGGTAGAAAATGAAGCTGGGAAGAAGGTGCACCAGAGATGACTAAACTAACTGTCCATCAGAATCTGTTTCCCCTTTGAGTAACAGCATATAGCTGCCCAGTCAGAGACTACATTTCCCAGTCTCCTTTGCATCCAATGTGGCCATGTGACTGGTTTCTCTCCAAGGAAACATGAGTATAAGTGATGTTACCACAACCTAGACAGGATTTCAAGGCAGCGGGTATATTTCCTCCACAGGCTCATTCTCCATTCTGTGAGCTCTAATGGTGAGAGCAGTGTGATGCTGGAAGGTGTGTGATCAAAGAGGTTTTACCATCTTCAGCTTGGGATGCTCAATGACATCTTACACATGATCCTCTGCCAACCTGGAGACCTTGTCCTGCTTTGTTATATTAGAGAGGGATAAATTTTCATCTTTAAATCATTGAATTTTGGAGAGATTTTTGCTAAGTTTGCTTATCCTAAATAATGCTAGGGAGTTTGGTCTTTGTACAAAAAAAAATGAGAAATTATTTAAAGATTTTAAACTGAGAGATATGTGATCAAATCAATATTTTGAAAAGATTTCTCTGCAAAGCCAAGGCTATATTGGGGAGCAGTGGGAGGGAGGGTAAGAGAGAATTAGGGGAAAAAATCAACAGAAAAGGTTTGCAGAAGTCCAGGTATGAAAAGTCTGGGGCAGCGGAAACAGAGAACTGGCTGAACTCAGTAGGTGTGAGGTGATATTGGTAGAATTAGGTAACATGTTGAATGGGAAAACTTGAGAGGGAGGTATCTACAAAGACTGCAGCTTTTTTTGGCTCTGAGCACTGGGCAGTCGGTGAGGGTATATTCTCAGAAGGGAAACACAGAGGAAGATCCTGAGTTAAAATTTGAACATATGCACAAATAGATGTTGTTATCATGTACAAAGCACACTCCCTCCTTCCACAAAAATGAAAGGAGAGTGGTGCAGCCTTTAGGAGGTGTCCCTCTGGAGCAGTGTGCTAGAGTGGTTAAAGTACTGAAGCTGGGTCAAATCAGCTCCTTAACTAACCAGCTGGCTCATCTAGGATTGTTGTTTAACTTTAGGTTCTTCAATTTTTATCTGCAAAATAGGGAAAATAATAGTACCCGTTGCATAGGTTTATAATGAAGATAAATGAAAAAATATGTATAAAGCATGTAGAAGGATACGTGCATCTTAGTAAGATTGCATTGCTTGTTACATCTTATGCAGCCCAGTCATGTGCTCTTATATTTTACCCTGGTTTGTAAGTATCATCAACATATCATATGCTATTTAGGTGACAAATATATATTCAGTTAAGGTATTGTTAATTTTAGGATGCATGCTCTATATCAATAATAAGTCTGGCTTGGTCACTGAATTCCAGCTGGACACTAATGACCCAATTTCTTGATACTCACACTCAGCAAGTTTGATTTCAGCCCTGATTTTTAGATGAACACAAATTCTTAGCCCTTTCATATAGGGCTCCACATTTAAGCCCTGTGATATAGATAACTTTTGGTCTTCCATAGTCACTTGAGTCTTACTTAACCTGCTTCCATCAATTCTAAACCCAATATCCCCTCTACAAATACTTTCTTTATCTAATGTCTTCACTCTTTCAACTTGGTTAACTTTAATAAATCTTTAATTCTTTTAGTTACTTTCTTCTTAAATGAATCCATAGTCGTTCCAATCTTCTTCTTGCAAGCAGCTTTATACACAGTATCTCATTCCCTATCATTCATCCCATTAGCTTTCTGTCTGGTGCAGCATAGAATTAGTCTCACCTTACATTCATTTCAGCATGATTAAGAGAGAGGAAGAAAGGAAGAAAAAGAGAACAACTAAGGGGGAAAAGCAATATATGCTTTTCATTAAAGTTATTCCCCTAAATCCAAACATTTCAATGCTTCATGAACATTGTAATATAATATTTTAAGGCTATTCACAGGGAACCCTTTTGAATTATCAGTGATGTTCCCCACAAAGCAATTCTCCACTTTTTCTTGGGAAAAAGGTTTTTCCAGAATATGTCCTAATGCAGATTTCACCTTTGTGACATACACCATTTTAGACTGCTGGCTAATTTTGTCCCAAAGTGTCACTTTTTTTCATTCACTGCATTCTTATTTTATACCCATATGAACTTTTAAAGGTATATATTCATGTAAGTAACATAATACAATTAAACTATCATAAAATTCCAGGGAGTTTATAAAGAGTGCAGATGGAGCAGAACAGGATCCATGTAGTTCTGATTACTTGACTACATATCCCCCTAACATCAGAATAATATCACATCTTCATAGCACAGCAAGATGTACTGATAAATAAATAATTTTTAATTTTTCTTTACAGAAATATTCTACAGGCACCTTTCTTTTTTGAAGGCTATAACTTGCAGAATTGAAGTATGCCAAATTCACTCACTCCTTAATTAACTCCTTCCATTCATTTGTGTAATTATTCATCCATTCACTCATTTTACCTAAAATAAAATACTATGCAGAGTGGGCTTCAAAATATGTGAGATATTTCCCTATTTTGAGGACTTCAAATGTATGTATAAATATATATACATATATATATATGTTTTGAGAATCCATGACATGTCAAATCCTGTACACATCACTCCACTAAGATAAATGTTATTTCCCCCGATTTTCTGGAGGAAGAATCTGAGGCTCAGAGAAGTTAAATAATTTATACAACCTCACCCAACTACTTTACTAAGCAGCAGAGTCAGGATTTAATGAAGCCATCTTGGTCTCATTCTAGAGTACATGCTCTTAACCAGCACACATTGCCTCCTACTTAAAAGTAAAGTTTTAATAAAATAAAAGTAAAGTTCAAATTTACAAAAAAATGTAGAAATGCTCACAGCAGATTCAAAAATCTGAATTCTTTATAAAATTCATTAATTGGTTATTTAATTATGTTTTATTTCCCTTTTTTTCTCTGGATATGTATGGTGAGAGGCATTATTTTCTGGTAGATGAATCTAATTCATTTAAGACATGTTTTATAATAGAACTTAGAATACTTCTCCTTTGTGCCTTTCACTCTTACATATCCTTCAGATTCCAGCTCAAAAGTCACTCTCTCTAAAATTTTCCCTGATCCCATTCCCAGAGAGCACAAATCCTTTCCTTCACCATGGAACCTTCACAGCATGAAGTTCAGGTGAGAATTATAGCACTAGATCATGCTGGGTCGGATTTGTGTCTGCCTGCATCTGTGTGCTTATCTTTCTAAAGTGCATATGAGCCCAAGAGGGTGAGTCATGTTAGAGACTCCTTCTTTCATAGCACCAGAAGCATTGTTTTCTATATAGTTCTAAGGAAAGGCACTAGTGGGCTTTTTGACAAAGGAAGGTTCCTGGGTCCAACTTGAGTGGGATGCCCTGGCTACTGTAATAAACCAAACTAAAATGTTAACCTCAGGAAGAAAGATACATTTGTATTATCTGCCTATACTTGCCTTGACATAAAAATGAGCATTGAGAAAAGATTATCTGATGGTTACATTTACTCCTGAGTATGAGTGTTGAGATAATGACTAAAAGAATGTGTATGCCTAGGAGAATGCTTTATACACAATTTAATAAAGTAATATAAACACAAAAAAAGGACATTAGAAAAAGTTGATTGTGGATATGGAAAACTAACGTAGGTTTATGTAAGGTATTGTTAAAACTATTTGTTACTTGACACTGAAAAGAAGAATGTCTTTACTTTTAACATGTTAAAGTTTCATATGTTAAGAATTCATGAGGTATTTTCTGTAATCAGACTGCCTGGGCTGCAATAATGTTTTACACTGCTTATTAGCTTAGAAATTTACTTCAATTTTCCATGTTATGCCCACACATAGTGTTGTTGTCAAGGATAAATAGAAATAATGTATGTAATATACTTGCTGAGCGCCTGGCGTATGGTAAGCTCTGCATAAATGTTAGCTATTATTAATGTAATTTTAAGTTTCAGGTTTAGTTATGTGGGTTACTTAGCATGCTGTTTGGAGGGTGAGATTAAAAACAAGACCTCATGAAGTTAATTAAACATCTACATTATGAAGGATGATCAAGTTATTGAAATCTTGGCAAGCAACATTTCACCTTTACTTTATGCTACTTAGCTTGATGTTCTTTTTAGTTTTGTTTAAATTTGGATACATAAAATGTAAAACTCTCTACATTTGGTAAGAATAGGTTTTGATGCTTCCTCAGGTCAGAAAATAATCAAGACTGAATGTTGAGGTGTTGGGAGTAATGTAGTAGAGAAAACAGTGCCTAGAGAAATATATCAAACTGCCATCCTCAAGCAATAATTTTTTATTCATTCATTCCAACACAGGTTTTACAAGAAACAGACTATTAGGGAGGCAGGATAATAAAAAAGGGATTGTACATGAGAATAAAGTCCAAAGCTTCTGAAATTAAGTAAACTCCAAAACTCTCCATGAAGAACCTGTAGCATTAGGAGTTTTTCTGCAAGCCAGGCATCCATTTATCTGGTGTATTAAGCAAATCTTTACACCAAATTGCAGAGTTAGAAAGAAAATGTTCTGAGAAATATGTAGATCTTCTGAGAGTTCTATATCCAACCTTTCTACTAGACCAGCTCTTTGCCAGTTATTAAGTGGTCCTAAAATAGAGCCCCATAAGTCATAATCAGGATAAACAGAAAACACTGATGGTGGGACCTCTAAGTATATGTGTCAAGACAATCTAGCAAGAAGCAAAGAATAGTAACAGCCATGAGAGAGACAGGAAATAGAAAAAAACAAGAAGAATTTCTTCATAAACTAGCTTAAATTTTTGACTGCATATTCTCTGTGAAGTGAAACTATTTCCTGTTGAAACCAAAACTCAAATAGAAGATATAAAATTCAAAGACAAATGGATGTACAGTACAAGGAAATCAAAATTGAATGTCAGACCATAAGGAATAATAATGATGCTCTGTGGAGATGGCAAGAGCCGCACTCAGGTGGTGACAATGGGGTCCCCCAGTGGGAGGTTACAACAGAAGAAAAAAGAAATGGGAAAGGCTGTGTGGAAGCTGATGGGATGTGTTGGGGAGCATTTGAACCACTCCTGGGCTCTCTCAAAGTTAACTATTCAGATTCTGAATTGGGTTGCATGTCCTGTGTTAGCAGTAAGTGATAAAAACTGGTTAAATAATGTTTACATTCAGTAATTCCTGAATAATATAACTGTTTTATTTAAAAGGAACATTCATAACACTAAAAAACGAAAACCAAAACAAACCATAGAATATTATACATTAGTCTTATTCATATGTTAATTTTGTCTTCCAAACATTGTTCATTAGTGGCTAGATCTAAATATCCAAATACAACATAAATTCTCGGATTCAGATAGGAAGTGTACATCTATATTAGACTCTGAATGAGATTTTGGTGACCACCTTATCGCAGTAAAAATTCACCCTGGGCACACACTTAGGAAAGGGCTGCTTCCTATATGTCAGAAAAACCTTTAATTAGAAGTATTTACTGCAGGCTCCTTGCTTCCGATTCTCTTTACGGAGGAAACACAAACCATGCAGCATTCGTATTTATTGGAGAAAAGCAAAGATTAGAAGCTTCTCCTAGTTCAATAGAAAAGGAAATAAGGAGCCAAAGACATTGACTGGCAGAAATTCAAATGAATGGGAAAGTTATGTTAAGAGATACAGCAGGAGGATGTTAAATTACAGAGAAATGCTTTTTTTGTGTTTATTTTTTAACAACTGAGATAGAGTTTTAAGAGAATAAAACATTTCCAGTTATTTAAATGTCCTTGGTGCATAGCCTTCATCTCCATAGAGATTATAGATTCTAGCCCCTTTCACGTTCAAATACTTTTCATCTCTTGACTTCATTTTTTGCTTAATTGTGTCTTTGAGAAACAACTAGAGGATTCTGAGGTTTCACAATGATATCTAGGTGGTGTTGCTGCACTGATATTTACCCATTGCAGTGAAACCTTTCCTCATCCATCATGAGGGTCATGGCCAACACTGCTACAACAAATGACAGGTTAACGAGAGGAAAGCATTCCAAATTTATTTAATCATAATTTTACATGACACAAGAACCTTCAGAACAAAGGCCCAAAGATACAGAGAAAACCGCCGATTTTTATGCTTAGATTTGATGAAGAGTGGATAGCTGTGTAGAAATCTGATTGGACAAAGAGGGTATGATCTAATAGTAGTATACTGAGTGGGAAAACCCAGCAAGGCCTGTCTGTTTGGATTTTTCTTGGCTTCTTTGTGTAACATTCTTTCCTCCTGGGTATGGATCAGTATCCTTTCTGGAATGGGGCTCTCATAACCTACTGTTCAACAAGGTAGGTCAGAAGATTTCTTTAAGGCCAGCTCTTAACAGAAAGGTAGTGGAAGATTACAGTAATACTTTAGGTCTTATTGCTGGCCTTGAGAAAATGGGGTTCGGTTTGTATTGCCTAGAGAAAGAGGAATTCTAGTTTCTATGGCTTGCCTAGAGGGGGAAATGAGGGGCAAGGGTCAGGAGGGCAGGAGAAAGTCAGAGAGAAACTGTTTCTGAGGCTTTCACTCTGAGGTTTTGTTTTCTGAACCCCAACATTCCACAGCAGTTGGTTATTAGAAATCAAAAGCCCGGTGTCAAGTTTATCTTTGTTTGTCTATTGAACAAACAAGTTCATACTAAAAGACTTAATTCTTGTAACCTTAGATTGTGAAGCTTAAACAAATGCATCTAAAAGTCTGAATTTTAAAATTCTGACCTTGGGTTAATAAGCTTGAATCTAGGTGAGGATGGTATTTTAAACATGCATGCAGCTTTGCAATCCCAAGTAGTCTTCAACTTTTTTAGTATTCTAGTGTTGCAGAATATACTCCATTTGAAAAAAGGGGCCATGACTTTGAATTTCATGTCTCCAAGCCAAATTTTACGAAGGTCCCTTATTAGCTCACTGCCCTGTGTGAGACCCATAATCTCTCCCTGTAGACTTGTTACATTTGAGAATATAGCAAGGACCACAGAGTCTGCCTAAAACATTTGAAAGAAAAGAAAATCATTTAAATGGGGTTGATATCTCATATCCATAAGACTTTGATTTAGTCTTATAAAGCCTCTCTTCTCCCAACCAATTTCCTTATTTTGTTCCTATTTATCATCCAGCTGCATCTTATTAATTATTTTTTAAGGAAAATATCCTGAAATGAAATTACTGGGTCAAAGAACTCACACTTTACATTATGATACATATTCTCAAACTTACCTCTAGAAAGTTAGGGGTGCAAAGTTAGACCCCAACCAACTTGATATGAGTACGTTTATCACCTTAAATTCTGCCTGCCAGGTGTGGTAGCTCACACCTGCAATGCCAGCTCTTAGGGAGGCAGAGGTGGGAGGATAGCTTGAGCCCAGGAGTTTGAGACCTGCCTGGGCAATATAGCGAGACCCAGTACTACCCCCCACCCCCACCAAAAAAAAGGAAAAAAATTCTGCCTATCCACAGATATTCGGAATAGTATTTCTCCTTCTAATGACTAGTAGTCTCCATCCTTTGCTTATTTTTGTAATAGGGGAGTCCACATTTTTTTTATTTTTAGAAACTCTTGATATAAGATTAATTAGGTCTCTGTCACATGTTGCAAGTGTTTTTCTATTTTGTTGCTTGCTTTTCTATTTTGTTTATAATTTTGTTTATAATTATGCTATATAAATGTTAATATTTATGTAATCAAATCTATCATTTTTTCTTAAGTATTTTCTCTTTCTGACTTTAATATATATTTAGAAAGTATTTTCCTATCCTCATGAATGTAAAAGAAATCCTTCACCCATATTTCCTTCTACTTATTTTATGATTTTTATGGGTGTTAGCATAGAATAATTGTTAAAAACATTGACATACACAAATTTGGATTTGAATTCTGCTCTATAATTTTAAGGTGTGGGAATTTAAGCACATTATTTTATACCTAAAATGGAGAAAATGATTTCTATGTCTTCTTGCTATGAGGGCATTAAAGGAATAACATCTATAGAATAGTTCATGGCCCAGCATATTATAAGTGCCTACAGGAAGATATTTTAGTATTATTATCCCTTATATTTGAAAATTTCATTCAGCTGTGATATATTTTCCGATGAAAAGTCAGAGGCATCTTTTCTAAAACAAAATACTTTTTCATCATAATTTTTTCTGATACCACCCTATGTTCTTTAGAAAAAAACTTAATTCTTACCTTGGCACGAACAATATTCATAATCTTCCTTCAATAGGAATGCCCAGTCCAGGTCTCCTGCAACTCCTTACTCCTATTTTATTCTCTCATTACACAGAATTATCTACTTCCTCCTGGACAAGACTTGCACTTTGACCCTTTTGTCAAACCCTTCACTCTGGGGTTTTGTTTTCTGAGCCCCAACATCCTATAGCAGTTGATTATTAGAAATCAGGAAACCAGGTGTCAAGCTTATGGTGATTGTCTATTGAATAAACAAGTTCAAACTAAAAGACTTAATTCTTGTAACCTTAAATTGTGAAGCTCAATCAAATGCATCTAAAAGTCTGAATTTCAAAATTCTGACCTTGGGTTAATAAGCTTGAGTGTAGACAAGGACGGCATTTTAAACATGCATGCAGCTTTGCAATCCCAAGTAATCTTCAACTTTTTAGTATTCCTGTGTTGCAGAATATACTTCATACGAAAAGGGGGCTGTGACTTCTCAAAATGATTTCCCTGGAATCCTCTGCTTTATTCCCTGGACATGTTAGAATCATCATATCAGGCCCAAATCAAGAGTCACCTTCTCTTGATGGAACTTTCCGTTGTGCCTCCCCCGCAACCAGGATTACCTGCTCCCTCCTCTGGTTTTCATGGAGAGTTTGCCTCTCTCCTATCTCTTATAGTACACATGGGCATCACTATTCCCCACTAGATCATGAATATCTTGTTGGAAAATATTCTGTTGTGCTTTTCAAACTTTTCTGCTCAGTGTCTGACACACAAAGTAGGAATGAAAAATATTTGTCAACTTCAATATACAATTCCTGCTCTATTTAAATACACCAACCACAATACTCAGAGATAGCTCTCTTATGGGAAACACATTGTATAAATGTGTGTCTAAAATTATGTATGTACATAATTATTCTATGTAAATATTCGCTCATTACATATGACACCTCGATAGGTTACATTTATCAATTGATTGCATCAATCATGAAAAATGTTTTTGGCAATTTCATTACGTCTTTTGGGCTACAGAAAATCAAGAGGTTTAACACTTTTAGAAACAGGTATATTTTGTACGAATTTTCAGTTGGCAAAAGCTTTAAGATACATGGAAAATGAATGCTGAGCTACAGTTGTGAGAATTTAGCCTTGTTGGCCTTGTGTTCAGATTACCGTGCCACTTCCACTATTGTACACTGAGATCTAAGATGAACTGTAACTGGTCTGCAGAAAAATCCAATTAAATTAACATTTAATGAACACCATTCTGTACCCAGACATTATCACATAGGTTACCTTTTCATTTTCTTTCTTTCTTTCTTTCTTTTTTTTTTTTGCCTGTACTTTCTGTGATGCTTGCTTGAGAGATAGTAAAAAGTTGTTTGTTTGTTTGTTTGTTTGTTTGTTTTCAAATAAAGGGATTCCAGGGCAAAATAAGTTTGGGACGTAGCATATCCTAATTTCTCTCCTGAGAGGCTCACTATCTCCTGAACACAATAAGGGTTCTGAGAAGTCTGACAGCTTATAGAACAATAATTTAACCCATTATTCCCCAAATATATTTGAAAGTTGAACTTTTTCTTTCTAGCGCATACATACTGCCTATATTGGGAAAGCCTGACAGAGATTATTTTCATTAACCTTTCCAGCAATTTTGTCAACAAGTATTGAACTGAAACTCCTGCCTTAAAAAAAAAAATGGAGAGCTTGAAAAATGTCACTTGGCTATGACAGAATAGAATCCAGGTCTCCTCATTCCTATTCTGAGACTCTTTATACTTCAGGTACCTCCTGCAAATTATTAAACCACTGTGGTGATTTTCTCATCTAAGAAAACAGGTTGTTGCTCTGGACATTCTCAAATATACTTTTCCAGGCTTTTATCCACCTGGAATAACCCCATCCACACCCCATCACCACCATCACCTTTTTATATTCTCATTTTCCCAACATCATGCTAGAGTCTTGTATTCTCCATGAGGTCTTACTGTAACAACTTAATCTTTTCTTGTATCCAAAAATCTCATGGAATTCTCTGAGTTCTTCATTCTGGCAGTGATTAGATATTGCCTCATGTAATATAACTAATTCATGTGTGCCTGCCCTATTTCTCTAATATCAGACAGTTTGTCTTAATCTTTGTGTTTATCTGTCATCATCATCATACACTCTATATAGCACTTATTGAATGAATGAATGAATTTGTGCAGAGGGAAATGACTAAGTGAATGATGGAATTGTGGACACATGACATGGACAAAGTGTCTTGAGTATGCATCCGTTTAATATTTCAATTATTAGTATTTTCACAGAGTGGGGAAAGTAGTGTACACTGGTAGGGAGCATGGACTTCTTACTAGATCAGTAGGTCTCACACTGTAGTATTTATCAGAATCCCCTATGGGGTTTGTTAAAACACAGATTGCTGAGTTCATTCTTTAATGCTGAGTTTCTCATTCAGTAGGTCTGGGATGGGCCCTGAGAATTTTATTTCTAACAAATTTCCAGATGATACCAATGCTGCCGGTCCAAAGCTCATATGTCGAGAACAACTAAGCAAGGATAAATTTAATTAGTTCAGCAGCTGAACTTGCTCCTTTCTGCCGTCTGACTGAGAAACGCTCTTAAATATTTAGCCTTCGTCTCATTATTTTATAAATGAGCTTAATATACTTAAGTTGCAGAATTATGATGATATCATATATTAGAATGGGCCAGACATAAAAAAGTCACTATTACATATGAGATTGCTTCCTTTCCTCCTTGCTGAGGAAGTGGCTGAGAGTGTTTCATATGGCAGTCCTTCCTTTTTCTTGTCTCCATAAGTTCTCAGAATTTATACTATACTATTCATTTATAAATGTGCCCATGTCCAGCAGCATTTGCCTTGGAACCAAGATATTGAATAACAGGAGCAATAACACAGACCTCAGGCACGGAATTCATTACTCACAGCCAACGGCAGTTCTTAGTTCAGACTACAGTCAGTTCCAGTTACAAATATTCCTTGCTGAAGCACAGGCTTCTGCTTCAAAACAACTCAGAGACACGGACTGCTTTCTGTTTTATCTCCTCATATAGCAGCGATAGTGCTTAAAGTTATCCCCAATCTGATGCCATTCCGTCTCACTCCATCAAAAGGCACAAAGGAGCCCTATCTTGGCTTTATTACGGCATCCTTTCAACAGACCCTTTGCTTGGGAAAGAATAGAGCTGAGCTTAAGTGATACTGCCTCACTTAGGAACTTGACCATTAGCAAAATTAATCGTAAAAGAGAAGCTATAGTAGTTTTAAAATTCTCTGATGAGAGATTTCTCTTAATTTTAAGTGGTTGGATTACATGAATATATGCCTCCTTTTAAGCCTGGATTATGAAAATGGTCTCCTTTAAAGTTTAAAAGAAAAAAACCTTCCTATTTTGTTGGGCTGTTTTACTGTCTAAATTATTATATGAATTATATATGTTTGACTCATTCACTCCTGACAATCAGAGACTATATTCACTCTGTTCCCAGTTGGGTTCTGAGGTTGAGCCTAAGATCTGAGTCATAATCATGCACATTAAAGTTCAATGCCATTATATTTTCTACATTCACAGAAGGCCAAAACTGGAAATGTCCATAAGTATCAAGTAGCCTTGCCTGACATTAAGTCTTTCAGGCTCCCCTAGGAGGAGTTAGAACAGTGACAGAAAGGACTTGGGGCTCCTGCCACATAATACAGTTTCTGAAGATCAGGTGTGACCTCCCTACTGCTCTTGGAGAGACATTTCACTCCCTGCTTGGGAAAATTAATTATTCCCACTTGGCTTAATTTTCTGAGAACTTTTCTCCTCAGATTTCTGGCAATTCTATCCCCACTCATCAGCACGACAACAGGGCTGAATAAGTCTGAAACACTGTCAGTGATAGATGAGTGGGCTTATATTTTGGTGACTTTGCTTTCTACACTTTGGCATACAGCTTCTTTTCATCAAAGAGGTAAAACAAACCATGGAGAACATGAAGAGAAAAACCTTTTGTCTCTCATCTGACACCAGATGGATCACCCCAGTCCCTGCCAGTAGCAAGATCGGTAGAATATGAGAAAGGGGAATCAGGATCACTCAGACCTTTTTCTCTGCTACTGGGCAGCCAATGCTTACTGGAGGAAATAATAAAATCATATGTATTGATTCATTCCAGATAAATGCTCTCTAATTTAAACTAAGCCTTCTAGGCTGATGAGTAATCATTTTATTTATCTCCTGTTGAATCATAATTTTATTTTCTTTTTTAGCTATTTCAAAGTGTCTTTACTCTTAATGTCTGTAAGCCTAGCCAAAACCCTTCAAATTGCTGAATAATTTTTCTCTAATTTATCAAGATTATTAAGACTATTTGAAAGATGTCTTCTCGGCTTTCCTTGTTACTATCCCTGTACTTTTTATTCACCATCTCTTTCTGCATTGTATTGGTCTATAAAATCATAAACTGTGTGGCTTATAAACAACAGACATTTATTTCTCACAGTTCCGGAGGCTGAGAAGTCCAAGATCATAGCAGATTCAGTCTGGAGAACACTTTCTCGTGCATAGATGATGCCTTCTTGCTATGTCCTTGCATAGTGAAAGGGCCAAATCAGCTCTCTGGGATCTCCTTGAAAAGGCACTAGTCCCATTCATGAGGGCTCATCATTTATGACCTAACCACTTCATAAAAGGCAGTGCCTTCTAATACCTTCACTTTGTAGGTTAGGACTTTAGCATATGGATTTTGGGGGCACACAAACATTCAGGCCATAGCATGCATATCTAACACACTTCTGAGGACAAACAGCATTCCCATTTTCTTTCCCATGGCTCTATGTGTGCTCTCAATCCAACCTTCTCATACTTTCTCTTTGACTGATTTGTTATTTTCTTACTTTGCTTTGTCCTTCTTTTTTTGCTCTTTACATCCCCATTTTTGCTTGGGAAAGAATCCAGCCGAGATTAAGTGCTGATGTCTTACTTAGGAAATTGATCATTAGCGAAAGTAATTGTGAAAGTGAAGCTATAGTAGTTTTTACTCATGATCATATCAAACTATCAGTCTTAAAATAATTTTCCTCCTTACTTACCTCTCTCTCAAGCTCTTCTTCAGTCTCTCTGCTTTCTTCCACGTCTAAAACTGATTTATGATCTAGCTTCTGCCCCCATTACTGTTTGATAACTGGCATGTTTTCCAGTCTACATCGTCTTACTCTCCGCTGAATTTAGCCATGTAATCTCCTAGCTTAAAAAAATTCTTTGATATTTTAGCATTTATTATTGCTTACAAATTTTCATCTCTCTTTTTTCTCATTAATGTATTCTTATTCAACATCTCATTTCCTAAATGCAAGTATTCCCTTAAGATTCTATCCTAATCCCTATTTTTGCCTTTCTTCACTTCCTCCTTTGATGAGCTCATTCATCCTCATTTTTTTGAGCCGTTTCTACTGGACAAGTAAAAGTCAGTCTCTCTGGCACTCCTCTCTGTTTAAATTCGTACCTCATGAGCTACTCTAACTCACAATGTTGTTAAACAAATTACATCTTTTTCAAGCAACCTCTTCTCTTGGTTTCTAGTTTTGATCATTCAATGCTGTTTTTCTGTTTATGTCATTATTATTTCTCTACTAGAAAGTAAGTTACATGAGGACTAGCATTTTCATCCCTCAATCCTAACAACTAAAATAATTCTGTTATGTGTTCATCACTACATAAATATATGCCAAATTACTGAATGAAAAAAAAAATAAATAAATCCTGATTCTCTAGGCTTGAAAATGTTCAGCCATTTCGACTCTTTTTTCCACTATGCACTAATCAAAACGGCAGCCAAGTTGCTTGAGTTTACTTTTATAGCATCTTTTGTGTCTGTACTTCAAATGCAGTTATTTTGGTGGTTGAAATTTTTTATTATCTCTTGCATAGCCCTTTGTTTTAGCCTTATAATTGGTCTTCCCAATAGTCAGAAAAAACTTCCTCTTCTCAAATTCTCTCATGCACTTAAGATATTTATTACTTGTGTTAGATAGCATAGCTATTACATGCACTTTATAATAGTTCTGTAAATTGCACTCTCATAAAGTCAGTTTTATCATGATAATCTCTTTATCTCTCAGAACACTTAATGTATGTTTCTTTATTTTTAAAACAAATAGTTGATGAGTAGATGTCAACGAGTAAACACCACTGGCAGAGTAAACTTCTTAAAGCACAATTATAATTTAGTCACTTTTTTACAGTTAGGGCCTTTAATGGTTCCTCATTGCCTCCTGAATTAAGTTTAAACTCCTCAATCAATAATTTAACCTCTTCCCTCGATTCTATAATATGGTCCAAAATGACCTTGCCAAGGTTATGCCTCTTTCTTCTCTTATACATCTTGTACTGTAACCATTCTGGGCTACTTCTCCAATTACAATCCTCATTTTGTTCAGATTGTTCCCTTAAATAACAACCTCATCTTTGCCTCTGCCTCCTAAATCCTGTCTATTCTTCATTTATCTTCAAGAATTCAGTACTTTGGAAGTAAAGGTGAAACAGATAAGAGTGAGAAGATAAGGAAAATAAAGAAATTGAGGACTTATTTCCTTGGATTTATCTTTTGCCAATTTCCTGCCTAAATCACTATTACTGTTCTACTCTTTGCTGTGGACCCATAGCTAGCTTTTAGCCTACACCGTGTTTAAAATACTCTAGTTAAAATTCTGTAGCCAATATCATGGCATACAGGTCTAGGTTTCTTCAACCTTAAATCAGTTACAATTTTGTAGGAGAGATTGGCAAGTAAAAAATAAAATGTAGTCTGCATCAGTGAACAAACATATAAATTGGGGTTGGAAGAATAGGATATGCATCTGGAAAACCTTTTTCTCATAAAATTTTATGTCCAATTTTCTTCCATATATAATTTTCCTGATTTTCTTTTCTATGAAAAACAAACAATATCTTTAGTCCCTGGGATGCTGGCAGCAGCATGAATCACTATCTTATCAATGAATTTTATCAATGTTAATATTGTAAATAAATTTTTACATAAATATGGGCAGTATCATCTGCTCTGAGGTTGCAAAAAATATACTCAGGGCATTGTCTATGCATCACAGATATTGATTTTATAGGATATAGTTTTAGAGTCAACTGGAAGCCCCATAATACATTAGTCAATAGTTATTTGTAAGTGGCCACTGAAGCATGGCCCTAGGTGGCAAAATGTCAGTTGCAAAAAAGGTAGGCTTTTTTGTTTAAGTGCTTACAACCTGAAACTTTAATTCACAGTCCTACTCAGGATCTGTTGTGATCAAAGCTCTGCATGCCAGTTCTCTACTCAGAAATCTGTTAATTAACACCTCTTCACAAGTAGAGCTGATTTTGATTTTCTATGAAGGAAAACATAGGTCATTCTAATTTTCCTTCTGCTTCATTCATTCTTTTGTCTTATAATCTTCCTGGCACAAACAGGTAGGATCAAAAGCTGCACCAGTTAGTTAACTTCCATACCACCTTAAGTCTGCCCAGATATTTATGTCTGCCTACCAGACAAGAATTTGCTTTCTACCTCACCCAAGAGTATATTCTATTATGTATCATAGCTACAAGGATGTAAGCTGACATTCTAGGTAGGATGCTAAACAATGTCAGAGAAATACTATAAAGCATCTTATTGAGAAAACCATATGCTTACTAAAGATTAGAATAGCATAGGCAAGCCAAGCATGGCCACATAAGAGAGGGTGAGTGACTGAGGAAAGAAAGAAGTAGAAATCAAATGACTTAGAGCCAATGAGTTACCTAAAGACAATAAAAATTAAACAGCACACATGAATGTTTGGCGATTATGTAAAAGGTGCAAAGCTATGTGTAAACCTAGAGCTTCTCCTATTCAAGTTTTCTTAAAGTGATCCGATTTATTTTCATGTGCTTGATTTTGAGCATAGTTGGCTCCTTTTCATTCATTTATAAAAAAGGCCCGCATAATGAACACTGCACTGTGATGACTAATCTGAGAAAGAAAAAGGGGCCACTGGCTTAGCAATGCCTACCAGATGGCAGCTGGACACAAACACCTCCAGGTATCACAAGGGAATACAAATAATAGTTTATTGCAGGTGATAATACCACTTAAATAATGCAATTTATGACTAACAGATTTGAGAATAATTTAGAGTTCTAGCATGGATGCCTATTTGGCATTAACTGAGACCTAAATAAACAAAAATCAACTTTGACTCATCAGGGGAAATAAATTACATTTAAATCCATTCTTCTAAAATGAGAGGAAGGCATTCCTAGATTATGGCTAGCACTTTTGTGCATCAGAAAAATTAGCCTGTAAGCTGCTCTGACGAAGCTCTGAATAACTCAAATGAATAGAGCCTCAGTTCAATTTGAAATTAAATGACCATTTACAGTTTTGCTGGCATCCACGCTATGCTGGTCTTTTGACAAGTGTCTATTTATTTATTTATTTACTTATTTATTTATTTATTTATTTAATGACTATACCATACAGCATGCCACACAATCAAATCTTCCTCCACCTCTGCAATGTAGAACTGTTACTGTCTAGGTTTATTGTGATATAAAGCTATCCAGGTCTTATCAAGACAATAGTTAGGGCTATTCTAACTCAAAGACTAGTTGAAGTAGTGCTTTAAACACATGACCATAATAATTGTTTTTCTTTAGTATATATAAAACCAAGAAAGAAAATATTTAAGGGTAAATTACTCAATTTCAGTCTTGTCTTTCTGTTTTGTTATCTTCTTTAAAAATAGATTCTCTTTTACTACTTTGATTAACTACAAATAAAATAAAATAAAAATGAGAATAAAAATATTATGTAACATTAATGTCTGAATTCAAAGAGATATCAATATTTTAAGTTTTTAAATTCTAATTTTTATGGGAGGGATTTGGGGATAAAATTGTAAAGACATTATTGAAAAATAGCGATATCAAATATTAACAAAATTCCTAATCTGTTCTGCAAATGTGTGCACCCTTGGTAAGCAACTTTACTCTGTTTATAGTTCAACTTCGTCTAAGTATATTACTTCTGGCTTCCACCTACTGAGCATGCCAGCATGAGTAATGAAAGTTATTGGTTTAAGAATGTTCACTGGAATGTCTACACTGGCAAAACTAACAGTTCCTGCAGCCTCATCTTCTGTGTATTTCGAGCTGAGTTTGTAAGCAGATCAGAGGGTCTATAAAGAGTTCAAACTACTCTTCTAATATTGTTTCCAGTTTGCACATTAAGTTTATCCAAATGTCTAAGCAGGCTTTGAGGCTCCCGATGAGATTTTTGCTTCTCTCTGTGACTATCCTTATGTCACAGTATAAAAAGATAATTATACCTCTCAATGAGCATGGCATTTCCTCATTCTCAGGCCTACTTTCCAGTTTCATAGAATGAATTTGTCAGCCTAGTAAACTAATACGGAAAGAAGTAGAATCCTTGAATTACATACTAAGTTCATTCCTTACTTCATAGAGGAGGAAATTAAGAGCTATAATGGTTCTGTAATTTGCTTACTTTTTGTTTATGTCGAAACCAGAATTGGAGTATATGTTTCTTAATTTTTAGTCCAAATTTATTTTCATCTTCCCTATCTTTCTCATGTTGTTTATGTTATTGTGATTTTATTTATTAGCCTATTTTTTATTAACAGCAGGAACATGTTCATCGTGAAATAATATTTATTAAAAACATGATTTATATTTCAGTCCAATCAGTCAAGCATGTCTGAGTAATTCAAGGTACAAATAAGGCAATTATGTATCCAAAGAAATGAAGCCAATTGTTTTCTTTCCCTGGGGAAATAGTTGTTCTTTTCAAAAATTACCAATTGCATTTAATTACAGAAAAAAAATTAAAAATATGACAAGCATGTAAGAAGAAAAAATGTATGCATAATCTACCTTTTAGAAAAAAAAAAAGAAAAGTTTGTTAAACTACTAAACTTTGCTTAGAGGAGAAACACTGCATGGTTTTCTTACTTAATGAGAGTTTAAAACATATATGGTGTGTTAGCGTCTATGGATGCCATAACAAACGACTATAAATTCAGTGGTTAAAGAAGACAAATTTATTTTTTTTCTTTTTTTTTTTTTTAATTATACTTTAAGTTTTAGGGTACATGTGCACATTGTGCAGGTTAGTTACATATGTATACATGTGCCATGCTGGTGTGCTGCACCCACTAACTCGTCATCTAGCATTAGGTATATCTCCCAATGCTATCCCTCCCACGTCCCCCACCCCACCACAGTCCCCAGAGTGTGATATTCCCCTTCCTGTGTCCATGTGATCTCATTGTTCAACTCCCACCAATGAGTGAGAATATGCAGTGTTTGGTTTTTTGTTCTTGCGATAGTTTACTGAGAATGATGATTTCCAATTTCATCCATGTCCCTACAAAGGACATGATCTCATCATTTTTTATGGCTGCATAGTATTCCATGGTGTATATGTGCCACATTTTCTTAATCCAGTCTATCATTGATGGACATTTGGGTTGGTTCCAAGTCTTTGCTATTGTGAATAGTGCCGCAATAAACATACGTGTGCATGTGTCTTTATAGCAGCATGATTTATAGTCCTTTGGGTATATACCCAGTAATGGGATGGCTGGGTCAAATGGTATTTCTAGTTCTAGATCCCTGAGGAATCGCCACACTGACTTCCACAGTGGTTGAACTAGTTTACAGTCCCACCAACAGTGTAAAAGTGTTCCTATTTCTCCACATCCTCTCCAGCACCTGTTGTTTCCTGACTTTTTAATGATTGCCATTCTAACTGGTGTGAGATGGTATCTAATTGTGGTTTTGATTTGCATTTCTCTGATGGCCAGTGATGATGAGCATTTTTTCATGTGTTTTTTGGCTGCATAAATGTCTTCTCTTGAGAAGTGTCTGTTCATGTCCTTCGCCCACTTTTTGATGGGGCTGTTTGTTTTTTTCTTGTAAATTTGTTTGAGTTCATTGTAGATTCTGGATATTAGCCCTTTGTCAGATGAGTAGGTTGCAAAAATTTTCTCCCATTTTGTAGGTTGCCTGTTCACTCTGATGGTAGTTTCTTTTTCTGTGCCTTCATGCTAAAAACTCTCAATAAATTAGGTATTGATGGGATGTATTTCAAAATAATAAGAGCTATCTATGACAAACCCACAGCCAATATCATACTGAATGGGCAAAAACTGGAAGCATTCCCTTGGAAAACTGGCACAAGACAGGGATGCCCTCTCTCACCACTCCTATTCAACATAGTGTTGGAAGTTCTGGCCAGGGCAATTAGGCAGGAGAAGGAAATAAAGGGTATTCAATTAGGAAAAGAGGAAGTCAAATTGTCCCTGTTTGCAGATGACATGATTGTATATCTAGAAAACCCCATCGTCTGAGCCCCAAATCTCCTTAAGCTGATAAGCAACTTCAGCAAAGTCTCAGGATACAAAATCAATGTACAAAAATCACAAGCATTCTTATACACCAATAACAGACAAACAGAGAGCCAAATCATGAGTGAACTCCCATTCACAATTGCTTCAAAGAGAATAAAATACCTAGGAATCCAACTTACAAGGGATGTGAAGGTCCTCTTCAAGGAGAACTACAAACCACTGCTCAAGGAAATAAAAGAGGATACAAACAAATGGAAGAACATTCCATGTTCATGGGTAGGAAGAATCAATATCATGAAAATGGCCATACTGCCCAAGGTAATTTACAGATTCAATGCCATCCCCATCAAGCTACCAATGACTTTCTTCACAGAATTGGAAAAAACTACTTTAAATTTCATATGGAATCAAAAAAGAGCCCGCATCGCCAAGGCAATCCTAAGCCAAAAGAACAAAGCTGGAGGCATCACACTACCTGACTTCAAACTATACTACAAGGCTACAGTAACCAAAACAGCATGGTACTGGTACCAAAACAGAGATATAGATCAATGGAACAGAACAGAGCCCTCAGAAATAACGCCGCATATCTACAACTATCTGATCTTTGACAAACCTGAGAAAAACAAGCAATGGGGAAAGGATTCCCTATTTAATAAATGGTGCTGGGAAAACTGGCTAGCCATATGTAGAAAGCTGAAACTGGATCCCTTCCTTACACCTTATACAAAAATCAATTCAAGATGGATTAAAGACTTAAACATTAGACCTAAAACCATAAAAACCCTAGAAGAAAACCTAGGCATTACCATTCAGGACATAGGCATGGGCAAGGACTTCATGTCCAAAACACCAAAAGCAATGGCAACAAAAGACAAAATTGACAAATGGGATCTAAAGAAGACAAATTTATTATCTCACAGTTTTGGAGTCTCACAGTCCAGAATGAGTCTCGTTGAGCTAAAGTCAAGGGCAGGGCTGCACTCCTGCTGGAGTCTATTGGGCAGAATTTATTTCCTTGTCCTCCCCAGGTTAGTCTTGAGAACATCTGCATTCCTTGGTTTGTGGCCCGCTTCCTCCGTCTTTAAAGCAAAGGCCAGTCGAGTTCTTGAATCACATCACTCAGACCTTCTCCATAGTCATATTTTCCTCTGATTCTGACTCCTCTTCTGTCTCCCTCTTTCACTCTAAAGACTCTTGTGATTACATTGGTCTTGCCCAAATAATCCAGTATTATCTTACCTAGGTAAGGTGAGCTTACTTCCATCTGCAGCCTTGACTCCTTTTTGATATTGATGTGGTTTGGCTGTGTTCTCACCCAAATCTCATCTTGAATTGTAGTTCCCATAATCCCCACATGTTGTGGGAGGGACCCAGTGGGAGGTAATTGAATCATGAGGGAAGTTGCCCCCATCCTGTTCTTGTGATAGTAAGTTCTCATGAGTTCTGATGGTTTCATAAAGGGCTTCCACCTTTGCTCAGTTCTCATTTTTCTCTCTCCTGTCACCATAAGGTATATACTCCTAGAAGGATGTATTTGCTACTCCTTCTGCCATGATTGTAAGTTTCCTGAGGTTTCCTCAGCCATGCTGAACTGTGAGTCAATTAAACTCTTTCCTTTATAAATTACCCAGTTGTGGGTATGTCTTTATTAGTGGCATGAGAATGGATTAATATACACATGTAACATAAGAAATTCATAGCTTGTGGGGATTAGGACATGGACATCTTTGGGGAAGTCATTATTCTGTCTACCAGAAAATGGGGTTCATGGACCAGAGGGGCACAAATAAATATTCTGAAGACTTATTAGTCTATCATAACTTCCACAAATTTCATAGCTTAAAACAACATAAATTAATTTTATCACAATTCTAGATGCCAGAGTGCTTAAATCAGGGTGTCAGCAGGGCTGCACTCTTTCTGAAGACACTAGGGGAGAATCCTTCCTTCTTTCAGTGTCTCCAGGCATTTCTTGACTTGTGGCTGCATAATTTCAATTTCTGCCTCTATGTTTATGCGGCCTTCTCTTCTCTGTGTGTCAGTACCTTCCGTGTTTCTTCTAAGGAGACTTATAATAGAATTTAGGGCCCATCTGGATAATCCAGGATGACTTCATCTTGAGATCCTTAACTTAATTATGTTTACAAAGGCTCCTTTTCCAACCAAGGTTACATTCATAGGTTCTGAGACATGACTGTATCTTTTGGGGACCCACTGTTCAATCTACTACAGAAAGTTATATTATATGTTTGAATGCAGGCAGGTCAATCTGACCACAATATGTAGTTGTCTTAACTGAACTGTGAATAGTGACAGAGGTCACCAAGCTATTGCAATGTTTCATGCAATGATAGCATGAAATAATTCTGTGGTGCAGAACATAATGAAGACGAGGGCCTGTATCTAAGATATATTTTGAGGTAAAAAACTACAATGACTTGAGGACCAGTCCGATTCCAGAAGTTTTCATTTCCTTTGGACATTTTTATTTCTTTCTTTATTCTATGAAAGACATTCACGAATCCCTCAGCCCACTGCAAATGACAGCAGAGAGAACATAGGTGGACAACCGAACAGAATGTAATAAGTGTCAGCAAAGACTCAGAGATCCAAAACCACTGGAACCACTCAATTTTATTTAAGTAATAGAAAAAGATTGAAGTTCTGAGACTGAAGTTCTTTCTTTATCCTATGTCATATCATATTTTCATTAGCAGACATATCTTGCATAAATCCATTACTTTAAAAAAGTGTAATATTATCTTTTTTGTTGTTATAAAGGCAATATATGAGATTGAGAAAAATTTGGTGAATACCAAAAGATTTAAAAAATTAGAATCACTGATGTTATAAGTACCCAGAATAAAACAATATTTTTATCTATAAAAATAAAAAAAGAAATCCCTCTCTATCTGTTTTCCAGTGTATTATCACATCATACAAAATAGCTGTGGAAATAGCACCAAATAGAGAGGGAATATTCACAATGATTTGAATTAAACTTCATCAGGACATATGTGAAATACACGATGGAGCACCTCACGTGGAAAGTCTAAAATAAGTTCATCATCCACATTAGCTAGAGCTTAGTTTGAATTTTCACCATAATTAAATAGGTTTCAAATAGTTTGAGTTAATATTATGGTCAAGTGGGATGTGTAACTTTGACTTGAAATCTCTGTGACACCTTGAAAGCTAACCCATCACCTTCCAGAGGCAGAAATTTATATGTAATGAGTAGGCCACATATTGTTAATCAGGAAGACACCTACCATTTAAAGCCATGGAGAGAATAAAGGTTTAAAACATTGGTTTAAAATTTCTTTTGAATGTGGCTAAACTTAGTGACTCATTCTGATGAACAGAGTGCAGAAAGAGAAAAAAAAGTGACGCTATAATAGGGAAACCAGAAGATAGCATCTTAACCAAGTGATCAAAGTTAGTGTCACTAGTAATAAATCTTGTTGATTTTGTGTGTTCCTTGATATCACCCAATAAGAAGAGCACTTCTTATTTGTAGTAGCCTTCCAAAAAAATCAGAACCCCAGTATAATCATATGAAATCATCAGACAAACCTAAATTGAGAAGCATTCAACAAAATATGAGAACAGTACTCTTCAAAAGTGTCAAGGTTATGAAAAGGAAGAAAACACAGTAAGACTGTCAAAATTGGAGGACACAAGGGAAATATGACAACTAGATGGAATAAGATATTGTGGAAGAGAAAAAGACATTAGAGGGGAAACTGGTGAATCCAAATAAAATATGTAGCATATATTTTAGTGCTTCACAATAATTTCTTATTTTCAATGAATACCTCATGGTTATGAAAGATATCAATATTACAATATGTAAGAACTATTTCCATTATATTTACAACTCTTCTGTCAATCTAAAATTGTACCAAAATAGAAAAATTTTAAGCAGTTTCTCTAAAAGACAACTTAATGTCATATGTACATGCATGGCAGAGTATAGAATTTATTTATTTCAAATGTATTTTTTTGGTTCTCCCAGGAAATTCTAGATAGGGTAGCTCATTTTGATGTATTTTCTTTCATATGTATACACAGATTTTTATTTTTATTTTTCCAATTAACATATTGAGAATGTTGTCCATGTTATTAAATGTTCATTAAAATTTCATTTTGATAGCAGGAAAATATTCTACTCTTGATTAAATTTTAAGTTATTTAATTCTATATAATGAGTATTCAGGTTATTTCAGTGTTTGCTTGTACATGGAATTAGATAAACTTTATTCTTTGCTATGACTTATTGGGAAGCAACAGCCCAATAGAGAAGTGATGCTGCTATCTCAGTCATATTACCTTCAAGGGTTTATCAAGACCCAGACATAAAGAGAAACTACCAGCTAAGTCAGATGGAAAAGGGCATGCTACTGTCACAGTTGTGATCATTTAAATATTATTGAGCAGAGACCTATTTCTTAAAACAAACAAACAAACAAAACAGGTCACAAGGGATAGGAAGGACTGTGTATCTGCAGAGGATCTGCAGAGGGGAGTGGAGTAAAAGGAAAGAATGCACTGGTAATGCGTGCTAGTGTGAAACTGTGAAGCTCTATTTTGCCAAGTGACCCTATCTATACCTAATATCTGCTTTTAAAACCAGCTATGATTTATATAGTTCTTCAAAATGTCTTACATATAATTAATCTATTTTAAATTGATTGACTTTATTTTGAAGCACTTTTATATTGACAGAAAAATTGAGCAGAAAGCACACAGAGTTCCCATATACCTTCTTTCCTCCTGTTCAAAGTTTTTGGTGCTATTGACACCTTGCTTTAGTGTAGTACATTTGTTACAATTCATGAACCAAATATTGATACATCGTTATTAACTAACATTTGTAGTTGACATTAGGATTCAATCTTTGTGTTGTACAGTTCTATGGATTTTGACAAGTATATTATTCTTTTTTTTTTTTTTTGCCCCATGAAGGTTTATCAAATGTTTTACCTGTGAAAACTCCAGAAATATATTTAAATTTTCAACAATATTGAAAAACCTCATAGTATTCAATCAATTAGTTAAACTGTGGAAGAGACTTTCATTAATTATAAAACTGAACACGCTGTATTGAGGAGCACAATATTATACAGGCATTGCCAGGGGAACAATACCACTGCGGCAGCCAGGAAGTCTGGGATAACCTTGAAAGAATGACTCCATACTCTAGACAATCCAGACAAATAAGAAAGTAGAAAAAGCTAAGTCATGTTTGATAAAGAAAACGAGGACTGAGATACTTAAAAGAGTATATCAATAAATTTAATATTATGAAATAACTTTCCAAATCAATGATATTAAGAATATAATTTAACAAATGCTGCTCCAATTGGTTATCTGTTAATATAAAAAGAAATCTTTTTTTATACAAACAATAAATTTTAGATTAAGCAAAGAAATTGTTTTACAATAGATGAACTACAAAACAATAAGAAAACAAATATTTACAAACTCTTTCAAAAGTAGAAGAGGAGAGAACAGTTCTCAACCCATCATATCAAGCCAGTATTATCCTGACACCAAAGCCAGATAATGACATCATGAGAAAACTACAGGCCAATATCTTTTATGAATACAGACATCAAAATACTCCGCAAAATACTAGTACATGCAATGTAACATTTTGTGTAAAGTATTATACATATGTACACATGGATATAGAGAGTGGAAAGATAGACATTGGAGACTCAGAATAGTGGGGGCAGAATGGGGATTGGTGATGAGAAATTACTTAATGGTTACAATTTATATTATTTGAGTGATGGATATACTAAAAGCCAAGACTTCATCACTGCACAATATATCCACGTAACACAATTGCACTTGTATCCCCTTAAATTTTTACAAAATTTTTAAAAGAAAAAAATAAAGGATTATACACCATGACCAATTTGGGATTTGTTCTGGGAAAGAAAAGTCGATTTAATATCTGAAAATCAATGAGTGTAATATACCACTTCAACAGAATAAAAGACAGTACATATTTAAATCAGAATCCCATTAAGACAGCATTTCATATCCACTGGGATAACTATAATAATTTTAAAATAATAATAATGTTGCCAAAGATGTGGAGAAATTGGAGCCATCTTTCACTGGTTGTAGAAATGTAAAACAGTGCAGCTGCTCTGGAAAACAGTCTAGCAGGTCCCCAAATGATTGAACACAGAGTAATCATATGATCCAGACATTCTACTCCCAGGTATATATACTGAAAACATATATTCCCACAAAACCTTGTACATAAATGTTTATAGCACCATTATTTATAATAGCCCAAAAGTGGAAACAACTCAAATATTCATCAGCTCATGAATAGATAAATAAAATGTATATCCATATGATGGAACGTTATTCAGCTCTATAAAGCAGTAAGTATGATAAGTGCTACAACATAAATGAACCTTCATGACATTATGATAAGTGAAAGAAGCCAATCATAAAAGACCACATAAATGAAAAGTTGCTGGGAAATTGAAGGCATGCAAACACATTATAATAGAAGTCATACTTTCTATTTTCCCCACGTAATGTGCTAATTTGTAATTCAGAGGAAGGAGAGGATATTTGTAGCTTAGAGGGGCCTAAGGCAGGGTTCATTGAAGAGTTGCAATCCTATGTGAGCAGGACAATAAAGGATGGTTAATATTGGAATGTGTAAAGGTAGGATAAAGGACCAACCAAAAAGAGAAAGCAACATGATTAAAGGGTAGCATATGTATCATCCCTAAGTTTGGTCCATAGGTCATGAAAGCAAATAGTATGAAATGAATTTGTAAATGTAAATTCACACCCAGTTAGGAGGTAATCTAGCTTTGAGAGTTAGGTCAAACACTGCCAGTATAGATCTGAAATCAATGGATAGCCATGGGCATTTCAAGATGGGAGCTGGGAGGTTTTACATGATTAGAACTGTGGTTTTGAAAGATAGACAAGGCAACTATGTGCCTGGGAGAAAAAGTTGAAAAACTGTGCACAGTAATTGCTATCAACCATGTTAAATACCCTACGTTGGAAGATCAGGCTAAATTGGACATGCATTAATGGTCAGTGCCTGTTCTGTTTCCATGAGGCTTTGAATAAGAATGGAATTTCTTTTTACATCAAGCAGTTTAAACAAATGAAATGTTGCAGAAAACAACAACAAAAACAAGGTCAGAAATTTTATTGAATCCCTAGACATCCACTAAATGGGAAAAGCAATGACCTTATTTTCTAAGACTTTTTCAAAACTTGCCAAGTGGAAAGCTTCAGAATATTCTAATTATTTGTCAAGAGCACAAAATTTGTTATTCGTAAAAAGATCAGTGTTATTTAATTGCTACAACTGGGACAGGGCCTAATAATATCAGGTAAATATTTTACAGTACAGAAAACATCTTTTTTTTATTGCTTTCTAACCTATTTGACACATTTGAATGAAAAAGAGGACCATTTTATTTCCTTTATTAGTTAATGCATTAGGGGCTTACCCGCTTAAAGAGTTTATTCTGTTGTTTATTTGTCTTTTCTTCTAAATGGTCTTACTTATATCTCTGTTTCTGTAGTTGTCTGCCTAAAATGTACATGGTGATATAGCCTAGAGTGAGGCCTACTTAAGGTGCTTATGAAGGTGATAACAGATTTATTAGAATGTAGAATATAATATTGTACATAAAGCTACCGAATTTTTCTTATTCAGGAGACTCTTCATTCTAAGAATGAAAATATGTGAAGATATTTTAGTAAATATAAGCTTTTATTGTTACTCTTTTTCAGGAGGGGAAATTTTTAGCTTTCATACATCTTATAAAATAATGCTAAGAGGGAAACAAAAAAGGGGACTTATGCTGTATCATAGATGATTCATAAATAATTAAAGAAATGGCTAAAACTCATCTACATTTTTAATACCTTGTTCTTCCAAATGAATATTTAGAAATAATAAACTCCAATGTAAAGTAAGTTTACTATAAAATTGTTAATAAGTTGTGTTGTTTCTTGAACCACAAGTGATACCAGTGTAATCTAATGTACTGGATGTTGATTATTTTCTGTTCTCAGAAGAAATGATATAAAATTTTTTATATTCGTAGTAATTAGCTCACATTTTTAGGCAATGAGCAAATAAAAGAAAGCTGACTTAATAATAATCACAGAAAAAATAGACGTTAAAGCAAAATAACTTTTTAGGGTTACTACATAAATGATCAGAATTTAAACTCACAGAAAACATGGAACAATTTAAATTCTATTGTCTAAAAATTAGCCTCAAATTATATGAATTAAAAAATGGATAGATTTACTGGGAAGCTTAAATAAATCTACCAATATATATAAAGAGATTTCAGCAGTCTTCTTTTATTCACTAATAGTACAAATAGCCAAAAAAAATTGAAAATATAATTTGAATAGTAAAAATATTGTTTATTGTAATAGAGATACACAGAATTTTGTGCCCCCAAATAGAGTAAATACACTTGTCTTAAATATTTATAGCTCATTCACAAAATTGATCATTTTCTATGCCATCAAGCAGGAAATAATAAATTTCAAAGTGCAGGTATCATGCAGATACATGTTTCTCAGGATGAGGAAATCCAGCTAAAAATGTGAAAGAACAACAACTAAAAAAGATAAATAAACCCCCTTATATTTGGAAATAAAAAAACTTGTAACAATTTATGATAAAAGAAGTTGACAAATTTCAAAACTAAAAAATATTTAGAAATAGCTAAATATGGCTGGGTGTGGTGGCTCACGCCTGTAATCCCAACACTTTGGGAGGCCAAGGCAGGTGGATCACCTGAGGTCAGGCTTTCAAGACCAGCCTGGCCAACATGGTAAAATTCCCATCTCTACTAAAAATACAAAAGTTAGCTGGGCGTGGTGGTGCATGCCTGTAATCCCAGCTACTCAGGAGGCTGAGGCAGGAGAATCACTTGAACCTGGGAGGTGGATGTTTCAGTGAGCCGAGATCACAGCTTTGCACTCCAGCCTAAACGACAGAGCAAGATTCTGTCAAACAAAAGAAAAAAAGAAAAGAAAGAAGGAACTAAATATAACCACATTGTACATCAAAACTCATGGGAAAATACAAAAACAATGCTTTGAAAGAAACATATAGCCTTAAATATTTATACTAGAAAAGAAAAATAGCTGAAAAAATAATAAACCAAATTATAAAAGGAACACAAAATAAACCCAAAATTAGAAGGAATAAAAGGAGCGGATCAATGAACTAGAAAGACTTGCATACCAAGGACAAGATTGTTCACACCACTGTCCATAATATCAAATACTTAAAAAACCACAAACACTAATCAATAGAAAAATATACACATAAATTGTGTTATAGTCAGAAATTCAAGTATTAAACAGCAGTAAATATGAATGAAAGAAAGCTACATACAGCGGATTGGAGAAATCTTGGTATTTAATCTGTCACATAGGATGAATTAGGGAGTATGTGAAAGGAAGAAAAAAAAAGCTACCAAAGACAATCTATAGTACCTACTACTACTATAACATTTAAACACAAGCATTACATTTTTAAATTAGAATTATGATTTTGAAATAGTTGTAGATGTACATACAAGTGTAAGAAATAGCACAAAAGTTCCCATGTACCCTTCATGCCATTTCTTCTATTAGTAATATCTTGCAAAACTGTAGAAAATCACAACCAGAATATTAAGGTTGTTACAAACCATCAATTTTATTCAGATTTTACAAGTTAACTTGTACTTATTCGTGTGTGTATACTTAGTTTAATAAAATGTTTTTACATGTAGATTTCTGCATCCAGGACTACAGTTAACATACAGAACAATTCTATCCCAAGGATTTCCTGTGTTGCCCTTTTGTAGCCATACCATCCCAGCCTCATCACTAAACCCTAGTAATCCCTGCTCTATTCTATACTTCCATAGTTTGTTATTTCAAGAATCTGATATGTAAGTAAGACCATGCAGTACGGAGGCTTTTGGGATTGGCTTTTTTCACCCTTATTCACCTGTATAATTCTGTAGAACTCCTTGATTCATCCATGTTGCTGCATGTGTCAATGATTTTTCTATTTTGATAGCTAGTAGTAGTCCATGGCAGAAAAACAACACAGTTTGTTTCATAATCACCTTTAAAGGGAATCTGGGCTGCTCCCAGTTTTCATTTATTATGAATAAAGTTGCTATTCTTCATAGATAGGGTTTTATTTTTCATAAACAAAAGTTTCCATTTCTCCGGGAAACATGTTTCAAGTGTGCAATCGCTGGGTTATATGGTTATTATGTGTTTAGTATTATATAATAGAAAAATGCTAAACTGTTTTCCAGAGTGGCTGTTTCATTTTACATTCCTACCAGCAATATACGAGTGATCCATTTTTCCACATCTTCATCAGCATTTGGGCTTGTCAGCATTTTTTATTTTAGCTATTCTGATAGGTGTATAAATGTATCTCATTGTGACTTAATTTGCATTTTCCTCAAAGCTAATGATTTTGAAAATCTTTTCATGTGGCAAATCTTTCATTCTTTTTTCTAAAATTTTATAATTTTACATGTGAGTCCATTATCTATTTGAGTTAATTTTTGTATAAGAGTGAGGTTTAAGTCAAGGTTTTTTTCTTTTGCTTATGGATATACAATTACTTCTGCATTATTTGTTAAAAAAAGAACAAGAATCATGTCAAAGATGGGATTCCCTAGAAAATAAAATATGTGAAGGAGATATCTGTATACAAAGTGAAAGAATAAGGAGTGACTGGAGTGAGATATAGTCTCAAAAATAGCCTTAATAGCCCCCAGAAAGAACTCGAGTTGGGATATCTCTGTAGACTGGTACTACATTGGAACACTAGAGCCAGAGCTGTATAACTCCCAGTGCCTCCCCATCCTCACGCACTGGTTCTATGCATGCTGCCTCTGAAAAAGGAAGTGACCTTGGATGAGGAGACTCTCAGGCAATTCCAAAAGGGGGAAACAAGAAGACCTGTCAATCACCAACACCACCAGCACTTGCCTGAATGAGTTCTTCTGTCTCGAGTAGATGATCCAGGCAGCTAATTTCAGCATCCACTGGAAATAATAAATGCAAAATTTAGAATAGGTTTTCCTCTGGAAGTGGGCACGATAGAGGAATGATTTGGTAGAGGAGCCCTCAGAACTGTTATTTATAAGGATCTAGTGTTTAGTTTGGCCAGTGGATTAATATTAATAGGAATTCATTATATTATTAAATGAGTAACTAAAAATGTGAATAAACCAAAGATTAATAAAAGAAGTTTATATTTAGACCAAAGATAATAGTTTGTCATGTACCAAAAATCAACACATCAAATGAAATATAATTTAGATAAATAAACTTGTTTGTGATTCTCCTTAAAGACAAATTTTAACTTTAGAAGCTGAAGCATTCCATTATTCAATTGAATTGCTTCCCCAACATATCTGGTGCTGAAGTAACTTTCCTATGTCTCATGTTTCCTCTCACCTTAATACCAGATGAAAGGGCTTTAACACATTCCAAAGATTTATACACAATATTTGCTATTTTCTATTCAGGAAACCCATCTCACATACAGAGACACACATAGGCTCAAAATAAAGGATGGAGGAAGATCTACCAAGCAAATGGAAAGGAAAAAAAAGCAGGGGTTGCAATCCTAGTCTCTGATAAAACAGACTTTAAACCAACAAAGATCAAAAGAGACAAAGAAGGCCATTACATAATGGTAAAGGGATCAATTCAACAAGAAGAGCTAACTATCCTAAATATATATGCACCCAATACAGGAGCACCCAGATTCATAAAGCAAGTCCTGAGTGACCTACAAAGAGACTTAGACATCCACACAATAATAATGGGAGACTTTAACATCCCACTGTCAACATTAGACAGATCAACAAGACAGAAAGTTAACAAGGATACCCAGGAATTGAACTCAGCTTTGCACCAAGCGGACCTAATAGACATCTACAGAACTCTCCACCCCAAATCAACAGAATATACATTTTTTTCAGCAACACACCACACCTATTCCAAAATTGACCACATAGTTGGAAGTAAAGCTCTCCTCAGCAAATGTAAAAGAACAGAAATTATAACAAACTGTCTCTCAGACCACAGTGCAATCAAACTAGAACTCAGGATTAAGAAACCCACTCAAAACCACTCAAGTACATGGAAACTGAACAACCTACTCCTGAATGACTACTGGGTACATAATGAAATGAAGGCAGAAATAAAGATGTTCTTTGAAACCAATGAGAACAAAGACACAAGATACCAGAATCTCGGGGACATATTCAAAGCAGTGTGTAGAGGGCAATTTATAGCACTAAATGCCCACAAGAGAAAGCAGGAAAGATCCAAAATTGACACCCTAACATCACAATTAAAAGAACTAGAAACGCAAGAGCAAACACATTCAAAAGCTATCAGAAGGCAAGAAATAACTAAAATCAGAGCAGAACTGAAGGAAATAGAGACACAAAAAACCCTTCAAAAAATTAATGAAACCAGGAGCTGGTTTTTTGAAAGGATCAACAAAATTGATAGACCGCTAGCAAGACTAATAAAGAAGAAAAGAGAGAAGAATCAAATAGACACAATAAAAAATGATAAATGGGATATCACCACCGATGCCACAGAAATACAAACTACCATCAGAGAATACTACAAACACCTCTACGCAAATAAACTAGAAAATCTAGAAGAAATGGATAAATTCCTCGACACATACACTCTCCCAAGACTAAACCAAGAAGAAGTTGAATCTCCGAATAGACCAATAACAGGATCTGAAATTGTGGCAATAATCAATAGCTTACCAACCAAAAAGAGTCCAGGACCAGATGGATTCACAGCCGAATTCTACCAGAGGTACAAGGAGGAACTGGTACCATTCCTTCTGAAACTATTCCAATCAATAGAAAAAGAGGGAATCCTCCCTAACTCATTTTATGAGGCCAGCATCATCCTGACACCAAAGCCGGGCAGAGACACAACCAAAAAAGAGAATTTTAGACCAATATCCTTGATGAATATTCATGCAAAAATCCTCAATAAAATACTGGCAAACCTAATCCAGCAACACATCAAAAAGCTTATCCACCATGATCAAGTGGGTTTCATCCCTGGGATGCAAGGCTGGTTCAATATACGTAAATCAATAAATGTAATCCAGCATATAAACAGAACCAAAGACAAAAACCACATGATTATCTCAATAGATGCAGAAAAGGCCTTTGACAAAATTCAACAACCCTTCATGCTAAAAACTCTCAATAAATTAGGTATTGATGGGACGTATCTCAAAATAATAAGAGCTATCTATGATAAACCCACAGCCAATATCATACTGAATGGGCAAAAACTGGAAGCATTCCCTTTGAAAACTAGCACAAGACAGGGATGCCCTCTCTCACCACTCCTATTCAACATAGTGTTGGAAGTTCTGGCCAGGGCAATCAGGCAGGAGAAGGAAATAAAGAGTATTCAGTTAGGAAAAGAGGAAGTCAAATTGTCCCTGTTTTCCGATGACATGATTGTATATCTAGAAAACCCCATCGTCTCAGCCCAAAATCTCCTTAAGCTGATAAGCAACTTCAGCAAAGTCTCAGGATACAAAATCAATGTACAAAAATCACAAGCATTCTTATACACCAATAACAGACAAACAGAGAGCCAAATCATGAGTGAACTCCCATTCACAATTGCTTCAAAGAGAATAAACTACTTAGGAATCTAACTTACAAGGGACGTGAAGGACCTCTTCAAGGAGAACTACAAACCACTGCTCAATGAAATAAATGAGGATACAAACAAATGGAAGAACATTCCATGCTCATGGGTAGGAAGAATCAATATCGTGAAAATGGCCATACTGCCCAAGGTAATTAATAGATACAATGCCATCCCCATCAAGCTACCAATGACTTTCTTCACAGAATTGGAAAAAACTACTTTAAAGTTCATATGAAACCAAAAAAGAGCCCGCATCGCCAAGTCATTCCTAAGCCAAAAGAACAAAGCTGGAGGCATCACACTACCTGACTTCAAACTATACTACAAGGCTACAGTAACCAAAACAGCATGGTACTGGTACCAAAACAGAGATATAGATCAATGGAACAGAACAGAGCCCTTACAAATAATGCCGCATATCTACAACTATCTGATCTTTGACAAACCTGAGAAAAACAAGCAATGGGGAAAGGATTCCCTATTTAATAAATGGTGCTGGGAAAACTGGCTAGTCATATGTAGAAAGCTGAAACTGGATGCCTTCCTTACACCTTATACAAAAATTAATTCAAGATGGATTAAAGACTTAAACATTAGACCTAAAACCATAAAAACCCTAGAAGAAAACCTAGGCATTACCATTCAGGACATAGGCATGGGCAAGAACTTCATGTCTAAAACACCAAAAGCAATGGCAACAAAAGCCAAAATTGAAAAATGTGATCTAATTAAACTAAAGAGCTTCTGCACAGCAAAAGAAACTACCATCAGAGTGAACAGGCAACCTACAGAATGGGAGAAAATTTTTGCAACCTACTCATCTGACAAAGGGCTAATATCCAGAATCTACAATGAACTCAAACAAATTTACAAGAAAAAAGTAAACAACCCCATCAAAAAGTGGGCAAAGGATATGAACAGACACTTCTCAAAAGAAGACATTTATGCAGCCAAAAGACACATGAAAAAATGCTCATCATCACTGGCCATCAGAGAAATGCAAATCAAAACCACAATGAGATACCATCTCACACCAGTTAGAATGGCAATCATTAAAAAGTCAGGAAACAACAGGTGCTGGAGAGGATGTGGAGAAATAGGAACACTTTTACACTGTTGGTGGGACTGTAAACTAGTTCAACCATTGTGGAAGTCAGTGTGGCGATTCCTCAGGGATCTAGGACTAGAAATGCCATTTGACCCAGCCATCCCATTACTGGGTATATACCCAAAGGACTATAAATCATGCTGCTATAAAGACACATGCACACGTATGTTTATTGCGGCACTATTCACAATAGCAAAGACTTGGAACCAACCCAAATGTCCAACAATGACAGACTGGATTAAGAAAATGTGACACATATACACCATGGAATACTATGCAGCCATAAAAAATGATGAGTTCATGTCCTTTGTAGGGACATGGATGAAATTGGAAATCATCATTCTCAGTAAACTATCGCAAGGACAAAAAACCAAACACCGCATGTTCTCACTCATAGATGGGAATTGAACAATGAGAACACATGGACACAGGAAGGGGAACATCGCACTCTGGGGACTGTTGTGGGGTGGGGGGAGTGGGGAGGGATAGCATTAGGAGATATACCTAATGCTAAATGATGAGTTAATGGGTGCAGCACACCAGCATGGCACATGTATACATATGTAACTAACCTGCACATTGTGCACATGTACCCTAAAACTTAAAGTATAATAATAATAAAAAAAATTTAAAAAAATATTTGCTATTTTCTAATTTGCTTATCTATCCTTTGAGACGCAATACAGAAACTTACATGTAATCAGATCTGTAGATCTTAAGAATTAACGAAGCAATGTATAATTTCAAAGCTTTATATTTTAGTATTTTCTTGCCTTTTCAAAAGCAAAATCATGGTTTGACTTTCCTGTTTCTTAAACATGAATTCAGCAAAAATGCATATGGGAAAATCACTGAAACTTTGAATAACCAAGATTCTTGCCGATAATTTCCATTACAGTCAAATTCCGTAAGCTTCAGTCTGCAAGTTTCAGTCTAATTTTTTGCTTCTGGTTGACTACAGTGAAAGCCCATGAACTGTCATATATTAGCTAACAGCAGTTCTCTCAGGAAAAAAGTCATTTGCTCTCTGAAGTATGACTCCTTAGACAGATGCTGCTGTGAGTGTTTACTCTGTAGTGTTATAGTTTTCCTGTTAGCTTGGATTTTTCTTTACTCAAACACTTGTTTGATATTGGGCTCCGGGGGAGGTGGGGAGAACGGAGACAGGATAAAGTTCAGATTACTGTGAAAACACAATTTTGACAAGGAAATCAAATTTAGTCATTTTCAATTCCACGTCTAGATTTGTCTAGAAACCCATATGCTATGAGCTCCAATTTCTGACTTTTCATTCTTTGAAGCCTATTTATGATTTGCAGACATACCGAGAGTGATCTGAATGTAAAACAGCTTTCAGAGTAATTGTTTCTGCAGTTGTTTTGTTCCTCTGTAAAATGCATCCCCCTGTACTTCGATTGTAGAGCCAATCAGGTGCTCCCCTAGCAGAGCACAGGCATGATAATGCTTGCCATTCAGCTATATGACATTTGATGGCAACAGACAGAATTTGTACAGAACCTCCACGTTTGAAGTTCCCCTAGTGCAAAGAACACTGCGGTTTAAGGCATTGCACAAATGTTACAGTAACAATAATAAAAGTATGCGATATTTCCCCTTTGAGGAAACATTAACAAATCTGCTAAATATTTTTATATAAGTAATTTGTTGTAATTTTTTTTCTATGGTTTGGAGCATAGAAGAGAAATGAGATTTTGAGTAGAAATCTGGTATATAACTCCCAATTAATTCTCACTCTACTACTATGCAATAGGTGTGATTATTGTCATTTTAAGAATGATGACTGAGGCTAGATAGGCTTTTTGAGGGGGAAAAGAGAATGATAAGGTTGCTAGTTTGGAATTCATTTTCTCTCTCATTAAACTAGGATTTTGTGAATTGTTACTGAATGACACAGATTTTAATAGGTATGAAAATACAACAAGGTTTAGTTGAATGATAAAATGTTTGAAAAGTCTAGGTTCCATGCTACTCATATTTTGCTGCAATACTTTAATAGTATGATACAGCTAAATGCAACCCATCTTCCAAAAAATGTAGGGTGCCCTTTTTTAACATCTAAAAATCTCAAGGCAATACTATTCCAAGGCGTAGAGTTTTGGAAAAGTGATGCTTCTAAAGTATACATACTTCTCAAGGAGGCTGTCTTTGAAAAAAAAATCAGCTGATTTGCAAAGCAGAGAGTCACAAAATCACTTTTTCCCCAAGGTATAGAGAAAACATTTACTTTGGAGTGACTGCAAGTATGTGCTGAGACTTGCATGTAGTTTGTTCTTAATATTTTTTTTAACCACAGGAAGGGATTAGGTTTCATATATCCTTTCAGATCTTCACATCTTTAAAGGAAGGCAGACAAAAATAGCAGGGTATGCTATGATTTATTCTCAAGTGGATTGCTATTTGAATTTTATAGCCATATTTGTTTTGGTATATAAGATTATACATACAATACCAAGAGGTCCAGAAAAGACTTCAGAACATGGCAGGGCCTTTGATAAAAGAAAGCCAAAGTGTTCCTCACAGTCCTTTTCATTATATATATATATATATATATATATATATATATATATATATATAGACATGCCTTTGTTGCTCATGCCTGTTTTCCTTTCACCTTCCATCCTCTCTTGCACAGCTACAAACATACATTCATACACATACAAACAATTCTTATGTGCAAATCAGTGAAATAAAATGTAGTTTTTGACAATATAGGTAGAATTATTTTTTGGGGTTTTGGGGAACAGTCGGTGTTTGGTTACATGGATAAGTTCTTAGTGGTGATTTCTGAGATTTTGAAATCTCTAGTTTTGAGCATTTTAAAGGAAGCTGCTACACATTTTTATCATTCTTATATATTTTATTCAATTTGACTCAATCAATACTTATCAAGCATCTACCACGTTCCAGGACTTATAGTAAAAATGAAGAGGTCAATTATGAACAAGACAGATAAAGTCCTGGAAGACCTAGGCATTAGGATTAAGCAGGACATTGAACTGAAATGGAAGTTTCAAATATTTTGGAAAAGATGAAATTCAATACACCAAGGCATTGAGTTAAAATGGAATTTAAAGCTGCCTAAAGATGAGGAAGACCCATTTAATTTATTCTTAAACTGACACAAAAGAATGAATAGGAATAGGATGAGGATGAAGTAATAGCATCCCATGCAAATATCCCCTAAACACAAAAAGTCCCAGAACTATATAATAAATTTCTTATATAGTGCTTGAAAACTGAAAGAAGTTTAGAAGATTTGTAGCATCAAGGACAAAGGTAAAGTTACAAAAGATGAAGCTAGAGCTATAAGGACCAACTGTCAGTAGTTTTTAAGGATTTTTGATATTAAGAAAATGGGAAGGTACTGTACAATTTTAAGAAAGCAAGAAAACAATGACATGATCAGATTTCTGTTGTTTAAAAGATCCCTCTGGCCAGGTGCAGTGGCTCACGCCTCTAATCCCAGAACTTTGGGAGGCCGAGGCGGGTGGATCATGAGGTCAGGAGTTCGAGACCAGCCTGGCCAACACAGTGAAACCCCGTCTCTACTAAAATTACAAAAAAAAAAAAAAAGAAAGAAAAAAAGTTAGCAGGGCGTGGCGGCATGCACCTGTAATCCCAGCTACTCAAGAGGCTGAGGCAGGAAAATCTCTTGAACCCGGGAGGCAGAAGTTGCTGTGAGCCGAAATTGCGCCACTGCACTCCAGCCCAAGAGACAGTGGGAGAATCCTTCTGAAAAAAAAAAAAAATCCCTCTGATTTCTGGGCCATGAATGAACTAGAGACAGCAATCATAGACATGAAGAGGGTGACTAGAAACTGTGTACAATGGTTGGCTGGGCTTGGTGCCTGTAATCACAGCACTTTGGGAGGCCGAGGCAGGCGGATGACTTGAGATCAGGAGTCCAAGACCAGCCTGGTCAATCTCTACTAAAAAATACACAAATTAGCCGAGTGGCATGGCGCATGCACGCCTGTAATCCCAGCTACTTCGGAGGCTGAGGCACAGAGGCTGAGGCAGGAGAATCACTTGAATCCAGGAGGTTAAGGTTGCAATGAGCCGAGATCACATCGCTACACTCCAGCCTGGGTGACAGAGCAAGACCCTGTCTCAAACAAACAAACAAAAACCTACAGTGGTAATTTTTTGAACTTCAGTGATGATGGCATAAGAAAGAATATTAATATTTCAGACATATTTCTGAGGTAGAAAAACCAATCTAATAAATAATTCAATGTGAAATATCAGAGAGAATGAAAACATTAAAGATTGCTTGACGTTTTGGGTTTGATTAGGTGGGGAAGGTGGTACTTATTGTAGTGAAAAGGAACACCGAATGAGAAATACACCTCTGTGAGATGAATTTGGTTGGTAAGATGTTGAATTTTAGGTTATTGACCTATATCCAATTTAACTAGTGCTTACGGAACCAATGAGAAGGTACAGGAGTGACTGTGACTCCCTCATTCATTCTCATTCTGTCTCTGATGCTATTCTCCACCCTGTCATTCTCCAAGGACTATTAGATTTAGGACTGTAACATCTGTTTTTATTTGATATTTGAGGCAGTGTTAATTCTGAATTGAATTCCAGTGCTGAGTATGATGTACAAGCACACAACTGCTTGTCATTCGTGAGTGCTGACACTCCCCCAAAAAATATCATAGAAAACCCGGTGTGACTAAGCAAACTCCAAGAAAATGCATCATTCTTTTTCTTCTAATCCAGTATTACTGGTATGTATGACATCTTGACTGAGTATCTTCTTTATTCTAAGAGGGAGAAAAAGGTAGATATTCTTTTACATTTTAGCTTTATTTTTCTTCGTCATAAAAAAGTTTGCATTTTGTTTAATTTTTCTTCTAAAAATATCAGATAACTTAGCAGGCATATGTACAGGTTTAACTTCATTTGAGGCTCCAAGGTGACCAGTCATGATTGTGATGAATGTACTGGCACAGGTTTAATTAACTTTGTGTCCTCTGCTGTCATTTATAAATTTAAACTAATATCTAATGGATGTAATCAGATAAGCTAAATTTGTCCAATTATATTCCAATCTGAGGAAAGCCCTTAAAATCAGGTGTTAAACAATTACCTCCAAGACAAAACCAGAAGTAGCGTGTAATTCGTAGGATAGGAAGTGGTAATACCGTCTTCTAGTAGCTGTAGTTCTTTACGTCAACTTCAGAACTATCTACTTTGCATTTAGGACGTCTGTGGTTAAGAAACTGCGGTTCCTTCTACATGGCCAAAGGACCTCTGACATTAAAGCTGCAGAGACTCAGTGAGAAACTTAAAAGAGAGTAACAAAACTAATGGAAAGAATTACTAGAGGTTGATTAGTTCTTATCTTTGACTTTTTCTTTCCAGGGCTTAAGAGATCTTTCCTTTTTTTATTGAATAAGAGATAGCAGTGGAAAAATAAATAAGAAAAGTGTAACGTTAGAGGAAATACTTCAGAATAAGAGAAAAGAAAAATAAAAAAACTTTTAAATATCCTACAGTTTTATCACTATACTATTATGTTCGAGTCCATAAAATGTGTTTGATGTTTGAAAAAATAGTGTCAACCGTTGGAGTATTTAGTAGACAATGTAAACTTGGCTTTACTTTGTCCCGGGACAGACTGAACTCATGTGAAGCCAAATTTCAGATCCAAGTACAACTGGAAAATTGGAACTTCAGTCTTGTAGCTAAGGCAGGTTATGAAGTCAGTTTAATTGCCTGCAGTAGTTGCTGTTTCTGTAACCTTGACGACAACCAGAAACAACAGTAAATGTAACCATTTAAGGCTTTTAAACCATCAAGCTACCAAGATTGTATGGAAAGATTGTATGGAAAAGTGAAACTTCAGTAAAGGAGACCAGAGTGGAAGAATTTTGGAGATGTAGCTCTTTTCTGATAGATACTGAACATTCAAACTTAGATTTCTTATTCAGAAAGATCTCTGGGGTTCTACCATCCACTGACTTCAGCTACATGGAGTATTTAATGTTGACATGAGCCTTTGATAGTATAGTGCTTTCTAAACTGGCGGCCCATTGCAAAGCAAAAGTTTTTTAAAAATCCTTACCTGTGTGACTGTGGAAATTTTTGAAGATAGACACCACTTATTTACCAAATAGATCAATCAAGATCATAAGGTTTTTACAGAACAAAAATAAACACTTGAGAATCCATAATTGGGACAATGTCTATGTTTTCAGTTAATTTTTAAAAATGTATCAAAAATAAGTGCAGAAAGTCACTTTTCTAATGTATCAAAAACCTTATAGTAAAGAGTGTGGTCACTAAACCCTTCTCTTCTTTCAGACATATTCTCCAGAGGAAATAATTTTAAGTGTTTCTTCTGGTAGTCATTTCTATGTTTCTAAATAATATACTTACATTGTTATTTAGTGATTATCAATTTGGGTATTTGTCTAATGACTCCTGTTATGCTAGATAAAGATATAGCACTCTCCTCAAACTGCCTTGCTCCATCCTCCCGAATTATTAACTAGTAATTTGTTAAATAATCATTGTTTATTTCAGCATCACCATATTCTATTGAATATATACACTATATAGAGCAACATATTCTACTATAATATTTTTAATTGTAAAATCTTTTGTTTTCCTTAAATTAATAATTCCCTCTTTTTCACGTATCTGGCTTTCTCTCCCTCTCTCCCTTATCCCGTCTCTTTTGTCTCCTCTTTCTCACTCTCTCACTCTTTTTCTCTGTTGGTAAACATCACCAAATCACCCACAATAATCACCAACAAATTATTTCTCATTTTATCGTGTACTAACTCTCATTTTCTTACAGCATCCCTCCCCAAGCTAAAACTGCCTTGGTTATTTTAGAAATTTACCAAACTTCCAGTCTTCTAAGACTTCTCTTAACCATTCTCCTGTGTTAATTCCACCCATTGTTGGACATGAGGTCTTTCTCTTGGTATACACCACTACTTCTAATCACTCCCTAATAAGAAGTGTATAGAGACAAGATTCATGGGTCCTTATATAGCTATATTGTCTTTATTCATTACATATACTTGAATCAAAATATGACTAATCTAGAATCATATTTTTCAAAATTGTCAAAGCAATTCTGAAGTTTGTGTCATTTACCTCCTTGTTTTTAATAATAATTGTATCAAACATGCTTGCATCTGTAAATAATTTGTTGCATAGTTTTGCCATTTTTGAATTCTAAAAAGTGGAAACATGAATTATTTTGCAGCTACCTCTTTTCTGTCAAGCTTGTTTTTGAGGTTTATCCACATTGGTGCATATAACTTTAGTTCTTGCTTTTAAAAAAAATTTTACTGAGGTATAATAATTCCAGTGTTTAAATATACAACAACTTATTTACTTATACTGGCATTCAAAGTTTGAGTGGACTCCAGGATTTTGCTATCACAAACAGTGCTGATCTGTCTACAATAGTACAACAGTATTGTAAATGTCTATCTTTAGTGTTTTCAGCATATATAAAAGAGTAGAATTGTGGGAACATTTGATAAATACATGTTGAACTTTAATAGGTAGTGTGATACAATTTCCAAAGTATCACTTATACGACCACCTGAAGTTTCTGTTGATCCACGTCTTTGTCAGTACTTGACTTTAGCTGATTTCTTAATTTTTCTTAATTTCGGGACATAGACATTGTCCCAAGTATGGATTCTCAAGTATTTATTTTTATTCTGTAAAATCCTGCTAATGTTTATTGATCTTAATAAAATGGATTTTTTTGTTTTAATTTGTATTTACCCATATGATAATGAAGTTGAGCATCTTTTCATGTTCCTGGGCTCTTTGCATATCCTATTATGTGAAAGATGTCTTTATAACTTGCTAGTTTCAAGTTATTAAATTGTCAGTTTTTTATTTATATGAGTTCTTTATTTTAGATATGACACAGTTGTCAACTAAATGTGTAGCATATTTTCTCTCCAGCATACAATTTGTTTTCATTCTCTTTATGTTACTGTATCGTGAAAAAATATTCTTTAATGTAACTTAATTATAATGGATTTAGTTAATTCTTTTAAAATAATCAATATGTTTCCTTATTATTTGCTTTATGACATTTTCCACCAGAACTTCTTCTTTATTCAAAGGTCAAAATTAGGATAAAGTCTTTTCAAAAAATAATTAAAGTTTTTTTTTGCTTTACTATTATATAGGCATACCTAGTTTCATTGCACTTCATCCAAACACACTCCACAGACACTACATTTTTCTTTCTTTTTAAAAAATTTTGGGTTTATGGCAACTCTGTGTTGAGTAATTCTGTTGACAGCATTTTTCCAACAGCATGTGCTCACTTTGTTTTTTTGTGTTATATTTTGGTAATTCTCACAACATATCAAATTTGTTCATTATTACTATATCTGTCATGGTGATCTATAATTCGGGATCTTTGATGTTACTATTGTAATTGTTTTAGGGCACCCGTATAAGAAAATGTGCTTAACTGATAAATGCTGTGTGAGTTCTGATGTTCCATCAATCAGCCATTCCCATCTCTTTCCCTCTCCTTACACCTTCCTGTTCCCTGAGACACACAGTATTGAAATCAGGACAATTACAATGGCCTCTGAGTGTTCAAGTGAAAGGAAGAGTTGCACATATTTTACTTTAAATCAGAAGCTAAAAATGATTAAGTTTAGTGAAGAAGGGATGTTGAAAGCAGGGCTTGGCCTAAAGCTAGGCCTCTTGAGCCAACAAGCAAGCTGTAAATGCAAAGAAAAAGTTTTTAAAGGAAATTAAAAGTGCTACTCCAGTGAACAAACAAATGATAAGAAAGCAAAACAGCCTTATTGCTGATATGGAGAAAGTTTGAGTGGTCTGGATAGAAGATCAAACTAACCACAACATTCCCTTAAGCCAAAGCCTAATCCAGAGCAAAGCCCTAACTCTCTTCAATTCTATGAAGGCTGAGAGAGGCAAGGAAGCTACAGAAGAAAAGTGGACACTAGCAGAGGTTCATTCATCACATTTTAGGAAAAAAACCCTCTCTACAACATAAAAAATGCACGGTGAAGCAGCAAGTGCTGATGTAGAAGCTGCAGCAAGTTATGCAGAAGATCTAAGATAACTGATGAAGGTGTCTACACTGACAACAGATTTTCATTATAGACAAACAGACTTCATTTGGAAGAAGATGCCATGTAAGACTTGCATAGCTAGAGAAGGGAAGCCAGTGCTAGGTTTCAAAGCTTCAGGGGACAGGCTCTTTTGTTAGAGGCTAATGCAACAGGTGACTTTAAATTGAAGCTAGTGCTATTTACCATTAAAAGAATACTGGAGTCCTTAACACTTATGCTAAATCTACTCTGCCTGTGCTCTGTTAATGGAAGAACAAAGCCTGGTTGACAACACACCTCTTTACAGCATGGTTTACAGAATATCTTAAGCCCCATATTGAGAAGTACTCCTCAGAAAAAAATTCTTTTCAAAATAGTGCTGCTCATTGACAATCACCTGCTGCCATTGACATTGTAACTGATTGACAATGTAGTTCATTGACAATGTAACTATGACAGAGAGGTATAAGCGATTAATGTTGTTTTCATCTCTGCTAACACAACATGCATTCTTCAGCCCATGGATCGAGCAGTAATTTTGGCTTTCAAGTCTTATATTTCAAGAAATATATTTTGGCCGGGTGCAGTGGCTCATGCCTGTAATCCCAGCATTTTGGCATGCCTAGGCAGGCGGATCACGAGGTCAGGAGATTGAGACCATCCTGGCCAACATGGTGAAACCCCGTCTCTACTAAAAATATGAAAATTACCTTGGCGTGCTGGTGTGTGCATGTAGTCCCAGCCACTCAGGAGGCTGGGGCAGGAGAATGGCTTGAACCCAGGAGGCGGAGGTTACAGTGAGCCGAGATCACGCCACTGCACACCAGCCTGGTGACTGAGTCAGACTCCACGTCAAAAAAAAAAAAAAAAGAAAGAAATATATTCAATAAGGCTATAGCTGCCATAAGATAGTGAATTCTCTGATGGATTTGGGCAAAGTCAATTGAAAACCTTTTGGAAAGTAGTCACCAGTGGAGATGCCATTAAGAACATTTGTGATTCATCAGAGGTCAAAATGTCAACATTAATAGGGACGTAGAAGTTAATTCCAACCTTCTTTGAGAGAGACTTCAGTGGAGAAAGTAACTGCAGATGGGGTGGAGATAGCAAGAGAATTAGAATTAGAAATGAAGCCTACGATGGGACTAAATTGCTTCAATATAATAAAACTTGAATGGGTGAGGAGTTGTTTCTTATGGATGAGCAAAAAAAGTGGTTTCTTGAGATGGGGTTTATTCCTGGTGAAGGTGATAGGAACATTGTTGAAATGTTCAAATCCTTTGAAACAACAAAGGATTTAGAATATTATGTAAACTTGTTAATGCAGCAGTGCCAGGGGTCTGAGAAGATTGACGCCAATTTTGAAAGTTCTGTGTGGAGGTAAAATGCTGTTGGTAGCATTGTGTGCTACAAACAACTGTTTCATAAAAGGAAGAGTCAATCAATGTGGCAAACTTCATTGTTTTATTGTAAGAAATTGCCACAGCCACTGCAACCTTCAGCAATCACCATCTGATCAGTTGGCAGCCATCAACATTGAGGCAAGATCCTCCAAGAGCAAAATTAGAACTCACTGAAAGCTCAGATGTTCATCAGCAATTTTAGCAATAAAACTTGTTTAAAGTATGTATGTTTTTTAGACATAATGTTATTGCACTCTTAATAGACTACAGTATGGTTTAATGTAAATTTTATACACATAGGGAAACAAAAAATTTGACTCGCTTCTCACTTTTTCAAAATATTCACTTTATTGTGGCCACCTAGAACTGAACCCACAATATATTTCTGAGGTATGCTCGGAATTCATTTAAAATTGATTCCTTAAAATAATATGAGATGAAAATCAAATGTTATTTTGCCTACAATGATAACCATTGTTAGCACATTTTATTGGATAGTTCATCCCTTCCCTCTACTCTGCAATATCTGTTCTGAATAAATGAATTTTTTCACATACAAATATTGGTTTGCTTCAGTACTCTGTATTTGTATTCTATTGGTCTAATTATTTCTTTTTTCACTAATAGCATTTCACCTTAATTATCAAAACTGTACAAGAGATTTTGCTTTCTGATGGAGTTACTTACTTTATATTCTATTTCTAGGTTTATATCTTGGTTATTTTTAAAACTTGATTCAAATTCAAATTTTAAAATCAGTTTGTTGAGTTGTACCAATGCACAGTCCAAACTATTGGGATTTCGACTGCATTGGGAATTGCATTGGAGATGTGGAAGACTTAGAAATACGATTTTATAATACTAAATTTTTCTTTTCAGCAAGACATTTTTTGGTATCTTTCAATAAAGTTTTATAATTTTTAAATAAAGAATTTAAACATGTTTTGTTAGATTTATTCACAGGTAATTTACTTTTTAAAATGCATCTAATAAATATTATAGTATTAAAGTACATTTTCTACTTGTTCCTGAAGTAACAAAATCTAATTTTTAACATTTTTAATTGAAGCATAATGTACATTTAGACAGTGTACATACAACACAATGAATTTCCACAAATGTAGTTCATCCGTGTACTATCTCCCAGATTAAGGAATAGTTGAGATCAAAAGCACCCAATAAGTTCCTTACATGTTTTCTTTCATTATTAGAAATGCTTCCCCACTTTCTGCTTAAGGATATCCACTATCTTGATCCTAAAGGGCATTTCTTAATGTTGGTTCTTTGTGTAGTTTATGTAATTGGAAATATGCTATATGTGTTATTATGTGTCTAGCTTCTGCTCAACATCATATTTTTGAGATACATGTTTACTGTTGCATCAGTGTTAGAGCATTTATCATTGTTGCAACACTGTTAACAACACTGTTAACAATTTAACAATGTTAAGTTGCTATACAGTATTTTATCCTGTGACTATATGAGAATTTATTCATTCTACTCTTGATAGGTACTTGGGTAGTTTTCAGCTATTAGACATAGTGCTTCTATGAAGATTCTAATACATGTCTATTTGTGATTTTTTGCTTGCATTTTGCATGACATACAAAGAATGGAATTGTTGCATTATAGGAAATGTGCATGTTACACCTGCAACAGCCGGTTTCTGAAAAATGTATACTAAATTACCTTCCCACCAACAATGTGTGATAGTATTGATTGTTCCTCATGCTCACAAACACTTTACATTTTCAAGCCTTTTCACTTTAGCAATTCTGGCAGGTGGGAAGTGCTATCTCAGTGTGATTTTAATTTGCATTTTCTGATAAACAGTGGTGAACATTTTTTCATGTTTGCCATCATTTGGATATCATTTCATAAAGTATCTTTCTGAAATATTTGGCCCATTTTTTCTATTTGGTAATCTGTGTTTATTTTTTTATTTATTTAAGAGTTTATTTAGTATTCTAGATCCAAATATTTTGTTAGATATATGTATTGTAAATATCTTCTCCTATGCTGTGGGCTTACTTTTCACTTTCTTACCAATGTCTGTTTATTAACAGAAATTCTGAAATTAATAAAATTCAATCTATAATTTTTTGTAAGCACTTTTTGTGTTATTTTTATTTATTTATTTATTTATTTATTTATTTATTTATTTATTTATTATTGAGATGGAGTTTCACTCTTGTCGCCCAAGCTGGAGTCCAGTGGCATGATCTCAGCTCACTGCAACCTCTGCCTCCCAGGTTCAAGCGATTCTCCTGCCTCAGCCTCCCGAGTCACTAGGATTACATGCATGCGCCACCATGCCTGGCTAATTTTTTGTATTTTTAGTAGAAATGGGGTTTCACCATGTTGACCAGGCTGGTCGTGAACTCCTGACTTCAGGAGATCTGCCCACCTTGGCCTTCCAAAGTGCTCGGATTACAGTTATGAGCCACCGTGCCTGGCTGTGTTCTTTAAAAAAAAAAAAAAAAAAAATTACCCACTCCCATACCATAAAAATGTTCTCCTATGCTTACCTCTGAAAATTACATAGTTTTACCTTTTATTTTTGTCTTCAAATCAACTAGAATTAATTTTTTTGTGAACAGCCTCAGGTAGGGATGAAAATACATTTTTTAAAAAGTGAATAGTCAATTGCACAAGCAACACAAAGTAAAAATATCAAACTATGCTTTTTCTCACAGTATTGAGGTTCTGGTCTTGTGTGCTTCTGTTTCTTAACTATTCTGTTCCATTGCTGAGTTTTTCTATCCTTGTCCCAATACCACTGGACTGTCATCACATCTGGTATTGTTAAATCTTCCATGTTTTTTCCTCAGTATAGCCTTTGTTGTTCTTGGCAACTTGCATTTCTATATAAATTTTAGAACTGTTTTGTCAATTTCTGCCATACGAGAAGCTGATATTTTCACTGGGATTGTTTTCAAAATGTAAATTAATTTAGAGGACAATTGTCATCATTATAATATTGTCTTTTAACTCATGAACATGGTATATCTCTCCATTTCAGTTTCAAAATTTTTTCTTAATAATGTTTAGAAGATTCAAGTGGAAATGTCTTGTGAAACTTGTGATATATTTATTCCTAGGTATTTGATATTTTTGTGCCATTTAAGTATTTTTATTTTAGTTTCCATTTTTATTTCTTAACAAGTACAGAAGGTAAAATTAGTTATATTTTGTATTGTGTGCAAGTCAAAATGTTAAGTTTGCTCATTAGCTCTAATAATTATTTCTAGTAAATACTCATAGATTTTGTAGGCTCACAATATCTCCAAATAATGACAATTTAACATTTTATTCACCAATGTTGATGGTTCATTTATACTATTTTTCTTGACTTAATTTACCAGCTAGAATTTCCAATGTACTGATGAATATAAGTTGTTATAGTAGATATCTTTGTCTTTTTCACTTTTTCAGACTCAGGGGGACTATTTTAAATATTTATAAATTGGTATAATAATTGCTGCGAATTTTGGTAGATATTTCTTATCACATCGAGGAGTTCTCTTCTTACTCAAGTTTACTCAACACTTTTTGGTTTATTTTTTAGAAATCATAACTGGTGTTAGAGGTTTGCTAAATTCTTTTGCTGCTTCAGTCAATAATCTCTTGATTGTATTTATGTGGTGCTTGAGATTGACTGATTTTTTTCAAATGTTGGACTAACCTTATGTATCTCACATATTGTAGCTACTCTTTAGAGGTATGATGGATCTCCCCACAAAGTCTGGTTCAGGTGTCAAGACCTACACACCAAGAAACGATGAGAAGAATTATCATTCACATGAGACTTTCTGGGGCAAGCAGAGTGGCTACCAAACAGGTCTTAAAATGGCTTGAGAAATCCAGGTAAGGAGATTGGCTTGAAATTGTTATGGTGATTAGGGGATGGGTCTAGGATGAAAGTTCCACTCATGGTTTGAATTTTATATCAGCATCAAAGAAGAAAAAAAGCCCTGGTTTTCTTATTAGCTTGTCCCTATGTGAGGCAAAGGGGAGAGAGGGAGGAGTGAAGCCTAAAATCTATGAAGAGTTAAACATCAGAAAATAGAGTCAGACTCTTTGTTACAACCTGGATATATCTCACTGATTCATGACATATTTTCCTTTTTTATAAACCAATTAATTCAATATGCTGAGAGTTTACTTACATTTTTAGCATCTTATGTTTAGAAGAGAGGCTGTTCTGCAATATTCCTTTCTTGTAAGAGCCTTCCAAATTTTAGAATTAAGGTAAACTAGACTCTTAAAAGGAATAAGAGATGGTTCTCTCTTTTTTTCTTCTCTAGAAGATTTGTTTAAGATTTATCTATTTTTGTTCCTAAAATGTTGGAAGAGTTCATAGGCAAAACCATAAAAGCCTGAGGTTTTAATTGTAGAAAGGTATAATAATAGTTTGAATTATTTTTGTTAGAAGACTAATATTAATATTTTTTACTTCTCTTTCAGCCAATATTGGTGAGTTGTATTTTTGTGCCATTTTTTTCAAATTAAATTTATTCATATGAAGTTGTTCATAATATTCTCCTGTTATATTTTAGCTATTTGTAGAATCTACATTCTTGATATTGGTAATGTTTTGTTCTCTACTTATACCTTGAACAATATTGCTTAGTTAGATCTTCATCAATTGTATTAGTTTTCCTTGGTCCAACTTTTGACTTTATTCATTTTCCCTTTTGAATACTTGTTTTCTATTTTATTAATTTCTGCTGTAATTTTGTATAATGTCTTCGCTTTTCCAAGTTTGAATTGCTTTTCTTTTTCTTCCTCAAGAACATAGTGTGTTTCATAAACGTTGTGATATGGTTTGGCTCTGTCCCCACCCAAATCTCATCTTGAATTCCTATATGTTGTGGGAGGGACCCAATGGGAGGTAACTGGATGTGGGGGCCAGTCTTTCCCATGGTGTTCTCTTGGTGGTGGGTGGGTCTCATTAGATATGATGGTATCATAAGGGGGAGTTTCCCTGCACAAACTCTTTTTTCTTTGCCTGCTGCCATCCATGTAAGATGTGACTTGCCCCTCCTTGCCTTCTGCCATTATTGTGAGGCTTCTCCAGCCATGTGAAACAGTAAATCCATATTAAACCTCTTTCTTTTGCAAACTGCCCAGTCTTAGGTATGTCTTTATAAGCAGCATGAATATTGACTAATATATGTCACATGTGTACTTGAAAAAATGTATGAATCATATTGTTATTGGATGCAATATTCTTCATAAGTCCATTAGGTCAAGTTTCAAATATTTTTGTTTATATATTGTATATTCTTTCTGATATTTTTTCCTACTTGGGCAGTTAACTAATGAGTGAGATATATTAAAGTCTAGGTGTCTGCTGATTTGTCTATTCCTCTTTTAGTTCTGTCAAATTTTGCTATATATGGTTTTAAGGTATGTTTTATGTGATTCAGATTTAGGATTATGGTATCTTCAGTTGATCCTTTTTCATTACAAAATGTCCCTGTTTTCCCATAGTCTATTTTGTCTACTATTATTACAGCTTTATCAGCTTTATTTTTGTTGATATTTGCTCGTGTGTTGTATTACTTTTATATTCAACCTTGTATATTCTTATATTTAAAGAGTAACTTTTCAAAGCACCATGAAGTTGGATTTTGTCTTGTTTATTCTAATCTGACAATCTTTGAGGACTACAAAGAGTAGTCAATTTGCTTCGAATGTAATTACTGACACATATAGAGTTCTATTTAGCCTCTTACTACGGTCTTTAATTTACCAGTTTTGAGTTATTCTTTCCTCTATTTTTGCCTTAATCAATCATTATTTACTTATTATGCTGTTAATTTTATTTATTTATTTTTAATTTTTTCTGTGATTATCCCAGAGATAATAGCATAATCCTTGCTCTAAAGGCTCATGGTATATCCTGCTGTACCATTTAGAGGTTCATAGTCCCTAATTTTTATTGAGAACATAAATCAAAAATAATTCCAAATAAACTGGGTTTTTTTCCTTGTAAAGTGAATATTTCATTAACATTCGGATTCTTTTAAATGGAAGTGTTTTGGCTAAATTTCCGATGAGTTAAATCTCTTCCTGTGGTTACCCAAATGTGATAATTGCCATTTTTTTCAAATTACATTTAAGTTGTTCATAATATTCTGTTATATACCCAAATATCACATTTGGGTAACCATGTGTGGTTTTCACATAAATTTTTAATATAAACTTTTTCATATAAAATTTTTTTCCTTATGCTTAGATTCCATTATTAAAACAATGAAGGGACTTCTATTTTGTAATACCGTTTTCTGTGTAATTTAAATTAGGTCCAGTAGAACTACAAATGTTATACCAAGTTTATACTTTTGATTCATGTAAAAAAAAAAAAAAGATTCCACTCTAATCCTGATTAGAAATAGTGGAATAAAATGATTTTTCAGTATTCAAGAATCTATTAATTTAAACAGAATATTTCTTTTAAATTTCTATTTAATTACCTAAACTCACATAGTTTCCAACAAAATAAATATTTCTCATCATAAAATGGTTCTAATTATGTAGCATATCCTAATCCCTTAGAAAAATAGTTTAACACTGTAGAAAAGATAAATGGCCATTAAAAAAGAGAAATGGAGGGTCCAAGATGGCTGACTAGGAGGAACTAGTGTGTACCACTCTCACAGAGAGGAGACAGAATGGCAAGTAAACAATAGCTCTAATGTGGGTTTTCCAGTGCTCCATGTTGGGTTTTATCAAGGAAGCAACAGTGACCCACAGAGAGCAGACAGGAGCAAGGCAAGACAGCTGCCCACCTGGGTTTGGAAAGAAGCCAAGGAAGGCTCCCCAACATGGGGAAGGGGTGAGTGAGCAAGAGCCCCCAGGGACCTACACTCCTGCCACAGACCTTTACAATCCTGGGCACAGACAATCCCCACTGACCATCCCCTGCCAGCCCGGAGGCCTCCAGACAGACACAGGGAGCTACTTGGAGTCTGGGCATAGCCACAGCTCAGGGCCCATGTGGAGCCCAAAGGGCCTTGGATCCCTGAGTACCCTGGTCCTAGCTGCTATAGGCCCATCAACAAGGGAGGCCAGGCTCTTTCATGGCCCTCATGACAGGGGCCGCATCCATGGTGGCAACTTGTGGAGGCACTGCAGGCTTCACCTGTGCTGCACCTCAACCAGGCAAAGCCCACAGGCCTGGGACTACAGCACAGCCATACCACCCCTATTTTAGCACTCCTGTCAGTCATGGCTTTTCATTTCTCTGGGACAGCTCCCAGAAGTGACCCATGGGCCCACTGCAATTGCTGCTGCCACAGGCCGACCACTACTACCCTCATGCTGGGGAGGGTGCAGAGAGCCCCAAAGCTATAATGAGTCTCTAGCAGGCGGTAGAAAAGCAGCCAGACTGTCTTCTATATGGGTACCTGCTCCTTTGGCTTCTCACTGGGCAGAGCCTCCCAACCTGGATCCCCAGCTGGATCCACAGCTGCCCTACATCCATCTGTTCTCTTTAGTCAGTGGTGGCTCTGCATCTCTGGGGTGGTATTCCCAGAGATAACCAAAAGGCTTTCTTCCCTTTGCCTCTGCAATGGTACACCCTTATTTCCCTCAGGCTAGGAAGGAAATAAAGACCCTGATCGCTTTGCTTGCACCTTCAGCATGCCACAGCTACCCTACAGAGAGGAAGTCAATCTCTTCCCTGAGAGCCCCCAACCCCCTGCTTTTCAGCAGATGAAGCCTCCAGCTTGAGCCCCCAACTGAACATTCCCTTTGGCAGTGGCTCTGTGTCGCTCTGAGGTGGATTTCCCAGAAGCAACTGATAGCCCCTGTGCTACTGACAAGGCCACTGTAGTGCTACCCACCCTTGCTGCCACCAGGCTGGGGAAAGATCAAAGAGCCTGAATGCTTTACTTGAACCTCCAGCACACCATAGCTGCCCTATGGAGAAGAGGCCAGACTATCTTCCCTGCAAGCCCCTCATACCCCTTGCACTTTACCAGGCAGCACCCTCCCCCGCTACCACCAGTTTGGGCCTACAATGCAGCCACCCCATCCCCAACTGAGTGTTCCAGTTGCCAGTGGCTCTGCATTTCACTGTGGTGGAGCTTCCGGAGACAAGTGACATGCCCTCTGCCATTGACATTCCCAAGGTTTCCACACTTGCTGCCCCCAAGCTGGAGAGAGAATAAAAAGCCTGAACTTTTTATTCAGTCCCAAGCTGAGGTCTGTGGCAAACACCTGAGTGGAAGAGGAACCCACACTTTCAGAGCACTGAGATGGAACGTAGTTGCAAATGTGAGGGAGTACACAGGAGTCGTGCAGCTGAGAAAGAGCCTATATACCAGCCAATACGAATAAACACCAACTATTGGATTGCAGCCCAAACTACAACATAAAAAAGTACTTTACTAATATATGCTGCTATGTAAAAGCAAGGGCAGGAATTCAGCCACAAATCCCCTGCACAAAGCCATGGCCCTCTGAAAACATCCAGAAACAAAATCAACTAATTATACTCAAATTACAACATAGTTAAAGGAACATCAGCCCACACAGATGAGAAAGAACTAGCACAAGAACTCCAGCAACTCTAAAAGCCAGCTTATCTTCTTACCTCCAAATGACTGCACTATCTCCCAAGCAATGGTTCTTAACCAGACTAAAGTGGCTGAAATGACAGACATAGAATTCAGAATCTGGGTGGCAATGAAGAACATTGAGTTGAGGAGAAATTTAAAACCCAATCCAAGGAATCTAAGGAATCCAGTAAAATGATTCAAGAGCTGAAGTACAAAATAGCCATTTCAAGAAATAACCAAACTGAGCTGATAGAGCTGAAAAACTCACTACAAGAATTTCATAATACAATTAGAAGTATTATCAGCAGGATTGACCAAGCTGAGGAAAGGATCTCAGAGTTCAAAGACCGATGCTTTGAATCAAGTCAGACAAAAAAAAAAAGAATTTTAAACAATTAAAACCTCAGAGAAATATGGGATTACATAAATAAACCAAATCTGCAACTCATTGGCATCCCTGAAAGAAAGTGAAAGAGAGCAAACAATTTACAAAACATATTTGAGGATATTGTCCATGAAATTTCCCTAACCTCACTAGAGAGGTCAACATTCAAATTCAGAGAGCACTTGTGAGATACTACAGAAGACAACCATCCTCAAGACACACAGCCATCAGATTCTCCAAGGCCAACATGCAAGAAAAAATATTGATGGCAACTACAGAAAAGGGGCAGGTCACCACAGGGGAAACCCATCAGGCTAATATTAGACTTTTCAACAGAAAACCTACAAGCCAGAAGGGTTTGGGGCCTATATTAAGAATCCTTAAATAAAAGAAGTTTCAACCAAGAATTTCATGTCCAGCCAAACTAAGCTTCATAAGCAAAGGAGAAATGAAATCCTCTTTAGGCAAGCAAATGCTAGGGAAATTTGTTACCATTAGACCTGCTGTACAAGAGGTCCTTGAGGGAGTGCTAAACATGAAAACAAAAGGCTGTTCCTGACCTCCACAAAAACACACTTCAGTACATAGACCACTGACACTACAAAGCAACTACACAATGAAGTCTACATAACAACCAGCCAGCAATACAAGGATAGGATCAAATCCACACATATCAATATTCACTTTGAGTATAAACAGTCTAAATGTCCCCCGCAAAAAACAAAGAGTGGAAAGTTGGATAAAGAAGAAAAACCCAGTGGGTCTTCAAGAGACCCATCACACATGCAATAACACTCATAGGCTCAAGCAAATAGGTGAAGAAAGGTCTATCAAGAAAAGACTGTTCAAACTTTAAACCAATAGCAACCCCTGCTCTTTTTGATTTTAAATCATTATTTAAACCTATGGTGATTAAAAAGGACAAAAGGGCATTACATAATAATGAATCATTCAATTCAACAAGAAGACTTAACTATCTTAAATATATATGCACTCAACACTGGAGTACCCAGATTCATAAAACAAGCTCTTAGAGACATACAAAGAGAGTTAGAAAACCACACAATAATAGTGGAAGACATCAATACCCCACTAATAGTATTAGATAGATCACTGAGTCAGAAAACTAACAAAGATAATTGGGACCTAACTCAACAATTGACTAAATGATCCTAACAGACATCTACAGAACACTCCATCCAAAACAACAGAATATACATTCTTTTCATCTACACATGGGAGATACTCTAAAACTGAGCACATGCTCAGCTATGAAGCAATTCTCAACAAATTCAATAAAAACAAAATCATGCCAACTATACTCTCAGACCACAGTGCAATAAAAATAGAAACCAATACCAAGATCTCAAAAAACTATATGATTACATGGAAATTAAACAATCTGCTCCTGAATGACTTTTGAGTAAACAATAAAATTAAGGCAGAAGTCAAGAAATTCTTTGAAACTAATGAAAACAATGAAACAACATACCAGAATCTCTGAGATACAGCTAAATCAGTGTTAAGAGAAAAGCTTAAAGCACTAAACCCGCAGATCAAAAAGTTAGAAAGATCTCCAATTAACAACCTAACATCACACCTAGGAAATTGGGGTGGCGGGGGGGGGGAAGAGCAAACCAACCCCAAACCTAGCAGAAGAGCTAAACTGAATAAAATTGAGATGCAAAAAAAGCATACAAAAGATCAATGAAACTAAAAGTTGGTTCTTCAAAAGAATAATTAAGATTGATAGATCACTAAACTAATTTTAAGAAGACAGAAGATCCAAATAAATATAATCAGAAATGACAAAGAAGACATTACCACTGACCCCACAGAAATACAAAACACCCTCAAAGACTATTATGAATACCGTATGCACACAAACTAGAAAATCTGGAAGAAATGGATAATTTTCTGGAAACATATGACCTCGCAAGATTGAACCAGGAAGAAATTTAAACCCTGAAAAGACCAATAACAAGTTCTGAAATTGAATTACTAATAAAATATCTACTAACTAGAAGAAGCCCCTTTCCAGAAGGTTTCACATCCAAATTCTACTAGACATATAAAGAAAAGCTGATAACACTCCTACAGAAATTATTTCAAAAAATTGAAGAGGAGGAATTCCTCCCTAACTCGTACCATGAGGCCAGTATCATTCGGATACCGAAACCTAGCAGAGACATAACTAAAAGAGAAAACTTCAGGCCAATATCCTTGAGAAATATCGATGCAAAAATCTTTAACAAAATACTAGCAAACCAAATCCAGCAGTACATCCAAAATATAATCCACCATAATCAAGTAGGCTCTATTCTTGGGATGCAAGGTTGATTCCACTATGCAAGTCAGTAAATATGATTCATCAAATAAAGAGAAGTAAAAACAAACAAACAAACAGGAAACCCACATGATCATCTCAATAGACACAGAAAAGGCTTTCAATAAAATTCAACATTCCTTTATGTTAAAAACCTTCAACAAACTAGGCATCAAGGGAACATGCTTCAAAATAAGAGCCATCTATGGCAAATGTTATACTGAATGGGCAAAAGTTGGAAGCATTCCCCTTAAGAACTAGAACAAGACAAAGATACCCACTCTCATCACTCTTATTAAACATAGTACTGGAAGTCCTAGCCAGAACAATCAGGCAAGAGAAAGAAATAAAAGGTGTCCAAATATGAAGACAGTAAATCAAATTATCTTTCTTCACAGGCAATGTAATTCTATACCTAGAAAATCCTATGGTCTCTGCCCAAAGGCTTCTATATCTGATAAACAACTTCATTAAAGTTTCAGGATACAAAATCAATGTACAAAATTAGTAACATTTCTATACACCAATAATGTTCAAGCTGAGAGCCAAATCAATAATGCAATCCCATTTGCAATAGACACAAAAAGAACTAAATGCTTAGGAACACAGATAACCAGGGAAGTGAAATATCTCTACAGTGAGAATTAGAAAATACCACTGAAAAAAAATCAGAGATGACACAAAGACATGAAAAGTATTTTATGCTCACAAATAGGAGGAATCACTATCATTAAAATGGCTATACTGACCAAAGCAATTTACAGATTCAATGCTATTTATATAAAACTACCAATGACATTCTTCACAGAACTAGAAAAAAATTATTTTAAAATTCATATAAGTCCAATAAAAGGCCTGAGTAGCTAAGGCAATCCTAAGCAAAACAACAAAGCTGGAGGCATCATGTGACACAAAAACAATATTATAGGGCTACAGTAACCAAAACAGCATGGTAGTGGTACAAAAACAGACACATAGACCAATGGAACAGGTTAGAGAACCCAGATATAAAAACACACACCTACAACCGTCTGTTCTTTGACAAAGCCCGTATTATCAAGCAATAGGGAAAAGGCTCCCTATTCAATAAATGGTGCTGCACAGTTGTTTAGCCATATGCAGAAGATTAACACAGGATCCCTTCCTTCCACCAAATACAAAAACCTACTCAAGATTGATTAAAGACTTAAATTTGAAAACCTAAAACTATAAATGCCCTAGAAGAAAACCTAGGAAATACCATTCTGGACATCAGTCCTGGCAAAGATTTTATGATGAAGACTCCAAAAGCAACTGTGACAAAAACAAAAATTAACAAGTGGGAACTAATTAAACTAAAGAGCTTCTGTGCAGCAAAATAAACTATCAACAGAGTAAATAGACACCCTACAGAATGGGAGAAAGTAAAGTATTTGTGAACTACGCATCCAACAAAGTTTTAATATCCAGCATCTAAAAGGAACTTAAATTAACAATTAAAAAACAAAACAACCAAATTAAAAGTGGGCAAAGGCCATGAACAGACACTTCTGAAAAGAGGACATACATATGGCCAACAAGCATATGAAAAAATGCTTAACATCACTCATCATTAGAGAAATGCAAACCCAAACCATAATGCAATATTGTCTGACACCAGTCCAAATGGCTATAACTAACAGCCACAAAATAACCCACACTGGCAAGGCTGTGGAAAAATGGGAATGCTTATATACTGTTGGTGGGCATGTAAATTAGTTCAGCTACTGTGGAAGGCAGTTTGGAGATTTCTCAAATAACTTAAAACAGAACTACCGTTTGACCCTTGCAATTTCATTATTGAGTATTTACCAAAGGAATGTAAATCATTCTACCCTAAAGATACACATGTATGTCCATCACAGCCCTATTCGCAATAGCAGAGACATAGAATCAGTGTAGATGCCCATCAATTGTAGACTGGATAAAGAAAATGTGATACACATACACCGTGGAATACTATAAACCATACAAAACAGCAAAATCATGTCTTTTGCAGCAACATGGGTGAAGCAGAAGGCCGTTATCCTAAGCAATTAACATAGCAACAGAAAGCCAAATACCACATGTCCTCAGTATAAGTGGGAGGTAAACACTGAGTACATATGGCCACAAAGAAGGGAACAATAGACACTAGGGCCTAGTCGAGGGTGGAGACTGAGAGGAATGTGAGGATCGAAAAACTACCTGTTGGGTACTATGTTCAGTACCAGGGTGATGAAATAATCTGTACACCAAATCCCCATGACATACAATTTACCCATGTAACAAACCTGCATCCTCTGAACCTAAAATAAAAGTTGGAAAGAAAAGAATTTTTAATAAAAAAAAATAAAAATAATTTAAAAATAAAAAAGAAATAATTTACTTCTGCAACTTATCTAGCATAATAAAAATCAAAAAGGCTAGTTAATCATAATTAGAACATTAATGCCTTTGGATCTTTAATAGATTCTACATTTTTATAATTATTCAAGGCCAGGTGTGATGGCTCACTCCTGTAACCTAGAACTTTGGGAGGACAAGGTGGGCAGATGACTTGAGCCCAGGAGTTTGAGACCAGCCTGGACAACATGGTGAAACCTCATCTCTAAGAAAAGTGCAAAAATTAGCCGTAGTATGCTCCTTTAATTCCAGCTACTCGGGAGGCTGAGGTGGGAGGATCATCTGAGGATAAAGTGAGCTGTGATTGCACCATTGCACTTCAGCCTGGGTGACAGAGACCCTGTCTCAAAAAAAAAAAAATTATTCAGGTATTCTTTATGTGCCTTAAGGTAAACCACTGGAGATGCTTATTTTATAGAAGTATAATATCAGCTTACATTTTATTTTATTTTAATAATTTATGTCTCATGAACAAATTTTTGAAATGTTGTATAGCTATTATTTTTTAAATTTTTTTTATTTATTATACTTTGAGTTGTAGGGTACATGTGCACAACGTGCAGGTTTGTTACATATGTATACATTTGCCATGTTGGTTTGCTGCACCCATTAACTCATCATTTACATTAGTTATTTCTCCTAATGCTATCCCTCCCCCATCCCCCGACCCCATGACAGGCCCCAGTGTGTGATGTTCCCCATCCTGTGTCCAAGTGTTCTCATTGTTCAGTTCCCACCTATGGGTGAGAACATGTGGTGTTTGGTTTTCTGTCCTTGACATAGTTTGCTCAGAATGATGGTTTCCAGCTTCATCCATGTCCCTACAAAGGACATGAACTCATCATTTTTTATGGCTGCATAGTATTCCGTAGTGTATATTTGCCATATTTTCTTAATCCAGTCTATCATTGATGGACATTTGGGTTAGTTCCAAGTCTGTGCTATTGTGAATAGTGCCGCAATAAACGTATGTGTGCATGTGTCTTTATAGTAGCATGATTTATAATCCTTTGGGTATATACCCAGTAATGGGATCGCTGGGTCAAATGGTATTGCTAGTTCTAGATCCTTGAGGAATTGCCACACTGTCTTCCACAATGGTTGAACTAGTTTACACTCCCACCAACAGTGTAAAAGCATTCTTATTTCTCCACATCATCTCCAGCACCTATTGTTTCCTAACTTTTTAATGATCGCCATTCTAACTGGTGTGAGATGGTATTTCACTGTGGTTTTGATTTGCATTTCTCTGATGACCAGTGATGATGAGGATTTTTTCATGGGTCTGTTGGCTACATAAATGTCTTCTTTGAAAAGTGTCTGTTCATATACTTTGGCCACTTTTTGATGGGGTTGTTTGATTTTTTTCTTGTAAATTTTTTAAAGTTCTTTATAGATTCTGGATATTAGCCCTTTGTCAGATGGGTAGATTGCAAAAATTTTCTCCCACTCTGTAGGTTGCCTGTTCACTCTGATGGTAGTTTCTTTTGCTGTGCAGAAGCTCTTTAGTTTAATTAGATCCCATTTCTCAATTTTTGATTTTGTTGCCATTGCTTTTGGTGTTTTAGTCATGAAGTACTTGCCCATGCCTATGTCCTGCATGGTATTACCTAGGTCTTCTTCTAGGGTTTTTATGCTTTTAGGTCTAACATTTAAGTCTTTAATCCACCTTGAATTAATTTTTGTATAAGGTATAAGGAAGGGATCCAGTTTCAGCTTTCTACATATGGCTAGCCAGTTTTCCCAGCACCATTTATTAAATAGGGAATCTGTTCCCCATTTCTTGTTTTTGTCAGGTTTGTCAAAGATCAGACAATTGTAGATGTGTGGTGTTATTTCTGAGGCCTCTGTCCTGTTCCATTAGTCTATATCTCTGTTTTGGTACTAGTACTATGCTGTTTTGGTTACTGTAGCCTTGTAGTATAGTTTGAAGTCAGGTAGCTGATGCCTCCAGCTTTGTTCTTTTGGCTTAGGATTGTCTTGGCAATGCAGGCTCATTTTTGGTTCCATATGAACTTTAAGTAGTTTTTTCCAATTCTGTGAAGAAAGTCATTGGTAGCTTGATGGGGATGGCATTGAATCTGTAAATTACCTTTGGCAGTATGGCCATTTTCACAATATTCATTCTTCCTATCCACGAGCATGGAATGTTCTTCCATTTGTTTGTATCCTCTTTTATTTTGCTGAGCAGTGGTTTGTAGATCTCCCTGAAGAGTTCCTTCACATCCCTTGTAAGTTGTATTCCTAGGTATTTTATTCTCTTTGTAGCAATTGTGAATGGGAGTTCACTCATGATTGGGCTCTCTGTTTGTCTGTTGTTGGTGTATAAGAATGCTTGTGATTTTTGCACATTGATTTTGTATCCTGAGACTTTGCTGAAGTTGCTTATCAGTTTAAGGAGATTTTGGGCTGAAGCAATGGGATTTTTCTAAATATACAATCATGTCATCTGCAAACAGGGATAATTTGACTTCCTCTTTTCCTAATTGAATACTCTTTATTTCTTTCTCTTGCCTGATTGCCCTGGCCAGAACTTCTAACACTGTGTTGAATAGGAGTGGTGAGAGAAGACATCCCTGTCTTGTGCCAGTTTTCAAAGGGAATGCTTCCAGTTTTTGCCCATTCAGTATGATACTGGCTGTGGGTTAGTCATAAATAGCTCTTATTATTTTGAGATACATTCCATCACTACCTAGTTTATTGAGAGTTTTTAGCATGAAGGGCTGTTGAATTTTGTCAATGGCCTTTTCTGCATCTATTGAGATAATCATGTGGTTTTTTTCTTTGGTTCTGTTTATGTGATGGATTACATTTATTGATTTGCATATGTTGAACCAGCCTTGCATGCCAGGGATGAAGCCAACTTGATCTTGGTGGATAAGCTTTTTGATGTGCTGCTGGATTCAGTTTGCCAGTATTTTATTGAGTATTTTCACTTCGATATTCATCAGGGATATTGGTCTAAAATTCTCTTTTTTTGTTGTGTCTCTGCCAGGATTTGGTATCAGGATGATGCTGGCCTCATAAAATGAGTTAGGGAGGATTCCCTCTTTTTCTATTGATTGGAGTAGTTTCAGAAGGAATGGTACCAGCTCCTTCTTGTACCTCTGGTAGAATTCAGCTGTGAACCCATTTGGTCCTGGACTTTTTTTGATTCGTAGGCTATTAATTATTGCCTCAATTACAGAGCCTGTTATTGGTCTAGTCAAGGATTCAACTTCTTCGTGGTTTAGTCTTGGGAGGGTGTATGTGTCCAGGAATTTATCCATTTCTTCTAGATTTTCCAGTTTATTTGCGTAGAGGTGTTTATAGTATTCTCTGATGGTAGTTTGTATTTCTGTGTGATCTGTGGTGATATCCCCTGTATCATTTTTTATTGCATCTATTTGATTCTTCTCTCTTTCTTCTTTATTAGTCTTGCTAGCAGTCTATCAATTTTGTAGGTCTTTTCAAAAAACCAGCCCCTGGATTTATTGACTTTTTAACAGGTTTTTTGTGTCTCTATCTCCTTCAGTTCTGCTCTCATCTTAGTTATTCATTGCCTTCTGCTAGCTTTTGAATGTGTGTGCTGTTGCTTCTCTAGTTCTTTTAATTGTGATGTTAGGGTGTCAATTTTAGATCTTTCCTGCTTTCTCTTGTGGGCATTTAGTGCTATAAATTTTCCTGTACACACTGCTTTAAATGTGTCCCAGAGATTCTGGTATGTCATGTCTTTGTTCTCATTGAACAAGAAATAAAGAACATCTTTATTTCTGCCTTCATTTCGTTATTTAGCCAGTAGTCATTCAGGAGCAGATTGTTCAGTTTCCGTGTAGTTGTGCGGTTTTGAGTGAGTTTCTTAATCCTAAGTTCTAATTTGATTGCACTGTGTTCTGAGAGAGAGTTTGTTGTGATTTCTCTTCTTTTACATTTGCTGAGGAGTGCTTTACTTCCAACTATGTGGTCAATTTTGGAATAAGTGCAATGTGGTTCTGAGAAGAATGTATATTCTGTTGATTTGGGGTTTGAGAGTTCTGTAGATGTCTATTAGGTCTGCTTGGTGCAGAGATGAGTTCAAGTCCTGGATATCCTTGTTAACCTTCTGTCTCATTGATCTGTCTAATATTGACAGTCGGGTGTTAAAGTCATCCAATATTATTGTGTGGGAATCTAAGTCTCTTTGTATGTCTCTAAGGACTTGCTTTGTGAATCTGGGTGCTCCTGTATTGAGGGCATATATATTTAGAATAGTTAGCTCTTCTTGTTGAATTGATCCCTTTACTGTTATGTAATGGCCTTGTTTGTCTCTTTTGATGTTGGTTGGTTTAAAGTCTGTTTTATCAGAGACTAGGATTGCAACCCCTGCTTTTCTTTGCTTTCCATTTGCTTGGTAGATCTTCCTCCATCCCTTTATTTTGAGCCTATGTGTGTCTCTGCACGTGAGATGGGTCTCCTGAATACAGCACACTGATGGGACTTGACTCTATGCAGTTTGCCAGTCTGTGTCTTTTAATTGGGGCATTTAGCCTATTTACATTTAAGGTTAATATTGTTATGTGTGAATTTGATCCTGTCCTTATGATATTAGCTGGTTATTTAGCCCATTAGTTGATGTAGTCTTTTCCTAGCACTGATGGTCTTTACAATTTGACATGTTTTTGCAGTGGCTGGTACCGGTTTTTCCTTTCCATGTTTAGTGTTCCTTCAGGAGCCCTAGTAAGGCAGGCCTAGTGGTGACAAAATCTCTCAGCTTTTCCTTGTCTGTAAAGGATTTTATTTCTCCTTCACTTATGAAGCTTAGTTTGGCAAATATGAAATTCTGGATTGAAAATTCTTTTCTTTAAGCATTGGCCCCCAATCTCTTCTGGCTTGTAGAGTTTCTGCCGAGAGATCTGCTGTTAGTCTGATGGGGTTCACTTTGTGGGTAACCTGACCTTTCTCTCTGATTGCCCTTAACATTTTTTCCTTCATTTCATCTTTGGTGAATCTGACAATTATGTGTCTTGGGGTTGCTCTTCTTGAGGAGTATCTTTGTGGTGTTCTCTGTATTTCCTGAATTTGAATGTTGGCCTGCCTTGCTGGGTTTGGGAAGTTCTCCTGGATAATATCCTGAACAGTGTTTTCCAGCTTGGTTCCATTCTCCCTGTCACTTTCAGGTACACCAATCAAACGTAGATTTGGTCTTTTTACATAGTTCCATATTTCTTAGAGGCTTTGTTTGTTTCTTTTTAATCTTTTTTCTCTAAACTTCTCACTTCATTTCATTAATCTGATCTTCAATCACTGATACTCTTTCTTCCACTTGATCGAATTGGCTACTGAAGCTTGTGCATGTGTTACATAGTTCTCGTGCCATGGTTTTCAGCTCCATCAGGTCATTTAAGGTCTTCTCTACACTGTTTATTCTACTTAGTCATTCGTCTAACCTTTTTTCAAGGTTTTTAGCTTCCTTGCGTTGGGTTTGAACATTCTCCTTTAGTTTGAAGAAGTTTGTTATTATTGACCTTCTGAAGCCTACTTCTGTCAACTCATCAAAGTCATTCTCCATCCAGTTTTGTTCAATAGCTGGCAAGGAGCTGCAATCCTTTAGAGGAGAAGAGGTGCTCTGGTTTTTAGAATTTTCAGCTTTTCTGCTCTGGTGTATCCCCATCTTTGTGGTTTTATCTACGTTTGGTCTTTGATGATGGTGACCTACAGATGGGGTTTTGGTGTGGATGTCCTTTTTGTTGATGATGATGCTATTCCTTTCTGTTTGTTAGTTTTCCTTCTAACAGTCAGATCCCTCAGCTGCAGGTCTGTTGGAGTTTGTTGGAGGTCCACTCCAGACCTGTTTGCCTGGGTATCACCAGTGGAGGCTGCAGAACAGCAAATATTGCAGAACAGCAAATATTGCTGCCTGATCCTTCCTCTGGAAGCTTCGTCTCAGAGGGGCACCCGGCTGTATGAGGTGTCAGTCAGCCCCTACTGGAAGGTGTCTCCGAGTTAGGCTACACAGGGGTTAGGGACCCACTTGAGGATGCAGTCTGTCCATTCTCAGAACTCAAACACTGTGCTGGGAGAACCACTGCTTTCTTCAGAGCTGTCAGACAGGGACATTTAAGTCTGCAGAAGTTTCTGCTGCCTTTTGTTCAGCTATGCCCTGCCCCAGAGGTGGAGTCTACAGAGGCAGGCTGGCCTCCTTGAGCTGTGGTGGGCTCCACCCAGTTTGAGCTTCCTGGCTGCTTTGTTTACCTACTCAAGCCTCAGCAATGGCAGACACCCCTCCCCCAATCAGGCATGCCGCCTCACATTTCGATCTGGGACTAGCTGTGAGCAAGTCTCCATGGGCGTGGGACCCACTGAGCCTGGCACAGGATATAATCTCCTGGTGTGCCGTTTGTTAAGATCTTTGGAAAAGTGCAGTGTTTAGGTGGCAGTGTCCTGATTTTCCCGGTAGAGCCTGTCACAGCTTCCTTTGCCTAGGAAAGGCAAATCCCCCAACCCCTTGCACTTCCCAGGTGAGGTGATGCCCCAGCCTGCTTTGGCTCACCCTCTGTGGGCTGCATCCACTGTCCAATCAGTCCCAATGAGATGAACCAGGTACCTCAATTGGAAATGCAGAAATCACCCGTCTTCTGCATCGATAACGCAGGGAGCTGCAGACCTGAGCTGTTCCTATTTGGCCATCTTGGAACAGACCTTGTGTAGCTATTAAATAAATTAATCATGAATCATGTTTATCAGTTCTATAAATGGAAAAATTTGAAAGTATTTGCTTCTCCTTTCCAACTTAAAGAATAGTGGTCATGACCTAATCCAGGTATTTTGTCTGAAAATGGAAGGTGTCATTTTAGTGTTTGTTTCTTGCATTTTTTCTAAGAGAAATATATCTGAATACAACTGTATTATAAACCTTTGTTATGTAGCAACTTTTCCTAAGGCTATCAGTAGAAATAAATATGATATGATAATATGATGTCATTTAAACTGAAAGTTGTCACCAGCTGGCACAATGGAAAAGAAAGGTTTTGTTAATCCTATGTTATTTACTTATTTTTATTACGGCTCACCCCCCACCTCATCTTATCCAAAAGAAACATCACAAGCATACAAACAAAATAGTCCCTCAGGCAGAAACGTTAAAATATTTGGACTTTTTTTCTTTTCCCACATGACTATTTTTTGGATGCTTTATAGTTGTCCTTTTTTTTTTTAGGAAAAGAGACTGAAATTTAAATCAGTCAGCTTAGAAAATTGTTAGTAGTGACAAATTCAAAAGAAATTCACCTTATTGCCAAATTCATTAGTGTTCCTGAGCCCTCCTTCTCTTGTTTCTTTAAATGATATAACTTTATTAAATACTTTTATTTTACCTTCTCTACCTTTAACATTTCATTATGCCAGTTTGCATTCTCTGATCATTCAATTTCTTTACTTTACTTAGATTCCAAAATATGGATAAGACACTAAGATTTTGCCTTTGGTCATATTCTCATTTTCTCTTTTCACGTGCTCTTCAGAATTTCTTATGGTCCTCAGTATCAGTTCTTCTGTTATCTGTGTTCCCTCTCAGCTCCTGCCCAGAATCATTATCTAGATAGTCCATATTAATCTCAAATTCAACCATCCTCAACAATTAATCATGTCTGCCACTCCTAATTTTAAAAATATTATTGTTCTTTTTTCTCTTGTTGACCTGTCTGCCCTCTGAACAAATAGGAATCCTGGAAATTTAGGCTAATTTTTGGCCCTTCCCTAATGGGTCATATTTCCCAACTTTTGTCAATTTTTATTACACAATTTCACTCAACTCCAGTTCTTCCTTTTGATTTACACTTCTTTGCCTAAGTTTAAGTCCTTCCTATAATTTGTCTGAACTATTATAATTGTCTCCTATCTGTTCTTGAAGATACTAATCTCTACCTTTTCATAGATGCTCCATGACATTACATTTTCTAAAGAATAATTTTAATAATGTCATTTTCTCTTCTGAAAACTTTAGGGGCTTCCAGGTACATGCTGAGTAGGTAAATATCATCTTATATTTTCTTGAAGGTACAGAAGCCAGAATCAACATTATGAGTGGCCTAATTCTACTCCAATTCCTGCGGTGGACTCTTTCTGGCCTGAATCAACTCTACAGATTTATTTTCCTCATCTGCTGAGAAATGTTGCAGTGTTTAGTACAGGAGATAGAAACCATTTTAGGCTTTTTAACAAAGAAGTTATTTATACAGATTATTAGATGCTTGTAAAATTTTTGGAAGGGCTAGAGACAGGGAGATCAGAGAGCTGTCACTAGGTGTCAGAGTAATAGCACTACAATTGTCATCCAGAGATCAGGAATCAGTGGAAAATGGTGATCAATTTAATGGCTGCCACCACTCCAAAAACCAGTGACTAGAGAATAAAATGTAGAGTACAATGTCCTCAAGAACCATTGACACAGGAAAGGGAATGGCTTCTGCCTTCCTTCTACCTTCCAAAATTTATATGGTTGGATCTCATTGGCAGAGAACCTCAATCATATTCATAAGGCTAGTGGTCAAGGAGTCTGGAAAATTTATAGTCTAACCTTTCAACCCATGCAATATAAAGGAAATATTAAAGATGGTCCACATGGATTCTGGATGCCAGAGGTCAATATCCAGACCATGAGGTTGGCTTGATGACTTTAGTATTCTGTTTCAAACATTCCTTACTTTAGAACAGCTAGTAACAGTTGTGCCAGCTGTGCTGTGCACATTCAGACACTACTGCCCAGCCTTCATTCTGGCTCTCTCAATATTATAGATGGAATTAATATAAAGAGAGGTCAAGTAATAATATTTTGAAAATATGTAATCCTAATGGTTCTATGTCAGCTTCTGTCCAGTAGAACTAAATGTAAGTTGCATAGGTACCTATTTAGTAGCCATATTTTAAAAAGTTGAAAAAAACAGATGAAATTAGTTTTAACAACATTTTATTTTAATTATGTATTTAATTCCAGTATATAATGTAACATAATAATGAAATATTTTACATTATTTTTTCATACTATTGATAATATAGTGTATATCTTACACTTAATTTTTAAAGTTTTTAATTTTTGTGGGTACATGGTAGGGGTATATATTTATGAGGTACATGAGATATTTTGATACAGGCATACAATGTGTAATCACATCAGGATAAATGTGGAATTTATTACCTCAAAAATTTATCCTTTTTGTTACAAACAATCTAATTACACTCTTAGTTATTTTTATATGTATAATTAAATTATTATTGACTATAATTGTTGTGCTATCAAATATTAGTTCTAATTCCTACTTTCTTAGTGGTAACCACCTCCAGTCTCCCCTCCCCCATTACCCTTCCCAGAATCTGGGAACTTTCCTTCTACTCTCTATCTCCATGCATTCAATCATTTTAATTTTTAGCTCCCACACATGAGTGAGAACATGTGAAGTTTGTCTTTCTGTGCCTGGCTTATTTCTCTTAACATATTGATCTCCAGTTCTGCCCATGTCTTCCAAATGACAAGATCTCATTCTTTATTATGGCTGAATAGTACTCCATTGTGTATATGTATCACATTTTCTTTACCCATTTATCTGTTGGTGATCATTTATTGTGAATAGTGCTGCAATAAACATAGGAGTACAAGTACCGCCTTTGCTGGGCAGAAGATTTTTAACTTGATGCGATCCCATTTGTCCATTTTTGCTTTGGTTGCCTGTGCTTTTGGGTATTACTTTAAAAATATTTGCCCACTTCAGTGTCCTGGAGAGTTTTCCCAGTGTTTTATTGTAGTATTTTCATAGTTTGAGATCTTACATTTAAGTCTTTAATCTTTCTTGATTTGATTTTTGTATGTGGTAAGAGACAGGGGTCTAGTTTCATTCTTCTGCATATGGATATCCAGTTTTCCCAGCACCGTTTATTGAAGATACTATCTTTTCTCCAAGCATGTTCTTGACACCTTGAAAATGAGTTCACTGTAGATGTGTGGACTTGTTTCTGGGTTCTCCATTCTGTTCCATTAATTGGTCTATGTGTCTGTTTCTATGCCTGCCCATACCATGCTGTTTTGGTTACTATAGCTCTATAGTATAATTTGAAGTCAAGTAGTGTGATTCCTCCAATTTTGTTCTTTTTGTCAGGATGGCTTTGGCTATTTTGTGGTTCCATATCAATTTTAGGATTTTTTTTTCTATTTTTATGAAGAGCATCATTGGTATTAATAAGGATTGCATTGAATCTGTAGAATGGACATTTCAATTTAATATTAATCCTTTCAATCTATAAACATGGAATATTTTTCCATTTCTTGTGTCCTCTTCAACTGCTTACATCAATGTTTTACAGTTTTCATCGTAGAGATCTTTCACTTCTTTGGTTAAGTTAATTCCTGGGTACTTAATTTTATTGGTTGGCTTGTTTAGCTGTTGTAAATAAGATTCCTTTCTTGACTTCTTTTTCATATTGTTCACTGTGGGCATAGACAAATGCTTCAGATGTTGGCATGTTGATTTTGTATTCTGCAACTTTAATGAATTTGTTTATCAGTTCCAACAGTTTTTTGGTGGTAGATTTTTCCAAATATACAATCATATCATCTGCAAACAAGAATAATTTGACCACTTCCTTTTCGATTTTTATGCCCTTTATGTCTTTCTCTCTTCTGATTGCTCTAGCTAAGACTTGCAATACTATGTTGAATAACAGTGGTGACAGTGGGCACCTTTGTTGTGTTCTATATCTAATAGGAAAGGCTTTCAGTTTTTCCCATTCAATCTGATACTAGCTTTGGGTCTGTCATATATGGATTTTACTATGTTGAGGTATGTTCCTTCTATATCCAGTTTTCTGAGATTTATTAATATGAAGTGATGTTGAATTTTATGAAATGCTTTTTCAGCATCAATTGAAATGATCGTATGGTTTCTGTCCTCCTTTCTATTGATATGATGTATCACATTGACTGATTTGCATATGTTGAATCATTGATTTGCATATGTTGAATTTATCCGTGGGATAAATGCTATTTGGTAATGATTAATAATCTTTTTAATGTGTTGTTGAATTTGGTTTGCTAGTATTTTGTTGAGGTTTTTTGCATCAATATTTATCAGCCTTGTTTTCCTGTACTTTTCTGTTTTATATGTGTCTTTGTCCATTTTTGGTGTCAGTGTAATACTGGCCTTACAGAATGAATTTGGAACTATTCCCTTCTCTATTTCTCAAAATTATTTCAGCAGGATTGGTATTAGTTATTATTTAGATGTTTGGTAGAATTTTAGCAGTGAAGCCATTGGGTCCTGGGCTTTTCTTTAATGGGAGAGGATCTCAAACTAACAGATTAGTTTGTACAGTTTTTAGATTTCTTCATAGTTCAATATTGGTAGGTTGCGTGTGTCTAGAAATTTATTCATTTCTGCTAGATTTTTCAGTTTATTGGCATATAGTTGCTCATAGTAGCCCCTAACGATCTTTTGAATTTCTGTGGTTTCAGTTGTAATGTCTCCTTTTTCATCTCTGATTTTATTTATTTGGATCTTCTCTCTTTTCTTGGTAGTCAGGCTAAAGGTTGGTCAATTTTGTTTATCTTTTTAAAGAACAATTTTTGTTTCCTTGATCTTTTTATTGTTTTCTGTTTTAAAATTTCACGTACTTCTGCTCTGATGTTTATTATTTCTTTTCTCCACTAATTTTGGGTTTGGTTTGCTCTTGCTTTTCTAGTTCTTTAAGATGCATCATGAGGTTATTTATTTGAAGTTTTTCTTCTTTTTTGGTGTAGGTACTTGCAAGTATAAACTTCCCTCTTAGTACTGCCTTTGATGTATCCCACAGGTTTTGATATATTTTGCTTCCATTATCATTTGTTTCAAGAAATTTTTCAATTTTCTTCTTAATTTTTTAATTGACCCACTGGTCACTCAGGAGCATATTGTTTAATTTTCATGTGTTTGTATAGTTTCCAAAATTTTCTCTTGTTTTGATCTCTAGTTTTATTTCATTGTGGTCAGAGAAGATGCTTGCTTGATAATATTTTAATTTTTTGAATGTTTTATCACTTGTTTTGTGACCTAACATATGGTCTATCCTTGAGAATGATCCATGTGCTGAGAAGAACATGTATTCTGCAGCTGCTGGAGAAAATGGTCTGTAAATATCTATTAAATCCATTTTGTCTATAGTGCAGATTAAGTCCAATGTTACTTTGTTGATTTTCTGTCTGGAAGATCTGTCTAATGCTAAAAGCATGGTGTTGAAGTCTCCAGGTATTATTGTACAAAGATCTATCTCTCTCTTAAGCTGTAATAATATTTGCTTTATATATCTGGGTGCTCCAGTGTTGTGTCCACATATATTTACATTTGTTATATTCTTTTGCTGAATTGACCCCTTTATCATATATAATGACCTTTGTCTCTTTCTACAGTTTATGTCTTGAAATCTATTTTGTCTAATATAAGCATAGCTACTCCTGCTCTTTTTTGGTTTCAGTTGGCATAAACTAACTTTGTACATCTCTTTATTATCAGTCTATGTAGGCCTTTATAGGTGAAGTGTGTTTCTTGTATACAATAGATAATTGAGTATTTTTTTTAAATCCATTTAGCCACTCCATGTCTTTGGACTGGAGAGTTTAGTCCATTTACATTCAATGTTATTATTGATAATAAAGACTTCTGCCCTTTTGTTATTTGTTTTCTGGTTGTTTTATGGTTTTCTCTTCCTTCTCTCCTTCCTTTCTGTCTTCCTTTTAGTGAAGGTGATTCTCCCAGTAAGACCCTTTTTTAGCTCTTAACTACCAGAATTGTAACATATTTGTATGGTTTTAAGCTACTATAGCTATGGTAACTTCTTGCAGCAGCAATGAGAAACTAATCCCTTAGTTTTGAAATTAGGTCTTACCAAGTTAAGCAAATTTACTAACTGTTATGACAACTGAGTATTCTAAAAATATAGTTCAGACTTCTAAGTCCTCCTAGTCCAGCCTCTAAGGAGCCTGGAAGTCATCACTTCATCCTAACAAGTTAAAACCTGAATTAACTGAAAAATTAATAACTCTTCTTATAACTATCAGAGAAGTGAGGTCACAGAGCCCAGACACCTTATATCCCGACCTCAGAAATCATCAGTACTCCAGTGTCTAGCCTTTGAACTTGTGACTCACATCTGTAGGCCCTCAGGATCTCAGATCTATGGCCTCAGACTGAGAGTTACACTATTCTATTCCCTAGTTCTGAGGTGTTTGGACTTGGACTGAGCCCCCGTACCAGCTCTCCTGGTTCTAAAGCTTACAGGCAATCTATTGTGGGATGTCTCAGCCTCCATAATCAAGCGAGCCAATTCCCCCTAAAAAATCTCTTTTTATATATTTCTCTATATATCCTATTGGTTCTGTCTCTCTGGAGAATCTTAACTAAAGTAATAGCCAATGCAATGTTGAAGAAGAAGAAGAAAGTTGGAGGACTCCACCTCCAAGTTATCCTCTCACCTCAACCTCCCAAGTAGCTGGGACCACAGGAATGTACCACCATGCCCACCTAGTTTTTGTATTTTTTATAGAAATGGAGTTTCATAATGTTGCTTAGCCTGGTCTCAAACTCCTGGGGGCAAGCAATCTACCTGTCTCAGCCTCCCAAAGTCATGGGATTGCCAGGGTGACTCACTGTGCCCAGTTTTAATAAATCCAGATTTTTGACCTAACATAGCTGAAGCACCATCTGTCATGATAGAAATTAATTTTTGCATATCCTCTTGAAATTATTCTTTGGCAGATGTAGGAAGTGTAAAATATCTATACTATGAATTTGATATTTTGTGCTGTGAATTGAACTTTCTTTATAAGACTGGAAGTGTTTTGACACAAAAAGCACCCAAAGTGTTAATTGGGCAGTACTGCTTTTATCACACAACTAATCTAAAGCTAAAGACACGTTCTTGCAAATTTTTAAACTTTGAATAAAAACACCATTGATATTGTTAGAAAATTTCTATAGGTTATTGGTTTAAATAAGGTCTTTCACTGTGAAACATCTTTTTTAAAAGAAGCTTCATAATTTCATTAAAAAATTTCTATAACTGAAATTACAATTTTATTTACCATCTCTCTATCTAAAAAAATGTTGTATTGCATTTGTCTGCAAAAATCTAAGCCATTTTCATCTGGCCAAAGTTACACTCTTAGTTCCTGTTAAAAATTGTTTAATATTTTTGTTAGACATTAATTCTGATTTCATGTGGTTGATTTTGTAGATTTTTTCTTTTTTGATATCAAGAGAAAACTTCACATCAAAGTTACTATCTACTTGTTGACATGTAATATTTCCCACTTTATTGTCTTTAAATTTTTTACACCACAATAGTATACTTTGGTTTGTTTGTTTTGCTTTCCTACAGCAAATTGCAATGGCCAATGGTTATGAAATATGTGCCATGCCTCCTTCCAGCATCTTTTTTCCTTTAGTATTCTGGACATAGTATTAGCACCACCATTTTCACTTGATTCTGTATCAGTTATATGTCTTCATTTTAAGTAAAAATAATTGTCCATATTTTTAAAAGTATAAAAATAAATTAACATATTTACTATATAAAAAGCATTAAAATTTGTCTACCACTTACAATTTACACGGATATCACTATATTTCATAAAGTCCTCATAAGATATTAATGTATAATAATATTAGGTGGTGATTTTCTATGGCCTTTTTATATATCTTGTAGCAGATTTTGTCCCAGACCATCTTTTCAAGGATGTTCACATAACAGACAGCCTTGGAAGCTAGAGGTAATGTCTCCCTCTGAGTGAGGGGGAAGATCTCTTTCCTGACAAAGATAATAGTTAATATTTCCCTCAAGGGCAAATGTTGGGCAAGTTTGCTAGCAGCCCCACTTTATAAGATTAGTAGTTTCCTAATCTCAGTGTTCCTCCGTTGGGAGACAGATCCACGGAGTGCTCAGCATCCACCTGGGCTTACTCTACATTGCCCCCAGGGACTTTGGCAACCAAAAGGGCCAGCGAGAATATGAAGCTCATGTGGTACCTCTTATGCTGTGTCTTTGGTCTCTGCAACTTTTCAGAAATCCTGAGAGCTATTCAACCTTTTCTAATAAATTCCGTTTCTACTTGAATTAGTCAAGGTTGTTTCCTGTCATGACTGAGAATCCTGATGAACAGAGCTCTAAAATGACAACCTTGAATTTCTTTATCAATATTCCACATATAGAGGGTGTGGGCCTCTACACTGCACACATATGGCTTGCCACTTTCAGGAAAGTTATTTACAAAAGATGAATGATCCTATTTAATTTTTTTAAGAGACATTGTCTTGATCCATCACGTAGGCTGCAGTAGCTAAGTGTGTAAATCCTTTTGGGCTTGTTGTTTTCTTACAGACCATATCTGTGGAAGTGTGGAAAGGAAACCCAGAAGGTTTACACAGTTCTGCTTAGGAACTGTTTGATTCCTTGACAAAAAACACATTGTAATGTTACAGTGTTATATAGAAAATGTAATTTAAACTGAACCACACTGCCGACACCAAGTACACCAATGATGTGTCTATGTGTAATGGCATCAATAACACACATGCCTATTATCTGCACTAAAATACACCAATAATATTTTAGACCATTCATGGCTAAAGGAAACAGTCAATGAAACAATAAAGTTGTGCTAAAAAGAAAAAAATTCACCCTGCTTTGTGTTTTACATTTAAATTTAAGCTTGTTAAAATTAAATAAATTTTAAAATTCTGTTCTTTACCATATTTGCAACATGAACTTAATAGCCATATGTGGCTACTGGGCTTTTATTGGATGGTATAGTTCTGAATTGTATACTCCTTACTCTAATTGCTATTATCTATTTATCTATCTCCCCCATACACATGTATCTATACACACATACGTACATGCAAATGTATATACACATATGTGCTCTTCCACCGTTTATCAATATCTTAATTTCATTAAGCATTATCAAACATTTCATGAGGTCGCTTTCATTTTATTTCAAGTCTTTAATTACAAGCATCTACAGACAGAATCATTTTTGGAATAGGAAGAACAAAACAATATAAGAAACGGAGTATGTCAGATTAACTGATAGGGTTCTTCAGATGTTGGTACATTGGTTTTTTAAATCAGGACATATCAAGTTTTTTTATACAGTCATATCAAGTTTCTATGGGAACTACATTTTGAGCCTGAATACATATTATTCTCAAATTTAAAAATCTTGCACATTTCTTATCCAAACAAGCAATGGATTCAGAACTAAATAGGCTCATTAAAACCATTCTATGCCTGTTTCCAGGCGTGGTGGATTAGAGCAATTGCAGCATTATTTGGTATTATTGTCAGAATAAACTGAAAACTACTCTCATGTCTCTACTTAACAACTCAGTGCTCTTAGTTTTATGTAATTAAATGCATGTTTAGTAATTAAGTAAGGTCTGGGCTCAGTGGCTCATGCCTGTAATCTCAAGTACTTTGGGAGGCTGAGGGAGAAAGATCACTTGAGGCCACAAGTTTGAGACCAGTCTAGGCAACATAGTGAAACCCTATCTTTACAAAAAGAAAAAAAAAAAATTAGCTAAGCATAGTGGCACATGCCTGTAGTTCTAGCTCCCTGGGAGACTGACGAAGGCAGATCCCTTAAGCTGAGGATTTCTAGGCTGCAGTGAGCTATCATCACCCCGATGCACTCCAGCCTATGTAACACAACAAGACCTTGTCAAAAAAAAAAAAAAAAAAAAAAGGAATTAAGCAGGACCACTCATCATTTATCAGTAAATAACTTTCCTGAAAGGAGGATGTGAAGCCATATATGTGCAATGTAGATGCCCACACACTATATGTGGGATATTGATACGGAAATTCCAAGATTGATGTTTCAGAGCTCTGTTCATCCGGATTCTTAGTCACAACGGAAGGCAACCCTGACTAGTTCAAGTAGAAAAGGAATTTATTAGAGAAGTATTGGGTAGCTCTCAACATTTCTGAAAAGTTGCAGAGACCAGGCTTGGGAGCGATTAAACCAGAAACCCAACCAAACCCATGCCAGAGAACTGATCTGGTGAGTTCAGCACGGACACTGTTGCTGGCACAGACAGGGCAGCTTTTCCCATGAGCCACAAACATTGACTGCTGTCCCTAAAGCAACTGTCACTGCCCCTGCCCTTGCCAGAATGAATTCTGCCTAGTCCAGCTTCCTAGTTCAACTGGCCTTTGAGTCAAAGTCTAGGATGGGTATGTCCGATAGGTTGCCAGTTTAGCTGCAAGAGATACAGATTTTCAGACTCAGTTCTGGGGTGCGGAGCCCAGTTTCATAATGTAGGGGAGTTCCCTAATACGGGAAGGAGGTTTAGATAGAAAGAAAGTAAAGAGAGAGAAAGAAAGAAGATAAAAAGAAAGACGAAAAGAGAAATCAAGAAAAGAAAGACATTTTTCATCACAGTGCCCTTTTTAAAAGATAAAAGAAAAGCTATTCCCTTAACCTTTATATCAGGATGATATGGCATAATGGTTTGAGATCCTAATGTCTCAAAATGAACTTACTCATGTCAAGTGTATTGAGTAAGGTTGTTTACTCCTCAAAGAAATAAACATGTGTAATGGACTGAGGTGATAACACCTGTTATTGCCCAGTACCACCAGAAACCTGAAATGAACCAATAGAAATTGAATTCAAGATGTGGCTGAGATGATGAGAATAGGCACATCTGCGGAGGGCCAGGCAAGCAGCAAGAATCTGACTTGTCCAAGACGCATTTAGACTCTGCTCATAAGAACTCTGATGCCTTCTCCCTACTTGGAGTCAGCAACCAGAGGCTCTGGCCAGAGAGAAGCAGTGACTTCCCAGCTGATTAGTGTCTGGAAGACTTTTGGACCCACTGAACCCCTCTGTCAGCATGCTGGTCTTCCAAGCCATCATTGTGGTTTGTTGCCCCCTTTTAAATTACTGCCTGTGTATTGAATATTAATTGCATGATTGACACTGTGTGAAAGTCTCCCAACAAACTGTGAATTTGAACATACCTAATTGGCTATTGAGTCATTGTGAAGCCTCTCAACTTTGGTAGGAGTTAGCACAAACCTAGCACAACATAGAAACATTTTGCACCACCAACTTTCTTGGATGTACAGTGTTCAAATATCAGATCTTGGAAGAAGGTGACTAAATTAGCCTCAGAGAACCTATTACTTCCACTGATGAGGCTTTTCCTTTACAGGAAATGGTCTACATTTTATCAAATCTATTTTTTTTAATTTTCTAAAGTAAACATAAATACCTTTCATTATATAGAAGTGTATCTACTTAAAAATATATAATTATTTAAATTTGTTCCTAGGCTTCTCTTGAATTAAGTTATTATGCATATGCCTTTTGTTAATATTTCAAAGAGGCAGTTTGGTTTCATGGAACAAAAAACTCAAGTCAGAAAGACCCACTCTTTATTGGCCAGATATATGACATGAACGGCAATTCTGTCAACTACAATGGGGGAAATAGTACCCATTCCCAAAGATTCTTATGAAGGCTAATTCACAGTGCACATACCAGGTACCAGCTCCTAGAGAGCTAAGAATGAGTAAGATACAATTCTCTCAGTGTTCAGAGTCTAGCAGGAAAAACAGGAATGGGTCCCAGCCAAAATGATGCTGGGACATAAGTTATTCCAGGAATATATATATATATATATATAGTTATACAGTAGTAATTTTCAAGAAGGAATGAGATAAAATTTAATTTCTCTGAAGAATGTGTAGGAGTCCCAGTTTGCTAAACAGAGACTATAATTCACTAAATAGAGAAATTGGTATGTAGGAAGAATAGGAAGATGGATTGATACAAAGAAGAAAAATGAGAATTCCAGAAAGGAAAGAAAGCAATCAAAGAAACCTTCAAGGAACTTTCAAGGAACATGTGGGGCTAGTTTGTGAAGGTTCTTTTTGTCATGTTTCACTAAAGCCTGAATACCAGGTAAAAAATAATAACAATTGAGTGAAGGAGAACATGCAATGGAGGCTGAGAGGGACAGTAGCCAAAGACTCGTGTGTGCCCCCACCTAAAGCGGGGATCACCTAATGCAACATAAGGCAATTGTTGCTCCATGAGGACTCAAGTCCAATACAGTCAGGCCTTCTGATTTTATTCAGAGAAACAGAAATATCTGGATATTTATGGGAGTTCAACAACTTGTCAAGAGTTAGCAACAAATTCACATCTTTTGAAAACAGCAAAGTATCAAATCTGTTCGTTGATTGAATCCAGTTTGAGGGCCAGCAGGCTTCAAACTCTGCTCTAGACAATAAATGTCATTGGGGCTTACAGCCAGGTACTGATGTGATCTCACCTTTGCCTAAGTTGCATGAGAGATAGAAAGAAATCATACTTGAATCAAGAGGATTATATCAAAATCTAAGGAAGAGCTTTAGAAGTGGCAGCAGAGCTAAGCAGAGGATAAGATACAAGGTATGGTTTGGAGGTCAAACCCATAAGACATCACAACAAACAAAATAGAATAGGTAAGAAGGAAACAAAGATGGGTCCAAAGTCCTGAGATTTAACTAACTGAAGCTATGTTGAAACTATCAACTATAAGAGTGAAATCAGCAGGAGAAGAAAAATTGAGATCCGGAAAAAATACACTGAGTCCATTATTTAACATCTTACATTTGAAATAGAGCTGCCCAGGTAGAGACATTCAACAACCAACTAGTAATAAAGGTTTGGATTTCAATAAAGAGATGAGGCATAAAATTTGATATTTTCATTAATTAATTTTAATTGAGGTATAATTAAATGGAGTAAAATATATAACTAGTAAGTGTAGAGATCAAGAGTTTTGATAAACACCCACAACTGTCTTACCAATATTCCTATCAAAATTCAGTACATTGCCATTAACTTTGAAGGTTCCCATTTGATCTTTCATAGAAAATCACCCTCTTCTCAGGGGCAATAGCTATTCCAATTTCTATCTCCATAAATTAACTTTGTCTGTTGTTAAACTTCATGTAAATGGAATCATACAGACTTCTTGGATCTGTCTCCTTTCACTCAACATGAAGTTTTTGATATTTAATTTGTGTATTAGGAGTTCATTCTTTAAATTAATGTGTTGCTGAGTAATATTCTGTTGCATGAATATACCACAATATGTTTATCCATTCTCCGCTTGATGGATATTTAGTTTGTTTCTAATTATTTGATATCCTAAGTAAAGTGGCAGTGAATAGTCTTTGCAATTACATGTAAAGCTGCAGTGAATATTCTCACACAAATTTTGGGAGGACACAAACATTTTCATTTCTTTTGAGTACATACCTAGTATCAGAATTGCTGTATCATAAAGTAAGTGCATTTCCAGCTTTGTAAGTAGTTGCCAACATGATTTTCAACATGACTGTATCATATAATATTCAGAAAAAATTAATGAGAGCACAGTTAATTTGTGCCCTCTGTAACACATAGTCTCTACTGTCAATCTTTTTAATTTTAGTCATTTTGTGGGGTGTGTTGAAGTAGCTCATTGTAATTTCAACTTATGTAGCTAATAACCAATTACTTTGATCATATTTTTGGTGCTTATTGGCCATTTATATGTCTTATTTTTTGAAATGGTATCTAGGTCTTTTAGCCACTTTTATTGTTTTAAAATTATTATTTATTTGTAGGAATCTTTTGTTGAACACATACAGAGAGAGACTATTTCCTCATAGTCTACAGGACTTTTTGTTTTTCTAATAATATATTCCAATGAGCAGGTTTTTAAAACTGCTATAAAACGAAGTTAATTCTTTTCTTTCACGTTTTGTGATTTTAAAATTTTGTGTAAGAAAACATTTGCCTTCCCCTAGGTCACAAAGATATTCTCCTATGCTTTAACTTGATAGTTTTAGCTTTTTCATTTGTTTATAATCTATCTCAAGTGAATAGTTTTATATTGTTAGGTAAGGGTCAAGGCTAATGCTTTTTTCACATATATATCCAGTTGATCTAGCATCATTTCTTAGAAAGATTGCCCATTAAATTGCACTGGTGCCTTTGTCAAAAATCAGTTGACCTTATATAGGTGAATTTATTCATGTACTTTCTATTCTCTTCCATTGATCTATTTGCCTATCCTACATCAATATCACACTCTCTTAATTAATGTAACTTTGAAAATATAGATTTTGTCATTGAGGTATAGACAAGCTAATATGTCTAGAAAAAAAACCCACAGGGAAGAGATGAAAACCAAGAAAGGAAAAAACACTGATGCTCATCAAAATAATATGGAGTAGCCAGAAGAAAACTTGCCAATAAAAAAGACAGGGTGCTCAGAAAGACAGGGGGAAACCACAAATGGAGTATGGATAAGGAAATCAAGAAAGAAAAGGGTTTTGAGAAGGAAAAGTTTCCAGAAGGTTTTCATGCTGCAGAAAGCTATACAGATTTTGACAGTTTTGACAAAAAGTCGTTGATAACCTAAGTGAGAGCAGTTTCAGGAGAGATGATGGCATCATGGCATATATTTATCTAATGAATATCTACTGCCTATGCATACTGCAAAGTACTACGAACAAGAAAGATATAGTGGCAGGCTTTCTGAACTTTATTGTCCTACAAATCCATAGATTTTATATTCCCATGAGGAAAGAAAAGAATAAGAGATGAAGAGAAAAACAAACCCAAGGCAGAAAAAATTTTTATAGGTCAACATGAGAGACAGAAGTAACATTTGGTGGTTTTATGTGAAACATGTTGAGAAAGGAATTTTGTTTGTTTCAGTTTCAAGGCAAGGAATAGTTCCATCAGGTTTTAGGCCAAGGGGAGGATAAGAGCAGGAAGAGGGGGATTGAAAAATATTCTGGGGAAAGTGGAGTAATGATGGATTGAGGCACATAAAGAACATAAGGTGAGATTCTCTCAAAAAAGCAAAAATAAGGATTGAGTTTTGAAAAGGAAGATTTATTTATTGCTTCCTAAGGCAGCTAGAAAGTAGGAAGGGCAGAGTAAATAGGAACAAAAGTAAAATTGGGAGGAAGAACATCATTCATGGGCTGTCTGTCTTTCAAGAAAGAATTTCACTGAAAGGTCTAAAGTGAGAGACCTACAGAGACTGATGAAGGGCTGAGAGAGCTCTTATGGGGAATAATAGAAGGAACTGATTGGCATAACAAAAAGGAATGGTAAAAAGTACTAAAGACTCACCAAAATGTAGACAGTGTGCACTAAGATGCAATCTTAATATGCAGATGAACGATTTTCTCCAGAGTCCATTACTGTCAGGGCAAAGGAATGGGAGAATTGGTGGTGCAAGGGAAGAGAGATCCTAGATCAGATCAGCTTTGAAGGGTATGTGTAGTACAAAGGTAGGAGCTGGAGAATTTGATTCTTTTGGGAATTGTATTTGAAATAATCGCCAATAAGATTTAATACAGAAGAAAAGTAAGTTAGGAGATCAACTAAGAGATATTTAAGGAACTTGGGGTTGGGAAAACAAAACAAAATGCCAAGAGAAATGTAGAAATATGAATCTATGATCCAATGGTGTGCTGAAGCCAGTCTGTACCAGCTAAAGAGAGCTGATTGTGGACCTGTCATCCCACCTCTGTAGTCAGTGACATTATGGTGATAACTTGCAATTAGCCCCAGTGCAAGTATTTGCCACATGATAATCAGCAAACATTATAAATCAGGCCCTTACTTTTCTATTTCCCTACCTCAAATACCAGTTGCTACAGGATACCCCTGCTGTTATCAGATAGTAGTATTTCCAATTTTCTTTTTCCCAGTGTAATAACTAAGTTAGGATATGATTAGGGGAATGGAGATAGTTATTATAAAATATATTTTTAGTTATAATTGTAAATATCTTATGAATAATGGCACTAAAGTCATCTAAGATGAGGTCGGGAGGAGAGGGTGGTGGTGAATTGAGAGTGAAGAGTCTCCAATGTGCGGGAAAGACCATGATGTCATTGAAAACACTCACGATGATGAAGAGAAGATAGGAGACTTCAATAACATGAAGTTAATAAAATGGAGAGGTTAATAATGGTGGTGGTCAGTGAAATGATTATTTGAAAGGCCACAATAATGAGTTAGAAATATTAATTGAGCTAGTATAAGTTAAATTTCACACTAAGTTCTTTTGCCAGTAATTTCAAAAGCGAGAAAAGGGATTATAACTTGAAACTCAAGAATATTTACTCCACTCAGACAAGATTTCTATCTTCTATTATAAACACTTTTCTCTTTAATTGTGGAAACTTCCCAACACTTGAAATAAGATAATCTACCACCCATTAAAAAGCTCAATTTTCACCCTTACATCTATTTTCATAAATCACTTCACGCCTGTAATTGGTACATTCTGCTTAGTATTGAAAATACTTTAATAATATTTAAAGATTATCATGTTGTCTGCTGACAGGCCTAACATGTTAAACAGAAAGTAGTTACCATCTGATAAGCTAATGAGAAATTAAAAGTCCAAGCATTAGAGCCATGAGATTCTCTTTCTTCTGTTATATTATTTTCCCTGTAAAAGAAACATTCCTCCAATGTTCTGTCTCATGTTAAAATACAGTATAATTTATTGAATAATGGGAGAGAACGATTCAAAAATTACCCACAAACTGGATTTGCTTGTGGAAAGAGAAACAGACATATTCATTTTCCCAAACACATTATTAGAATCTTAATAAAAACAATGGGGGAAATAACAAATAAAACCATGTACATCTTAAACATAAAATAGCTAAAGAAGAGTTCACACACATCCCCACGTGAATTATACTTCCTTAAGGACGTTGAAACACCTGGCAATTTGCTTGGAAATGGACATAAACAAAGGACATGCTGTTGGAATTTGATCTCAAGAAACCTTGAGAAAATGCACTTGGGAAAGCTTTTTGTACTTTTAACTATCTTGTGAAACTCACATAAATAAGACTCATTCAACAAAATTCCTAATATAATTATCTGATGTTCACTTGAACTTCTCACTGTCTTTGTGAAGCCCTCAGTCCCTTCAACCAAATGTTCTTAATAATCATTTCAATATACCAAGTACAAACATATGTGCATTGTTAGAATAAAACTATGCTTGTTCATTTCAAGATGGTGAAACAAAACCCACAAAATATATCCCTGAACTCCAGCTCATGTTTAATACAGTAATGTGTTTTTACACTATCTCCCTGATACATTACTCTTTTCTCTCCTCACTTCTGGGAATATGAAGTCTCAAGCATGCGGGAAAAGAAAGCTCCCACCTTTTTTTCCTGAGCCAAGTTTACATTCAGGACAAAAAGCAATGAATTGTTTCAGCCAGAAAATGTTCAATCTCCCAGCTCTAAACTTGTGGTTGTAGACAAGGGGTGGTCCATGCTATAATTCTTGCTAGAAATTTCCCAGCAAGATTTAATGAGTACTTAAACACTCTTTAAAAGTTTTTAACAGTGAGGCAGGTTGGGTCAGGGAGTAGAGAAAAAAGCATGGAAATAAAAAAGTCTCTTAATTTTTGCCAACCTCTATACTTCTACTCTACTGATTGCTTACTGATCAAGAACCCTAATTACTGAACTTTCAAAGCTTAACCTGAAGCTTAGAAGGCTTCTGAGCAGTAGAAATGCCAGACCCCAATACAGAGATGTAGAAGAATTCACCAGACCTCAGCCTACAAATATCAGTGAGTGCTATCCACCTTGACTGCACAGAGTAGATGTATGCAGCAAATTCTCCAGGGACCTTGGGCTAGCAGAGTATAGTAAAAGTAATACAGAACTAGGAGTCAGCAAGTCAAATATCTCTGCCACTCACTAATTACGTAACCATGGAGAAGTTACTTAGACTCTGTGCCACGCTCTAGAGGTATGAATTTGAACAATTAAAATAACAATTATGTTGACTATTGACTATTAATCTTTACATACTGATACATACATTTGTATGTATTTGTGTGTATATATGTGAGTATACATGTGCATTTGGTAGCTTTGGATGCTCTTTTCTCTAGTTTTCTTCTTATAAAACAATCTTCTAGATTATGTAATTTAAGACTCACAGCTTATAATTCACTCTTACACTATTCAAATTAACCTGATAATGATTTTATGGTAATAGTTAACATGGGATTGTTTTGATGAATAGAGTATTAGAAATGTTTTTCTTTTCGCAGAGATTTGAAGTTCAGGATAGAAAACAGCATCAATATTATCAGGTATAACCCTTATTTTTATAATATAGACCCATAATCTATGTTATAAAAAGGGGAAGTTGGTTCTGTCATGAAGTGGAGAACTATCTAGGTGTCTTAAACTGATAACACACCTTTGCCTCAAACATCTGTACAATTAAATTAAATTATTTTTAACTTATTTTTTAATGAATACCTACAAAGTAGTTTATGTGTTAATTTGGAAATCATCTGACTTCCTCCTTTTACTCCTGAATGACTATCCCATTATTTAAGAGATTTAGTAAGCTATGAGATGTTGGGAATTATTCTGTGCACTGGGGATTCAGTGATTGAAGAAGAGAAAAATTTTTGCCCTCATGAAGTAATTGGAGAATTGTCCTTGCACTTCCCAAGTACAGCTACTTTCTAGTTATTTAGAATTGTTCTAACATTTTGTACGTATCTCTATTAATTATTTTCAGAATGCACAAGCCACGAACCCCATTGCCAGACTGCTTGTTACATGGCAGGTACACAATTATATTTATAATATAAAAAATGAATGATTGAGCAAATAAAAATAAAAACAACTAAGAGTGGAGAATGATTAAGTCGCTATTTAGAGTTTTATTACAAATGAGTTGCAAAGTAAGTCTATGTATTATTTGGTGTCTAAGCTGAAAATTGAAGAGTTAGTAGGAGTTGTCCACAAAAAAAGAAGAGAAGGGAAGAAGGAAAAATTTGGGCAGAAGCCTGGGGTAAAATTGCCATGATCGAAGAATGTAAACTGGTTCAATGTGGCTGAAGATAGAGTAATTGGTGGTGATAGTGGTAAGGAATAGAGGTATACAGCCCTTTGCAAGAAGCTGGCAAATGAACACATAGTGACAGCAGAGTACAGAGATAGACGGAATCTGAATGTGGAAAAAAACACCCGAGATCTAGAAGGTCCAGAGAGACAAATTTCAAACAGATAAATAAGTATTTCAACATGGAGAAATTATTTAATTAGAAATATGGTGAAATGAGTGAAAATCCCATATATGCCTGTCCTGCTTGAATATATTTTATTGAGATTTTCCAGATATAATGCTCATAAATTCTTAGAATATCAGGATTTAATGGGACTAGAATGAGCATTTAATACAACTGCAGCCTTAGTCTAGGATATGATGGTACATTTTCAAGCAAATTATGTGTCCTTCAGGTGAATTACTTATGTAAAAAAGTGGAAGTATTTTTTGTCCTTAGTCATTTATTTGAACTACTTAAAACATTAGTAATATTTTTTCAAAATTACGTGTAAATTTATGAATTTCTAGTCCTTCATAATACATTTACTGAGAAGAGAAATACACATGTATCAATGCATTGACTCAAATAAACCTTCTAATCCTTCAAAGAAGTAGAATATAAATAAATTTCTCAGTGCAACTAGTAACATAATTTATTTTCTTATTAAAAAAACAAAGAAAAATGTTGGAAGTTTTCATGAACATGCATAACTTTTGTTAACATCTTATGAAGGAGTAATTCAAAATATACAATGTCATCCACAGCACTTCAACTGTTTATTGAATATATACATCACTATATATTCCAACCAGGTTAGTGGATTATGTAGAAGACAAAAAAAATCAAACACCAAACATTTGACAAGAAAAATGCATATTGTTAGATGTATGCAAACAAAGATCTCATAAATTCCCAAAAGCTAATAATTGCTTCAGTTACATAGAAACAAATAAACATTATCACATAATGAGCAACAGTCCATTATTTTAAAACTTGAGCCAAAGTCAATTGAAGTTATAATCTATCTTACATTGATATAGGCCATTGATAGTTTGAATTGAACATGAAAATTTTGATGGTGTGATTTTAATTTGATATAAATTTAAAAGCTCTGGAATTTTGGCCAGGCACGGTGGCTCATGCCTGTAATCCCAGCACTTTGGGAGGCCGAGGCGGGTGGGTCACAAGGTTAGGAGATTGAGACTTATCCTGGCTAACACGGAGAAACTCCGTCTCTACTAAAAATACAAAAAATTAGCAGGGCGTGGTGGTGGGCGCCTGTAGTCCCAGCTACTTGGGAGGCTGAGGCAGGAGAATGGTGTGAACCCAGGAGGCGGAGCTTGCAGTGAAGGCAAAGATTGTGCCACTGCACTCCAGCCTGGGCGACAGAGCAAGACTCTGTGTCAAAAAAACAAAAACTGAAGTAATTGATGGTAGAATTTAACATCTAAGTACTTGCTTTCTCATTTTACCCCAACTCTGAGAATAACGATTAGTTGTTTGGGTTAAAGAAACCAAAAGAAGGAAGTGTGAGCAAACTTAGAGTTTGCAGTAAAACTACATTGGGATAATTCTGAATATATTTTTGCCATTTCATTTAGTTTGTTGTCTGAAATGAATGCTAGTATAGCATTTGGCTGTTTAATTTCTTCTTCCCAAAGACATACCTTCGGAGATCAATTGGGTTACTAAATCACTCATGCATTTAATTTGTCTATTCACTTACTTAATAATTGAAAGGAGTACCTACTATGTGCCAAGGAGCAAGAAAACAGCAAGAGACATAGACAAATAATAAAAATAGAAAGTAATGTGTCCGGAATTGGTGGGTTCTTGGTCTCACCGACTTCAAGAATGAAGCTGCGGCACCTCGCGGTGAGTGTTACAGTTCTTAAAAGCGGCGTGTCTGGAGTTTGTGCCTTCTGATGTTCGTATGTGTTCGGAGTTTCTTCCTTCTGGTGGGTTCGTGGTCTCACTGGCTCAGGAGTGAAGCTGCAGACCTTTGCGGTGAGTGTTACAGCTCATAAAGGCAGCGTGGACCCAAAAAGTGAGCAGCAGCAAGATTTATTGCAAAGAGCGAAAGAACGAACGTTCCACAGTGTGGAAGGGGACCCTAGCGGGTTGCCATTGCTGGCTCGGGCAGTCTGCTTTTATTCTCTTATCTGGCCCCACCCACATCCTGCTGATTGGTAGAGCCGAGTGGTCTGTTTTGACAGGGCGCTGATTGGTGCATTTACAATCCCTGAGCTAGACACAAAGGTTCTCCACCTCCCCACCAGATTAGCTAGATACAGAGTGTCAACACAAAGGTTCTCCAAGTCTCCACCAGATTAGCTAGATACAGAGTGTCCACTGGTGCATTCACAAACCCTGAGGTAGACACAGGGTGCTGACTGGTGTGTTTACAAACCTTGAGCTAGATACAGAGTGCCGATTGGTGTATTTACAATCCCTTAGGTAGACATAAAGGTTCTCCAAGTCCCCACCAGACTCAGGAGCCCAGGTGGCTTCACCCAGTGGATCCCGCACCAGGGCTGCAGGTAGAGCTGCCTGCCAGTCCCGTGCCGTGTGCCCGCACTCCTCAGCCCTTGGGTGGTCAATGGGACTGGGTGCCGTGGAGCAGGGGGCGGCACTCCTTGGGGAGGCTTGGGGCCGCACAGGAGCCCACCGAGGGGGTGGGGAGGCTCAGGCATGGCGGGCTGCAGGTCCCGAGCCCTGCCCCTCTGGAAGGCAGCTAAGGCCCGGCGACAAATTGAGCACAGCAGCTGCTGGCCCAGGTGCTAAGCCCCTCACTGCCCGGGCCAGTGGGGCCGGCCGGCTGCTCCGAGTGCGGGGTCCGCCGAGCCCACGCCCACCCGGAACTCGCGCTGGCTCGCAAGCACCGCGCGCAACCCCGGTTCCCGCCCGTGCCTCTCCCTCCACACCTCCCCGGAAGCTGAGGGAGCCGGCTCCGGCCTTGGCCAGCCCAGCAAGGCGCTCCCACAGTGCAACGGCGGGCTGAAGGGGCTCCTCAAGTGCCGCCAAAGCGGGAGCCCAGGCAGAGGAGACGCCCAGAGCCAGCGAGGGCTGTGAGGACTGCCAGCACACTGTCACCTCTCAGTAACATGGTAAGTTAACGCTGTCTTGTAGAAAGGAGAATGAATTGCCTATAGTCCCAGCTACTCGGGAGGCTGAGGCGGGAGAATGGCGTTGAACCCGGGAGGCGGAGCTTGCAGTGAGCCGAGATCGCGCCAAAACACTCCAGCCTGGGCGACAGGGTGAGACATAGTCAAAAAAAAAAAAAAAAACAGAAGAATGAAGCAAGTAGGAAGCAATTCTAGAACTTCTTACAAGTTAATATGAAATGACAAAACATGCTTAATTATAGGCTTTTTACATTGCCTTGCTCTGTGACACACAGAATCAAATTTTTCCGGTGCCCTTTATAAACCTTTATAAATCCCTTTCCCTTCTCCTTAGCTTGAAGTTATACCATCCTACTTTACGGTTAATAACACAAGGAAAAGGCCTACAGGGAGAAGAGAGGGAGAAGACTGATTTTCATTAGTTTGTAAAATGATGTACCTAAATGGTTACTGAACCAGGGAGTTCTGCCTAATACTCTCTGGATCTCCTGATGGGGTAAATACTGGTGGAAAATGGAACACAGTCACAGACTGTTTCAGCACTTATGAATGATTGGACCTTTTCATTATTCTCCACTCCCCATAACACACACTCTCCACTCCCCACAACACACACACACACACACACACAGTTTATCATGCTATTAACACTATTTTTTCATTTAAAATATAGAAATAGTGTTAACATACAAATTCTTTATATATTTTGAACTCTTGTCTATGTTCTTCTAGCAGCTGGAGGCTTCTTCTAGCAGCTGGAAGGCAGATGGCTGCAAGGTCAGGGCAGCTGGCAGAGAGCCCAGTGAGGTGGCTGGGAGCATTGGCTATCTAAGCAAAGACAAGGAAGTCTACAAGGATAGCGATAATATTAAAAAGAGGGTTCAAAGAAGTAAAATGGGGTAATCGTATACAGGGGAGGGGTGGTGAGGAAGAAGGAAGGCGTAAGGAAAACATCTGGATCTTCAGCATGAAGAACTAGGTGAATAATGATTCCACCTACAAAAGAGTACAAGCAAAACAAGTTTTAGAAAAAACAAAGCCCATTTACAGACTTGGACTCTTAATTTCTCACAATTTGATAGAGCTAATGAATTCCACCCAGGAGAAATCTGTTTTCCAAAGGAGTAACAGTTATGCATAAACTTTCTCAGCTAACATTGAAAGGTGATACTTTTGTTGAGACTTCAATTCAGGGTCATTATCATACCTAAGTATTCAAAAATAAGAATGGAAGTCTAGGGAGAAAAATAGAGGGAGAATATTTAAAATTAAATATGCAAGTGGCCAAATAGGTATTGTTTGTCATCATCAATTTCCCAAAAGCTTAACCTGTAGAAGATGCTTCACATATAATGGGTGAGCACTTTTTTTTTACTAATAATAACAAACCTTCCACAGTATTTGCAATGGGTTGAGTTCAAAGTACCCACTCATTTTATCCTCACACAAATCTACATTGTAGGCACTGTTGTAATTAATATTTTACAAAGGAGGAAACTGAGGCCAGAAGTCACATACAGAAGTGGGCAGTTCTGGAATTCAATCCTTGACAATCTGACTCTACAGTCTGTGTTATTCACTATACACTAGAATGCCTTTCTCACATTAATATGGAATAGTCTTCATTTGGATGTTCATCTTGTGCTCTGACATCATCTTAAAATGGAATTCAATTGCAGTGGCAAAATTGATGTGGTAATATTAGGTTATTTTATATTTTAAAAATAGTAGGACTTGCAGTATTGATGGCCCGCAGACTTCATTCAGGTCTGGCTGAAGTCCAGCTCTGCCCCCAGACTAGGTGAGGTGGGAGTTCCACCCACAGCTCCTTGTTGAGTCTGCAGTACCAGACACACTTGCATTCAAAATTAGCTTTGGGTGACCATATGTATTGGGTCTCAGCTACCAACAGGGGCTTTCCATTTGTTCCTGGGCCACAGCTACTTTTTATTTGCTTTGAGCATTTTATTTATTTATATAAGTACAGTGTTATTATTTAAATACATATTTTATCTATTAATCTAATAGGTTTGAAACTGAAAGGAATTATTATGCATGGTTTCACTGTCACTGAAAAAATTGTGTCTGATGAAATAAAGCCTAGTTGGTCATTTAAGTAAATCCTAAACTACATAGAGTTAAATATATTTCATTGAACATGCATAGCGTTCATTTTTCAGGGGATTTGCAAAGCGCAGTACTAAACAAACTTATTACAATAGGTCAGGAAGCACATTTGGATTTCAGAAACTATCAAATCGCAGAAGTTGTTTGACAATCTAAGAAACAGTTCTAGTCATTGGAAACCTAAGGATGTACAAAAGTTTTACTATTTTAAGGGGGGTAGAGGGATGGTCTTCACAGGAATCCACAGATATGAAAACAAGACAAGGTTTCTGAACAAATTTCTGTCTAGGTGTTTTTGTTCTTCCTAATACAGACTTATCTACCACTATCTTCTATATTTGGAAGGCTTTAGAAATAGTAAAATAATAAAAGTTAATATTTATTGAGTACTTAAGTACTTTATAAGTTTTAATTTTCTTATTCTCACAAAAAGGTATACAGAAGTGTTAGTCCTCTTTACAAATACAGAAATAGACAATTAGGCAGTTTATATGAAATCATACATCTGGTAAGGAAATATTTTCAAAACGTTTAACTGACACCTTCTTCCTGTGGTGTAATTTCATTAAATTAAAAACATGGGCTATGTTTTCCAAAAAGATAATATAGTACAACTTAAACTATGGCCAACTTAATTTATTTGAATAAAGACCAAAACATACTAAAAGTATAGCAAGCACTCTTATTACTGGAAAAGTAATATGCTTGAGAAGTTTTATGAGAAATTGTTCTGCTGGAAATAGTGAGTACATTTTTTAATGTAAAATAAGAACACATGGCCTGAATTTAGGGTAGAACATTGAAGCAGATACTATTCTAAATTTTGAGCTGTGCATCTATCATAACCTAGAGCAACAAAATTATAAGGTTTACAATTCTAAGTTGTTTCATCCTGTTCATATGTTGATGAACTAAAAATCTTATTTGTTTCTTTCTTCTTCTCGTTAACTTACCCAATGATGTTTTAAGTTATTTAATGTATGCAAGTAGTTTAAAGGTAGTGACTATGGTTTTATCTTTGTTCCTCTAGAGCACATAGGAGACAAATTTGACACTGTGGTCCAGGATAGTGTATTCTTAAGTAGAAGAAAGTCAAAGTTTGTTTTGTTTTATTTTTTCCTAATTTAAGCAACTCAATGATATTCATTACTTTCATTAATATCCATAAAACAGAGATATGTACTTTATTACATACAAAGGAAGAAGTGGTATAACCAATTTTGAAAACAGCATGCCGGTTTCCTAAAAAGTTAAGCAGACACTTGTCATATGACAATTCCCCTTTACCAGCCCTTACCCTCTTAGCTTATACTCAAGATAAAAGGAAATACACATCTCTACAGAGATTAGTACACAAATGTTCATAGAGTCTTTATTTGTAATAATCCCAAGCTGGAAAAAAACCCATAAATCCCCATCAATAGAAAAATAGATAAACTATGGCATATCCAAACCTTGGAATATCACTCAGCAATCAAAAGGAATGAACTCATACATAGAACAATGTAGATGAATCTCAAAATGATTATTGAAAGGGAGAAGCGCTAGACGCACCCTCACCAAAAACAGTGTTCATATTGTATGAATCCAGATAGAAAATATGAACTAACTTACAGTGACAGAAAACAGATTAGCGGTCACTTCAGGGAGAGAGAAAACAGAGAATAATGGGGAGGGGAGGTATTACAAAGGAGCACAAGAAAAGTTTTAAGGGAGCACAAATTTTGTTGCAGTTATGTATGTGAAACTTATCAAATTATATGACTTAAATAAGTAGTTTATTAATGTTAATGATACCTAAAAGCTTTACATTTAAAAAAACTAAATTTAATGAAGAAGAATGACTGTGAAATCAGTAATTTAATATTATTTTTAATAGGCTGAACTGTGTATCATCTGTAAGCAAAGCTATTTCTTTGCCCCCTTAGAATAGCTACTAGAGTACAATTGTCCTATATTCACATTTTTTTCCGGAATGTACTTAACAGATTGTAACTGCCTGATGAATGCAATCTAAATAATTTTTAAAATGCGTTTCTTTTATTTGCCATGTGCTTGACTTACAAGTATATCTTAAAATGTTTTTTTGTTCTAATTTTCTTTTAAACTTCTCTTAAAGTGGATATTTAATACCCACTAATAAGAGAAAACTGCATTTCAACAGTTCTGCCAAAGAGCTAGCTTTCTTTGCCATAGTATTATTAAATTATTGATTGTTCTTTTTCAGAAAGTCAGTTTAAATTACTGTTAGTTTCCAGAAATGGGCTGATTGTACTTGCATTCTTTTATAAACTTGTACAGAAGGAAAAATGATTACCCCATTCTCGAATTTCCCCATTTCCTAATCGTAACCAAAGGATCGTCCTATATATCAAGCTAATGTCTCTCCCTAACAGTTAACAACACTGTGACTCAACAGCTAGAAAATACTTACCCCAGGACTACTTGAGGAGACTATCAAAAATCTTAGAAACCATGGGCTCCACCTAGTGGCATTTTCCCAGTTGATATTATGGTTTTAAATCTAGCATTTAGCTTTCTGCACAAACCATTGTTTTTATTTAAATTCATTTAATAAAATTATAAAATAACACTATTCTACTTAAGTATTATTATTCAGTAGATTTGTGGTTTTAGTCATTTTTCTTTTTATGCAACCTTACTACTATAGTGCTTAGTATCATGCTTTTGATTTGTTTGATTATTCTAAATGGAAATAAATGGGGATTATGTTTTAATAATAAGGAAGTAGAGAGATGTATTAATATATGATAGCATTTTCTAAAAAGGGAATCCATTAGCAAGTCTATATAATTTCTAGTATTATGTCTGAAGTAACTTATAAAGGAAACGAATCTAATGATTGTATCATATAAATTATACAAAGCAGTGATCTCATGATCGTAGTTTTAAGTTCTCTGCAGCTTTTTATTTGGAAACTATTCCTCTTTGAGACATTAAATTTCTTTACCAGAATACCATATTTTTACTTGAAGAGTTGTAATTACGCAAGACTAACATTTAAGCTGAAAAGTCATTCGTTAAATGCCAATTAAGATTTCTGAAGTCATACATTTTGCTTACCAGACAAATCAGAAGATACTCAGAGATTTAGATTGAGCAGCCTATCGAAAAAGCACATTCCATTTCCACTAGCTCAGACCATTAGGAAAATGTGGGTTACCTGACAAGTCAGGAAGGGCTTTTAAATACTCTACAAAACTTCTGAGAAGCATATCTTGAGCCAGGAACCGTGCACTCATCCTCAGTTCCTTTCATCTGTACTTTAAATTGCTTTACTTCCCTCCCTGATATTCCCTCAGGTCATTTGCCAACCCACATACATGTACCTGGGAGTGTTCATGGACACACACACACAGTTTTCCTAGTGCCTCTGATTATAGCTGAAATACATTCAGCCTTTTACCTCATACTAAGCAGAGGGATTGATGGAAGAAAATTCCAGGGCAACCAAGGGTGGAGGCTAGGGATTGGTAAAGACAACGTTCCTGATGGATGCATTTTTTTTTTTTTTTGAGATGGAGTCTTGCTCTGTTGCCCAGGCTGGAGTGCAGTGGTGCTATCTCGGCTCACTGCAACCTCTGCCTCCCGGGTTTCAAGTGATTCTCCTGCCTCAGCCTCCCAAGTAGCTGGGAATACAGGCGCACGCCACCATGCACAGCTAATTGTTGTATTTTTAGTAGAGATGGGGTTTCACCATGTTGGCCAGGATAGTCTCCATCTCTTGATCTCGGCCTTGATCCGCCCACCTTGGCCTCCCAAAGTGCTGGGATTACAGGTGTCAGCCACCCCGCCCGGCCCAATGGGTGCATTCTTTACCGCTTTTCAAAACTGGATTGAGCCTCACAGTCTGCTAAGGTTTTCTGGGGCTAGCAGCCATCCAGCCCTTGCTGCATGGCTCTGGGTGAGTAGAGGATGCAGGCAAATCTACCCTCCCAGGGCCCTGGTGATTGCTGCTGCTCTGAGTTATGTAACTCCTGCTCACAGGCCCAACCAAGCAGAGTGATGATGCTACAATCACATCAGAGATTGTAAATGATGGGGTGATGATGAACAGGGGTTGCATTTTTTTTTTCTGTGTGCCCTGTATAGTTGTAGTCGCTGGCATGTCAGGTGATCAGTAAAGACTGAAATAGAAAAAGAAAAGAAAAGGAACAATTCTTGTCCCCTAGTCCCTGCTCTACTACTGAGTTACTATGTAACATTGTGCCATTTGCGGTTTGAATTAAAACATAAAATTAACGTGTGTAAGTATTTTCCCCCAAAACTAGGATGTGCATGTAAAAAACAATACCCATAAATGTTAATCATTAATAGCTTAGAAGGTGCTTTTCTGAGAGTTGATTCAGGAGCATGCTGACTGCCTTTATGGATTTGAGGGCCTCCCCCACACTTTTTAGGAAGACCTCCAAGGTTTCACCCTGTGGCCAACCATGAAACTTTTGAATACATTCAAGACCTAGAAAGAGGAGGACAGTGCACGCTTTCTTCCCTTCCTCACTTGTTTGTTCAGGCTGATAACTAGGAAATCAAATGTAAACAATTCATGTATGAACTAAAACCAGTGCTCACAGTATTGAACATTTATTTGAGGAAGATGTTAAGAGTCATATATAAAATCTAATCATATGCATATGTTTTGTGGGACACACAGGAGCCATGTGGTTCTTATGGTTAGTAGGGATTTCACATGAGAGTCTAGAAGCTGAAGGCTTTGAATATGGTTGCCATAGAGACAAACAGGCAGTTTATAGAATCCCAAACCAGGAGGATTAATTTTAATAACTTCCATCAAGAAGCAATATAGCTTTATAGTTGATAGCACAGGCTCTGGTGCCAGGCTGCTGTGGTCCAAATCCTTACCGTCTAACAGATTATGTGTGTATACTCAGGACAGTTAATTAATTTTCCTTTACCTTAACGCTATTATCTATAATCTATAAAGCAAGTATAGCGTTAATCCAAACATGCATGGATTATTATGTGACTTAAGTGAATTGAGGTATTTTACGTATAAACTATACATTTATGTATATACATACAAACACATGTGCACACACATAAAAGAGCAACCTGAACCCAGGGAGTGCATAATACATATTATTTATTATTAGTCGACATAGTTATTAAGATTTGTAATGTTTTTTCACTTGTTGGGCAGAAGACAAAATGACTGCTTTTGTTCATCTGAGCCCTCTGGACACTGTATCATTATTTTCTCAGTATACAGATGAACACTGCTTCTTTGCTCCTTCTCCATCTTCTTGGCTCAAACAATTACTAACACTTGTTTCTAAGTAGATTCTAAATTGCAGAGAACAAGAGGCTTTAACTATTTTGGTTGTGAGATACCCCATGAAATGGAAGCTTGACATAAGAATATGGAAGTAGTAATGTGGAAGAAACACAATCTCACTCTTTCATCAACAGGAATTTTAGGGGCCTGTTATTGGCATGACTCTACTGTACCTTTGTTTTCTACTTCAATCTAAATGTCTTTGTCTTTCTGCCAATGGCTGGTTGATTTCTTCTAGTTTTCTGAACCCAAATTGGGAAGCTGAGAATAGCTTTGCTAAGTAATGATGCATCTGCGGGACAAGTTGGGCAATATACCCTCCTGTGGCCCATCTCCAGATTGGCTAAGCCTTGTCAAAGGCCAGCTGCCAGTGCAGGAGTTGTTAAAATTGATAGTGCATCAGAATCACCTGGAGGGGTTGTTAAAAGACAGATTGCTGGCCCCCACCCCTCACAGTTTTCAATTAGGAGGTCTATGAGTGGGGTTTGGGTATTTGCATTTCTCAGAGGCCTCCAGCTGATGCTTATGTCTTTATTCCAGTGACTACACTTTAAACCACCAGTCCAAAAGCAGTGACCCACTCTTTCTTAAGAAATGATTTAGGCTGCTTCCCTCTGCAGTGGAGGGGAGAATGTAAAAGAAACACTGTCCTTGGAAGAGGAAGTCAGTATGACAAAGTATCAAGTAAACTATACCTCAATAAAACTGATTAAAAATTAAAAGCTCGGTAAAACAGGCATTCTCTTTCTTCCTGTAATCCACTGATAGTTGCCCTCAATCAGAATCATGATCTCCTTCACTGCATTCCCTTGTCTCTGAACCAAGGTTATTTAACTTACATTTTTCTGATCTTTTTTTAGAAAATGACTCCATTCATCTACTCTCCTATTACACTTTATCTATTAGATCTCTCTCAAGCATATCTAGAAAGCACTTCAATATTGCAGAGTTTGGTGTAGTCACCTTAAAAACATAGATAGGAAAGTAACACTCTGTTAGTCATTTGTCAGTAGACACTAAAAAAGATGTATAAGTTGAAACATAATCGTTGTTAAAGTTTATAGGAGGCCATTGGTTTAAACTAGCCTCCTGCACTCAGCCCCAGTAGACCAGAATGGACCAAGCCAGAATGGAGTCACTTATGCTTAGTGCCACTTAATCAAACTGAACTTTGAAACAGGCCAGTTTTCCAAAAAACAGGAGATCCCAGTGCTACTACCCTTTACGTAGCAAGGTGACTCTTGGCAAATGTCTCTTCTGAGATTCAGTTTCCTTATCTAAAAATGAGATTAGAAATGTCCTGCTCAATGTACTGTTGTAATAAACTCAAGTAAACAAACGTCCCTGGGACATAGTCAGTTTCATAGTATTAGTTCCCTTCTCTCTTTATTCCCCCTCTGAATTTGAATTGGAAAGATTGTAACGTGCAGAAGCATCAAAGTTCACACTTCATTTTTCACAGCTATACAAAGGCCAAGATAAAGCAACGTAAACATGACACCTACAACTAGACTTCTCAGATTTATGTGTTAGTTTGGTAGGCTTTTTTTTTAACCTCTTATGTATTGAAATATGAAAACTCTTAAGATAATCTGAACATATGTCTTCCAGGGCACTTGAATTACTAAATTAATAAAATGGTTAATATTTGTGGATATCTATTATAGACTTAAAGTGATTTAAATGTTTAACATTTAAATTAAGAAATAGAAAAGAAAAACTCAAAATCAAACAACCTTACCAAATCATGTTGATAATGCACAGGTTTTCGGGAAATTCTCCTTTCTGAGCTACCCCCCACTCTTCCTCAAGCCAATGTTTCTCTGAGCATGAATACACCTCCTCAACAAGATTATAAAACAGGTCAAAAATACAGGAAGACATCTGGAAATGGGCAAGTGTTTCAATAAATTAAAAAATGTATCAATTTTATATTGGCACTTCTGTGTGGTTATTTTCACAGCTAAATGGCTATATTAAAACACATAGATAATAGAGATGAACACCACCACTGTGTAAACATTGAAAGCACACTTCCATGCTTGTAAAGAGCAAGGTCATTTATCTTTCCTGTCAGTTCAAGAGGAACACTCTTGGGTAAAACTTCTCTGCTCATGATGTCTGAAGTTTCTGAATTATGTTTTGAGGCACAGCCTGGTGCAAAATGAATTTGTAAAGTAAGTGACCTTTGTATTTGGTATGTATCAGCTACTACTGCATTTCTGCTCCTTTGCATTTGGAAGCCATTTTTAAACTGAGAAAGCATGTGTCCAGGTTCAATGTTCTGCTCTCTAGATGGAAAATGGAGACAAACAACATGCTTTTGCCCTTGGGGAAACAGACCAAGTTCATAATGAATCCTCCAGTTACATAACTTCAACTTCCTACTGTCATCTCCCATTCAGAAGCCCCTCAAGCTCCTAATATTCAACCTGCACTCAATTTATTCTGTTCCCAATGAGCCACCCCCTCTCCACCTTCAGCCTCACCTATATAATTGCCCTTCAGGAAATTGTGTTGCTGCGCTTTTAGCAGCTAAGCCTGGGAGCATCCCTGGGAACTCTCTCTTCCTCAGACTCTCTCATCAAACCTACTGCCACTTCCATCTCCTATATACCTCCTAAGAGTCTATTTTTCATTGTCAGTGCCACCACCTTTGAACAGCTTCCTAACTGTTCCCCTGCATTCACTCTGCAACCAGAGAGATCATTTATAACACACATTGCTAACAGTTTCCAATGTCTGTCTATTGTCCTGAGGATAGTCCAGTTTCTTTAGATCTGCAATAGGACTATGCCTGTCTCTTGCCTTATGCTTTTTCACTCCTTTCCTATCTTTCTCTTTCTCTCAATATGGAAATCTTCTGTTTATTTGAAAGCATGCTTTTCTCTCTCTTCTCTGGGCTCTTGTACTGGCTGAAACGTTTAACTAGAGGAATCTATATCAATTCATCTGAGTAGTCCCAGAAAAGCTTCCATTTTCAGCAAGATATTATTTCCCTAGGGATGCCTGACCCCTACTTCCTCCACTCAACCATCCCTATTGCCACCCCACTCCTATCCTTACCCATTCACGTCTCCCCATATGGTTAGATAATTTGGTTTCATGGCCTCATACTTAGAAACAAATCATATTTGGGGGTATTCATAATTTAAAGCACACTCCTGAAATAATATTGGCTCATTGTGAAATGTGTTCTGATCCTCTAGTCTCATCTCACATCCAGTCACTTTCCTACACTCTCACCACTTCCCATTTTTATATCGTTTGCCTGCCTCTTTTTACTAGCATTTTAAATACTTTCATTCCCTTTGCAACAGACACTGATGAAGGAGTGATGTTTGTAAAGTATTTCAAAACATCTTAAGATTAAACACAGCATACACAATACTATAGCAGAGACTAAACTTACTGCCCACAACCACTAACACCTATAGGAAGGTCATAGCAGTGATAAGGGTTAGATTCCTTTCTATCTATTGAGGACCTTTCTATCTAAATAGAAGACCTTCTGTATTAAAATCTTTTGTGCACCTCCACCCAACTACCAACAGTCTACAAATTATTTTCGAGGTTGGTATTCACTGACTATGTTGACAGAATTCAAGATTACCCATAGGGTGTGTGGGGCCCCAGACAAATATATTTGTGTGGTCTCTGTCTGTATAAATAATTTATTAAGAACAAAATTCATGGACCCATGTGCAATTTAGTAATTTACTGATTAAGGTTAAGAATAATGGGCAGAGAGACAATGTATTTACATATTTGTTTGTTGTCCAATCACTGCTCATGAAGATTCTTCATTGTGCCCATTTATTTCATTATCTCCTCCTCTTCCACCTCTCCCTTCTCCTTCTCCCTTCTTCTCTTTTAAACAATGCACCATTTCTGGCTAATTTCGTATTTCCTACTGCAAGAAAAAGTATCATGCCATTATTCCAATCCCATGGCTCTTTGGAAGTTGTCTGCATTGGAAACAATATAGCTCCTCATGCCACTACAGTTCCCTAATTCCATTTGGTTATTATTGGTTACATCATTAATCATGATGATGCACCATCCATAGTGCTATCCATGGATACTGGCTCCCACTGACTAAAAATTTGTTAGTCCACTTTATTGTCTATGCCCTCAAATGTAAGTGAATGTTAATTCATTTCTGGTCACATTAAATCTATTTTATAAAGTTTATAGCATAACTTAGAATAATATAATTATATCCATATTTTCTCTTGAATATTTTTGGCTATGATCACTACATTCTTTTTAAAAAATTATTTGTGTATTTATTTATTTAATTTTTATTTTACTTTAAGTTTCAGGAGACCTGTAGAATGTGCAGGTTTGTTACAAAGTCATATGTGTGCTGTGGTGGTTTGCTGCACCTATCAACCCATGATCTAGGTGGGGTTTTTTTTGTTTGTTTTATTTGTTAGTTTGTTTGTTTTATTCATTTTTTGAAATGGAGTTTCACCTTGTTGCCCAGGCTGGAGTGCAGTGGTGTGATCTCGGCTCACTGTAACCTCCATCTCCCAGGTTCAAGCAATTCTCGTGCCTCAGCCTCCTGAGTAGCTGGGATTACAGTTACGAACCACCACACCCAGCTAATTTTTGTATTTTTAATAGAGATGGTTGAGTAGAGTAGAGAGAGTAGAGCCATGTTGGTCAGGCTGGTCACAAACTCCTAACCTCCGGTGATCCACCCACCTCAGCCTACCAAAGTGCTGGGATTACAGGTGTGAGCCACAGAAGCCGGCCCAGTCATCTAGGTTTTAAGCCCTGCATGCATTAGCTATTTGTCCTGATGCTGTCGCTCCCCTTGCCCCTCCATGCTCTGAGAGGTCCCAGTGTGTGTTGTTCCCCTCCCTGTGTCCATGTGTTCTCATTGTTCAACTCCCACTTATGGGTGATCACTATTCTTAGAATGCGATCTGGTTCAATGTTGATTGTACCCCTGCCTCCTGTATCCCACCTTGTCTTTATTTGTGTTGCTATAACAAAACACCTAAGACTGGGAAATTTATAAACAACATATATTTATTTTCTCACAGTTGTAGAGGCTGGGAAGTCCAAGGTCATGGTGCCAACAGACTTGGTGTCTGGAGAGGGCTGCTCTCTGCTTCCAACATGGTGTCTTCTCGCAGTGTCATGTCCTCCTGACGGAAGGAATGCTGTGTCTCACATGGTGACAGGAATTGAAGGACAAAAATGGCTGAACACTTTGTGAAGCCTCATTTATAAATGTCTTAATCTCATTCGTGAGGACTCTACCCTCATGAAAACTTAATCACTTCCTAAAGGACTTGCCTCTTAATACTATCACATTATCAATTAAGTTTCAACACATGACTTGAGGGACATTCAGACCATAGTACTTCCCTAGTTAGGAGACTAAACAAAGACAGGAGCAAGAAGAGGAGTCTCATTTGCAGAAGAAATGTCTGTTTCTCACTTGGCATTGCATAAGACTTATCTGAGAGTGCCCAATGTCACACATCTATGGTAAGAAGAGAAGATACTGATCAGAAGGGCCTGGAGGCTTTATGAAGCAACAGTCTGAAAAGTCCTTGCAGGAAATAGGCAAGGCTATCCTGGAAGGACTCCTAGATACATGGCCTGGATACAGCAAGAGGTGAATGTCCTGGGTGCCTACAGCAGAGGCACACTTGGTAGTGTAGGCCTGCTATCAACCCTACACCCTTGAATCCTACAGACCATTGGCATGACAGCAGACAGATCACTGGCAGGCAAGATTTGATGGAAGAACCATGTATCCGCCGCAAACGCAAGACTCATCCGAGGAGCACTAGTAGCCTAGAGCCCTGAATTCATCCTGTGCCTGATGTGAAAGTCACCCAAAATCAACATTTCTGTACCATTCTGGTGGCCCAATCTCATATAATCACTTGAAAGGAATAGCACACTGACTAATCAAAGCCATCAGCTCATCAGCCACTGTTCCGGAATCGAGGTCCACCCATGGACTCCCAGAAGAACCCCTTAAGTATTAGTACTGGAACTCCTCTATGCACTTGATCCACATAAAGTACGTGTGTGTGGGCAGGGAGGGCTTGTAGAGGATCAGAAAGTGCCTTACAGGAGAGAAACAGAGACCAAGACTAGGGAACCCTTTCTGCTGGAGGGGCATCTAGACATTTTGAAGAAACACACGAAAGAATAGAGCCCCTGAGGTCACATCCAGATTTCAGTTTCTCTTCGGGAGTCTAAGAGACTGTTGTGAGCCCAGATTTTCACATTTTCTTCCTCTGGCTGAAATGGTTGGATTTAGACAGTGTGGAGGCAAACTTACTGTATGGATTAATAACTTTTGTGCAAGTAACAGATATTTGTCTAGCCTTCCTTAAGTCAAATAAGAATGTATCATAAGAGTGTAGAGATATCTAATAAAAATCCAAGGGCAGAAATATGGGTGGAGCACAGAAAAGAACTGGAACGAATGATTTAAAACTGTTCAGATATAGCTTTAGGTATTTCTCATCTCTACTCCTCTTTTGCATTTGTTTTCCTTTGTCCCTCTGCAGACTCTTTCTCTGCTCCTTTGTCCACATGGAAAAACATGGATCAAGCACAGTTTTCCAGTTTATATATTGGAGGTCCAGACTTTTGTAGCATTAGGTCCAAGTTGGAAGTGGTTCTAACTCTAAATTTCTGAAAAAGAGAGTCCGATTGGCTAAACATTGGTTAGTTGTCCACCTCTGGTTCAGTCAGCTGTTTCTAAGGGCAAGAGATGACATGGCAGGTTTATAACACCCAGGGCCACATTATTGTAAGACAATGGGAGGTTGTCACAGAGAAGTTTCTGGAGTCCCTCTTCTCACAGACTTTAGGCTTGCTCTACAAGGCCACCTGCCTTCCTGGTTCTCAGGTGGCTGGAAGTCTCTAGCCATGCCCAATGTATCTAGGTCATCACAACCATCTAAAGAACCCACTGTACTGTTGCAAGACCACAATTCCTCCAGCTTGTCTGTTCCATGAAATACCATTTATTTTCTTCCTTTCAAAAGGCTATAAATAGGAGAAAGTGGGGGGCTGTCTGTTAGCTCTCAAAAAGTATTATCTCCATTTCATAAATCAATGTGAATAGTTCCACTTTTATTTTTTATTCCTATTTATTATCAACCTCCCCTTTTTCCCCTCTAAGACTCTAGCACTAATCACTAATGAGCTAGATCAGAATTCAATCTGCCCTCACCTCTGGCCAGCCCAAGAATATTGTTCCCAAACTAAGGGTCCTTACCTTTTAGATCTCCCTCTTCCTGTAGGGGAACTATTTTCCTATCTGATATTCTGCAAAGTGTCCTAAACATGCTGGGAATGAATAGCACAATGGACTTGGCTATCAAAAGTTTTAAAATATCAAACTGCTATTCTTCCTGTTAATCTCTTCATTCCTTCTGATAGGATAGCTCTAGCAGGCCCATCAAAAACTGCCCAAGAGACAGGCCAGCGGCTCAACTGGCAGAGGTTACTAAGTTTGAACATTCACACAATAACTCTTTGTATGCTGTAATGAGGGGTGATGTGGCAGTCTTCTTTTCCATGCACTATTTTTTTCTTTTGTAATAGAATCTTTCTCTGCTTCTTTAAATTTGTATATCCACATATAACACTTCGGTAGGTAGGCAAAGTAAAGTTCCCTACTGTGGTCTCATGGTAATAATATTGTAAAACAATACAAACAAGAAATGGTTCTACCGTTTCTTCAGGTGGAGGTCTGAAATTTGCAGTGCTTTACTCCAGAACCATAACTTGATAAAATGCAGAGCTACTAGAGGAGCAGATCATCTTCCTAAAGTGCCTTGAAATTCAAGTCCTTTTTAATTGCCGAGAATTCATGTCACTTGTGTGACAAAGCTATAAACATGCATAATCATAAAAACACATTTTGACATCCTGAATAAAATCAATGCCATGTTATTGTTAATTTTTTAACAAACAGATGAGTTTTATTAATAATTTTAACAGTTCAGCCTATGTCTTAATCAATGTTTTCCTCCTAAAAAATTATTTTGCAAAACACATTGGAACATTTTCAACGGACGCTAGTAGAAATATGTCTCACATCATTCTGAAAGCTCAAATAGTATTTGTAAATTTCTTTTGTTTATCATCTACATCTTTTATACAATATCACACAAACATTTTAAAGTCAAGGCCTATGGCACGTACATCTTATGCATATACTCAAGCAGAAACATGAGAGACATCAAACTGGCCGGAGATTCACTTTGCTTGGTATTACATTAGTCTTTTGATAGTATTTCATTTTAACAAGGTAATGCAAACTTTTTGCATCCAGTTTATTGAAAGTTTTTCTTTAAACATGCTTTCTTTCCCACCAAAACCCAACAGCTCTGAGGTGAAGTTAAGGAAAACTGCCACTGCCAGACACCGCTCTCAGCAGCTGCAGAGCTGCCGAATTCTTCATAAATGCTGTGCTTTCTTTCATCACATGTTCTTCATCTTCCCTTTTCTTTCTCTTTCCAGACACTGAAATTTCTTCCAAAAGATATTTTCCGTCTTTGCCAAGCTTTCCATGTGTTAGAGAATAATTCCTTGAACCCTGGGGACTGGTTTTAAGCTTTAAAAATTTGCTAAGTAGTTTCTTTTTTATTTGTTCCCTCTTTTAAACAACTCGATACGGGCATCAATTTGTCTCCTTCCTCTCTCACTCTCGCTTTGTGATGTTCCATATGTGAAAACATTCATTAAGCACTGTAATTTTTTAGCTTCTGTTCTGTAATCCTCAAGTCCCACTTTTTCCAAGATTTCTGAAAATTATCTTATTTCATTCATGCATAAATCTTCACAGAATATGCTGAAAGCAATACAGAGAGCAGATGCTATTTGCTCAAGAAAAATGCAACATTTTGGTGAAATGTAATGCAACTTCCTTTGAAACCTTAAAAACAAATTTTTTTATTTCCCAATATATCCACTAGATGGCAGGGTAGACCTCCATTTTTGTGTCTACGAAAATGTGCTCTTTATGGCAAAGGATTACTTTTGTGTAGAGCATATTGTATTGCTCCGTTTGTTTTCATATTCTAGTCTTCTGATGCTCTCTAAAGTTATTACAAACAAGGACAACAAATGTGATCACCTATTGAGTATATGCTGTAACCAGACACCTTGCTAAGAATTGCCTTATGGTTATAGGCACATATACATTATTAAATAAATTATATTAGGACAAGTAATATATTTATTATATAAGAATGATGATAAGGCCAAGGAGAAATAAAATAATATTTCATAAAATGTTTCCATTTTATGAAATTGACAAAGCAATTTTAACTTTGACAGAAGATTCAGAAATGGCTACAAGCACTTTGATTGCTGTTTCTACTTAAAGGTAAAAGAATGTGCCAAACCAATATGTGGAGAGGGTAATGCTATTTCTGGGTCACATTAGCATTCAGCAGAACTTTGTATTCTCTTCATATGCAAAATGGTTACTTGGATTTTTAGAAATATGGCTTTTTAACAAGTTCGGTACTGCAAAATGTAATGCCTTGATTATATCTGTAAGTGATGGGAAGATGAACAATAGTTTGACTTTTCTGATAAATGGTGCTTAAATATTTTTTGAAGTTTCCAAAGCTGAAAACAGTTTATTATTTTTTAAAATAAAGTCCTGCCAGTGTTTCTTAGCATGTAATTCTAGACACTAAACCATACAAATACATGCCACTCCCCAATAGAGAGTAATTTACTAATTTCATTTAAATCTTAGCTCTAGTAGATTTAAAAGTGTGCCCTACGTAGTTCTGGGGATTCCACAGGCGGCCATGTGGGGTCTCCATAGGCAGTGGGAAGAAGGTCCAGGCTAAGCACTCTCTCCTTTCAGCAGGAGCATGAAGATATTCATCTCTTTCATATATATACTGCGTAACCCCTGTCATTTAAATAAAGAGTTCAGCTGGAGAAAGCACTTCTGCTGTGATTACACATAGGTCAAATGAAAGTTATTCAGTAAAGATTGAGTAAAGATTACTCACTCTAGAGTAAGGATTCTATTTTTGCCAGTGGGAAAGAAAAAAGACAGATTAATTTGGTAAAAATAAAATCAAATTTTTCTGCCAAAAAATTAAAACTCAATAGCAGTCATCATATAAAAAAGCAAACATTTAACTGGATTTGTTATGTTAACCAGTTGTTTTGTTGTCACAGCATGTGGCTATCAAATATCCTCATGACAAAGAAAACTAAGGAAAGCAAGAGATATAAGAAGCAGTCAAAAAATATACACTTATGATTGATAATGGGCCTGGTTCTGTAATAGGAGATTCAGAAGATGACTAACTTATACAAATACACCTGCTCATAGAGATGTATCGACATCCACCTATTCCATGTAATGAAAAAGACAACAGGTAAGTACTGGGGGCTGCAGGACATTGTCTTGAAGTTGACAGCTCCTTAATCCACATCTTTTAGGTTTTAAGTGTTTCTACTGTGCTTCTTTTACATAGTTCAGCTCAAGGGATGAGACAAATCAAGTCACTGCCATTATATTAAACAGAATGAGGTGGCAAGAAATGTACAAACAACATGCAGTAGAGTATGAATTGGCATAATTTTTTCAAAAAGGAAGAGATAGTAAATACCTTAACTTTGGGCCACTAATCAACATTGCTGTAATCGTATGAAAACATAATATGTAAACAAATGGGCTTGGCTATGTTCTCATAAAACTTTATTTACAAAAATAGGCAGACACAGAAGTTGGTCCTCAGGCTATAGTTTGCTGACATAGCTCTGGAGAATCAATTAACGAAAACATCAAGCCTGCTTGCCAGAACAATAATCAGAAAAAAGAAAGAAAACACATCCAAATTGGAAAAGAAGTAGAATTGTCTCTGCCTGCAGATGACATTACATTACATATAGAAAATCCTGAAATCCTAAATCATCCATCAAAAAATGTTAGAACTCATAAACATTTCAGGAAAGTTGGAGAATGTAAAATAAACATAAAACATTTACATTTCTGTATATTAACAATGACTGATGTGAAAAACAATTTAAGACTGGCAAAAATATAATCTTTATATTTAAGATTAGGATTGTATTTAAGAAAATAATCTCATTTATAGCATCAAGAAAATGAACTACTTGGGAATAAACTTAACTGAGGAGATAAAAGATCTATGCACGTAAAACAATGAAACATTGATGAAAGAAATTAAAGAAGATATAAATAAATGGAAAGATGTCCCATCTTTGTGGATTGGAAGAATTAATATTGTTAAAAAGCCCATAATACCCAAAGCAATCCACAGATTTAATGTAATCCTTATCAAAATTTTGAAAATATTTTTTATAGTTATAGAAAAAACATCATAAAATTCTTATGGAGCCGTAAACTATCTAGAATAGTCGAAGCAAGCTTGACCAAGAAGAACAAGGGTAGAGGCATCACACTTCCTGATTTGAAAATGTATTAGAAAGCTACAGTAATCAAAACAGTATAGTACTGGCATAAAAACTGACATACAAGTGGATAGAACAGAATAGAAAGCCTACAAATGAATCTACACATTTACAGTCAACTGATCTTTGACAAAGTTGCCAAAAATCTAGCTAATTAAAATAGCCATCACTTCACAGTTATCTTTTGTGTGTGGTAAGAACACTTAACCTTAGCAAATTTCAAGCATACAATACACTATCAACTATAATCACAATACTGCACATTAGATCTCCAGAATTTATTCATCCTGCATAACTGAAATTTTCTGCCCTTTGATAAACATGTGTCCATTTTCCCCAACCTCTAACCCTTGACAGTTATTATTCTACTTTCTGCTTCTAAATTTGACTTTTTTAGATTACACATATGAAATTAGGTAATGTTTGTCTTTCTGTGTGTGACTTATTTCACTTAATGCCCTGTAGTTTCATCCTTGTTGTCACGAATGACAAGATCGCCTTCTTTTTATGGCTGGATAATACATCGTGTGTATATCATATTTTTTTATCTATTTATCTATTGAGGGACACAGGTTGTTTTCATATCCTGAGTAATGTAACTAATGTTGTAATGGACATAGAAGTATAAATATCTTTTTGACATACTAATTTCATTTTCTTTTTTATATACCTAGAAATTGCATCGCAGGATCGTATGGTAGCACTATTTTTATTTTTATTTTTTCAACTTTTTCAGGAAGCTTCATTCTGTTTTCCATAATGGCTATAACAATGTACATTTCTACAAACAGTGTCTGAGGATTCTCTTTTCACCACATCCTCACCAACAGTTGTTATTTTTTATATTTCTGGTATTAGCCATTCTAACAGCTGTGAGGTGCTATCTCATTTTGGTTTTGATTGTGTTTTTCTGATAATTAATGAAGCTGAGCATCCTTTCATATACCCATTGGCTATTTGTATGTCTTTGGAGAAATGTCAGTTCGGGTTCTTTACTCATTTTTTAATCAGGCTATTTTCTTGCTTTGGATTGTTTGAGTTTTTTATATATGTTAGATATTAATCACTTATCAGATGTACAGTCTGCAAATACTTCCTCTCATTTTGTAAGTTTTCTTTTCACTCTGTTGATGGTTTCCTTTGCTGCACAGAGCATTAAAGTTCGATGCAATCTCACTTGTCTATTTTTCCTTTGCTTGACTATGCTTTTGTTGTCATATCCAAAAATCATTGCCAAGACCAATGTCAACAAACTGTCCCCCTGTTTTATTCCAGTAGTTTTACATTTTCAGTTCTTACATTTAAGTCTTAAATTCATTTTGACTTGACTTCTGTATATGCAGTGAGAAAAGGGTCCAATTTCATTCTTCTATGTGTGGATATCCATTATTTTCCACACCATTTATTGAAGAGATTATCTTTTACCCATTACACAATGAGTAAACACATTATACAATTACACCTTTGTCAAAGATCAGTTGACCGTAAACATGTGGATTTATTTCTAGGCTTTCTTTTCTGTTCCATCTGCCTGTATGTCTGTTTTTAATGCCAGAACCATATGTTTTAATTACTGTAGATTTGTAATACATTTTGAAATTGGAAAGTGTGATGCTTCCAGCTTTGTCCTGCTTGCTCAACATTGCTTAGGCTATGCAAGTTCTTTGTGGTTCCATACAAATTTTAAGAATTTTTTTTTTTTTTTGCCTATAACTGTGAAAAATGTCACCAGAATTTTGATAGGGATTACATTACATCTGTGGATCACTTTGGGTGGTATGGGCACTTTAACAATATTAATTCTTCCAATCCATAAACTTGAGATATCTTCCCATTTATTTGTTTCTTCTTCAATTTCTTTCATCAATGTTTCATAGTTTTCAGTGTACAGATCTTTTACTTCACTGGTTAAATATATGCCTAAGTATTTTTTCATGCTATTGTAAGGGGAATCTTTTGTTTAATCATTGTTAGTATATAAAAAGGTGACTTTTTTTGAGACAGGGTCTCACTATGTTGCCCAGGCTGGAGTGGCATGATCACGGCCCATTGCAACCTCCACCTCCTGGGTTCAAGCAATTCTCTTGCCTTAGCCAGCTGAGTAGCTGGGATTACAGGTGTGTGCCACAATGCCTGGCTAATTTTTGTATTTTTAGTAGAGATGGGATTTAGCCATGTTGGCCAGGCTGGTCTCAAACTCCTGAATTCAAGTGGTCTGCCCACCTTGGCCTCCCAAAGTGCTGGAATTACAGGCATAAGCCACCACACTTGGCCTAAAAGGTGACTTTTTTATGTTAATTTTGTATCCTGCAATTTTATTGAATTCACTTATTACTTCTAACATTCTTGGTGTATTATTTAAGGTTTTCTTTACATAACATCATGTCGTCTGCAAACAGAGATCAATTTACTTCTTCTATTCCAATTTGGAAGAGTTTTATGTCTTTTTCCTGACTATTTGCTCTAGCTAGGACTTGCAATACTGTGTTGAAAAAAAGTGGTAAGAGTGGGCATTCTGGGGCTGGGCATTGTGATTCATACCTTTAATCCCAGCATTCAGGGAGGCAAAGGCAGGAGGATAGCTTGAATCCAAATGCTTAAGATCAGGCTGGGCAACATAGTGAAAGCCCATTCTCCACAAAAAGAAGATTAAAAAAAGAGTGGGCATCCTGGTGGTGTTCCTGATCTTAGAGGAAAGATTTTTTTCTTTTCACCATTGACTGTAATGTTACCTGTGGGCTTGTTATATATGGCATTTATTATGTTGAGGTACACACCATCTATACCTAATTTGTTGAAAGTTTTTATCATGAAACAGTGTTGAATTTTTTCAAATGTTTTTTCTGTGTCTCCTGAAATGATCAAATAATTTTTTTTGGTTGTTTTGAGATGGAGTTTCATTCTGTCTCCCAGGCTGCAGTGCAGTGGCACGATCTCAGCTTACTACAACCTCTGCTCCCGGGTTCAAGTGATTCTCGTGCCTCAGCCTCCCAAGTAGCTGGGATTACAAGCCCGCACCACCTCACCCAGCTAATGTTGTATTTTTAGTAGAGATGGAGTTTGACCATGTTGGCCACGCTGTTCTCGAACTCTTAACTTCAAGTGATCAGCCCACCTCAGCCTCCCAAAGTGCTGGAATTACAGGTATAAGCCAGCATGCCTGATCCTGATCAAATGATTTTTATATTTCATTCTATTAATATGGTGTATTGAATTTAGTGGGTTTTGTATGTTGAGCCATTCACACATTCCAGGGATAAATCCCACTTGATCATCATGTATGATCCTTTTAACATGCTGTTTGATTCCATTTGTTAATACATTAGTAATGATTTTGCACCTATGAGATATTCATCAGAGATATTGGCTGTAATTTTCTTTTTTTAATAGTGTCCTTCTCTGGCTTTGGGGTCAGGAAAATATTGGCCTCATAAAATGAATTTGGAAATATTCCTTCCTCTACAATTTTTTTAGAAGGATTTAAGAAGCATTAGCATTAACTCTTCTTTAATGTTTGGTAGGATTCAGTAATGATGCCATCTGGTCCTGGGCTTTTATTTGTTGCGAGATTTTTGATTACTGATTCAAACTCCATAGTCTTTTAGTCTTTTCAAACTAGTCTTTGCAAATTTTCTGTTTCTTTAGTCTTTTAGTCCTTTCAGATTTTCTATTTCTCTATGATTTAACCTTGGCCTTTCTATGTTTCTAGGCATTTATTTACTTATTGTAGGTTATCCCTTTTGTTGGCTTATAATTGTTCACAGTTGTCTTTTATGATCCTTTGCATTATGTGGTATCAGTTGTAATATTTCCTCTTTCATTTATAATTTTATTTATTTGAGTCTTCTTTTTTGCTTGGTTAGTCTAAGTAAATGTTTGTAAATTTTATTTTTCTTTTTAAAAACTGAACTTTTAGTTTTCTTGATCTTTTCTATTTTTTTCATGTCTATTTCATTTACTTTTCCTCTAATCTTTATTCTTTCTTTCTTTCTGCTCACTTTGGGGCTTCATTTGTTCTTCTTTCTTTAGATTCTTAAGGTATACGCTTAGGTTGTTTACTTGAAGCCTTTCTTTTTCCTAAAATAGGCATTTATTGCTATAAACTTTCCTTTTAAAACTGCTTTTGCTGCATCTCAGTAATTTTGGTATGTTGTTTTCTAGTTTCCTTTGTCTCAACGTATTTTTAAATTTTTTAAAATTTTTTCTTTGACCCACTAATTGTTCATTAGTGAGTTGTTTGATTTCCACATATGTGTAAATTTTCTGAATTTTCTCTTTTTATTGATTCCTAGTTTTATACTATTGTGGTCAGAAAAGATAAATGATACGATTTCAATCTCCTTGTATATGTTAAGAATTGTTTTGTGGTCCAACATATTATCTGTCCTGGAAGGTATGCCAAGTCTGCTGTGGAAGAATGTCTATTATTCTACTGTTAGATAGAATTTTCGGTATATGTCTTTTAGGTCCATTAAGTGTATAGTATTAATCAAATTTGCTGTTTTCTTATTGATTTTCTGTCTGGCTTACCTATTCATTGTTGAAAGTGGAGTGTTGAAGTCCCCCGCTGTTATTGTATTTTTTTCTCCCTTCAGTTCTGTTAATATTTAAAAAAAAAAAAAAAACATTTAGGTGCTAAAATGTTAGATGCATCTATATTTATAATTGTTATATCCTTTGGTAATTTGACCCCATTATCTTTATATGAGGACCTTCTTTGTCTTTTTTTACAGTTTTTTGCTTAAAGTCTATTTTGCCTGATATTAGTATAGCCAATCCTGGTCTGTTTTGGTTATCATTTGCGTAAAACATCTTTTTGTATTCCTTTACTTTCAGCATATGTGCATTCTTCAAGTTAAAATGAGTTTTTTAATAAGCAACACACAGTTGAATTTTGGTCTTTTATCCATTCAGCCACTCTATCTTTCGATTGGATAATCTAATCCATTTACATTTAAAGTAATTATTGATGAGTAATGACCTTCTATTGCCATTTTGATAATTGTTTTCTGACTCTCTTGTAGCTCCTTAGTTCCTTTCTTTCTCTCTTGCTATATTCCAGGCTCCTACAAAGGTACACTCATCATCATAAGTGACAAGACAGTGGTAAGAAAATAAGGAGAGTTTTAAGAGTTGCTTTTATTTTTTCTACTCAGCAACTATTAAGAAAGGTTTATAGAAGTATGTATTGATCTCAGCTCTATGGCTTGTCCTCTTATTTACAAGGAGTTTTTATTTAAAAGTGAAGTTGGTGCTAAGATGACAGAATAATTCAATTACATATTTAGCAGATTAGTAGTTTACGAGAGCAAAACAATCCCTGGGGAGACTTTTTAAATTTATTTTAATGGCAGATTTAATGCAAGGTGGTTGCCTGAAGGAAGCAGCTGACTGCAAAGCATATAATTATAGATTTCCCATTTTACAGGTAACCTTAGAATCACACAGAAACCTCTCAGAATTTCTTTAAGACATGTAACGTGATGACAAGATTAATATTCTAGAGCTAGAAAAAGGTATTTTTATAAGAATTGTTGATCAAGGTTTTAAGGTAAGAATTTAGGACATGGCTGACCTATGAGTTTGAGAACTACTTTGAATTGTCATTTGATCTGTACTGCTTTTGTAATACATCACTTACAAACTTTTGTAAGCTGTGTTTACTCAAGCTACCACAGTTTGGGGGTAAATTAGCTACTTGTAAACAGATAAAACAAACATAATTATTCCATGACCATTTGATTTAGGTGTTAAATGATCCACACACTATGTGTGTGTGTGTGTGTGTGTGTGTGTGTGTGTGTGTTTATCCTCTGTATATATGCATTAATGAGTTGGATAACATTTTACCTCACTTTAGATTATGTAGTTTAATGATTTCCCAACTGAGTTACTAGTGTGGATTCCAAGAAGAGTCCTAAGGGCAATGATGCCTTGGAATCGGGTAACAGTGACTATGTAGGCAGGGTTGCCCAATGTTTTCTCAATACTTATTGCATTTCTGAATCAGCCTTCACTTATAAAGAGAAATCAGTTGCCAGAGAAGTTTGACATATCACTGCTTTAGTTACCCAGTGTTTCAATCTACAGATGAGGACCTAACTTCAGTTTGCTAAGGTATGCCTTGCCCAAGGGAAGAAAACTTTCGTTTTTAGGCATTCTCCAACTAGAAAGAATATTTTTAACCATCTTTAAAGAAAAACAAACACTTTAATAATAAGTGGACTCAGAGATTCAACTTTAATTTCATGACAAAGTAATTGAATGTATTAATCATAACGTCATTGGCTTCTAGATATTTATTTAACTTTTAAAATAGCTGTTCTTATATGAAAATTTTAAACATGCTTATCAAAGAAAGCTTTGAAACTTAGCAATTAGTTTTTAAAAATTCAGTGACTACATGTATTGTGCACATCATTTCATACGCAGAATGAATCGCATTCCTATCTCTGGTCTGTTTCCAAATCCATCCATTACACCACTCCCAGAATAATACCTAAAGAAAAAGTCTGACAAAGTTGCTCTTTCCTGCAAATTATCCTGTAGCTTTTGGTGGCCTATAGGAAGCAGACCAAACTCTTTAACACTGCCCGCAGTACTGTCTTTAATGTGGCTGCTCCTACATAACTCTCCAACCTCATCTCCTGCCACTCCCTTCATTGTGTTTTCTACTTAGGCTACAAAGCACCATTTATAATTTATTGTACACACTTTGCTATAATGGTTAATTGCATAGATTCTGAATCTGGCATACTATGTTCAAATCCTTGCACAGTGACATTTGGCAAGATAGTTAACCACTCAGTTTGAAGAGTAAATATGTCAATATATAAAGAATGAGGAATTTCCACTTCCGGCCATACAATTTTGAAATGAGTGTTAGCGAACTTGACATACTGCTGAAACAACTAGAAAAGTGGGGGAAATCAATTTTGAATATTGAAAAAATGAGCTGCACAGAATTGTGATATCTGTGAGAAGAAAAACAAAAAGGATGATACCCATAATCACCTCAGCTTTGTGCCTGAAGACACTAAATGGACCATGGCACAAAGAGATGAAACTTAAGTAGAGCAGTATAACCTAAATCATCTTATTCTGTTGGGAAGACAAAGAATGTTGTATGAGAAGGTGAAAGTTATGAGAGAGAGTGTCAGGCAGGAGGGTAGAAAACCTGAATAGGGGTCTCCTCATGTCTGTTGCTGAACATATTAATGCAAATAAATACACAGAATGTGATTCTACAATGCTGAACTGTGAAGCAGATGAACATAAACAATTCCTAGAATAAATGCATGGCTGGGAGATATTTGACTTCAGAGCAGACACAGTGGAAAGATTCCAATGCCTCAGAGACCCCAGAAAATTCAAATCTTGGTAGCAGTGTTAACTTAGACCTACTTCAAAGATTAATCTAGTTCTGCCCTTGGAAGGCCTAAAATTAAACCTTGATTAGATCAATAATATTTATAAGTTACTTAACTACCCCTGGAAACGGAATAAGGAAGAGAGTAAAATTCAATCAATATGGTAAAATATCAGCCATTCAATCAATGATTACTATACGAAAGAAGAAATAGAAAAAAGGTGGCCTGTAATCAAGATAAAAATCAATTAACAGAAAGAGATCAAGAAATGACAGAAATGATAAGATTAGCAGAAAGGGGGAATAAAACAACTATTACGAAAGTGCTTAAGAATTTAAACAAGAAAATTAGAAGAATAGAAAAGGAAGATAGGGAAAAAAATCAATGGAACTTCCTAAACTAAAAAAATTACAATATCAAAATGAAAAACTAACTGGATGAAACTGACATCAAATTAAACAAGGCAGAATAAAAGAACAATGAACTTAAGTACATAGCAATATAAGCCAGAAGAGGACAAATATCAAGTTGTAATCTCAGGTGGTAGGAATAGAAAAATGTCTTTCAAACAACATGAATCATACAGAGGATGTTTGTGACCAAAAAGTAATAAATTAAAAATAAATAAGCAAAAAATGAATAATTTCCAAGTTTTTAGAAATACTTCTAAATAATCTAAATACTTCTAAATAATCCATGGTCAAAGGACATATCACAAGACACTTAAAATATTTGAACTGCCCTCACTGACAGCACTCTTTCCATGTATTTCTACTAACGGTGTGTTTGAGGACATTTAAGTTTTCTCTATCATGTTCTTCAAAAATTTATTTCAGCCTGCATCCAGTGCCTGGTTCGAAAACAACTCCCAAAATTTTTCGGTGTTTGTTATAGCAGCATCAGACTTCCATGTACTAAAATTTGTATGAGTTATCTACTGCTGCATAACAATATTACCAAAAAATTAGCAGCTTAAAACCATGTACATTTACTATCTCACAGTTTCTATGTGTCAGGAGACTAGATACACCTTAGTTTTATGCTGCAATCCAAATCATTGATTGCAATGTATTTATTGCAACCAACATGTCAGCTGGGTTGTGATCTCATCTGAGGTTTTACTGGGGAAGAATTTGTTTCACAATTCATGCAAGTTGATGGCAGAATTCATTTCCTTTTGGTTGTTAAACTGAGGATTTCAATTTCTTGCTGACTGCTGGAAACCACTCTTGGAGGCCACCCATAGTTCCTTGCTATGCAAAGTGTTTCTTCCTCAAAGTCAGTAAGGGAAAGAAAGACTCCAGCATGACAAGTGCTACAATCTTTTACAACAGTCATATAATCATGTGCATGTAATTGCATATATCCCATCATCTTTACTGCATTTTGTTGGACAGAAGTAAGTCACAGGTCACACCAATAATCAAGGGGAAGGGCTTACATAAGAGAATGAGTATATATTAATATAAATATGAATTATACACAAGGAGATGGATATATCCATTTATTTATTTAGATTTATATGCCATATTTAGACAAGTATATGTGTATGAAAATGTATATATATTATTATTTATTTATTTACTTATTTTTTGAGATGGAGTTTTGCTCTTATTGCCCAGGTTGGAGTGCAGTGGTGCAATATTGGCTGACAGCAACCTCTGCCTCCTGAGTTCAAGCGATTCTCCTGCCTCAGCCTCCCAAGTAGCTGGGATTACAGGCATGTGTCACTACACACGGCTAATTTTGTATTTTTAGTAGAGATGGAGTTTCTCCATGATGGCCAGGCTGGTCTCGAACTCCTGACTTCAGGCGATCTGCCTGCCTCGGTCCCCCAAAATGCCGGGATTACAGGTGTGAGCCACTGCAACTGGCCTATTTGTATATTTAGTAATGAAAATATCTTCATAGTTATATCTTGACAAAATGCTTTATGCTTCTAATTTCAATCTGCCAAATGAAAGATTTGGGATTTTAATTGATTGGTTGATTGGTTTCACTGGTAAATACAAATGATTTAACATTACATATACATACATGTATACACACACACACACACACACACACACACACATATATATATAACTGCAAAGGAATGATAATGGACTCAGGATATGGCAGAATTCATTGTTAATTTATCATTTTGCTACTGGGAAATAATTGAAGGTAAGTGACTTCAATTTAGAAAAAAAAACTTTATGTGTCTGTTAGATGATATTCAATATTCTAATTAGAGAGTTTAAAGTAAAGGAGAAGCATAATTGAAGTGCAATTAAGACCAGGAAAATCAATCTCTTCATTGTAAGAGTATGAGAAGAGGTTGAGTCAGGAACCTACAAAGAGTGTTTACTAATTAGATAAGCAAATAATTGGCACATGTTTTTCCCTCTGAAGTTGTCACTTCTCCATTGGTCAAAAGATTTCAAACATGGCATGTGTGACTGTTATGCTGCTAATAACTATTCTGGAATTACTGACCTTGCTGATGAACTGGAAACTCGTTGAGTATGGTTTTGTATATCTACGTACAGTATATGTTTGAGGCACCCATTACCACTTAGTCTATCAGTTCACTTTTGATATTGAATGGTGAATGAAGGTATGCAGGAAGACCTCGTCCTATGGTCTACCATTTATGATTGGACCAGAGGCAGAGTCTCACTCTGTTGCCCAGGCTGGAGTGCAGTGGCACAATCTCGGCTCATTGCAGCCTCCACCTCCCAGGTTCAAGCAATTTCCTGTCTCAGCCTCCACATAGGTGGGATTATAGGCACCAGCCACCACGTCCGGTTAATTTTTGTATTTTCAGTAGAGATGGGGTTTTGCCATGTTGGCCAGGTTGGTCTCAAACACTTGACCTCAGGTGATCTGCCCACCTCGGCCTCCCAAAGTGCTGGGATTACAGGCCTGATCCACCGCACTCTGCCTGTATGAGAATATTTTAAGTTTAACTTTGTTAGATCATTAATATAGCCATATTTTCATTTCAGTTCTCTCTCTCTCTCTTTTTATCCTCTCACACACACATGAACACACCCACCAACACACACAATTAGGAAGTGGCAAGATACACAAATTTGAGAAATATATTCATAAGTATGATTTCTATAGTGCCTTGTATAGTAACAATAAATATTTGTTAAATTGATTGTTTTAAAATTTGGAAACTAATTTATTTTTATTATTGCTAACATTAGTTGAAGCTATTACCAAGATTTCTGAAGAACACAGGCAATATTAAAAACAAATAAGTGAACAAACAATAAACTTAAAGTTATGAATCACATTGACTTGGTGATTTCAATGGTCAAATATATAAACATCATAATTAGACTCCTTTTTCCTCATTAATTAGGAAGTATGTCAGCAATTAATGTGATTATGCTTAATATTTTATAAAGTTTTCAGAGTTTTAAAACATTTTTAAAATATTTAAAATATTTTTAAAATTCTTAAGTTTTAAAATATTTTCAGTTTTGAGTATACAAGTTGTGATTAATCGTACATTTTCTATTGACCTTGCAATATATTTTTAAAGCTTTATTAAAGTATACTTTAGATACCATAAAGTTCGTTCACCGTAAGTGAAAGTCAATACATTTTTAGTAAATTTTTAGAGTTGTGTGACTATTACCAATTTCCAACGTTAGAACTTTTCCATCACACTAAAAAATTTCCCTCAAGCCTCTTTTCAGTCAATCTCGGCTTCTACTTTCAGCCCTAAGCAACCATTGATCTGCTTTTTATCTCTATAAATTTACTTTTTCTGAATATTTTATATAAATAGAATCATACAATATGTAATCTTTTGCATCTGGCTTTTTTCACTTGTCACAATGTTTTTGAAGTTTGTTTATGTTAAAACAGTGTTTTATGTTGTATCTAAGAACTCTTTGCCTAACCCAAGGTCTTGACACTTTTCTTTAATGTTTTCATCCATAAGTGTTATAATTTTAGCTTTTACATTTAGGTCTATAAGATCCCTGTTAATCTTTCTGCATGATATAAAGAAAATTCTTAGACGAATATATCTATATTCAAAACGATATAAATTTGTATTGACTTACCTTGAAATGTATTTTTATTTTTTCATTTGTATATATTCAAGGCCAGTACACCAGAAATTCACTTAAACTAAGATAATTATAATTAAAAAAACAGTCTCGGGATAAACTGAGAAGTAGTTCTGTTGGCTTTGTACCACTCCTTATCTTTCTTATTACTTACTTTCTCCTTATTAACCTGTAGGAGAAAAAGAGATCTTCCGGCAGCTTGTTGTTAGTCAAAACCAATACAGAATTTTCTTCTTCCACACTCTCTCAATAGAACATAAAGGTATGTTCTATTTTGTTTCAGTGGAATTTCCTGCTAAAGACAAAATAAAAATTTTCTGAGTACTTAGGGATATTTAGAGTACTTGCTGTCAAAATAGCTATAGGAAGGAATACAACAGTGAAAGGACCTGGAGTAATAAATATAATTGCTAATTAAAATATGTCAAAAATGTATCCAATACTAATAATCCAAGGACAATGAGAAAATTGTCCTAGAAATTATATGACACTTATGAGATATTTTTCTCCTTGCTGCTAAGTGGAAACATTGGAAATTTTGAGGTTATTTTTCTTTCAACTAAGACCTAAGATTAGTGCTTCTTTACATAAGCAGCTCTCCCTTCTTAGTTTATGTCTCTTTTTATACAGGAACCTATGTTGTTAGAATTAATCTGAAGAGTCAATCATCCCACCCACTATAGCAGGAAAGAATGATTAGTAGATGGATTAATAATGGCTGTATTTACCTTTATGAGAGCTAATCATTATCATGCTGATAGGAATAAAGTCATTATTGTTCATGGATAAAAGTAAGCTATTTCAATGCCAATGACAATTTAGATTTACAGTAGCAGTAATGTAGTAATAAAGTACAATCAACATTTTATTGCTACCACTCACAAAATACATTAACTGTTAACCTAAGGAAGTTTCAAGTATGTAATTGTAATCATAATTTTAACTCATGAATTTATGCATTTTTATTCCTAGATATCAGCTGGAGTTATTTTATTTAATTGAAGAAGGACACTCAGCATTTTATTACCTCTTGAAAGTCTGAATAGTAAAGTATTTTCTACAGACGATGAATTCTTATTCAGTATAGCTTGTGGCTTACAAATGATCCATTCATACCATCCACAGCTATTTAAAAACAATATGTGCCTTTGAGTTCTCTGCTACTAAATCTAGGAGACATCAGGAAGAGCAAGATTTTCGATGCAGCTATACAGTCTTCTTTTAGAGTGATGGTTCTCAAAGTGTGGTACCTAGACAAGCAGTGTCAGCCCCATCACTGAAAGAGATCAGAAACAATGGGGGTAGGTGCCCAGCAAGCTGTGTTTTAACAAGTCCTCTGGGTGATTCCGATGCTTAATAAAGTTTTAATAACTATTAATTCTAAGTTAATAATTACTGAGAAATTCTTAGTAGGCAGGCTCCTCTTCTATAATTTGTTCCATATTCTCTCAGTCCTAAATGAACCAGCTCAGCTTCCCTTGGAAGTGATTGCATCTGAGTCTGCATCCTCCATGGGGATTGAGATGGAAAAGATCAGAGTCAGGAAGGAGTACCAAGATGCAGCTGAGGTAAAATGCTGTAATGCAGGAAGGATGATCAGGTTCTAAAATGATGGCCCCTGTGGAAATCCTTGTATTGAAACAGCCATGAATTTCACAACAGTGCATTTCAGAAACAGAGATGAGACAGGAAAGAAACTGGTGCTCGCAGAGGAGTAGTAGCTAAGTATTAATTAATTAGGTCAAGGTGTACTGTTCCCAAGGCCAGCTAGGATGCTTTCCAAAATGGTGGTCTAGTTGTCAGTCTCCAGAGTTTAACCCACGCTTACAAAGGGAACTGTGAGACTTTAACTTTCAGTGCCTGTCTTCTAGATTATTTTCAAACCCTCCCTTCCCACTCTGCCAGGCATACTTTGCCTTTGTTTACTTTCTAAACACTTCTACAGAAGAGTTTGAGTTATGTAATTTCTCTGTCTGAAAGCTTGCAGTGCTCTTGTTTTCTCACCAGCTATTAATATGTACATTCTTGCTAACTTGACATCTGAGGCCTTCTAAAATGAATGTCAATTACCCTTCCAATGTAACCTATAACTGCTTCCCAACATGCATCCTGTATTCACTAAGTTGGATAGTTTACCCTTCCTTGAATACTCTCAATAACCTCTCTATTGTTATTCTGCCTGATTCTGTTCCCTCCAATTCTCTTCTAGATGCCTGCCACATAATACTTTTTGTGGGATGTGGTCTCACTCTCTCACTTGGACCTGTCTAATTCTCTTTGTATTTACTCTACAACTCCTTGTTACAAATTCTACTTATTTGTTCATAAAGTGGTAACTACAGCATGATGGGAATTGCACATCAAGTTATTCAACACATAAAAATTGGGATTATAGAATCTACTTCAAAGACCTTTTCAAATATACTAATGAATGAATGCAATTTTATTGTTTATTAACTTTTAATAGTATTATTCACATAAATATAAGGACAATAATGTAGAAAGTATTCAAAACATAAATTCCAAAAATAATTATTGACAACTAAGTCTCTGTCAAGACATCTAAGATGTCTCTGTCATCACTGAATTCAGATTCTAGTTAGGAGAAATAGAGTAGATTTACGATGTTCCTAACACAAAGAAATGATAATGCTTGAGGTGTTGGACACCCCAGTTACCCTAATTTGATCATTACGCATTGTGTGCTTGTATAAAAATATCACACGTACTTCGTAAATATGCACAATGATTATGTATCCGTAACTAAACATTAAAAAATCAAAAAGAATAATTTTACAGAATGAGAATATATTAAGAAAATAGAACAAAATGATGAAAATCAGTGTGATTTTACAGGAGAGATACTTAAAGCTAGTTTTTCAAGCAAGGTCTCTCTTCAGTGATTTACTCATTCATTTGTTTGTTCATTTATTCAGTGATATATTCATTCATTTATTATGTTTATAGTAGTAAATATTATGTAAAAATAAATCATGGAAATGTATAAAGAATGACTGGTAAAGGTGGGCATTTTTATTTTAGATGAAGTGGTTGGGGATATCCTTCAGAGAGGCAATTATGGTAGCAGGCACCTGAATAATAAGCAGGAGTCAGCACGGATAATTTGGTAAAAGATGTTACAGTGAGCGGACATCTAAAAATAAAGAAAATTACCACAAAGATCAGGAAGTCTTCTAAGGAAATCTGCTTAAGAAATGTTCCTACCCAGCTGGGCAGGCTTTTAGACATTTTGGCTCAGTATCCATGTCCAAAGTTGTGCAGGCTTAAGCAAAACAACCCTCTCAGATTCGGGGGGTTTTGCTTGCCACATGTTGATGGTCAGAGGATGTGAGCGTGGGAAAGTTTCCCGAGTAAGAACACTGTGTGGTAACTGATGAATTCTGCTTCTGATGTGAGTGGATGCTTCCTTGACTTTGTGAGCTTTAAACTGATGCCAAAATCATCAAACTGCATGTATTTCTTTCTATTTTCTCTCCATTTTCCTTGTCTGCCAATGTTGAGAACATTCACATACATCATTTAACTAGACAAACAGGCCCAACAGTAGCCTGTTCTCTGTTACTCCTGTGACCAGATAATTTTCTTATTTGAGTTTCCTAAGTTATTCCCCAGTAAGAAGACACTATGTACTGCAGGCGAGAAGTGTTGGCTCACGCCTGTAATCCCTGCACTTTGGGAGGCCGAGGCGGGCAGATCACCTGAGGTCAGCAGATCAAGACCAGCCTGACCAACATGGTGAAACCCCGTCTCCACTAAAAATACAAAAATTAGCTGGGCGTGGTGGCGGGCGCCTGTAATCCCAGCTACTCAGGAGGCTGAGGCAGGAGAATCACTTGAACCCGGAGGCAGAGGTTGCAGTGAGCCGAGATAGCGCCACTGCACTCCAGCCTGGGCGACAGAGTGAGACTCTGTCTAAAAAAAAAAAAAGAAGACACTATGTACTCTAGAAAATGATCCTTTACAAAGGAATTTTAGTTTTTAGCTCTAATAAATTTAATTGAGATGAAAATAATGCTTCACTATGTTTTACACAGTGAGATCAAGAAATTGACATTTTACAGCAAAGTAAATGTCAGTTAAAATGCTATGGTATCAAATAATTCTTTTCCCATTTTAAAGTGAAAACATATAGGACAGATGTCCATTCTTGATATTTTGAAAGAAAAAAATCAGAAAAGAAAAATAAAAAAAACACTTTTAATTCTACTTAACATTCATTCATTGTGTAAGCAAATAGTATTTCAAAATATCTATATATAAATGTAAGTTTGTGCCCCCAAATGTTGATCCATCTCTCCTTCACTCTCAATTTATTTGTAAAGCAATAAAATTGCTAAAAAACTGCTGCTGCCAATACCAGTTCTCTGTTGGCAAATTTGATGTTATACTTTAAAAATAAGTGAAGAAGCAGCCAACTGAACTGGCAATAAAGCACTCAATAAATAGTTGCTCAAAGAATGACTGACTGACCAAAGCATTAACCACTGGACATTGGACCTTTTTTTCTGTCCCTCCAACACTTTGACCACACACAAATCTCTGGATAAGACTCTTCTGGCACAAATTTTTGGGTAAACCTCATCACATTAAAAGGCAGGAAAGGGGGTTTTTAGACCTACCTCTGCTACAGCAACTTGCACAGTCTTAGATAAGCTCAACCATTTTTGAACTCTATTTTAATGATTTTTAACAAGACGGCATGGTCTAAATGACATCCTGGTTCTCTGTGGTTTTAACATTCTGAGCTCGTTTTCCCTGGCCTGTTTGCATGCAGCTCTCCCTCATTGTGGCTGATTTATGAGGCACATTTACCTTTTCTTCATTTCCCTTCATTTCCAGGGTATTTGTAAATATAGAGGAACGAGCCCAAGGGAAGGAACTGGAGAGGAGAGGAGGGAGAAGAGATGACTCTGAAAGCAAAGTTACACACCTTTCACCACAACACTTAGGAGAAAAAAATTTGCTCTATAGTTTCCATTAAGTTTGAACGTGCAGGCAGGAAAGTATCTTCAGGTGAGAGTATTTAAAGAGGAACTGCTGCGTTCCTCCTACACTTTTAGAAGATTTCTTCAGGCTAACTGTGCAAAGCTCAAAACGTGTTGAAAGCTGCAACCAACAAAGGTTAAGGGTTTTTTTTTTTTTTTTTGAGAGAGCAATATAAAATCTAGAGAGGTTCAGTTTAGGCATCTATCCCAGAATGTAAATGTCTTTCTTTGGTGATACAGAAACAAATACAGCCCAGTGTTTTGAAGATTTTACGTTCATAGTTGGAATATTTAAGGTAAGCCTATAGGTCCATTATGTGTAAATATGAATCTTAATTATTTATTTATTTAGAGACGGAATTTCACTCTTCTTGCCCAGGCTGGAGTGCAATGGCGCGATCTCGGCTCACAGCAACCTCTTCCTCCTAGGTTCAAGCAATTCTCCTGCCTCAGCCTCCCAAGTAGCTGGGATTACAGGCATGCGTTACCACACCCGGCTAATTTTGTGTTTTAGTAGGGATGGGGTTTCTCCATGTTGGTCAGGCTAGTCTCAAACTCCCGACCTCAGGTGATCCGCCCGCCTCAGCCGGCCTTCCGAAGTGCTGGGATAACAGGTGTGAGCCACCGCACCTGCCATGATTATCAACCTTTAGCTGTAGGACTGATTAATGTGTAGTATCTTTTTCAATGAGTGAAAATAGATGCCCTCCTACCATCAGGAGTCTGGTGGGAATTAACTCTACTTAAGACCAGAATGGATCATTTACAATTTTGAGTTAATTTACTGCATTTAATAAAGTCAATTATAATGAATTGAGACAGAGGGTTTGGGGATTCTTAAAGGTTTTGGCCTGTATTCTTCGCACATATCAAATGTGTTCTCTATTTGAAAAAAAAAAATGTTTGCACATGGGTTTTTTTTTTAAAGAACATTTCATACCTGTAATAAAATGAAAAACCTATTGGATATTTGATGAGCTCTATAGCCTATATAATTATAGGAACTCTACACAGATCCATTTTAATTTATACCTCAGAATAGTGAAGAATTGCTAAGAGAAGACATCCACAGCATTAGGACTAGTTTTTCTTAGAGATGAATGGGCATTGCTCTAGGGATAAGATGGTATGCTGGGTTATAACATTTTGGGAAAATGGAAGAAGGTTTGGGGGACAGACTTCCATTATTAGCTTATTGCTCCTAAATTCTTCCTTAGCACAATGAGAATATATAGAGCGTGCTTTGGAAAGGTAGCAGAGTATACCTCCGAAATTCACTGACTTGTGAATCCACACAGGATCAACATGGGAAATCAGACATGGCATTATGTGTCACCCTGAATCACTTCTAAACATTATCAGTGAAGTGAAATGCCTACTTACTCATTACATTTCACCGCCTTAACATTTTCCTGAGAATCCGCGAGTCCCACAGTCTATATTCTTTGCTCTGACTCTACATGACAATAATTAACCCAGTCATAGTGGAGCATTCAGTTTTTCCTCCCTGCCCAACAAGTGAAACAGAATATCAATAGTAGAGTTATTAAATACAGCCCAAGGCAGGACATTTTGGCTGGCAATGTCAGATACCAAACATCCACTTCATAATTTTACTGGTACCAATCGCCTGTAGGTATTGTTGAGGTAGCCATGGTGAAGTAACCATAGTAAAGTAACCGATACTCATTCATTTGTTAATTAAGATTAAAAGTATAGCTCTTTATGCTTCATGAAAAGATAGTTTCACAACTCTGAGTTTATAAGAAATTCAATTCCTTTGGGGTAGAAATGTATTAGAACATAAGTCAATTTTTGTAGAAATCTTTTCAGGAGATCTAATTCAATCTATTCTGAACCTCAATATGGTATCTTCTTATTAGCCATAGAATTTATAAAAATAAATTGGAAGCTTTTGTCTTTAGTTATGGTTATATTTAATAACATCTTGTAACAATAGACATCTTTTGCTTCCAGAAAAAAACTTCAGTAACTTTTGAGCTTTTGCTTTTTCTATTTCAGTTTTATAATAGAATTTGTATGTAAAAACCATAAAACCTAACATAAATCAGGAAAAGGAAGAAAATAAAATCCTCCCTTGACTTTATGTTTCATTAGAGGGAAAACTAGATCACAGATATAGAGTCACACATACTAAAAAAAGTTACTGAAAATATATAATATTGACAGCAAGATGCAGAAGGGCCTCAATATTTAAGGCATGACTATTTATTAAAGTCTCCTTATATGAGTGCCTCCAGTGAGTATGAGGCCTGCAATTGTAACACATATCCCATTTTATTGTAATGTTTTTGTTATGTGAAGTTTCATGCTGACAACTTACTTGCAACCTTAAACTGAAGAACCCACACCAGAGCCCCAGCTCCCATAATAGAAATGTATTGGCAAAGGAGAAATTTGAAATACTATTGTCTGACCTCTTCATTTTACAGATATGGAGGTGAATACTCAGAGAAGTGAAATGAATTTCTATTACTCAAGTAATTCACTGATTTAACAAATATTTATTGAGTAAATTGTGTATGTAAGTCTTTGTGCCAGGAAGTTAAGTTAGAAAAATGAATAAGATAATATTTAAAGTAGAGACCCCTATACTGAACACTAAACTAATTGGGGTAAGAGTGAGGACAATAATAATTTCTAGGATAGAGGTAGGATACCTAGCCAGCTTGACATAATCAAGAAAAGCTGAGCAATCTGAGATGGGACAGGGAGCATAAGCAGGGATTAGCCTGGTGAATACAAGAGAAAAAGCATTCGGAGAGAGAGAGCACTATGAGCAATGGCATGATGTTAGAAACAGCATGCTTCCATGATTTTGATGCTTTGACTGAGTGGGTTTGCTTTAAGAAGGAAAAATGGCCAATTTTATAAAAATTCTACAGGTAGCTGCAAAAGAAGAGGCTGCTAAAAGAAGCATCATGTGATAATGAGAAATATTCTCAGAAGCTGTACATTTTCTGATTTGGTAGATAATTTTTTTTTTTTTTTTTTTTTTTAGATAAAGTCTTGCTTTGTCACCCAGGCTGGAGTGCAGTGGCACGATCTCGGCTCACTGCAACCTCCGCCTCCCATATTCAAGCAATTCTCCTGCCTCAGCCTCCTGAGCCGCTGGGACTGCAGGCACACACCACCACACCCATCTAATTTTTGTATTTTTAGTAGAGATGGGGTTTCAGCATATTGGCCAGGCTGGTCTCAAACTCCTGACCTTGTGATCTGCCCACCTCAGCCCCCCAAAGTGCTGTGATTACAGGCATGAGCCACCGCACCTGGCCTATATTTTTCTTTTTCAAATAACTCGTAAAATGTTTTCAGTGATCCACTTACCCTCACTATTTGCATTAGTTTTTCCACTCCCCATTCTTCTGGTGGAAGAAAGTCACTTGTAATCACTTTTAACTTTCTCTCCTCTTCTCTACTTCCCCAATCCACAGAGACTTGAAGCAGTTTTTAAAGAAAACACTTCAAATCCATTATTTCTCTTTAAAAGTTTGGAACTAGTTTGGAAATTCTTCTATCAGCCCAAATAATCAAATCTGAACAATGTCAGCACTCCAGAATTTGGAACATGTAAGAACAGAGCTTAGCATTACTTTACCTCATTCCAGTCAGGCTAGAGTAGCTACTTACTTCCCTAAGGAGACTATTGTTGAGTGATGGGTACATATGAATGGGATCTGGACATAGGTAGAAAGAACAGTTTTCATCATAAAGGATTCTGGCTTTTAATGTGCCTGATATAAGATTTTTGGAGCAAAGGCCCATGGAAGTAATTTCCTTCTTATGACCCTCCCCTAGAGTTTAAGATTTCCCAGGTGTATGGCTATTAAGACATGGATTTTAGTGTTGAAAGAAAGTACTTATGGCCTAGTTAGTAGGAAACATTGAAGCTGCCACTTAGGAGCAAACCCACTTAGTCATTCCTGCTTTTTGGTAGTGAACAATGAGGAATTAAGCACATGTAGTTTCTAGTATAAGGGCCTTTGCTGTATTTTTCATGATATTTTACAGCTCACTTTGAAGAACCATCACATTTAGTGCAGCTGGAGATCCATTGGCCTTCTATTATAATAATAATATCTATTATTTCTATTAAATTGGATTTTAAGTCACATTTAAAAGCAGGGCGTCTATTTATTTATCCATGGATCACATTAAAGTCTACGAGAGACATTACAGCAAAGATGTTAATAATGTTGGAATCAGAAAAACTTGAGAATGTTTTTTCTCTTAGTCACTTACTAACTCTATAACAATGTTTAAATTAATTAGACTATGTCAAGTTTGGTATGTAGGTTATACTAAATATACATAATTCTCTAGACAACTTTTCTCATTCTAGATATGTTATATTTGCTTTATATTTTGAAACCACATAATTAAGTACAAACAAAATTAGAATAGCAGCCAGACCATGTGGCTCATGCTTGTAATCTTAGCACTTTGCAGGGCCAAGGCCAGAGGATCACTTAAGGCCGGGAATTCAAGACCAGCTTGGGCAACATAGGGAAACCCTGTCTCTATGAAAAATAAAAAATATTAGCAAAATGCAATGGTGCTAACAGGTAGTCCTAGCTATTTGGGAGGCTGAGGTGGGGGCGTCAGTTAGGTCCAGGAGTTTGGGGCAACAGTAAGCCGTGATCACGCAACTGCACTCCAGCCTGGGTGACAGAGCCAGACTCTGTCTCAAAAATAAAAACAAAAACAAAATTGGAATAGTTATATCTACTTGATAAATTAATTAGCATAATACAGTGATGTATTTTTCATGTGATAATGCCTTATGCCTTAAAGTATGCTTTCTCTGATGTTAATATACTATTTTTTTTTTAATTATACTTTTAAGTTTTAGGGTACATGTGCACAACGTGCAGATTAGTTACATATGTATACCTGTGCCATGTTGCTGTGCTGCACCCATTAACTTGTCATTGAACATTAGGTATATCTCCTAATGCTATCCCTCCCCACTCCCCCCACCCCACAACAGGCCCCGGTGTGTGATGTTCCCGTTCCTGTGTCCATGTGTTCTCATTGTTCAATTCCCACCTATGAGTGAGAACATGCAGTGTTTGTTTTTTTGTCCTTGCAATAGTTTGCTGAGAATGATGGTTTCCAGCTTCATCCATGTCCCTACAAAGGACATGAACTCATCATTTTTTATGGCTGCATAGTATTCCATGGTGTATATGTGCCACATTTTCTTAACCCAGTCTATTGTTGTTGGACATTTGGGTTGGTTCCAAGTTTTTGCTATTGTGAATAGTGCTGCAATAAACATACGTGTGCATGTGTCTTTATAGCAGCATGATTTATAGTCCTTTGGGTATATACCCAGTAATGGGATGGCTGGGTCAAATGGTATTTCCAGTTCTAGATCCCTGAGGAATTGCCACACCAACTTCCACAATGGTTGAACTAGTTTACAGTCCCACCAACAGTGTAAAAGTGTTCCTATTTCTCCACATCCTCTCCAGCACCTGTTGTTTTCTGACTTTTTAATGATCACCATTCTAACTGGTGTGAGATGGTATCTCATTGTGGTTTTGATTTGCATTTCTCTGATGGCCAGTGTTGATGAGCATTTTTTCATGTGTCTTTTGGCTGCATAAATGTCTTCTTTTGAGATGTGTCTGTTCATATCCTTCACCCACTCTTTGATGGGGTTGTTTTTTTCTTGTAAATTTGTTTGAGTTCATTGTAGATTCTGGATATTAGCCCTTTGTCAGATGAGTAGCTTGCAATACTATTATGATTTTCTTTTTTAGTGTTTGCATAATAACTGTTTTGATCTTTTTATTTTCAAACTTTATGTCCTTACTTTGGAACACTAACTCCAAACTTAAACACTATTATGTATTTTTATTACACATGAAATGTGTTTCTTCATCTTCTAAGATATTATTTTCATTGTTCTGTATATCAAAAATGTATTTATATTTACCCACATAATTAATATTTTGGTTCACTTTTATCTTTCCTGCATCTTCATCTATTTGTTTTGAATAATATTTCATTCATTTGAAGAATATCTGCTGCTTAAAACTTGTTCAACATTTGTTTAAAATGTGTTTCACTCTCATTCTAGATGGATATTTTTGTTGAGTGTACATCTACATTTTGTTCTTTTTTTAAGATATTTTTCTTTTTTTTTCTTTCATAGCTGAACTGTGTGTGCCTGGGTGGATTAATTTTTTGAAAAGAAATTTTCTGCTTGGGATTATCAGGCTTATTGAATCTGTCACTTAATAAATATATTTCACAATTTCTCAAAATTGCCCATACATAATATCTTACAAGGTTACTTTTGTCCCATCTTTCCCTCTCCTCCTTTCAAAAAGATGTGTATTTTAGGTTTTTCAATGTATTTATCTATATTTCACCCTCTTTTTGGTCTTTTTCATCTTTTGTATTTCCACGCTTAATTGTAGATATTTTCTTCTGATTTACTTTTCATATCATTAATTTTCTCTTCACCTGAAGAGAAGCATCTGACCTGTTATTAAACCTCCCTATTTTATTTTATAGTAAGACTATTGTAATTTTTAGTTTGAGAACATATATTTGGTTCAATTTCCAATCTGCTATATCACCCTTTTATAATTTCCGGATACCTGCTGATAATTTCAAGCTTTGGTTCTATTTCTTTGGACACAGAAAGTATAATTCTTATAGCATGTATCTAATAATGCCATTATCTGTAGTCTCTAGAAGTTTTTATTGGAAAATATAATGCCTGTCTTCCCAAATAGTGCTCTTACAAAATTCTCTAGTGCTGCTGATTCTTCTGGCTTTTGCTTTGTTTGATTCCTGTCCCTTCATGTGCCTGGTTATCTTGGATTTTGTGCTGCATATTATGTTTAAATTTTATTTGTAGAATCTCTTTTCTAAAAACTATAAAAATTTGTGAAAGAAAATAAAGAAGTCTAAATAAATGGAGAGATATGCCATGTTTGTAGATTTGAACATGAAATAACAGTTACAAAGACAATTCTCTGAAAGTTAATCTATAGATTTAATGTAATCCCAATAAAAATCCTAGAAGTCTTTATATTTTGGTCAACATTGCTAGTAAATTATAAAATTTATGTAGAAATGCAAAGAAACTGGAAAGCAAAAGCAATATTTTCAAAGAACAAAGTTGAAGGAGTTTCTCTACCTTACTTCAAGACTTACTATAAAGCTATACTAATTAAGACAGTTGGGTTTGTTGAAATTATAGACATATGGATTGATGGAATAGAACAGAAAGTCTATAAATAGACCTAAACTTTTACTTCATATTGCGTACCAAAATCAACTCAAAATGGATCATAGATCTAAATAGAACAAGTGAAACTGTAAAACTTTGAGAAGAAAATATGAGAGGAACTCTTTGGGACTTTGGTGTAAAGTCTCTTAGATAGAACTAAAAAAAGGATACACCATCCAAAAATGAAAAATTGGACTTCAAAATTCAAATAACAGAAACACAAACTTTTGCTCTTTCAAAGACACCATTAAGAAAATGAAAAGGCAAGCCATAAGTGGGACGATCATGTTCACAGCATGCATATCTAATAAAGAAATATGTAAAGAATTCTTGCCACACAATAGGAAGAATACAAACAACCCAATCTTAAAATGGCTATAATTTCAAAACAGATTATAGGGAATGGGAGTGAAGACAAATTTAAAAACCACCCAAGTATAATGATGTCTTAGTCAGTTTGGGGTGTTATAACAAAATACCATAGACTGGTGGCTTATAAACAAAAAACAAAGCAAAACTTTTGTCTCACAATTCTATAGGCTGGAAGTCCCACAACCAGGGTGCCAGCATGGTTGGGTTTCGGTCCTCTTATGGTTTGCAGACTACTATCTTCTTTTCATGTCCTCACATGGCACAAGAGCAAGAGAGCTCTCTAGAGCACCTCTTATAAGGCACTAATCCCATTCACAAAGGCTCCACTCTCATGACCTAATTACCTTCCAAAGACCACCACCTCTTAGTTCCATCCTATTGGGGGTTAGGATTTCAACACATAAATTTTGAGGGACACAAACATTCAGTCCATTTCATTACTCCTCTGCTCCCCCACAAATTTGTGTCTTTCTCACATGCAAAATGCATTCATTTCAACCCAACAGCCCCCAAAGCATTAACTCATTCCAGTATCAACTCCAAAAACTAAGGTCCAAAGTCTTATCTAGATATCATCTACATCAAATATGAGGGAGGCACAAGTTATGATTTATCATTAAATTTCTCTTTAACTATGAACATGTGAAACAAAACAGTTACGTGCTTCCAAAATGCATTGGTCAGACAAGCATAAGATAAACATTCCCACTCCAAATACAGAAATAGGAAAGAAGGAAGAGGTGAAGGGTATCAAGTAAGTTCAAAACCCATCAGGGCTCAAGAATTAAACCTTAAGGTTCAAAATAATCCTCTGGCTAACTTCTCTGCCCTCCAGACCCCCTAGAGCAGTGGCCCCATTTCCACAGCTCTGCTGAGCAAGACTCATGTGTTCATGGCTCTTCTGGGCTAGAATCACATGCTGGTGACTCTGCTGGTCTTGGGTCATAGCACCATGACTCTGGGTGGTGACCTTGCCCCCTGGCTCTATTGGGCACAGCCCATGCAACAGCTGTGGCATGGAAGCCCATACCTAAGGCATTGAGTGTGAGCATTCTGGCCCACCTGAATCAGAGAGGATGCCCAAGCCTTTGAAATTGCTCTGTGCCTCTGGCCCTTGCACTCTGAGCCTGTGGTGAAGGAGGCAGCCCTGATTATCTCTGAATCACCTTGTGGGGTAAGTGGTATCATCCTTCTTTATTTTCAAGAACAATGCTTGGCTCCTGTTGAGAGGGCTATTTAGGTTTGTGGTTGAAATGGTCACTTGGCCATACTCCTAATCGTCTCTTCTCAACACACTTTCTCAGTGTTTTCAAAGTGGATAGGCTGAGAATTTTCCAAATCTTTAAATTCTACTTCCTTCTCAACATTTCTGTCTTAAAAGCATTTCTTTCTTCTCACACTTAACTATAATCAGGCAAGAGTAACCAAATTGCTCCTTCAATGCTTTGCTTAGACATTTCCTCGGTTAAATATCCAATTTGGTTGCAAGTTCTACCTTCCACAAAACAGTAGAACACAAACACAAGTCAGTTAATTTTTTTTGCTGCTTATTAATAACAAGGATCTCCTTTTCTCTATTGTCCCATGACATGCTCCTCATTTCCATCTGAAGTCTCAGCAGAATGGCCTTACCATCCATATTTTAGCCAACATTCTATTCATGTTACTTAGGTGTTCTCTAAGAAGATAAGCTTTCTCTATAGTTCTACCCTTTTCTTTCTGACAAGATTCACCTTTAAAATTTTGTTCATGGCTATATCGGATTTGTCTAGCATACACCTGAAAACTCTTACAGCCTCTACCCATTACCCATTACCACAGCTGCTTCCATATTTTTAGCAATTTGTTATAGCAGGACTCCCACTTTTTGATATTAATATCTGTCTTTATTAAATTACAATTTCAATAGTTCAGTAATAAGTAACAAGTTTTTGAATTGGGCAGTTAAGAAATACTAGAAATAAAAAAGCATGTTGAAGTATTTGCTGTGGTAAAGAATCAGGTTTGGCTTCCTGTATCATGACTTTAAGACTGGACATAGAACCAATGAGTAGAAAAGCCATATACTGGGATAGAGTGGAGGAAAGGAAAATAAGTTGAATTTTGAATATAGAGGCTTTAGGTACCTAATGCAACATTTACTGATTCTTCCTAGGGAGACTAGTTGGTGATTACTAAAAGGGATTTTTCAGAAAAACTAGAGAAAAACATGAATAGATGGTGTAAGGAAGTCAAGGAAGGAAGAAATGATCAGTAATGTAAAAAATGTTAAACACAGTGTTAATTCTATTTCTACAATAAAGAATAATTATAGAAATGTATTAATAATTTTAAGTATTTCAAATCCCATTGACATTTAGCTAGAATGCATTTAGTTAGAAATGAAATGGTTCATGTTTTGAGTAGCAAGTTTCCATTTTTAAGTTATTTATAAGTCATATGAAAACTAATCACTATATTTGACAGTCTATGGTTACTTGTATGGGATGAATTTCAATCGAGTGGAAGAACCAGAAATAAAACTGTGGCAGGTTTTGTGAATAAGATATGAAGAGACAGAAACAAGAAATATACATATACACTATTCTTTCAATGACATTGATTATAAGTGAGTTACAAAATGAATAAATTCAGTTTCTCTAGTAAGAGGTTATGAAGAAGATATTACAAGGAAAGACATCAGTATAAAACAGTGCTACAGAGATTGATAGGTCGCATAAAGAGAAGGGAGCTGATTATATTATGCTTGTGAATCTAAATCTGAAGATCCTCTTAGTGAGATTTGTCTCAGCAGCATACATTAACAATGAAAGTAGAAACAGAAGTTTAAAATCCACCAGAAATTCTCAGGCTGAGGCTTCAGACTCCCCTTTCTTTGATTTCCAGTGAACTCGAGATGAAAAGTAGAACAGATCTAAGCAGCTTTAAAGTGATGACTGGGGATTTATTTTTAAAAGAGTTGGGTATTAAATTTAAATAGCTCATTTAGGTGTTGATGCCTCCTGGAAATTTTCAAGATAACTATCCAACTTGTAACTTAATTACATAAATAATGATAATTATTTGACTTCCTTCATTATATTCTTAATTATAGAAATACAATTGACACTTTTATATATTTCAAATACCCTTGACATTTAGTTAGAATGCATTTAGTTAGAAATGGAATGGTTAATGTTTTTAGTAGCAAGTCTCCAATTTTTAGGTTATTTATAGGTAATATGGAAAATTTGTAATTATACACTAAGCTTTAAATTTTGTTTAGATATTCTTATTAGCTGTGTAAAAGCAAATAATGACCTAGTCCATTTTATTTAAATACTATATTTCTTGTGATTAAATAGTTTAAAAAGAAAAGAACACAAAGAAAATTTTGCAAGATAAGTAACAATTTCAGAGATTTGAAACAGACCTCTAATCTACTTCTTTATTTTGTATGTAATGAACCTAAGATCAAAAAATGTAAGATAAACCTTCAAAGTCTCCATAACCAATTATAGAAGGGAATGTCACATGAGAAATTCAAACACAGATCTTCAAAATCATGCTCTTTTTCTCAAATGTTAGATACTACTGATAGTTTATTTTTATTTTTGAGATGGAGTCTCAATGGTTTTTTTTTTAATTACATGTGTTACCAAGAACAGAATTATGATTTAGCCCCTGTATTAGTCCATTTTGCATTGCTATAAAGGAATACCTGAGACTGGGTAATTTATAAAGAAAAGAGATATAATTGGCTCCTGGTTCTGCAGGCTGTACAAGCATGTACAGCCTCTTCTGGTGAGGCCTCTGGAAGCTTTTACTCATGGTAGAAGGCAAAGGGAGAGCAAGCATGTCACATGGCAAGAGAGGGAGCGGGGAAACAGGAGGAGGTCCCAGGCTTTAAACAACCAGCTCTCACGTGAACTAACAGAGTGAGAACTCGCTTATCACCAAGATGATGGCACCAAGCCATTCATGAGAGATCTGCCCCATGACCCAAATGCCTTCCACTAGGTTCCACCTCCAACAGTGGGGATCACATTTCAATATGAGATCTGGAGGGTACAAATACCCAAACCACATCAGCCCCCATCCATTAAATAACATGAAACTCTCTAGACCTCACTCCATTAATTTGGAGAGCTATAAACAAATATATTGGAAGGATAAATTAATATAAGAGCATATTTCTCTATGAATCACCTGAAGAGAAGAGAAATATATAAATTACTTTGAGATTATTCAGCTAGTTTCTCAACTTTATCATGAAGTAGAAATATGCCATCAGCAACATCCTTAAGTGTTTGTCTGAAGCAAATCACAAATAGTTGCACTAAGGTGACCATCAGTATTAACTCCCCACATCCATCACACACTACCTGATTCTTCTGTTAGGCACAGTAGTTTTTTTGTTTTTGTTTTGTTTTGTTTTTGAGACGGAGTCTTCCTCTGTCGCCCAGGCTGGAGCGCAGTGGCGCGATCTCGGCTCACTGCAAGCTCCGCCACCCGGGTTCACGCCATTCTCCTGCCTCAGCCTCCCGAGTAGCTGGGACTACAGGCGCCCGCCACGACGCCCGGCTAATTTTTTGTATTTTTTTAGTAGGGACGGGGTTTCACTGTGTTAGCCAGGATGGTCTTGATCTCCTGACCTTGTGATCCGCCCGCCTCGGCCTCCCAAAGTGCTGGGATTACAGGCATGAGCCTCCGCGCCCGGCCGTTTTTTGTTTAACTTAAAATTAGCTCAACAATAAGAATGGAAAGTCTAGACCAAAGTGAATTAAAAAGAAAAAAAAGGAGAGACATGATTTTTTTTTCTTAAGATTGAACCACAGGAGGAGACTTGCAACCTCACGTAGAATTGCTCTTTGACACAATCTTACAACTATGAGGTAGACCAATATTGCTACCTATAAATGTCTGGATGGCAGAGAAGAGGAGGAGATAGAGCCTGGGTACTGGCTGACATTGTTGAGCAAATAAATGAATCACCCAACCCTGAAACCTGCCCTGCCCTAGTTGTCAAGCTGGATGAGCTAATAGGTATCCTGCTGCATAGGTTGGTTTGATACAGATTTTTAGTTACCAAAGCTAAAAATATCAAAGTAATCTGATTCCTTTTTCTCTTAACATCCTTATCTTACTGAATTGTTAATTTTAAAAAATATATCATGGGAAGTTATAATGGGGAGTGGAAAATGAATGAATGCCACAGAATGTCAGATAAAAGATGTAAGTATAAGGGATAGGATGGGCAGTTGTAGAAGGAAAATGAATAAAAGGGAAGAAGAGTTGTGGTCACACAACTGGCTCTAGTGTATCAGTCTAATAGTAGGGAGATGATTAAATTGAGATGAACTTCCTGGATCATTTTTAGCACTGTAACAGCAATAATGTCTCTGGAAACAAGGAAGATTGGCATCAAATGCAAAATAGATTCCTGGACCGGACAGGGTCCTGGCAGGAAAGAGATGGCGTACTCCAAGGCTTTGGCAAAATAATTTAATCAAGGAATGATTTACCAAAGTGTGGGCAGCATTGATGGAACCTGCAAAGAATGGTTACCTAGAGATGAGTAACAGAGAGAGAACCATATCTAGATCTGCCAGGCAAGGAAATGGAATGGTGAAACTGGGGTTTTATAGAAGCTGAGTGGTGGAAGAGGGCTTTCCAACAAGATCTGTAGCTATGCACAGCCACTGCCAGAATCATGGCAAGGGAGGGAAAGAGTGGGCAAATAAATGCAGTGAACTTCCCACTCCTCTGACATCATTGTCTCTGCCAATGCCACACATAGACCAAAATCACTTAAAGCCCAAAGACTCCAGAGGTAGACAGTGCTTAGGGATCAATCCCCCAGGACACAGAGCAGTGAATTGATCTGGGATAGGGCAAACAGAGAATCATCAAATATATGATTTAATATATGACCAAGCATGGCCACTCTGACTTTCTATCGGTTAAAAAAGGTTCTTTAGGGTCTAGTTGTGTTCAGCATTCTGGATAACTCAGAGTTGGCTTTAAAATAAATGGAGAAGATTTGGGGGAAAAAAATCAAGAAGCTTTATCTAGTCCTCTGTGTTACACTGCACTCCTTATAGGGTGATTATGGAGCCATTCTATGGAGTCATTTGATGCTCTATTCCTGTAATTTGTCATTAAAATTTATGGGAATATGGTAGTAACTAAAACTTCAGGGTTTTCTTTTTTTGTTTATCAGTACCCTTTCTAATCATTGAAGCAATAATCTAGTTTAATAGTTAATTATTTAGGGAGAGGTCCTTAAAAACAACCCCTCAAACTCTCAAAAATCTCTTTAGAGGGCAAAAAATAAAAAATAAAGGAACAAATAAACCTCTGTCATGAATACATTTTAGTCTGCATATAACGATGTCAAAAATGTAGATTTCTTTGTTTTTTCATTACTCAAGTAAATTTATTTAAGTCCACATTTAGTTTGTTAACTGAAAAATTATACAATTTATAATTTTGGAAAGGAGACTTTATTTCTTATAAAGGGTTACAGCCTACAGGGTGCCCATTGTGACTGGCTGGGAAGTGCAGCCTCTGGTGGAAGCTCAGAAGCATGGACTTGGAAGGAGGGAGGGGTAAGACAGAAATTTAAGCTGAGCAGGAGCAGGTTGGCTAAACTTGTAGATATTCAACAGGTTGCAGTAGGAGCCATGAATATTTACAAAGGGGGTCCTGATGCATGTGTATTGAACAAATATGCATGTTACATATGACCCATGTTCACTTCAGGGTGGAGATTTAACATTTAAATGTCTTACAATTGGCCTTGTATGTCAAAGATCTTTTCAGAACATGAAGGCATTCAAGTGTACAGCCTCTGTAAACTGGCCAGAACCAGTCCACAGTTGGTGGTTTTTGAATCAGGAGAAAGTTACTAAAATCAGTCTCTTGTCCAATCAAAGCTGTAGTGATGGCTTGTGAAACAGGGGCTCAGCCAGCATCTGGCAGTGAGCTACAATTGCTTTACTATTGCTTATCTTGAGGCCAGTGCTTGTTTAGTTGCTAGAGTAAAAAAATACCTTGTGGAAGTTACAACATAGTTTATTCTTTAAGTGTAGGAGTATATAACTTAATCATTGCCTGGCATAGCCTTAGGTCTTATTTATAATTTGGCGTCTTACTGCCACAGTGTCTGTTCTGTCCATCCTATGATCTCTGTTTCAACGTTAATACTGATCAGTTGTTGTGTCTAAACTGAAAAAGGGAGGGAGTATAATGAGGCATTTCTGACCTCCCATCCTGTCATGGCCAAGAATCCAGTGTTCAAGGTTTCTCAGGGTCCCCTTGGCCAAGAGGGAGTTCAGTCAGTTGAGGGGCTTGGGATTTTATTTTTTGTTTATGAGCCTTATTGTACAAGTAAGTATCATTTAATCCTCTGAGATGTCAGAAAGGTAATTCCTTTCAATGTAGAGTCTCTCCCAATCTCTGTAAATTCTGGAGCCATTTTGGAGAGACAAGCACCAGGCTCTGTATGGCAGGACCTGACCCACACTGTATTTATCTGTGTTAAAATCAGCCTTAGCTAAGATGCACACTTTCTGCTAGCCCTCAGTCCTTGTTGTACTCAGTCTGTTGTTGCATTCTCCATACCGGGCGATACGGTATCTCTTCCGTTCCTTGAGTGCTCAGTGCCGTATTCATACTACTTTCAGACATGTAGGGAAATATGTTCATACCATGCTGAAGAACAGGAACCCTCTCTGAGGACCAACTACCTGACAAACCCCAAACTGTGGCTACACTACATACTTATATCACAGAACAAGATTAGGTACAGGGGAAACCTAGGAGAATTGCAGTCTTCCAAATGACATGGACCACAATGGGTATCCCTGTTCCTGGGCACCTAAATCAGTCTGGAGAGTCTACCTTCTGTACTTCTAAGATTCAGTCTTATTTACTATTGAAACTAGGTCGTTCAGAGAGTGAAAAGAAGCACTCTAAATAATGTACCAGCACAACAATTAAAAGCCAGGTCGTAAGGGACAAATGAGGACCTATGGTCGGTCATCTTATTACGCAGGGACACATTTGTATTTTCTCTTTTGGTTTATTTTATTTTATTTTTATTTATTTATTATTATTATACTTTAAGTTTTAGGGTACATGTGCACAATGTGCAGGTTAGTTACATATGTATACATGTGCCATGCTGGTGCGCTGCACCCACTAACTCATCATCTAGCATTAGGTGTATCTCCCAGTGCCTTCCCTCCCCCTTCCCCCACCCCACAACAGTCCCCAGAGTGTGATGTTCCCCTTCCTGTGTCCATGTGTTCTCATTGTTCAATTCCCACCTATGAGTGAGAATATGCAGTGTTTGGTTTTTTGTTCTTGCGATAGTTTACTGAGGCAGGAGAAGGAAATAAAGGGTATTCAATTAGGAAAAGAGGAAGTCAAATTGTCCCTGTTTGCAGACGACATGATTGTATATCTAGAAAACCCCATTGTCTCAGCCCAAAATCTCCTTGAGCTGATAAGCAACTTCAGCAAAGTCTTAGGATACAAAATCAATGTACAAAAATCACAAGCATTCTTATACACCAACAACAGACAAACAGAAAGCCAAATCATGAGTGAACTCCCATTCACAATTGCTTCAAAGAGAATAAAATACCTAGGAATCCAACTTACAAGGGATGTGCAGGACCTCTTCAAGGAGAACTACAAACCACTGCTCAATGAAATAAAAGAGGATACAAACAAATGGAAGAACATTATATGCTCATGGGTAGGAAGAATCAATATCATGAAAATGGCCATACTGCCCAAGGTAATTTACAGATTCAATGCCATCTCCATCAAGCTACCAATGACTTTCTTCACAGAATTGGAAAAAACTACTTTAAAGTTCATATGGAACCAAAAAAGAGCCCGCATCGCCATGTCAATCCTAAGCCAAAAGAACAAAGCTGGAGGCATCACACTACCTGACTTCAAACTATACTACAAGGCTACAGTAACCAAAACAGCATGGTACTGGTACCAAAACAGAGATATAGATCAATGGAACAGAACAGAGCCCTCAGAAATAACGCCACATATCTACAACTATCTGATCTTTGACAAACCTGAGAAAAACAAGCAATGGGGAAAGGATTCCCTATTTAATAAATGCTGCTGGGAAAACTGGCTAGCCATATGTAGAAAGCTGAAACTGGATCCCTTCCTTACACCTTATACAAAAATCAATTCAAGATGGATTAAAGACTTAAATGTTAGACCTAAAACCATAAAAACCCTAGAAGAAAACCTAGGCATTACCATTCAGGACATAGGCATGGGCAAGGACTTCATGTCTAAAACACCAAAAGCAATGGCAACAAAAGCCAAAATTGACAAATGGGATCTAATTAAACTAAAGATCTTCTGCACAGCAAAACAAACTACCATCATAGTGAACAGGCAACCTACAAAATGGGAGAAAATTTTCGCAACCTACTCATCCGACAAAGGGCTAATATCCAGAATCTACAATGAACTCCAACAAATTTACAAGATAAAAACAAACAACCCCATCAAAAAGTGGGTGAAGGACATGAACAGACACTTCTCAAAAGAAGACATTTATGCAGCCAAAAAACACATGAAAAAATGCTCATCATCACTGGCCATCAGAGAAATGCAAATCAAAACCACAATGAGATACCATCTCACACCAGTTAGAATGGCAATCATTAAAAAGTCAGGAAACAACAGGTGCTGGAGAGGATGTGGAGAAGTAGGAACACTTTTACACTGTTGGTGGGACTGTAAACTAGTTCAACCATTGTGGAAGTCAGTGTGGTGATTCCTCAGGGATCTAGAACTAGAAATACCATTTGACCCAGCCATCCAATTACTGGGTATATACCCAAAGGACTATAAATCATGCTGCTATAAAGACACATGCACACGTATGTTTACTGCGGCATTATTCACAATAGCAAAGACTTGGAACCAACCCAAATGTCCAACATTGATAGAGTGGATTAAGAAAATGTGGCACATATACACCATGGAATACTATGCAGCCATAAAAAATAATGAGTTCATGTCCTTTTGGTTTATTTTATAAGGAAAGAAGGAAAAACTAGCATGGGGTAATTGACTAAATGTGTAATTTACTAAATCTATTCTATATCCTACAATTTCAGATATTAACAAATAAAAAAAATACTTCGCTGTTTGTATCAGCCCTCCTCAGAGACATAAATCAGAATGCCCACCCAATGGATTTTGTAGAATAAAGAAGATCCATTAATATAAGTTACCACAATAAAAGTGAAATGAGCTTATATGTAAAAATTTTACTACAGATTTCCCAAATTTGCCATTAACCATTTTTATCCTTTCAAAGGGTCTGAATCAACTTCTCCCATTTTCTCTGTATCCCAGATAAGATTCATACACTGGATACTGAGATAGCTATGAATGAGAAAGGGAAGAGTAAATAGCAGAGAATCTTTTGTCACATTTGACTTTCTCTTCTACCTTAAAAAAAAAAAAAGCTGCAGATATTCATTATGTGTCTCTTTCTTGATTTTTATTTTAAACTTATATTCTAAAGTTCAGGATTGGAGGTTGCTTCAATGTCCTTGTGTTTAGTAGTATTCATACTACTATTATACTAATATTGCCTTATAATGTATTTTCTACTTGTTTTTAGTTCATTTTCACGAAAAAAAGAAATATGAAACATATAGTTATATGTAATATATGTAACATGCTATTTATAATATAAAAAGTATAAATGTGTTATGTAAAACATTAATCTTATTAATATTTATATCATATAAAATATTAATATACATTTATAGATATAAATATACATATAAAAATGATTTTTTATTTAAAATTTTTAGATTAAAATATACCAAATCTTTTGGCTTAATTATATCAATAAGCAGGAGTCATTCTTCACTAAACACTAACATCTAATTAGCATGAATTTTGAAAACCTTAATTTGTTTCGGCTCATTTTCAAATCTAAGGTTCCTCTTTCTACTTTATGACTCATTTCTATGACATGAAATTTATGTTAAAATCAGCACGGCCTGCGCAGTGGCTCACGCCTGTAATCCCAGCACTTTGGGAGGCCGAGTCAGACGGATCACGAGGTCAGGAGATCAAGACCATCCTGGCGAACAAGGTGAAACCCCGTTTCTACTAAAAATACAAAAAAATTAGCCGGGCGTCGTGGCGGGCGCCTGTAGTCCCAGCTACTCGGGAGGTTGAGGCAGGAGAATGGCGTGAACCCGGGAGGCAGAGCTTGCAGTGAGCCGAGATCGCGCCACTACACTCTAGACTGGGAGACAGAGCTAGACTCCATCTGAAAAAAATAAAATAAAATAAAATAAAATTGGCACGTGGTTTTGATTGGATTTCCTTCATTATGGCAGCAAAGAATAATTTAAATTCCAATAGGAGAAGAGATTCTATATACAATCCAAGAAAAAAAAAATCCGCATTTCAGAAATCTGGAGTAAGTTTACATTTCAATTATACCAAAGCAAGTATCTTTAGACTTTGGACTGATGAATTAAATTTGCCCTCTTCTTATTCCTTCAGAGGGGGACAAAATTAGATTTCAGTTATTTTGTAAAAGTGAAATAACATCTTAGAACAAATGAACAACAAACAAAACCCCGTCAAAGTCTGTGAATCATAAATTAATATAAAAAAATTAGCCTCAGGTCGGAACCAGGGCATACCCACACCTTCCTTCACATTTGTGACACAGAAACTCTACTCACCAACAGGGAAGACAACACGCAGCAACACAAGATAGTGGCCGAGCCCTTCTGCGTTTCTTTCAGAGTTTCTGAAATACTTGGTTCATGGTGCTATTACTAGTGCTACCGCAGTATATAATTATCATAGATGGAAAATTGTAAGGTGAAATTCCCTTCTAATGAAGAGTTATGTAATTAGGGGAATAAATAGAAATGCTACAAGGTAAAATATCTTTGATTAGTTAGAGGTTACTGCTTTATGCCTAGTCTGAAATTTTTTTTCTTTTTTCTCTGTTTCACTCCCTCATTACTTGTGGTTTCTCCTTTTACCTATATATAGATACCACTTTTAAAATTTATATACAAAAATAATCTGCCAGGCAAGAAAGAAAAGTACAAAGTTTGAAATTAATTGCTAGTGACAAATCTATAGATTTCATTTAAGCATCACTTTTCTATTTAATTTTACCGTAGATAAAAATTAAAATATAAGGGAATTACCAAAATAAAATTACCGTTGAGAACATTACAAGCTAAAAATATAGGTTATGTTAATGGTAATAATCAATCCAAAATATATTTTTATCCTCTAGTATGTGCAAGGTGCCTTGCACATATAATTTAGCCAATAAAGCAACATACAAAATGTTTACAGTCTGAATTCATTTATCTTAAATATTAAATGACCATGAAACACTTGAGTATTTAATTAACTGTTTAAAGAAAGGTATATGTGAAGGTGCATTTTCTCAAAATAGAACTATATTTTGTTTATGATTTTACTTTCAATTACTGTTCTGAGGCATTTTCAAATTGTTTAAAACATTTAGTTTAGTATGTAACCTGACATGTTAAACAAGCAAACAAAAAGCCAAAAAGCTATCATCTCTTACTTTATAAAAAAAATTGTATAAAATCATGTTTTAACTACTAGGAACTGTATAAGAAGCCAAAATAAAAGTTAAGTTTTCTGAGGTATGCAAGATGGATATATTTTTCCTTAGGCCAATTCCTTTATATTTTATCCCAGAATGATGGTTAAAATACTGACTTTCTTTTTATATTTTTTCTGAATGTCTTTGTAATATTTGGTACAGGGATTTATTAAGCAATGGGTATTTTTAAAACTGCATATAACTTAGTAGACAAAATCCCTGGATTCTCTTATCTGAAGTCTCAGTAAACAAAGATTGAATTTTCTGCTGATTATGTGGTAATATGAAATAGAGGTGCTGCTTTTGAATCTAGGAATGTTAAAGTAAAATTGGTTATTAGCTACATGACATTGTTGGAGAAGCAGAAACAAATCAAGCTTCTTGTAACACTCTTTATTCCAAGCATCGTGCAACAGAATGAAGGAGAGCAAATACAGCTAACGTGGCTCAACATGCCTGAACAGAGTGGAGCAACAGCACAATGTGGTTTTATTTATTTTCAAGGAAAGGTGGGGAGAAGCACACACAGTAAATGTTCTCATCCTTCATGGGTTCCCCAAGGGAAAGAGAAGCTCCCTTCATCCCTAGCCCAAGTACAAAATCACCTTCATTCAGCCAAGTTTAAAGTAAATTACAAGAGGTGCTTTCTTAGACCAAGTTCAAATACCAGCATTTAAGAGAAGCTGCCTGCCAATCTGCCCGCCCTTAACAAGTTTATTCAATGAAGATGTAAGTGTAGCTTCCTGAAGCCTCAGGGAAGAAATAGAAAAGGCGTTTCTCAGCAAGTGTGTAGATATTACTTTGATGATCACCACTTTAAGTGTGTATGCAACACCATTTTTCTATGGAGAAGATACTAATTCACCCAGGGTTGGGTGGTTCACAAGACCTTATGGGTTGAATAATATAGATATTAAGACACAATATTGCCACTAATGTCATTGACTTATTCTGATATTTTATGTGATCAGAAGCCCCTAATTTTAACAAAGCATGTAGTAACCAATGGTGCTTAATTCATGATGCCCATTAGAAGCCTCTTCAAAATATCTATATTAGGATCCATCTTCAAAGTCTGAATTATTTGGTCTGAGATATAATTCTGACATCATGATTTTTTAAAAGCTCCCATATGATTCTAATTTCACAGCCAGGGTTGAGAATTACTGAATTAAATAAACTTACACGGTTCCCTATGCCAAATTTTTTTTTTTTATACTTTAAGTTTTAGGGTACATGTGCACATTGTGCAGGTTAGTGTGTGGTATTCCCCTTCATGTGTCCAGGTGATCTCATTGTTCAATTCCCACCTATGAGTGAGAATATACGGTGTTTGGTTTTTTGTTCTTGCGATAGTTTACTGAGAATGATGATTTCCAATTTCATCCATGTCCCTACAAAGGATATGAACTCATCATTTTTTATGCCCTATGCCAAATTTTATGCAAGATTCCAGAAGTGAAAAGAATAAGGAAAAAGCAATATTATGAGAATAGAAGATAAAGAGAAGTAGAAAATTTTAAAAAAATACTGAATATGTAGAATGTCCCCTGAAAAGACTGACTGAACAAGATTTAGTTACATGTTGAATGGTTTAGCTCAGGTTTTAGACCAAGCATTTTTGCTAGCAATTTTTTCCTGGTTGCTATAAGCAGTTCAGAGAAAAAAAGTGAGACTGTGGAATAAGCAAGGATCAAGTAACTTGCCAAGGTTATAAGCTTAACAGAAAAGAAATAGGTGTCCAAATATTTGGTTTTTTTTACCAGAATACTGAAGGTCTTTGTGAATTTTTTTTAAGCTTTTAAAAAAAATTTAGTGTTGGTAAGCAGGGAAAATGATAAAACAGGGCTTAACACCAGGAGAAATGTCAGCATCATAAGTGGAGAAATAAATGACATATATAAAACAAGAATAAAGGGCAGGAAGGCATCATATATCAGGAAGAAATATGAGAATATTTAAATTTAATAATTCATTTACAATTTCTGAATAGGAAATTTTATTAAATAGCCATGGGTACAAGTTAGTAAATTGGAAGATACATGCTACTTATTAGAGTTCATGAAGTCAAGAAATATGAAAACAAATAGTGTATGAAAAATCTGCAAGTATTTCTCAAGAATAAAAACAGAAAAATAAGTATTTTAGCTGGGCACAAGTTCTCAATTAACATGGCAAAGTGATCTGGAAGTCCAGAAACATCCATAATGGGAGGTGCTGAGGATAGAAAGGGTTGGTGAATGCCAAAGGATTTCTGATTGTAAACAATTCACCCGGAAAATGTTTTTTAAGTTTCCATCACCTCCCTCCATCCCTAAGTTTACTCTTGAGTGGAAGAGAGACAATGTAAAGAGAAGGGTCTAGAGAAGCAAGTAAGGGACAGAACACAAATGGCAAAAAATTTTGTCGTCTATCTTAGTGCAAAGAGATGCCAATAAAAAACTTAGAATAAGAGAGAAAACTGATCCAAAAATGTCATATTCTCTGACAGCTGTGTATAAATCAGATTGAGAATGGCAAGAATGAAAGTGGAGAGAATTAGGAAGCTATTCCAGTCATTCTGAAAACAGGAAACCTTAAAATAAAATGTTAGTGATGAACCTGGAGAAAAGTGGAGAGGTGTGAAATATGCTTTGTAGGTAGAATAGACAGACTTTGGCGATGGAATGGATGTGGATAGGAGAGAGGTCGGTGTCCAGGATTATTTGCAGACTTTGGCTGATGTACCTAGGCAAGCAGTGGGATCATTTACTGAGAAGATAAAACACTGGATTGGCTGTGGGAAGATCAAAAGTTCAGTTTTGAAAGTGTTAAGTGAGAGAGACAAGTGGAGATGTCAAGTAAGCAATTGCATGTATCAGTGTGAAACTCAGAAGGAAGGTCTTCCAGCATCTTTCCAGCTTAAGAAGGAATATCTTTTTTTGAAAGAAAACTTTGAAGTTGAAACATGTTTACATTTTCTTTGGTATTTTAGCAACAAACCTACCTATTTTTACAGTAGTTATCAGAAACTGAAATTTAATTATCATGTTAATGTTCCAAATTGAACCTTTGAAGACAATCACAGCTTCACCCAACGCAACTGTAGTTAATACAGTGCATTAAGCAGCCATCATCTTCTGGCTAATCAGAAGCCAATAACCAGTTTGGCACCTCTTCCAAATCCCTCAGTCTGCCAGATGGAAAGACACATATTTACATTGTGTGCTTTCTTTTGAAAGCTATCCCAGGATCTGGCCACCTGGTCTGTCATGTTGGAAGCTAATTGGCTACAGCCTGCCAATTGATGAGATTTGTAGGTTTGAAGCAGAAGTCATTCTGACTTCCTAAATGAATCTTCTCCTTCCTAATTAGGGAAAACAAAACCACTCATGGTATAAAACAGATTTTTTTTAACGTTTGCATTATTTGCCACACAATCCTGCAAGTAGTAACATGGCCAGAATAACTAGAATAAACTCAAAGAGAAACTTCTTAGTGGGGGAAAAAAAGATGTTTTTTTCTTTCTTTCTATGCAACTTAACATAAAAGAAGGAGGTTTAGAGACTGGTAGAAATTGTTTATGTCTTGTAGTCCTTCCTTTATCACCACATTGGCATGGCATTATATAGTGAAAAAGAGAGTTCTAATACTTCTAGTAACTAAACATCTTAAGACAGAAATCTGAAACTCATGCTATACCAAATTCTTCACTTTGAAAAGAAGGACTTCTCAGTGTTTACTTAGATTTATGGACTAGATAAATCTCTGGACACATAGAATTACTCTGAATTTTTCTTACCTGAAAAATTCTTCCCTATGCTGTGGCCCTCTGGCCTTTCCTATTCCAAGCGATAAAATCTTAGTTTCAAGACCACGTTAAAAAGTTACATTCACTCTGGAGCCTTCCCTGATTTTCCGAGATAAATTATTCCCCTTTCCTTGATCTGGTGGCATTATTTTAAGTATGTAAACTACAATATTTGTTTGTTTGTTTGTTTATTCTCTGAATTAGACCAAGAGATCTCAAAGTTGCAGTGATACTTCTTTAATCAGAGAATAGTTACTGATAAGAAAAAAATAGAATTCTTCAAGGAAAAATCATATGTTTATTAAATAATACAGAGGAATCTCATGAAAACATAGCTCAGAATATTCAATCAGGACTCATGAAAATTGAAGATTGGTCAACATTCTCTTTATCCTCTCTTCATGGTATACATGGTCTCTTGTCTTTGACTCTTTCATCATTTAAGTTCTTACAGTTCTATCAGCAGAAATGATTTTCCTGAATTCTCACACTCTTGCATATTCTCTATTTTTCGTGATGAGAAAAATAATTTGTTTGGTTCACCTTGTTTTAATTTTGCATTCCTGAAAAAGGTAATTTGGTTTCCCTAAAGAAACTAAAAATAACATTTTAACATATGTTCCTGAGTTCTTTTTCAGAAATCCAGACCCCCACCAGATGGCTCCTCTGGTATGTAGATCTCAGATAAGGAAAAACTGTGGACTGAATTCTGACAGTTGTTCTTTGTTCTAAAATTCTTTCTTAGGTGCCTGGAGGAAGTCACACCCATGGGCCAAGGCTTACATTCTTTTCTACTGACCACAAAATTTTAGACAAACCTTCACCTCTTTAACCAATTGCAAATCAGAATATCTTTTTTATTTTGTTTTGTTTTGAGACAGAGTCTCAGTCTGTCGCCCAGGCTGGAGTGTAGTGGCGCAATCTCAGCTCACTGCAACCTCCGTCTCCCAGTTTCAAGGGATTATCCTGCCTCACCCTCCTGAGTAGCTGGGATTACAGGCATGCGCCACCACGCCCAGCTAATTTTTGTATTTTTAATTGAGACGGGGTTTCACCGTGTTGGTCAGGCTGGTCTCGAACTCCTGACCTCCTGATCTGCCCACCTCTGCCTCCCAAAGTGCTGGGATTACAGGCGTGAGCCACCGAGTCCATCAGAAAATCTTTGAGCCCACCTATTCCCTGTGAATCCTGCTTTGAGATGTCCCACCTTTTGGGGTCAAACCAATATATAGCCTCTATGTATTAATTTATGACTTTTATTAATTTATGACCTTTGCCTCCCTGACTATAAAAACCCTTACGTGCAAGCCATCAGGGATCTCAGGTTTTAAGCATGAACTAACTGATTCTTGTTGCTTGATGTCCTGCAATAAATGCCTCATTGCAGTCCCAATGTCAGTGTTTCGCTTTACTGCACTGGGCAGCAGACCCAAGTTCATTTTAGTAACAACAGGTCATACACCTTGGTATTAGGCTGTTCACCAGGATAAAGGAGTATCCTGTGAAAGCCACACTGTAAACATCCATGACCACCTACCCTGGAATGCTGTCAGGGCAAGGCTGGAGTTTATAACCAATCTCAAGAGAAAGACCTCAAGCCCAAATTAAATAAAAATGCTACAATACTACAGAACAAAAGAGTTATGCACCATGTTTGAATCTTGCCCTTGAAATAACTGAGTGTGGACAGGCATGGTGGCTCACACCTGTAATCCCAGCACTTTGGGAGGCCAAGGTGGGTGGATCACTTGAGCCCAGGAGTTCAAGACCAACCAGCCTGGGCAACATGGTGAAACCCCATATCTACTAAAAATATAAAAATTAGCCAGGTGTGGTGGCATGTACCTGTAGTCCCAGCTACTCAAGAGGCTGATTCGGGAGGATCATTTGAGCCTGGAAGGGTGAAGCTTGCAGTGAGTCATGATTGTGCCACTGCACTATAGCCTGGCCAACACAGGAAGATGCTGTCTCAAAAAAAAAAACAAAAAACAAAACTGAGTGTGTACTTTGATGTTGCCTTTTCCCTTTCAAGTGGCTGGGAGCTAGTGAGAGCCAGAAAAACTTTCTTAAACCCATAACTAGAAGCCATTTGTTCAATGTGGCAGAGATGCCTATCCATCTTGGATCAACTGCCTGTATCTGGACTATTACATGAGAGAGAAATAAATGTTTATTTTTTTAAAAACAAAGTAATTGTATTTGACATCTATTTAAAATAAATATTTGTACAAGGAGGATGCTAGAGTACCTATAGAAGATTTATGCAATTTGGCTTAGCAGGAAAGCAGCAGATGTTGAGAATACAGAAATTACTGATTAGAAATCCAGTGATACTTATTATACTATGACCATTAACTGAATGTGGTGAAACTGTTACCTGTGATCATTTAAAAAGCAAATCAAATGTCCGGAGAGCCCATAACTTTAGTGGAACTCATCAGAAAAAAATCAGAATATTTGTGTGTGCTGGCTAACAGTTTGCATCTTTTAAACAAATCACTGGAGAGAAATAGAGAAATTCTGATGAGGGGTTCTCAAGCAGATGTGGAAAGTAATGTGTTCTGATAAGGTAAACTCTTTGCCTGCATCCTGTAATCTAAATAAACTGTGATGTGAGTCAAGTAATTTTGAGCCTTAAACAATGTTGGAGAGCCAAGGTTGCTAACCCCTAAACATAATGGGATAAGATTGAGACCTGAACTTTATTAGAGGGCCTTCTGTCTGACTCAAGAGATCTTGACCAGACAATGGAACTCAGCCCAGATCACAGATTAGATTAAATGAGTTGTTTTTCAATCCCTATTGCTTCAGATAGCCTCAAGGTAGTTGCTATTAAATTGAGGAAAAGACATGAGCCAGCTTAACAGGCCAGTAACTAAAAAGGATTTGGGTGGGTTTAAAAGTTATGAGGAGGCAAGATCCTTGGCTGTATTTAATGTCACATGAAACTGACTACAAACATATAGACTGAAAGCCTACTAGATTTTAGGTACTTGTATTAAAAAAGACATTGCCACTCTAAAGTACAAATGTTTATGATTAACCTACTCCTAAGTAAACCCCTGAATCTCCAACCTGCAAAATAAGATTGTGCAACCCCCAAGCATGTATACTCTCCAATGTGCATGCATGTGTATGCATGCAATGTGTATGCATGTGTATGTGTATGCATGGCCACGTCAAATGTGGCCAAAGACAACAATAGACAAGAAAAAGTCCCTCAGATCTCATGGAGGACAACAGATAAGGAAGTTCTTCCCAGAAAGTAGATACAGATGCTAACCAAAATAAGTACTCTATTGCCTTGACAGGGAATCTTCATAATTTCTGCTTCTTAGGACCCCTTTATTATTATGAATGTCATTTTTCTACTTGTCCTTTTTCAAAATGGAAAGTTGATAGCTATCTTATTTCTGGTCCACTACTAAATACGGAAGGCAAAGATTCATGGTAATTGTCTATTATTTTATACATTGCTTGATCCATTGTCCATACCTGGTGGAAAATTCTGCATATCACTCAAATAACATGGCTGGATAATAATTGACTAGGAATTATTTGAGTCTTCCTTGGGAAATGGTGAGTGAGTGGGAAGAATGATAACTATGAATATTCCCATAATCAGAGGTTTAGTGAAAGATCACTACTAGTCACCCAGAATCCTTTTTTCTCCTATTATGATACACTTTTAATCAGGCACAAATCTACACAACCTAATACTAAAATTTTGACCTATATATGTCCAAATAACAAACGTCTGGCCTGTGGAATTTCAGCAGAAATGTTCTGTGCCATCCAGTTTTTGTCTTTATTACTATTATCATTGACTCCCCAAAATATCACTTAAAATATTTGTTAATCAAATAAGGCTATGTTTATGAAACTTACTTCATCAAGAGACAATGTAATCTGGACAGTAGTTTCTTGGAAAGGAGAATTCAGTGAATAATATTTTTAGACCTTTAGGGCTTGGGATGAGTGATTTTAAGGTGAGTCTTGCAAGGCAGAGCATAGTTGAAATCAGACAATATTGATGACATGATAATTTTGGATTGAGTGCACCGAAGGTAAAAATATTAAAGCAAGCCTTGGCTAAAAGGTTTTTTCTTCATAAGTAAGAAATTTTAGGCTGGGCGCAGTGGCTCATGCCTGTAATTCCAGCACTTTGGGAGGCCGAGTTGGGCGGATCATGAGGTCAGGAGATCAAGACCATCCTGGCTAACACAGTGAAACCCCATCTCTACTAAAAATACAAAAAATTAGCCAGGCTTGGTGGCAGGCACCTATAGTCCCAGCTACTTGAGAGGCTGAGGCAGGAGAATGGCATGAACCCAGGAGGTGGAGCTTGCAGTAAGCCGAGATCGTGCCATGGCACTCCAGCCTGGGCAACAGAATGAGACTCCATTCAGCATAGCTGAACAAAAGGCACCAGAAACTTCTGCAGACTTAAACGTCCCTGTCTGACAGCTCTGAAGAGAGCAGTGGTTCTCCCAGCATGGAATTTGATCTCTGAGAATGGACAGACTGCCTCCTCAAGTGGATCCCTTACCCTCATGTAGCCTAACTGGGAGACACCTCCCAGTAGGGGCCGAATGACACTTCATACAGCTGAGTGCCCCTCTGAGACAAAGCTTCCAGAGGAAGGATCAGGCAGCAATATTTGCTGTTCTGCAATTTTTGCTGTTCTGCAGCCTCCACTGGTGATACCCAAGTAAACAGGGTCAGGAATGGACCTCCAACAAACTCCAACAGACCTGCAGCTGAGGGACCTGACTGTTAGAAGGAAAACTAACAAACAGAAAGGAATAGTATCAACATCAACAAAAAGGACATCCACACCAAAACCCCATCTGTAGGTCACCATCATCAAAGACCAAACGTATATAAAACCACAAAGATGGGGATACACCAGAGCAGAAAACTGAAAATTCTAAAAAACAGAGTGCCCTTTCTCTTCCAAAGGATCAATGCTCCTCGCCAGCAGCAGAACAAAACAGGACGGAGAATGACTTTCAGGAGTTGACAGAAGTAGGCTTCAGAAGGTCGGTAATAACAAACTTATCCGAGTTAAAGGAGGGTGTTTGAACCCACAGCAAGGAAGCTAAAAAGCTTGAAAAAAGATTAGACGAATGGCTAACTAGAATAAACGGTGTAGAGAAGACCTTAAATGACCTGATGGAGCTGAAAACCATGGCATAAGAACTACATGAGGCATGCACAAGCTTCAGTAGCCAATTTGATCAAGTGGAAGAAAGGGTATCAGTGATTGGAGATCAAATTAATAAATGAAGCGAGAAGAGAAGTTTAGAGGAAAAAGAGTAAAAAAAAACTGAACAAAGCCTCCAAGAAATATGGGACTATGTGAAAAGGCCAAATCTACATTTGATTGCTGTACCAGAAAGTGATGGGGAGAATGGAACCAAGTTGGAAAACCCTCTTCAGGATATTACCCAGGAGAACTTCCTCAACCTAGCAAAACAGGCCAACATTCAAATTCAGGAAATACAGAGAACACCACAAAGATACTCCTTGAGAAGAGCATTCCCAAGACACATACTTGTCAGATTCACCAAGGTTGGAATGAAGGAAAAAATGCTAAAGGCAGCCAGAGAGAAAGGTCAGGTTACCCACAAAGGGAAGCCCATCAGACTAACAGCAGATCTCTTGGCAGAAACTCTACAAGCAGGGAAGATTGGGGGCCAATATTCAACATGGTTAAAGAAAAGAATTTTCAACCCAGAATTTCATATCCAGCCAAACTAAGCTTCATAAGTGAAGGAGAAATAAAATCCTTTACAGACAAGCAAATGCTGACAGATTTTGTCACCACCAGGCCTGCCTTACAAGAGCTCCTAAAGGAAGCACTAAACATGGAAATGAATAACTGGTACCAGCCACTGCAAAAACATGCCAAATTGTAAAGACCTTCGATGCTAGGAAGAAACTGTATCAACTAATGGGCAAAATAACCAGCTAACATCATAATGACAGGATCAAATTCACACATAACAATATTAACCTTAAATGTAAATGGTCTAAATGCTCCAATTAAAAGACACAGACTGGCAAATTGGATAGAGTCAAGACCCATCAGTGTGCTGCATTCAGGAGACCCATCTCACGTGCAGAGACACACATAGGCTCAAAATAAAGGGATGGAGGAAGATCTACCAAGCAAATGGAAAGCAAAGAAAAGCAGGGGTTGCAATCCTAGTCTCTAATAAAACAGACTTTAAACCAAAAATGATCAAAAGAAACAAAGAGGGCTATTACATAATGGTAAAGAGATCAATTCAACAAGAACAGCTAACTATCCTAAATATATATGCACCCAATACAGGAGCACCAGATTCATAAAACAAGTCCGCAGAGACCTACAAAGAGACTTAGACTTCCACACAATAATAATGGGAGAATTTAACACCCCACTGTCAATATAAGACAGATCAATGAGACAGAAGGTTAACAAGGATATCCAGGACTTGAACTCAGCTCTGCACCAAGCAGACCTAATAGACATCTACAGAACTCTCAAACCCCAAATCAACAGAATATACATTCTTCTCAGCACCACATCACACTTGTTCCAAAATTGACCACATAGTTGGGAGTAAAGCACTCCTCAGCACATGTAAAAGAAGAAAAATCACAACAAACTGTCTCTCAGACCACAGTGCAATCAAATTAGGATTAAGAAACTCACTCAAAACCAGACAACTACATGGAAACTGAACAACCTGCTCCTGAATGACTACTGGGTAAATAACTAAATGAAGGCAGAAATAAAGATGTTCTTTGAAACTGATGAGAACAATGATACCACGTACCAGAATCTCTGGGACACATTTAAAACAGCGTGTAGAGGGAAATTTATAGCACTAAATGCCCACAAGAGAAAGCAGGAAAGATCTAAAATCGACACCCTAACATCACAATTAAAAGAACTAGAGAAGCAAGCAAGAGCAAACAAATTCAAAAGCTAGCAGAACGCAAGAAATAACTAAGATCAGAGCAGAACCGAAGGAGATAGAGACACAAAAAACCCTTCAAAAAATCAACGAATCCAGGAGCTGTTTTTTTTTTGAAGAGATCAACAAAATTGATAGACCACTAGCAAGACTAAAAAAGAAGAAAAGAGAGAAGAATCAAATAGATGCAATAAAAAATGATAAAGCAGATATCACCACTGATCCCACAGAAATACAAACTACCATCAGACAATACTATAAACACCTCTATGCAAATAAGCTAGAAAATCTAGAAGAAATAGATAAATTCCTGGACACATACACCCTCCCAAGACTAAACCAGGAAGAAGTTGAATCACTGAATAGACCAATAACAGGCTCTGAAATTGAGGCAATAATTAATGGCCTACCAACAAAAAAAGTCCAGGACCAGATGGATTCACAGCCGAATTCTACCAGAGTTACAAAGAGGAGCTGGTACCATTCCTTCTGAAACTATTCCAATCAATAGAAAAAGAGGGAATCCTCCCTAACTCATTTTATGAGGCCAGCATCATCCTGATACAAAGTCTGGCAGAGACACAACAGAAAAAGAGAATTTTAGACCAATATCCCTGATGAACATTGAAGCGAAAATCCTCAATAAAATACTGGCAAACCAAATCCAGCAGCACATCAAAAAGCTTATCCACCATGATCAAGTTGGCTTCATCTCTGGGATGCAAGGCTGGTTCAACATATGCAAATCAATAAACGTAATACATCACATAAACAGAAACAAAGACAAAAACCACATGATTATCTCAATAGATGCAGAAAAGGCCTTTGACAAAATTCAACAGCCCTTCGTGCTAAAAACTCTCAATAAATTAGGTATTGATGGGATGTATCTCAAAATAATAAGAGCTATTTATGACTAATCCACAGCCAGTATCATACTGAATGGGCAAAAACTGGAAGCATTCTCTTTGAAAACTGGCACAAGACAGGGATGCCCTCTCTCACCACTCTATTCAACATAGTGTTGGAAGTTCTGGTCAGGGCAATCAGGCAAGAGAAAGAAATAAAGGGCATTCAATTAGGAAAAGAGGAAGTCAAATTGTCCCTGTTTGCAGATGACATGATTGTTTATTTAGAAAACCCCATCGTCTCAGCCCCAAATCTCCTTAAACTGATAAGCAACTTCAGCAAAGTCTCAGAATACAAAATCAATGTGCAAAAATCACAAGCATTCCTATACACCAATAACAGACAAACAGCCCAATCATGAGTGAACTCCCGTTCACAATTGCTGCAAAGAGAATAAAATTCCTAGGAATCCAACTTGCAAGGGATGTGAAGGGCCTCTTCAAGGAAAACTACAAACCACTGTTCAAGGAAATAAAAGAGGACACAAACAAATGGAAGAACATTCCATCCTCATGAATAGGAAGAATCAATATTGTGAAAATGGCTATACTACCCAAGGTAATTTATAGATTCAATGCTATCCCCATCAGGCTACCAATGACTTTCTTCATAAAATTGGAAAAAAACTACTTTAAAGTTCATACGGAACCAAAAAAGAGCCCACATTGCCAAGATAATCCTAAGCAAAAAGAACCAAGCTGAAGGCATCACGCTACCTGACTTCAAACTATACTACAAGGCTACAGTAACTAAAACAGCATGGTACTGGTACCAAAACAGAGATATAGACCAATGGAAAAGAACAGAGTCCTCAGAAATAACACCACACATCTGCAACTATCTGATCTTTGACAAACCTGACAAAAACATGAAATGGGGAAAGGAGTCCCTATTTAATAAGTGCTGCTGGGAAAACTGGCTAGCCATATGTAGAAAGCTGAAACTGGATCCCTTCCTTACACCTTATACAAAAATTAATTCACAATGGATTAAAGACTTAAATTTTAGACCTAAAACCATAAAAACTCTAGAAGAAAACCTAGGTAATACCATTCAGGACATAGGCATGGGCAAGGACTTCATGACTAAAACACCAAAAGCAATGGCAACAAAAGCCAAAATTGACAAATGGGATCTAATTAAACTAAAGAGCTTCTGCACAGCAAAAGAAACTACCATCAGAGTGAACAGGCAACCTATAGAATGGGAGAAAAATTTTGCAATCTACCCATCTGACAAAGGGCTAATATCCAGAATCTACAAAGAACTTAAACAAATTTACAAGAAAAAAATCAAACAACCCCATCAAAAAGTGGCAAAGGCTATGATCAGACACTTCTCAAAATAAAACATTTATGCAGCCAACAGACATGAAAAAATGCTCATTGTCACTGGTCATCAGAGAAATGCAAATCAAAACCACAATGAGATACCATCTCACACCAGTTAGAATGGTGATCATTAAAAAGTCAGGAAACAACAGGTGCTGGAGAGAATGTGGAGAAATAGGAACGTTTTTACACTGTTGGTGGGAGGGTAAACTAGTTCAACCATTGTGGAAGACGGTGTGGTGATTCCTCAGGGATCTAGAACTAGAAATACAATTTGACCCAGTGATCCCATTACTGGGTATATACCCAAAGGATTATAAATCATGCTTATATAAAGACACATGCACGCATATGTTTATTGCGGCACTATTCACAATAGCAAAGACTTGGGACCAACCCAAATATCCATCAATGATAGACTGGATTAAGAAAATGTGGCACATATACACCATGGAATACTATGCAGCCATAAAAAAGGATGAGTTCATGTCCTTTGTGAGGACATGGATGAAGCTGGAAACCATCATTCTGAGCAAACTATTGCAAGGACAAAAAAACAAACACTGCATGTTCTCACTCATAGGTGGGAATTGAACAATGAGAACACTTGGACACAGGGCAGGGAACATCACACACCAGGGCCTGTCGTAGGGTGGAAGTCTGGGGGAGGGATAGCATTAGGAGAAATACCTTACGTAAACGAGTTAGTGGGTGCAGCAAACCAACATGGCACATGTATACATATGTAACAAACCTGCACGTTGTGCACATGTATCCTAGAACTTAAAGTATAATTAAAAAAAAAGAAATTTTAATTGGTTCACCACCTTAACCTTGAGAAGTAATTACTTTCTGAAGCGATGTATTAATTTATTTGTTTCTGGTCCCAATATTGTTTAGTGTAGAACCAGGAATATATGTTGACTTAGTTCATTTTGTGCTGCTGTAACAGAATACCACAAATTGAATAATTTATAATGAACAGAAATTTATTAGCTCATGACTCTGAAGGTTGGGAAGTCCATGATCAAGGGGCTAGCATCTGGTGAAGGCTTTTTTGATGCTTCATCCCATGGCAAAAGAACAAAGAGAGGGTGAGAGAGAGTGACAGATGCAAAAGAGGCCAAACTCATGTTTTATAAGGAACTCAGTAACACAGTAATCACTCTACCTTCACAGGCTGATCACCTCTCATTAGGCCCCTCCCAACAAAGTTTCACTGGGAACTAAGTTTCCAACACATGCTTTACGGGGAATATATTCAAACCATAGCATAGCATAGCATATATTTAGCCTTAGAATTGTTTGCCACAGAGATAAGAAAGCATGTCATTTCAATTCTCAGTAAAATTGGAAGAACGTGTCTCTAGTCTTCTTCCCACTTTGTGGTGATTAGGAAATTATGCACCACTGCAGTGACATCTTGAATCCATGAGTAAAAGCCAAATGTTGAGAATGGTAGCGCCACCTACTCATCTTGATTCTCTAGCCACCCTCAAGATTATGACATAGAAGAAAATTAAACGATGTCCTATGTAAACTACACTATTTTTAATATACTTCAACAGCACATCCTCTACTCTAATTAAGTTGTTAATATTTTTAGAAATGTTTATTTAAGGAAAAATTGAAGCAAGCAAACATTAGAGGAAAGGAAAATGATTTGAAGTTTGGAAATTGACCCAAAGGCAGAATGGCAAAATCAGGCTCAAACTCAATTCAAGGTATTATGGCAACTAACAGATTAGAATAATATGTATCAGCACCTACTCTTCATTATCTATATAAAATACATAAAGAGAAAATAAAAATACATATACTATTAAAAAACATAATAAATAGTTCTTTGCACTAGAAATAGAACTAACCTGCAAAATGCAGTGTGGTACTAAACTACAAGCCAAGAGAGGCAACGCAGCTCTTAGAGGCAATGAGAACTAAAAGTGTTCCACATGACAAAGTTACAGGATCCAAATTCACAAAAAGTATTCAGGAGATGTGAAAGTAATTTCATTAATCTCTCATAAAATCAGGTCAAAGAAACCACTGCTAACTGCCACCTAAAGCCACTGTTTTGGGTAAGTTGCAAGCCTGAAGGGGCAAGAGGAAGCAGACATAGCCTTATAACAAAGAACTGAACTAAACCACCCATTGACTTGAAGTCATCTTCAGCATAGCCAGTATAATCACCAACAGGAACATTGCCATGCCACTAATTGCAAGTTGTGGTTCTCATTTGAGGGTCTAGTTCCTATGCAGGGAGTGGAAAAAGAGAGAATATGAACAAATAAAAATACTTCTCTGTCAAAATGAGCCCCCAAACCAAAATTCTAAAATGTAAAAAGAAATAGAATGTTAATACATACAGCAAAAATTTTCTAAAATCAGAATATTAATAAAATATGTTTCACATAAAAAAGTTTTATGTTTCACATTAAAATATCGTATGAAATAGACTGATTTTTCTTTTTTTCTTGAGACAGGGTTTCACTCTGTCACGCAGGCTGGAGCGCAGAGCCATGATCACAGCCCACTGCAGCCTCAACCTCCCGGGCTCAAGTGATCCTCCCACCTCAGCCTCCTGAGTAGCTGGGACTACAGGGGCATGCCACCATGCCCAGCTAATTTTTGTACTTTTTGTAGACAGAGTTTTGCCATGTTGCCCAGGCCAGTCTCAAACTCCTGGGTAATTCACCCACCTCAGCCTCCCAAAATGCTGGGATTACAGGCATGAAATTCTTTAATAAGTGTGTTTATGTTCTCAAAACGATAAATGAAGGAATTCATTCTATATGTAACATCTTGTTCAAGAGTAAGACATAAGAAATTAAGGCAAAAACAAAAAAAGAAAAGATACCAGTTTAAGATCGTGAATGTAAGCCTTGAAATAAACACATATACACACTTAATGGGGAGTACACTCTAGAGAGCTCACAGCAGATGAGAAAATCAGTGAATGTATGATAGTAAAGAAGCCACCTAGAACAAAACATAAAGAGATATAAAGATATAAAAGTAATCAATCAAGACATATTAAAGGTAGATTAAAAATCAAAAATTAACTGGTATTTCAGAAGAAATGGATATTTCAGAAGAAAAGAGACAATGACAAAGAAGGAATTACATTTATCTAGAATTAAAGAAAACTAAGAATTCTAAAACTAAAAGCATATTTCAATTACTAAGCAAAAGGAAAATATAGACACATCACAATACATCTGGAAAGCATTGAAAACAAGAGGAAATACTTTACAAGCTAACAGAGAGAAAAGACAGACTACCCATAAAGTAATTGGAGTTAAACTAACAGCAGTCTTATAAACAGAAATAATAGATGCCAGCAGTAAATGAAAAAATATATCCCACATGCTGAGGGAATATATTGTTGTTTTAGAGGTATAGAACAGGCCAAATTACCGTTAAAGATATTTGGGGGGGGCCGGGTGTGGTGGCTCACGCCTGTAATCCCAGCAGTTGGGGAGGCTGAGGTGAGCGGATCACCTGAGGTCAGGAGTTCGAGACCAGCCTTTGCTCCTCTGTCAATGATGAGTTGACTGTATTTGTGTGTGCCTATTTCATGCTCTGTTCTGTTCCATTTATATATGTGTCTGTTATTTTGTCAATGTCAGGAACTGCCTTGATTACTATAGCAATATAGGAAGTCTTCAAATCAGATAGCACGAGTCCTCCAAATTTGTTGTTCTTTGTCTACAACATCGTGTTGGCTCTTCTAGATTTTTTACCTTTCCATATCAAAAATAGCTTTCTGGGGTTTTGATTGGGATTGTGTTGAATCTACAAATCAATTTGGGAAGAACTGACATTTTAACAGTAAGTCTTCTAATTAAGGACATGGAATATTTCCTCATTTATTTAGATATCCTTTGGGTTTTTTTCATCAGAGCTTTTGTAGTTACTGTTTACTGTTTTTGAGCATTTGTGTTATTTCCAATTTGAGGCTGTTATATTATGAAAATTATAATGTCTTTGGACAAACACATATGCTCACTTGCCCTATGTCCAGAAGTGGGAATGCTGTGTCATAAGATAGGAATATATGTAGCTTCAGTAGGTATTGCCAGTTTTCCTAAGTAATTGTAACAATTTGCTCTTTTCACCAGCAATGTGTGAATAGGATACAAACAAAAAAGACCTTACACCTTATACAAAAATTAGATCAAAATAAATCATAGACATAATTGTAAAGTGCAAAATTTTTAAACTTCTAGAAGAAAACACAGGAGAATATCTACCTAGCATATGAGTCTTTGGTTTGGCTCAAACCATATGACTCATTGGTTTGGCAATGAGTCTTTAGATACAACAGCAAAGCCATGATCCACAAAAGAAAAATTAAGTTGGACTTTACTAAAATTTAAAATGTCTGCTTTGCAAAAGACAGAATAGACGGTTAAAGAGTCAGGTAAGAGAATGAAAAGAAGTCACAGACTGGGAAGAAATATTTGCAAACTATATCTGATAAAGGTGTATCAAGATATACAAAGAACACTTAAAATTCAATAGTAAATAACCCAATTAAAATATGAGTGATGGATCCAACAGACATCTCACTAAAGACATTACGTATGGCATATAAGCATAGGAAAAAATGTTCAACATCATCAGTCACTAAGGAATTGCAAATTAAAACCTCACTGAATTACCACTACATAACTATTAGAAGGGCTAATATCTAAAAAACTGATAATACCGAATACTGACTAGGATATGGGGCAACCAGAAATCTCACTCATTGCTGATGAAAGTTTATAGCAGCTTTCTTAATAATCACTGAAGAGTGTCAGCAACCAAGATGTTATTCAATAGGTGAGTGGATAAATAAACTGTGATACCCCCATAGAATAAAATGTTATTCGGGGATTTTAAAATGAGCTATCAAAATACAAAACAAAATGAAGGAAACTTAAATTCACATTGCTAAGTGAAAGAAGCATGTCTGAAAATATTATATACTGTTTGCCCAATAGTTGACATTCTGGAAAAGGCAAAATAATAGAGACATAAAAAAGATTAGAGGTTGCCAAGGATTCTAGAGGAAGGTTGAAGAGGTGAAACAGGAGATTTTTAGGGTGGTGTAACTATTCTGTATAATACTGTGATGTTGGATACATGATTTTATGCATTTATCAAAACCCAAAGAGCTTTACAGTACAAAGATTGAACATTAATGTATGCAAAGTAAAAAAAAAACAAATCATTTAGGGGGTTGGGGAGCCCAGATGGCATCCAGACTGTGATAAGAGAATATATTATAAATGTATGAAACAATCTGACTGAAGGGAATAGGAGCAAGAGATGTGGACCTAAGTATCTTTGGAAATGAAAGGTGTCTGTAAGATTTAAGGCAGAAGGAAATGGGCATAAGCACTCCATTCTAGCTGACAACCTTTTTTCTGTGGAGATATAGGTTAACAGCTCTAATACTGGTACATATGCTCCTGGAATTGAACAGTTAACCAAAGGGATAGCAGGTCATGAGAGCCAGATTTTTCACTGTTGAAGTGGGAATTTACAGATAAGCAAGGGTAGGAGGCTAGGATAATCCACATGGTTATAAATTAGTTTGAGACATCAGTATATACTCATATTTAGCTTAATATAGATACCGACGGACATTGCCTTAGTCCATGTGAGTTGCCTATAACAAAATACAATAAACTGGGTGGCTTATAGGTAACGGAAATTTCTCTCACAGTTTGGGAGGCTGGGAAATCTAAGATTAAGGCACTAGTATGGCCAGGTTATGGATGAGAGCCCTTTTCCCAGATGCAGACATCTCACTATGTCCTCACGTGGTGAAAGGGGCAAGGCAGCTCTCTCGGGGCCCTCTTTTACAAGGTCATTAATTCCATTCATGAGGGCTCTGTTCTCACAATCTAATCAGCTCCCAAAGGCCCCACCCTCTAATACCATCACTGTGGTGATTAGTATTTAACATATGAATATGCGGAGGGAAACATTCAGACCATAGCAGCTACATATAAATATAACACATTTGTATACACACATGATCTTTCTTGCTTTGTTGGCTGAAAGGCTTAGAAGCAATGACGCCCAGTGGCAAAGACCACACCTAATAGCCCAAGGTCTGAGCTGAGCTGCTTGCCCATCACTCCAACAGAGCCATTGCCGCCTTTCCTGCCTTGCTTTCCTTAAGCTACCTGGTTAATGTTTACAATACAGCAATAAAAATAAAATGGCTTTGTGTTCCTCCTCCCTAACAAAACTTGATATTAAAGTGAAATTTTCAGTATTTCATCCAAAGATATTCTGGGACTTTTATCCACTAAGATATCAATGATGGAATCACTAGTTTTGAGCTGGATAAAAGAATGAAGTTCTCAATATCTTTAAATCATACTACTTCCAAATTTTATAGATCTTACTTTGGTTTCAGGATAAATTTGATAAAATACACTACATATCAAATGTTGGGCCAGACATAAATATTGAATAATAAGTATAATATTTTAAAATGAAATCGCAACATAGTAGGAGGAATGATAGCACTACTACCTATATTTTATTAAACTCGCTATGTTTATTAGTATATACTTATATATTTACACATGACTTCAAAAAATAAGCAAGTAAAGAAATCTATGCAGTAATAATTATCCAGAAGCAACTTTTGCAGTGCTAGTACTAGCATTCCATTTTCATTGTTAGAGTGAACTTATTACATACACAATCACTCTAAATTCTTGCACAAATTCTATTCTTATAATTATTCATACTATTTATTTTTTAAATAATTAAAACCAAGCACTTATGGCCTTAATACTCACAAGCCCTGTATAATATAGTGCCATTATTTCCATCTCCAATTTACTGATTAAGGCATTAGTGTGATTACATGATGATCACATGGTTTATCAATGGTAGAAATGGCATTAAAACACACATCTAATGTCAAAGCCCAGGAATTTTACCTTTCCTCCATGCTGTCACCATAACTTATAACCAGTGTCTTTAGTAATTAGTGTTCTGATATACAGAGGAAGAAAGGAAGAAAGGAAAGAAGAAAGAAAGAAGAAAGAGAAAGAAAGGAAGGAAAGAAAGAAAGAAAGAAGAAAGAAAAAGAAAGAAAGAAAGAAGAAAGAAAAAGAAAGAAAGAGAAAGAAAGGGAAAGAAAGAATAAAGGGAAGGAAAAGAGAAAGAGGAGGGAAGGAAGGAAGGAAAGGAAGGAAGGAAAGGGAAAAGAAAGAGAGAAAGAGGGAGGAAAGGGGAAGCAGGGCAGAAAGAAGGAGGAAGAAAGGAATAAGAGAAGGAAAGAAACTTATTTGTATGTGTTGTTTTTCATATTACTCCCTGCTATCTGGTTTTTTACAAATGTGAATTGTTTGTAATAATGCGTTCAGCAGAGGTGAACTTTCGCCTAGTTCCATTTGAATAAACACAAATGCTATATTTTATTCCTGGATTCACCACTGACTCATTGCATTTAATTGGATAAAGGCACTTCAATTTTGGGAGCCTCAAATTTGACTTCAATAAAATAAGGAGGTTGTACTGTATCTAATGTCTGAGGTCACCTCACATTTTAAAAAGTTGAAGTTCATTCTAACTCTATATAGACTTAGGTTTCTCCTTTAGTGGATATGATACATCATTGAATTGAGATCATCTGATGGGGAAAATTTTGAGGTTATTACTCTTCTAGCATTAAGTCTCCGTGTACTTTTGCAAGGAGTCTCGCAGTGCCTCCAGATTCCATCTGCGTCCCTATTGATGCAAGATGCAGGGACCAGGAGAGGGCAGTAGAACTCTACCAATGAAAACGAAATGCTTGCGCTAGCACTGCACAAGTGGCTTCTGGATAATTATTATTGCACAAATTTCTTTACTTGCTTATTTTTTTAAAAAGTCATGTGTAAGCATATAGATATATGTGTCCTCAGTGAGTAGAAATTAGTTATGATGATTATTATAAATATTTGCTACATCAAATATTTATAATATAATCATAGCTAATTTCTAATTACTAAAATAGTAATTAGAAAAATAGAAATTAATAGTAAAATAGAAATTAAAATACTAATAACTAAAAACAAAAATTAAAAATATTTATCCAACTTGCTGTTGTAGAACTCTATAAAAATGAGTTCCTTTTTAAAGAAATCAAATTATTTCAGTTACGAGATAATAAAATTGATTGTTTTCATCAAATAAGGAAATAAGAATGTTCATAATTGTAAAAGAAATAAAATTCAAAACTACATTACCTCTTGCTAGGAATTTTTTTTAAGTTTTTCTATTATTTTATATCATCTGTGAAGAACAAAAATTAATGAGGGAGCAAAAATAAACCATCTTAGGGCTATATCTCAGAGAACTAGTTAACTCTGTAATGGTGTCGCGTGTAAATTTGGGGAAATAATTTTTTTATTTAATTTTATTTTTTATTTTACAGCCTTATTGAGATATAATTTACATACAATAAAATCTAAACATTTTCAATAATTGTATTCACCCAAGTAAAAAGTTATGGGCTGTTTCTATCACCCCAGAATGTTCCTACCTGCTCCTTTACAAAATAGATTTATAGTTCTGAAATTTTATATAGATGGAATTATACGATGCATACTCTTTTGTGACTGGTTTCTTTTGCTATTTATATATGTCGTATCGTGTTGAGTTAGTACCTACGTATGACTGAAGAAAATTTCTTTATATAAATATACCACAATTGGTTTATCCATTCACCTGTTGTTTAATATTTGGACTGTTTCAGTTTGAGGTATTATGAATCAAGGTGCTAGGAGTATTTATGCCAGGATCATTTATTTTGGTTGGACATAGATTTTCATATCTTTTGGATAAATACCTAGAAGTGGAATCACTGGGTCTTGTTGAAAGAGCTCATCAACTGTGTTAGAAACTGCCTGGTTGTGTTATATAAGTACTTGTACCACTTTTCATCCCCACCAGCAGTGCATTAGAATTCCAGTTGCCCCACATTCTCACAGACACTTGGTATTGACAGTTATTTTATTTTTAGCCATTCTAGAATGTGTTAGTGGCATTTCATCATGTAACGAAATTACACTGATTTCATTGTAGTTCTTTGACTAATGATGCTATATAACTTTTCATTTTGGCTATTTGTTTACCTTCTTTTGTGAAGTGTTTCTTCAAGTCATTTGCATAGTTTTTTTTTTTTAATTTGGGCTACTTGTGTTTTTATTGAACTGTAGGAGTTCATTATGTATTGTGTATACATGCTCACACGTAAGTATTGTGAATTTTAAAATATATATTTCAGATACAAGTTCTTTGTAATGAATACTTTCTCCCTATCTGATATCATAACTTTCCATTTTCTTAAAACCATCTTTATAAGAACATGAATTAATATATTTGGTACAGTACACATCATAAAATTTTTCTTTTTTGGTTCTTGATCTTTGGTGGTCTGATCTAAAAAATCTGCTTAGTCTATTGTCATAAATATTTCTTCCTATGTTTTCTTTTTGAAGATTTAGACTTTGGGGTATTAACATTTAGTACCGTGAACTATTTTGAATTAATTTTTGTGTAGGCTGTGAAGTAACAGCTGAAGTGTATTTTTCTCCATATGGATAGCCCGTCGTTCTAAAACCATCTGTTGAAAAGATTGTTCTTTCTCCTTCAATTATTGTGGCACCTTGTCAAAAAAAATCAATAGATTCCGTGTTGGTCTATTTCGGCCCTATCTATTTTGTTCCAGTGATCTTTATTTTTATCCTTATACCAACATGAAGCTGTCTTAATTATGTAGCTTTATAGCAGAGGTTCTTACCCGGGGGAGATTTAGACTCCAGGGAATATTTGGCAATGCCTGGAAACATTTTTAGTTATCACAATTAGAGGGTGTGGCGGATACTACTGGCATCTAGTGGATAGAGGCCAATGATGCTGCCCACCATCCTGCAATGCACAGGGTAGTTCCCACAAGAAAGAATGATCTAGCCCTAACATCAATAGTGTCTAGGTTGAGAAACCCTGATTCATAGGAACTTTTAAAATCAGTTAGTGCAAAGTCTCCAACATTGTTCATTTTCAAAATTCTTTTGGCTGTTTTAGGCTTATTGCATTTTCATATAAATTTAAATCAACTTGTGCATTTCCAAAAAAGAAAAAGAAAACAAAGTGAAATTTAAATAGAGATTTTGTTAAATCTGTAGATCAGTTTAGGCAGAACTGACATACTAATCAGATGGAATCTTCAATCAAAGAACATGATGTCTGTGTGTGTGTGTGTGTGTATGTGTGTGTGTGTGTGTAAAGAATACATATATATGTATATATACATATGGAGAGATACATCATTCTTTGGTTGAGATAAATTAAAGAGGTATATATACACTTTAATTTATCTCAACCAAATAAATTTAGCTTGTAATGTACAAGCTTTACAGATATTTTATTAAATGATACTAAATATTTCAACTTTTCCATGCTACTTAGGGCATATTTTCTTTTACATTATTTCATTCATAAATAGTTACAATATTCCTACAGAGTAAAATACAATTCCCTTTTTGGATTGACCTTGTATCATTTGACTATACTAAATTCACTTTTTGTTTCTGAAAAATTTTAAGTATAGTTCTCAGGTTTTAAAATGTTTTCTGAATATCAAGATTGGATATTTTTTCAATCTCTTCATTTATTGTTTCTTTCCCTTGCTATATACTACATTAGCTAAAGCCCCTCATTCCTATTGATCATGAATAGAACTGATTATCTTATTCTTGAGCTTAGGAGAAAACACTTGATATTTCACCATGAAATATGACATTAGCTGTAATTTTTCCATAAATATGATAAATTATAATGATTTATTTCAGAATGTTAGACCAAATATGCATCTCTGGGTCACAATGTGTTATCATTTTTACATAGTATTAAATTTAGTTTTCTAAAATATTGTTAAGGGCTTTGTGTCTATGTTTATGAGATCTGCAGTTTTCCTGTAATGTTTTGGTCTGCCCTGGCATCAAGATAATGCTAGCTTCAAAAAAATTAGTTACAAGTATTTTATTTTCCTTTGTTTTTGCATGGGTTTGTGTAAGATTGGTAGTATTTCTTCCTGAAATGTCTATTAGAATTCAACAGTGAAGTCATCCTGGTCTGGAGTTTTCCTTGTAGGAGGGTGTTACTTGTGAATTTGATCGCATACATATACTATTTAGATTTTCTACTGCTTATTTATATGTTTGATTATTTTAATCTTTTATTTGTCCATTTCAAGTTATAAAATTTATTGGGATAAATGTTTTCATAATTTTCTGTGACAAAGAGTTTGACTTTATGTTTTTTAATTTGAGTGCTGACAACTTTTAAACCTCACCTCTCTATCTTTCCTTTATGTCTCCCATCTGGGAGAAAACCAATATGAAGGCCTTTATGCCCTCTCTTTTGATACCAAAGAGAGTTCCAAATCATGCAAACCCCTGCCTGCACAAGGGAATCCCAGCCCCATCCACAACCACAATAAAAACTCCAAGTCAACCTCCTTTTCCTGATCAATGAAACCATTTTCAGATAACTTGGATGCCTGCTGTGATCTCCCCCAAAAGCCTTGTTATATATAAGCAATAAGCATTTTCATAACTTCTTGGTGTATATGTTGGCAAAATCAGTCTTGATATCCAAAAAACATTTTGTGGAATGATGTGTCCTGATTCTGAAGAGTGGTTATAATACATTTACTGACTATTTTTAATGCCTATTGAATTTCTAATGATGTCCAGTTTTTCTTTTTTTACTCCTGGGCTCAAGTGATCCTCCCACCTCAGCCTCCCGAGTAGCTGAGACACAGGTGTGGACCACTGCAGCTGGCAGATGTCATTTTAAAAATCCTCACACTGATAATTCTTCTTAATTGGTCTACCCAGAGATTTATCAATTTTATTGCTCTTTGTAAAAGACAACTTTTGGGATTTATTTTCTGTATTAATTGCCTTTTTATGAGTTAACTGCCCACCTTTTTCTTTTATTATTTCCTGCATTTTTTTTTACTTTGAGTTTACATTGTACTTTCTTTTTTTTCACTATTTAAGAAGTAATCTTAATCTTTAATTTTAGGTTTTTCTCTTTTCTGACAAAAGCAATTATAGTATTATAGTTCCTCTATGTTCTGCATTAGCATTATCTCACAGATTTGATTATATTGCATATTAAATTCATTCCATTCAAAATATTTTCTAATTAACTGTAAAATTTTAGAGCCATGGGTAGGTAAGTCAGAAGTTAAACAGGAACAGCTGTTTAATTTTAAAATATTTGAATATTTCCAATATAGGTTTCAAAATATTTTGTTACAAAAATATGTTTAATACTATTTAAATTTATTGAGAACTTTTTATGCCCCTTCATATGGCCTGTCTAGGTAAATGTTCCAGATGCACTTGAAAAGCATGTGTACTCATCTCTTGTTAATTAAGTATTTTATATATCTCAACTAGTTCCAGGTGGTTGATAGTACTGTTTAAATCTCCTGTATCTTCACTGATTTTTCGTCTACATGCTCATCAGCTGCTGAGAGGAGAGTGTTGAAATCTCCAACCATAATTGTGGATCCTTCTATATGCCCTTTCATTTATGTCTAAATACATTTTTTCTTTCATGTATTTTGAAGCTCTGCTATTGGGTTCATGTCTTTTTAAGACTGTTGGTTTGTCTTGATGAACTGAACTTTTTATCATCATGAAATATATCTCTTTGTGTCAGGTACTTCTTATCCTGAAACCCACAGTGTCGGATATAATATAACTACTTCACCTTTGTATGTCTAGTGTATGTATGTCTCTTTTTTTTTTTAACCAGGCTTTTACTTTTAACCTATCTGAGTCTTTAAACAATATTTCAAATATGTTTCTTATAGATGGTGTATAGTTATATCTTGTATTTTTATAACCAGCTAAAAATTTCTGCCTTATAATTTCAGAATTAAGACCATTTATGCTTAATATAATTACTAATATGATTGGGATTAACCATACTATTTTGCTGCTGCTTTTTCACTTATCATATACATTATTTTTTTCTTTTTCTTTTTCTATTTTTCTGAGTACTTTCGGATTGAGTGTTTTTAGTTTTCTCTTTTATCTTCTCTATTGAGTCATTAGCTACGATGTTTTATTATCTTAGTGATTACTCTAGAATTTATAATATTAATCTTTAACTTGGTAGTCCATCTTCAAATTATGTTTTATTCTTTCATCTATAATGTGGAAACTTCCAACAGTATTCATAAATCATTTCTTTCCTTTATGCTAATGTTGTCATAAACCTTTATAGCTATATAATTTATAAAATCCACAATACATTACATTCATTTTTGCTTTATGGAGTCAATTGTTTTTTAACAATTTTAAAATAAAACCCTTGCTGTATTTATCATTTGGATATTTTTATTTCCTTTTGTAGATTAGAGTTTTTGTATGATATGCTTCTCCTTCAACCTTATATTACAGGCAGTTTTGTTACTTGTGGATCTGCTTGAGGCTAAGATTCAATGTTAGGCTTTATTAGGGCATATCTGGAACAGCCTTTACTCCAGAACTAATTTAGCATCAAATTGTAACCATTGGGGGCTGTCTGCTGAACACCCTGTGTATTTAACTAGCTTTTTCTACTCAACTCAATAATCACTCAGTCCTTTGAAAGCCATTGTAATTATTGCACTTAGAGTTTTCTGGTAGTTGTTCTTTCCCTGCTAGTTGTTTTTTTGCCTGGCTTCATGGTGTCTCATATGACAAAACGCTGCTTAGAATTTAGCCAAGGCTTCAAGGAGAAACTTACAGATTTTTTGAACTCTCTTTTCCATAATCACCTACTCTGTGTTACTCTCTCCTAGCAACACCCACCAATGCAACCTCCCTGAATGCCAGTCACTGTCTCCTCAACTCACTGAGAGTGACGTGCTCTGCTTGGTTTGCCCTCCACTACAATATGGTTATAGGTGCCCCCAGGGGGAAATATAAGGAAAACATGGCTCTCTTTTTTTCTTCCCCTTTTCTCAAGGATAACAGTCCTGCTCTTCATATTGTCCATTATCAAAATATGGTTGTTTCATATATTTTGTCCACCCGTATTTCAACATAGGCATTAGGAGGTGGGACCTTTGAGGGGTCATGAGTGTAGAACCTTCATGAATGGGATTAATGCCCTTATAAGAGAGACCCCAATGAGCCTCTCACCCTTTTTCTACGATATGAGGACACTACAAGAAGTGGGTACTCTGCAGCCCAGAAGATCACCCTCACCAGAACTTGACCATGCTGGCACCTGATCATGGCACTTCCACCCTCCAGAACTCTGAGAAATAAATTTCATTGTTTATGAGCCATCCAGTCTATGGTAATTTGTTATAGCAGCTGGAACTGATGAAGACAGGATTATCCAAAATATCTGTTCTATACATGGACATTTAAACTTGATAAACACAATTGTGAGCTTCTTTTTCATTGATTAAAATAATAAAGTTTTTTTATTTAAAAAGTTACGTTGATGCTAAGATGAATGGAAAGTTATAAGCTTTCATAATCAATAATGAACTAATCTGGTGCTTTCATCTAGCAATTGAGATTGTACTACATGTAGAACCTTCATATTTAAAAGTAGTTTTAACTGCTTCAATTAGTTCAGGCTACAGATATTCTGAGGCAAATAAAAAACCTTGGATATTGCATCAAGATATAGGATATCATCAGTATATGCCTTTGCTTTTTGCATGTATATAATATCTTAGGCTATTGTAGGAATATCAGGTAAAAAAACTTGGGAAAAATTAAAGCTTATAATAATCTGAAAAGACTTATCTGGATTCTTATAAACTGTTTCCCACTTTTTCTGTCTTTTGTCTGTGGAGCCTCTGAGATCAGAGCCCCTTCTTTGGTTGCTTCTTGAATTATACATAGTGTAGGTATACTGATGTCCAGATCAGCTATAATATGAAACTTCTAAAAATAACTCCTGTGCAGTAAATTTTATCTGGTAATTCTATTTGAAAAGTAGACTCCTACCTATTTATTACATTTGCAGGGTTTGTGTAAGGGAAAAAATTGTGTTGTTCTCATAATAGCAATCTCAAAGTAATAATTGTATGTTGGCAGAAAAGGATTTAGAATTGTAAAAATTTTCAGTATTTGAATGGTTTATGTAAACCAAGGCAAAGAATGTTTACTTCTCCTGAAGGGTTTTACCTGTTACTCTACACATTCAAAGCTTTCTTTTACTATCTTCTGGGCCAAGCATACATTTTTACTTTAAGCAAAACTATATTTTGTTCCATTTTATTATTACTACACCATTACTATTACGGTTGTTTATGAGCCATCCAAAGTCAATTTGCTTAATTTCATGAGTTTTAGATAATTTGAAAGTTTAGTTTTGAGGACTCTAATGTTCTGTGGTAGTTGGATTAATAAAATATTTAACACCCATATTAATGAGAAAGATGTATTAATGTCCATCTCAATTTACAGATATTTCCCCTTGGGAGTTTAGAAGAAAACAGAATTGTGGAACACTAGTCTCTCCCTTGGAGTGAAATCATAGGGCAGCGTTTGGATAGTCACCCACCACTTCTTAGCAAGTGTGGAACGTTCTTTCTTCTAACAGTACTTCTTTTGTCATTTCTACTTGTGTCTCTTCCTAGGTTCTCAATTCTAAGGATCAGAGAATCTTTTGGTTTTATTTTTGTTTTGGGAGCTGGTGGTTCTATCTAGCTGGTAGCCATAATTGATTTTAATTTTTAGCTTGTTTACTTTACCTGTGGCTCATTGAAAATGTCAGCAAATGCTGGAGTGCATCTAGCAGTTTCCTACTATAATTTTAGATGTAAACCTTGTTATTAAAAAAAAAAGAAAACAGAAAAAAAACCCTCCATTTACTTTGTTTCTTCTATCTACTTCAGAATATTATCTGAAAATGTATCATCTAATTGTAAAATCTCCTCTGATTCAGCTCTATTTTGTTTATAACTTTGGATCTTTGTCCAATTTACTTTAAGGGAGAGAATTCTGAAATGGCCTTATATATGAAATATATTTTAAATATTTTTTTTTTGCTCTTTCAAGAATATTTTTAAAATCATGCACAGCTGTGTTACTAAAATTTCTTCCTAGTGTTTTTCATCTTATTAATTCTTATTATATTTCCTTATCTGAGAGGATGACTGTTAACTTGCTGATACATAGCTGGTGGCACCTAAAGCAATTCTGATTTTTTTTTTTCAGAAAATTTCTGCCTAAATTCCTGAGGTTCAAAAGGAAAACTTAATTTATGAACTCCAAATTGGTTCTAGATCAAAGTTTATATTCAGCTTCTATAGATGAGCCTTCTGGTCTTATAATTTCAAGGGCATATTGTGCAATGCAATTGTTCTTTTTCTGAGAAAAAAATGCTGAGGAAAAGATAGCACATGTGAACAGTTAGAATAAGAAGCAAAAGGATGTAAGCATAGAGAAGAAATTCAAGGAAAGTATATTTCAGAAGATTTGAGCAGGAATGAACTAGAGAGTTTTTTAAACAAGCTATTCTGGAGTCAATGTTTGGTTTTGTGGCTTTGGATATTAATTAAAATACTGATAATTGCATATTTAATATTATTAATTTTTTCTTTTTCTGAATTTCTTAAAAATGTAATTATGAAATATTAAAATTATTCAAAATGATAAATTAAAAATTTTTTAAAACATTCACCAAAGAAGACACAACAGCTGTGAATATAATACAAATTTATGAAAGATTCACAGATTTTGCCAGGAAGATGTTGCAGTTTTGATTTGGACAAACCCATAATAAACAAAAAAGAACCTCTAAAATCTGTTACATCTGTGTTTTTATAAATGATGTTCTGCATTACCCAACCCAAGCCAAGGCCAGGAAGAGGTGGTGCAACAATGACCCAATAATCACTGGCCTGGAAATGTGAAGTAGAGTGACCTTGTACACAAATTGACATGACAGCAAGTCTCTTCATGATTTTGGAGGTGAGCCAAGACACAATTTGATCAAACATCTCAGTATAAATTACCTGTAGCATAATGGGGCTGCAACAGTGATACTTTTAGGCTGGTTTGGACTACATTGGAGGTTTATCCAACTGATACCTCCATCCATTTTCTAGGAACCACTCCCTGACTCAAGTCACCAGAAACAAGACAATCCATATAAAGCCATGACACAAATCTTTCTCACTAAGAGAAAGACAAAAATAAAAAGCAAGCCAAGTCGCTGAAGTCAGCATGTTAGTGGCAAAAATATTTAACAAATAGTGCACCACCAAACCAAAGCATCTAATATACTAATACTACTTAGCAACAAATTATAACAACATAAATTTTGTAATAAGAGCTCAATGAAATAAGTTAGAGTTGAGATCATGTTGAACCAGTTGCACCTGGCAGGAAATCTGAAGGACAAAGGAAACTGGCGTACAAAAGGGCTGGGTAGATTTATTGGTCAAAGATACTATATTACCCTGTTGGAGAAAACTACATTGTTAAAAAAAAAAAAAGAGAGACCTCTATTCAAAACTCAAATCAATAAGCTTGATTTATTGCTGATGGAAGTGAAAAAAAAAAAAAGAGCTACGTTGATCAGATGAAGCCTCACTGAGCATTGCAAACTACTAATTTTACATAGGGTGCTGGGGAAGAGCTTGAGATTGATTCAGGTTGTGTTTATATGGGAGCAAGAATGGATTGATATCAGCTGTAGAATCATATTTTGTGTTAATTGTAGAGGCAGGGTGGGTTGTCAATCTTAGAAGCCTAGTTTATTATTTTTCAAAATAGTTGTTCCATGTCAGCCTTAGAAACATGTTCGCTGGAGTGAGTTGACTGTCAGTGGGGTGACTTTCAAGGCATGAGTTAGTACTAACTGACTGGTCTTCAGGGACATGTTCACTGAAGCAAATTGTCATTGCTCAATTGGACAGATTTAAATCTAGTTCTGAGTTTTACTTGTTACCTTGGCTATGGAACATTGGTTGATTAGACAGGTATAAAACAAGTCCTGGTAGTTATTTTCCCCATAGCAATAACATAATTTGTCTTTTGTTAACATTTTTTGAAAATGTCAACATTATACATAAAAACCCATCCAATTTTTGTATTTCTACAGGTCCCAGATAATAATTAGGAAAACAAATCAGGACCGAAACTCCAGAGAGGTAAGAATAAGAATCAGTAATAGAATTGAATACTTATATATCAGGCAGTGTTCTAAACACTGTACATGTATTACCTAATGCAATTCTCATAGAAACCCTAAGAGATAGCTATTAGCAACATTTTTCTACATGTGATATGACTGGACCACAGAAAAGCTAAACAATTTGAACAGGTTCTCATAGCCATAAATGGTAGAAGTCAGGATTCAAACTTGGAAGGTTTAAAACCAGAGCCTCTTTTCTTATCCACTTGAGAATAGGGACTATTTTAGTTCGTGACGCAAACTAAAGAGGTAGTCTCTCCTCTTTTTCCCAATCTCTCTCTCACACATACAAACACACACACACACCCATGCATGCACAAAGGCCCCTTAATTGTTAAGGTAATTAAAATATCAAAGTCACTCAATATTATGGCTAAAATCTATATATTCACTACTCATATGAGACAAGTATTTAATCATAGTAATATCAACTTTTAATAAAATATTTACTTAATGAATATTGTGTTTCAGATGTTCCATTAGGTACTTTATGTATACTACTCCAATTCTCTATACCTTTAGGAGTTAAATATTATAATAACCATGTTTGTTCATGAAATGAACTATAGATAACTTGGCCAAAGCCATCCATAGCTCGAAAAAGGAAAACCCAGATTTACTATGTTTTGTCATTCATCACTTGGCTGTATGCTCAGCGGGAACCAGGGTGGTTTCTATCTTGTTTAATGCTTTATCCCCAGAATCCAGCATATATGTTCTTCCACAGTAGTACCCCATACTATAAAAATAGTATGTTCTCAATTAACAAAGATTAAATGAATAAAAGTGTCCCAAACTCTTGTTTTTCACTAATTACTAATGTTGTTTTCACTAATTTCACTAATTACTGATTCTATGAATAGGATAATGATTATGAAGAAAAATGCAAAAGTACAATCTCTTGAGCTGAAGAAAAAAATACAGAGTAAACATGCTCCTCATAAGAATACTGTCTAAATCGAATGACCAACAAGACTGATTTGATGTTTGGTTGCAGAGATACTAGTCAAGTTTATTTTAATTCTTCCATTGTATTTTATTTATGTAAAAATATAATAATTCAATGGCTCCTCCTTGCATATAGAATCCAGTTTCCCCTGCAGCATGGCTTCTAGCCTGGCCTTTCTAACTTTGTACCTCTAGCACTACAGCAGTCCTCTAATTCCTAGAATGCACTGATATATTTGTGCATGTGATTTTTCCTTCTGAGATACTCTCCTCCACATTCCTCTCAGATCTCTCCTTCCCATCCTGCAGATTACATGCTAAATATTCTCCCATTTGTCATGTATTTTTAAAATAGACTTTATTTTTTAGAGCAGTTTTAAGTTCATAGCCAAACTGAGATTTCCCATATACTCCCTGCCCCCACACATGCCTAGCCTCCCTCATTACCAACATCCTTCACCAGAGTGGAACAATTATTATGGATGATGAACCTACACTGACACATCCTTGTCACCGAAGGACCATTGTTTACCTTAAGGTTCATCCTGGTGTACATCCCATGAGTAAGTCATTTTTCCCACTTCATTTTACACCTTGTTATTTCTTCTAATTATTTCTCCTCCTCCCGCTCCTTCTTTCAGTTTTCACTTCTGAGATGTTTGCTGCACTTAATACTGGATTGAGTAAATTTATTATATACATTATTGAGTTGAATAAATGAAGAAGACTAGAGCTATATACTATAAATCTGAGAGATGTCAGTACCTATAAGTAAGACTAAATGGCCCTAATTGAGTTGATTGGAAGAATTCAGGAGACAGGGAGGCAAGAATTCAGTCTCATCTTTTTATAGGATTAGTAAGAAATAAAATAAAATGGTAAAAATATTGCTGTATTGGTATTGTCTACCTTCAATTGGATTTCAATATTACAAATTAGTTTTTTAAGATGCAAATTTACTGATTTATCTTTGCTGGTCAAAATCTATTAGCCACCCTTAGCTCTAAGATAGAGGTTTTTGGTGTTTATTTGTTTGTTTTTGAGCTTAAACAACAGGAATTTATTCTCTCACAGTTCTGAGGACTAAAAGCTAAAATAAAGTTTTAATTTCTTAACTCATGTAGAAGCTTTTCCTATTTGATCTTTATCCTCTCCCTCAACATGCATATTGTCATTCATTTTTTGTATTTAAACAATATCAGGCAGCACAGAGTTATTTGGGCTAAATAAACGTGCTCACTTTTCAGTAGAGTTAATTTTGCATGGAAGCTTCTTCAATGAATGCTCAGTTACTAAATGATTCATTTGTTAAATCACTCCTAATATTATTCCCCTGCTGATAAACCCACTCCTACATTAATAATCTTTTAAGCAGATCTTCATTGTACTATCATTGTTGATTTCCATGCCTCTTTCTGCTGCAAACTCCCTGAGTGGATTGGTGTGTGTGTGTGTGTGTGTATGCATTCTCAGCTCTTGCTATGATAATCTGACAGTCTCTAGGCGTACAATAAATACATTTTTATACATGGGTGAATTTAGATATTTCATAATTACATATTTGTTTTGTTCTGATGAACTTATTTTTCTTAGCGTATTGATCTTAAGCTTCCACAGATTAATAACTGACAAATAACCTTGATTTAAAATAACTCATACATTTTGAAAATTAGTCGATTGGGATTTTTCATTGTATGTACTATATACCTATTTATCTATAAATTGAATGGTTTTAATCTTTCAGTAAATATTTACCTATAATTATATCTCATGCACAACCATCTGTAACAATATTTACATATTATTTCACTACATTTAAATATAGAACTAGCACACACCTATGGTCCCTGCTACCTGGGAGGCTGAAGTGTGAGGATCGCTTAAACCCAGATGGTCAAGGCTTCAGTGACCCATGATTGCACCACAGCACTCTATCCTGGGTGACAGGGTGAGACCTTGTCTCAAAAATTAAACTGGATAAAGAAAATGTGGTACATATACACAGTGGAATAATTTGCAGCCATCAAAAATAATGAGATCATGACCTTTACAGAAACATGGGTGGACCTGGAGTCCATTATCCTTAGCAAACTGATGCAGGAACAGAAAACCAAATACTGCATGTTCTCATCTATAAGTGGGAGCTAAATGATGAGAACACATGGACACACAGAGGGGAACAACACACAGTGGGGCTTATCAGAGGGTGAAGTGAGGGAGGGGGAGGAGGGAGAGGATAAGAAAAATTAACTAATGGGTACTAGGCTTAATACCTGGGTGCTGAAAACATCTGTATAAGAAACCCTCATGACACAAGTTTACCTATAAAACAAACCTGCACATGTTCCCCTGAACTTAAAATAGAAGTTAAAAATATATACCTTTATATACACATATATTCACACATACATATGCACGAATACACACATATACATATATAACTTAATATTTCAAAGTATTAAATTCTACATATACATTCAGCCATAAGCTGTGGCCCTTCTCATCAGGCATTTGCACCTGCTCTTTCCACGTTTTAAACAGCGTCTTCATGTCTAAGATTGGTAATAAAAACTTTCTTATACTTCAGATAAAAGCTTAAGTTTTTTCTTAACTTGCCTGACTAGTCAAATCCTTAAGGCACTTTATGCCACCTTTGCATATTATTGTACCAGTTGCACTTTTACATGCTTATTTGATTAATATCTCCTCAAAACTGTGTAATCTTTGTGGTGGCGATGTACAGTGAGACATTAAGCTGGAACCACATTTCCCAGAATCCCCTTTGCTGAATGTGACCAGAATATGACTGACTATTAGAAAAAAATTTGTGTGAGATTTGGAATACCCAAGTAAAGCAGAAATCATTTTCTCTGAAGATTGATATAGGACCAGGCACCTTTGTAGCACAGACACATTACTGCTGATCTGCTAGCTTATCCTGTTGACATGGGGAGCAGCCAGCGTTTCAACTCTCCAAACCCGGGGCCAGGTGTATCTCCATGGTCAGTGGTACCAGAAGCTCTTTCAGGTTCATGATGTAGCCCAATTTGGAAGCAATGAGAAATAGATAAGTGTGGGAGTTTGGTAAGAAGTCTATACGAGATCTGATCCGTAGAATAGTTCTTTATAGTTCTTTATTGTATATCATTAATAGTATTTTTTTTTTTTTTTTTTTACATGGAGCCTTGCTCTGTCACCAGGCTGGAGTGCAGTGGCACAATCTTGGCTCACTCCAACTTCCAAGTCCCTGGTTCAAGCGATTCTTCTGCCTCAGCCTCTCAAGTAGCTGGGATTACAGGCATGCGCCACCACACCCGGCTAATTTTTGTGTTTTTACTAGAGATGTGGTTTCACCATGTTGGCCAGGATGGTCTCGATTTCCTGACCTCCTGATCCGCCCACCTCAGCCTCCCAAAGCTTTTTTTTTTTTTAATTGAAACCTAATGCACCTATTCAATTTGAGGAGCCTGACCCATTTTGATCACTGGTGAACTCACAGGACTTTGCACAGTTTCCTGCATACAGTACCTGTTCAATAAATATTTTTGCTGCAATAAACAAATTCATACTTTCTCCTCTCTAGTATTTGTAATGGGCACTGAGTAAATACTGTCAATCCCATTTAACTAGCTCTATTTCAGTCAAGATCATCTCATGCTTCTGGAACCTGATTATTGAAAGTCAATGGAACAAGAGTAGAAGGGATACTGGAGATGAGGGATGGTGTGACCACAAGATCAATGTCTCCTTTCTCCTTGATTGAATTGCCTCAATTTCCATCTGACTCTAATGACATTGACATTTCAGTTACCCTTTTGAAGCTGATTTATCTTTAAATGTAAATTGACTATACTATACAATGACTGTGTAGGATAGAATTGGGCATGCTGTTAAACAAGTTAAATTTGTTCATGAAATGCAACTTTGAAAGTGAGATGTGTATTTTAATGAATGACAGGGCTTAGGATGAACTTTATGCTGAATATGTAATGTGAATCTATGGCATTTTTCTTTTTGAAAAACACAGAAAGAACTTGAGTAGTCATTTTCTTTGAAATTAATGCCGTGGTGAACATTATCATTTTCATCACCACAAACACTTAAATCAAATTAGAAATGAGAAATAAACTTTACCCATTGTATTTCTAATTGAGTTTAAAACATTGAAACTGGAAGCATAGTTTGAAGCACATAAATACAGGTATCAAGTGGAATGTCTAAGCATTTTCTGTCTTTGGCTGATGTAAGTATGCATTTTGGTATCTAAAAGAAAAAAATAGCAGATATTTGCTGGGTTCAACAATCTTCTTTTCCAGGAATACATGAAATGAGTTTCTCCAGGGCCTCCTTTTCATGGACGTATTTCCATCTCAATAAATATAGTTAATAAATTACTTGGAAAATGAAAAACTAACTCAATTAACCAGTTATCCAGATTATTTATGTCTCATCATCTCCACAGTTATGTTGAGGAGAATCTGCCAGAAAACCAAGTCTGGTAGCATTCTGAAATTTTTTCCTATGTTAAAAATTCCTTAATAAAAAGGAGGGGCTCATTTTAAGCCTTCTAGGACAGATGGATATATGGAGAGAATAAATGATTTCTATTATCCATTGTTTGTAGTATATTAAATGTTATCTATTTTGAGGACATTGTAGGTTAACATAACAATGAAGAATTGTTATACTAGGCCGGGAGTGGTGGCTCACGCCTGTAATCCCAGCACTTTGGGGGGCTGAGGCGGGCAGACCACGAGGTCAGGAGATCGACACCATCCTGGCTAACACAGTGAAACCCCGTGTCTACTAAAAATACAAAAAATTAGCCGGGCGCGGTGGCAGGCACCTGTAGTCCCAGCTACTCAGGAGGCTGAGGCAGGAGAATGGCGTGAACCCGGGAGGCGGAGCTTGCAGTGAGCTGCTGAGATAGCACCACTGCAGTCAGGACTGGGCGAAAGAGCAAGACTCTCTCAAAAAAAAAAAAAAAAAAAATTTATTATAGTAGTGATTTAAATTTTCTGTGAAATATGCCTCAAACTCAATCTTAAGTAAACACCTCAAAAATACAGTTCAAATCAATTGATTTATTAACAAATAATTCAAAAGTTGTCAAGATTTGATGTGACGCTAAAACTAGCATGTAAATTTCTCCTGACCTACTCAACATAAAAATATATTTAATAGAGGCCAGGAACACAGGAGTCATCCTAAACTTCTTTCCTTCACTAACATCTCTCCCACCCATCTGATCATTCATTACATGATGCTTGTTTTGTATACTAAATATTTCTCAATCCTCTCATTTCATTTCCAGGAAAACTATCCCAACTGTTATGGCATTAATTAAGGTCATGAATATATCTTTGTGCTACAAAGTATCCTGACTAGTATGTGGTATTTATGTTCTCCTTACATCAATAATCTCATAGCTGGAGAGACTAGCTAACATATAAATCTGACTATATACTCTCTGTTTAATGGCTCTGTATTAAGAATAAAGTTCAGATGGCTTTACATATTATAGGAGGCCTTCTGTCACCTGGTTCCTACCTAGTTGTCCAGTTTCACCCTGTCATACACTTTACTATGAAAAGCACTGCACTGTTTCTTGTTTTTCTTACACACCACTGTATTTCAACTTTCTCTGCTCTAAATGGATGCCCCTCTTCTCCTGCAATAAGATAGATTATGTGGGTGAGGGTGTGAGGCTCACCATTTCTTCACTGTATACATTGGCTTTTGGAATTTGACTGTTGCAGAGCCAAGTGGTGCACTTCTATTCATAGATTTACATCTGCTTGTTTACATAGGTTTGAAGAGCTCTAAGATGAAACTTACCTCAAGGAAAGGAGTCTACATCAGAAAGTCCCTGTCTTTACCACAGTTTTATGGGCAAAGCCAGTTCTCATCAAAAAGTGGGATGGAGGGTGCATGCCTATCTAAACACAGCTTCCTGCCAAATTGACATGAATGTAGCCTAGGGAAAATGGTTGGGTACTAATCCAATGTCTTAGTTCTTTTGTGCTGCTATCCCAAAATACTTCAGACTAGGTAATTTACAAAATTTATTTCTCACAGTTCTGAAGGCTGAGAAGCCCAAGATCAAGGCACCAGGAGATTCAGTGTCTGGTAAGGGCCTCTTCTTCCAAGAAGGCACCTTGTTGTTTCTTCTAGAGGTGATGGACACTGTGTCCTCACATGGTGGAAACAAGAGAGGAACGGGGCCTAGCTAGTTTCCTCCAGCCCTTTCATAAGTCTCTAATTTTATTTATGAGGGCTCTGCACTCATGACTCAATCATGTCCTAACAGCCCAATCTCTTAATACTATCGCATTGGCCATTAATTTTCAACATGTGAATTTTAGGGGACACATTCAGACAACAGCACTTCACCTCTGATCCCCAAAGTTTATGTACTTCTCATTTGTAAAATATAATTATTCCATCATAATAACTTCAAAAGCCTTAATTCACCCCATCACCAACTCAAAAGTCTGAAGTCCAGGGTCTTATCTAAATATCACCTAAATCAGATATGGGTGAGACTCAAGGTATGATTCATTCTGAGGCAAATTTTCCCTTCAGCTATGAGCCTGTGAAATCAAACAAGTTATGTGCTTCCAAAATACAATGGTGGGATAGGCATAGTATAGACATTCCCATTCCAACAGACAGAAATAGGCAAGAAGAAAAGAGCAACAGCTCCCAGAAAGTCCAAAACCCCACAAGGCAAACAACATCAAACTTTGAAGCTTGAGAATAACCTTCTTTGTCTACATGTCCCACTTGCCGAACACACTGAGGCAGAGTTGGGCCCCCCAAGGCAACCAGCAGTCCTGGTCTTATAGCTCTGCTGAGCATAGCTGATGTGGCACCTCTCATTTGAGTTGGAGTCACATGCCTGTGGCTCTCCCAGGCTAATGTTGCACACTGGTGGAGGTCTGTGATTGAAGGGGTGGTCCTGTATCCATGGCTTCACTAAGCATTATCATAATTGCGGTTCTCTGTGGCTGCCACCACCCCATGGTTTTGTTGAACATTGCCCTATCAGATGTTCTCTGCAATGGCCTCACCCCTGTGGCTGTTCTGTACCTGGGCTCTGAGGCTCTCTGAGGCATCTCTTGAAATCTAGGTGAAGTTAACATGCCTTCATAGCCTATGCACTCTGTGCACCTATAGAGTTGGCACCACTGGGACACTGTCAAGATTTACCACTTCCTCCAGCGTGGTGGCCTCAGCCACACCTGGATTTATTTGAGCAATAGTTGGGGTGGCTAAGGAGTGCTGCAACAGAATGCATGGAGCAGAAACTTGAGGCAGACCTGGGAAGTGAGTCCAAGATCCCACAGGAGCCTTGGGCCCATCCCTTGGAACCATTTTTCTCTCAAGGCCCTGGCACTCTGGACCTGTGATGGGAGTGACAATTTTGGAGATCTCTGAAATGTCTTTGGGATCATTCCTCCACTGTCTTGATAAATAGCATCTAGATTAGTTCTATGCATACTAATTTCCTTATCAAACGTTTGTATGGCCACTCCTTTGGTGTTCTCTCCAAAACACACTTGCTCATTTTTCACAGGCTGAAAATTCTCCAGCTTTTTACTTGCTTCTCTTTTAATTATAAATTCCATATTTAATTCACTTTTTCCTTCTCACATTCTACTATAAGCAGTCAAGAGAAGCCATGCAACATCCTGAATGCTTTGCTTAGAAATTTCTTTTGCCAAATATCCTAGTTCATTTCTGTCAAGTTCTGCTTTCCACAAAACAATAAGACATAAAGAACAGCCAGGTTCTTTGCTACTTTATAACAAAGATAATCTTCTCTCAAATTTCTAACACTTTTTTTCTGATTTCTATCTAAGACTTCATCATAATTGCCTTTACTATCCATATTTCTATGATCATTCTGTATGTAATCTCTAAGAAGATTCAGACTCTCTCTACAGCCCCCCTCTTCTTCCAAGCCCTCATCAGGATAACCCTTACCCATTACCCAGCTCCAAAACTGCTTCCATATTTTTAGGTATTTGTTAGAGTGACACTCCACTTCTCAGTACAAACTTCTTAGCTCATCCATGCTTCTATAACAATATATCTGAGACTAGGTAATTTATAAGCAACAGAAATTTATTTCTCACAGTTCAGGAGGATGGGAATTCCAAGATCAAGGCAGTTTCAGTGTTTGGTGAGAGCCTGGTCTCTGCTTCCAAGATGGCACCTTGAACACTGCCTTCACATGGCAGAAGGGATAGAAAGGCAAAAAAAGGACCTAGCTAGTCCCTTAAGTCCTTTTATAAGGACATTAATGTCATTCATGAAGGCTGTGCCCTCATGACTTAATCACCTCCTAAAGGCCCCACCTATTAATATTATTAAATTGGCAATTAAGTTCCAACATGTGAATTTTAGAGAACACATTCAGACCATAGAAGCCAGTAAAGCTAAAACCATGGGACTGTGGAAGTGAGAAGGGATAAGAAGGAAGCTTTTTCTCTTCCTCCCTATTTCAGAACCATTTTGCTTCACGAAAACAAAGGTGATCTGTACTGAACCAGAGGAAAGAGGAAACACAAAGCAGCCAAGGAACATTGTGGGCTACCTGGTCATCAGGGAATCCTTGGGCTTGACATTACAGACATATACAAGCAGGGTTCCCAGAAGCACTAAGGGTTGCATAATTTGGCTTTAGAGATGTCTTGAGCTCTGTCTTCCTTCTAGGATTTTTAAGGTTTTAGGTCTTATGTTTAAGTCTTTAATCCATCTTGAGTTAATTTTTGTATAAGGTGTAAGGAAGGGGTCTAGTTTCAGTTTTCTGCATATGGCTAGCCAGTTTTCCCAACACCATTTATTAAATAGGGAATCCTTTCTCCATTGCTTGTTTGTGTCAGGTTTGTCAAAGATCAGATGGTTGCAGATGTGTGGTGTTATTTCTGAGGCCTCTGTTCTGTTCCATTGGTCTATATATATGTTTTGGTACCAGTACCATGCTGTTTTGGTTACTGTAGCCTTGTAATATAGTTTTAAATTGGGTAGCATGACGCCTCCAGCTTTGTTCTTTTTGCTTAGGATTGTCTTGGCTATGCGGGCTCTTTTTTTGGTTCCATATGAAGTTTAAAGTAGTTTTTTCCAATTCTGTGAAGAAAGTCAATGGTAACTTGATGGGGATAGCATTGAATCTATAAATTACTTTGGGCAGTATGGCCATTTTCACGATATTGATTCTCTCTATCCATGAACATGGAACGTTTTTCGATTTGTTTGTGTCCTCTCTTATTCCCTTGAATAGTGGTTTGTAGTTCTCCTTGAAGAGGTCCTTCACATCCCTTATAAGTTGTATTCCTAGGTATCTTATTCTCTTAGTAGCAATTGTGAATGGGAGTTCACTCATGATTTGGCTTTCTATTTGTCTGTTATTGGTGTATAGAAATGCTTGTGATTTTTACACACTGATTTTGTATCCTGAGACTTTGCTGAAGTTGCTTATCAGTTTAAGGAGATTTTGGGCTGAGACGATGGGGTTTTCTAAATATACGATCATGTCATCTGCAAACAGAGACAATTTGACTTCCTCTTTTCCTATTTGAATACCCTTTATTTCTTTCTCTCGCCTAATTGCCCAGGCCAGAACTTCCAATACATGATGAGTAGGAGTGGTGTGGCAGGGCATCCTTGTCTTGTGCCTGTTTTCAAAGGGAATACTTCCAGTTTTTGCCCATTCAGTATGATATTGGCTGTGGATTTGTCATAAATAGCTCTTATTATTTTGAGATACATTTCACTGATACCTAGTTTATTGAGAGTTTTTAGCATGAAGGGCTGTTGAATTTTGTCGAAGGCCTTTTCTGCATCTATTTAGATAATCATGTGTTTTTTGTCACTGGTTCTGTTTATGTGATGGATTACATTTATTGATTTGGGTATGTTGAACCAGCCTTGCATCCTAGGGATGAAGCCGACTTGATCATGGTGGATAAGCTTTTTAACATGCTGCTGGAATCAGTTTGCCAGTATTTTATTGAGGATTTTCGCATTGATGTTCATCAGGGATATTGGCCTGAAGTTTTCTTTTTTTGTTGTGTCTCTGCTAGGTTTTGGTATCAGGCTGATGCTGGCCTCATAAAATGAGTTAGGGAGGATTCCCTCTTTTTCTATTATTTGAAATAGTTTCAGAAGGAATGGTACCAGCTCCTCTTCGTAACTCTGGTAGAATTCGGCTGTGAATCCGTCTGGTCCTGGAATTTTTCTGGTTGGCAGGCTATTAATTACTGCCTCAATTTCAGAACCTGTTATTGGTCTATTCAGGGATTTGACTTCTTCCTGGTTTAGAATTGGAAGGGTGTATGTGTCCAGGAATTCATCCATTTCTTCTAGATTTTCTAATTTATTTGCGTAGAGGTGTTTATAGTATTCCCTGACGGTAGTTTGTATTTCTGTGGGATCGGTGGTGATATCCCCTTTATCATTTTTTATTGTGTCTATTTGATTCTTCTCTCTTTTCTTCTTTTTTAGTCTTGCTAGTGAGTCTATCTATTTTGTTGATCTTTCCAAAAAACCCGCTCCTAGATTCATTGATGTTTTGAAGGGTTTTTCCTGTCTCTATCTCCTTCGGTTCTGCTCTGATCTTAGTTATTTCTTGTCTTCTGCTAGCTTTTGAATTTGTTTGCTCTTGCTTCTCTAGTTCTTTTAATTTTGATGTTAGGGTGTCGATTTTAGATCTTTCCTGCTTTCTCTTGTGGGCATCTAGTGCTACAAATTTCCCTCTACATACTGCTTTAAATGTTTCCCAGACATTCTGGTATGTTGTGTCTTTGTTCTCATTGGTTTCAAAGAACATTTTTCTGAATTTTAGGCATATAAGAAACTCAAAACAAAAACCAATAAATAAATATTTCAGAGTAGATATTCCCTCTTGAGAATCAGAAATGTTTAAGGAGAAGAAAAAATTGAATTTCTGAGGCTGGGCGCGGTGGCTCACGCCTGTAATCCCAGCACTTTGGGAGGCTGAGGCGGGCGGATCACGAGGTCAGTAGATCGACACCATCCTGGCTAACACGGTGAAACCCTGTGTCTACTAAAAGTATAAAAAATTAGCCGGGCACGGTGGCAGGTGCCTGTAGTCCCAGCAACTCAGGAGGCTGAGGCAGGAGAATGGCGTGAACCCGGGAGGCGGAAGTTGCAGTGAGCCGAGATCACGCCACTGCACTCCAGCCTGGGCGACAGAGTGAGAGTCCGTCTCAAAAAAAAAAAAAAAAAATGTTGAATTTCTGATTCCGAGATAGGAATCGTAAACTGAAACAATAATGAAAAATACCTCATTGCTAATTAAGGTCAATTACACCAAAAAACCTCCACTTTCCTGGAATGTTTTGCCTGCCTGATCTGCCTTGCCTAAATATTACTCATTTTGAGGCATTATGTCTACAATAAATTCTGCAAATTAGCTAAATGCTTTACCTATGGTGTCCCACAAAGATAATAAAGAAATACTGAAGAAAATACGGAAATAAGGAATTAATTCATTCCCTCCTCTTGTGCCCTAAGAATACCATTGATCCACTCTTGGGAACATCTTTTTATGAGATTCCCTTGTTCTCTGGGGCACATGTGGCAGGCTTCCTTCTCCATCATTGCTGGAATTCTACTGCCTAACTCTTAGGTTGATGATCTTTTTTTTTTTTTTTTTTTTTTTTTTTTTGAGACGGAGTCTCGCTCTGTCGCCCAGGCTGGAGTGCAGTGGCAGGATCTCGGCTCACTGCAAGCTCCGCCTCCCGGGTTCACGCCATTCTCCTGCCTCAGCCTCCCAAGTAGCTGGGACTACAGGCGCCCGCCACTACGCCCGGCTAATTTTTTGTATTTTTAGTAGAGACGGGGTTTCACCGTTTTAGCCGGGATGGTCTCGATCTCCTGACCTCGTGATCCGCCCGCCTCGGCCTCCCAAAGTGCTGGGATTACAGGCGTGAGCCACCGCGCCCGGCCGATGATCTTTTTTTACAACAGGCACTCTTCAGATTTCAGCAACAATCTTTAAAATTTATTTTTTCTTTCTATTATATTTTTTGGTTATCTGTACTCTGAACTTCAGCTACTTTAAAGCTTGTTATCATCTCTTAATAACAGTTGCCTGGAATTTGCACAAAAGATAATCTCTGTCAGAAAACAATAGAATCCATGAGATTTCAAACTACAGCAATGACTAAAAAGTATTATCTTTAATGGAAAAACTGAAGCTGGGCAAGGATAGGAGGCTAAGGATCCTTTGAAAGTGGTCAAAGTCCTCCTGCCGCACTAACCACTCCCCCACTCCCTGTCCCCGCAACACACACGGACAAATAGGAATCAAATCATCTTAACTCTTACTTCAACAAAATCTCTGACAGACATTTTGAAAATGTAATCTTTTTATTTATTGACATGAACCGGAGGGTAATTGTGATGAAGTCAAAGAGTTGCAGAACTTTTAGAAGATATATTAATTGGTAGAATTGATTTCAAGTTGTTTTCCAAGTATGCTGAGTTCGTAAAATATATAAATGGCAGTGATTCAAGGATTGTAGCAGTGAAGGTTGTCCCATCAGCACCATGTGGCCATTATTAACAGTTTGTAAAGGATTTGATAGAAATATATTTTATATTCTCAGAGGGGATCGTTATGCAATGAAAAATATATACATCAGCTTTCATGGTTACAATTTTCCAACTTTTAAAATTAAGAACCCCCAATTTTACATTATAATGGCCTTTTTGAAGAATAACTTTTAGTATAGGAGCATACAGTTTTTCGAGAAACTATTTTACCTCCTCCTCCCCCCAACACCAAAAGCTCCTGAAAATAAAGTAAATTTTAGCTGATTTATCTTTTTTCTGATAAGCATATAGGCCATGTAATCATGTCCTATCTCAGTACCTATGCTATAATACCTCTAAGTACAAGTGAGTTTTGTTTTGTTTAATGCATGCTTAGCACTCAGCACAAGGATCTTACAACTTGTGGATGCTTAGCAAATATATACTAATCATGATGATACTTGTCTGAGGCAATAAATCCAGTCCTTTAACAGTCTCATATTACTGACAAAGAGACTGAGACGCCAGGATGTTATACAACTTACAGACATTTCAGGGCCAATTTCAACCATAATGCTAATACATATTTGTTTATAGATTGCTAATGTTCATATACATTACAAACCTAAAGAAGATTATTTCATAAGATATTTTATTTCAATAGTTTTAGTCAAAGAATTTGCAGCCAAATTTTCTTCTGGAGTGTTAATGTCTGTTTCCAAAGTATATCTGTCAGGGTCCCAACAGGAAACAGATTGTACATTCAAATTAGAGTAATTTGAGGAATGCTTATTTACAAATAAACTATTTACAAAGGTGTGGTATAGGTATAAGGAAACACTTGAGTAACTTGGAGTTAGTTGCAGTGAAGCAGAAACAGTTGATACCCAAGCCTTAATAAGAAGAGGAAACTCAGAAGAGAATATTAGAGAGAAGGTCACCTGGAGAAGCACAGCAGCATTGTTAGGTGCAGGAACACAGCAGCCCTCAAAGTGCAGTAAAGGAGATTAAGTGAACACCCTGACCTCACTCGCACTTCTCTTCCAATCTAGGGCCAGGATATCCCAATACATCAATCCAACAGGAAGCCTTTGTTCCTTGGGGTGCACAAGGTCAGTCTCCCAAGGCAGAAACTAGGATGAATAACTGGGCAGAATGTGGGCATAGGAGGCAAACAGAAGATACCTGGCGCACAAGGAAAGAGTTGAGTGCTGGGGTGACATTTTAAATTATACTGTTTCAAATGAAGAATTTGAGTTAGCACATTTGACTCTAACTACATTTCAGTTACTCATTTTTTACAATGAAAAAAATTGAAATTAAGTTGAAAGATACCATAATTTGCAGTACACATTTAATTCAGATTTAAAATAGAAAAAATAAATGTTCATCTGTACAGCCAAAAATATGAAAAGAACAAATTTCTATGGGTTTGGGGTTATAAATTTAATCTAACGTAGATTTGGGGAAAGTGGTTCAAGGAAGAGAAAGATCCATAATTTATAACTAGAAGACTACCAACCAAAACCACAAAACTATGGCCCTAGTATACAGCTTGAAAATTGTTCTCTGGGGAAATGAAGCAAAATGACTAAAAGATGCCAGGGTAATTTTATACATTTTTCCTTTTCAGATTAAAGCCATACTTATTTCAGCATTAGTAATGAGGGATAATCCAGGCTGCCTGCGCCTTGTGAACACACACCCAAGTGATGATTAGCAGTCTCAGTAGCCTATAAACATGGCCAAGTTATACAGTGAGACTTCAAGTCAGAGAAAAGCCTTTGGAGTAAAAGAATCTGTAAATTAACCAGCCTAGCCATTTGTTCATAAATACGAATGAACCCATAAGGATCACTCAATGTTTGAGAAAACCAACAACAAAAAAGAAAGAATAGGCAATTGGAAAAAACAAAACAAAACAAAACTGATACTAAGGAAAACAGATATTTTAGAGAACACAAAAAATAATTCTATTTGATATAGTATGATGTTAAATACATAAAAGAGAATAGAATCCTTTGATAAAAGGCCATTTAGAGAGTTAAACAGATGTCAGTAAAAATGTAAAAGCTGAAATAAAAAATGTAGTGGAAGATTTGTCAAGAAAAGTAAAAGAAATTTTCCAAAATATAAAAGAAAGTAAGAAACCTTCAAGAGAAAGGTTGAAACTGAAGGAAGAACAATGCAGGATTTTGACATTCATACTAGGAAAACAGAAAGAAAGAGCAAATGACTAGGGAAGTAAACAATCAAAGAAATAATTTTTAAAAACCATCTTCTGGAACTGAGGAAAATCATGCAAATGCGGAACCAACCTCATGAACTTTTCTCATGTCAAGGATCCTAGCACCTCATGACCTGCTTGTTTCAATTGCTGTTTAATACTTTACATCTTTTATAGTTGTTTTCAGTGGGAGGTAACTTGATGGGCACTATCCTATCATGTCCTGAACCACAAGTCCATTAGTCATTATCTTCTTTTACCTCCAATACTTAGTTAAATTTACAGAACATTTTACCATATGATTAGTTGCCTCTGTTTCTTCTTATATTCATTACTTCTTTCCCAGTCCCAGTCCTTCTTGTTGAAATACACTCTTCAGTAGTTTTTCATCATGTGCCATGAGTTAAAAAAAATACTAATGTTTGGAATGCCTGAAAATAATTTTATTTTTACTGTCATTATAAAGTATCTAAGTGTAGTAATTTTACTTTTTTAATCTTGCTTGGACCTCAGGTTTTTTCTTTTTAATCTAACAATGCATATCTTCCTTTAGAACTATATCATTCATCATTTCCCTGAATATTTCCTTTTTCCTCTTTCCCTTTCCTTTTGTAACTCTGATTAAATGTGTGTTGGTCAACCCATGTTTATCCTCTTTTTCTTAATTTCCATCTCTATACAATGTGGTTTCAGTCATTCCTTCAGACCTATCTTCCAATTCTCTCTTCTGCTCTGTCTACTTTAATATTCAATCTATTTTAATGACTATATTTCCATTTCTGTAATTTTAAAAATTATTTTGCAAACCCACCTGTTTTATTTCCATAATGTCTACCTTTTGCCTTATGGATTCTATGCTTTTATTTATTGTTATTAAAAAATTGTAGATGATTAAAGTCTGTTTTTCAGAGAGTCTCTAATATCTGTAATTCTTCATATGTAAATTCTTCCATTTTTGTATCTATTGTCTCTCTCATGGCAGTTTGTAAAATTTTACTGAGCTTACCTTTGGAGAGTTTTAGTGATATTTACAGGTTCTCTAGAATATGGAGTCATTCCTATTATGTGGTTTTACAATTGTCTTTTTAAGGACCTAACATATTTCACTTTAAGACAAATAAGGTTTTTATGGTTATTGACATTAATTACACAGTTTGAGATTACTGCATTGCATGAAGAATTTTGGCTTTGAGTCCATTTTCTCTCTGAATGAGTGATTCTTTCGCCAGCTATTACTCTAAATAAAAGATAAGCTGTCTTCCTTGTTCCTTGCAGCATCTTGGCACTACTGGGTGAAATTTTTCTGACTCCTGTTTCATGGAAAATAAGCGACTATCTTTATGTAGAGTACTATTGTTTAGCTCCTGGTCATAGACAGGGCAAAAACATTATCTCTGAGTTACATGAGTTTAATAATACTGAATTAGGAATATTTCACAACTCCAAAGCCAGAACTTTTATTTGTGAACATTTGTGCATTACTCAAGCACTTTTCAAGGCTGCACTTTGTATACCTGATTTCAAGGTACTATGAGATACTAGGCTTTAGGTATTTCTCATTATTCAGATTTTACTTTCTTTTTTGTGTCTGCAATCCAGGAATTTCATGTTCTTAATTTATACATCAAGTACTTATTTTTAAAACTTTTGGTACATTTTATCTTCCATTTCTGCATGTTTAGTAGAGGAGTTATCCTCAATCATGTCTCAGACTGCTGGATTATGTTGCATGACACGTTGTAAAGGTAGAACAAAATAACTTCTCATTCTTTAATTTTTTGTGATTTTTTTATCTCTGGCATACAAAAATAAATTGTAAGGTTTCTTTTATAAATATTAAATAGTTTGTCTCTGTTTTTTGTTATTCTTATAAATATAATTCAGGTGAATTTTACTTTGAGGTTTAAAAGGGCTGCGCATGCTGTATTACACTCACTTGGCAAAGTGATATTTTCTATTAGCTAATAGATTGGCTAAAAAATGTTCAGTCTTCTCATTGATTAATTTTTAAAAAATTTTCTCCATATCTGACCTGTGTAGAATGTATAGAAATTTATAACCCTGAAGCAACCCAAAAGTACAACTGTTTCAACTTTAAAGATATTAGCATTAGGTAGAACATCATATAAATAAAAAGTAAAAATAAATATCAATAGTCTTCATTATGTAATCTTAGTCTATAAAATTGTTTTCTTCTGAAATAAATTCTAACTCAATCAAACATATATTCAACCCAAGAAATTTTTTTTGGATTGCTTTAATTCCAATTTTGATTGTATTTGATTACTTATTTATGCATGTAAAATGTAAGCATTTATTTATTTATTTATTTATTTTGTATTATTATTATTATACTTTAAGTTTTAGGGTACATGTGCACAGTGTGCAGGTTAGTTACATATGTATACATGTGCCATGCCGGTGTGCTGCACCCATTAACTCGTCATTTAGCATTAGGTATATCTCCTAATGCTATCCCTCCCCCCTCCCCCCACCCCACAACAGTTCCCAGAGTGTAATGTTCCCCTTCCTGTGTCCATGTGTTCTCATTGTTCAATTCCCATCTATGAGTGAGAACATGTGGTGTTTGGTTTTTTGTCCTTGTGATAGTTTATTAAGAATGATGATTTCCAATTTCATCCATGTCCCTACAGAGGACATGAACTCATCATTTTTTATGGCTGCCTAGTATTCCATGGTGTATATGTGCCACATTTTCTTAATCCAGTCTATCATTGTTGGACATTTGGGTTGGTTCCAAGTCTTTGCTATTGTGAATAGTGCCACAATAAACATACGTGTGCATGTGTCTTTATAGCAGCATGATTTATAGTCCTTTGGGTATATACCCAGTAATGGGATGGCTGAGTCAAATGGTATTTCTAGTTCTAGATCCCTAGGAATCGCCACACTGACTTCCACAATGGTTGAACTAGTTAACAGTCCCACCAACAGTGTAAAAGTGTTCCTATTTCTCCACATCCTCTCCAGCACCTGTTGTTTCCTGACTTTTTAATGATTGCCATTCTAACTGGTGTGAGATGGTATGTCATTGTGGTTTTGATTTGCATTTCTCTGATGGGCAGTGATGATGCAAGGCTGGTTCAATATACGCAAATCAATAAATGTAATCCAGCATATAAACAGAACCAAAGACAAAAACCACATGATTATCTCAATAGATGCAGAAAAGGCCTTTGACAAAATTCAACAACCCTTCATGCTAAAAACTCTCAATAAATTAGGTATTGATGGGACGTATCTCAAAATAATAAGAGCTATCTATGACAAACCCACAGCCAATATCATACTGAATGGGCAAAAACTGGAAGCATTCCCTTTGAAAACTGGCACAAGACAGGGATGCCCTCTCTCACCACTCCTATTCAACATAGTATTGGAAGTTCTGCCCAGGGCAATTAGGCAGGAGAAGGAAATAAAGGCTATTCAATTAGGGAAAGAGGAAGTCAAACTGTCCCTGTTTGCAGATGACATGATTGTATATCTAGAAAACCCCATTGTCTCAGCCCAAAATCTCCTTAACCTGATAAGCAACTTCAGCAAAGTCTCAGGATACAAAATCAATGTACAAAAATCACAAGCATTCTTATACACCAATAACAGACAAACAGAGAGCCAAATCATGAGTGAACTCCCATTCACAGTTGCTTCAAAGAGAATAAAATACTTAGGAATCCAACTTACAAGGGATGTGAAAGACCTCTCCAAGGAGAACTACAAACGACTGCTCAATGAAATAAAAGAGGATACAAACAAATGGAAGAACATTCCATGCTCATGGGTAGGAAGAATCAATATCGTGAAAATGGCCATACTTCCCAAGGTAATTTATAGATTCAATGCCATCCCCATCAAGCTACCAATGACTTTCTTCACAGAATTGGAAAAAACTACTTTAAAGTTCATATGGAACCAAAAAAGAGCCCGCATTGCCAAGTCAATCCTAAGCCAAAAGAACAAAGCTGGAGGCATCACACTACCTGACTTCAAACTATACTACAAGGCTACAGTAACCAAAACAGCATGGTACTGGTACCAAAACAGAGATATAGATCAATGGAACAGAACAGAGCCCTCAGAAATAACGCCACATATCTACAACTATCTGATCTTTGACAAACCTGAGAAAAACAAGCAATGGGGAAAGGATTCCCTATTTAATAAATGGTGCTGGGAAAACTGGCTAGCCATATGTAGAAAGCTGAAACTGGATGCCTTCCTTACACCTTATACAAAAATTAATTCAAGATGGATTAAAGACTTAAACGTTAGACCTAAAACCATAAAAACCCTAGAAGAAAACCTAGGCATTACCATTCAGGACATAGGCATGGGCAAGGACTTCATGTCTAAAACACCAAAAGCAATGGCAACAAAAGCCAAAATTGATAAATGGGATCTAATTAAACTAAAGAGCTTCTGCACAGCAAAAGAAACTACCAACAGAGTGAACAGGCAACCTACAAAATGGGAGAAAATTTTTGCAACCTACTCAGCTGACAAAGGGCTAATATCCAGAATCTACAATGAACTCAAACAAATTTACAAGAAAAAAACAAACAACCCCATCAAAAAGTGGGCGAAGGATATGAACAGACACTTCTCAAAAGAAGACATTCATGCAGCCAAAAGACACATGAAAAAATGAATTTATTATTATAATTTATATTTTAAAAGACTTCCATCACTCTCTGGAAATCAATATGTATTTTCTCCTGGAGGAAATACATGCTCGTATTTATTAATCTATGAAAAGTATAATACAATGTCTACTTTTCATTTTGTGTTACTAGCACATTCATATTTCTATAAAATTTTTTCTCTCTCAGGATAGCAGTACTAAGTTTATTGCTCCCTATCGTATTCCTAATAGTAGTAAATAATTTTATGATTATACTGCAGATGGGAACATTTATTTACTCTTTTCCAGGTACTTTGACCTACTTTTGTGATTGCCACAAAACCTTGAAATGTGTTTATCTCCCAATTTTGCTCATCAGGGCAGAGAGCTTGGAAAGGTAGTTTCTTGCAGAAGATCACAAAGCTAGCAGATTGCCAAGTGAAGTCCCTAATGTAGGCCTTCTATCTCCAAAGATCACACTCTTTTCCTTATAGTGGGATGCCTCTCATGTTTACCAATTAAAAATGCTACACTTTGGTGAAATCACGTCTTATTTATCTTGCCTAAGTTAAATTCTAAATCACAATTGTGATTCAAATAATCAAGTTATGCCACGGTCACAACCCAAATTATTTTGAGTGGGTGGGTAGATGGTGTTAAAAGTGGGAATTTTGTTTGATTTTGTTTTTATTGTCATAATGTGTTTTCTGGCTATTGTTACAAGCTTATGAATTATCATAATTACATCTTGTTTTTGGCAAAAATAAAAATAAAAATCCAGTGACAAATTGGAAACTTGAAGGATGAGCTTACAGCTGTGCCCCATGCATAGCTGACCGAAGATGTCAGCTAAAGACCACTGGAAAATCTGCCTCATTTCTTTTAAAAGACAAAAACTTTCATTTAGAGGGCATGTACAATGATCTAGTAATAACAGGATGTTTCTTGGTGGACCAGATTTTTTTTATTAATGTGATGTGTTGCTAAAGATTATTCTTCACATATATGTTTCGTTTTATTGGGAACTATAATGACACTATGGAATGCTCCAAGAATGGCAAAACAAAGTTTATAATTTCAGATCTTTCAGTATTTCTTTGTTGATTTAAGTGAATCACAAGACCTGGTAGTTTACTTAGTCCTGCAGTACCAGATTCAAATAGTTGTAGGAATTGTAAATACCAAGTGCTTACCTTTCTGAGCTTTTGGATTCCTCATGCATTGTCTTTCTTATGTAGAACTCGAGACTAAGGGGGCATGAAATCCAGATTAAAATTAAACCAATATATGCCTGACACCCAAGACTACAGCTTCCATTCTAGAATTTCATTCTAGAAGCATCTCAGGAAAGAGCAATTATATTCTATGCCACTATATACCAAGCACTGTCCAAGGCTCTTTCTTTATGGTGACTTCATTTAATTCCCCAGTAAACCAATGAGAGAGGTAGACTACAGCAAAAGATACTAAGGCTCAGAAAGTTAATAGCCCATGCAAGATCACAAAGTTAGTAACTGGAGGAACTGAAATTCAAACACTGTGCAGAAATAACTTGTATGCCTGTGTACTGCTAAGCTTCTATCATTTGTTTTCCAAATACCGAACAGAGTTCATTACTACAATGTCTTGGGCATCATTCAAAATAAAATTTGGTAATGTACTTTGATACTTTGTAATAGTTATTCTTCAAACCTTAGCTTTTGTTTGAGGAATGGACTTTTCTCTCTCTTTGGAAATAAGAAGATAGATGCTCATAGGAGGAAGGGTTCCATTTCTCCCACAACAAAAAGAATACACAACAGGAAAAAGATAGTCTCTTCAATAACTGATGTTGGGAAAACTGGATACCCATATGCAGAAGAATGAAATTGGGTCTTTATTTTACACCATATACAAAAATACATTTATTTTCCTGTGTACCAGCTCCTTAGTTTGAAGTAATCCTGTTTGTTGATTTTTGTTGCCTGTGCTTTTGGGGTCAAATAAAAAAAAATTATTGTCCAGACCAATGTTGTGTAGTTTTTCTCCTGGGGTTTTCTTATAGCAGTTTTACAGTTTCTAGTCTTATGTTTCAGTGTTTAACACATTGTGAGTTTATTATTGTGCACTGTGTGATGTAAGGATCCAATTTTATTGTTCTACATGTGGATATCCAGTTTTTCCAACACATTTATTGACAAGACTATCTTTTCTCGTTGTGTATTCTTGGCACCTATGTTGAAAATCAATTGATTGTACATATGTTGGTTCATTTCTGGGCTTTCTACTATGTTACATTTGTTGATGTGTCTATTTTAATGCCAGTAACATGCTACTATAATTATTATAGCTTTGTAGTACAGTTTGAAATCGGCTAGTGAGATACCTCCAGCTTTGTTCTTTTTGCTCATGATTGCCTTAACTATTCAGGGATTTTTTTTGTTTGTTTCATATAAGTTTCAGAACTTTTTTTTCTATTTCTGTGAAAACTGTCATTGGAATATTGATAGGGTTTACATTGAATTTGTAGAATGCTTTGTGCAATATAGTCATTTTAACAATATTAATTCTTCCAATCTATGAACAAAATCCATTAATTTTTGTCTTTTTCCATTCCTTTCATCAATGTTTTATAGTTTTCAGTATACATGTCTTTTACCTCCTTGGTTAAATGTATTCCTATTTATTGTAACAATTGTAAATGGAATTTTTCTCTTCATTTCTTTTTCAGATAGTTCATAGTGTATAGAAATACTACTAATTTTTGTATGTTTATTTTGTGTCATGCAACTTTATGGAATTCATTTACTAGTTCTAACAGCATTTTGGTAGAGTCTTTAAGGTTTTCTATATATGAGATCATGTCATTAGCAAACAAGGACAATTTTACTTTTGCTTCTCTATTTGGATGTTTTTTATTTCTTTCTCTTGCCTAATTGCTCTGACAAGGACATCCAATACTATGTTAAGCAGAAACCGTAAGAGTGGGTATCTTTATTTCAAATCTTAGAAGAAAGGCTTTCAATTTTTCACTGTTGAGTATGTTACTTGTGGCCTTCTCACATAGGTCCTTTATTGTGTTGAGGTATTTTCCTTCAACCCCTAATTTGGTGTGTTTATTTTAAAAGGATATTGAACTTTGTCAATACTTTGTCTGCATTTAATCAGATGATTGTGCGGTTTGTCCTTCATTCTGTTAATGTGTTATAGCACATTTATTGATTTATGTGTGTTGAAAACCCATTCCATATCACAGGTAAATCCCATCTTTTTAATACACTCTTGAATTTGATTTGTCAGTATTTTGTTGAGAATTTTTGCACCTATGTTCATTAAGGATATTGACCAGCAATTTTCTTTTCTTGTGGTATCCCTATCTGGCTTTAATATCCAGAAAATGCTGGCCTTGCAAAAAGGAGTTTGAAAGTATTTCTTGCTCTCAGTTTTTTGGAAGAGTTTAAGGATTGATGTTATATTAATCTTCTTTAAAAGTTTGGTAGAATTTAGCAATAAAACCATCAGGTCTTGGGCTTTTCTTTGATGGGAAACTTTTCATTACTGATTCAATCTTCTTACTCATTATTGGTGGTGTGTTCCAATTTTCATTTCTTCACAATTCAGCCCTGGTATTTTGTTTCTAGAAATTTGTCCATTTCTTCTAGATTATCCACTTTGTTGGTATATGATTGTTCATTGTAGTGTCATGATTTTTTTTGGTATCATTTATAAAGTCTCCTCTTTCATTTTTGACTTTATTTATTTTAATCTTTTCTCTTTTTTCTTATTTTAGCTAATGGTTTGCTGATTTTATATTTTCAAAAAACGAACTCTTAGTTTATTGATCTTTTGGATTGTTTATCTAGTCTATGTTTAATTAATTCTGCTTGGATCTTTATTGTCTCCTTCCCTCTGTTAACTTTGGGCTTAGTTTCTCCTTTTTTCCTACTTCTTTGAGGAATAACATTAAGTTGATTGTTTGAAATCTTTCTTCTTTTTTAATGTAAGTTTTTATTGCTAGAAACTTTCCTCTTAGGACTGTTTTTGCCAGAGTTGTTATTCCATAAATTTTAGCATGTTGTGTTTTTATTCTTTTGTCTCCAGAAAAAATTTAACATTCCCTTTTTTTATTGAACCATTGGTTATTCAGCAATATGTTTAATTTTCATGTATATGTGAATTTTTTTGAAATTCCTCCTGTTACTGATTTCTAGTTTCAGACCATTGTAATTGGAAAAGCACTTGACATTCAATCTTATTTAATTTATTAAGACTTGTCGTGTGACATGCCATATGAACTACCTCGGAAAATGTTCCATGTATGCTTGAGAAGAGTGTATATTCTGTTTCTGTTGGATAGAATGTTCTGTATGTGTCTGTTAGGTCTATTTAGTCTAAAGTGTTGTTCAAGTCAGTCCAGTGTTTCCTTATTAATTTTCTGTCTTGATGGTCTGTTCACTGTGGAAAGTGGAGTATTGAAATACCCTACTAGTATTATATATCTCTCTCTCCCTTCATGTTCTTTAATATTTGTTTAATATATTTAGGTGCTCTGATGTTGGGTGCATATATATTTACCATTGTTATATCTTCTTGATGAATTGACCCCTTTATTATTAGATAATGTTCTTTTTTGTCTCTATTTACAGTTTTCTCAACTTAAAGTCTATTTTGCCTGATAAAAGTATAGCTATGCCTGCTTTCTTTTGGTTTCCATTTATATGGAATATCTTTTTCTTTCCCTTCACTTTCAGACTATGTATGTCTCTAAAAGTGAGGCGAGTCTCTTACAGGCAGCAAATAGTTGGATCATGTTTTTTGATTCATTTAGTCAGTCTATGTCTTTTTATTAGAAAATTTAATCCATTTACATTCAAGGTAATTATTGATAGGTAACTACTTAATACTGCCATTCTGTTCATTATTTTCTGGTTATTGTATAGATATTTTGTTTCTTTCTCTCTTGCTATCTTCCTCTGTGGCTTGATGGTTTTTTGTAGTGGTATGCTTTGAATTTTTTCTGTTTTTGTTTTGTTCTTATACTAAACATTTTGGCTTTGTGGTCACCATGAGGCTTACCCAGAACTTATAACAGCCTGTGTAAAACAGATAGTAACTTAATTTTGATTGCATGCAACAAACTCTACATTTTTACTATCGCTCCCTTTTATGTTTTTGATGTCATAATTTACATCATTTTGTAATGTGCATCTCTTGAAAATTTATTTTAGCTATAGTTGATACTCATAGTTTTATATTTTAATCCTTGTGCTAGAAATAAAATTGCTTTACATGCCATCATTACAATCCTAAAGTATTATGAATGTGTCTCTATATGACTTACATCTTTGAGTTTCATGCTTTTGTATGTCTTATGTTATTAATTAGCAGCCTTTTTTCAGCTTAAAGAATTTTCTTTAGTTATTTCTGTAAGGTAGGTCTGGTGGTGATGATCTTCCTTAGCTTTTATTTGTCTGGTAACATTTTTATTTCTTCCTTATTTCTGAAATACAGATTTGCTGCATAAAGTATTCTTGTTTGTCAGGGTTTTTTTCCCCCTTGAGCTCTTTTAATATATGATTCCATTGTCAACTGGCCTGCAGAGTTTCTGCTGATAGTTATATTGACACTCTTTTGTATGTGATGTGTATTTCATTTCCTGCTGTCCTCAGATTTTTTTCTTTGTTTTTTTTTTGTTTGTTTTGATTATTATGTGTCTTGGTGAACACCTCTTTGGGTTGAGTTTCATTGGAGACTTCTATGCTTCTTGTACTGGGGGCAGGGGAAGATGTTATGGGGTAATCTATAAATTAAAAGAGATTTAAGACACATACAAATTAGCAATAAGGTATGGAACTTACTTGATCCTGTATCAAACTAATCAACTTTTAAAAATAAATTTTGAGACAATCAGGGTAATTTGAACACTGATAAGATACTTTATGATATTAAAGAAATATAATTTATTTAGGTTCATATTGATATTGTTGCTATGATTTTAAGTCTTTATATTATAGAAATACAACTTTAGAAATACAACTATAGAAATATTTATAGATGAAATGTCATATTGAGTGAAATTTGTTTTCAAATAATATGAAACAGGAAGGGAAGATTGACCATGAATTGGAAGCTGTGCACAAGGGAATTCCTTATGTAATTGTTTACTTTTGGATATGGTTGAAATTTTTCATAAGAAGAAATTACAAAGAAAACAGAAGAGTAAAATTGTTTGATGTGCCTATTTGTAAGCCTATTTTTGCTTCAATGTAATGAATGAATGTTAATATCCTGGATGAATGAAAAGAGTAGCAGAGGAGATTTGGGAGACTTGGTTGGTAGGCTATTGATTAACACACATCCCCTGGTCACATTACATATTAGGAAACATCTTTCACTTTTCCTTATGAATTTGGATTGTGTAGTCATTACACAGAAAGACTCTGGAGTTAAGGAGTTAAATAAGACTTGGGTTCACATTCTAGCTCTTATACTTAGTAGCTATTTGGCAGCTTCCTGATGGCAATGTATGGCAATGTAGGGCAATGTAGTTATGAGGTTAAACTCATAAGGATCTTTTACTCTGAGCCTAGTCACAGTATATAACAGAAAAACAAAGTTTCCTTTTTATAGATTATGAGGTTAATCTCATTAAGATGAAGAATAATTTGGTGATGTTGTACCCTGAATCACACACACACAGGTTGCTCAAACTTACACCCTGGAAAATATAAATTTGACACATTTAAGTTGTCAAATAGTACAGGGGATTGTAGCTATTGTTAAAAATCCTTCCCTTAGTTTCTTCTATTATTTCAAGGTTAACTCAGTACCCTAGGTAATGGTTGTGGCCAAGACTATAAGTTATCCCTTAATTTTGATTATTACAGCAGCTCATTTTGCAACCCTGTCTTTTGCCATTGATCCCATATTTCCTCATTCTTTAAATAAAGTAAATATCTGGAAAGTACAGGAAAGAATTTTTTTTTCTTTTTGAATTTGGCAAGTGGAATAAAATGAAAGCCAAAGAAAAAGTCTGTCAAAAATATTTTCTTCTCAGTTTCATTGATGACATTCCTGTCAGGTTTTTGGAAAGGCCATAACATACAGATGTTAACTGCTTACTTGGAATTGAAAATACATGTCCATTCCTTGTGGTAAGGAATGAATCAAGCAGTCTGTCTGCAGTCTTGCCCTGATTTTTATGAAACTGACCATACTGAGTTTTACATTAAGTTTTACATTGAGCAATAAATAAGGTCAACATCACCAAAGCTTTGCTGCGAAATAACTCTCAATGTTGCTTTGTGTGACTCAACAAGAATTCACTTTTAATGTCTAGTTCAGTTAGAGACTGATGTGGAAAAGTAATCAATGGCTCTATAATGGAAAATAAAAATTACTACTAATTGTGTGGGACAGAGTGCTGAAACCATACAAGGACCCTGTTTTAATAAATTTTGAAAAGTGGCAAGTATACTGATTGCACATGGGAAAACTCCTGAAGAAAATATCTAAGAAAGAAATAAATCATAAGATTCAAAGCCACACTCTAAGCACTGCCATTTTTAATATCTACATAGTGACTTCAACCAAGATAGAGAACCAAAAATTGCATGCCTCATGGTAACCATCTCTAGCCTGATCTAAAGGTTTCTAATATTCTGCATGTATGCAAACTTCTTTATGACTTTTATTCTCTTTGAAAAACACTGCATGAAGAAGTTGAGATTCCTTCTTCCCTGAGCTTATTTATACTGAACTTATTTATACTGAGTAAATCCATCCAGGGAAATTTTTAAATGAATATTCAATTATTGAGAGCTATCAGTTTTTTTTATTGTGTAGATGAGTATGTGTACAAAGTTAATCTGTACTAGGTTTACAGAGAGATGGGTCATCTCAATATGTGTGCTAGACATCCTTGACAATTCAGCCTCCCAGTCAGGACAGCCTCACTGCCCAAGAATCTCTGCTTCCATTTTCCTTATTCCATCAGCACTTGGCAACCGTGCTTTGGTTGTATTTGCTTGATCAGGTACCAATGATTCTGTTAAATGGAGTTTTTCAAGAATGTCAGTAGGTTTTAGAAACTACCATGTATTAAAACTTTTTCTTCAATTTTTCACACAAAAGTAGAATTTATAAAAAGAGTGCTACTGTTACATTCAGTCATGAAACAAAAAGAGGGATGATTAATTTTGCTTGACCAGATCAAGAAATTCTTCACTGATTTGAATCTTGAGGATTAGAATATAATTATGAGTCTTAAGTGAGGGGAAAAATGAAAGAGAAAGTGCAAAATTTGCTTGATTACTTATGCCCCAGGCCTTTCCACATAAACTAATAGGTGTCAATTAGTTGTCTTATCCCTATCATTCACCTGGACACAATTGTCTCAAGAAGAGACAATTAAAAAGAAAGATATTATTAGATCTATGGAAATGTAGAATGAAACAACATCTGTCAGTAATGTGATTGGTTGACATTTCATAATGGCAACAAGGTGAAATGCAGGATACAGAATTTATTTCAGTTAACAATATGCACAATCACCCAATATTTCTGGAAGAAACCTGTTTGCAGGGATTAATTGAAAGAGAGAAATCAATGCAACAAATATTATTTGAGTGGGTAGCATGTAGATATAAGTAAGGAAGCAATAATTAAATTTTAGAGAGTCAGAATGTTTTACAGAGGTAGCAGGTACCCTGGGTACATTGCTGAGACATGATTTCATTTTTTAATTTTTCAAATGAGCTCAGACAAGGTGTGTTTATGAATAATTAACATCAAAAAATTTAATTCTCGAGGGTCAAAATGATATGCATTGATGTCATTACAGTTATTTTCAACAAAAATCTACATTGTAGTATAATAAATGAGAAATTAGAGTTGATACCTTGACTTTTAGGCATTGTAATGAACACCATAAAAGCCTTCAATAAAAATATTTTATGCAGAAGGTGGAGAAATATAAATAAAATATATATTTCAATTCATTTTATATAAATAGATCATTTCTTATCTCTTGATGTGCAGGTGAGTGGAAGGCAGAGTACAAAAATATTTCAATTCATGAATATTGCTAGTAAATTCCTCTTCTCATTTTCTCCAAGAATGCAACTTGATATAAAATACTTGTCAAAAAATTTATATAAATTCACCAAACTCATAACACATCTGGCCCAGTTATCTTGTATATTAGTTAGAATTAAGTTTGGTTGTGGCAAAACTCTACCTTGTCTGTAACATAAGAAGAAAACAGTAGCATAACTCCTCTTATAGGAAAGTCTTTGTAGGCATTCAGGTGTTGTATAACACTTTTCTGTTACTGTTACTCTAGGCATTGCCTCTACTCTCAATCTACACTCATCTTGCACCAAATCAAATACACTTCCTAAGTAAGTTGGTGTCTCCTGTTCATCCATCACACTGCTCCCTCCTCTTTAGGAATGTGTATCCCTGTAGTTGCCACTTTATATGTGCTTTTATCTTTTTGGCTCAAAATAGCCCCTGGGCTACATCCAGCTTCAAAGGAGACAGGGAAACAGTATTTTTTCTGGTCAGCCATGTGCCTAGATACTCTGCCTCATTCAAGCTAGCTGTGTAAAACATAACCATCAACAAAATCTTAGTGGTCCTTGCCTCAAGGAATTTGTCATCTCATGGATTTGATGAACACATAGTCATATTATTGAGCTCATACTGTGTACTAGTTTTCTGTGGCTCCTGTAACAAGTCACCACAAAATGTGTTGCTTAAAACAACAAAAATTTATTCTCACAAAGTTCTGGAGGCCGAAAGTCCAAAATCAAGGTGTCATTAGGACTCCACACCTTCTGGAAGCTGCAAGAGACAATCCCTTTTTTGCCTTTTCCACCTTCTGGTGGGGGTTGGCATTCCTTGGCTTATGGCCACACTGTTCTCCATTCTGCTTCTATCTTCACATCTCTTTTCTGTGTCTTTTCCTGTTTTGTCTAAGTTTCAGTCTTCTTTTTTCTTACAAGAACACTAGTCATTGGTTTTAGGGCCCACCTGGGTAATCCAGGATGATCTCCTCATTTCAAGATCCTTAGATGAATTACATCTGCAAAGATACTTTTTCCAAATAAAGTAACATTCACAGGTTCCAGGGATTATGACCTAGATATTTCTTCTTGGGTGCCACGATCAATCAACCCATATGTTTTTTCAACTACATATGAAAAAACAATTACATTTTTAAGCTCACTTATACTTCCAGCACAAATTTCAGATAAAATTGTTTTTCATCACTATATATATACACTTTCCTAGGTCTCATGAACTACAGATAGTGAACAATTATACAACCTCTTCCCCTGAGATGTATTATAAATGTTAATAAGTGAAATAATCACGATGAAGTAAATTTAAAATGTTAAAATATTTTACCATTTCTTTTCTTTCAACTTCCTAAAAAATAATTTCAAACAAAAAGGGAGTTCTGCATTTGGGAGCAGAATGCAATCTGTATATATTTCTTTTGTGTCAGGCAAATACATACTCTGATTTATTGGACCTTAATCTGGGATATTTTAGATTCCCAGCACATAACTTGCACTAGATGCAGAAAACATTTATTTATTATTACTTTTAGCTGAGAAAGAGAGATCTTGAATCTACTCAGTAAAGCAAAGTAAATTAAGGTTTTTTGATGCGGGGCATAGGGAGACAGAGAAGAGAAAAGAGTTTCATGAGGCAAAAATTCCCAATTTTCTTTGCAAAATATTTGGTTAGGGTAAGATAAAATTCAGAAAATAATAAAAATTGGAACAAAACTTCCCATTCTACAAATAAAGTGGAGACAAATGATTCATAAAACAGAATATTGACATAGTATATTTTACCTTGAATTGTCCCTTGTACGGTACATACTATTATGTAATAGCACAGTAATCATGTTATATGAGAGCAAAATGAAAAAACAAGACAGCCATATCTCTAAATTTTTATTATATAAGCTTGTACAAATAACTTTTTTGATTTATCTAATACTAAAATTTTTGGTGATGTTACATGAAGTATAAAAAATACAGGTAATTATAATGTGGGAAATAAAAGCTATACCTAATTTAACTAACTATAAATATTTATTTTTAACTAAGATTGAACATGAATATTCTTTGGACCTGTATAACATATATTTAACCTATTGTGACAGCATGTTCTCCGGTAAAGGAATTCCTCATGGTAACAGTCAGGTTGGTGACTTGGTGAACTTCTCATCTCTGAAAAGAACAGAGATGACTGGGGTAATTGTAAGGAAGATTTGTGACAAATCTAAGATTTTACAATTCTCAGCAAATAGATGTGAATGTATAAACAGAATTTAGCTTGGATTGAAAATACTGTGCATTGGAAGTGAATATTTTGAAGCAAAGGATAGTGAAGAAAATATTTGAGGAATACTCAATTCTCAGTTGTCTGCAGAGGTAGCACATTGCAGGGTATGCTATCTATCCAGTACAAGCCAAAGGCTTCTACCCTAGCTCCCTGCTGTTGTAACTGGGAAATATCAGCTACATTTAACTACCTAATTTAAACTTCACTTGAAAGGGACATCTTCTGTATGAAATCATAATAAGCTTATGAATGTCAAATATTTGGAACTATCTATTATTTCAGAATATCAGCCCCCTCATGTCTTTCATTGAGTAATTAAGGTTTGACTACAGTTTTATGTCTTTCTCTGTAAAAGGTATTGCTTTTTGACAGCTCCTTAAATTATCATGTGGAATGCAACTGTTGAATGCATAACTGAAACGGAGATATAGGATGTGAAAAATCACACACTATAATTTTCTAAAATGCAAATCACTTATATTCTGCAGCTATTATGGAATAAAAATCCTAGTAAGAAAGTTGCACAGGAAGTTTCAGACAGAAGATGGAAAAAACAGATTTGCTCCCTTTCTGTCTGTCCCTGTTAGTGATTTTCCAGACACAGTATAGAGGTTCTGGTTTGAAACAGTTTTAGGCAGAGCTTCAGAGAGGTTTTATTCCATAAAAGCACATTATTTCCATTAAAGTCCACAATAAGAGCTGAAGGATATGCCATTCTTTCACGAGAAGCAACACTCATAAATCTTAGTAACATAAGCAATTCTGAAATAAAATCATATTGGAGTGCAGAACCATTTGGGGGCTGCTTTTCACATTTTTTTTTTGAGGAGGCAAAGATTTTCAAAGAAATAGGACTGTGTTTTCAGCCTGCATACTATCTCACACCAGTAATATCTGTTGTCTTTAACCTTTACTTTGTCTAAGTGATGTGTGAACATAAAGTCACCTGAGTGACCCGTTAACGCACCGCAAAAAGTTTTGTGATAACATAAGCAGACTGGGTTCTTGTGAACCAGTAATGAAAATTGCTTCATCAGACTTCTTGATCTCTATAATTTTTCAGGGTCCAAAAATGAAATGTGATTTATAGTTCTATAAATTTCATTGCTTCAGAGTTTTGGTTCTCTAATCTCAGCTGTGAAAGGAGAGCTCAGAAGTTCCTTCACAGATTTTCTTTTAACCAAAGAAATGAATGCATAAATAAACCCCAGCTAAAACTTTCATGTGTTTAATGTCCTAGAAGAGCAAAGTGATTGGCTCAGAATTAAAGGGAAATGTAATGGTTTTTGATACGTTTTGCAAGATGAATAATGAAAAGATTGTGTAAAATAGTGTATGGTGTGATGAAAAAGAATCCCCAAAGTAGTATATCCAATGTCAACATTTTCCCATGGGCTTTGTATTAAGCCCAGAGAAATCCTTTGTGTATGCTTTGTAATTTTTAACTGGAAAGAAAAAGTGAAAGAGAAATATGTTACTTGGGCCACTAACTTGGTATGTCTATTGATTTCTTATAAGTAACCTGGAGCCTAGAGATTGCTGTAGTCAATATATATATAGAAAGAAATACTCAACTGGTGGGATTTCTTTATTAAGCAATTACCCTCTACCTTCTGCAGAGTAAACGCCAATGCTGCATGAAATTAACAGAATTCCACAGCTAGAATTGAACAGAATGATTTGATACTTGTGCTTGGTATTTCTGGAAGGGAAAGATTTTACGAATTTTCATTTCAAGACAGACCAAAATTTAAAACTTGAAGAAGGAATCTGAGTTACTTTGGTTGAAACATTACTGTCTGCAAGTGTAGCAGTAGGCTTTGTTTTTTCTCAGCCTGTGGCAATGGGATGGGTTTTAATAGTAGGTAGCTAACCGCTTCAGTGGAAGTGGGAATTATTTTGTTATCAGTTAGCCATTTGGCAAATATTGTGAAATTAGCAGGGCCTTGAACATTAAAAAGACATTATCATATCTGAAAGTGAATAATGAATGTGATTTTGGCTACATAAAAATTTATTTAAATAAACAACTTCTAGGTTTTTTTGTGTGTGATATGACAGATGTGGTTTCTCTGACATTCTTTTTTTTATTATACTTTAATTTTTAGGGTACATGTGCACAACGTGCAGGTGTGTTACATATGTATACATGTGCCATGTTGGTGTGCTGCACCCTTTAACTCATCATTTAACATTAGGTATATCTCCTAATGCTATCCCTCCCCCCTCCCCCAACCCCACAACAGTCCCCAGTGTGTGATGTTCCCCTTCCTGTGTCCATGTGTTCTCATCGTTCAATTCCCACCTATGAGTGAGAACATGTGGTGTTTGGTTTTTTGTCCTTGCGATAGTTTGCTGAGAATGATGGTTTCCAGCTTCATCCATGTCCTTACAAAGGACATAAACTCATCCTTTTTTATGGCTGCATAGTAATCCATGGTGTATATGTGCCACATTTTCTTAATCCGGTCTATCACTGTTGGACATTTGGGTTGGTTCCAAATTTTTGCTATTGTGAATAGTGCTACAATAAACACACATGTCCATGTGTCTTTATAGCAGCATGATTTATAATCCTTTGGGTATATACCCAGTAATGGGAAGGCTGGGTCAAATGGTATTTCTAGTTCTAGATCCCTGAGGAATCGCCACACTGACTTCCACAGTGGTTGAACTAGTTTACAGTACCACCAACAGTGTAAAAGTGTTCCTATTTCTCCACATCCTCTCCAGCACCTGTTGTTTTCTGACTTTTTAATGATTGCCATTCTAACTGGTGTGAGATGATATCTCATTGTGGTTTTGATTTGCATTTCTCTGATGGCCAGTGATGATGCTTCTGCACAGCAAAAGAAACTACCATCAGAGTGAACAGGCAACCTACAGAATGGGAGAAAATTTTTGCAATCTACTCATCTGACAAAGGGCTAATATCCAGAATCTAAAATGAACTCAAACAAATTTACAAGAAAAAAACAACCCCATCAACAAGTGGGCGAAGGATATGAACAGACACTTCTCAAAAGAAGACATTTATGCAGCCAATAGACACATGAAAAAATGTTCTCTAACATTCTTAATGTGATATTCAACAAAAAATTCCAAAAGTTAACTCTGAAGTAGATTTTAGGAGGCAAATAATTGCAAGTATTTTAAATTAAATTTGTTTTCTTATAAGGACTGTGTAACAAGTAAATATACATAAAAGATGCTCTAACAGAGTTTTAAGATTTAAAGCAATATGTTAGTGAGACCCAAAATTTGAGGGATATAGCACATTTCTAAAATTATAAGTCAAGGATAACAGAGTCTAGATATAGGAAAGTCAGATATTCTTGCTTTGACCTACCATCTATTAACTATTACTGAATAATTCTATTTTTCCAGCCCTTACCTGGTAAAAAAAATTGCAATGAGTGAATTATATTAAATGACCTTAAGTTTTCCTTCTATCACTAAAATGTTTTAATTATGTTGATTAAGAATAAAACATGATTTAACACACAATATTTACTTTTCTACATAACCCTTAAAATTTGGGCAATTTGTAAAGCAAAGTTAAATACATGAAAACTTTCATAGTGTAAACCATAAAGATTCTGAGACAAATCCCAATCAGTTTAGAACTTTATTTGGTCAAGGCTGAGGATGCATGGGAGACAGATCTGTGCCTTTCTCCAATGATGATTTTGAGGGCTTCAATATTTAAATAGGAAAAGCAGGCTGGAGGGGAAATAGGGAGGGTCTGGTCACATTACTAAATCCACATGTTGCAAGATAAAAGAAGTAGTATGGAAATAGTCAATTATGTATTTGTCTCACCTTCAGTAAATTGGCATTTTACACAAGATAAGGTGAACACAGAGTGGAGATATTTGACCTTTTATCTGTAGCTATCTGCTCAGGAACAAAAGCAAAGTCAGTTTCTTGCATGACTCAGCTTTCAGCTTAATTTTTTCCTTTTGGCATAGTGAATTGGGGTCCCAGTTTTTATTTTCCTTTCACAATAGAGATTACAGAAATACCTCAATTCTACTTTGGATTATCATTAATCCAATTATTCATTTAATGTGTCAGACATTTGGTATTATAGGCAGGATCTTGTAGTTGAGTCAGAAGACATTCTACAAATAAATAATTACATGCAACGTAGTAGATGATGCATTAAAGACAATTTAGTATAGTGCATAAGAGCACAGACTTTGGAGTCATTCAATCCCTATGTCTGCCATCTACTTGCTGTGTGAACCTGGTCAAGTTGGTATACTTCTCCAAATCTCAATTTCCTAAAATGGGGATAATAATGATGATTAAATGAGATAATGCATTGTCTCATTCTTAAGAAATGTTTAATATATGTTAAGCATTAAGCTCAATTATGCTCTTAGATGTGCTATAGGAGCATTAAAGGGAAAAGCCAATTGCTATCTGCTTAATTCCAGGAAGAGGAGGTCCAGGGAAGTGTGATATTTGAGCTGGCTTTGAAATAAGAGAGTGAGTTAATTGTGTAGATTAGAGTCAAGGGAAGTGCAACCAAGATAAAATACACACACAGTTACTGAATTAAAAAGAACACATTCTAAGTTAAGGGAATATAAATGGTTTCTTGGCTGGAGAAGTATGTATGTATGTATGTATTGGTATAAAAAGAGGGGGTTTGGAAATTGAGGCTAACGCTTTAACGTAAATGTGAAATGCTATGAAATACCTTGTGTACAAAGAATTTAGAGTTTAATCCTTCTGGAAACATCAGTGAAACACTCAAGGTTTCCACATAGTAGTAGGATGACACTATCAACAGACTTACTGATGTAGGAAGGTCATGTTCAAGACAGTGTGGAAAACCGATGAATGCAATTGAGATTGGTAGCAGTGAGATGCCAGTTAGAATATTCCAGGCAAAAACTGATAAAGGCCAAACCCAAGGTTGAAATAGTAGACATGGAAGGAAGAGAGATTTAAGAGAGAGTTCTGAGGTAAATAGATGCATGTATTAGGGTTCTCCAGAGAAACAGAACCAATTGTATGTGTGTGGGAGGCAGGGAGAGAAAGAGACAGAGGGTAGAATTTATTTTAAGGAATTGGCTCACATGATTATGGAAGCTGTCAAATACAAAATCAGCAGGATGAAACAGCAGGCTGGCAACTCAAGAAAGAGCCAGTGCTGCAGTTCAAGTCTGAAAGCTGTCTGCCAGCAGAATTTCATCTTGCCCAGGGTAGGTTGGACTTTTGTTCTATTCAGGCCTTCAACTGATCATATGAGGCTCACCTACGTTATGCAGGGCAGTGTGCTTTACTCAACATCTACCGACTTAAATGTTAATTTCCTCCAAAAACACCCTCACGGAAACACCCAGAATAATATTTTACCACATATCTGGGCACTGTATCCCAGCCAAGTTGACACATAAAATTAACCATCATGGGCATGTGTTGATGATGAACTGGAAAAAACAAAAATGAGGAGAGCAAGAAGCTGAAAATGAACAAGGTTTCCCCCTTGGTATAGGAAGAAGCATTATCTGAAGTAAGAGAAAAGGAAGAGACAGACTGTGGATGGAAGAGTTAGAGTTGAATAATTTTGATTGATTATATTGAATTTGAAATGACCGTGGATAATCCAAGTGAAATGTTTCTTAGAAAATTTGAGGTATTGGTCTGAAGTTTAGATAAGAAGCCAGGGTTAAGAATAAAGACTCAGACTAATATCCAGCATCTATAAGAAACTTAAACAAATTTACAAGAAATAAACAAACCCATTAAAAAGTGGACAAATACATGAACAGACATTTTTCAAAAGAAGACATACATGCTGCCAACAATGCTACAGAAAAAGCTCAACATCACTGATCATTAGAGAAATGCAAATTAAAACCATAGTAAGATACCATCTCACACCAGTCAGAATGGCTATTACTAAAAAGTCAAAAAATAACTGGTGCTGGCAAGGTTGTGGAGATAAAAAGGAATGCTTATACACTGTTGGGAGTGTAAATTAATTCCACCATTGTGGAAAACAGTATGGTAATTTAATTAGCTAAAAACAGAGCTACCATTTGATTTATTAGTGGATATATATGCAAAGGAATATAAATCACTGTATCATAAAGACACATGCATACATATGTTCCTTGCAGTACTATTCACAATAGCAAAGACATGAAATCAACCTAAATGCTCATCAATCGTAGACTGGATAAGGAAAATGTGGTACATATACACCATGGAATACTATTCAGCCATAAAAAGAATGAGATCATGTACTTTGCAGGAACATGGATGAAGATAGAAGCTATTATCCTTAGCAAAATAATGCAGGAGCAAAAAACCAAATACTGCATGTTCTCACTTATAAATAGGAACTAAATTATGAGAACACATAGATATATAAAGGGAAACAACACACCCTGGGGCTTATTGGAGGGTGAAGGCTGGGAGGAGAAAGAGGATTAGGAAAAATAACTAATGGGTACTAGGTTTAATAGTTGGGTGACGAAATAATCTGTACAGCAAACCCCCCGTGACCCAAGTTTACCTGTGTAACAAACCTGCACATTTACCCCTGAACTTAAAATGAAAGTTAATAAAAAGAGAGTAAAGACTCAGAAACCAATGGTCTTTCAGCTGAGAACATAGATAAAATTTATGAAAGTAGTGATTCTCAAACCTAAAGCTCATAAGAATCATCTGTGAAGTATTTTAAAAATACAGATTCTGGTCCCCACCCTTGGAAACATTAAGTCAGAATTTTCAGAGCTGTAGCTCAGGCATTCAATTTAGAAAGTCCCATAAATGCAGCCAAGTTTGAGAGACTCTAGCTTGAAGTTTGAAGACTGCTGGCTTAAAGAACAGATCATGAAGCAAAATAAGAGACTAAGGAAAAAGGATAAAATGTAGAGAGTAGCACATTTTAAAAGGAATAGATTAGGAGAACCCATAAAAGTAATCAGCAGGAAATCAAGGAGGAGGAACCTTATCTGGAAACCAAATTAAGGAGAGCTGGGCTAACAGCATCGAATGTGGAAATGATGTCAGTAAAGATAAGGAATGTGAAAGACATTCAACTCAGTTTTCCTCAATTAAAGCTCATTTTGATCTATTAATAGCAAAAGGAGCATTTGGGTCTTAGGAGTAGTAAACTCCATTTTCTATTTCCCAGTCCCATTTGCAGGTTCCCCAGAGCCAAAAGCAGCTGTTTTACCAGATGGCTGCTGGCCAGAACATTTTTTTTGTTTGTTTCACTGAACTAGGAAGTAAGACAGGCACAAAACAAGATATAAAAATCAAAGAAAAAGACTGAATAAACCATGTCATAGACGTCAGCCTGATCATTATGTTTAGAAACCAGCAGGATGACACGAAAAAGTCACTGTATGTATCTTCCAGCTGGAAAATGTTTCTAACTAAAGAAAGGAGGCCAGAGAATTTTCAAAAGAATTGTTGAGACTATAAGCAGTAAAGGGAATGTCACAAGTCCTACCTCAATGTCACTACAACAAATATCAGCCTTATGTCAAAAGTATCCTGCATTCACTTTGCCTTACATTAAGACTTTGCCTCACAGCCAAGCCCTAAAGGGAAGATGCTATGGAACCACAGCTACAATATAGTCAAAACTTGACTCTGAAAGCTTAAGTCCATGCAATTAAACTTCTCAAAGCCAACCTAGGAAACAGGCCATTGTCTCCTCTGCAGGGGAACAACCACTGATAACATTTCGCCCTCATTCTGGTAGGCCAGTAGTGTCTGCATTACTTCAGTCAGGAAATTAATAGGAATTCACTGGAATTGAACACATAATTGCACTCTGATCCACTAGGTTCTACCCACTGAAGTAACTAGTACCTTTGAAACATTACTGGGACATTCAGAAAGCTGTCCCATACAGAAAGCTGGGTCACCTGTACTTTCCTAAATCTTTAATTTGCTAATTTAGAGGCATATATATATATATAAAAATACATATTATATACAAATATATACAGTTGAGAAGTCTCTTGCTTGAAAAAAATGAGTGAAGAGGACCAATCCCATCTTCCACCTTTTGTGATATATATTTTTTTTTAACTGAGATGGAGCTTCGTTCCTGTCGCCCAGGCTGGAATGCAATGGCGCAATCTGGGCTCACTGCAACCTCCGCCTCCCGGGTTCAAGCGATTCTCCTGTCTCAGCCTCCCAAGAATCTGGGATTACAGGCATAACCCACCACACCCAGCTAATTTTTGTATTTTTAGTAGAGACTGGCTTTCACCATGTTGGTCAGGCTCGTCTCGAACCCCTGACCTCAAGTGATCCACCCGCCTCAGCCTCCCAAAGTGCCAGGATTACAGGCATGAATCACCACGCCCGGCCTGTGATAATTAATTATATTGGAAATATTTCCTGCTTTGGAAGACCATCTAAAACAAAATTTCACCAATAGTAATATATTAATGAGAAAACGTGGCTGGTTTTAATTCAGAAGACTCTCATTACTGCCAATATTTTTATTATATCAGTCAAATTAAATGGTCCTGGAAAGCATCATCAATCCACTCTTTCAATATTTCTCTAAGTCAGTCAAACATCTATTTCCTTCTAATTTAGTTCTTCTCCTATGTAGTAGAGGCATAATGCTGAAGCTAATGCTTTCTGTATACCAGAGTTTAATCAAATAAGCAACATTCAGGTACTGATTTGAAAATCGGGATCTTGCCTGATAAAATGAGCTCCTCCTCACAATTCAAGATTGCCCCATTCACATTCTATAATTTCCCAATTTACTAAGAATAAGACCCATACACATGGGGTAAACTCCTACACAAATGGTCTTTGTTTATTATCCATTAATGACTGTCTTAAATTTCAACCCACCAGGATGTCACTGCAGATTAAAATTGACAGCCAAAGGGGGCTTTGGTGGTTAATTCAAATTTTTGAATTCATAGATTTGAATGAGAGAATTGAAATAGAGAAGTACCTTGTCCAGCATCTCACATCCAGTAAGAGATAGAGCCAGGACTTGAATTCAGATCTTGAGTACACATAAGCTTTCTTTTTCCTACTATGTCAAGGTACTGCTATAATTCTCTAAGCAATTTATGACTTCATGCTTCTTCCCTGTCTGACAAGTTCACACTGCCCCAATTAGGATACATTTTTTCTTTTTGTGCAGTTCCTTAGCATCTGCCTTTTCATTTTGCCTCTCCAGCAACTCCTTTCTCCATCTCTTCAATGTGATTTATTTCTCAGTATGTCCGAACACATTTACATTTCTATCCCGAACTTCAACCCTGTCATCAAAAAGAATATTTTGGCTAGTTCTTTTCTCAGAGGCAGATCAGTTTTATAGGGATCTGAGGTAATCTGCACTTAAAGTTTTACTCTGGGGTGACTCTAGTCTCTGCAAAAACATATTTTCTATCTTGGTCTTTGGGTTATGAAATTCTTAGTGGTATCATGGGAAGATTCAGGAAAGCTGAGAATTTATCATGGATTTTATATATTTTAGCATGCCCCAAAATGCAGAGCCATGTTATATTTAGACTATTGCCATATAAAATAATTGTTTATTGCTTCATATAATGTATATGTTATATGCCAACTCCGATTTGAATGGAAGTCTATTTGCTCCATGATAGATGTTCTCCTGATTCCAGAACTCTAAGAAAGAGAATATGACATGAGCAGCTACTTACCTCTTAACTTCCAGAAACTTGTTCATGTATATTACAGGGTTCTGTTGAGCTGCAAGTGACAGTAGAAACAGACATACATATATTGGTTCACCTGGATATAAAACATAAGCAAACAGTAATATACATTTATACTATTTAATTATAAAAGCAGGTTTTTTGTTAATTTTACATTAACTATCCAGAAATATCCAAAGTATTGTTACTGAAATCTCAGTTTTAATTATTAAATAGTTAAAGAGTATAAGGCTTATGTATTTACACAATTTCATTCCTGTAATCTAGTCAGAAAAGGATAAGGGACCGATGGCTGAAAGCTTGGGAATCCTTGCATCATCCACAACTGGCTTACGACAAGAAATCAAACAAGGTAGCTTATAAAAATCAAGAGTGGAATTTTAAAAATAAAAACTAAATAAGTTAAAAATATATTCCTTTTAAAAAAGGATAGACCTTCACGTTCAATAAAATCCGCTTACAACATTTTTATTCAGTCACTTGAAATTCACTGTGGGAATGTTTCATGTGTAAATCCTCACACTTTCTCTCACTACATACCTCTTAAAAGAAGCAAAACAGCAACAGCAAACAGAGGCCATGTGTACATCCTGGAAAGCAGCCTTCTCCTTGGTCTTGATTGATGATGGCAGTTCAAATCTACCTGAATCTCTCCCATCACATTCTTAATGCTGAAGAGCTGCTTGTATGTTCCCTTAACCCAGCCACAGGAGATTTATGGGTGTGCACACCCATAAAACAGAAGGTTGAAAAAAACAGGTTTGCAGTCCCGTGTAAAGGCAGCAGATGCAGTTGTAGGCACCATGGTTAGCATAAACAAGCACAGAAAAAAAAATTTCTATTTTCCTGCAAAGCTGAAGCGCAGACTGAACAAGATAGACATACAGATAAAGAAGACCAACCACAATAGGAGTGTACCAGGAAATATATTAGGTGCCCATCCAATTGTCTTACGTGGTCAAATACAAAAGTAATCCACGTACAGGGTCAATGGTGGCCTTCATTCCTGATTTTTTCTGGTGAGGTTTTCATTGAAACCTGAGTACTCTTCCCACATTAAAATGTCCGCTTTTGAAACTAAGTTACTACTTAAATGGAAACATTAAAGAGGCATTAGCATGAAAGAGGGAAAAGACCATTATGTCATCCAGCTCACTTCCTTGCCAAGTAATGAATATTGCCCTCATTTCTCTTCCCAAAGTGTTGGTCAAATCCTGTTTTTAAAGCCTCAGAGATGGGCATCTATCCTCTCCCTCAGAGGATATTTATTCCACATTTTAATAGTTTTCACAATTAGGAAACTTTTCCTGAAAGTCTGTCCAATTTTTCTTTGCTTAATTTCTTTCCATGGCCATTTAGTAATGGCTCAGAGTTCTGAAAATCTTTCACAGGCAGTTGATCTGGAAAAGGGTGGCTTCAAGTGTGCATGATGAGACTGGGGGAAGCATGCCTATGAGGAGCATCTGAAATCACTTGAATTTCCTCTATGACTTCTGTGTTTACCTTATCACATATCATATCTATATGTAAAACCATGAACTTGAGTTTGTAGAAATTATCTGAAATCTTCCATAGAACACTGTTTTTTGGTTTGAAAACAAATTAACACAGGTCATAGAATAGTACTAAGGAAAAATCAGTTATTTGTAGCCAACTTTACCAAGTTTGTGGTCCTATTTTTTTTTCCACTATAGTGGGTGAAGGTTGGTGAGGGCATTAAAGGAATGAGTAAACCAGAGAAATAATTTACTCCTCAAAACAGTCTTAAATATCAATTCAAGGAAATCAAAATTTGTGCCGTTGCTATGGAAATCAGTGAATAGTAAAGGTAATTACTTTAATAAATTCTTTCATAGCACATTCACTGCAAAATACTTCTGTCTCTAAATAGTCTGAGGTATTTGGTTTCTCTTGGAACGTTCTCTAAAATGTTCTAAGTATTTAAATTCCTTCTCTCTTGCCCCTAACCCTCATACTGGACATGATATTTATTAATAAAAACAATAAATTAGATACTCTCAGAGATTCACAGTTAATGCTAAATGAACCCTGTCCTTTTATATGTATGTTTAACTCTGAACAAACTAATACTTTGACTCTGCTTCTTACATATTCTGCAGCGCAGTTTAATATGTCTTCCCAGTCAATTCACAGATATTGCTGAGTGGATGGGGTTGAGGTAGGTACACATAGTAGATATTCATTTTCTGCAGGAAATTAGCCTAGCCAAATACTTAGTACTAGATAGTTATTTAGTGTCTTCTTTTTATAATTTGGTTTTATTGTTACCTTTCTAATAAAATACTTGTTCTTTCACATTGATTTTATATTATAAACATATAAAGGTTGAAGAGTGTTTTATGGACTTCATGACAAATAAGCTATATTAAATTTATACAATATCTTTTAAAGTCGTATCTGTTTAAATGTTTCATATATTTTTTTCCTGCTAAATAGAAAGGTTAATTGGTTAAAAAAGTTCTGATAGATGAGAACACTACTGGGAGGCTGGCCTTAGAGGTAGAATAATAATAGCAGTAGTCTGAGAAAGCTATAAAGAAAGCGAGGTATTTTCTTACCTATACTTCTTGGTCCACAACAATCAGTCCTGCCGTGTACATGTAGAAACCAATATGTTATGAGAATTATCAATGATCATGTGAAAAGTAAGCATTCATGATGATTCACATTTTTTTAAAGCATGTTCTAACATTTTACTTTACAAATTTAAAGAAGGAAGATCTAGATGTTTCTGTTGTTCTCTAAGATATTTTTTAATTGTGCTAATATAATTAGAATATGGAGTTTTAATAGATAATTACAATACGTATTTAATACTCCTGTCAAAGATTCATTATCCTCAGGATTCTAAAAGGAATTTTATAGTTCGTATGTAAAAAAAGAATTACAAAACAAGTTGTGTTCATTCACTCAAAAAGTATTTATAGAGCCTTTATAATGCAGTATGACATTAGTGTGAGGACGTATGTTGAGTAAAGTTATCACGCTGACTTCCACCTTCATGGGGCTTTCAATTAGGGAAGATCCTCATTAATTACATGATCACATAAAAATGTACAATTGCAATTCTGTGAAATACTCTGAGTATGTGTCATGCAGTTCAAAGTCCCTGGGGAAGGAAGAAGTATAAGGAACTAAAGTAAACCAGTGAGGCTGAATCCCAGAGGGCAGAGTTTTGGAGAACAGGTTATAGCTTTGTATAAATGTCCTGTAAGAGATAAAAAGCACTGGAATTATTAAGCAGAAGAAACACTGGATTTTTCTTTTGAAAAAGTAATTCTGGCTGCAGAATGGAGAATGCCTTGGAGAGAGAAAGACCGAAGGCTAATGCGGTAGTTCAGATGAGAGACAACCAGGTTTTAATCTACTCATCTCCATTAGAACTCTTTTTTTTTGTGCACATAACTCCATGGCCTTGCTGCCCTAGGCAACAGTCAGCAGACCGCCAAACATGTGAGTGAGCCACAAGAACAACTTGGCCCAACCCCACATAAATTGTTGACCTATAAACGTAAACTAAATACATACATTTGTTTAACGATAAAAAAATTTAAAAAAAGTAACTCCTCTTTTTAAGGTCACTAATGACTAACACATTGATTAATCACATGGTCAAGCATTCGTCATATTACCCAACCGCTCAGGGGCAGTTGATGTAGTTGATCACTCCTTCCTTCTTATTTTTTTTTTTTTTTGGTTGGTTTTTTTTTTTTTTTTTTTTTTGAGAGAGAGTCTCACTCTTTCACCTGGGCGGGAGTGCAGTGGCTGCAATCTCGGCTCACTGAAACCTCTGCCTCCCTGGTTCAAGCGATTCTCCTGCCTCAGCCTCCCAAGTAGCTGGGATTACAGGCACCCGCCACTACTCCTAGCTATTTTTTTTTATTTTTAGTAGAGACGGGGTTTCACCTTGTTGGCCAGGCTGGTCTCAAACTCCTGACATCGTGATCTGCCCGCCTGGGCCTCTCAAAGTGCTGGGATTACAGGCGTGAGCCACGGCGCCTGGCCGACTCCTTCCTTGTTGACATTGCTTCCCCTGTCCTGCTCTGATCTTCATTGTTGTTCCTCTCAATCTTGGCTGGTTCTTCCTGTTGTCCTTGGTAAACTGCAGTACTTTAGGGCTTTTTATTTTTTCTCATATATTTATCTTCTCTCTTTATACTTTTCTTGGTAATCACATCCAATCCCGTGATTTTTAATACATCGACACACTGACAAATTTTAACTTCATTTCTAATCTTATCTAAACTAAAGTTGTATCATATGCCAGCCATGCCAAAATATATCTTGAATCTGATCCCCACTGCTGACATTTTATTTCAATCATTTAATTGAGATAACTTCCTACACTGTCTTCCTTTTCACCCTTGCTTATATTCTATCTTCAATACAGCATCCAGAATGAGCCTTTTAAAATATAAATCATCAGGCAGGGTCTTCCCCACCCTCCCCACCTCCTGACCCTCTGGCTGAAACCCACAGCGCAGCCTTCTCTCCTGTGTCGGTTGTGCTGATTGGTTGCAGCTCTGCATCTCTCTGGGGTGGAGCCCCAAGAGAAAAGTAAAAGACCCTTGGCCACAACCACTGCCAAGGTGCCTTCCTCTGTTGTCTCCAAGTTGGGGAGGGAACATAAACCCTGAGATTGCCCCAGAGTTGTGGTGGGCAGCCCAGGAGTGCCAAGCCATGAACTCAGCCAGCTCTCAAGTCGGGGAGGAACCCACATTTTCAGAACATTGATAGGGAGCATGGCTGCAATTGTGAGGAAATGTAAGGGAGCCACAAGACTGAGCAAGAGCCTGCTGACTGACCATTATGCCTAAGCACCACCTAGTGAATGACACCCCAAAGCTTCAACACCAAAAGTACTTCGTTAGCATACCTACCTGTGTACCAAAGACAAGAAGTCAGCTACAAATAAAGACCCTGCACAAAGCTTTGGCCCTCTGGAAACATCCAGAAAATATAAATCAAATCATATTACTCTTTTGCTCAAAACTTGCTAAAGACTTTTAGTCTCCTTTTTTGTTTGTTTGTTTTCTTTTGAGACAGACTTTCCCTCTTGTTGCCCAGTCTGGAGTGCAGTGGCTAAGATCTCCACTCACTGCAACCTCCGCCTCCCAGGTTCAAGTGATACTCCTGCCTCAGCCTCCCAAGTAGCTGGGATTACAGGCATGTGCCACCACGCCTGGCTAATTTTTGTGTTTTTAGTAGAGACAGGGTTTCACCATGTTGGTCAAGCTGGTCTCGAAAACTCCTGACCTCAGGTGATCCACCCTCCTGGGCCTCCCAAACTGCTGGGATTACAGGCGTGAGCCACCGCGCCCAGCCTTCTTTTACTTAGAGTCTTACAAGTAAAATCCAAAATTCCTACCACAACCCACAAAGTCTTAAATGCTGTGTAATCTGATATCCCTGTATCCTTTGTAATCTCTTCCTTGCTAACTCCATTCCTTGTTAGTTCTGAAAAAGCTAAGCAAGCCCAGGGATTTTGCATTTGCTGTTCCCTTTACCTAAAATGTCCCTTTCCTCCAATGTCACAAAACCATTTCCTGCAATTCTCTCATGTCTTTCCTCAAATATATTTACACGTAAACTTTATCTACCACTCTTGATAAAATCATACCCCATCCAAATCACTTCCTAATGCTCTTACTTGTTTTTTTCATGAAATTTATGCCACTTTTATCTTACATGGAATTTATACCTCACTTTATGTATTTATTTGTTTATTTTATGCCCCCTTCCTTAAGATTATGAGCTCTGTAAGACCAAGGAGTTCATTTTAGGTGTTACTCTAGGAGACAATATACATTGCAGGCATCTAATGTAATGTCTGTTGAATAAATAAATGAATATACATATGAAATCAGGTTAAACATAAATTGCTGAGGATTTTTATACTTGCATAAAGTGTACACTCAAAAGATTAGAGTTATAAATAATTATCCATACATATTATTATATTTAACTCTCAAAAGTCCCCAGGAGGTAAAGAATATTAGTCTGTTTTGCAGATAAGAAAATTGAGGCTCAAGAATAATTGGAAATTTGTCCAAGATTCCATAGAATGCATGTGTTTGAGTATAAGACCTATGTCTTATAGTTCCTTTTCGCACTGTCTCCCGTAAACAACCTGAGTATTGCAAGCAGTTTGACTGACTTTGTGTATTCAGATAATTACATTTAAAAATCCTGGCACGAAAGTAAGGTAATTGCTTGTGGAATATGATAGGGATAGAGTCAGAAAAACTTCCTGTAAAATTCTGGCTCAAGCAATAACCCAATTTGTGACTTGAACGCACCTTTCACCTCTCAACTTCAATATTTGCCTCTATAAAATGATAATCTTAAAATGTGCATATTACACAGTGGGATACCAATGATTAATGGTTACTGCCTGCAAAGAATTATCTAAGTGCTAAATAATATTATGATTACTAACAGGCTTGGAATTCTGGTTTGGAACTTTTGGCTGCTTATTCAAACCTTATCTAAACTATCTTAAAATCTTGAGTCTTTAAGACTGGCCTTACTAAAGCTTTCTCCTTGCTTATAGTCTAAAGTGATTTCTTAAGAAAAGAATTAATATTACGAATCTTGTGAAATTTTCAAATTTCTGCTTTTAAAGTCATCCTTCAAAAGGAAGATAAGAGGCATTTATTAGGAAAGCAAAACAACCTACTGAATAAGGGATTGCTTTTGACCTTGACATTGGTCTCAGCATCCCATGGTAGATGCTGCTAATTTTTTGAATCAGCGGTTGAGCCAAATTTCACAGTGTCAGTAAAATTTCTGAACACTTTCTGCTTAAAGGAATACAAAATCCAGGTACAACAAGCAGGAGAAGAACCACTAGGAAATGGGAAATTTTAAAAAGCATTCAATGTAGCCATTCAGTAACTTTCCTTTATATGGATTTTAGATAATTCATTGTGGTGTCAGTGTAAGCACTATTTTTCTCAATGCAGAAATTATTTTGACAATCATATCATATCACATATGTCACATATCATTTACTTAGATATTTACTGATTGCTTAATGGATGGCAAGGACTTGTTAGACATTGGACATATAGAAATAAAGACATACCACTAACATTACATAAAAATGTCAATGGAAGTAAACACAGGAGCTGGAATGAAATTACCCAATTTAAACTGAGAATATAGCTCCTTTGGCTTTTGAGAAACACAACAGACTTAAGTAACAGAGTCAAGCCAAATTGCCTGGTTCAAGTTCCAGCACTGCCACATATTAGCTGGGTGTCTTTGGACAAGTTATTTAATTTCTCTGTGCCTATTTCTCTATTACAAAACAGAGATTTTAATAGAATTTACCTCGTAGGGCTGTTGTGAAGATCAAATTGGTTAATATGTGTAAAACACTTGGAAAATCTTAGCAGAAAAAAGATTTTATATAGCTACTGGTTTTTATTATTATTTCAAATATAATGGTCTTTCCATGGTAGCAACATATAATCCAATGTCTTAGTTAAATATAAGTTGGGATAACTATATAATATCTCTAAGTAATTGATAGTGTTAATAAATTATTAACATGACTGAATATTTATGAGTTTTATTTGGGACTTAACCACTTATAAGTTGTGTGAACTTGGACAAGTTACTCAACCTCTCCATACTTCCATTTTCTCAACTGCAAACAGGGGGTAATATTTGTACTTAGCTCCCAAAGTTCTGATGAAGGAGGATTAAATTAATTAATAAGGTAAACCACTTTAAGAGAACCTGGCACATCGAGCCACTGTGTTGGTTATTGTTATTATTGCTAATGTCAGAAAATATATTACAATCAAAAGGAAAGAGACCAGAGTTGCATAAGTAATTAACAATAATCATCAAATATCAAAGTACGAAATGCTTCATCTGAGACAAACATAATTATTAGTAAGGAATAATCAATGAAAAATAAATATTTGTTACACCTATAGCCAATGGAGTAATAAAAAAAACTTACCAGCTGACAGTTAATATATAGTATAATCTTTTTGGAGTATCTTTTTGTACAAATTTCTCTGGGTAGACATCAATCTTTTTACATTACCTAGCACCTACCAACTAGCCTGAAGCCCTTAACAAGCTGTTACGTGGGGTGGTTTAAAACAGTAACAAGAAAAGGAAAAAATAAAAAAAAAAAACGAGAAGGAAAAAGTGCATGCTGTTTTGCTGAGTTGCACAACCTGGCTGATGGCCTAGGAACTACACTGGAAGTTGCTGAGTCTTGTTTAAATGTTTAACTCCAAGTCCCAAGGAAGTTAGAGAATCCAATGTCTACCAATATTTTAACATAACTTACATAAATCTTTAGCAAACATCAAATATGTTTGGGAGAGATAAGTTTGATTACTTACTGGCAATGTGTAATAACAAAATTCTCCTTATATTTTCACAAATGGAGTTATTAGAATGATCACTTCCCACGCTGATGTGTGTAGAAATGATGACTCCACTTATAGCCCTATTCACTCACCTCTCCTGTTGTTTCTAAACTTAATATATCCTTGTTTATAGCCTCTCACCCTCCAACATATTACTGGCCTACTTTTAGCTCATTCCTAAGAGGAGATAGTATTCCAGATCTGTGCACACTGAAGATATTCCAAACATATTTTACCCTTGTTAAGTCCAGGATGATAGAAAATTTCCTAATATTGCAGTAAATGCACAGGCTTTTATTTACTCATCATGCTTGATGACAGCCATTTCATGCTGGAATGGACATTCTAGGGGTGGCCTGGCTCAGAATCTGAAGGCAGAATAGCTTTTGTGGGGCAGCACAAATCTTGCCAACTTATGTGTGCTTTCCCCTAAAAATTGTTTATTAAAAGTCTTACCAATAGCGAGGTGTAACCCAGAGACTTTGGCAATGAAATTCTACTCATACAAATCATAGAAATATGTGTCTTTAGGATTTTTAAAAATAAAAATCTCAAATCAGTTTATATTTTTGTTGCATTTACACTTGTTAAAAAAATTTAAAAAGGTAATCAAAGCCTCTTTATTGTTACACAGCCAATAACGGTTATGGTCAAACTAGTTTTGATTTAGATAAAAGGCAAATTGCGTCTCCATGTCTGGGATAAGCCTGTAAAATTCACGAGTGTAGCAGAAACTAATCCTTGATCTGCCTCTCTTCCTTTCTTGTACTGCTGGGATGAAAACATAGCAGCAGTTATGTTAAAGAAAGCTGTGTGGAGTTGACAGAAAACTGCTAAAAACCTTATATATATATGTTTATAAAGGCATATAAAATTATAAACCTATATATGTATATATGTTTTTGGTTTTTTAAACTTTCTTGGTTCCTCAATTTCTACAAACTCTCAGTTTACTTTAAATTAAGAGTTATCAACAACAACAAAAAAATGGTAACCCTGTACTCCTAGCTAAGTAGGTTTTTCTACTCCTGAGATTATTTTGTCAGTGATAACTCACATATTGCTGTTTGATAAAGTAATCTATTCCAGACAGCCACTTGGTGACAATGAAACCATTTAGAAAGAACCAAATAGATATGTGGAAAAATATTCAAGAAAATGTTTAAAAGAAAATAATTAATGTTTCTTAGTAATAGAGAAGTTGGCTTTGAAAAAAAAGATGAACACATTATTTTGAAAATGTAACTTTAAAGTATCTAAGTGCAAGCTATCATTATGGAAGAGATCTAATTAAAAAGATTAATGTTTACAGTGATCCGTGCAATAGGTGCCTTGCTAAACAATTGCATATAAATTGAACTTCTGAAAGTTGAGTGAATGTATAATTTCTATTTACAGCAGGAACTTTTAATAAAAGAAGGATCTTTCTTTGTTGTTCTTGTTTTTGTTATTTTCTGTGATAATTTTCTATGAGAATATTTTAAAACTAGGCATTTCTATAATATAAAAATAATAAAAATTATGGGAAAAATCCATGTTATAATATCCATAACCTATCAATTAAGTGATTATGATAAAGGGTATCTAAAATTGGAAATGGCTGGAAAATTTTTCTTTGAGCTTTTAATCTCATAGAATTTTCCATCTTCGTTCACAGAAGGCATTTTGAAGTTGATGTGGTTTTGCTACCTATGAGCAGCTCCAAATTCCACATGACAGTCCCCAAGCTGCTTTCTTGGAAGGGCCTTTAGAAATGGTTTCTGAATAAACAAATGTTGAATCTCTTGCAAATAATGGGCCAAACCATTATTCTCACCTGCTTGCAAATAGAAGTTAATGTGTTTTCCATAAGGACCCAGTACAATGGCATTAAAAAAAAAATAAGCCAGCATTATGGTATTAGGAAAATAAGACATTTTTCAACACTGGTAATGTTACTGTAACTTAGATCCTTTTTTCAGATAGTGACAGAATGTACTTTTACTCCAAGAAGAATTCATAAAAGTGTAACAGGTACAAAGAAATATAAAACACTGTATGTTTTTCAGGGTGCAGCTTTTACAAGATTGTGTATACTAAGGGCATTTAATCACCGTAAGTATAGAAGTACTTCCTTTCCTCCTGGCAATTTGGGCCAGAAAAACTATAACAGTAATTGGAATATGAGTCACAGGATGTACTTTAGGTCAAGACAACACTTTAGGAAGGCCAAGTCAATACTTTTCCGACTGTGAAGGTTTGGGGATTTCTTTTCTTTTCTTTTCTTTTTTTGGTTTGCTTTCATTTTTTAATGCATTGATTTTATGTTTTGGCTTAAAGTTCTTCATGCTCCTAGAATTCAGGCTAGCACGCACGCACGTGCACACACACACACACACACACACAAACCCAAAAAATGAGAAAGAAAAGCCCTGACCTTTTTTGCTATTATTTTTTGTAATTTTAGAGAATTCTCTTATGTGTGCATATGGTCTAGTCTTTCCTTGATCAAAGGACCTCATCCAAACTTCAAGATTAAAAAAAAATTTCCAACTAGAGCACATTTAGGAAATTGTGGCCACAGCATATTTTATGGAATAAATTTTATTCAGCAGTTCAAAATTACTTAAATTATGTTTCTAGAAATCTTCTATTGAATTTTACTTTGAAAGTCAGAATTCCTAAGATTGGAAAGCCTTTTTACTCATCTTACTGATCTGAGTCAATATGCAAAGAACTTTCATGGTAATTGTCAGGACATGTATTACGTTTAGAGGCAAGTGTGGATAAGATATGTTGTTGGCATGATAGGAGATTTGAAGTCAGGGATCAACATTACGGCTGGTAACATCTCCTTTATTTTCCAAGGCACCTATCACCATGATTATCAGATCTGTAAACAGACATATTAACTTAAAATCTATACATAATATAATGAATCCTGTTGCTGCAGGATGCAAGAACAGGGAAGGAAAGGAAGAATATTTGATGATTGGAAGAGGCGACTAAAAGTGAGCACTTTCCTTGGTCTCTGGCTTCCCCGTGATGGTATATCTTCTCTAAACAGCCTAATCTTGGTTCTTTGGAAAGGGTTAGGTATTGGCAATCAGAACACAGGCCAGGAATTCTAAGTGCATTCAGTAAAAATTATTGCAGTTGGTGGTAGTGGCTCATCGCTTTGATTTTCAGCATCTCTATTTTGGCAGGCTAGGGTCAAGCTGGAATGTACAGAATAATATATTTGCATAAATTACAATATAGTAGATTTAATTCTATTTTAGAGAAAATGAGCTCTTTTCACAGGGTATTGACAAGAAATCTAGGATATGTTATAAAATCTGTATTAGATAATATGAATTAGTAGTGTCATCTGTATTAGTAGTTTATCAATTACAATTTTAGAGTGGACAAAATCAAACATTTTATTTAAATAAGAAATGACTAGAGATTATTGTTTAGTCTCCCATAAAGAAGAAAATAAAATTTGTCCATGATTATTTGCTCATCATGAATATTTAGTGATTGCTAAATTATGTCTCTCTACTTGTTCCATAATGTCTCCAGATATGTGGAGGCAGTATGCATTGAAGGATTGCCTGAATGAAAAAAATATTCGTTCATAAATGAATAACCTGAAGTAAGTCTCTTGATTTTCTCCTCACTCAGACCCAGGTAGAGCCATATTGAGTTTCCTAATCTCCAGAATTTTCCTTATCATCTTATTTTGAAAAATGAACTGTCTTTAATTTCTGTGAATCTAATATATAACAAATACTAACCTTTGTTTCAAGTTGAAGGAAATGAATTTAGATTGACATTTTTTGTTGTATTCATCCCTCCTGAAGGCAGAGAAAACTTCTGTACTTTATGTTCCTTATGATGTTCCTTCATTCATTCTCTTGTCCATAGAATGATTGAGGGAATCTTCCACTGTACCCAAAATTCTAGTTAACAAACATCCTATCCAGGACTTTGTAATCATCTTAACTCCCTGTTTATAAATCTTCCCTAAGCATGTCATTTCAAAAGTTTGCCTCAGTTCTTCTTGCTAGCATTTAACACAAGAAGGCCCTGCTCATAACATTAGTCTAGGTAGAATAATGATGGGGATTTACTCATTGTTATGAATATTTCTATTTTATATGCCCAAAAAATTTCCTTTCCTCTAAGAAATCATTCCCCTTACTAGGAAATAATGGAAACTTTCAATTGTATAAGTAATACAAACTCAAAATAGAAAATCTGGTTTAAAAAAGTAGAAAAAAGAAATTTTTTTAGAAACCCAAGTAAGTCTACCTAGAGACAATCTTTTAATTTGTACCTTTCAATGAATCTTTTTAGATAAAAATTAAAATATTGTATTAATACAAAATATGCAACATATAATTTTGCATCTTTTATTTCTTAACTTATGTTATCTTCTTTTCTATGTTGTTAAATATTCTCAGGAAATATATGTATATATATTTATATATTAATTATATATATATATATATATTGTGACAGGGTCCTACTCTGTTGTCAGGCTAGAGTGCAGTGGCACAATCATGGCTCACTGCAACCTCAAGCTCCTGGGCTCAAACAATCCTTCAATGCACTTAAAACTACAGGCACATACCAATCACACCCAGCTAATTTTTAAATTTTTTGCAGAGGTGGCATCTCACCATGTTGCCCAGGCTAGTCTCAAACTTGTGGCCTCAAGCAATCCTCTTGCTGAGCCTCCCAAGGTACTGAGATTATAGGTATGAGCCACTGTGCCCAAACAAGAAATATTATATTTCATTATATTTAAATGAATATAAAATCACATTGTTTAGATACAGCATACTTTTAATATGTTTTAATAATTTAATTTTTGCATCTTATCATTAAATACATTTGAGATTTATTTTGCTATGTAATGAAGTGAGGATCTAACATGAACTTTAAAAGAAGTGTTTTCAACCACTTTCTTTTAAATATACTCTTCCTAAGTGGTTTCATACAACTTTCTTATCTTTGTATCTGACATTCTCAAATCTGCACTTATTCTCCTTTAATCCATGGCATTAACAGAGTGATCTTTTTAAAATACAAATTTGATTATATACTACATTGTCTGAGCAATTCATGGGATATAAACAAGATGGCAGAAAGGGTGGATTTTGAATAGAAATAAACCAGTATATCAGCTTTGAAAATTTGAGTTGCTCATTAGATTTCCATATAGAGATGCTGATCTTGGTGTTAAGGAATGGGTAACACAGATAATTTTTAAAGTACATTACTGTATTGAAAACTTTTCAGAAAAGTTCAGGGCCTGAGTCCTAGAGCACTGCATTGCTTAGAGGTAAGGTAGTTGAGGAAGAGCTGACAAAGGGGTTGAGAAGGAGCAGCCCAAAAAGTAGAAAGAGAGCAAACAAAGTGATGTCCAGAAGCCAATGGCAAAATGCTCCAAGAAAAATAAGGTACCAACTGTGGCTGCTTAAGGAAAAGTATGATGAAGTCTAAGAATTGACCCTTGGATTTAGCAACCTGATAGCTGGCGAGCTTGGGGCATTAAGCATTTTGGTAGAATGACATTGAAAAATCGATTGGAGTATGTTTAAGAGATCAGGGAGAAGATTGGCAAAATGATTACAAACCCTTCCAAAGAATACTGTTGTAAAGGTAAACAGATAAGTGGAGTGATAGCTAGTAGAGTTGGCTATAGAGTAAAAAAAAAAAAAAAAAAAAAAAAAGCACTTTCTTTTTTAAAATGAAAAATAAGGCATGTATGTATTCTAATGGGAATGATTCAATTAAAGGGAGAAAATTAGGATGCAGAAAACTAGAATGAGTAAAGGGGCACTTTGCTGGGAAAGAGACCTAAAATAAGTGAGAAGTGATAGAATCTATTATACTGGTGAGGAGCTTGGCCTTAGATGAGGAAGAATAGTTTACATAATGTAAGGAGGGAAGCAGAGCATATGGGTGGCACAGGCGAGTAAGTGTGAAGATGTGCTGGTGGGGCGCGTGGAGGATGCTTATGATTACCTAATTTAATTTTGGTCAAGTATAAATCAAGGTCATCAGCTGAGAGTGAAAATGGTGAGGATCTATTGGAGATTAGAGAAGATGTAAGGTCCTGAGACTAACTGGGAGAATAGAATAAGGATGTTCAGCTGATAGCTCTATGAGTACTCCAAATCTGTGTCAGCAATTTCAAGTAAGGCCATTCAACATAGTTTTGCCTTTTTACACTATTCTATTGCATGGCTATAGAAATTGAGTAGGCAGAGAGCTGGATTTAACCAGGGTTTAGGTTTTGCCAGGCAGTTGTGGCAAAGGTATGGGGAAGACAGGAGTTGGTGGTGTACAGGCATGATTATAATGATTGGTGCTAAAAGATAAGCTGAGGAAGAGGGAAAGTGGTACTTGGAGAGGGAAGCAAAAATGCTTCATGGAACATAGGTTGCTGGAGAAGCAGAATAATTGTCTACATGTGTTGGAGAGAGTGAGATAGAACAAGTAGGAAGTAGGCGGAGAGTGAGATTTCCAAATCTGAGGTCCCACAAGGAATGTAGTTTCAGTAATTTTACATCATTATTTTTGAATATTGGAGTGGATGCTTGTTAAGGAACTAAGAGGCCAGGGTGTGAGAGGTATCATCTATGTGAATATTGTAATTTCCAAAAATCAAGAATCATGCGAGGAGAAGTATTGAAGAGAATGGTGGTAAGCCAGCTATGATTAATTCTCAAGGAGTTAGAGAGGGGTGACCTAGAGATCTGTTGAGATCATCTGAACTGTGTTATTTGAAAGGTTGTTTAGATATTTTTCTTAGCTATGTATTTAATTTTTCCATTGGCTTCAGTCTCTTTTTCAATCTTCGTAAACCATGTTATCATTAACATTTTTGTCATTTTCCAATTAATTCAAGGAGAGTTTCTTATTATTGTTCTTCACCTTGCTAGTATCCTCTAATGCCATTTATGTTTTTCATTACCTCAAATGGAGATTTGAATTCTGTTAATCTTGAAATTTTACCTTTATGAGTTATCATCATTTTCTTCATTTTTTCTCACATTTTCGTTTCTTCTCACATTTTCATTTCAACTAGTCCTCAGATTACACTTTTCTTTTCCTGTTTCATAGAGTCCAGGGCATCTTGTAAAATATGGAAAATGAAGAACAGCTTCTGAAATATTATGCACATCTCTATAGTGAATCCTTTTTGGAGATAAATTCCCCTTGAAATGTTTGGATGATGTTTCTTTTGCTTCCTTCTGTAGGACGACGTCATAGGCTCCAGGCAAGTTTTCTTTAATCAAGTTGTCCTCATTGAGAAGGGAGGTCCTATACCCAGTTCTGTCAGCAGAATAGGTGACTAATTGAATATGTCTTATTGAGTAAATTTACTAAATTACCTTCATGTCAGCTGGATCAAAGACCAAAATGTTTTCTCCAATTGCCAGTTTAAGACATTTTTTAACAAGCACATGAAAAATTGCTCAAGATTATTAGCCATTAGCTAAATGCAAATAAAAACAAAAATGAGATACCACTTCACACTCACTAAGATGACTTTACTAAAAAAGATGGATGTTAACATGGCACATGTATACATATGTAACAAACCTGCATGTTGTGCACATGTACCCTAGAACTTAAAGTATAATAAAAAAAGGATGGATATTAACAAGTGTTGGTGAGTATACAGAGAAATCAGAACACTCATGCCAGCATAACTTGTTTTATCTTGCTTCATTTTATTGCATTTTGCAGATAATGTTTACTTTGGATTTTTTTTTTAACAAATGAAAGGTTTGTGGCAAATGTGTCAAGCAAATATGTCAGTGCCATTTTTTTCCAAAAACATGCGCTCACTTCATGTCTCTGTGTCACATTTTGATAATTCTCACAATATTTAAAACTTTTTCATTATTACATATGGTGATTTGAAATCAGTGATTTTATGATACTATTGTAATTGTTCTGGGGTACTTCAGACTGTGCCCATAAAAGACTGCAGACTTAGTCAATAAATGCTGTGCCTATTCTGAGGGTTTCGCCATCTAGCTGTTGCCCCATCTCTTTCTCTTCTTGGGCCTCCCTATTCCCTAAGACACAACAATATTGAAATGAAGCCAAGTAATAACAAGATAATGGATGCTAAGTGTTTAAGTGAAGGGGAGAGTCTCAAATCTCCCACTTTAAATCAAAAGGTAGAAATGATTAAGCTTAGTAAGGAAGGCATATCAAAAGCCGAGATAAATAGGTTAGATGAAGCTAACACAACATTCATTCTGTAGCCCATGAATCAGGAAATAGTTCCAACTTTCAAGTCTTATGATTCAAGAAATACATATTGTAAGGCTATAGCTGGTATAGACTGTGATTCCACTGATGGATCTGAGCAGAGTAAATTAAAAATCTTCTAGAAAGAATTTACCATTCTAGATGCCATTAAGAACATTCATGATTCATGAGAAGAAGTCAAAATATCAGCATTAATAGTAGTTGGGAAGAAGTTAATTCAAACCTTCATGGATGACTTTGAGGAGTTCAATATTTCAGTGGAAGAAGTAGCTGCAGATGATGGAAATAGCAAGAGAACTAGAAGTGGGGCCTTAAGATGAGATTAAATTGCTGCAACCTTATGATCAAACTTTAACAAATGAGAAGTTGCTTCTTATGGATGAGCAAAGAAAATGGTTTTGTGAAATGGAACCCACTCCTAGTGAAGATGCTGTGAACATTGTTGAAATGACAACAAAGGATTTAGAATATTACATAAACTTAGTTGATGAAGCAGTGGCAGGGTTAGAGATGATTGACTCCACAATTTTGAAACTGTGGATAAAGTGCTATCAAACAGCATTGCATGCAACAGAGAAATATTTCACAAAAGGAAAAGTCCATCGATGCAGCAAACTTCATTGTTGTCTCATTTTAAGAAATTGTCACTGCCTCACCAGCCTTCAGCAACCACCACCCTGATCAGTCAGCAGCCATCACATTGAGGCATGAGGCAAAACTCTCAGTTAAGACTCACTGAAGATTCAGAGGCTCATTAACGTTTTTATCATGAAGTATTTTTTAATAAAGGCACATAAACTATTTTTTAGGCATAATGTTATTGCACATTTAATAGACTATAGTATAGTATAAACATAACTTTTATATTAACTGAGAAGCCAAAAACATTGTGTGACTCACTTTATTGTAATACTCACTTTTTTTGCAGTGGTATAAAACTGAACCTGCCATATCCGTGAGATATGCCTGTACATTGCTGATGGGAAAGTAAAATGATGTAGCCAGTTTTGCTTTTGACAATCTGACTATAACGTGTTTCAGTGTGGCTCTCTTTTAAATTTATCTTACCTGGAGTTCTTTGAGTGTCTTGTATGTTTAGAGTCATGTCTTTCATCAAATTTAGAGAACTATGACCATTGTTTTTAAAATATTCTTTTTGCTCTTTTTTCTCCTCTCCCACAGAACTCCCATTATTCATATGTTAGTGAGCCTGATAATGACCTGAAAATCTCTTAGATTCCATTCATTTTCTTTATTTTTATTTTTTTGGCTCCCTGGAATAGATAACCATAATTAATCTGTTTTCAAATTTGCTGATTCTTTCTTCTTTTTGCTCAAATTAGCTATTGAATTCCTCTAGTGAACTTTTCATTTCAATTATTGTATTTTTGGCTCCAGAAAGTTTATATGGCTCTTTTTAAATAATTTTTATCTATTGACATTTTCTATTTTGTGAAGCATTATTTTCCTGGCATCCTTTCATTCTCTCTCCATGGTTTCATTTAGCTATTTCAACATATTTAAATAGTTGATTAAAATCTGTCTAGCAAATCTAATATCTGGGATTCTCCAGGAGGCTTTTCTACTAATTTATTTTTTCCTGTGAATAGGTCATACTTTCTTCTTTCTTTGAATGCCCTGTAATTTTTTCTTGAAAACTAGACATTTTGAATATTATAATGTGACAGCTCTGGAAATCAGATTATCTTCACTCTCAAGTTTGTTGTTGTGGGTTTTATTTTTTAGCAGCTTTTCTAAATTATGTTTTTATAGTCTGTATTCTTTGTCTTGTGTGACCACTGTAGTTTGTGTTTTATTAGCTTAGTGGTCAGCTAGCATTTTAACAATTTTCTTAAACTTCAGGAGCTAAAAAAAAAAAAGAAAATATGCTTTTTTAGTCTTTATACATCACCTGTTTTTTACAGTCCTTCAACTCTTTGGCAAACTGTTTACCACTCTGCTTCAGCCATCACTTCCTGACTGTGTGGTGCCTGAAGGTGAGCCAGAGGTAAAAACTTAGGGTTCTCTCAGGCCTTTTCCCTTTGATATTTCAGGCTGACTGATGTAATAATTTAGAAATCAAGTTATTGTTAGGACTAAAGAGCCTGATCATTGCTTAGCAAGCCCTTTTGCTTTTCTGCTGCATAAAAACTATCACCTCAAAACTTAGTGGCTTAAAACAATTTATTATTTCTCATGAGTCTCTTAATCAGCTGAGTGATTCTGCTGATCTGAACTTGTCTCGGCTGATCTTGTCTGGGTTCACTCAAGTGTCTATAAAAAGCTGACAGGTAATCTAGGGTTGATTGGTTTAGAAAGTCCCAGGAAGGGAAGCATCACATCTACTATAAGTGATCTGTTACTCTTTAGCAGGCTAGCCCAAACTTGTTTTGGAGGTGATGGCAGGGTCAGGAGAGAGAAAGAGAAAGGGAGAGAGAGAATGTAAAAACAAGCTAATTTTCTTGAAGAGTGAAAACTGGCAGAGCATTCTATTGGCAAAATCAAATCATAAGGCCAGTCCAGATATATATATCCGGATATATATATATCCAGGGACTTTACAGACCCTGAGTTACAGATATATATCAGGGAAAAAATGTGCTATTTCTGTAACTCAGGGTCTGTAAAGTCATGCAGCAGAGTATAATGCTCAGGGGGTAGAGAACATTTTTATAATCAATTTACCAAATGAACTGGATAAAGCTACTTACTGAACCTGCAAAATACATGATATCCAAGTTCACTAGTATTTCTTTGTATCCAATGATACTCTAGAAGATTCTGAATTCCCCTTGAAAGATATTTTAGAAGACTCATATTAGAGCATTTAATACTAATTATATATCTCACACTGAATAAATCATGCTGTGGCTGGGCACAGTGGCTCATGCCTATAATACTAGCATTTTGGAAGGTGGAGGCAAGAGGATTACTTGAAGCCAGGAGTTTGAGACCAGCCTGGGAAACAGAGTGAGACCTCATCTCCACAAAAAATAAAAAATTAGCTAAGCATGGCAGCATGTGCCTGTAGTCCTGGCTACTCAGGAGGCTTAGGTGGGAGGATCTCTTGAGCCCAGGAGTTCTAGGTTACAGTAATCTTTGCATGCACCAATGCCTGCCAGCCTGGACAACAGAGAGAGATCCAGTCTTGAAAAAAAAATGTGATGACAGAGTAATTTGAAACTGGCTAATTCAGGGTTAATTTCCAAACAAATACTTGGTAGTTAAAAAAAAGTGCAGGTTTCATAAAGAACAAATATTCTGAGTTTTTGGGAATTCAGTCTGTCAGTCCTGCCAAATTTTGCTCTGACACATTCCATGTAGACAGACAACTATAGCAGACTTGAGCAGGTGCTATTTGTGAAATATAATAGGATTAATTCTTTGTAGTTTAACCAGCACACTCCATATTACAAATCAAGTCAACTCAATGTCAGTCTTCTAAGGAAATATTTAGCTTTAACAAACCATAATGTGTTGCTAAGAGAGATAAAATAATAATAACAATTACAGCAGTGAAATGTTGTAACCTTCTGACAATGACCTTATTAACATTTCAGTTTCTTCCATGAATTAAACTTGTCAAGTTTATGTAGACAGCATTTGAACTGACTACATTACACATGTGCTATTGTAAAGCTTATGCTATATTTTTTAAATAAAACGTAAAGAAGTGTGTCAAACAAGGTGGAAAATCCTGGAAGGATATGTGCTAAACACTCATAATAGGTCAAAACAACAGCTTTAACTATCTCATTTTAGTGATATAAAACTCAAGACTTAAATGGAAGACAGTTTATAATATAGTTCAAAGTTATTTATTTTTTCCAGTTTTAACCAATGTTAAAGATTCAACATACTTCATTGAGAAATAAGCTATATAGTATATCCTGTAGCTTTACAGAGCCAGCAGTATGCTCAGAACATTTTTCTTGTGGAAAAATAAAGAAAGTATACATACTGAAGGTGATTAAATTGAAGACTGACAGACTTGCAGCCTTCAAGAACAGATGATTGACCACCATTTACCCTTGGTATATTACACACAGGATATGCTTCAAGTGTTGTCTAAACAAAGAGAAATTTCACAGTGCTCAACAGTGTCATATTTAATACAATCTTCTGGGGTAGAGGCTAAGCAACTGGATTGCTATCAAGAACAGAATGTGTTACCTCTAATGAATGTCCTAGCCAAGCACGTGGTTACAAATGGAACCCAAGATTACTGTGTTAGGACTGACCAGAAGAAGATGAAGTTTCTACCAAAAGTCAGAATGATTAAGTGAATAAATTAGAAATAGCCTGAAGGATTGGTGGTTTCACTTTTAAAAGCTTTCTTAACAATAAATGCAATTGATATGTTCCATGCATTAGTTACTCTTCTGCATAGTTAGGCCAAATAACTAAATGGTCTCATGACTTTGAAAATGCTGTTGGTTATACTCTTGGCACTATCAGACGCTGTACCCTTTTTCTGTTAAATACTACAAAAATTGTCTATAACCTCAATACCAAGCATGTTTTCCACTTATTTAAATAATTGTTCTTCACTTTGATTTACCACTGTGTCTCATCTTTTCTGTTGACTTACAGTTGTCAGGATTGAACTACAAAGGGGCCAGGAAATTATAATAAATGGGAATACACATGCAATAAATAGCATCTGTTTTAGAGAACAATCCTACCACTTGGCTAGTTTTATTTCCTGAGAAAATAACTATAATCTTTTTATTATAAACCTTACCAAACTCATGTTTAGGCAGCTATGAATTTGTATATTTGCTCCACTAAGGGATAACTTATTAACTATGTAATTTATCTCCTTTCTCCAGCTCTTCATGGCAATAGAAAAGGTTTCAACAAAACACCTAGTAACATAATGTTCAAGTTTTAAAACTCAAGCCTAAAAGTAGTCACAAGAGTCTGCTGTGCGATCGTTGTGAAAGCTTGTCCTTGGCTGCTTGACTTTCAATTATACATGTGATCTATAAAAATACAAGAATTTTATTTGAATAAAGAATTGTAAGGTCATTCAGATTTGTGTATAGGATTCTTAAATACTTCCATTTGTTCTGTGGAATTGAAAGGAAAATGGAAACAGGACAGGATTCTAAAAATAGCACATCATATGCCCCTGCACAACTCCTATTTATGAATGCTGCCCCCCCAAAAAAAACAAAAAACCAAGTCTGTATCAAAGCAATATGATTTAACTAGTAATTTTTTTCACATAAGAAAATTTGTAAGAAGATATTCATGTATGCATTATAGTTTACTTAAGTTTGCTTGTACTTTAGCAAACTGAAATTGAATAAAAGTATTAAGTGCTTTTTCAGTAGCTTTGTAATTATGACATGTTTTATATACCATAGTGCCATAGTTTCACAGTACTTCAGCCTGGGGCATCCTTAATATAAACACCAGGCCATTTCAAGAAACCATTTCTGCCTTCAGTTATGAATTATATGTTTTAGTAACTCGACTCCCTCTTTCTTCCTAGTAATTCCCAACAATCTGTACACTTACTCAAAGGTTTGTTCAGGGAGAGTCCAGTTATGTTAGTACTCTAATTCTCTCTGGGTTGTACTCTAGTCATCATTCTCGCAGAGCACCACTGATGAACAATTGTCTTTCCCCACAGTCTGAAATTGGCTGACCATGGAACACCTAACCCGAAAATATGCATATCCCTTTCAGAGGGCAAAAGTAAGTAAAGGGTCTTATATTGTCTGGACTGCTCACTAAATCAATTTTAACTTTAGAAGTAGAATGGGGTATCATAGCAAAGAACCATGGTAACATATGGCCATATGGCATGTAAATGTTAGTGTTTAATTAACAATGAAATTACTATTTCAGAAGCTTCTATATGTGGAAGTATTTTCATTTTAACGGACAATATACTGATTTTCCACTAATACATTTTGATTTTGTTACTTCCTTTATTATTTTAAGAAAACTGGTATGTTATATTTTGTGATTACTTTTAAAAATTCAAACAATAATTTTACTCAGTTTGAAATTTATTTTCCTAAATGCAATTTGCATATCAAAGTGATCTCCAGGGATAAAACAATTCATAAATTAAAGTTTTGTACTAACACCTAATAAGGAAAATTGTTTCTTCTAGCCTAACACTAAACTTACTTATTTTTAAAAGATCACCACTATATATTTATTTCATATACAGTTGGGTCTCCATATCCATTGGTTCCCCATTAATGGATTCAATCAACCACTGATTGAAAATCCATGGGGAAAAAAATGAATGGTTCCATCTGTAGTAAACATGTACAGACTTTTTCTTGTCATTATTTCCTAGAAGTGTAGCATAAAAACTATTAACATAGAATGTACATTGTATTAGGTATTATAAGTAATCTAGATGTGATTTAAAGTATACAGGATAATTTACATAAGTTATATGCAAATACGACAACGTTTCATATAAGGAACTTGAACACTGGTGGATTTTGGTATCCATGGGGGTCCTGGAAGCAATTCCCCAAGGATACTGAGGAAAGACTATATATTGATAGATTTAAGTGAAAATGAGTAGAAGTATACTTAGTTATACTTACATATTAATTTTATGAAAATTGTAAATCAGAGCTGAATTTTAATGACTGATTGATTTCCTCTTTCAATCATCTTCTCAAAATAAATACCTCAAAATCCATTTGCATTGCATATCGCATTTTCTTGTTTATTCTATCCTAAGACTAAATAATTAATGCAGTCATTTTATTTTGAGGTTTTGAGAAACAATTAGATTAAAAGTTGAGAAACATGAGTTTTATTTTGCTTTTTTAATGAAAGTAATTCAGTCTTTTGAAACTCAGTTTTTCAAATGGGTAGAAAGTGTTTTAGAAAACAATTTTAAAGCACATTTTCTCTACAGAGTCCCTGCGTTTTATTTATTTATTCGCATAACAGGATTTTTACATCAGTATTATAAAGTGAGAATGGGTATGTTACTTTCTAAAAGCTAAACCAAATCAAACAAACTATGAATATCCCTTAATGACCTTAGCATAAGGTCAAGATACAAAAATAAAGATACTCAAAATCTAGTCCAGGAAATCCTGAACTACTGTAACTTCTTGGTGATCTTCCTACTATTTGTATGAAACTTTTTGAAGGTAAGAAGCCATTAACCTTATAGGAAAGAACTGTTTGTTCTTTATCATACCAACAAATAACCACCAGAACCAAGCTGTTAAACATTCAAGTAAATATGTATGTGTCAGTCCATTTTGTGTTGCTATAAAGAAACACCTGAGCCTGGGTAATTTATAAAGAAAAGAGGTTTATTTTGCATATAGTTCTGCAGGCTGTACAACAATGGTACCAACATCTGCTTGGCTTCTAGTGAAGCCTCCAGAAGCTTTTACTTGTGGCAGATGACAAAGGTGACCAGATGTGTCACATGGTGAGAGAGGGACCAAGAGAGAGAAGGAGGTTCCAGGATCTTTTAAACAACCAGCTCTAATGTGAACTAATAGAGTGAGAACTCAGTCATTACCGTGAGGACAGCACCAAGCATTTCTGAGGGACCCACCCCCATGACCCAAACAGACCCACTGCCAACACTGGAGATTACATTTCAACTTGAGCTTTGGAGGGGACATACATCCAAACCATATCAAAGTGAAATCTTGCTTCTGTAACCGCGCCATAGAAAGGCAACCACTAGTGAAAATCTGTTATTTCTGAGGTCAGCCAATTAGCGGTAACCTTACTGAGTAAATATATTTCTGCAAGTCAACTAATCAGTGATAGTCTCACTCAAATAACCAGTTTCCTAGCCAAAAATAATCAACCAATTCCTAAATATTTCTGCTTCTGACAGTTCATCAATACTTGAACACCAAGCTTCCCAAACCCCTTTGTAAGCTCTTGGTTTTCTCAGAAAGACTGTGCCTTAATAGTACAACTACATTCAGATTTTGTGTTGGGTACTGATTGATTGTCTTTTTTACACCTATAATTATGATAAGACAAGGTGGGAGGTAATATCACTGACCCTTTAGGAGTAGTTATAATGAGGCTTAAATAAGTACAGACTTTTCTATTTCTCTGGTAACAAGGAATCTAGAAGTAGAAAGAACTAGGTTCGTAACGGGATCAATGAAATAATCAAAAGTCCAGTCTCCTTCTATTTCTCTGTACAGTAATCATTGCTGATGTCTTAGTACAAAGAAAGAAAAGAAGAATGAATTTGGGATAGGCAACTAGAATAGTAGTGACTGCCACAATATTATAATGGTTAAGAGTCTGGTCTCTATAGTTATATTCCCTGGGTTAAATTTTGGTTTTGCAACTTAAGTTGCATGACATTGGACAAATTATTTAATCTTTCTCTAAAACTTACTTTTGTTTGTAAAAGGACCTACCATAGAGAATTATAGTAAGAATAAATTATATAATACACATAAGCCATTTAAAACAGTAATATTGATACTGTTATTGCTATATAAATATACTTACGTTCACTTCTATTGGTTTTTCATGAAAAGTGGCATCACAGGTAATTTTCTGTTGTAAGTTTTCTATGTAGAAAAGAAGATCAAACTAAGATTTTTTTTTTTGGCCTGCCAAAAAGGACATAAAACTTTTCTTAAAAGTGTAAAGAAAATTTGCACCAGATCGTATTTATAAAAAGTAAGCATAAGATTGTCTGCATTTTACCTCCTTTGGCTTTCATCTGCATGTTTTCATTTGCAAAGAAATCTAGTCCAAACATGGTAAAAATTATTGGATAGTCCTACTTCCCACCCCCTTCCAAAAAAATCAGCCCACATTGATGAAAGTTTATGAACCTTGGCAAAACTTTTGCTGAACCAGTCTGAGTTTCACATTTACTTGAAACTGAAACCAGGTGAATCTCAGATTTTGTTATGAATGCTTCACAATGTTCTACAAATAAAACATGATTTACGTAACAAGAAGTATTTGATCCTTGCCTGTTTGTAAGTCTTCAAAATTTCTTAGTACTTACACCTGAATTTTATGCTTTACACAATACTTTTCAGCCTGAATCCTTCTTATATATTTTTAAGCCTTATCATTGGAAACAATGACAAATATATTCTAATACAATAAATATATTTTTGTAGTAAACGAGTCTGACAATTCCTAGAAATTCACTCTTTTCCGAAGAAGTGTGTCATCGAGTAAGGGTTTGTTCCTCTTAAACAACCTTTGATAAAATTTTATATAATATTTTTCAATCTTTATGCTTACAATTCCACATTTATTAGTCTCAAGTATATCAGTTGAGATTAATAAATGTGGAATTCTAAGCATAAAGATTGAAAAATATTTAGGGTTGTTAATTCTCATGAGCTCTCTAGACTGGTTTTATACATTCTTGATTTCTTGATAAATATCATACTGATTATTTACTGACACATCTTTTTTTATTTTAATATGAAGGGAAGAGAAAGAGCAACAAATGTGTCATAATATATATTTTTATTTGTTCAGTAATCTTGTGTTATATAAGGCCCAGAGACAAAAAATATTTTATTTTTTATAATAATGTGTTTATTTCTATATTAGAACAAATTAATGAGTAATCCTTGTGAATACAGATTTTATAATTATGTTAGGTGAGTACCTAAATTTTCATGGGCTATAAAATTTTCCTCTCCTAAGTAATATGATATAGGCAGGAAGAGAGCATACTTTAGTAATTTAACAGCTATTCAGTGGATGGATTTTCTGTTGTGAAATACATGGTGAGAAGGACAGAGGCTCATTTAAAGCCCTTGAAAGGCAATAGTATAACTTGTATGTTAGAAAATAAATCAGTAAGGATGAAGTTGTGTAATACAAATTGGATATGTACAAAGAAAATATAGTCTAAAAGCAGGAATAAAATCAGTTTGATTAAGTTGCATTAAAAAATTATCTGTCTCATTAAAAAGTGTTCCTGTATTTATTTTTTCAATGATATAATCTAAGGCTTTTTGCTGAAGGATATATATATAGACAGAAAAAAGAACAATAAAAAATGTAAGGCTCAATGAACCCTCACAACGTGAACACTCCCACTTACCAAGCAGTGAAATAGAAATAGAATCGTACCAGCTTCTTAGAAAGTCCCCTTGAGCCTCCTCCTGATTAGTACCCATCCCTTTTTCAAAGAGTAATTACTGATGTGATTTCTCATATCGCAGATTTGTTTTCTCTGGTTTTGATATGTACATATGTGGAATAATTCAGCGTGGACACATTTTGCATCTGATTTCTTTTACTGATCATTGTGGTTTTGAGATTTATGTTTGGAATGTGGCATTAGGTTTCTTATTCTTGTTTTTGTAAAGTATTCCACAGTTGCTTTATCTATTCTATTGTTGATGGATGTTTGCATTGTCTTTTGATGGATATTTATGACTCTCTATTGTGTACTTACCTAAAGTAGAATTGCTTTCATAAGGCATGCATATATTCAGCTTAGGGAATACTGTCATAGAATGCGTTGGTACAAGTGGGTTTTACCAATTTCATTCTCACTAACAATGTATGAACATTCCTCCTGTTTAGTGTCCTCTCTCACATGGTCTGGAATTTTCATCTTAGCCATTCTGATAGACAGATAGTAATAGTCCATTATGTTTTTAACTTGAGCTCCTTTTCGTATGTTTATTGGTCATTGAGATATACTTTGTTATGCAATGCCTGTTAATCCTTTGCCTGTTTTATTAACTGGGTTGGCTACCTCTTAAAATTAAATTTTAAGAGAACCTTTCATATTTTGAATATAAGTCCTTTGCCAGAAATATTAATTGCAAATATCTCCTCATTCAATGTGTCTTGAAATTTCACTCTCTGAAAGTTGTTTCCTAATAATTGGAAGTATTTAATTTTAATATAGATAATTAAGCAAAATTTTCTTAATGATGAAAGCTTTTCTATATCCTTATTCATTTGTTTGGCTCAAGCCATACAACATAAACTATCCTGATGATTAAACAAGTGGGCAGATAGTTTGTGAGTTCTGCTAGGCAGTTAGCAAAAAGATTGAAGTGCATTTAAAAGAGAAATATAGTCAACATTTTGTTTTAGATAGACTAATGATATTGACTATAAGAGATTTGTAGGAGAGAGACTTACATCTGGTAGATTGATTAGAGACTATTTCAGTCATTTGTGTGAAAGATAACAAGTCTATAAGGTAAGGCAACAGCAGGGAACTAGGGAGGAGAAAATTAATTCCAGAATAATTTAGATAATCAAATTAATAAGACCTGGTGGGACCAAGGAAAGGGAGAAAGAGAAATCATGAATGATCCTGGGTATCTGGCCTGAGTGATTAGTTAGACAGCAGTATCATTAACTAAGACCGGAGTCTATATTTTGAAGGGAAGATTTGGGAATATTAATAGTTTAATGTAGGCTATATTGAATTTGAAATGCCTATGAGATATACATGTGAAGATATTCTATTCAAGTATGAAATACCAGTGTATTAGTCCATTCTCTTGCTTCTAATAAAGACATACCTGAGACTGGGTCATTTATAAAGGAAAGAGGTTTAATGGACTCACAGTTCCACATGGCTGCGAAGGACTCATAATCATGGTGGAAGGTGAAAGAAGAGCAAAGCCACGACTTACATGGTGGCAGGCAAGAGAGCACGTGCAGGGGAACTCCCATTTATAAAACCCAGATCTCATGAGACTTATTCACTATTACCACAACAGTATGGGGCAACCACCCCCATGATTCAATTATCTCCACCTGACCCCACCCTTGACACATGGGGATTATTAGAATTCAGGGTAAGATTTGGGTGGGGACACAGAGCCTAACCATATTAACCAAACTAGGTAATTGCTTTTTCTTTTTTTTTCTTGTTTTCATTTTCTATTTTTTAATAATAATTAACATACTAAATTGGTAATAAGACCAACAAAACAAAAAAAATGCATCTTCCTCACTCCTCCTTCCATCCAGATAGTAGAATGTGAAAATGAGTAACAGCTCACCGTCCCAGGATCCTGCTATTTAGTTGTCACTTCTGGAGCCCATGTGCCTGAGGCCTACTCACACCTTCTTCATGGATGATCAGATTCAGGATCCATGGCCCAGCAATTGGTTGTTTCTGTGCAGTTTTTGAGGCTAAATAATCAGCAAATCCTTGTCATTTTCATGCACTAGGAAGGCTTTGGCCTCATTCTCCTGGTTTGGTCTTCTTTGTTGCCTGGTCAATGTTTCCAGCTCTTTCTAGGTCTGTGGCCTCTTCATGAATTTGTTTCCATGTGGCTCATTGTCAACTTCGTTCTTATAAGCTCCCTCCTCTGGGGTTTAGGATTGTCTCTCATCTTCATAAAACTTTGAAGAAGTCAAAACTAAATATTTGCCTACAAATGGGCTTTTTGTTATAACTCCCTGCCTACTGTTTACAAACCACAATGTTGAATGTTTAATGTCTTTTATGTGTAGCATTTCACTAATAATTTACATTAGTTGCTTGTACCCTTTAGCCATTTTGACGTGTTACTCCATCAAAGCCAATACAATAAAGAAAAAGAGCCATTGCAGCATAAATTATAAATTTAAAGAAAACTGTCCAGCATTGTTAGCACATGAGTTGTCCAGTTACTAAGTTGACACTGCTACATTGAGCAAAACCATATTTCCTGATGAAGCTGCACAGAGGAAGGAGTCAGATTCAATTAGTTCTGGGAAAATGGTCATCCTCAAGAGAAAACTGGTGATCTATGTAGTCTCAGAAATACTAATTTCTTCCTGCAATAAAAATAAATATATTTCCTGACGCTTGGAAAAGCACAAAATAGAGGAAACAAAATAAGAAATTTGGAAGAATCTGAATGGCCCTGTGGAGGAGTATTTCAGTGAAAAATGTTGAGGGAAAATGATAAATAGTTGCCTGAATTTTAGGGTTGTGATACCTTGGCCAAGATATTTTATAGTAGGTATGTTACCCTCAAAACATTGGAAGAGGCCAGGTGCAGTGGCTCACGCCTGTAATCCCAGCACTTTGGGAGGCCGAGGCGGGCGGATCACGAGGTCAGGAGATCGAGAACATCCTGGCTAACACGGTGAAACCCCGTCTCTACTAAAAAATACAAAAAAAAATTAGCCGGGCACGGTGGTGGGCGCCTGTAGTCCCAGCTACTCGGGAGGCTGAGGCGGGAGAATAGCGTGAACCTGGGAGGCGGAGCTTGCAGTGAGCCGAGATCGCGCCACTGCACTCCAGCCTGGGAGACAGAGCGAGACTCCGCCTCAAAAAAACAAACAAATAAACAAACAAACAAAAACATTGGAAGAAAACAATGCCCTAGACTCTCCCTTTATTTCATGTGTCACCCCATTCCATCCCTGACAACAGACAGAGAAAAGCATTATCCTGTGATCTTGATAGATAAGGATACCAAAAATCTTGACCCTCAACTGCTGGTGCCCTGGGCTACTGCAGAGATCTGTGCAAGTCATGCCCTGCCCAAGTCTAAAACTGCCATTCACCTGTCCTAGAGAAGGACAGTCACTAACCTGCCAACTCTGCAGCCTTGCCAGTGTGAATTAACCCAGACCTTTAAGAAATGACATTAAACCCAAATTCTTCCATGGCATTGTCATTTTTTACTGGTATGAAGATATAATTCATTGATTATCATATAGTAAGAAACATTGCAAATAAATGCTTAGGCCAGTTGAGTTGGCAATACTCTTTCTTACTTTCCTACTCCCAACTTCTACTTTCTTAACTTCAGCATTTTTATTCCTTTCTCATATGTTTCAATTAGCAGTAACAAGAACTTTGAAGCAAAACAGCTTTAGGCTTCCAGCCATCTCAACTTACAGGAAACACTTTTAGCCAAGGTTTCCCCTGTGTCTCAGAAAAAAGCCGGCATCACACCCCGCTCCCCGCAGGTCGTACTTTTCTCAAGGGTTTGGTCTGGTTGGAAGGCAGCACCTGGCATCTGACCTTCATATTGCACATGTACACAGGTGAGATTGAGAAAGAGAGGTGAGCAGACCTGCAGACTGGATCAGAAGTAGGAAGAGAAAGAGACAAAAACAGTTTGGGATCCAAAGAGCCTAAACCCTGTTTGCTTTGGCCTTCAGACATGGCAGCTCAGCAACAGGAAATGCCAGTTCATTAAAGCCTTCACATGGCATCATCAGATGACAGCCATCAGCCCCCTTGGCAAGATTCTCAAGATCACACAGAGGGGGAGAAACAGTAGGAACCAACACGAATGTCTGGATTTCCCTTCTAAGACAGGAGTGTTTACTAGGCTGGCTGACTTACCAAGCTGTTAGCAGAATTAATGTGATTGCCTTGGCAAGGATGAGAGGATGCAGATCTCCCAATTTTGATGCCACCTTTGAATTCCAGTGATTATCATGTATGCCATGGACCTAATGTCATTTGGGAGATGAAGGTGGCTTGGGTTGGGGATTGAAGAAACATCACCAAAAGTAACCACTACTGATTAACATTGACCATTTATAGGTGTAAGGGGAACAGGTGTTAGAGACAGGCAGGAGCCACCCCTGGACACATAGCTTTCTGGATCCAGTTTCCAAGAAGGTGTATTTATCATGCTTGTCACATCTTTGAATATGTCACTTGGGTTATCACCTTCAGTAGGGGATCACTTTGCTCTAAAAACTTCTGGCTAAAAGCCTTCCCTGTGAGGGGATGGATTCTACTTATCTACAGCTCAGAGTCTGTCGAAGAATTTGTTGCATTAACAAAACTTCAGTTTCTTGTTTCCCAGGGGGAAGAGGAAGAATACTCACCTCTGGTGCTACTTACATGGCACCATGGGGCTTCATCCTCTGGGAAGGAACAGGACACTGAAGTAGCGACACATTTGTAAACTGCATGAAACTCACCACTGACTAATCTGTGTGCTTTTGTTTCCCTTGGCCCACTTGATCAGTAGCTTTGCTAACCAGTTTCCACAGCCTCTGGAGTCTTGTTGCCATCGAAACCCATAGCCAAACGTGAAATGAAGGCACAAATAGAAATCACTACAGTCTGTCTTCAGGAAGATTTTTATGATATTCCCCAAATAGCTTCCCCAAAGAGGCTAAACTTCATTGTGAAATGCATGGCAGAGAAGCAGCAGACACACAGATTCATTCACCATTGAGGAACTTGCCTTTGCTTTCAACATCCCAGCTGGCACCCTTAACTCCTCTTGGCATCTATCTCTTTTAATCACACCATGCTTGGGCAGTGAGGCCAGGCAGATTTAGGCATCCAGAAGGCCCACCGGGATCTGCTAGATGCAAGTAGTAGGAAAGGGAGGGTGTCTATGACTAAGCAGGGACTTTTAGCCTCAATTTTATCCCAGGTGTATGCAAAGCTTCCTCTTACCTACTGAGCTGCAGTGAACTGTGATCCAATTGTGAATTTCTCAAAGAGGCTAAACTTCTAAGGCTTTGGTTATTACTGCACAAGGCATCCTAGGTTCTAAAGTACATTTGAAAATACAATCCGCTCCTCCAAGAGAAATGTACCTCCTTTATTTCACACAGGTCCACCTGTCTAAGGATACCTTCTCAGTGCTGTAACAATGGCTACCGTTGTAAATCTGCTCAAATACCCACTACTCCTTGTTTGTTTATATAGAATTGGTGGTAAGGCAAGGATTTAGGATATATTACAATGGATGATTTACTTAACAATATGAGTCATATTCATTGTTGTTCACTCAGCAAGAGTATTTATGTGACTCACACTGTATGTGCAAGTCACTATGCACAGGCAAAAGGAAGATCGATTAAGAAATGCTTGAGTAACGTTTCAGGTACTGTTTAATGGAAAAGCTAAATTAAATATACTTTCTCTTAAGAGGCTAAACTACTGAAGATTGAAATAAATTTTGATGTTTATTCTTCATTTGGTGGGATCTATACATTGATATATGAGTCAAGTGAGTAACAGAAACAATCTCTGGGTAACTAATCATAATAAAGAAAGTAAAGTAAATAGGATAGCTCACACAACTTCCAGAGGGGGCACATAACTAGGTTTGGAGGCTATGCTGTCAGACATGACACTATAATAATGTGCAGAATTGTTCAGTGAAACCACCACTGTTGCCATTACTGAGCAGACACTGGTGCTGTCACTAGAACTCCAGCTACCCCTGGAAATTAAGGAGCTACTTCTTCCCACAGAAGAATGAATTGTCCATGGTATCTGCTTCTTTTGATCATTAGATTCTAAACCAAAGTCTGCAATAAAAATATCTGATTGACAGAACCTAACTTATATGCACACATTCTACCTGCATATAGAGGTGGAAAGCCTCTATATAGTACTTCAGTCTCTAAACTGGGAGATGGACACTGCCAAAATTGAGAGAAGAAGAAGGAGAGAAAGATAATTATTTGTTCCCAAACCCAGAGCCTCTGCTGCTATTATCCTATCAGGGTTTTCTGCAATCTCTATGGAGATCCTTATCTGCCATAGACCCATTAGTAATATTAATTCCCTAAAATATAAGTAGCATGAGCAGCTGGAACCAAGTGGAAAAACTTCTGCTCTGAGCTTGACTGAAAGTTGGTAGCTTTGTGGGTGAGTCAATCATCAGAGAAACATCCCCAAATGAGGTATATGTGCCCTCCAAAATCTAAAGATGTTATTTAAATGCTGTGCTTCTTTCTTAGTTGTAGGGGTGTTGGGTGCTGCAGCTCACCCTTTACTGGGAAAGGAATATTTTGAAAATTCCAGACCACCAGAGCAGAATTACTGATTTTTCCTTTTGCTTCAGTCTCCAATATGGCTCAGCATGGTATTATTAGTGATGTTATCTTTAGTTAAAATTTTGATTTTTTTTCATTATGGGTTTTTCACATTAACTTTTCTTCAATTATTGCATTTAAATATTTTCTACCTTGATAAGGTTTTTAAATTGTGTGCCCTTGACAAGTGCTGTGCTAGTGCTGGCCCAAGTTCAGGTGCATCCTCAGGTGTTCAACTTCCCTGTTTTCACATGCCTCTGGTTATGTTAGGGGAGACAGAGCATACACTTCAGAGAGAATAAAGTTCTAGATAGGGGTATGTGCATGTAAAATAGGTTAGCAGGAAAAATCTCACACAAAAAAGTGACATTTGAGCAAAGCCTCAAAAGAAAGGAGAGAAGCCTAGATTTGAGTTTAAACAGATTAGGTAGATCTTAGAGGAGTACTCCTTGATATGGGCTTTGGGACTTAGTGATTGAGTGACCATTACCAGACATCTCTCAGAATCACACATTGGGATTATTATCAGCTTTTCCTCCTTGCCTCAGCAACTAAGGTCTCCGCCTCATTGCTTGGCCTCTGATACTCTGGAATTCTTGTCTCTCCACTGAAATTCGGTAGCCAATTTAATACATAAACTTTCACCAGCATCTCTAGCCAACATAAAACACCCGTACTCATCCAGAGTTAGTTTCTAGGACACCCTGAGGGGCAATTACAAAGTTAAATCTGAGAGAAAGGGGCTTAGGTATTCAAAATAACAACAGATTTTATAATAGTATATAATATAAATATTATATATATGTAAAAATGCTTATATAATATCTGAAGGATACCTGTGAGAATACAGTCTTAGAGAACTAGACTAAATAGGGAAGAACATAAATTCAGACTGATCTGAGTTTATCAATATACGTGTGCACGTACCAGAGTCCGAATTCAGTGTGTGAACTGGAGCAGTTAGAAGTGGTTCTAATGTGCTCGCCTGAATGCTTTTAGTAAACTTAGGACTCAATAGTGATCTCCAATATAAAAAGTGGATATGTCATAAATGCCTTGAAATAGTGTGAGAGAAGAATCCAAACACTTAGGGATTCTATATATTGGAGTGAATTTATCATATGTAATATACACACCCACCTCTAACATTTCCCCTCAAGAAGGCCCTGAACACTGTCCTTTAAGACATTGAGAAATAGATTTTTAGGAGACATATTGTTATTGTATTATGTATATATATATACATATATATATATCTGTGTTATGTGGATATGTTCAACAGACTTGAATAGAATTACTATTGTCTGAAGAATGTCGTTTGTTCCAAAACTACATTCAAGTTATATCAGAAAGCTAGACACAACAATGATATGAAAGAATTTGTCCCAGGATACAACATTGCAGAAAGAAATCAGTGTGGAAAATTAACTCTCTGGCTTTAAGAATTGGTGAGATCTCTCCTGATAACATTTTATGTACCTTAGTGCTTTCATTGTAAAACAAGATTAACTTGTTTTAATTAAACAAGATCAATTTATTTTTGCAAAGGAGCATAAATTGAAAGGATTCTCATTGCAATGATTTCCAAAATCTTAAAAGAATGAAAAGCTTTCCAAATAAACAGCTTTTAGTACTAAAAAACATCTATGTTACAAGGCAGACATTTAAACACTAAAATAAATTCTAAATAAATTTGTTGGACCAGTAAGAAACTTAAGTAAAAAATCCCAGTTTTCTGGTAGACATATTTCTTGAATCTGTCTTAAATTATCTAAGACTGCTTGCTTCTGCTCTAATTGTTTCAAGAGTTCACTATTGGGATGCCCAATTACCACCTTAACACCCCCGACCTCACCTCTTCAAAAGCTGAAGCTAGGCTCTCAGGTCACACATATGTTACCTGGGTCTAAAGTCCTCATCACCTTAAAGGCTGTTCCCACAATTTTGAATCACTGGGCTTGTATTCGTGCTTACCTTTTCATTTTTTATAATGCTTTGGCACATTCATCCTATTACTTGTAATCATATTTTTGATCAGCAGTTTTTCTAATTCTGCTGACATAATCACCACCCTATGTGCCCTTATTTCACTTTTCCCTTGACAGTTAAAGTAGATTTCTATATAGTCTGGTGTCCTCACTCTTTTCCCTGTCTACACAGAATCATCTTCTTTAAAATACATCTCAACTTCAAATCTTTGCAGTTTAACTACAGTGGTACTCCACTGCCAGGCAATTACATTAAATACTTCTGCTTGATATTCAAGGAAATCCAACAACTTGTTCTCTTTATTCTTTAATATGGTTTCTTGCTTTGATCAAGAATATGTTTCTGTCAACTCTTACAATAGTTTTGAGTTTTTAAGGGTTCACTTGCCTGTTCCTCCTTGCATCTACTTGAAATGTTTCCCCTTGACTTGAATCTACCTGTATCCTTTTCCTCTTTCCCACTGGTGTGGCTGTTCTCTGTCCCCTGATACGTATAATTTGCATTTGAGCTCATGATACACCACATTGAAGCATTCTTAGGTCTTTTCTATATGAGTGTATGCTGTGCCTTCCATATGAGATTATCGCTTTCCTAAGAACAGATGTCTCCTATTTATTTTCCTAACACTCTAGTAATGTTAGATGTGAGAATCAAACTTCACTGTGTTACCTTATAAATCATTGATTCTAGTATTTAATGTAAATCCTGTGGACCCCAGAGAGTTAATGGATAAACTTCAAAAAATTGATGACATCCCCTCCCCAAGATTGTGTTCCACAACATAAAATGTTAAGAATACTGTTCTATTTGAACAAGAATAACTTCACAGATGAAGAAACTGAAATCCAAGGTCAGAAAACTAACTTGTTTGAGGAGAATAGACTTTCAAGTCCTTGTGCCTTTTAATTTCTGGACTCAATTACATATACCCTTGGGGATATAAAATTCCATGAAAGGTCTTCAAAATCCATTACTCTGCCTGCAGGAAGAATTTGTCATAAAGATTGCAGCAGATGCAACCCATGACACTATTAAAGATCTCCTGGGAAAGGAATTTTATAATTTCCTTCAGTTTACTTTCACGGAAACATAAAACCAACCTCTTACAGCAACCACTACATTATATTACTTCACTTTCTTATATCGTGAAACACACACACACCCTAGGGCCTTCTCTTTAGGAGGAGATCAAATAAAAAGTGTAATTTACCTCACTTATACTCTCTACCAAATATTATTTTAACTTGAGCTTCATTTGAATATGAAAATTAAACAAAAGTAATACCAAATTAGTTTTTTTTAAACTGTATATTTTATTTTATGTTAGGTTCTCAGATACACGTGCAGAATGTGCAGGTTTGTTACATAGGTAAACGTGTGCCATGGTGGTTTGCTGGACCTATCAACCCATCACCTAGGTATTAAGCCCTGCATGCATTAGCTATTTTTCCTGATGCTCTCCCTCCCCACAACAGGCCCCCAATAGGCCTCAGTGTGTGTTGTTCCCCTCCCTATGTCCATGTGTTCTCATTGTTCAGATCCCACTTATACATGAGACTATGTAGTGTTTGGTTTTCTGTTCCTGTGTTAGTTTGCTGAGAATAGTATCTTCCAGCTGCATCCATGTCCCTACAAAGGACATGATCTCATTCCTTTTTATGTCTAAATAGTATTCCATGGTGTATATGTACATGTTTTCTTTATCCATTCTATCATTGATAGGCAATTGGGTTGATTCCATGTCTTTGCTATTGTGAATAGTGTGCTGCAGTGAATATATGCATGAATGTATCTTTGTAACAGAAAGATACACATGCATGTATCTTTTATGGCTGCATAGTATTCCGTGATGTATATGTACCACATTTTCTTTATCTTATCTATCATTGATGGGCATTTGGGTTTATTCCATGTTTTTGCTATTGTGAATACTGCTGCAATGAACATATGCATGCATCTATCTTTGTAACAGAATGATTTATATCCTTTGTGTATAAACACAGTAACGGGATTACTGGGTCAAATGGTATTTCTGGTTCTAGGTCTTTGAGGAATGACCACACTGTCTGCCACAATAATTGAAGTAATTTACATTCCCACCAACAGTGTAAAAGTGTTCCTATTTATCCACAGCCTCACCAGCGTCTGTTGTTTCTTGACTTTTTAATAGTCACCATTCTGACTGACATGAGATGGTATCTCATTGTGGTTTTAATTTGCATTTCTTTAGTGATCAGTGATGTTGAGCGTTTTTCTCATATGTTTGTTGGCCACATAAATGTCTTACTTTGAGAAGTGTCTGTTCATGTCCTTTGCCCACTTTTTAATGAGGTTGTTTGGTGTTTTTCTCGTAAATTTGTTCAAGTTCCTTGTAGATTCTGGATATTAGACCTTTGTCAGATGGATAGATTGCAAAAATTTTCTCCCATTCTGTAGGTTGTCTGTTTACTCTGATGATAGTTTCTTTTGCTATGCAGAAGCTGTTCAGTTTAGTTAGATCCCATTTGTCAAATTTTGATTTTGTTGCAATTGGTTTTGGCATTTTTGTGCTGAAATCTTTGCCGGTACCTATGTCCTAAATGATATTGCCTAGATTTTCCTCTAGGATTTTTATAGTTTGGGGTTTTAAAGTTTTTAATCCATCTTGAGTTAATTTTTGTATAAGGTGTAAGGAAGGGGTCCACTTTCAATTTTTGCATATGGCTAGCCAGTTCTCCCAGCACCATTTAATAAATAGGGAATCTTTTCCCCATTACTTGTCAGGTTTGTCAAAAATCAGATGGTTGTAGATACATGGTCTTATTTCTGATTTCTCTATTCTGTTCCATTGGTCCACGGTCTGTTTTTATACCAGTACCATGCTGTTTTGGTTACTTAAGTCTTGCAGTATAGTTTGAGGTCAGGTAGTGTGATGCCTCCAGCTTTATTCTTTTAGCTTAGAATTGTCTTGGCTATATGGGCTCTTTCTTGGCTCCATATGAATTTAAAGGTAGTTTTTTTTTTCTAATTTTGTGAAAAATGTCAATGATAATTTAATGGGAATAGCATAGAATCTATAAATAACTTTGAGCAGTATGGCCATTTTCATGATATTGACTCTTCCTATCCATGAGCATGGAATGTTTTCCATTTGTTTGTGTCCTCTCTGATTTCCTTCAACAGTGGTTTTAGTTCTTCTTGAAGAGGTCTTTCATTTCCCTTGTTAGCTGTATTCCTCGGTATTTTCTTCTCTTTGTAGCAATTGTAAATGGGAGTTCATTCATGAGTTTGCTGTCTGCTTGTCTACTGTTGATGTATAGAAATGCTTGTGATTTTTGCACATTGATTTTGTATCCAGAGATTGCTGAAGTTGCTTATCAGTTTAAGAAGTTTTTGGATTGAGATGATGGGGTTTTCCAGATATAGAATCATGAAATCTGTAAACAGAGACAGTTTAACTTCCTCTGTTCTTATTTGAATACACTTTATTTCTTTCTCTTGCCTGATTGCCCTGGCCATAACTTCCAATACTATGTTGAATAGGAGCAGTAGGAAAGTGCGTCCTTGTCTTGTGTTGGTTTTCAAGAGGAATGTTTCCAGCTCTTGCCCATTCAGTCTGATATTGGCTGTGTGTTTGTCATAAATGGTTCTTATTATTTTTAGTCATGTTCCATCAATACCTAGTTTATTGCGAGTTTTTTACATGAAGGGATGTTGAACTTTATTGAAGAACTTTTCTGTGTCTATTGAGATAATCATGTGGTTTTAGTCTTTAGTTCTGTTTATGTGATGAATTACGTTTATTGATTCGCATATGTTGAACCAGCATTGCATCCCTGGGTTGAAGCTGACTTGATCATGGTGGATAAGCTTTTTAATGTGCTGCTGGACTCAGTTTGCCTGTATTTTATTGAGGATTTTTGCACTGATATTCATTAGGAATGTTGGCCTGAAGTTTTACCTTCTTTTTTTGTTGTTGTATCTCTGCCAGATTTTGGTATCATAAAAAGAGTTACAGAGAAGTTCCTCCTTTTCAATTGTTTGGAATAGTTTCAGAAGAAATGGTACCAGCTCCTCTTTGTACCTCTGGTAGAATTCAGCTGTAAATCCATCTGTTCCTGGGCTTTTTGTGGTTGGTAAGCTATTTATTACTGCCTCAAACTCAGAACTTATTATTGGTCTATTCAGGGATTCAGTTTCTTCCTGATTCAGTCTTGGGAGGGTGTATGTGTCCAGAAATTTATCCATTTCTTCTAGATTTTCTAGTTTATTTGTATAGAGGTGCTTATGGTGTACTCTGATGGTTGTTTGTATTTCTGTGGGGTCAGTGGTATTATCCTTTTTAGCATACTGTATTATGTTGATTTGATTTTCTCTGCTTCTTTATTAGTCTAGCTAGCAGTCCATCTATTTCATTACTTTTTTTCAATAAACCAGATCCTGGATTCATTAATTTTTTTATGTTTCTTTTCATGTCTCTATTTCCTTCAGTTTTGCTTTGATCTTGGTTATTTCTCATCTTCTGCTAGCTTTGTAGTTTGTTTGCTCTTGGTTCTCTAGTTCTTTTAGTTGTAATATTAAGATGTCAACTTGAGATCTTTCTAGCTTTTTGATGTGGGCATTTAGTGCTATAAATTTCCTTCTTAACACTGCTTTAGCTGTGTCCCAGAGATTCTGGTTCACTGTCTTTTTGTTCTTATTGGTTTCAAAAAACTTATTGATTTCTGCCTTAATTTCATTATTTACCCAGGAGTCATTCAGGAGCAGGTTGTTCAATTTTCATATAGTTGTGTGGTTTTGAGTGAGTTTCTTAATCTTGAGTTCTAATTTGATTGAGCTATGTGGTCTGAGAGACTGTTTTTTTATGATTTTAGTTGTTTTGCATTTGCTGAGGCATATTTTACTTCCAACTGTGTGATCAATTTTAGAGTACGTGCCATGTGGCACTGAGAAGAATGTATTTTGTGTTGATTTTGGGTGGACAGTTCTGTAGATATCTATCAGGTCTGCTTGAACCAGAGCTGAGTTTAAGTCCTGAATATCTTCGTTAATTTTCTGTCTTGATGATCTTTCTAATATTGACAGTGGGGTGTTAAAGTCTCCCACTACAATTGTAAGTCTTTTTGCAGGTCTCTAAGAACTTGTTTTATGAATCTGAGTGCTCCTGTATTGGGTGCATATATATTTAAGATAGTTAGCTCTTCCTGTTGAATTGAACCCTTCACCATTATGCAATGCCCTTCTTTGTCTTCTTTGATCTTTGCTGGTTTAAAGTCTCTTTTCTCAGAAACTAGTATTGCAACCTCTGCTTTTTTCTGCTTTCCATTTGCTTGGTAGATTTTTCCTCTATCCCTTTATTTTAAGCCAATGTGTATCTTTGAACATGAGCTGGGTCTCTTGAATACAGCACACTGATGGATCTTGACTGTTTATCCAGCTTGCCATTCTGTGTCTTTTAATTGGGGCATTTAGCCCATTTACATTTAAGGTTAATATTGTTATGTATGAATTTGACCCTGTCATCATGAAGCTAGCTGGTTATTTTGCAGACTTGTTGATGCAGTTACTTCATAGTGTCAATGGTGTGTTACTTCAACGTGTTTGTGTAGTGGCTGGTAATGGTTTTTCCTTCTCATATTGAGGCTTTCTTCAGGAGCTCTTGCAAGGCAGGCCTGGTGATAATGATTTCCCTCAGCATTTTCTTGTCTGAAAAGGATTTTATTTCCCCTTCGCTTCTGAAGCTTAGTTTAGCTGGATATGAGATTCTGGGTTGGGAATTATTTTTATTAATAATGTTAAATATTGGCCCTCAATCTCTTCTGGCCTGTAGGGTTTCTGCTGAGAGGTCCACTGTTATTCTGATGGTCTTCTCTTTGTAGGTGACCTGGTCTTTCTCTCTGGCTGCCCTTAATATTTTTTCCTTCATTACAATCTTGGAGAATCTGATGGTTATGTGTCTTGGGTTTCATCTTCTCATGGGGTATCTTACTAGGTTCTCTGGATTTCCTGAATTTCAATGTTGACCTATCTTGCTAGGCCGGGGAAGTTCTTGTGGATGATATCCTGGAGTATGTTTTCCAACTAGGTTCCTCCTTCCCCATCTCTTTCAGGTACCCCAATCAGTCATAGGTTTTGTCTTTTTATATAATTCCATAGTTCTTGGAGGTTTCATATTTCCTTTTTATTCTTTTTTCTCTAATCTTGTTGCCTGTCTCATTTCAGAAAGATGTCTTCAATCTCTGAAATTCTTTCCTCCACTTGGTCTATTTGGCTATTGATACTTGTGGTTGCATTGTGAAGTTCTCATGTTGTGTTTTTCAGCTTCATCAGGTCATTTATGTTCCTCTCTAAACTTGTTATTCTGGTTAACTGCTCCTGTAATGTTTTATCATGGTTCTTAGCTTCTTTGCTTTAGGTTTGAACATGCTCCTTTAGTTCAGAGAAGTTTGTTATTACCTATCTTCTGAAGCCTACTTCTGTCAGTTCATCCATCTCAGCCTCAGCCCAGTTCTGTGCTCTTGCTGGAGAGGTGCTGTGATCATTTGGAGGAGAAGGGCACTCTGGCTTTTTGAGTTTTCAGCATTGTTTCATTGATTCTTTCTCATCTTCCTGAGTTTATCTAGCTTTGATCTTTGAGGCTGCTGACCTTTGGATGGGATTTTTGTGGGGACTTTTTTGTTGATTCTGTTGTTGTAGCTTCCTGTTTATTTTTCTTTTAACAGTCAGGCCCCTCTTCCATATGGCTGCTGTGGTTTGCTGGGGGTCCACTCCAGACCCTGTTCTCCTGGGTCCCTTCTACCCCTGGAGGTGTCACAGTGGAGGCTGCAGAATAGCAAAGATGGCTGCCTGCTCCTTCCTCTGGGAGCTCCATCCCAGAGGTGCACCAACCTGATGACAGTGGGAATACTCCTGTATAAGGTATCTGGTGACCCCTGTTGGGGCATCTTACTGAGTCAAGAGGCACAGGATCAGAGACCCACTTAACAAAGCACTCTGGCTTCCCCTTGGAGGAGGGAGTGCGCTGTGCTGGGGGAGTTCCACTCGTCCAGAGTGCCCGGATTCCTCAGAGACAGCAAGGAAAAAGACTAAGTCAGCTAATCCACAGAGACCATGGCCACTTTTCCCCCCAGGGGCTCCATCCCAGGGAGATCAGTGCCCTGTCCATAAACCCCTGGCTGGAGTTGCTGAAATTTCCACAGCGAGGTCCTGCACAATGAGGAGGGATGCATCCAGGTCAGGCCTAAAGCAATAGTCTGGTCACAGTCTGCCACAGCCACTGTGCTGCACTGTGGGGAATTCCTCCTGGGTTGAAACTGCCCAGTCTCCCAGTATCGGCAGGGGAAAATTGCAGACTGGAGCTGCAGTGATGGTTGCCAGCCCTACCCTCAGGAGCTTAGTCATCTTAGGCAACAGGCAGCCAAAGTGATGGCAGCCACCCCTCCTGCCAGAACTCAGTAGTCTTAGGCAGTCTCAGCCAAGCAGCCACTAAAAATCTGCACAAGTCAGGTTGCACAGATCCATGTTTTAAGCATGATTTCCTGGCCAAGGTAGCACAATCACTCACCACATCCCTTGGCTGGGGGTGGGAGCTCCCCTTGCCCCATGTGCCTCCCGGGTAGGCCATCACTCTATCCTGCTTCTCCTCACTTTCCATGGGTCGCTCCAACTGCCTAGTCAGTCCCAGTGAGAGAACCTGGATACCTTAGTTGCCAGTGCAGGATTCACTCTGTTTTTGTTCTTCTCAATGGGAGCCTCCAAGAGCTGTTTCTAGTCAGCTATCTTCCCAAATTACCTTTTTTTCTTACATAAAAACTCACATTGAAAAACTCACAGTTATCCAAAAACCCCTCAACCAAACAACTATTTATGCTTGTTAAAAGAAAAACTTCAGCTAAAATACATTTAAAGGAGTTTAATTGAGCAATGAACAATTCACAAATTGGGAAGCCCCCAGGATCACAGCAGATTCAGAGAGACTCCAGGGGTACCTCATGGTCAGAACAAATTTAGAGACAAAAAAGTAAAGTGATGTACAGAAATCAGAAGTAAGGTATAGAAACAGCTGGATTGGTTACAGGTTGGCATTTGCCTTATTTGAATACAGTTTGAACACTCAGCAGTGTATCAGTGGTTGAAGTACGGTTGCTGGGATTGGTCAAGACTGAGCTATTGTTACAGGTGCATACTACTAAGTGAGGTTTTCAATCTTGTCTACCTAGTAAGTTACGCTGCAGTTCATCTAAAAGGATTCAAATATAGAAATACAGAGTCCTTCTCAGGCCATATTTAAGCCTCAACTTTAACATGCTGTTAGCATGTCATGTTTGTTCTTTGTTTGTGGAATTGAAATTAGAAATGAAAATCTCTGCCTTGACCTATGCTCATGGAGAAATAGCTACAGTAGAAAAGTCTCTGACCAAGAGATAGCACCCTTAAGCCATCTCAGGACTACAAAGGACTTCTTATTGGAGATGGACATGATTTATCTTTTTCTTAAGTTTAATGCCTCCTCTAGTGCCCAGGAATCTCTATCCTTCCCTCGTAGCCCTTCAAACAGTTTTTTGTCCTTACTCTACAGCAAGAGCAGGATTTTGAGTGATTTGCACTTTCTAGGTTCAAGTGAAACTATTTCAAATAATCCCTGTTTCCATCTCCAAGTATCTGTGGTGCTGGGAAACAAATAGAAAAGACTGAAAATGATGGTTTCCAAAAGCAATCTCCCAATAGTATTCTTCCTCAAAATAATATTTTATAAAATAGGTGGCTATTTATAGGTCCATTTATGTACAGAATCAAAAGGCCTGAGTATAAAAGTAGCTAATCATTTTTGCTTTCCTCCAGCTGAATTATTATTGATATTAATGGGAGAAAAATAAACTGTTTAAACAAGAGTGATCCTCAATGAACAGGGCTAAAGTGAAAAAATAGACAACTTAGGAATTGGATTAATAAAGGCTGAGGAAGATGGATCAAACAAGTTCTAGCTATTGCTCAGAAACAATCCAGATGACTGTTTGAGAATTACAAAGTTCAAAAGAGGAATTCAAGCTTGACCTGTAATAACTTTGAGAAAGGATGTAGAGCAAGCTGACAGCATCATTGTTAGAGAGGGTTGCTTGAATATGGATATGAGACCAAGAAGTTGAATAAGAGAGTTGGCATGGATAGATGGTTGAAAATAAAATCACGTTCCCCTTCAGCAAGTTTCACATGCAAGGAGAAAGGTGTGTGAGTAAAGATAAAGCAGGCTTTTTTCCTTTCCAAAGGGAGATTCTTCTTTGAGAGATCTGCCAGTCTGCCTGCCTGCCTGCCTGAGGTCCTGACTTCTCTAGGAAATTGTTTAGGGTCTGCATTGTTATATTTTGGAAGATTGTCTACATTCTGAAAACACCATGATGGAGTGCTGCCCAAGCACTGAAGAGTGGGTAGTCAGAAGTTGCTGTTCCTTTCCCAGGGTTATTTCTCCACGGGGGGTGCAAAAGTAGCCATTTTCCTTTTTCAGTGGCACTGTGGTTGACTGGACACTTATGACATAAGAACTATACTTCTTTGGCCAAATGCTATTCTTATTTCAAAGTGTTTTTTGAATAGGGCTTGGTCTGAAAAAGGGAGATAGAGAAGTCTTAGTATGAAGAGGCAGTCTGTGTTTTGATCATTCTTCCTATTTCTTGTGCATGGGGTGAGAAGTCTTTTCCTAACAGAAAGTCAAAGGGCATTATTGTTTCTTCCTCATACATCAGTCCCCTACCAAATTGTGTAGAAAATTGGTAGCAAAAGAGAACTGTAGGGGAGAGAGAAGGAAGAGGGAGAGAGTGACATTCTTGTGTATTGTCAAAGACATATATGCGTCGCAACAGGAGGGCGATGATTCCTTTGGGGTTTGAAAGATAAAAAAGGATTTTGGTTTTTTTTTAACATTGAAATATGACTTGTTCTTGAAATTTCTCAGAATACTTTTTAAAATCTTTATTGCTTCACATGTGTCATTTCTGTCCATGTAAAATCACAAGAGTTTCTCTGAATTTTAGCAGACTAGGTAGCACACAGTAGGTCAATAAAACCTTGAAACTTAAGACTACTCTCCAATGAAATTGGTTTTCCTAAGCCACTTATAAATTAAGCAGAGAGAAAATGATTTCACAAGTTTTTACAGACAAGATGGCTTTTCATATTCCATTAAAGCTCTGGTGCTAACATAAAAATAAATTAAAACATATTATATTAATATGTATTGGTTTTTGTTCATTTTTATATATTGAAGGTGAATTGAATTATTACTACATAATAAAACATACATTTTTCAAATGAAGCTTTATTTGTAAGTTTGATGATTAGACTTCTAAATGTGTTTTTGGCTTCTTGCCTTTAAAAATAAATGACTATGATAGGAAAAAAAAGAAAAGAAAAGAAAGTTTATTCTTCTTAAATTGCTTAAAGCAAAGGAACATTTCAACTTTCAATATGAAACATGGCCTGAAAGTTAAAATGAAGAAAGGTGAAGAAAGAGATTGATTTAAAATGATGGTTTAGAATTTATAATTTTGTATTCAAAAACAAAAATGGTAGAAAGAGGAATAGAAATAATGCTTTCGTGACTTTGCTAAGCAAAACTCACACTTCTATAATTACAATTGTAGAAAAGAGTTATTACAAGAAATAATTAACAAAATAAATACAAAATATGAAAGTAATAAATTACTCAAGAGCTTCTGAATAATCCTACAACTAAGGAAGAGTAATAAGAATCTGTTGTCTATCTTAAAAGATATTTTTAAAAATAATATACATGAAAAATACCTGTAACGTACTGCTTTTTAATAGCTTAGAGATGAGTAAACGTAATTTTTAAAATCCGAATTAAATCTTGATAAATTCAAAGTCATTTGCTTTTTTTCTATATAGCTTTTCCCTACTAAATCAGTGTGCTGAAAAATCTATTTCAAGCCACACGTGTATTATTTCCATATCACCTAAGTGAAGTACTTTACAGAATTTTTTTTTCCTTTCAAAAGTTTTTGGAGTACAAGTGGTTTTTGGTTACATTGATGAATTGTATAGTGGTGAAGTTTGAAATTTTAGTCCGGATATCACCTGACTACTGTACATTGTACCCAATATGTAGTTTTTTATTCATCGCCCTCCCAACCTTCTGAGTCCCCATGGTCCATTGTATTACTCTGCACGCCTCTGCGTACCCATAGCTTAGCTCCCTCTTATAAGTGAGAACATACAGTATTTGATTCGTCATTCCTGAGTTACTAAGTTTACTTTAAAGAAAAAGTGACAAGCGCTTCAGCTTGCACTAACACTAAAGTTTATATGAATCATCCACATGTAGGAAAATATTCATAAAAGATCACAAAAAGATTACTGAAGGTGGCTCCCATTAGATATCTTATTTAAATTGAAATCAGTGTGCCAATTGAAATTTTAATTTAATCTGATAGCTACTACACTCTAAGAATCACTCATTAGGGAATGATTTACTATCTAATTAACTCAAAAAGGCATAAGTCATAAAAGTACATTTATTTCTTAATTAACGCATTAGTTGTGACAGGAATCCCTGTATGTTTTACATTATGTTACCAACATAACCCAGGGGAAATAATTTTAATGAACATGTATTAATAGCCTTTTGAACATAATCTTCAATGGAGTAGTTCAAACAAAGCAAATGACTTAATCATCTTCAACATTTTTAATTACTGTTTTTGAATTCAAAGAGAAAGAAAAATTATTTAAAGTTATGGTTATGGTTTCCTTCTAATTATATTTTTCTTTGTCTTTATTTCTAAGAGCCATGGGGTATGAGAATCTCTAGTCTACAAAAAATATTTCTTTTTGTCAAAATTATCAATTTTCATGAATATTTTTTGAATGACATCTGTGAGCCCAGAATGAAATAGTATTTTTAGTAAAATGAAAAGTATAAGAGCAGACCAGCATATGGTCACAACGTAAGAAGCTTAACATTTATTTTAGAATACAAGTCTACTTATATGAAAATGCTTTAAAGTAAAAAGTATACATTGCATGAAAATTTTTAAAAAATATATTTCAAAATGTAAAATAAAACAACATACAAAACGAAAAGAGGAATAAATTCCATGGCTTCAGATAAAAATATTTCAAGGGAACTGGAAAGACTTAAATGAAATTGATCTCATGAAGAAGAAAGGGGAACATCATATAAAAACAGAAATGATAGAGTGTGTTGTCATATCATTTTAATATCAGAAGGGATTATAAAAGTGATCTAACTGAGATACCTACTCAATATCATGCCGAAAGTCAAATGCTGATATCAATCTAGTATGGGTGCTTGTGCAAGAGAAAGAGAGAGAGAGAGAGATTTACTAAATGCTAATTATATGTCAAGGACTCTTCTAAGCACTTTAAATATTATTTTATTTAATCCCTTCCAAATTCTATGAAGGAAATAGTTTTTTTTCAATTTGACATTGTTTAAGAAAACAAAGATCAGAAGGGTTAAGTAGCTTGTTTGATTACACAGTAAAAGTCTAAGCCAACATGTGAACCCCAGCTGGTTAATTCAAATAACATAATATTGCATATTGCCTATAATATTGCAGGGTCATATGGGATGGTCTGAAGGCATGAGCTCTGGATCAGGGCTACCTGGGTTTGGATCTCTGCCCCACTTTTTGCTTGCTCTGGGTCTTGGAATGAATCACTCAAAAGCTCTGAGGCTCAGTTTCTTTGTCTGCAAAATGGGAAAAATAATGATACCTAACTCATTGGACTGGTAAATGAATAATATATAAAATAATAAAATAGTATCTGGTTTATACTAACTATTTAAAATATATTAATAGTAGTGGTAACTGTACTGCTATACTAAACCTTTGTAAAAGGATATGTTCCGCCTATGAAGGAATTAATTGAAAGCAGGGTTTTGTTCCTAAGGTGAGCAATGTTTACCATGCCCCCAGAATGTGCAGTATTGTTCCTATTTGCAAATCTGTCTATCTTTTTTTATAGAAAAATATTCATTAGCCAGATGCCACAGTCAACTCTACTGTTTAGTAAGCTCAACTGTCTTCATTTGGACCAAATGGTGGGCAGCATACTGGAAACCTTTAGTGAAGCTCTGCTTGAGTCCATTAGTACCAGATGACAAAGACCTTTTTTTTTTCTTTTTTTTCCATTATTTTCAACTTTTATTTTATGTTGAGGGATACCCATGCAGGTTGGTTATGTAGGTAAATTACATGTCGTGGAGGTTTGGGTTTCACATTACATTGCCACCCAGGTAACCAGCATAGTACCCGATAGGTAGTTTTTTGATCCTCACTGTCCTCCTACCCTCCACCCTCAAGTAGGCCCTGTTGTCTGTTGTTCAGTTTTTTTGTGTCCATATGTACTCAGTGTTTAGCTCCCACTTACAAATGAGAACATGTAGTGTTTGGTTTCCTGTTCCTGTGTTAGTTTGCTTAGGATAATGTCTTCCAGATCCATCCATTGCTGCGAAGGACATGATCTCATTCTTTTTTGGCTGCATAGTATTCCATGGTGTATATGTACCACATTTTGTTTATCCAGTCTACCATTGATGGACAGTTGGGTTGATTTCATGTCTTTGCTATTGTGAATAGTGCTATCATGAACATACGTGTGCATGTGTTGACAAAGACCATTCTTGCAGGAACCTTTGTCTCATGTCTCCACCCAGTGGCATCTCACATGTCCATGTCTATTCCATAGTATAGAATTGATATAGAAACTATATCCAATCCTTATAGTTCTGTTTATTCTAATATGCATGAGTCACAAGGGGGCTTGGTAAGGAGGAATCCCAGCAATAGTTATGATTCTAACTCATACCTCGCTCACTTCTGATGGTCAGTCCCAATGTTTATCATAAGGCCAAAGCCCCTCTTTTTTTCGTGATGGTCTCTCTTTCAGAATTCCCTGAAATCAGGCTTTCATGTTTATTTAGCACCAACCCTGACTTTCCTAATGATACATTTCTTTGTTAGTTTGTTTGTTTTACTTGTGATACCTTTATATTTTATTTTACTTGTGTCTCTTTCTTCTTTGCTTCAGCCTTAGTTGTTTCTTATTGATAATACAACTTATATATGTGTGAATTTAAAGATTCTATTTTCACATCATAACACCAGCTAATTATGAGTAAACTATAGTGAAAATCAGGTTTTCCAGCATAATTTTAATTTTTAAATGAAAGTTTGCAATCTTAACATGAATAAAATATATCTTCCTCCAACTTCTCATATTCTGCCAGTATTATTAAGTTTTCTCAAAAGAAAACAGAGCAAAAGCTAATGAAATATTCATGCTAACAAAGTGTCTTTGTTAGGGTATTTGAAGGTAAATATCTTTAGGGAAATGTATAGTCAAGAAAAAAAGTCTTTTTGTTTGCTCTGTCACCCAGGCTAGAGTGCAGTGGTGCGATCTCAGCTCACTGCAACCTCCACCTCCAGGGTTCAAGCGATTCCCCTGCCTCACCCTCCCGGGTAGCTGAGACTACAGGACATGTCACCATGCCCAGCTAATTTTTTATATTTTTAGTAGAGATGGGGTTTCACTGTGTTAGCCAGGATGGTCTCAATCTCCTGACCTTGTGATCCACCTGCTTCCGCCTCCCAGAGTACAGGGATTACGGGTGTGAGATATCGCGCCCAGCAGAAAAAATGTCATTTTTATCCTTTTTTCTAACTGTATTTATTATGGGAAGAAATGTTGTAAGCACAAAGAAAAAACAAAAAGCAATTACTCATAATATAATCACTTAAGCTAATGAACATTTAATGTTCATATATCTGATCCCAGTTCATATCCATGATATATACACAGATTTATATGTGAGAAAATGTAGTATACATAATATTATTAAGATGTACTGAATGCTTGTGCTTCACCTGTCTTTGTTATGCCTGTGCGTTACTACTTCTACCCAACGAGGCACTGTTTACCAACAATTCCCGAAAGCGTTCATGTGAACTGTAACAAAATTGTTGAAAAACAAGTGCAGCCAAGACAACCACAAAAAATTGGAATGGGGGTTTATACAAATCTACAAGGAGTCCATTTTCTTTCAGATTGCTTTTCTACTGTTTTCAAGTTTTTTCTGTACTTTAGAAAAACATTGGAAGTCTTAGATGATGAATTCATTCATTCATTCATTCATTCATCCAGGAGTTTGATCATTTAGCAAATATTTATTGTGCACTTCAATATTGTCGGGACATAAGTCCTGATAATCAGCAACAAACAAGGCCATCAAAATTCTAGCCCTCAGGAAGCTTACATCTAAGTAGGGGAGACAGACCATGAATGTATAAATATACAATATATTTGGTAATGAGGTAAAAATCAGTGTCAACCAATAAAGATAGATTGGAAGGATGTGCTGTTCACAAAGGGTGCTCAGTAAAGGCCTACTGAGAAAATTGCATCTCAGCAAACACCAAAAAGAGGGAAACTAATCATGTGTCTCTGTTAGGGAAGAGCTTCCCACACCAAGGGGACGGTGTGTGCAGAGTGCCTGGGCTGAGGGCTTGCTGGGTATATTAGTCCGTTCTTATACTGCTAATAAAGACACACCCGAGACTGGGTAAATTATGAAGGAAAGAGGTTTAATTGAGTCACAGTTCAGCATGGCTGGGAAGGCCTCAGAAAACTTACAAACAGGGTGGAAAGGGAAGCAAACACACCCTTCTTCACATGGCAGAAGCAAGGAGAAATGCTAAGCAAAAGGCGGAAAAGTCCCTTATAAAACCACCAGATCTAGTGAGAACTCACTCACTATCAGGAGAACAACATGAAGGTAACTGCCTCCATGATTCAATTACCTCCCACTAGTTTCCTCCCATGACACATGGGGATTATGGGAACTACAATTCAAGATGAGATTTGGGTGGGGACATAGCAAAACCATGTCGCTGGGCCAGGGAGGCCAGTGAGGCTGGAGAGCAGGGCAGAGGGGAGTGGGAGGAAGTGAGGTCAGAGAGCCAGACAGAAGCCCAGATCACACACAACTTGGCAGAACACCAGAAGGAATTTCGGTATTATTTTGCAAGAAGTAAAAGTCATTAGAAATTTGAGCAGAGTGGCCAGATCTGACCTCCTTTTAAAGAATCACCTTGGCCACTGGGTAGAAAAGAAAGGTCCAAGGTGAAGGCCAGGAAGCTAGTTAGTGGACTAAAGTGGTAGAGATGAAGTGGTGAGAAACGGTTGAGTTCTGGATACATCTTGGAGTTTTGCTGAGGGACAAGATTTAACAATTACTAGCAAGTTTTGTGACCCATGGCAAAAAGAATATAGTTTGTATTTTTATCATTATTATTCAGAAAGGATGAAACAGAAGAAGTCCCTACTTAGAAAAAATTATCCTATATCAAAATATTGGTGAATAATAATACATTTTATGCTTACAGTGAAAATTAAAATTTTAAAACAGATATGTCTTTTATAGCAATTACTAGAGTTGGCTAAGTCACTCTCATTACCTAAATCAGAATTTCTCAACAGTGGCACTATTGACATTTTGGTCTGGACAATCTGTTGTAAGGAGCCACTCCTATTAGAATCCAATCCCATTAGATAAGAATTTTCTCTTATTTATTACTGCTTATCATACAGTGTAGAAGGGGTGCATTGTTAGCGTTATATTTGTGGAGCAGATGTTAAGTAACTTCAGAATGAGTTTATTTAGTGAAGTTAATATTTTTCTAGCTTTTTGTCACTTTTTTTCTCTTTCCTCATGTAAGAAAAAATATCACAAAATAAACATGCTTTACTTTTCCATCCATGAATGCTGCTTCACTCAGCTGTTGTTGAAAAGTTACAAGCCCCTGTTATCACCACCCCTTAACTCACCCCTTTTCACCATGCTCATGCTCCAAACCACACCAAAATCAATGCAGATATATGTTGTAAAATTATACTTCTATAAAAGAGTAAATTAAATTAAATTCTATTCAGGTTAAAAAAAAGTCCAAGTGTCCAGGGCCTTCTGTCCTCTATAGGGAAGAGGTTGTTTATATCTCACAAACACTCAGGAATTTGCACAGTGGAAAAAAGGGTGAAGATTTAGAAAGTAACTGGGCAACTACTGGGAAAGTGAATAGAAAGGACAGCTGTCTGTATGAGACATCAATAGCTTCGATAATTCCCTGTAAATTCCTGAAGCCTTGGTACACTCCAGACAGGGTGTGAGAGCACTGCAAAGTCATCTGAAGGTCAGAGTGACAGCACCAGAAGAAGAGAGTAAGGAATGAGAATGATCTGGAGATAATGGTTTCTAATATTAGCCTTCCGTAATTCTCTTAGAACATTATTTACTGTCAGGTAAGTTTTAGTTATGCAGTTATAGCAAACCTAAACCTGAAGGAAATAAAAGTCCTGTCATCACTGTGTTATTTATGTTCATATGGACAATGGCTGAAATATTGGCCTATAGGATAAACTTGATGAAGCCACAGGGAGCAATACTGAAACTGATCCACTGAGAAACATATTCCTATATAAATTGTTTTTGTTGTATTCATTTCCACTCTAGCTGCCATAGCTTAATAACTGTAACAGACTCATAATATCATGTTGTTTCCAAGAACTGCTTCCCTTGAAGGTTTACAGCATACAACTAAACTATTAAGCGTGTGAGAGTCATGCATGAGCTATAAAAAGCAGAAGCGAATTAGCATCAACACCAATATCTTGGCTGAGTGTCTAAATGTTATTATTTGACAGTGGCAGCCTATTAAACAATTTTTAAATATGACATTTTCCCACCACAATGAAAACATTCATTTATAGGGATTTTATAACTTGGGATTTAAGTCTTTAAAAGAAAATATACTGTCTGTACCATGAATTATCTAAAGGCATTGGAGAGACATGCCAATACAATTGGTTTGAGGTTGGAAGGTTTGGACCTATTTTTAAGTAAAAAATAATGTCTAAGAACAAATGAATCATAGACAAAAAGCAGAATCATCTTATTCTGAAGAAAGTAGGGAACGTCAAAGACCAAAGACTACATAAGAAAACATAAATAAAAAGGAAGCAAATGAAAGATTACTTTCTTTCCACTGACCTTTGCTATTATGTAACATAATCTTAAACACTTCAGTTCTACTTTATTTGATACTAAGATTCAAGTGCTTTGTGAGCCAAGCTAGTCTTCCATGGCTGCCCATTAGTCTGCTAAATACATTTTACAAAATAATGTGTACCAAGTGTTCTGCTATAGGCAGAGCACTTACAATACACTCTCACTACCTAAATCAGAGTGTCTCAACAGTGGCACTATTGACATTTTGGTCTGGACAATCTGTCGTAAGGAGCCTCTCCTACATCCTTGTAGAATGTTTAGCAGCATCCCCAGCCTCTCCTGCTAGGTGCCAGTAGCCTCCCCAACTTGTGACAACCTAAAACATCTCTAAGCGTCGTCACATCTCTTCTAGTGAGTAAATTCACTACCAGCTGGGACCACTGATCCAAATCAAGAAGTTAGAAAACAAAATTTGCCATGTATCTATTTATACAGTGTATGTACTTGTCCAATTTTACCTCTTCCACAAATGTTTAAGATTTCATAGCTTAATACAATTAATTCATATTGTACTAAGTACACCTTAGTATGACATTAAGATGTCTTATGTGGTCATACAGTTAAATAAAAGAGCGTCTCTGTTCTAAACAAACAGAACTTTATAAGTTGCCTCTATTTATTAAACTTAGGTTGCATGGGCTCAAAAGGCCTCCAAATGACCATCGGCTCTAGAATCCAAGAAAGATAAGTTAAGATAGTAGGATAAGATAATAAGAAGGAGGTGGAAGCTATGAGAGCAAATAAAAGTAAAATTAAGAACTTGAATGAGGAAAGGATGGTAGAACTGTTAAATCAACAAATTGGATGGTAATCAGAGGATAATGTTGGAAAACTCTTCCTGGGATGTAAAGATGCAGCAGATTTAACATAACCTAGAAATATTGTCCAAGTCACTTATATATGTTCCTCTAAAGATACTGTGATATCTGCAATAAAAAATTTAAAAAGAAAAAAACAGAAAGAGGTTTGCAAGAGAATATGGTACTTATACACATGGCTTATGATGCAAAGTTCCAAGAAGTCTCTGGGGCTTAAGGATCTTTCTCCTTCTGAGAGAACTCTCCATAGATTAATAATATTTGATATAATTTTAGTATGAGAATAATTTGGATAGTATTTAGAGACACAGTGTCAGAGAGATGATATCAATTTTTATATAAATTATATGTAAAATTTGTTTCTCCATTTGTCCATTAGTCTTACACTCTCAAAGACAAGAGTATGACAAATACACAAAAACAAAGAGAGACTGTACTGAATATGCATCATTCCCAGAGACAGAGGCAAACCGATCTCTTGGACACCAAAAGTAATGGGGGGCTGTGGTAAGCTATATATAATGGAGACTGCTAATTCAGACCAAATACTCTCTTCAAGCACAACTGCATCCCTTGGTTGAGATCTACTCCATTCCCCCCATCCCCAGTCATTAATCTTTGATTTGACTAAACTAAACCAAACCAAATGACAGTAAAGAGAGATTCTATTTCTTAGATTTATAGAGGACTTTTACAAATGAATTTTATGGCAGGGTGCCAGATGGATGAATTTAGAAATAAATAAAAGACATCTAGCTACAGAGTAGATAGAATCTATACTGAGTTTGGAGATAAAACATTAAACAAAAACATTGAAATGTGATTTTCTCAAAACTGTGAAAAGATAATTCACAGGAAAATTGGGGGCATAAGAGATTATGATCAGTTTAAAAGGTCATCACATGAAACGGCCCAACTACTGAAGTTGAAGCTGTCAGTTATGTTTCAAGCAGGACACTTTGAGGTTTATTTTGATATAGTGTGGGTGAAGGGAAAATTGGGGGGGACGATTTTCATGCAGACTTCACATTAGGACTCCAGGGTCATCTTTCTGGGCCACAGTTTCCTTATCTGAATAATAAGGGTGGTAGACTTGGATCACTATTTCTTTTTTTTTTTTTTTTTTTTTTTTAATGTTTTTTTTTTTTTATTATACTCTAAGTTTTAGGGTACATGTGCACATTGTGCAGGTTAGTTACATATGTATACATGTGCCATGCTGGTGCGCTGCACCCACTAACGTGTCATCTAGCATTAGATATATCTCCCAATGCTAACCCTCCCCCCTCCCCCGACCCCACCACAGTCCCCAGAGTGTGATATTCCCCTTCCTGTGTCCATGTGATCTCATTGTTCAATTCCCACCTATGAGTGAGAATATGCGGTGTTTGGTTTTTTGTTCTTGCGATAGTTTACTGAGAATGATGGTTTCCAATTTCATCCATGTCCCTACAAAGGACATGAACTCATCATTTTTTATGGCTGCATAGTATTCCATGGTGTATATGTGCCACATTTTCTTAATCCAGTCTATCATTGTTGGACATTTGGGTTGGTTCCAAGTCTTTGCTATTGTGAATAGTGCCACAATAAACATACGTGTGCATGTGTCTTTATAGCAGCATGATTTATAGTCCTTTGGGTATATACCCAGTAATGGGATGGCTGGGTCAAATGGTATTTCTAGTTCTAGATCCCTGAGGAATCGCCACACTGACTTCCACAATGGTTGAGCTAGTTTACAGTCCCACCAACAGTGTAAAAGTGTTCCTATTTCTCCACATCCTCTCCAGCACCTGTTGTTTCCTGACTTTTTAATGATTGCCATTCTAACTGGTGTGAGATGATATCTCATAGTGGTTTTGATTTGCATTTCTCTGATGGCCAGTGATGATGAGCATTTCTTCATGTGTTTTTTGGCTGCATAAATGTCTTCTTTTGAGAAGTGTCTGTTCATGTCCTTCGCCCACTTTTTGATGGGGTTGTTTGTTTTTTTCTTGTAAATTTGTTTGAGTTCATTGTAGATTCTGGATATTAGCCCTTTGTCAGATGAGTAGGTTGCGAAAATTTTCTCCCATGTTGTAGGTTGCCTGTTCACTCTGATGGTAGTTTCTTTTGCTGTGCAGAAGCTCTTTAGGTATTTCAAAATAATAAGAGCTATCTATGACAAACCCACAGCCAATATCATACTGAATGGGCAAAAACTGGAAGCATTCCCTTTGAAAACTGGCACAAGACAGGGATGCCCTCTCTCACCGCTCCTATTCAACATAGTGTTGGAAGTTCTGGCCAGGGCAATTAGGTAGGAGAAGGAAATAAAGGGTATTCAATTAGGAAAAGAGGAAGTCAAATTGTCCCTGTTTGCAGACGACATGATTGTTTATCTAGAAAACCCCATCGTCTCAGCCCAAAATCTCCTTAAGCTGATAAGCAACTTCAGCAAAGTCTCAGGATACAAAATCAATGTACAAAAATCACAAGCATTCTTATACACCAACAACAGACAAACAGAGGGCCAAATCATGAGTGAACTCCCATTCACAATTGCTTCAAAGAGAATAAAATACCTAGGAATCCAACTTACAAGGGATGTGAAGGACCTCTTCAAGGAGAACTACAAACCACTGCTCAAGGAAATAAAAGAGGACACAAACAAATGGAAGAACATTCCATGCTCATGGGTAGGAAGAATCAATATCGTGAAAATGGCCATACTGCCCAAGGTAATTTACAGATTCAATGCCATCCCCATCAAGCTACCAATGACTTTCTTCACAGAATTGGAAAAAACTACTTTAAAGTTCATATGGAACCAAAAAAGAGCCCGCATCGCCAAGTCAATCCTAAGCCAAAAGAACAAAGCTGGAGGCATCACACTACCTGACTTCAAACTATACTACAAGGCTACAGTAACCAAAACAGCATGGTACTGGTACCAAAACAGAGATATAGATCAATGGAACAGAACAGAGCCCTCAGAAATAATGCCACATATCTACAACTATCTGATCTTTGACAAACCTGAGAAAAACAAGCAATGGGGAAAGGATTCCCTATTTAACAAATGGTGCTGGGAAAACTGGCTAGCCATATGTAGAAAGCTGAAACTGGATCCCTTCCTTACACCTTATACAAAAATCAATTCAAGATGGATTAAAGATTTAAACGTTAGACCTAAAACCATAAAAACCCTAGAAGAAAACCTAGGCATTACCATTCAGGACATAGGCGTGGGCAAGGACTTCATGTCCAAAACACCAAAAGCAATGGCAACAAAAGCCAAAATTGACAAATGGGATCTAATTAAACTAAGGAGCACTATTTCTTAATGTATGTTCCATGGAGTAGTATCCTCAGGAGAAGCTCCATGAAAGTGTTCCTAGGAAAATAGACACACACTATATTCTCTATATCTTTCTTGGAGGTTTAGTGAGCACATTAGAGTACTACAGTTTTTTTAAACTGTTTTTAGTGAAGAAACTTGTTTAATTTCTAAATCCCAACATTTCCCAAATTTTATCCCCCAAGGAAATCTCTTTATCTTCTTACAACATATATTTAGATTCTGCAGAACACTGAAAAATATAGGTTCAGTTACATCTAATATCTTTTCAAGCTTTATCATATTATAAGATCAAAAAGAAGTCTGTCAAGAAGCATTCTTATATAATCTGTTCAGAGAAAATAAATAGATCTTTCATTCTCGCCATGAGTGTGCGGTTCTTCAGCCTTGAAACTGGATATTGAGAGTGAAATGAACACACTTCGTGTCCAGTAGAATAGTACTGAAAAAGGATCACTTAAATAGTAATGCAGCTTGTGTCCAAGGGAACCCACACAAAAGGCTGTGCTTACAGATGCCAGTAATTATGCAGCCGGGAGAAAACCCTCATTCCGTGGTCGACAGCTCTTCCGGCCCTCTGCCGACTTCCCCAATGTTGCCATGCTTTCCAACTTTGTGGTTGAAAGCACTGAAGTTTTAAGAAAAACTGGACAAATTTTGCTTTTGCTAGCTTTTCTTACTGCTAACTACCATTAAGCTTAAAAAGTATATAGCACATGTAAACCCACAATGTAAGTAAGATATGAAAAGCACTTACAACTATATAAATGATACCATACATGGAGAGCCCTTCAAATAATGCTAACACACAACTAGAGCTAATAAGGTGTAATAGTATGAGGTAATGTTGCATGCTTATATATTACATGGTTTTTTATCCACCCAATGCCGTGGTATTATTATGCACATTTACACATTAGCAACTTGATCAAGACCACACTATATATGAGTGAGGAACAGACCCAGTACTGACCAAATACAAGCTTGTTATTCTGAATCACTACCCTCCTTGGAAAATCTACCTGATGAAAGCTCAGTTCCAGCTTGAAGCCTAGTGGCTCTCCCCCACCCTCTTTATATCTGGCTGCTTGAGGGCATGACAAAGGATTCTGCTCCCCTCCCATTCAGGGTCTCAGTGATCAGTTATCGTTGATTCTGTTTTCAGTTCTTCTGAGAGGAAAAAGATAGAGGTGGGGTGATTTTTTAAATTATTTCCAAAGCCTACTCTTCTTCTTTGCAGAGTCATTTTTATACACAAATAAGTTTTGAAATAAATAGAACCAAAAAAGAAAACACCACTATGCCATGTTAGCATTTTGCAGTTTATTAAACAATTAAATATCCATCTTGGTTTTTTTTTAATCCTAAAAACAGTGTAATATTTATATTAGTAGGGCAAGCATGCATATTATTCAAAATATGCAGAAATTAAAGCTAAAGAGACATCTAATAGTGCACAAATTACATTTACAAAATGGGGACATAACCTAGACTACTATGTGTCATGAAAATTAGTGGGGATCTGCCATACAAATAGGTTTCTTTTTAGAAATTTTAAGAACTGAGAAAATCTGTTTTGAATAAGTCTTTCATTTCCCCATTCATTCTTTTAAAAATGTAGACTTCCAAGGAAATTCCAAGGCAGTTGGTCAGAATTCAATGTCTTACAAGTTGGCCATTTCCACCATCGTTGTTTTCTGAATGAATGAATCTTTTACTAATATAATAGGATGCTGAGTCCTCTGAATTTGGAAACTAAGGCCATGAACTGGAGACAACATTTTCTAATTATTCTACAATCTACAGAAAGCCACAAATAACTTCCTCCTTTACGGCCACCAGCCAGCATATCAACCTCCATTCTCCTTTCTCCATTTATATGACCATCATCAGTAAGAAGCCTTGAAAGAATGATTCAGCCTGTGGGGAAGATTGCAAATCCAAGCCGAGAGAGTACTTCACAAGAATCACTTGTAATCTTCCCTACACCTCTGAGAAGGGGAATAAAAGATTGGACTGATTTCAGGGTGGAGAGAGCTGGCCACTTCAGAGCTGGCCAGCAATAGGGGAAGGGAAAGAATGTAGTCAGTTGCTCAGTGACTAACTTTAGATTATGGAATACTTACAACTTTTTGTTTCCAGTAATGGAGAATTATATATCAAATATAATATTAATATCAAATATAATACTGAAGTTATAAATTAGAATAGACTCTTTTATTCTTTATATTTAATTTATTTTTCAATGGACAAAAATTGCATATATTTATCAAGTACAACATGATTTTTAAAATTTGTGTACATTGTGAAATGGCTCAATTAAAGATAATTAGCATGTTCACTAACTCATATATTTATCATTTTTTGTGGTGACAATACTTACAATCTACATTCTTAGTTATTTTCAACAACAAAATACATTATCTGTGGTCACCATGTTATACAACAAATCTCTTGAACTCATTCCTCCCATATAACTGAAACATTGTATCTTTTAACTAAAATTGTGATTACTAAAATTGCCTAAGAAGTTATCAAATCGTCCCAAAATGTTTTCCAACAGAGAAGGGAGATTTTGTTATAGCACCTCTGAAGGTGGTAAATGGTTAAAGCATAAAATAATCTTACGTTTATTGAGTCTCCTCAGTAAACAATGATACCACTTAAGGATTAATGCCCCTTCTTAAAGGGTCAATTTCTCTTCCCTGTATTTATCACAGTGAGAGCCCTTTTTTCCCCCCTGGAAATTCATTATGCTTTGTTTCTTTCACTACCAAAATGAGAAAGTAAACATATCAGAAATTGACATTTTTTACAATACTCACTAATTTCTATGTGTTTCTGTAAATTTGGATTGAAAGTATTCAAAATATTGAATCAACATAACTTCAGTGATCAAATTCTAAGCAGAGAGTCATTAAGAAGGGTGATTTTTAACTTCTTCATTAAAGCTAATTGTGGAACTGGGTGGAGTAATTTTCTAAACCAAAGGAGTGACAGCTAAAACCAATGCACACCAGGGAAAAAGAGCAGGTGAGGTGAAACACATGTGCAATACATATTTAAACATTTAGATGCCTAGAAAATCTGAGTTGGGTTAGTCCTTGCCAAATCTGGTTCAATTGCAATTAAGATTGAAACTTGTTATTGGGTAGATTTGGGGTCTGTTTTGGGCTGAATTGTGTTCCTTCTCCAAATTCCTATGTTCTAGTCCTGACCTCCAGTGCCCAAGACTAATGTGACTATATTTGGAGACAGGATTTTTAACAAGGTAATTAAGTTAAAATGAGGTCATTAAGGTGGACTCTAATCCAATCTGATTGGTGTCCCTATAAGAGGAGGAAGCAAGAACACAGAGGCACACAGGGAAGACCAGGTGAAGGCACAAGGAGAAGATGAGCATCTTCAAGCCAAGACAAGAGATCTCAGAAGAAAACTGCCCTGCCAACTCCTTGATCTCAGATTTACAATGCCCAGAGCTGGGAGAAAATAAATTTCTGTTGTTTATGTCACTTAGTCTGTGATACTTTGTTATGGAAGTTCTAACAAATTAATACAAAGTCTGTACCATAAGATTCTCAACACTTCGTAGACTTGCAATTTTGACAAGACCAGATCATTCAATCAGACAGGAATGCAAAAATGTATTACCCTGGGAATTAAATATACATCACACAAAATGTTAATAAAAATAAGTTTTCTAATACTCTCCTGTCTGCAATACATTTTAAAATTTAGAAGTAAAATTTATCCTCTTAATATTTTAGTGTTATACTGTCTTCATGCACTTTCAGCTTTTAGAAGTTTATTTTCCCAAGCATGATAAAACTTTTGAGAAAGAGATTTTCAAAAGAACTAAGAATAGCCAATTTAGACAATTGCCAAATCATCAACACTTATATGAAATTTGTGGGAAAATTAATCCAATTTTTTATAAAACCTTATGTCTTTAAAAAATCAGATAGCTACATGTGACTTATGTTTATGAATCTAAGCTGAGATACAGAAAATGGTTAAAACCATTTGGTCAATGAATTGACCTTACAAAAATACTGTTTGGTTTTAAGAACTTAGCACTGGCATGGATAAAAGTTTTCACATATACCAGGTGCTCATTATTAATATTATTATGTGTATTTAATAACAGCACTTCTCCCACATTAGTTAATAACTTATCCAAGTTCAAGATGCAGCAAGGAATTATTCCCATACATTCAGGGAAATGCTGAGCTTGTTCTAGTTGTTTGGTTTTTGGTCTCCTGGAGTTCCTTCTCTTAATGTTATATGAAAGGCAGTTTAGGATAAATTTAGAGAATCTAGATTCACATTTTGATTCATAAATAAGTATTAACAGAGACATAGCTCTTTTTACACATTTTTATTTCCTCAGACTTCCTGCTGGATTCAGCCCCACCTTCTATGGGAGTTGGGAGTTGGAGAGTATCTCTTATTTCCAAGCAATAAGTCTATCTACTTAACTGCTTCACTGACAAGGAAAGAAAGATATTTAATAAATAAATACATATGAGAATAAAGATAGAGTAAAGGAAGGAATGAAGGGAAGAGAAAGAGAGGGAGGAAGGAAGGAAGGAAGGAAGGAAGGAAGGAAGGAAGAGGGAGGGAGGGAAGGTGGAAGGAAAGAAAGAGGGAAGGAAGGAAGGAAAGAGGGAAGGAAGGAAGGACAGAAGGACAGAAGGAAGGAGAGAAAGAAAGAGGGAAAGAGAAAGGAAGGAAAGAAGGAAGGGCCTTTTACAAAGAAAAGAAATGTCAAGCTCATAGCTATCTCTAATGAAGTTCTTTCCCAACATGGTGGCCCATTTTGTCCTTGATCTGTATCACAGCTTTTTCAAAGAAGGTACATTGAACAGAGAACTCTCCATTCTTCCACATCAATTCTAATTGTATCCAAGATCCAATGGTAACTTCATTGGTTATGGGAAAAAAATAACACGTCTACATTTCTAAATGTGCTTGACCATGTAACTCACTTATCTCACAGAGCGTGCTTTAGAAATATTATGCTGCGGTTTGGGAGGCTGAGGCGGGTGGATCTCAAGGTCAGGAGTTCAAGACCAGCCTGGCCAAGATGGTGAAACCCCGTCTTTACTAAAAATACAAAAATTAGCCAGGCATGGTGACAGGCACCTGTAATCCCAGCTACTCGTGAGGCTGAGGCAGAGAATTTCTTAAACCAGGAAGTGGAGTTTGCAGTGAGCCAAGATCGTGCCACTGCACTCCAGCCTGGGTGACAGAGCGAGACTCCATCTCAAAAAAAAAAAAAAGAAAAAACAAGAAATATTGTGCCTGGAAATAGTGTGAAAATGTATCAACGAGATGCAGCAAACAACCTGAGAGACTGGAGAGAAAGTCAATATTCCTAGCCTTGCAAAATTGTGGTTTTATTTTGTTAAGAAAAATTATATAAAAGTTGAAAATAAAGCAGAAAAAAATAAAAGAAGAGGCATTTTTTTCAATGGCACAGGCAAGAATTACTTAAATGCTTATGAGAACATACTTTTTTCAGTTCCCTGTTTATAACTGATTAAAGTCTCAGACTTACTAAAGTTAACTTCTAGATTTTTCCCTGGTAGATATACAAACAATTTCTATAAAAATGAAAAGATAATCCTAGAGTTTAAGGATGTTTGTCCTTTAGGAGATTAGCCAGCATTGTACCTAAACTTGCAATCTTATCCAAACTGTCCTTTATTAAATTGTTTTCAGATATTCATCTTCTCAAAGCTTTTTGAACCAGTCTTAGTATTTCTCTGGTTCCCTCATTATGAGTTGATTAATGAGTTGAATAGAATTGTTGACCTGTGTTCATTTTTTATTTGTGGAAGAACTGTGTTTTAACTTTCAGAATATTACATTTTAACACCTTATAAAAATGGTCCTGTTAGAAGGAAGAAGTATTTTATGAAGTAGGACTTCACTTCTAAATATATTGCCTTTGAGGTGTTGGAAATATCTTTCTTTTGGACCAATGTCTTCATGATAGCTCTCTTTTGCTCAAAGCATACATGCCTATAAAAAATAGACTTCAAAATTGTAGTTAATTTATTTGAGAAACTTAACAATCCACACAGAGAGAATTGCTATGACATCCTTTGTGATTCTGCCTTTCCATTTTCTTCTACCTATGTTGAAATTTGTAATTCTGTATCAGTTCAAAAACTTCAGGACTTACACAGCAAAAGTCTCATAAACCTCTAGATAAAAAATTTCTTGGTCTTACTCACTATATAAAAATGTATTCCAAAGCTTATTGCCCACTAAATTTCTCACTATAAGATCTGGTTGGAAACAAAATATGTCTCTCAACTTCCCTCACTGATATTTAAAAAAAAGAACTCAAAAGTTATAATGACTAGAAGTCACTTCATTGTTTTTCTGTAAGTTAATTTTATTGGCCAATGCTAACCCTGGGATTATATATATATTTTAAACTTCAGCAAATAGTATCTTGCACAGGCAAAAAGCAATAACATGATTTTCTCAAAGCAATTGTTGTTTTTAAGAACTTCCTAGCTTAATAAATGAAATAACCAAAGGCTAAATACATGCCATACTGATAACATTTTGCCGGAAAAGTCCAGTGCCTCTGGTTTTTTGTTTCAGAGCCAAAAGTAGTTCTATTTCTGGGCTGTAGTTGCAGCTCTGAGACATTTCTCCTATAAGAGATAAGAAGTAAAGATCATAAAATAACAGGCATATAAAAATAACTAATCAAAACTACATGAAACTGCCCCAGTCAAGTAATAGAAATAATCTATGATTGACAAAACAACTATTTTTTAATAATATAGTGAAGATTGGTGGATAGTTTCTTATGTATAAAGCTGTTTCTTAATTTAATAAAGCCAACCATATTAATCTGGCAATACTACTGGGCTGGATTGAGACTCAATTATGAAAGTGGCTGTGGATCCCTTTTAGATGTCTTTGGTAACGGCAGGGATGTTGTCTTCGAAGCCCGAATATGTACAATATGCACACACACACATAAGAACACACACAAGTGCACTAATTAAATAAAACATTTATTTTTGGTGCTAAAACCTTATTGTAGCTTTGTTTCTACCCTTCATTTAGTCAAAAAGCAGTAAGTATAAACCAAAAGTAGAGGGTTAAGTTAAAATTCTGATTCTACCTCAAAGCAGTATCAATACTGAACAGTGGCATCCATGTCTAGTTTGCAAATCATTTGGCCTTCGTAGCCAAGGATGACAAAGTACTTGACCTGGCACTTGAATTTATCATTTAAGCTAGTACTTCTAGAGATGAGTAAATGAAAAATATACCTTAGATTGTTGTAATAATTATCATTAACATTTTTGAATACTTCAATGTGCCAGGCACTTGTTTGAACACTTTATATCATTATCTTATTTAATCTTTATTCTAACTGTAGGAAGTAGATACTCTTATTTTATTCCAGTTTATAAATTAAGATATTGAAGTCTAGAAAAATTAAGGGACATGCCTAAAATCACACATCTGCTAAGGTAAAAGTGGAATAGAAACTCAGAGTCAGATTCCAAAAGTAGATCTCTGAACACTAGGTTTTGGCCTTTGGAGAAGGACAACCATTTGGTGCCTGTGGAAGCTAGTCCAGGTTAAGAAATGCAAAAACATTTAGTTACCCTGTTAACCAACATTCGCTCTCACTGCAAGGCTTGTGATAACTACACATAATTAACCGAGCTCCTGTTCAAGCCAAAAGAAAAGTACAATAAGAAAGAGAAGCCTAAACTTTACCATAATTAATTTACAACTAGTCATTTCTTATAGACATTTATATAATTGTTTTTTTCTGTTTTTAAGTAACAAAAGGAAGTTCAAAATTCATGATTTTTCTCCTTACCCTACCCATACTAAAGCCTCATGCCTTTAAGAAATTAGTAGTATTTTTTTTTAAATAAAAATAAGTATGTTTTAAATTCCAAGAATTCTTCTAGGGTCCAATTCTCAGTTTTATTTACATTCTAATTTTATTTACAAGTTCCATTTCCCTATATATTTTTTTAAGATGAAAGATAATTGAATTATCAACTTCTTTTTATTATGTGCTCTTCAAAATACATTTCTTACTTTAGATAGCTAGAATCATATTAAAGAGAATCAATAACCTTTTAATACACTTCTACCCCAACTGGTACCGAAACTTCCCATGATCTGGGCCCTCTCAAAGCTTTTGTTGTAGTTTCTTTTTGAAGTTTTTGAAAGTTATGACTTCCTACACACCGGTGCATTGGCATAATACCCCATGCCCGCAGGTTTCTGTGTCATTGTTACCACTGTGTTTTGTTGGGCTCCACACTCGGAGCTCTCCAAGGATCCGTGACTGAATTGAATGAAACCTTTGCTACTTGGCAGGGGTAGTAAGAACACATAAAACCTGCCAGCTGTCAAGGATGTAAATGGTGATTTTGTTTCACTTTTTAATGAATTAAAGCAGGATTGAACTCAATCCAAAGACAGCATGTTTGGCCATTTAAAGGAAGAAAAAATGAAAGAGAAGGATGTTTTCTTCTCTCCTGGCAATGGTGTGCAGTGAAGTGTTGATGATTTAGTATGGGTAGTCAACACTCCAGGAAAGCTATCTAAAGGCTGTTTTGTTGTTGGTTTCTTTTCCCTCTAATCAAATGCACCCTATTGGCTTGAGGCAAACAGACCACTCCCCATTCTTTCTTAGATAAACTTTTATACCTCTGCCCTTTCCCAACCCAAAACTAGAATATTTCCTTAAATGCTATTATCTCAAAACATTTATAGAGGTGGATTGGGTGAGAATACACTAATAACTATATATTTTTAAGTTTGTTTTGTTTCATTTTGCTTTCTTTCCCCAAAGACAGCAATGTTACATTTATCAGTGTCACTTTGATTTACTGAACTACAACAAACACTTAGAGTAACTGACAAAGCACAAGTGCACATCTCACAAATGCACTCAGAAATACATTATTTTGTTAGTCTTACAGGGTATTTTGTTTACACAGGATTAAGTATTATCCAATCATGTGTTCACCTATATAAGAAAATGTGCAAGTTTGCAATTTCATTGTGCCTAAGTATGAGGATTTTTGAATCTTCATACTTTAGCTTTTTGTTTTTAGTATGAAAACTATCTTGTGTCGGCATCCTGGCCAAAAAAAGAAAAAAGAAAAAGAAAAAAGAAAACGAATGATATTATCGTCATCCAGTCTTCATCTGCAGTTTTTCTCAATCACGTAATATGATGGATTTTGCATTTTCCCATCTTCTTGCTACAAACATAATTCCATAATGTTTGCTTACCCTGTTCCTCTCTGGAGTTGTCAACTTTCTCTGTATTAAAGATGCCAGTCTTCTTTTGCCTCTACATTTGTGACTAACCTTAGGAATCATTAAGGGTTAATCCAACCTTCACCAGCAGAAAGAAAACTATGGTTTAATATGACATGCACCCCTCTGAAGCAATGGCTCAAGCTGTACCTTGTCCTCTTTTAGCCACAGCTGGGACACAGGGCATCAAGTTCCAAGGCTGCACAAAGCAGCAGTGGGGCCCTAGGTCTGGCCCATGAAGCTATTTTTCCCTTCTAGGCCTCCATGCCTGTGATGAGAAGGGCTGCCACCAAGATCTCTGACATGCTCTGGAGACATTTTCCCCGTTGTCCTGGTGATTAACAACTCCTCATTACTTATGCAAATTTTTGTAGCCAACTTGAATTTCTCCCAGAAAATGGGATTTTCATTTCTATTGCAATGTTACACTGCAAATTTTCCAAACTTTTATGCTCTGCTTCTTTTTTAAACATAAGTTCCGATTTCAAACCATCTATTTGTGAATACTTATAACTGAATGCTTTTAAGAGCACTGAGGTCACATCTTGAATGCTTTGCTGTTTAGAAATTTCTCCCACCAGATATCCTAAATCATTTCTCTGAAGTTCAAAGTTCCACAGATCTCTAGGGCAGGGACAAAATGCCACCAGTCTCTTTGCTAAAGCACAACAAGAGTGACCTTTGTTCCAGTTCCCAGTAAGTTCCTCATCTCCATCTGAGACCACCTCAGCCTTCATTGCCTATATCACTATTAGCATGCTTTATTTAACATGGAGGAGATAAAACAGAGTCAGGAAATTTTACTGTCATTGATAACATTCTCAATGAACCTTGAGCTTGTGTATTCAACCTTGCCTCTTAAAATGGCCTTGAGCCTAATGGGTATAGAGTTGAAATAGTGAGGGCCCTGAGTGAAGAAACCAGAGCTATTGCTTCCTGGAGAACTGATCATAGTCAACAACAACAAAAATATCTTGATGGCAAAACTGTGGCTGTACCCTCCCTACACAATAATCAACTGGAGGCTCCACAATGGGCCAAATCAAGCACTCTTGTAACCATCTAATTCTCAACCAAAGCCAGTTAATTACTTCTGCCAGCCTATTGTGGGACCTTGGGATCATGTAAGTTGATACTTAATAAACTCCCCTGTGTGTGTATATATATATATATATACACACACACATGTCTTATTAGTTCTGTCCGTCTAGGGAACCCTAATACACTTGGCCAAACCCTTATTCTCGCATAAACAGACTTTCTCATTTTTTCCAATATGGCTAGGCTTAGAAATGTTCAAACTTTAAAGTTCTGCTTCTCTTTTGATTAACAACTATGTCTTCAACTCATTTCTTTCTTCTGGCATTTTATAAGAAGCAGTCAAGAGAAACCAGGCTGCTTCTTTAACACTTTGCATAGATATTTCCCCAGCCATATATTGAATTTCATTGCTTGTAAGTTCTACCACAAAACAGTAGGACATGCACATAATTCAGCCATGCTCTTTGCCACACGATTACAAGGATCACTATATCTTCGTTGTCCAATATCATGTTTTTCATTTTTGTCTGAGACGTCACCAGAATGGCCTTGGCTCCCTGCAACCTCCGCCTCCTGGGTTCAAGCCATTCTTACTGCCTGAGTCTCCCAAGTACCTGGGCTTACAGGCGCCCACCATCACGCCCAGGTAATTTTTGTATTTCCAGTAGAGATGGGGTTTCACCATGTTGGCCAGGCTTGTCTTGAACTCCTGACTTTAGGCAATCTGCCCACCTCAGTATACCAAAGTGCTGGGATTATAGACTTGAGCCACTGTATCCCGCACTTTGTTCTTTTTCTCTAGGTCTTCAAGGCATAGATTTAGGTTTTCTATTTGAGTGCTTTTCTTTTTTATTGCTATAAAGTTTCTTCTTAGAATTGCTTTAACTGCATTTCATAAGTTTTGGCATATTATGTTTTCATTTTGTTTATTTTAAATTTTTTTCATTTTTTTCACTTCTTTTTTGATCCATTGGTTTTTCAGACACGTGTTTAATTTCTACATATTTGTGAATTCTCCAATATTCCTTCTGTAATTTATTTTTAGTTTTATACCATTGTAGTCAGAAAAGATATTTGATATGATTTCAATCTTCTTAAATTTCTTAATTTCCTTTGGAGAGGAAAGAAGAAGGTAGTTAAAGAGGAGATGACAAAAGGCAAAAGAGAGAATGCATAATAACTGTTCTATTTTATGGCCTAAAATATAATTAATACAATGTTTTGTGTGCACTTGAGAATATGTATTCTGCTGCTGTTGTATGGAATGATCTGCACAGATCTGTTAGGTTCATTTGATCTATTGTTCTATTCATGTCTGCATTTTCCTTATTGATTTTCAGTCTGGAGGGTCTATTCATTGTTAAAAAATAGATTTAAACTCTTGTGCTATGATTCTATTACTTGTTTCTCCCTTCAGTTCTGTTAATATTTGCTTTATATATTTAGGTGCTCTAATGTTGGGTGCAAATATATTTACAATTGTGAATTGACTCCTTTCTCATTATATAATGAAAGTCTTTGTCTCTTTTGACAGCTTTACTTAAGGCTGATTTTTTTCTGGTGTATATGCCCACCTGTCCTCCCTTTTGGTTGCCATTTGCATGAAATATTTTTTTTAATCCCTTTATGTTCAGCCTATGCACATCCTTAAAGCGAAAGTGAGTCTCATAGGCAGCATATAGTTGGATCTTATTTTTTATTTATTCAGCCACTCGATGTCTTTTGATTGGATAATTTAATCCATTACATTTAAAGTTACTACAGATAGATTAAAAACTTATTATTGCCATTTTGTTAATTGTTTCCTGTTGGCTGCTTGTATTTCTTTGGTTCCTTTCTTTCTCTCTTGCTGTCCTCCTTTGTGATTCAGTAGTTTTGTGTAGTACTATGTTTTCTTTTTATTGTATATAGCTACAATAATTTGCTAAGTTATAAACAATATAAAAAGATGCAAATTGTGACATAAAATTATAAAATGTAGTAGGGGAAAAGTAAAAGTCTAGAGCTTTTTATATGCAACAGAAATTAAGTCGTTATCAACTTAAAACAGATTATTATAGGCAAATGAATCAAAGCATAGTACTACAAAAAACTGTTGAATCACAAAGGAAAACAGCAAGAAGACACTACATATATATATAATATATGTTCAACAGTGGACATTAATATATATTATACATAACACTATATTATTTGTGTGTATAGATATAATATAACCACTATATTACATATACATATATAAAAATAACCACTATATATATAGCGGTTATAGGTTTTTGATGTTATGATATTGATGTTTTTGTTTTTGGTGTTACATTTTTTGTTTTGATGTTACAATTTGCATCTTTTTATACTATGTATCACTTAGCACATTATTGTAGCTATAGTTATTTTTAACAGTTTTGTCCTTTAACAAAACTTACATTCAGTAGCAACTACGTGGTCTGAATATAGGATGCACAGTATTGTCAATCCTGGAAATAGTCTTTTTATTTTCATAAGATATATAAATGAAGTGTTGGTGTCTTTACCTAGAGGTGACACTAAAGGCTTCTAAGGGAATAAATGTATATAGACCTCCTAATAAATAACTTTTGCATATACATATAGAAGATCTTTCTTGAGCTTACACAGCTGTATATAAATGTAGTTGATATTAGCTATGCCTGTGTCAACACTTTGGATTTTTTTGACTTGTACATGGGGACTTTTGTTTTTCTTTTGGTTGATTAAAGATGCATATGCTAGGTGTGTAAATGAAATATATATATAGTTATATAAACAATATAATATATATTTATATATATAATACTTATATTTTTTTTTCAGAAATTAATTTGAAAACTACTTGTCTTTTTTTTTTTTTTGAGATGGAGTCTTGCCCTGTCACCCAGGCTGGAGTGCAATGGCTCTTGCAGTGATCTTGGCTCACTGCAATGTCTGCCTCCCGGGTTCAAATGATTCTCCTGCCTCAGTCTCCCAAGTAGCTGGGATTACAGGCACACACCACCATGCCCAGTTAATTTTTTTTGTATTTTTAGTAGAGACTGGGTTTCACCATGTTGGCCAGGCTCGTCTGAAACTCCTGACCTTGTGATCCACCCGCCTCGGCCTCCCAAAATGCTGGGATTACAGGGGTAAGCCACCACGCCTGGCCAAACACTACTTGTCTTTCAAAAGTACTTATTATGCAGGAACTAAAATCATTTCCTTTTTCAACACCAGCACTGTTATTTCTAAGTACTACTTTGGAAGTTTTTCATGCAGAACATTGCACAATAGCAAGACTTAGATTGGTGAGAGGTATGACTTTGCAGAGGAAAACAAAAGATAGGTGTATTAGTCCGTTTTCACTCAGTTGATAAAGACATACCCGAGACTGGGCAACTTACTGAGAAAGAGGTTTAAGGGACTTACAGTTCTGCATGGCTGGGGAGGCCTCACAATCAAGGTGGAAGGCAAGGACGAGCAAGTCACATCTTACATGGATGGCAGCAGGTAAAGAGAGAGAGCTTGTGCAGGTCATTATAAAACCATCAGATCTTGTGAAACATATTCACTGTCATGAAAACAACATGAGAAAGATCTGCCCCTCCATGATCCAATTACCTCCCACTGGGTCCCTTCCATGAGATGTGGGAATTGTGGGAGTTACAATTCAAGATGAGATTTGGGTGGGGACACAGCCAAATCATATCAATAGGTAAAGAGGAGATGACAAAAGGCAAAGAAAGGATGCATAATAACATTTCTAATAAGTTATCAGGGAGTTAGATTTGAGGAAAGAATACATACAAAATTCGAGAATCTGAAAAATCAATTCTTAGCTAATTAATCTTTGAAGACTTTTACACCCCCATTAAAAGATTTTTGAAACAATAAATATAAAGAGCCTATTGCCCGAAAAATGGAGAATATAATCTTTCAAGTACTCAGGCAGCAGGTTTAAAAATTTTGTCATTTTTAAATTTTTATTTCTGGGGTTAATATAAGCAGATTTCTTACATGTATATATTATAGAGTGGTGGACTCTGGGTTTCTAGTGTACTCATCGTCCAAATAGTGAATATTTTACCCAATAGGTAACTTTCAACCTTTGCCCCTCTTTCACTCTCCCACCCTTTGTAGTCTTCAGTGTCTATTATTCCACTCTGTCTATATGTACCCATTGTTTAGCTCTCGCTTGTAAGTGAGAGCATGTGGTATTTGACATACATATACATATGTATGTGTGTATATATATATATGTATATATGTGTGTGTGTGTGTGTATATATATATATATATAGAGAGAGAGAGAGACTATATTTTAATCCAGTTCTCCATTGATGGACACTTAGGTTGATTCCATATCTTTGCTATTATGAATAGTATTGTGATAAACATAAAAGTAGAGATGTCTTCTAAATAGAATGATTTCTTTCCCTTTAGGTATATATCCAGTAAGAGGGTTGTACTAGTTTACATTCCCACCAACAGCATATAAGCATTTCCTTTGCTTTGCATCCTCACCAATAACTGTTGATTTATGACTTGTTAATAATTGCCATTTTAATTGGTGTCAGATGGTATCTCATGGTGGTTTTGATTTGCATTTCTCCGATGATTGGTGATGCTAAGCATTTTTTACATATGTTTCTTGGTCACTTGTATGTCTTCTTTTGAAAAATGTTCACATCTTTTGCCCACTCTTTAATGGGCTTATTTTTTTGTCATTGTTAAGTTGTTTGAGCTCCTTGTAGATTCTGGTGTATTTGTCAGTTTTCACACTACTATAAAAATACTACCTGAGACTGGGTTATTTATAAATAAAAGAGGTTTAATTAACTCACAGTCCCACATGGCGGGGCAGGTCTCAGGAAACTTACAATTATGGTGGAAGGCAAAAGGGAAGAAGGTACCTTCCTTACATGGCAGCAGGAGGAAAAAGAGAGCACAGGGGAAACTACCACTTTTAAACCATCAAGATCTCATAAGAACTCCCCCCACTATCACAAGAACAGCATGGGAGAAACTGCCCCATGATCCAGTTACCTCCCACCACGTTCCTCCCTTGACACATGGGGATTACAATTTGAGATGAGATTTGAGTGGGGACACAGAGCCAACCCATATCATCTGGGTATTACCTCTTTTTTTGATGCATAGTTTGAAAATATGTTTTTCCCATTCTATAGGTTATCTGTTTCCTATGTTGATTGTTCCTTTGGCTGTGCAGATTTCTTCATTTAAAAAGGTCCTATTTGTCTTTTTTTTGGTTTTGTTGCATTTGCTTTTGAATACTTGATCATAAATTATTCAGGCAGCATTTAAAAAAACCACAACTAGCCTATAAATCAAGTTTCAATTAGTTTTTAAAAATACATAATATACAAAACATTCTCTGACTAAATCATAAATAAAGCGGAAACAAAAATGTATACTTTGTAAAAATTATACTAAAATAATAAAGAAAAGACACATTTCTAAATAACTCAAGCACCAAGGAATAGAGTATAATGGGAAGTAGAAAATACATAAAAACTTCAAAAAATGAAAGGATAACAAAAATAGCATCAGCTCAATTCTATACTTGCAAATATTTTCTGTTGATTGTATAGAATTCATTGTTTCCAAGACTTTATGTTATTTATTTAGACATTTCTTTATTTAATTGTATATTAAAAGTAAGCATCCAATCTTTCCCAAACTCTTGGCCAACTTTCTAAGGAATATTTATTGAAAAATTCATCTTCCTCTCGGAAGTTTTTTTTTTTTTTTTATCACATAGTGACTTCTTTTATACATTTAAGTTTGTTTCAGAAGTATAGTTATTTTCCTTTGGTTTGTTACATCACAATTTTTTAAATTTTAATTTGTATAACATTTAAATAAATTCTGGGTAAATTCCCTTGTTATTTCTCTTTTCTAAGAAGAAAACGGTTATTCCTATCACCAGTGCCCAATTGTTGACATCTTTCCAAATTTTACTTTTCTCCTCTATGAATATTTTAGTTATTTAAACACAATTTTATGCCTCGGTATTAGTTTTATTTTTCTAAACACATTGCACATATTGTATTTCCATTTATTTAGCTCCTACTGGATAACCTTCTCCTGTAGCAGCATTCTTGCTTGGTTCTGGTAACCATGCCCTTTCCTTGCCTCTTCAGGTATAGACATAGTAGTGTGTTCCTGGTGGTGCTGACCCGGGGCTTTTCCATTCTCAATTGCTGGTTTCCTTTGAACTGTGCTCACAATCTTGTAAAGAGGCTCTTCATTAAATTTGCTTTCTTTAACACTATTGAATATGCTTCTTTTTTCCCAGTAGTCTGACTGTTATGAATTGATTAAACCCAATTTCTTCTAGAGAAAGTGATGGTCAGAAATGTGTAGTAATTTTCTAAGTTTGCACAGCAGGTAAGGGAGGTAAAAATCCAGATCTGAACTCAACTATCTTCCAAATGTCAATATCCATAGTTGTTGCCATGTGGGGTGATAAAGACTGAACTATAGATGATACTAGGACTATAGAAAAGTTTCATATACTGAAACATATTTTCGTAATGTTTTAGAACAGGCAATGACTATTATGAAAATATTATATCAATATTAAAGGTTCTTGGCTATCTAGCAGCAGCAATATTTTTTTGAGAGCTAGCCACATCACAAGATCTGGGACGTTTCAAGGGTGAGATTAAGTACAAGAGGCAGATATCAGCAATAGTATATTTTAAAATGACAACTTCAAGGAGAATGCTTCCACAGAAAAGAGAGCCCAAGAGGCTGCAGTCATTAGCCTTCTTTCCAAGTTCCATAAATCCAGAGCAAAATTGCCAAAATCTCAATGACATAATTGATGCAAAGAGAAACATGTGGTGGTAGACGGGAGAGAATGGGTAACCCCCACCCTGTAATACTTGGCTAGTTTTCTGGAAAATAACAATACATTTGCCAAACTTAATCTGAACTTGCTCAGTTCTGCTGAGTCTTTCATCCATTATTAATGTGAAGTTTTCACCATCATTGCAAGGTCCACATATCTTAATCCTGCTTTTTTTGTGGTTTGATGATTAAAAACCACAGACATTCACAAGTGCACAGGAAATTCAATAGAGTCTTTTTAAAAGGTTCTGGTTTTGTTTGGCATATAGATTTTGCAGTCTGGAATAGGACAAAACCAAAATTTCAAAGGAAGTTTAATGAGTTAATACTGCAAGAATCAAAAGTCACTAAATCAATTCAACCAAGTTGATTCAAGTTGAAACTACCAAACACACAATCCTGGTTATAATTCTGCCATTTACCTGTATTTATATTGAAGATCTTCTTTATTCAAAATTTTGTATAACCAATTCAAAACTCCACATTATTAAAATGACTTGGTATTTTAATAGGCTATATTTGTTTTAATCACATATAAATCTCAACATATAAACAGTTGAGTTTTCCTCATAAACAAAGATATTTTCATAAAAATAAGCTATCCATATAGTTTATTTTATTAAACATTTTTAAACAGTTAATACACTCACATACTACAATGTTCAAATATTACTAAGGAGATTAGAGAGAAAAGTATGTTTTCTTTCTACCCTGTTCCCTAGCCATGAGCTCTACTCTTTGGAGGCAAGATGAATTTTCAGTATGCGAGTATCCTTCTAAAGCCAGTCTAGGCGTATGTAACAAGCAACTATATATGTGGGTACGTACATACATTTAGGTTTTATTTTGATTTCAAACAGATGGCAGTATGCTCTATAATGCTTTGGACTTTGGTTTATTCCCACTTAAAATACATCTTAGATATAATTCTATAGCATTGTTTCATTCATGTATAAGAGATAGACAGAATTCATTTGTATCACTGTATCATAATTATAGTACCAGCTAATATGTTTAAACATTTAGTTGAATTCTTCTTCCTCCCTCCCTCCCTCCCTCCCTCCTTTCTTTCTTTCTTTCCTTCCTTTCTTTCCTTCTTTCTTTCTGATGGAGTCTCACTCTGTTGCACAGGCTGTAGTGCATTGGCATGATCTCAGCTCACTGTAGCCTCCACCTCCAGGGTTCAAGTGATCCTCCCACCTCGGCCTCCCAAGTATCTGGAATTACAAGTGTGCATCACCATGCCTAGATGATTTTTGTATTTTTAGTAGAGATGGGGTTTCACCACATTGGCTAGGCTGGGGATTCTGGTACTTTTCTAATACTCTAACAACTTCAATTCTTAATGGTACAATTATTAAACCCATTTTACATATAAGGAAACTGAAGGACAGATAGATTCATTAACTTTGCACAAGATTACAGAGATAGAAGACATCAGAGGTACCCGAGGTGAGATAGTTTATTTCCAGATCCTGAGATTTTTGAGAGAGAATCTCCATGTTTCTCTCATGTTGCTGCAAATCTTATAAACAGATGTACTGGCTGTTTTTGTGACAGACTATCTTTTCTAGAATGTTTGTATAGCAAACTTCCTTGAAAAACAGAGATTGTAAATCTCTTCCAGGCAGAGGAAAGATTTCTTTACTGTCCAAAGAAAATAAAGATAGCATCTCTCTATGGCAAAAAAAAACAGATTTGTTTGCAGTTGATTATGAAAGATTTGAGTTCTCTAACTTTGAGGTTCATAAGCCATGATGCAACACGACTGTATGTGCAGGATCCATATGATCTCCTGTACCTTGTCTCCACAGAAATGGGGGACAAGGTGAACCTATGCATACATGATGCCCTTGCCTGCTGTCTTGTGAATAATCAAGTGCTTTGTCTTTGATCCAAGAATCTCATGGCTTCCATCCATGAAACTGTGATTGACTAACTTGATAGTTTTTAGGTGAAGTAAATCTCAGAACTTTCACCATCCTAAGCAGAGTTCTTAACCTATTCTTTGTTGCCTATGTATTTAATCATAATTTATTAAAATAATTTCCCCTATTGGTGGATATTTACATTAATTTCCATATTATGTTGAAAACATTGGGAGACTTTCATTTCTGATCCAATATATAAAGAACTTGAAAGTTGTCACTCCCATCCTCACATACACACACAAAAATTGTAAAACTGTAAAATTGTAAAATTAACAAATCTTAGATCCATGAAAAACTGATCTCCAAGACAAGCTGCTGTCCCCCAAAATGGAAAACAGTGAATAAAGAGAAGCACAGCTTCCCAGGAGCAAAAGTGGCAAGCTGTGCTTCTCTTTATTCCCCTGTCTTCCATTTTGACCTTGAGTCAATACCAGTAGAAACACTTAACCTATAGTTGGTCAAATGCTGGAGACTCACTGTGGACAAGCTAGAGAGTTAAAAATTCCAAAAAATGAGGGGATTATCAGGGGAAATCAGACTTTCATGAGTTTTTCCTCCCAGAGCCTCAGGAAGTTCTTACTGTGAAGATCAGAGTAAACTATCCTTGTTCTTCTAGCACAAGGAGGAGACAAATAACCATCCTGAAATGCACTAAGAGCTCTCTGATCTCCTTAGTATAGCTTGCCCTCAAGGGAAATTATTTTGCCAGAGGTTAACTAGCTTAGAAGAAGGGAAATACCCAACTTCAGCCCTATATCCTTCAATATGGGGAAAGGGAAGCACTCAACACTAGTCCCTTTCTAGTGTTCCATGTGAGAGAAGAAAAATACCCAACTCCACCTCAACTCCTGATCCCTCCAGCCCAAGAGATGTGGGGAGGAAACATCAGAAACACTTGTGAAGATCACAAACCAGGAATATAGGCTCAAAAGAAGACAGAGACCTAAGCACAGAATACAGAATACTCCTCCTCCTCCTGCACATTTCCACTGAATCAATATGGCACTTATATAACAGGGATTACAGCAGAAAAGAAAGAGAAAGCAAGAAAGAAGAGAGGGAGGGAGGGATGGAGGGAAAAGAAAGAAGTAAGCCTGACACCCTATTAAAGAAGAAGTCTCTAAGAAAACTCAAAGTCAACAAAGGAGACAAAAACAAGAATACTAGAGGAAATTTTCGCTACAGCAAACACTAAACAGTCTGACTCCTAGTCAGATAAACATAAAAGTTTTCACTAAAGGTCTATTCATTCCAGTAATTTTTTTTTTTCCAAATACGTCATGTCTGGCTGTCAACATAAAGTTATAAGGCATGCAAAAGGCAAAAAAAAAAAAAAAAAAAAAGCACAGTCTGAAGAGACAAAAAAGCATGCATCAGAACCAGTCAACTATAGCAGATTTTGAAATTATACTGGGAATTTTAAACAACTATGACTAATACACCACATACCCCAGTGGAAAAAGTTAATAACACACAAAAACAGTTGGGTAATGAAAGCAGAGACATGGAAATTCTAAGAAAGATTTAAAGGAAATACTAGAAATCAATATCACAATAAATGAAATGAAGAATGTGTTTGATGGGCTCATCAATAGACTATACGTGACTTAAGAAAGAATCACTGAGCTTGAAGATTTGTCAATAGAAACTTTCCAAACTGAAAAGCAAAGAGAAAAAAAATGAAAAAAAAAAAAAACCCAGAATACCCAAGAATTGTAGGACAATTACAAAGGTGCAAAATATGAATAACGGGGTGTGGAGCCAAGATGGCCGAATAGGAACAGCTCCAGTCTACAGCTCCCAGCATGAGCGACGCAGAAGACGGGTGATTTCTGCATTTCCAACTGAGGTACTGGGTTCATCTCACTGGGGAGTGCCAGACATTGGGTGCAGGACAGTGGGTGCAGCGTACCCTACGTGAGCCGAAGCAGGGCGAGGCATCACCTCACCTGGGAAGCACAAGGGGTCAGGGAATTCCCTTTCCTAGTCAAAGAAAGGGGTGACAGATGGCACCTGGAAAATTGGGTCACTCCAACCCTAATACTGGGCTTTTCCAACGGGCTTAACAAACGGCACACCAGGAGATTATATCCCGCACCTGGCTTGGAGGATCCTACACCCATGGAACCTCACTCATTGCTAGCACAGCAGTCTGAGATCAAACTGCAAGGCAGCAGCGAGGCTGGGGGTGGGGCACCCGCCATTGCTCAGGCTTGAGTAGGTAAACAAAGCAGCCTGGAAGCTCAAACTGGGTGGAGCCCACCACAGCTCAAGGAGGCCTGCCTGCCTCTGTAAGCTCCACCTCTGCGGGCAGGGCACAGACAAACAAAAGACAGCAGTAACCTCTGCAAACTTAAATGTCCCTGTCTGACAGCTTTGAAGAGAGTAGTGGTTCTCCCAGCACGCAGCTTGAGATCTGAGAATGGGCAGACTGCCTCCTCAAGTGGGTCCCTGACTCCCGAGTAGCCTAACTGGGAGGCATCCCCCAGTAGGGGCGGACTGACACCTCACACGGCCGGGTACTCCTCTGAGACAAATCTTCCAGAGGAACAATCAGGCAGCAGCATGTGCAGTTCACCAATATCCACTGTTCTGCAGCCACTGCTGCTGATACCCAGGCAAACAGGGTCTGGAGTGGACCTCCAGCAAACTCCAACAGACCTGCAGCTGAGGGTCCTGACTGTTAGATGGAAAACTAACAAACAGAAAGGACATCCACACCAAAAACCCATCTGTACGTCACCATCATCAAAGACCAAAGGTAGATGAAACCACAAAGATGAGGACAAAACAGAGCAGAAAAACCGGAAACTCTAAAAATCAGAGTGCCTCTTCTCCTTCAAAGGAACACAGCTCCTCACCAGCAACAGAACAAAGCTGGACGGAGAATGACTTTGATGAGTTGAGAGAAGAAGGCTTCAGAAGATCAAACTACTCCAAGCTAAAGGAGGAAGTTTGAACCAATGGCAAAGAAGTTAAAAACCTTGAAAAAATATTAGATGAATGGCTAACTAGGATAACCAATGCAGAGAAGTCCTTAAAGGACCTGATGGAGCTGCAAACCAAGGCACGAGAACTACATGATGAATGCACAATCCTCCGTAGCCGATGCAATCAACTAGAAGAAAGAGTATCAGCGATGGAAGACTAAATGAATGAAATGAAGCGAGTAGAGAAGTTTAGAGAAAAAAGAATAAAAAGAAATGAACAAAGCCTCCAAGAAATATGGGACTATGTGAAAAGACCAAATCTACGTCTGATTGGTGTACCTGAAAGTGACAGGGAGAATGGAACCAAGTTGGTAAACACTATGCAGGATATTATCCAGGAGAACTTCCCCAATCTAGCAAGGCAGGCCAACATTCAGATTCAGGAAATACAGAGAACACCACAAAGATACTCCTTGAGAAGAGCAACTCCAAGACACATAATTATCAGATTCACCAAAGTTGAAATGAAGAAAAAAATGTGAAGGGCAGCCAGAGAGAAAGGTCGGGTTACCCACAAAGGGAAGCCCATCAGACTAACAGCGGATCTCTCGGCAGAAACTCTACAAGCCAGAAGAGAGTGGGGGCCAATATTCAACATTCTTAAAGAAAAGAATTTTCAACCCAGAATTTCATATCCAGTCAAACTAAGCTTCATAAGTGAAGGAGAAATAAAATACTTTACAGACAAGCAAATGCTAAGAGATTCTGTCACCACCAGGCCTGTCCTAAAAGAGCTCCTGAAGGAAGCACTAAACATGCAAAGGAACAACTGGTACCAGCCACTGCAAAAACATGCCAAATTGTAAAGACCATCAAGGCTAGGAAGAAACTGCATCAACTAACAAGCAAAATAACCAGCTAACACCATAATGACAGGATCAAATTCACACATAACAATATTAAGCTTAAATGTAAATGGGCTAAATGCTCCAATTAAAAGACACAGACTGGCAAATTGGATAAAGAGTCAAGACCCATCAGTGTGCTGTATTCAGGAAACTCATCTCATGTGCAGAGACACACATAGGCTTAAAATAAAGGGATGGAGGAAGATCTACCAAGCAAATGGAGAACAAAAAAAGTCAGGGGTTGCAATCCTAGTCTCGGATAAAACAGACTTTAAACCAACAAAGATCAAAAGAGACAAAAAAGGCCATTACATAATGGTAAAGGGATCAATTCAACAAGAAGAACTCACTGTCCTAAATATATATGCACCCAATACAGGAGAACCCAGATTCATAAAGCAAGTCCTTAGTGACCTACAAAGAGAATTAGACTCCCACACAATAATAATGGGAGACGTTAACACCCCACTGTCAACATTAGACAGATCAACAAGACAGAAAGTTAACAAGGATATCCAGGAATTGAACTCAGCTCTGCACCAAGTGGACCTAATAGACATCTACAGAACTCTCCACCCCAAATCAACAGAATATACATTCTTTTCAGCATCACACCATACCTATTCCAAAATTGACCATATAGTTGGAAGTAAAGCTCTCCTCAGTAAATGTAAAAGAACAGAAATTATAACAAACTGTCTCTCAGACCATGGTGCAATCAAACTTGAACTCAGGATTAAGAAACTCACTCAAAACCACTCAACCACATGGAAACTGAACAACCTGCTCCTGAATGACTACTGGGTACCTAAGGAAATGAAGGCAGAAATAAAGATGTTCTTTGAAACCAATGAGAACAAAGACACAACGTACCAGAATCTCTGGGACACATTCAAAGCAGTGTGTAGAGGGAAATTTATAGCACCAAATGCCCACAAGAGAAAGCAGGAAAGATCTGAAATTGACATCTTAACATCACAATTAAAAGAACTAGAGAAGCAATAGCAAACACATTCAAAAGCTAGCAGAAGGCAAGAAATAACTAAGATCAGAGCAGAACTGAAGGAGATAGAGACACAAAAAACCCTTCAAAAAATCAATAGATCCAGGAGCTGGTTTTTGAAAAGATCAACAAAATAGATAGACCGCTAGCAAGACAAATAAAGAAGAAAACAGAGAAGAATCAAATAGACGCAATAAAAAATGACAAAGAGGATATCACCACCGATCGCACAGAAATACAAACTACCACCAGAGAATACTATAAACACCTCCATGCAAAAAAAACTAGAAAATCTAGAAGAAATGGATAAATTCCTCGACAAATACACCCTCCCAAGACTAAACCAGGAAGAAGTTGAATCTCTGAATAGACCAATAACAGACTCTGAAATTGAGGCAATAGTTAATAGCTTACCAACCAAAAAAAGTCAAGGACCAGATGGATTCACAGCCGAATTCTACCAGATGTACAAGGAGGAGCTGGTACCATTCCTTCTGAAACTATTCCAATCAATAGAAAAAGAGGGAATCCTCCCTAACTCATTTTATGAGGCCAGCATCATCCTGATACCAAAGCCTGGCAGAGACACAACAAAAAAAGAGAATTTTAGACCAATATCCTTGATGAACATTGATGCAAAAATCCTCAATAAAATATGGGCAAACCAAATCCAGCAACACATCAAAAAGCTTATCCACCATGATCAAGTGGGCTTCGTCCCTGGGATGCAAGGCTGCTTCAACATACGAAAATCAATAAACGTAATCCAGCATATAAACAGAACCAAAGACAAAAACCACAAGGTTATCTCAATAGATGAAGAAAAGGCCTTTGACAAAATTCAACAACCCTTCATGCTAAAAACTCTCAATAAATTAAGTATTGATGGGATGTATCTCAAAATAATAAGAGCTATCTATGACAAACCCACAGCCAATATCATACTGAATGGATAAAAATTGGAAGCATTCCCTTTGAAAACTGGCACAAGACAGGGATGCCCTCTCTCACCACTCCTATTCAACATAGTGTTGGAAGTTCTGGCCAGGGCAGTCAGGCAGGAGAAGGAAATAAAGGGCATTCAATTAGGAAAAGAGGAAGTCAAATTGTCCCTGTTTGCAGATGACATGACTGTATATCTAGAAAACCCCATCATCTCAGCCCAAAATCTCCTTAAGCTGATAGGCAACTTCAGCAAAGTCTCAGGATACAAAATCAATGTGCAAAAATCACAAGCATTTTATACACCAATAGCAGACAAACAGAGACCAAAATCATGAGTGAACTCCCATTCACAATTGCTTCAAAGAGAATAAAATACCTAGGAATCCAACTTACAAGGGATGTGAAGGACCTCTTCAAGGAGAACTACAAACCACTTCTCAATGAAATAAAAGAGGATACAAACAAATGGAAGAACATTCCATGCTCATGGGTAGGAAGAATCAATATCATGAAAATGGCCATACTGCCCAAGGTAATTTGTAGATTCAATGCCATCCCCATCAAGCTACCAATGACTTTCTTCACAGAATTGGAAAAATCTACTTTAAAGTTCATATGGAACCAAAAAAGAGCCCGCATTGCCAAGTCAATCCTAAGCCAAAAGAATAAAGCTGGAGGCATCAGCTACCTGACTTCAAACTATACTACAAGGCTACAGTAGCCAAAACAGCATGGTACTGGTACCAAAACAGAGATATAGACCAATGGAACAGAACAGAGCCCTCAGAAATAATGCTGCATATCTACAACTATCTGATCTTTGACAAACCTGATAAAAACAAGCAATGGGGAAAGGATTCCCTATTTAATAAATGGTGCTGGGAAAACTGGCTAGCCATATGTAGAAAGCTGAAACTGGATCCCTTCCTTACACCTTATACAAAAATTAATTCACGATGGATTAAAGACTTACACGTTAGACCTAAAACCATAAAAACCCTAAGAAAACTTAGGCAATATAATTCAGGATATAGGCATGGGCAAGGACTTCATGTCTAAAACACCAAAAGCAATCTTAACAAAAGCGAAAATTGACAAATGGGATCTAATTAAACTAAAGAGCTTCTGCACAGCAAAACAAACTACCATCAGAGTGAACAGGCAACCTACAGAATGGGAGAAAATTTTTGCAACCTACTCATCTGACAAAGGGCTAATATCCAGAATCTACAATGAACTCAAACAAATTTACAAGAGAAAAACAAACAACCCCATCAAAAAGTGGGCAAAGGATATGAACAGACACTTCTCAAAAGAAGACATTTATGCAGCCAAAAAACACATGAAAAAATGCTCATCATCACTGGTCATCAGAGAAATGCAAATCAAAACCACAATGAGATACCATCTCACACCAGTTAGAATGGCAATCATAAAAAAGTCAGGGAACAACAGGTGCTGGAGAGGATGTGGAGAAATAGGAACACTTTTACACTGTTGGTGGGACTGTAAACTAGCTCAACCATTGTGGAAGTCAGTGTGGCGATTCCTCAGGGATCTAGAACTAGAAATACCATTTGACCCAGCCATCCCATTACTGGGTATATACCCAAAGGATTATAAATCATGCTGCCTCAAAGACACATGCACACATATGTTTATTGCGGCACTATTCACAATAGCAAAGACTTGGAACCAACCCAAATGTCCAACAATGATAGACTGGATTAAGAAAATGTGGCACATATACACCATGGAATACTATGCAGCCATAAAAAATGATGAGTTCCTGTCCTTTGTAGGGACATGGATGAAGCTGGAAACCATCATTCTCAGCAAACTATCGCAAGGACAAAAAACCAAACACTGCATGTTCTCACTCACAGGTGGGAACCGAACAATGAGAACACATGGACACAGGAAGGGGAACATCACACACTGAGGCCTGTTGTGGGGTTGGGGGAGTGGGGAGGGATAGCATTAGGAGATATACCTAATGCTAAATGATGAGTTAATGGGTGCAGCACACCAACATGGCACTATGTAACAAACCTGTACATTATGCACATGTACCCTAAAACTTAAAGTATAATAATAATAAAATAAAATAAAAAAAGGAGAGCTTTCCATCTCACACACTGCTCATGTTGGCTGCAGAACTGGAGGGTGTCACAGGCATCTAATGGACATCTGCTCCCTGGGCACCACACACTGGGCCCTTGACCATGGCTAGAGCGTGGAGGAAGAGGTTTGGGGGGCATGATGAAGAAAACCTGACTTGTTGTATTCATTAGTGCTTCCATAAGTCAAGTTTCTGTAAATGGCTGCATAATAAATATGTTAAATGGAAAAAAATATATATATGAATAATGGGAATACCAGAAAAAGAAAGGAAGGAACAGAGAAAATATTTGAATATTAGATTTTGTTACTCATTTTTCTCAAAATGTCTAGGGGCTTTCTTTCTCACTCAAAATAGGATACAATTTGTCTCTTAGGGCTTATAAGATCTTCTTTGATATTTCACCAAGGCTACACTCAAATCTTGTCTTCTTCCACTCTTTCCTTCTATTACTCAGCACTAATCACACTGAGCTCTTTTTTTTTGTCAAGTGTGTCAAACTTTACCCGATATAGTGCTCTTAAAATTCTCTTTTCCCTGCTTATATTACCCTTCTGTTAAACATTCCCATGGCTCTCTCCTTCACTTTATGCAAGCCTCTGCTTAAATACTCCTTCCTCAGAAAACCTCTCCTGATCATCTCATCTAAAATAGACATTTCCAGTTTCACTCTCTATCCCTGCACCTACTTTACTATTCTTTTTTTCTTTTCTATTCTGTTTGTTTAATTGACATGTGATAAGTATACATATTTATGGGATATACAGCGGTGTTTCAATGTACATAATTTATACTGATCAAGTCAGATTAGCATATCCATCACATCAAACATTTATTATTTGTTTGTGTTGGGAATATTCAATATCTTCCTTCTAGATATTTGAAACCATATAATATATTATTGTTAGCTATAGTTATCCTACAGTGCTATAGAACACTAAAAAGTATTCTATCTAGCTGTAATTACTTTACTATTCTTAATAGCACTGATCACTATGTGACATTATTTTTCCTTGCTTATTGTCTGTCTCTTCCACTACATTATAAGCTGTATAAAAGAATAGATCTCTCTTTCACTCCAAGGACCTAGGACATTACTAAGCATATAGTTGGTGTAAAAACACACACACACACACACACACACACAAACTTTATTGAAGAAATGAATGAATGAGCAACTGAAGTACTGAAGTAAACTTCTCAAATAAGACCATTTCTCTAAATTCAATTTGTTGGACTGATATTATCTAAATTAAATATAGAAGAAATTATATTTTTATATTTGGAGACTCTTCACTTTCCCTGAACACATAAGTATAATAAGACTTACTTAATCTGAAGGTTTTCTTCTCCTAAAGTATGTTCTGTAATCCGTATTCCCATCGCATTTGCTTCTCTTATTTTTTTCATGATTTAATATGTAAATAAAACTAAAGTTTTCTGAAGAAATGCAGAAAAGAATCACTAGGTGATGAGGATGCAATTTATTAATTCAATCTCTTCTCCCAGAAAGTTAATACAGAAGGAAAAAAATGGTATGTGACACATACAGAATGGAAGTTTTTATAAGGAAAGGAAGCAAAATCAAATAAAATTGTTGTAGAGCTCTATGTTTTGGGTACATACACATGAATTTGATATAAACATAAGAGTAGAGTTTTATTTAAAAGTCCCCAAAATATCCATGTTATTTGTAGGATAAAGTTTCTAGTGGCTGTTACTTTTTGCTTAAAATTGCAGGCTCTTATATCTTTTCTTCTGTTCCTTTTTCCCACATCCAATTTGTCTATGTCGTCATTAAATGTAAACATTTTTGACCCAGTCAAATATGTTTTACCTTTAATCCTGATGAACTTTTGACCTACATAAATTTATTCTGATTACACATATTTCCATAGCACTCTCAAATTACTCTAGTACCCTAAGCCTACTGGGATGTCACATACCTAACATTTACTTGGCATCTGCCAACTTTACTTACTCATACAAAGTATAGTTAAAAAGTGACATTGAAAAGCATCTATATATATAATGTGTAGAGATAGATACACACATACATGTGTGTGTATATATCCTTCAAACTATTCTATTAATAATAATGCTGATTACTTTTCTCTTTCCTTTTGTTACTATCACATTATTTCAAGCCATCACTATTTCTTTTCTTTTTGATGAAAGGAGCTTAAAGACAGAGAAAGAAAAGTCTTCCATATTATGCTTAGGTAAAGTTGAATAGTTTCAAGTAAACTAAGAATGAGTGAGGGTTTAAAAATACACGACAAATGTAATTGTGTGCATACGAATATGTATATTGTCTTTTTGTCAAAAACAGCAAAAGAAGAACAGACAGAGAGGCGTTGTTTTGTTGAGCCACAAAGCAATACTTAAATGTATTCCCTTTGAGTCATTTTCAAATACCATGAATGATTGTTAGAAGAGAGAAGAGCGTGGGAAGACAAATGAAGCAATCAAACAATATTAAGGTAGTAGGGATTTGTATATATGAGTAGGTATTTTTAACATATTTTCAAAAAAAGAGAATGGTCTAGTGGTTGCACAGAAGAACAGGAGTAAGAGAGTCCTCTGGCTGAATTCCCCTCACTTGCCAATGAGTTTTCAAGGTGAGTTCCACAAGTGACATTGCCTCAGCGTTGGCCTCTACCACTCCAAGCAAATAATGCCCATGGAGCCCATAAGGACTAAGCCAGGAGAAGCTTAACATAAATCTATCTTTCAGCTGTAGCAGAAACAAATCAAAAAATATTTTTCCAAAGAAAATATGAAATTAATTAATCATTAGGCTTCCTATAATAAACATATTTTATTTTGCCTGTCTTATTAAAATATCCTTTTAAAGAAAAATTTGAGTATTTGAATCTTGTGTTGACCAGATGTCTTATAAAAATGCTATCCATTATATTATGGATAAATGCTATCCATTATATTAATGTTATTATTATTCTTATTTTCATTTGGTCACAGTGTCAATTTTTCATTTAAAATGTTCTGAACTTTGTATATGTCTCTTAAAATCTGAAAGAGCTGTATGCCTTTAGAATTTACCAGGTTAATCTATTTTTTAAGACTTTGACTTAAGATTACTAAAATGTTGACCTGGATTTCTAAATTTTCTTTTTGAAAATAATGTCACCTTAAATTGTATGAACATATTAAATGTAGCTGAACTAGTTGAATATGTTGAATATTTTAACAGCAACAAGTCAATACCTACATACATTCCCTCGGAGGCCATCAGAGTAGGTACTTTGCAAATGCTTAGCCATGCCAAAGCCTTCTCTAAGCAGAAAGGAAAACACGTACGCAGATTTATGTCCTACTCTCTGAAATGTCCTATGGAGGAACCTCAGGTTAAAATAAACTCGCAGAGACCAATCACCATTCTCCAGTTTGACTGTCCAAGGAGAAGGATCAAAATTGGGTTCTGTTTTCCAAGCCACTTCGGAATTTGAGGAGCATCTTCCTAAAATGGCTAAGTGGGTATTTTATTCTGTCCTTGTACCCAGCAGTATAGTAAAAATAGCTATTTCTACTGTGGAGCATTGACTAATTCTGATACAAGATATTCATTTTATCTTATCCATTTTGTTCTGAGACCAAGTAAAACTTTATAAATAACCACAAATATAAGATCAATAAACACAATAATAAAAAGCAATTAAACATGTCTGTCACTTTGCAAATTCTGTCATTATGTATTTAAATTCATTAATTCAAAAAACACTTACTGAGGACCTTTTCTGAGTCAACACAACCAAATGATGCAATTACTATTAAATTCCAAATTTTATGGATAAAGATAGAGTTTTAAAGAGAGTTATATGTTGCACAAGATCACACACTAGACAGATGAGCCAAGACTTCACCTCAGATGTGTCTGATGCCAAAGACTGAAGGTTAAGCTCCTTCATCATTAGCTGCCAAGCATGTTTTCCCAACCTCACCTAGCTCTCAGATACACTTCTTTTGCTTTTTTGGAACTAAGCCCAGCCAAACATTCTCTGTGACAATGTAGGGAGGTCAAGGTTTGGAATGTATTTTTTTCATACAACTTCTCTCAAACCAGTTTGCAAATTATTGCACAAGGTGCCATGATATTCTCTGACTGTACCAGAGGCAACTTCTTGATAGATTCAATTCCTACAATAACAGCCATAGGTCAGAAAATGAGGGAGTTATGGAATGAGTGGTTTTGGGCCTGTGTTTTTTGGCCTGACACTGGTGAGCGTGTATAATCTGGATAGATGTTAGCTTTCTAAACAAACATAACCTCTGATTGCATTAAAGGGGGAAATAAAGTTTGAACTTGTTTCCTTCATTAAATAGCTCTAAAAACTGGCATTTGTTGAGTTCAAAATGGGGAATTAGTTCTGATGTGCAAAAACAATTACAGGAATGATGGAGCTACCAGAGTAAAGTCTTCAGTTTTCTCAAATAATCACAGAGACATTTCATCAGAAATGTGTCTCAGACAGCTCATTTAAATATCAAGTAAGAAGTGCTAAATTAGATGTGTCTGTGAAAAGTTCCTCAACTATAGTTGGTTTTGACACTGGACTGGGTTCATTCTTCATTTTGGAGACTCCTGTTGACCAGATACTACCAATGTGAAAGCATTAATTTGCATGTATCACTTTTGTTATTCAGAATTTCACAAATTCAAGGAGAAAAATTTAAGAAGAAATCACTGAAATGAGAAGAAACTGCCATTTTATTGATGGTGAACAGCTGGCATCAAGGAATATTATGAAGCACAGTAGGCTTTAATTGTGATCTATGTTAAAACATATTACAATATGGAAAGAAACCATAGGGTAAAGCAATTGGCTCTATTTGTATTCAATGTAAATTCATAACATCATGAAAAGATATGAGAAAGAATAATTACTAACATAAAGTTGCCTTTCATTCTCAAATGCATAATGCAATCTATAACTAGGACAAAAATTAATTCTATGAACTAAAATAAGATGTAATGTATATTGAAAATATTTTAGACAAAACTTATGGGCATGCAAGTATACTATTTTTTTGCTAATTGCATTAACAGTTTTCTGCACTTCAAAAATTACAGTTTCTGCAATCATACTATTACTATAAAGGCAATAGCCTAATTAAAGAAAAGATGGAGAAAGACACAAGAGTAATTTGTAATGCGTCACAAAATGACTGTATTCTGGGCTAGGCTGACATCAAGTAAAGAAATCAAAAGTCTCACATGTTCAGTACAGGGCTTTTTTTTTTTTTTTTAACTAAATCTAGCATTGAATGATATCTAGATAGTGATAAAGACTTAGATCTTCTCAGGTCACTTATGCAACTGAAATATTTATAGACCATGCAAAATATAACTGATTTTATAAAGAACCTACTTATTAGTAACTTTATTCATATAAAATGAAACTGAAAATGCTGCTAAAGAACCACTTACTACTAGTGAAAGAAGAAAAAACGTGGTTGAAGATTTTAGAACAGGTCTTTCTGTTACAAATCCTATATATATTCTTTAAAAATTTGTATTGTAGAAAATCATGCGCTAAAGTTAATAGGCCTTAGGTGGATAACAAAGTTATCAAATCTTCATTAATTTATATCTCAATTATTAAACTAGAACAATTTAAATAACACCGCTAATACAGTTAAATCTTCACAGACATTTGTAACCAGAATCAAACGTCCACAGTTGGTTCCTCCACCCTTAAATTCTGCGTTTGTGCTTTTTCTTTTAGATGAGGATACTAGAGGTATTTTACTGAAACCAGTATTGTTAACACTAAAATCTGAACCGAAAGATAGGTTTCTACATTGTTTGATTTTTTAAACCTGGGGAGTGTCTTCACAGCTTCTCCATTTATACCACAAACTTCCACAGTTAGCTTAATTCTGGGAAATTTAGCAGTTTTTGAGGCACATTAAAAAACACAAGTTGTACCAAAAGAAAACAGTTCAACATAATGTATTGGAAAGAGAGTTATCTTTCACACAGGCTGACTAGCTATAAAAAGTTAGTTTTGTTTTGCTTTGTTTAAATCAACTTTATTACCCTAATTTAACATACAAAAAATGCACAGATTGTAAGTTGATGAGATTTGACAAATATATTACACTCGAGTAATCACCATCCCAATCAACATCCTTTAAGTCCTTTAAGTTTTTGAAGGTAGCATAGTCTTTGGCATGCTCCCCTGGAATGATCTATTGGTTTTGATTTGCTACCTTGGTGAGTAAACCGGGACTGTTTCAAGGGTTTTTCCTTGCTCTCTCCCACTACAATAGCTCTTACTCCACAGGTTCAGGGACCAATGGTAAGGGTTTTGCCAACAGCTCACTATATCCATTCTGATTATACACTTAGAAACTGGGGAAATGCCCAGCAGGCCAGTTGGTGAACCCAGTAGTATCAAGGTAAGATGGACCTACGTAAAGATTTCATATATAACCTGACCCTTATATATCTCTTCTATAAGAGGGATGCCATGACAGCATATAGAGGCACATGGTATCATAAGCAACTCAGATGCAGCATCCAAATGCACAGTTACTCAAGTAAATGGTCATAAGTCTGTCTCTCTGTAAAAAGACTGAGGTGATCACTACTGTATAAACTTGTCATGGTGTCACAGGGTGCTTCCTCATGGATATCTGGACTGTCCTTAAGTTGACAGGTTCTGTGTCTAAGAACTAGCTCTGGAAACTGGCCAAGGGTGGTGATTTTCTGCTGAGATGGGTGACCTCAGTCCCCTTCCTATTTGTTTTTGATCTCTTTCAATTATATAGTTCTGTAGGTTAGCCTCCCCTTGGTGCCACTGTAATCTTGCTGCCTTGAAGGTAATTCCACCTCTGTTGCTTCTGATAGCTAAGTGCCGCCACATGGCTTCTCAAATTCTGTGATCCCATCATCCCATTGCTACCAGGGAGCACAGTTTTGTAACACCCTCTCCTGTCAGTCTTGGAGAGCCAATACTGAACAAATATCCTCCTCACTAACACATTCAATGATCAATTTGATAAACTGAGTATTTTTTTAAATTATTTTTTGAGACAGAGATTTTTGCTCTTTGTTGCCCATGCTGGAGTGCAATTGCGCGATCTCAACTCACCACAACCTCCACCTCCCAGGTTCAAGCGATTCTCCTACCTCAGCCATCCAAGTAGCTGGGATTACAGGCATGCACAACCACGCCTAACTAATTTTGTATTTTTGGTAGAGAAGGGGTTTCTCCATGTTGGTCAGGCTGGTCTCGAACTCCCGACCTTAGGTGATCCACCCGCCCCGGCCTCCCAAAGTGCTGGGATTACAGGCGTGAGCCACCTTACCCAGAAATAAACTGCGTATTCTTTATGGAATCCAAGGAACATAGTTAGTAAATATTCTGGTCTAATATAGTAGACATATTCCAGCATGACTACTTCTTTAAGACTTTTAATCTTTTCCTTTATAATTTGGCATGATTATTCTGGCATCTCTCCTTCATTGAATGTGGGTCATCACTTTTTCCAAGCTTCCCAGTGCCATCCTATCATGAATTAATACTCTAATGGCAACGTGAGTTGTTATCCTTGGGTCCTTGCCAGGCTGTTAAATTCTGAATCATAAGAAACTGCCCTATATTGACCAAATATCCATTTTCTAGTTTTGTGTTCTATTCTCCTCAATGCAGTACCTTAAGAATCCACTCCTGAGCACATGTCATCTAGTCCTACAGGTCCTATGGCCCACAGTTTCTCTTCTTCCTTGTCAGGTCCAGTGATTCTCCAATTGGGTCGTGCTAAGACTTGTCCGATTATCAATCTAGTGGTCAGGATGAAAGGTTGGGGTAGATACTGAAGAGAGCAATTATTATGGCACCTGCCTTATTTGCCTCTGCATAATCTCCCCATCAAGGGAATGGGCCACTTGTGCATCACAAAAACACACAGGTATCTATATGTGAACATAAATCTAAAAATGTCATCAGGGCAGGTTTTTTGTTTGTTTGTTTTGAGACGGAGTCTGGCTCTGTCGCCCAGGCTGGAGTGCAGTGGCGCAATCTTGGTGCTCACTGCAAGCTCCGCCTCCCGGGTTCACGCCGTTCTCCTGCCTCAGCCTCCCGAGTAGTAGCTGGTACTACAGGCGCCCACCACCACGCCCGGCTAATTTTTTGTATTTTTAGTAGAGACGGGGTTTCACCATGTTAGCCAATATGGTCTCCATCTCCTGACCTCGTGATCCGCCGCCTCGGCCTCCCAAAGCGCTGGGATTACAGGCGTGAGTCACCACGCTCCGCAGGGGCAGGTTTTTATCACCGTCATGTCTCACTCAAATATAAGTGCTATGAAAATCTCCTAAATCCCTTTGCCACTACCACCTCTCTGGATTTCAGTGGGGTTGACATATGCTTGTCCTGGCTCTCTAAATGTGGCTGTCCACTTGGGCTAATTTAGATGCATGCAGCTCGGCCAAGCAATGTCACAGGCAAATATTGATTGCTTCTCCCACTACACATTTTTAAATCTTTTGCTGAATCAAAACCTCTATGCCTTATCCTGCTCAGGTTTGAAACTTTGGACTTTCGAGAGCCTAGTCTGGGGAGAAAAGGTGCTTTAACTGTTTCATTTTCTTTACCTTTCCTTTATTACAATTCGAACTCTATTCAAAGAAATGTGTTTGTTTCTAATTTGCAGAGACATGCAGAAATAAAAAAAAACACACAAAGATAAATATTTCAAGATACTATCTTATTCCGTGTGTGTGTGTGTGTGCACCTGTGTGCCTGTCTGCATTTTTATTTATCTAGTTAATACCCTGAATTTATTGCAAAATTCTGAAAGGAGAAAAGATGTTAAGTAAACAGGATATTACTATAACAGAAAAACCTCTCAGTTAACTGTACTTAATTAATTATCCTTTTAGCACGGTTTAAGCTGTCTGTGCTAAGTCTACAAGAAACATGAGAATATTCTGGTTACAATCACCTCTTACTCTCTGATTTGCACTATTTCTTTCACATACATTTTCAGTCTTTCTCCTTATGAGTCTCTGAATCACTTCCTAATAACTGCATATTTTTAAGATGGTATTTGCAAATGAAAATAGCATAAATTATTCTTTGTTACTTATCTAAAAAATCGTACAGTTGATCTTTGAACAATACACGGGTTAGGGCACCAAATCCCCAGGGAGTAAAAAATCTGCATGTAACATTGGAGCCCCACAAAAACTTAACTGCTAATAGACTATCGTTGACCAGAAGCTTCACTGATAACATAAGCAGTCAATTAACACATAGTTTGTAGGTTATATGTATTATATATGGTATTCTTACAATAAGATAAGCTAGAGAAAAGAAAATGTTAAGAAAATCATAAGCAAGAGAAAATATATGTACTATTCATTAAGTGGAAGTTGATCAAAAAATTCTTCACCTTCATCATTTCACATTGAGTAGGCTGAGGAGGAGGAGTTGGAATCGCTGTCTCTGGTATGGTGGGGCGGAAGAAAATTCACATATAAGTGGACCTGTGCCGTTCAAATGTATGTTGTTCAAGGGTCAATTGTAATGTGAAAAGTTTTCAGAAAAGGATGATTGCATATATGCATTTACATAGACAGCTGCATATAAACATACACATTACAATGTTCAAATTAGTTCATCAGATTGGTTGATACTCCTTTAGAACAGTGGTCTTCAAAGTGGACATGCACTAAATGATCCACAGATGTGCCAGAATGATAAGAAAGTAGTAAAATGTTCTAACATGTAATATAAGATGGATACTGTTGCCCCACTCTGTCAGTATGCCAGAAGTAACATATCACACATGAGGGGAAAGAGGGCTAGCTAGTCCTCACTCTCAGAAGTAGATAATGGTCCTTTTTTTCCATTCCTTGCTTTCAGAATATGGTCATTTATGAGTACTGTTAAGTGGATTTTCAGATTTAATTATTTAAAATAACAGAGTCCCATAATACTTTGTATCAGATGGAAATAACAATAAAACATTCTCTTTTTTAACCATATGTAGGTTCCTTGATTATCTAAAGCCTTTTTTTCCTCTTTACCTCAAATACATAGCTTTGGGTTAATCGCACTCTTCTGTTTATGATACAATTGTCATTGATCCATAGAACAAATGTCCCCTCTTTTGTATTATTTATTTACACCTTTTTATCTCCATGCCATACCATCCATTGTAAGCTACTTTCCTAATGCTTTTGATGTAGTATTTTTTCTTGTACAAATTCTCATAAAATATGTATTACTATTTTGTATTTATATATGTATTTTAATTTATATAAATATGAATTTTTTTACTTAACTCATCACTATGTTTTTAAGACTCACCCATGATTGTTTCTATTTATATATCCAGTATGAGCCTTTCAAGTGCTGCTACAATATTCTAAAGCATGCACCCACACTATTTCACTAACCATTCTATCAGAGAAGTATGCTCAAATTCCAAAAATTCTGGAAATTTTTGTGCATATCACCATTTGTACATATAACCTTTATTTCCATAGAATATTAATCTGGGAGCAAGACTGGTGAGTAGTGGAATATGCATTTCCTCTGTTTAAATATTGCCAAGTTATTCTCCAGAATGGTTGTCTGAAAGGTAGGAATCTATACTCCCACCTACAGTGCATGGAGGATACCTATAACTCTATATAGCTATGAGTATCTCACCTTTCAAGATTCTGCTAAACTGATGGTAAAATTCTATAGAGTTTTACATCTACAATTGTTGCTTTTATTTGCATTTTATTTACCAATGAGCTTGAGCCTCTCTCATTTACTTTTTAACCTTTTGCAATCTTCATCTGTGAACTGTCTCTTAAACTCTTTGCACATTATTCTACTGAAATTTAGATTTTTTTCTCCATAGAAGTATCATATATTCTTTATTAAGTAAATTTATGAACACTTTATATTTCTCAGTTGCTTATTAGTAGAACAGATAAATGCTACTGTTTTTTTTTCTTAGTCAATCCTGTGCCCAGAAACCTTGCTGAATGCTCTTATTCTATTTTTTTCTAATGATTCCTTTGGTTTTTCTTTATAGGTAATCATACTGTATGAACATAATATAGTCCTCTTTTCCTTGAGGACTTACACCTCTTATTTCTTCTTTTTAAATTCTTTGAGTGTTGAATGAAACCTAGTCTTATGCTAAATAGTGGCAATGATAGAGGATAACTTTGTTTTATGTGTACCCTTGATGTTAAAGGAAATATTTTAAGCTTCTCCACTAAGGATGCTATTTACTGGTACTTTGATATAAAATATCTTTCAAATTAGGGAATATTTTATTTCTACATTTCTAATTATTTATTATAAATATGTTAAAATTTATCAAATTACTATTTGCATCTTTTAAAATCCTCATATTTTCTTTCTCAGTTTATTAATGAGAGCTTTAATATTGAAAGAGTTTCTCATGTTTATCATCTTCTCATTTCTGGGATTAAAAATACCATTTGATTTTGGTATATTTTTTAATATGTTAGATTTATTTATTTAATATTTTGTTTTGGATATTTGCCTCTAGGTTTCTAAGGCAAATATCCCAATAATATCCTTACTGTTTTTTGTTCTTGCTTAGTTGTGAAATCAAGATTCTACTAACCCTGTAGAATAAGGTGGACAGCTTTCGCAGTTTTCTCATTTCTAGAAACACATATAATATAAAAAATAACTATTTCTTAAATGTTGATTAATGTCAAATATAAAACAATCTGGGTTTGAGCAGTTGTGGGAGGCTCTAACACTTTGATTATCAGTTCAATTGCACTGTTCTGTTTGAGTGTTTTATTTCTTCTTCTACCTTTTTGACATTTAATACTTTTTCCCATAATTTACCCTGTATATAAGTATGCAACTTTACTAGCAAGTTCTTGATTATAATGCTCTTTATTATTTTCTTCTCTCTTATTTTTTTGAGTTAATTTTTACTTCCTGAAGAATGTTACTTTCTAAAGCTCAAATTTTTAAGTACCATTTATGTCATACATGCATTTTCTTTAAGTTTTAAATATTTTATAATTTTCCTCATTATTTCCTTTTTGAAATCTAAAACACATATTATTGTTTTTATAAATACAAAATTTTGTTAGCTACATTCTAATTTTATAATATTATGGCCAAAGAACCTAGTCAGTATGTTATTTGCTTTTTTGGAATTTATTGAAGATTCCTTTGAGCAATAGTAGAAGTCAATTTTTATGAATTATCAATTTATAATAAAAATGCATATTTTATCTTTGTTAGGTTTACAGCTGTATAAATATCTAATAGTTTAAACTTGCACATTATGTTTTTTACATATGCTATGTTTGCCTTTTTTCTTTTTTTCTTATGTTTGATTTCTTGGTTTCTGAAAGGTAATGTTAAAAATCTCTAACTACAATGGTTAATATATCTATTTCTCCATGCATTTCTGTTAGTTGTGACGTTATATACTTTGAGGTTTTATTATGGAATACATCCTCATGATGGTTATGTCTTCCTTTATTGTTTCCTTACCAGTATATAAACATCATCTTTGTCTTTTTCAATCATTTCTGGTCTTGAATTCTATATTCTGAGATATTAGCAGCTAAAGATGAACTGTGCACTTTCCTGTAAAAAAAGGCCTGTGATCTAAATATGCTGACAACTCCTGTGAAATCTTTTAAGTAAATGTGCCCTGTTAACAGTGACTAAGACAGTAATTGCTTTTTAAAAACAAATGTGTGCTATGAGGAGAGAATCTTTCAAATGTATACTTAGAAATGTTGTTTGTTGTTTTAGATTTGGGCTGTCTGTAATAATGTAGAAGGAAACCTTATTCCCAAGAATCACCCTCGTGACTTCTTTCCAGCCCCCACTCACCCTTTTCCATGGGAGAAGAAAGTATTTTCCCACTTGTTGAATGTGGGAGAAAAGAAAGGGCATGCATAGACAGCTTCTCTCTATTTGGGGGATCTATCCTTGCAACAAGCTCAGCAAATACACCTGAGTTTCCAGGGGCTAATTGAACTCAGGAGGATGTAGAAGAGCTAGCTGATTTGACTGCTTAGTCACATTTTTATTTGAGGTTTATTAGAAATAAAGCATTTGATATATCTTTCACCAGAAAGTGCTTCTATTGGAGAGAAACTATGTATTTAAGAAAGCAATACCTAGGTTTTATGAGTGAAATGTCTTAATTATGGAGATGCTCTCTACATCTTAAGGTGGAATTATAGAAAAGAAGTAAGCACTAATATTCCTGACAAAAAGAAAAATATACGTTTTGAACATTTAATTCCCATTAATAGTGACTTTCATTCTCATTGGGAGAGAGTCTTTCTTTTCTAAGATCAGATATGGTGCTAATACATAACTCCTCCCCCTGCTGCTTAGTTCTGAGGTTCAAAAGACTGCCAGGTGGCTTTTATCAACCCATGGAAAGCAAAGGATTTTTGCCTCAATTAAATGGTACTTTTCCAAATCTGTTTGTGAGCGGATTTAGGCATTGAAGCCCCAAAGTCACTTTAATAGGTGTGACTAGATTTCCATTTACCAATTAAAAATTTACCTTTTCAGCTGTCTGAACACTGACTCATAGGGTTTTGATTTTCTGTTAGAATAGAGTGACATAAAAAGTCAAATAAATGTTTCATGGTTAGCCAGTTCCAACTTATTACATTGCTGTGTTAAGAAGTCATGCAAACAGAATGTCCATCCGTCCCCTTGAGACATAAATTACTTTGTGATTACTCCAAGTGGCCACTAAAGGTCACTCTTACTCCATTTTCCCAGCCAGTTTTGAAGCCTGGCTCAGGTATAAAATTTGTGAAGCCCCTGTCTTTGTACTAGCAACAGACAGACTTGAGATAGAATGTTTAGGGGTCAAGAAGCACAGTTTCCATACCTATTCAGTTTCAGGAGGATGCCAAACCTGCCTGTCTAAGTGGTTTGAGTCAGAAAGTTTGTGTTACATCTCCATGTTAATGCATTTCTAGAAAAGTTATCAAAATTTATAAAAAGTTCATTTTAAAGTAAATACAGGGTGAATATAAACTTCAGTCATTATATTCTGGCCCAGAGTAAAAAGTCCTTTTTTTAAAGAAGAAATAAGTCATCTTTAGGAAACACATTTAAGACTGAAACTCTTACTGAGCTGATAAATTATAACTGATCCTATATGAGGAAGGGGGAAGGAAGGTTGAAAATAACACTTGCCAAGAATTGAACAGCTTAAATCATCTGTAAAAGTAGTGACATTACATGTAGGAGCCATTTCCTCCTTATACATAACTGTTTGGAATGTTTAGAAAATGCTCATATTTAAAAGTCTTGGATTTCTTAGGTAAGAGAGACGTGTGTGTGTACAATTTACACGAGTGTCTAAGTAAACAGTATAGATACTTAATATCACTAATAATAGGAGGAACATAAACTAAAACAAACAACTATCTTTTAACTTATGAGGACAAAAAATTAAACAGGAAAATAAAGTAGTAAGGTTTTAGAAAAGCAAGGTCATTTGCTTTTCACATTTTGGTGAGATTTTAAATAGGAACTGGCATTTGGCAATAACTAGTAAAAAGAATGTGTATTCTTTTGGACCTAACAGTTTTACCTCTAGAATTTACCTTAGGGAAACACTTACTCATTTGTTCAAGGACATATGTAAAATAAGTTACAGTGAAAAAAGTAGCACAACCCAAAGGTTAGTTATTGAGAGAATGGCTTATTTTATGCCTCAGGATATCATGTATTAATTAAAAGAATTGTTTTCTAAGACATTTGATCAAAAACTCAAATTCTATTAGATAAGTAGAGTATAATGGTATTTATTTTTTAAATGCAAATATTAAAATGCTACATTGAAACACATGAAATTGCTGATATTCACCTATTTTTAATCTACAAGGAAGACAATTTCATATGGTCCAATCTATATATACAAATAATGAGAAAGTAAACTGATTTTTTTCCCCAGAACTCAGGATTGAGGGTGATGATATGAGGGGATTTATAGATAATTTGAAAATATATTTTGTAAGAAGAATATATTCAAATACTGTGTAAATAAAATGTATTAAATGTATATTTAATTTTCCCCCAAATTTTAATATTTTAAATCTTCATTTACCTATGAAGTTCTTAAATTATCAAGATACCTGCAAAAGAAAGTACTTGTACTATTTCTCATTATGCATTAATACTTTTCACATGTACACTACAAACAAATGGGTATGAAGAACAAACACACTGCAATCTGTTACTCATACAGAGTAAAGAATCTGAACTAACCCTGACAACTAAAGAAATTTTATATTTTATATGACTTGACAGAGTAAATCCTTTAGGAAAGCAATGAAGAATCAGTCAAATACTCTTAGACTTACTTAGAAAAATCATTGAACATGATCAATTTAGTAATTCTTTTTTTGTAAGGAATTAATTCATTAAAGTGAATATAACAAATTTTTAAAATAGGTATAATATATTCTAATATTCTTTGCAATAACAATATATGCAGTTATAATATTAAACAATACCGTACATGTGAACCCTTGCTGATATAATAAACTGCCAAAGCCATAGGGATTATTAAATTTTAAGTTGATCATCCCTCTGTATCTTCAGAATGGCTGCCGTAACAGTGATTTTTTTAAATTCTGTTTCCATTCTTGCTGCCCTAGTTCTAACACACATTTTTTTATTCCAATACCCTCTCTCTATATAAAAATATATGTATTATATATGAATAAATATTTATGTATTAGCATGAAAGGCAAAATATTAGGTATTGCTGTTAGCAGATATCAACTGAATCAACCTGGCAATATATTGGATAAGAGTAGCCGGAAGTCCTAGTTTGGGTCCTGCAGTAAACCCAACCTTCTCTTCGAGATATATATGAAAATTAATAGGGCTGACTTCACATAGTCACACTTCTAACTCAGATCTTGTGCTAAATTATTTTAGTTATGTCTTAAACTTTTTGGCAGCAAGAAATGGATTTTGGTCTTTCTCTCTTATACTTAGGCAAAAATCCCAACAAAATAACATAAACTTTGTAGGTCTTCCTGATGATTTAGAAAGGTAGAGGGTGTACATCACAACATGTAATTATCTTTAAATAATATTTTATATATTCCTTAAAAGTTTCCTTTTAAAATTCTTCCCACTCAAGCTTCAACTTCTCCATTTCTCACTCCTCCTTCCAGCAAACTTTAGGAATCATCACTAAGAGTCACAATTACCTGCCATTCTATTAGGTGAGCAATTCAGTTCTCACCAAAATCTCCAATTTCAACCCAACCTTTTCTTATCTCCAACCTTCCAAGATTCTCTGATGAACAACAGTGTCTTTTCCATTTTTCTTTCGCCAAAATAGTTCTAAAAATCTGAGCAAAGGATTCTACTATAATAGTGATGTAACCTGTATCTCAGGCTTTTTATTCTTACTGATCAAGGAACCATTGAAGATATTATGTAATAAAGTGTCTAAACCAATCAGAAATCGGAGAAAACGAAATGTGCTCTGGTGTAAACTGGCTGATAACAACAGAAACTACTGTGAGATGTATTTTTGTAAAATCCTGAACAATTATACAAAGTGCTGCAAGAGTTAGTATTACAGATATAGAAGCTAAAGCAGAGAGGAGGTTAAGTAATTTGCCCAGTATTATACAATCAGTGTTCGACAGAGGTTGGACTGGAACCCAGGCCCCTGACTTCAGAATCTACAGTCATAATCATTACGGGGATTTACATGCAAATGCTTACAGAGGCCAGCCAGGCAGCAATAGGTCTGTGAATTGGACTGGCCAAGTCTAGGGTCTAAGGTAGAGAGTTATTGGTATCTCTGACAACTCTAAAAGGGCTTGGCCAACTCACTGACAAATCATATTAGTAGTTGGAATACATTCGAGTGAGAACAAATCTCAAAATCTCACACTTAATCTATGTGGCTTATTTACAGATACAGAAACAAACCTCTCTTTTCCAAGTTTCCTAAAATATTTAGTCCCTCCTTTTACTTCTAAACTTGGTGAAGTTCTAAACTTCTTTGAAGACTCAGATACAAGGTTTCTGCAGGTTCTGAAGGTCCTAAGTTTCACCTGAATTATATCCTAGCTACTTTGAATGGCTATATTTTCTTCTTGAACTTTTTCTTTCCAGGAATTTGATTAAGGATATTTATACTTGTTTTTTCCCCATATGTCCCTTAACTTTTCTTTAAGTTTTCTATTTATTTATGCTTCCTTGTTTCTTTCTGGAATGTTTCCCAAACTAATCTTTAATTTTGTAATTCACTGATTATTTATTTATACTACCTAGTATATTCTTTATTTCATCTATTGTCTTCACACATAATCCTATTTGGATCTTCTTATGCTTTCTTATTCTTATTGTATATATTTAATAGCTTCCTTTTTTACTTATTATGCTTACTCTGTATTATTTGTTTCTTAGTTATATTTTCTCCACTTTCAGTGAAATACAATTTCAATTTGTAGTTTTGAAATAGTTGTACTCTTTAGGTCTTTTTCTTTGTCTCTTCTGGTGCTTATGAGCTAATATTCTCCTCCTTATGCCTTTCTAAATAGATTATACAATAACTTATTGTATATAAATATATAATTATACAATATACAATATAATACAATAAGTTATTGTATATCTGTTTAGAAAGGCATAAGGAGGAGAATATAAACTCATAAGCACCAGAAGAGACAGAAAAAAAGATCTAAAGAGTACAACTCTCCAGGAGTTATTGTATAATCTATTTAGAAAGGCATAAGGAGGAAGGAAAGTAGACGTTGAAGCTTCTGCTGGTTCAGCATTTTGGTAGAAATTGGGACTGAAACCTCCCTTGTACCCCTTCTACTCTATTTTCCAGATATGATAGAGACCATATGCTCTAACCACAAACCAAGAAATTCAGAAGTTAATAATAAAAAGATAAGTCAAATTATCTTATATTTGAAAATTAGAAAAAAATTTCCAAATAACTCAGGAGTTAGAAATAAATCAATATGAAAAATTCAAAAGACCTAGAGGTGTATAATAATGAAATACTACATGTCAAAATGTATAGGGCTGCATAAGACACCCGTTAAGGGAACATTATATTTTTAAATGCATACATCAGAAATTCAGAAAGGCTAAGAATTAATGAGCAAAGTATCTAACATTTAGAAAATAATAACCAAATATACCCAAATATAACAGAAGAAAAGAAACAATAAAAATAAAAGCATAAATGATAAAATAGAAAATATACATTAGAGTGATGAAAACACAATAGATGGATCAATAAAACCAAAAAGTGGTTGTTTAGAAAAATGACATCAAAATATGCAAATAGTTAACAAGACAATTAAAGACAAAAAGAAAGAAAGCACAAATATTATAAATGGAAAATATGACCAGACTACAGATGAGGCATAAATAAAATTAAAAGATAACAGGAAAATAGTCTCAAGAGACAACAATTTTGAAAATTTATTCAAAATGGACAAATACATTGAAAACTATAACTTACCGAACCAGAATCAAGAAGCAACTAAAAGCCTGAATAGTCCTGCTACTACTAAGGACTTGAAATAGTAGCAAAACAGAAACATTTCCCCAAATTAAACTTCAGGCACAGAGAGTTTTATTTTATTTTATTTAACTTTCAAAGAACAAATTATCCCTAACACATAAAAATTAAAAGTCCACACTCCTAGAATAAAAGTCATTGTTCTGTAGACATTTTAACAAGTCAATGTAAGAAATGTGGCTTTTAACATATTTTGCTGATCAATGACAACGCTTTTCAGTCAATCCGTGTCTAAAAACCAGCCAATCAGTGACAGCCCTACATTTTGAACATCAGCTAACCAGCAATAGACTCATTACAAACCATGCTTCTAAAACTAACATTAACCGAGTTCCACCTGTATGGTAAACAATGACAAACATACTTCAGTAAATAACAGAAAACATTTCAAAAACTAATAGCAACCCACTCCTGCCTCCATGGACAACATAAACCATTCTCTAGGAATGACAACAACCTACATCTGCTCCTATGCCCAACACAAAACAAAACAAACTATTTTTCTAAACTGTATATAAGATCAGAAGATTCTTTTCTCAGTCAAAACTAGACCAAGAATGAGTTCCATAGCCCTTCACTTGGTAGTATTCTGTGGCACCCTCAGACCAATAAGCATGCTATCCTTATACCTTGTGCTCAAATTTCATTTGACCTTCAAATTTGCTGCCAGTTGAGCTTGATTAGAAATAAGCACTGACTTGATTTGTTGCTATTTAATTTTGTTACCAGAGGGTTCATAACCAATAGGTCTTTATATATGTCAATTAGACCTAAATCATGGTATAATATAATTAGGCCTTTTTCTAATTTTCTTTACCATGGATATAGGCCTTTGTATAAAGTAATTAAAACTTTCATTGCAATATTTGATAATTTTTTTTTACTTAAACTTCTTATTCTTTTTCTTCCCTTTTGTTTGACTATTTATCTAAATTTTAGTCTCATATGTTTTTGTTTTAACCTGGATTGTTTTGTGTTGAACATATAAGGGAGTGCTTCTTAGGGAAGCTAGAAGACAAACTTTAGCAGATCGTTAATCTTACCAGGCTGCAATACCTAAAGTATTTAAATAAGGACCTCTCATAGAGCAGAAAAACAAATTCATGGAAATGTTCAGGATTTGCTCCCAAATTCTGAAAAGAGACACTGAGAACAATCTAGTTGTAAGATTCATGAGATTAAGATAACATTAACTAATTTCAAATGGACACTTGACAAACTCTTCCATGAGGCAACCTATCACAGTTGGAACACACTGGCCTTCTTAGTAAACAAACATTAAAACTATATATTTTCTATGATAGCAAAGGACATAATCAATTTCCACTCACATAGTAATTATATTTCTTTGATAGGCCTAGGAAATCTTCCAGATAACAGTCCCTTTTTAAAAATTTAATTTAGATCTTGCTCCATAGCTCAGACTAGAGTAGAGTGGCATGATTATAACTCACCGCATCCTCCACCACTTAGGCTCAGGCAGTCCTCCCACCTCAGCCTCCCAAGTAGCTGGGACTATAGGCATGTGCCACCATGCTCGGATAATATTTTTAAATTACCTTATTTTTTTTTCAAGATAGTGGATTAGAGTCTTTCAGCATGCCTCAACCATTTGGAAATAGCAAGATAATACATAAATATCAACTCTGTGAGCTTTAATTCAAGAAGGAGAATGGGCATCTACCAGAATTGTGAAGGACATCCCAGATTCCAGAGAGAAGAAGGCTAGCATACAGCCACCATGACAGTGAGTGAAGGCCCCGTACGTGAGAGAGGCAGAGCTTCCTTCTATGACTCATCTTTCCACTGGGTATCCAAGCAACCCAGGCCAAGTAAGAGCACTTTGCTTTTCCCAAACCCTGGAGTTAACTTAGGGACAGGCTCAGAGATGCTGTGAGGAAAAGACACCAGGAAAAGCTGCAGATACTTTCCCAGACCTAGGACTGAAATCAGGACACTATTTTTAATTTGGGCACATAAAAAGTCAACTATTCTTTGGTGACCCAGCAGTGTGGCTGCACAGGCATTTCAGTCCCAGGCCAGAGATTGGAGCATCTCCTCTGGAGTGGTGTAGGGGCCTCCATAGCCAGAACTATGGAAAGTGCCTCAGCAGTAGGCACTGGAATTGTGCTCTCCCCTGTAACAAGCCTGAGGCAGGAAGAGAGCTACTACAACTGCAGTTTCTCCTGGATGACAAGACTTGCAGCCAGAGCCAGCTTAGCAAAGTGGAACTGATCTGCATGTGCCATTCCTGGATGCCCCACGCTGCTCCCCTGAGATTGTGGTGCAGCGGGGCCCTTTCTTCTCTACTACTAGGCAGAAATCCAGTCATTTAGAGTACCTGTTCATCTGGTTCAGTAGCCTGAGCCTCCACACCCTTCCTGTGCAGAATTCTTGGTTCAGAGTGCTCCTCTTTGCTCCATGCCCAGGCAGATCACCAGGCATTAGGAGCATCTGCTTGTCTGGCTCAATAGCCTGAGCCATTCTACTTTTCCTGGACATATATCATGATGTAGCAAAATCCTCCCTGTTCTATGGCCAGGCAGATCTCCAGGCATTTAGAGCACCGGCTTTCCTGGTCCAGCAGTTTAAGTTGCCCCACTACTCCAGTATGGAGATCTTGGTGCAGGGGTGCCCTCTCTGCTCCACACCCAGGCAGGTATCCAGGCAACTGGAGCACTCATCTTCCCCCAGTCCCCATGCAGATAACTTGGAACGGAGGAGATTTCCCAGCTCCATGCCTTGGCATACCTCTGGGTGCCTGGTCATCACACACTGGATTCTCCCTTGGTGCTAGTGTTTGTGCCTTCCGTCAAATCTGCAGATGGACCTTCACAGTCTGACACCACCGTTTGTGGCTTCCATGTCCCAGGCTTCAGCAGAAAGCTCAAACCACTGTGTTTCCCATGAATCAGCCCTTTGCCTGAGGCATCAGACAGCTTCTGCCAGTAAATAAGGATCAAGTATATATCCAGCTATGTTGACTGTAGCCAGCTCTTAGCTGTAAGTGCCGTCTAGGGGCTTATAGGACAAACTGCACAGCCCAATATAAAACTTTCTAAAAGAAGTGCATAGGGTACAGAAACAAAGCCAAAAGACCCTACCCAGCATTCTCTATAGTCACATGCCCTAGAGACAGGGGGAAAAAAAAGGGAGAATAAAAAGATAATAAAATAATAATAATAATAATAATAATAATAATAACAACATTATAGGAAAATTTTAAAAAGAAAAAATCCTATCCACACAAAAATAATTACAACAATTAGAAGTACCAGCATCTACAGATCAGAAGAAACCAGTGCAAGTATTCTGGGACCATGAAAAATCTGAATGTCATGATAACACCAAAGGATTGTACTAGTTCTCCAGCAATTGTCCCTAAACAAAATGGACACTAAAAAATGACAGATAAAGAATTCAAAGCAATAATTGCAAAGAAGCTTATTGAGATCCAAGATAAGGTTGAAAACCAACACAAAGTAACTTCTAAAGCAATCCAGAGAATGAAAGAAAAGATAAACATCTTAAAAAGTAATCCATCAGAGCTTTGGGAATTGAAAAACTCACTTAAGGAAGTTCAAAATACAATTGAAAGCTTTATCAGTAGACTGGACCAAGCAGAAGACAGATTTTCAGAGCTAGAAGACCAGTCTTTTGAACTAACCCAATCTGACAAAAAAAAGAAAAAATAATTTTGAAAAATTAGCAGTCTTCAAGAAATATGGGATTATGTAAAGCAATGAAACTCATGAATCATTGACATTCCTGACAGAGAAGGAGAAAAAGCAAACAAACTGGAAAATATATTTGAGGGAATATATCGGTGATAATATAATTTGGTGATAATATAATTCTATACCTTGAAAATCCTAAATACTCCACCAAAAGTCTCCTAGAACTGATTAACATCTTCAGCAAAGTTTTGGAATAGACAATCAATATACAAAAATCAGTAGCATATCTATACACCAGTAACATTTAAGCTGAGAGACAAGTCAGGAACACAATTGCATTTACAATAGACACACACAGACAGACACACAGACACACACACACACACCTAGGAATACATCTAACCAAGGTAAAAGATCTCTACAAGGAGAACTACAAAACATTGCTAAAAGAAATCAGAGATGACACAAACAAATGGAAAAACATTCCATGCTCATGGATAGGAAGAATCAGTGTTATTAAAGTGGCCATACTGCCCAAAGCAATCTACAGATTCCATGCTATTCCTATCAAATTACCAATGTCATTTTTCAGAGAATTGGAAAAAACTATTTTAAAATTCGTATGGAACCAAAAGAGAGGACAAATACCCAAAGCAATCCTAAGCAAAAAGAACAAAGCTGGAGGCATCACATCACCTGACTTTGAACTATACTGTAAGACTACAGTAACCAAAACAGCATGTACAAAAACAGACATAGAGACCAATGGAACGAAATAGAAAACTCATAAATAAAGCTGCACACCTACAGCCATTTAATTGTTGACAAAGTCAAGAAAAATAAGCAATGGGGAAAGGAATTCCTATTCAGTAAATGGTGTTGGGATAGCTGTCTAGCTATATGCAGAAAAATGAAACTGGACCCCTACATTTCACCATATACAAAAATTAACACAAGATGAATTTTAATGTAATACTTCAAACTATAAGAAATCTGGAAGAAAACCTATGAAACACCATTCTGGACATGAGCTTGGAAAAAGAATTATGACTAAGTCCTCAAAAGCAATTGCAAAAAAACCAAAAATTTACAAGTGAAATCTAATTAAACTAAAGAACTTCTGCACAGCAAAAAAAAAAAAAAAACTATTAGGTTGCTGCAAAAGTAATTATTTTTAATGGCCAAAGTAATTAGATTGGTGCAAAAGTAATTGCAGTTTTTGTCATGAAAAATAAGTACTTTTGCACCAACCTAATATATACAGGGTAAACAGATGGCCTACAGAATGGGAGAAAATATCCACAAACTGTGTATCTAACAAAAGTGTAGTATCCAGAACATATAAAGAACTTAAATGATTCCACAAGCAAAAAACAAATAACCTTATTAAAAAAGGGACAAAGGATATGAACAGACACTTCTCAAAAGAAGACATACAAGCATCCCATAAACATGTAAAAATGCTCATCATCACTCACTAATCAGAGATACCATCTCACACCAGTCAGAATGGCTATTATTAAGGCCAAAAACAAACAAACAAACAAAAAACAGATGTTGGTGAGGTTGTGATGAAAAGGGAATGCTTATACAGTGTGGCGGGATTGTAAATTAGTTCAGTGCCTATGGAAAGCAATTTTCAGATTTCTCAAAGAACTTAAAATGAAACTACCATTTGATCCAGTACTCTCATTACTAGGTATATATCCAAAAGAAAACAAATTGTTCTACCAAAAAGACACATGTCCTCACATGTTCATCCCAGCACCATTTACAATTGCAAAGCCTTGGAATTAACCCAGGAGGCTATCAAAAGTGGACTGGATGAAGAAACTGTAGCACATATACACCATGGAATACTATGTAACCATAAAAAAGAATAAAATTATGTCCTTTGCGGGACATGGAAGAAGCTGAAGATCATTATCCTAAGCAAATCAACAGAGGAACAGAAAACAAAGTATTGCAAGTTCTTACTTATAAGTGGGAATTAAACATAAGGTACTCATGGACATAAGACAGCAACAATAGATGCTAGGGACTACTAGAGGCGGAAGGTAGAAAGAAGGTCAAGGGTTAAAAAACTAACTGTTGGGTACTGTGCTCAGTACCTTGATTACAGGATCATTTGTACCCCAAACCTCAGTATCATGCAATATACCCAGGTAACAAACTTGTACATGTACCCCCTGAATCGTAAATAAAAGTTGAAAAAGAAAAGAAAAAAATATATATTTTTTAAATTTAGAGACAGGGTCTTGCTGTGTTGTCCAGACTGGAGTACAGTGGACAACTATAGAGTGGAGCTATAATCATAGCTCACTGCAGCCTCAAACTCCTGGGCTCAAGTGATCTTCCCACTTTGGCCGCTTGAGTAGCTGGGATTACAGATATGAGCCACTTTGTCTAGCACTCCTTGTTATAATATTTTAATTCTATCTACTTTCTCAGAGTCAGCTAATGTTATCCAATAATGTTGTTTAAAATATTAAATGATTCTACATAATCATTGTCCTGAGAGATGATACAACAAAAGACTCCAAAACCAAAACAGAATAGAATCAGACTGATTGAATGAAGATAAATAGCAAATCAGACTTCTTCAGACAAAACCCAAGGGAAATCAACAAAAATGGTGAAGAGCTGGGTAGTCCCTGATGGTCTCATGTGCAGCTTTGCTTAATGGAAAACAAAATCCTTTGGATGACCAGAGAATTTTAAAAGCCTCCAAACTACTAAGAAATTGTTGATTATTCTATAGAACATAGCTGTAGCCATGTGAAGTAAAATAAAAAATATGTATTTGGTGTTTGCTCTCCATTCCCGGCACAGTGATTCAAAAACCCTTGAAATATCCTGAGGGGTAGGTGCATCTTTTGCTATTCATAAGGAACCTCTTTCTGTTGTGAGTTTATGCTGAGGAAGCGATCTCTGGCAGGCCTATGGAACGTTTAAAGGGAATGGCTTGTCACTCACATGATTAGAGGATTGGAACTTTCAGCTCCACCCAGCAATCTCCAGAGAAGAAAGGGAGCTGGAGATTGAGTTTAATCAGGTAGCAGTTATTTAATCAGTCATGCCTATGTAATGAAGCCTCAATAAATACTCTTGAACAAGGAAGTTTAGGGAGCTTTCAGGGAACACATCAATGTTTTGAGAGGGTGGCATGCCTAGATTCTGTTAAGAAAAATCGTGCAAGCTGTGAACCTCCTCCCCACTGCCCCACACCTTATCCTATTTCTTGCTTCCCTTTGGCTATTTCAGAGTTGAACTCTTTGAAACAAAACAGTAATTTTAAGTAGAGTGCTTTCCTAAGTTCTGTGAGTTGATCTAGCAAATTTGCAGATATAAAGAAGAGGTCGTAGGAACCCCTGAATGTATAGCCAAGTCATAGAGAAGTGCAGGTAGCCTGGGGACCCAGGACTTGTAAATGGTATCTGAAGTGGGGACAGTGCTGTGGGGCTGAATCCTTTTACTTTTGTGATCTGTGATAACTCTGAAAAGGTCAGAATTCAATTGAATTAAGGACACCCAGTTGGTGTAAGAGAATTTGTTGTTTAAACCAGTTTAATTAATCAAGGACAGCTCACTTCTGTGAACACACATTTGAAAGCTAACTAATCAGAGATAACCTCACATTATGAAAGTTCGCCAATTTTCAGTGGACCCTAAGTGATATCTCTAGGACTAATAGTAACTCACTCCCTCTTGTGTTACACAAACTATGCTTCCGTAACTTTGAAATCAATTAAATCCTGTCTGTTTATCCAGCATAACCCAAAACAAATCTCCTCCAAAAAGCCATATATCGTCAGCCACTTGTTTGGTTCAATGCAACTTTACCTGGCCACCATAGCTCTCCGTTAGTTAAATAAGTTATACATTGCACAATTATTATGTGTCAATTAAAAATAATACAAAACTTAAAAAAGAAAAAGGTACAAGTGAAAATAATATGATTAAAACATTATAAACATGTAAATCTACATAGATTAACATTGGAAGGCATCTTTAGAAATAAAGTTATTGTATAAAATAAATAAATAAGGCATACATTAAGTGTTTGGCTAGAGATATTGAGCAGTTGTATGGTGTTTTACAAGTAAACTTTCATAAATGGTGATAGAAAGAACACTTTTCAGCTTATTCTAAGAGGTTGATATAATTTTCAAAATAAAATACAGGAAATCTTGGTAAATTAGAGTAGGAAACAATTCTTGAACTTGATAAAATGTATGAAAATCCTATAGCAAGCATGATCTCAAGTGGGGAAATTTTAAAAACATTTCATTTAAAAATGGGCCAAGCAAGATACTATCATCACTTCTATTCAACACTATATTTGACCTCAAAATGCAAAATACAAGAAAAGAGCATCACTATCATGAGGAACAAAAATGAGAAAATAAAAATGTCAAAATTGGTAGGTGATATAATTCTTTATATGAAAAACCTGAAGAACTACAAATATATTATTAGAAACAATAGGAAAGTTTAGCAAGCCACATGGATATAAGATTAATTAGTAAAAATCGATTGCATTTGCGTACACTGGTTGTTAGCAAGACACCACTAATACGTAATTTTGTTATTAATCACTAAATGATTTCTAGAATATATAGGTTAATATGTGTGGCATTGCAATTTTTAAATCCTACTTCCGTTTCTGTGTACTTATCTGTTCAAATTAGGTTTTGTAAAAAAATAATAAAAATGTACGTTATCTCATTAAAAATGCATTTCCAATACAATTTTACTTATATTTAATATTATATAGTATATAAATGTAATAATGTCAGAGGAAAAGAAGCAGAGTTAGAGTGTCTTGCAGAATGGAGAGTCCTGAGATTTATTTGCATATTTTTGTTTGCAATGCTTACAGATAAAATGAATTGGCTCCAGAATATTAGGTCCTGAAAATTGAAAGAGACTCTCATGCTAGAAATTGAGATTTTGGAATTATTGTCATAAAGTCACATTTTGGAGTCCTTGAAGAGGATGAGATTACCTAATTACAGACAGTATAGTAAGGTAAAGAAGAGAACCTAGAGGAAAGTCTTGATGAACTCCAATATTTCATTGTTATTGGAGTAGGAGGAATCAGAGAAGAAGAGAAAAAGTAAGGAGAGCAGAAAGGTAGAAGAAAGACTGTGAAATGCAATTTTTTATAAGAGCCCAGGGAAAATTATTTAAGAAAGAAAATTGGTCAACTTTATGTAAATGTGCAATGAGACAAAGTAGGACAAAGACTGAAAGGAGCCTACTGGATCCAATAGAGTGCAACAGCCTTGAGAATATTCAAATCGTGATGCTAAATTTTCAGATGGGAGTATGGAGAATCAGAAGGGACAGTGCCACATGCAAGATTGCTTTGATAGCACAACAGGCTGTGGTCCAAAGCACACAGCAAGATTAACCTTAGATAGGAGGGGGTTGGCAGAATTGCTCCTAGTGGGATTAAAAATAGCTTTCTTTAACCTTCTTTAATCCACTGATGTGTCTAGATATAATAGACAACACATTAACATCAAGTACATATTTTTTAAAAGGGGGAAACTAGTCTATTTTTTGGTTGAAAAAGATAGGGAACCTCTTCCTATGCCTTTTATTTTCTCACCCTGGTACCAGTACAGGATGTCTTAATGTCCCAGACATTCATTCCCTGGTTGTTGTGCCTGAAGTTAGATGGTATGTTAGTAATGTATCTTGAATGTTGACTTCACCTTGCTGGCTTTTTGCTAAGCTTCTATTTAGAGAAAGTCACAAGGGCTGGGTTAGATCTAAAGGCATTGTTCAAATAAGAAGAAAGCGCCAACTACAGCAGTCTCACCCCATTATAGCTCTCTTGTAAAGTTCTCATCCTCCCTTTCTCCTTTGTCCCTGTTAGCTCATGCACTTTGGAGCAAGTCATGTTTTCCAATAGCTCCATCTCTCCCAAGAGTGTTACATCAGAAGTAGCTCATTTCTCATTGACTCATTTCCCACTCCAGAAAGCAGAGAAAATAATCATTATTGGCTCAGCAGATTAATTTTGCTGCAGGAGCCAAACTTTCATAAATAGCAAGAATAAAATAATTATGCCAGATATTTTAGGATTTATTTAAGTTCAATGTATTTTAAATCAAATGTGTGACTTTTGTATTCTTCTTTACATATTTTATGTAAAGAGAGCACAAATGCATGCATTTGTTGACGAAAAATTTCAATAAATTCCATTTCATAGCTACTCTCTTCTTTATGCAGTAGGAAGCAAGATAATTTGCTAAAAACTAAGAAGGTTGAGGTGTGATACTGAAATTGAAGAGAGCTGTGCAAGTTTGAAAGCCACTTCCCGAAGTTAAGAGAGACATATGACTAGAAAACAGTTGGGGAGTAGTTGACATTGCTCACAAAAATTATATTAATACCAATCTGCTGCATATTTTCTCCCAGAGGTGCTCAGTGGCCTGAAAAAAGAAAGAACATAATTGGAATAATAAAAAGTCAAAATTTTCCAGGTGACGTCAATGAAAGGATACACTGGCAACGTGGTTTAGGGTATTGACTAGAAATTAGTAAAGACAAGAGAGGGATTCTGCACCTGGTGCAAGTTAAGTGGCCAAGAAAGGGGTAAGGTGGCAGGCAGGCGAGATTAACAGGCAAGATGGAAGAATATACGAGTATATGGGAGTGGATGCTAAGAACTGTAAAGAGGCTGAGATTTTACCCTAGGTGCAAGGTAACTAATTAGCCTGCCACACTTTTATAGATGTACGTAGAAGACGGTTGATTACTCACAGAAATAGAATTAGCCAGAATGTTACTAATCTTGCTCCAGTTCTCTCAGCTCTAATTTCCATAAGGCAACACAGTGCCACAGATGACACCCACACATTCAATGGGTTAGTTATAGGAGAGAAATTTAAGTTTAGGGAAACCAAACATTTTATAATGATCAATAAGCACACCTGCCCTTTGCTCTAGTGGAAGCCATTATATTTTTTACATTGGAGAGTAAATACAATTGCCCTTTGCTCTGGAGGAAGGCACTGTGTCTATCTTCCAAGGTTGTAAGCAAACATGCCTTTGTTCTGGAGGGAGGCTCTCTTTCTTTGAAGTAATTTCTGTATGTCCATCTTTTTAAAGATTTTTTACAGCAAAGGGTAATCAATACCTTACCTTCAAGATGAGCAGACATGTGAGACACCCATGGAGAATCGTCTCCTGACAGTGGGCATCTGATTTATGGATTTTGTGAGAGGAATAATTTCAGGTGATGACAACTTCCTGGCTTTGTTTTTGAGAGTTCATGGCTGAGAAGGTAAATGAACCAGGAGCTGGATATGTTGTTCTTTTGAAATTTCCTAGGATAATAGCAAAGGTTTGAGTTGAAAGAAAAATAGGAATGGAAGTCTGCAGCACAAACAGGGCACACTGTTGGTAAACAACAGCAGTTAGAAAGACAAGAATGTCATTATAACTAGATAGTATAACCTGAAACAAACTGGGATTTAAGACAACGAATATAGTTGCCAACATGAAGAAAATGGTTTTTACATTGAGAGAGTTAAAGGATGAGCCAAAAAAAAATGTTTTTTGAAATGTCACCATTGTCCTAATTCTCAAACTTTTGGAGGTTATTCCTAATAGAGATCACTGAAGATAGTCATTTGGGAATCTGATGCTTAACACTGAGCACGTCATCTTGTATCTAAAAACTGAAGTAGATTCAGCTGAAACACACGTGCAACAATGACTGGAAGACATGCCAAATCCACCAGACTCTAAAGCATTTCTGGAAGGTTTCCACGTTATAATCATTCCCTATGTACTGTTTGAAAAAATAATTGAATAATTTTCCCCATATAAAAAGTAAAGCTATATCTACCTACTCTACTCTATATCTACTCTAAATTGAAGACCAATTTATTTTATTTGTTAAGAACCCAGGCTTTGAAGTTAGGCAGAATTAAACTTTAATCCTAGATATTTCACTTCTTCTTTATATAACCTAGAGCGAATTAATTAAATTATTTACATTTGATTTCTTTGTCTATAAAATGGAATGATGAAGAAGAAAATGATGAGAACAACAATTAAGATGTTTTTGAGTTAAATGCAATTAAACATAAAGGTCTCAGCAACTAGAAAACAATCCATAAACTATAATTATTATCATTGTTATTTTATTACTAAGCTGACAAATGTTCATTTTGTCAACAGACAGATATACCTTCACCATTCAAATCAGAAGATTAGGTATTTGTCTCTAAATAACTTAAGTCATACCTGAAATGTTAGTGGTTCCCCCTTAATAGATAACTTCGAATACTACATTAGCATTTCCATCTCAATTTCAATCAGTTCAGGTAAACTCAACAGTTTAAACAATTTTTAAGAGCCTATTTCTATTCTGGGATTTTGGAATAAATATATGAAGAAGTTGCTGTCCGTCTTAAAGAACGTAGTGTTGCACATGGTATGATACAGATTTTACCTCTCAGACTACCTTTAGAATGATAGTAATTGCCTGAAAAGTATTCTAAGACCATATATAGATTCAACAGAAAAGTTATCGTGATTTTTTTGAGACTATTGCTGAAGATCAAAGAAAGTTGAATGCATCCTAAGCCATAAAGAAGCAGAATGAAGTACGATTTAATTTTGCCTACTGAGAATGGCTTGAGAGTTTGACATTTGAATTGAGCATGGAAAAAAAATGAGTAGGATTACAGAAGAAAAATTGGGAAAGCATTTCAAGCAGAGAGACAATAATGTAAAAAGACATGCATGAGCTGGAAAGGATATGACTTGCTTGGGCAATAGTGTTTTGGAAAGTGAGTAGGTACCTGTAGCACTAGGAGGAGTGGCAGAAACGTAGAATAAATGGTCTTGAATTACAGGCTAAGGTTTTGGACTCTATCGTGAAGTTACGGGTGGTATCAAAGCAAGTTAAATAATAAATACATGAACAGCGAAGTCTTTTGCCTAAGATTACTGGCAAAAGAACATGTAATACATTTAAAGAAAGCGAAACCCAAAATGAGATTAAATGCTAAAATATTCAGGTAAGAGATGGACAGGATCAATCAAGTGATAAGAGTTCAGACTTGAGGGAGATTAGCAGACCGTTGCGATGTGGGAAATACAAAGGAAAAGGAAGATAAAGACATTTTTAAAACATTCAATGAAACAAAATAAGTAGATAACAATGGCATTAAATAAATTTGCTTTGAACATGTTGAATTTTCAATTTCCTGTTGCAATTATGGAGAGTTGACTATGTTCTAGGTCAAATGTTAACAAACTTTTTGTTAGAGTAGAAGATAGTAAATGTTGTAAGTTTTGTGGCCTATACAACTTCTGTCTCAACTATTCAATTCTGCTATTGAAATGAAAAAAACAAAAAGCCATAGACAATGAATTAGCATGGCTGTGTTCCAATAAAACTTTATTTACAAAAACACATGGCCAGCTTACAGATCTGTAGTTGAAATGATGCCTGAAGATGTGTATTTGGGAAAGTTCTCCAAGAAAATAACACATTTAGGGAAGGAAACCGGAGATTTTTGTGGAAGATTGAGAAGAGGAGATAATTAAAAATACTAGAAGAGAGTAGTCAAACATGTAAAAAATTAACCAGCAAAGAGCTGATTATAGAAGGGCAAATAGCATTTCCAGAAGAAAGGAGTCACTATTGTCCTGTGTTCTAAAACTGCCAAAATTACTCTACCAGGGAATGAATGACCCAGTTAGTCAAATTATGTCATATTTCCTAAAATAATCCAAAATAAAAATCAATTCATTTATTTATTTTTAAAAAACCAATTTATAAGCAATACACTTAGTTGTTCTCAATTAATGGAATATGTAATAGTAAATCTCCTCCCAGCATTTACCATATAATATACAAAATTAAGAGAATGGAGAGAGAAGGTAGTATGCAAATATTGTTTAATATAGTTATGTGATGCTTCCTTGGTGACCAAGTGATCTAGTACTTTCATGGTGAGGGTCAACTGGCTGTTGCTAATTTTGTGATTGTGTCCCACAACAGATCAAAGAGATGCCATTAGGAAATTTCCAATACAAACAGCACTATTAATTATTTGGTGTAAACTCTTACGAAATTATTTAGGAAATATTTGATAAATTTCTCAAGCATTCCCTAAATAATATTGCTTTTTTTCCTGAAGCTATATTCTTCCTGCTTCTTATTTTTCATGGTGGAACAGAACTCAGAGAACTTATTTGGAATAGCAAATGAATTAATACTTTTTTTTCTAGAAATAATACACTGTAAAAATGCTTGCAAGTGTTAAACCCAACTGGAGAAAGATAAAATAATTTCTTAATCAGTAATCAAGAGCTGATTAAAATTATATGTATTTCCTTCCTGAAAAATATATCATTTCTATTCAAGATTTCAAAATGTGTATTGTACATGTAAAGAAAGACATAACCCTCCATCCTATTTGTGGTAATACTTTCTTGGGAACCAAAGGCAACAAATAATAAGCAAATAACAATTCTGATTGCTTCATATTCCAAACCTTATAAAAAATGAGTATTATTCACTAAGGTTTACTTAGCCACAACTCCCATTGGCTTTAATGGGAGTTTTGCCATGGCTGAAGACCACAAATAAGGTCCATGTTTCTGGTAATAAAAAGACTGCCCTGTTACTGTGGAGAAACTGTTAAACCACAGAGTAAAAGAAAACAATTTCATGTCACTGGAGAAGTCTCCAAGTTGACTTCCATTAATGTGTAACCTTATAGTAGGATGTGGATGATTAGAAAGTACTTAGGATAAAGGACAAAGGTTACCTTCCCAAAAGAGAAATTGTGTTTGAGTCAACGGAGATGTAGATGGGAAGCCTAGGGATACTGGCTCCTTTCCCGTTCTAACACCTATTTGACTTGTCTTCTTTGGCAACTTACATGCATTTCCTCCTTCTCCCCTTGCAGCTGTGCCAAATTCTAGCTCCTGGCCTTGGTCATCACACAGCTGGACTACTGTTACCTTTCCTTCCTACCTTCCTCCTGCATTTCTCCTCTCCAATCAATCTAATGCCATCCTGCTCATATTATATGTATTCCTTGTCATTCAGTCCATGTTGCTTGTCTTTCTAAAAGCTCTCAGTAATTTCCTAATCTTATTTTCATAAAAGCCACTTTTCTCATTTTTGGCCTTTACTTCCTCAATGACCAAAATGTACTGTCTGTTTATACTCACCAAACTGATCTGTTCAAGTGGGAACACTAATAAATCCAACAGAGAACATGTGCTGAGGTAACTCAGCCCTTCTGAATTCCAGGGGTTTGAAAAATATGTGTCTCAATCAGTTTATGATTCTATCAAGTAGGAAAATAAGATTCATGAAGCCATTTCTTTGGGGTTTTTCTCTTTATTTTTATTTTAATGTCAAAGAAGAAGAGTTTCATTTAGATTTGATTACCCAAAGTCCTTCTTTGTCTCTCTACATAATTAAAACCATAAAGTTTTTGAATTTTGAAATTATCTAGTCTGTGGTTTGAAAACTGTTATTGTTTTCATAGCCAAATTAGTTATTAAAGACACACTGTACCATTAACCTGGGTGGGGTGGGAGTCCCTGACTACTACTCACCCTATCTCCTGTACTGGTCCTTAGAGGTTGCTTAGGGCCATAGGACACCACCAATATACTCCAACCTCCTCATTGTAATATATTAGAATCCTCCTCGTTGTAATATATTGGAATCAATCAATCAAAGTGTCTCGATTCCAAGACTAGGTTCTTCCACTCTGGATTTTAAAACCATTCTTCTTTATTGTTTGTTTGGGAACCTATCCATCAAGGTTAAATGGTTCTGTTATTATTTTCAGCATAAATGAGGGGAATAACCATATTGCCTCCAATGGAGTTCTATGAGGTCTCTATAAAGTGGCCCAGATTTTCCCTGATCACCAAGCCGTTAACATACATTTGGAAACTTTCTTGAGTCTATTAACTGTCTTAGCTAACCTAATGATAGAAATGAAAATCACACGTCTTCACCAAAAAACACCATAAATAAATATCCTATCTATATAAGTCTAATGGATTGAACTTATAGGACTACTTGATAATTATTTTCATGGTTGAGAAAAAGAAATATTTGGGTAGGAATAGTCTCTAGTCAGGCCCACCTCTAATGTTTGTGAAAAAAGGGCACAGGGTGAGACTACATAAGGAGATTGATGTATCATGCATCTAAAGATTTTAAAGCTGTAAGTCAATCTAGGCCCACAGCCATGTCCAGTTCCTGTCCTCCCACCCATAGTTACCCTGCTCCCAAAGGACTGCTGTCATATTCCCGGGCCTTGAGGAGTCCTGGGCTCTTGATCAGCCCTCATTTGCTAAGTGAATCTTCTAGTGCAGGACAGAGCAGAAAATGAGGCTGAGCCCAAGATCCCTGGATGATGTGCAGATTCATTAGAACCCAAAAAGAGACTGACCTGGTTTGGCTCTCAGTGATATGGTATAGAGAATTTTCTCTCTTCACGCCTCACTTCTCTGACTCAAGACCTTCAGGTTAAGCACCTCCTCAAACTGTCACTTATTCTGCAAATCTTGATTTTTCACATTTGTTTTCCAAGCAGAATTCAGTCAAAAGAATGATGAATTCAACATGTTCAATAGCCATTCCTAGACGAGAAAGTACTAGAGGTTTTTGTAGTTTAATTGATGCTAATATTTTACATTTACATACATTTAGTGGAGTCTTGTATGTGTTGCAAAGGAAGGATCTGACCCTGTCTGATTAAGAGTGAATAAGCCAACAAATAACCAAACACCTTGTTGAAGGAAAACTTTCTAGTTATGTGGTTTTGGAGCCAGAATTTGGAGGAATTTTCAGTTTGGGAGCTACAAAGCAGTATAGGCGCAATTTAGAAAATAGCTTGTCTGTTAAATGTTTCCTCATAATTGAGGTAAATAATTGCTTTAAAAAATACAATTTGGGTTTATAAAAGAAGTGATATTCACTATTAGTTTCTCCTTACCTTACCAAATCATATGTAAGATTCTTATTCCAATTGAGAATGACTATAATATGCAGATTTTATAAAATCATTCACTTCTGAAATCATGCTATTGAGTAAGAAATGAATGCCTTCAACCATCCGCTGAATTCTGTAGCTAATACGGGCATTGACAAAAGTTTAGACACACCAATGCACGGTGCTTCCACATTAGAAATCGTTTGGCATCTGTAGTGCTTCCACGCCTGCTGTTATTTTCCATTGACAGGTAAGAGTGAGGTTTTGACACTCTTAATATAACATAGGGTGTTAATCTTATAATCACCCTGTCAGCACTTTCTGTCAGAGTGTTAATGGCCACCTTTCAGCCACTCAGCGGCTCTTGCCAAAAAAAATAATATCGGCATCCAGCCAACCAGAAGTTATTCAGCTCCTTTTTTTCTCTTCATTTTTTTAAGAGCAACGAATAAATTAAAACACACACAGACACACACACACCAAAAACCACCCTTAGAGATGGAAGTCAACCTCTATGCCCTGCTTGCCTACTTCTGTGGTCAACCCCCTGCCTGGTAATAAAATTCAAGCTTGGTCTGAGTCCTTGCAATACATTTGAACTATTGGAAGTGTTTCTTCATTTTTATATAAATATGCCAAGGAAAAGGCCTATCTTGACTGAAAATGTAAAGCATCCTTTCAACCAGATTGAAGCTACAGTTACTAATATACAATTAAGAAACACCAAAGAACTAGGGCATTGGAAAGCAACTAATATTCATATAGGTATGTTTATTACACCATGGAAATCTCTAGAATCCATTTCATGTAGAACTTGGAAATGAAAGAAATTAAAGGAAATTATAATTACTAAATTTTTATGTTTTGGATTTGATCACTTTATTGGATAAAAAAATGGTCAACAAATTCTGCCTTTTGCCTTTTTTACTAATCAGCTAGCAAATACAAGACTAGGAGGTAAAAACGAGAGTTGACTGTGTAGGGAAAGTGTTTTGACATGCTTACGGTTTGGTTTCCTGATATTCATTTCACTCTTTTGACATTTCTTTCTTCCCTTACCTTCAAAAAAAAGTCCATTTGGGTTTGAGGACTTCCATTCTCTGTTAATTGCTATCTTTCAGCTCATCTAACCCGAACACCCTGTGTTTAGAAGTTCTAAATTAGTGCTTTTTTGTGGCTATATGTGTTTGTAATATGTTTGACAAGAAAGTAGCTCTATTATGCATAATCTCTTTTTGAAATATCAAGATATTTAAACATCAGAAATGCACTTCTCCCAATAAAGTGTCTACTCATAAATCTACAATTTATTATAATCACAAAAACAGTATAAAGGTCTAACATACAATGAACTGAATTTCTCACATTTTGTTTTAGCTGCTGTGCCTTTTTTTAATCTCTCATGTGTTAAGTTTTAAAAGAAGTGGCATGTATGCAGTAGTACTATGAGTAGAATTGATTAAAACCACAAAGAGTTTCTTCAACAAGTTGACTGATTTATTGTATGTTAAGAATAGAGATGTCATCCTTTTCTTTTTAATCATAATGCTTTTAGTGCTGTTTTATTTTTCCTAATGGCAGACTGCATATGAAAAATATATTTTCAAGAAATAAAATTCCAAAGAAATTCACATTATCCTCTTCTCATTGAAAAATAAGTGAAATGTATCAGCAAACCTTTCATTGGGTTTGGCTGTCAAACAGGAAAAACAAGGAAGTAACAAGTATGGAAACTCAATTTTATAGTACATGGGTCACACACTTTTCTAAAAGAAATTCCCTTTCCAAAATGCTGATTAAAACAGGCTGAAACTACAATTTGAAGCTACAGAATCTGACATTAGTTTTTTTAAAAAGAATGACAAGTTAATCAAGATTTATTTGTATTATGTTTTGCTGAGAGACAGAAAGTAGGAGCGGAGGGAGAGGACAAAGTAAAAAATTAAGCTAAGAGATAAATTCAACTGAACCTCTCTCGTTAAGCCATTATAATTGTCTCAAAGAAATATATTGAAATCTAAATTAGTTCTAAGACTCACTTGTCTCACATGGTAGAATTTCAGTGAAATTGTGGTATATAAAAATAAAGTGGTTTCTAAGTTATTTTCTAAAGATTACTCCTTTTTAGGTGAATGAAGATACCAATGTAATTTCCTATAAATCCTTAATTTGATCTGTTAAACTAGATTAAATTAGATAAGGATTCTCCCACTTCCTCCAGAAGAGGATCTAGTTTTAACTTCTGAAAGTCTTCAGTGTTCTGGAAAAAAGGGTTAGAGAGTTATGAAGATTTAGGATGAGGCTTGGTAGAAACAGATATGTGGCCCAAACCACTGGGATTGGTCTCTGACACCAGTTGTTTGCCCTAGCAATCAACTGTATTAGACTTAAAGTACTGTAGAACATGATCAACTACTTGAAGACACTCTATTTAATGAACTCTAAGTTTCCATAATGTTGTCTTAAACAACAATTTATTTCTCAAATAAGTTTTATGTCTACAAAGTATATATTACTTTTTCTAAAAACATGTAGAAAATTTTAGTTTCTTTCTTTTCCAAGTCATTTTTAAATTGTAGTAATTAAATTGTATTTTAATTTACATTTTCATTCACTACTCCAAATATATAATCATAATCTGAGTATGTTCTTAGCAAAGCGTTATACACTTAAAAATGAAGCACCTTCATATTCTTTGTCTTTCTTGCTATTCCACAACTTTGTCATCCTCATAATATGAACAGACTCATTTTCGTGATCACTCATCTTTTTCTTGCTTCTGGATAGATAGTCCAGCATTCTGAGTATCTCACATTCACCTGAGTTAGGTTTTCCAGACACCAGGACACATGGCATAATATTAGAGAGGTTTCTTTGCAGTTAATACAAGTAAATACAAGTTAAATAATTTTCCCTGAAATATTAAATAATAGGAAAAATTATATTTAGTAATAAAAGGCACCACTTAGCTTTGTTCTTATATTGGCACACAAGGAAAGAGACAATTACAAATAATCGTGAGTACATCACAGAAGTGGTCTGTTTGCAAGCAAAAAATAATAATGACTTTAGGGTGACTTTATAAAGAGTGACTCCCTTTGAAGAGGATGGAGCTCACAGTATTACAAGGAAGGCTGAAGATGAACAGTTTTTTAACCGTCCGGAACCAGAGAAACTCAGAGTGTCTCAGCGGCGAGGGTTGCTTGATAATCTTAGGAAAATGGATTAAACCCACGTCATCCTTTTGGCCTTGCTTTACACTGCTCAAGCTTTAAAATCCTTAGCTTTGCTAGTGTGGTAAGATACAGAAAGCATTCCTAGTAATTTGAAGGTAGCTTCTGAAGTAGGAGGGCAGTCTCAAGGACTTTATGTTCCACCAAGATGGCTTTCAAAGAGAGGCATATCTCAAATTAAATTGTGGTGCTGGGTGGCCAAAATATTAAAATCCATTACAGTAGTATTTATCTTTACAAGTGAAGCACTACAGTTTCCCAGCAGTGGCAAGAAAAACATATAAAAATGTGATGGTTAGGCAATAAGAAGAGAAAGGGGAAAAAAGAGCTTACTTTTATAGATAGTTTAAAACCAACCAAATGAAGACTTATGTTAACATACCCTAATGACCCAAAACATTAATGACTTAGAAGTTGCAGTTTTAAGTCACTAGGAGTTGACTAAAAGAAACAAGTGTTAAGACATTTACTAAGGCTGATGACAGTTTGCTACTAATAAAATCATTAACAGAGGATTCTGAAGCATTTTGGCAGTACTCAACATGCTCGAATCACTTTCTCACACCTAGTTTAAAGGAGTTCTCTTGCTTCCTTTTTATCATTAAACAAGCTTTTCTTAATTAGCAGTTACCCTCTGAAGTTTGCCAAACACAGCTTGGCACTTAGTCTAACTGAATATGGGATAGACTTAAGAACAAACTTTAAGAAAATTACTTTACGATCTTTTATTAAATGTAGCAGATGAAAATACAAATGAAAACAAAACAAATTTTTAAAATATCTCTACAAACATATCAAAAATATTTTTTTAATTTGGGAACACTCAGGAAAAAAATAAAAATGTAAACTGAGGAATTGTATGCAAATGAGGATTAAAAACGGTATAGATAATATCAATAGCTAGTGTATCCTCCCACAGAGAAACATAAAAAATTTGAAATAAACAATAGTAAAATCCAACTGGTTTTTAGTTATACTCCAAATTGTTTCACTGGAAGCAGAAAACAAAACTATCCTCCCTTAACTGGTTGATTTAACTAAAGAAAACTTAAACCTTCCAATTCTCAAAAGCTAGTTTTAAAAACATATTATAAGGAAGTTAAACTGACCTATGAAACCAGTAACTGAAAAGCAAAAGAGAACAGCTTTTTTTTTTTAATTGGCCAATCAATGGACATCTGCACAGAAAGAGGATTCATGTTGTGAGGCAAGGAGATAAATGGAAAATGATTCCTGTTCTCAGAATTTAAAATCCATTTCAACGAGATAAGGACAATTATGCAGGAAACTGGTAAGTAAAAAAAACAGAAAGTGCTTATATTGTGCAAGAAAGCAGAAAATTCAGTTGAAACTTGAGGATGAGAGTTCTGGAAGAGAAGGGGCAGGATCCCATGGTGTGGTGTAGGTTGGTGTTGGTGACACAGAAGATTCACCTGGCCAAGCCAAGAAATGTAAAGAATGTTGATTAGGAGACCATATTAAGGGAAGCCTTAAAAGGCATACAGAAGAAATGTAGAGGTATTTGTACCTAAACCACAGCAGCTTGATAAGCCTATGATGTAAATCAGAGAAAAGTCTGGAAGAGATTTGCAGGAAGGATATATCTGTCTCTATGCTTCTTCGACATGATAAACACCAATAGATTTAAAATAGAAGCTGAAATCAACTAAATCATAGAGACCAGAAAATGTACTGCCAAGAAATGGAAAACCCACAGTTACATCAATGATGTGACTCAAACGAACAAAAAAATAAGATTTTTTTTAAGTTAGGAGCATTATTTAATCAAGCAACTGAATGCAAATGTCAGCCCCTACTTTATTCATGCTGCTCAGCTCTAATCATCCAGGTCTTTAACCTCCACCCTCAGGGCAGCCTAATCTGAAGCCAATTCTGCATAGAGCAGAGAGCGTATTAGGATCCATAGTCTGTGTGTCTGGTTACACATCAAGACATCCATGTGCATTTATCACTTCTCCCTTTTCAAATTCTGCTAAGTTATCAGAAAGTAAAAGAGGGAAAGAAAGAAATGAAAAGAGAGGAGAGAGAGAAAGGAAGGCAGGCGAGGAGCCAAACACAGACTAGTAATTTCAACTACAGTACCTAATTACTTTTTGAAAGAGAAGGCTCATGGAAGGGTAACTATCTTAACTGAGGAGAAGTTGAAAACTTAGTGTGTGCAGAGAGGAATACCAAAAAAGAGGAGATAATTTTCTCCTAAAGAATGCTGGGCTTGGAGGTAATAATTGGTCAGAGAATACAAGATACAGTATAAAAAACAGAGAATGCTTGGAAAAATCTGTGTACGGAACAATTGTCACGCCCCTCTTGAACACATTCATCATATTTTCCAATGTATAGAGCAGTCTCTGGACTCCCAGAAAGCTGTGCAGAGAAGTAGCTCCACTAGGGCATTAAAACAATAACATGGAGTCAAATGGATTTGATCACAAAGCAGATATCATTTTATTTATATTTTTAAAATTCATTTTTAAGCTTATAAATTCTCTGAATCCATCACTTATCTGTGTATTCCTTCTGAAATATAAATTCACTGCTTCCACATCAGTGAAACCTTCAGCAGCTCTTTGTTAAATCCTAGAGATAAAAAGTGATGAAAATAAAGTTATATAAAGCTTAAGAATTTGCTGTGAGATATATTTATTTATGTTCTTTCTGGAAACAGAATGGTTAACTAAGATACTTTTAGTTGGACATTTTAATTTATCCAGTTCCAAAATGCCCTTTAAATATGATTGAAGGTATAATAACAATGAATATAATCATATTTTTCTTGGAATTTATCACCACTTTTAAAATAATTGGTATTTAATTGGTATTTTATTTATTTTCAAGAAGTTTTAGTTTTCTATTGTTACTTGGAGGAAGTAACACATTAAATAGGGTGGAAACAAATACTTTTGTTTCATTGGCTGAGTTTACCCATATTTGTCATGTGCTGCCCATCTGGATTTTAAAAGTTCGAGATTCATGTTGAACTGGAGAAGAAAGATCTGTGCAACAAAAGCAACGAACGCTTATTTTCCAAGGAGTTCCATTTGCAATTACAAATGTTCATCTTCTTCAAGAATGTCATTAAATGTCATTTTTTGTCTTTTTTAAAGCAATAAAAGCGTGTAGTCTTTATTTTCCACTTAATAACAAGCTTAAAATTGAGAAAAGTGTAAAATCTCAGCTTACCTCCTTAATTCCTTGGCCATTTTCTATCACTTGAATTTGACACATTGAAAGTTAATTAGGACATAACCGGATCACTCACAGAGAGTTGTATTTTGGCCACTCTCAGTCATATTTTCAATCTTAAAGCAGGCCGCTTCTAGGGCGGCGAGCTGTATGCATGTGTGAATGCCATTAGGAGAGCATCAGTAAGAGACTGGACTGAAAGGGCACACTCAGGATGTGTTCCACTCCAAAAGCACTCTAAAAATTTGAAGTTTGAAAATTGATTCAATATGTGGAACACATAAATATGTAGTCTTCTAAAAATCACACACAGATTTATTTTTAGTAGTTTTTTATCTTTTAACAAACTTGTGCAATAGTATTATATAAGATTTATGTGAAGAGACACTAAAAAGATATATACTGTATTGGTTGGGATTAACAACTTTCAGCATTATTTAATATTAAATTATTTTTCACAGTTAAGCTATCCTTTGCATTATTTTCTTGTCCTGGTGTTTCATTTTATAAAGAGTATAGTATTAACTCTTTATTAATTTTTAAATAATTATAATAGCTACGTTTATTGAGTACAAGCACCATGTTAATTTGTGATGTTTAATCATCTCGTTTACTCTTCAACTTTCCAGAAGTTTGTGTTTGGTTTATATAGAATCCCATTTATATAATCTATTTGCCTTTCTAGACAATTTATATCTTTATCATGGGTCACCCAAAAAGCAATGGTCAAAATTATACTCCATATTCCAAGTGAAATGTGACAGAATATTTGCACAAACAAAAGCATTGTATTAGGTTTATGATCGTTTTCTTGACTATCAAAAATTACAAAGCCAGCATCCTCAGGAAATAGAGGAGTATAGGCTATAAACTATTTGATTATTTCTCTTTCAATACTTTACATTTGTCATGAATAAAATGTACTTGTCATTATAACAAATTGAAATTTTGGATTAAGAAAGTTACTAGCCTGTGTTCATAATGGGGTCTTTTACTGCTGCCATTTTTCTTCTCATTTTTTCAAACTGTTGGTACGCTGAGGATGACATTCATTTATTCTGTACCTCAAGAAATTTCTTTACTTGAATACCTAGTACCTAGAACTTACCAATCGAATGAGCAAGTCTACCTAGGTTGAGAAGATGGTGAAAACAGATTAAAAGTTATCAAGGCATATTTAGCACAGGTCTAAGCTTTCTATTACAATAAAAGACTAGAGTTTGTGATTGAGTTTCATCTTGTCTTACCTTTTACTAAGTGTGAAGCTTCCTTCTTTAATCTGTCAGGTCCAGTTGTATGAAAGAGAAAATACCATAAGCATTTCAAAAGGAAAAGGACTTATTATAGATAATTAGATGTTTACAAAATCATTGGAAGAGCTGGAGGAATGGCAGCCAGGGGTCAACTGGATTGAAGGTAGAAAATAATTTGTAAGAACCAACCACATTATCTATTGCACTTACTCAGTCTAGCCATTCAGACTTTCAAGCCCACTTGAAAATCCCACATTAAATAAAAGATCATGTATAAAAGCAATCAACATTTAGTATGAAAATTAATAAGCTCTTAATCGATTATCTGGTACTAGTTAAATATCCTCTTTAAAGATACTTTTCCTAAATACGTGTTTTTCCCCAGGGTTTCAGATCGATATCCGGATATCAGGTTTATCACAGATCTGGAAATTAATATCAAGAGATAATATGTCCTTTCATATCCTCATGAAAATCTCCCTAATGCCAAATATGGGGGCAGGAAGGGTTAGTTCATCAAATACAGTATAATGGAAAGAATATAGATTTTTACACCAGTGTTTGAGATGACCATGAGCTCCAACTCTGGCTTCAAAATTTAACAGCCATGAGATCTTCTACAGATTACTTATCCTCATAGGCCTTTGTCTTCTTATTTAAAAAAAAAAAAACACTAAAATACTCCATAGGGTTGTTTTGAGAAGTAAATAATATAATGTGTTTTAGTGTGAATAAATGGGAATATTGATTGAATTACCTATATAGCAATGATATTGTGTCACACTTCTGCCTCCCTTTGTCTATTGTGATATTTAGGAGATAAGCAAATTACCAGTTTCATTATCATAAAAAGAGAGATAAAGAGAATGCAATGACTACCACAAAATATGGAGAGAGATGATAGATACAATTTGGTATAAGGAAATGCATAAGGTGAACCAATTTTTCTTTTGTAGTAAAAAACACATAGCATAAAATTTACCATCCTAATTAATTTTAAGTATACAGTTCAGTAGTTTTAACTATATTCACATTGTTGTAAAACAGATCTTCAGAATGTTCTCATCTTGTAAATCTGAAACTTCATATCCATTAAATAGCAATATCCCTTTCCTCCCTTCCCCCAGGCCATGGTAAACATTATTCTATTTTCTGTTTCTATGAATTTGACTACTTTAGACAACTCATATAAGTGGACTCTTAGAGCATTTGTCTTTTTGTGACTAATTTATTTAACTTAGCATAATGGCCTCAAGTCTCATTCATGTTGTAGCATATGACAAGATTTCCTTTCTTTTTAAGGCTGACTAATATTCCCTGGTGTGTGTACACCATATTCTGTTTATCAATTCATCTTCCTTCGGACATTTGGGTTGCTTCTACCTCTTGATCGTTGTGAATAATGCTGCTGTAAACATGAATATGCAAATATTTTTTCAAGATCTTACTTTCACTTATTTTGTTTATATATCAAAAGTTGGATTGCTAAATCATACATTGGTTGTATTTTTAATTTTTGGAGGCACTTCCATACTGTTTTCCACACTAATTGTACCATTGTGCAATCCCACTGAAATCCATATGGGTCCCAATTTCTTCATATCTCTCAAAACACTTGTTTTTTTTTACTTTCATAGTAACTATCCTAATGAGTGTGAAGTAATATCTTATTTTGGTTTTAGTTTGCATTTTTCTGATGATTAGAGATATTAAGCATTTTTTATATGCTTGTTGGCAATTTGTATATCATCTTTGAAGAAATGTCAATTGAAGTTCCTTGCCCATATTTTAATTGAGATATTTGATTTTTTGTTGTTGAGTTGTGGGAATTCTATATATATTCTGCATATGAACTCATTATCAGATATGTGATTTGCAAATATTTTCTCCCATTCTAAATACACTTTCAATTTGTTGATTGAGCCTTTTGATGCAAAAAAGGTTTTAAGTTTGAAATAGTCATATTTGTCTATTATTGCTTTTGTTGCCTGTGCTTTTGGTGTCATAGCCAAAAAAATCATTGCCAGGTTTAAAGTCATGTAGCTTTTCCCTGATGTTTTCTTCTAGGAGTATTAGTTCTTACATTTAGGTATTGAATCCATTTTGAATTAATTTTTGTATATGGTGTAAGGCGAGGTTCCAACTTTATTATTTTGCATGTGGATATCCACTTTTCCAAATACCATTGTTTGAAGAGACTAGCTTTTCCCTGTGGTATCCTTGTTAGAGATCATTTGACCTTATACCCAGGGGGTTATTTCTGGGCTCTCTATTCTACTCTATTAGTCTATTTGTCCCTTTATGTCAGTACCACACTATTTTGATTACTGTAGCTTTGTAATATGTTTTGAAATCAGAGCATATGTCTTCCAACTTTGTTCTTTTTTGAAATTGTTTTTGCTATTCTGGGTTTATTTAAATTACACACGAAATTTAGGATGAATTTTTCTATTTCTGCAAAAAAAAAAAGCCATTGACATTTTGGTAGAAATTGCATTGAATCTGTAGATTTCTTTTGGTAGAATGAACGTCTTAACAATATTAAGTCTTCCAACCCAAGAACACAAGATGTTATTTTTCAATTTATTTGTCTTCTTCTTCTCCTTCCTCTTCCTCTTCTTCTTCTGCTTCTGCTTCTGCTTCTGCTTCTTTTTTTTTTTTAGCATGGAATGTGACATACTGCTTCACCATGCATCTGTTGGGGAGTCAGGAGCTAAAGCATCAACATAGTAGGACAGTTTTCCTCTCTATGGAAAGTATATAATATTATAAACACTAAAGTTTTAATAGAAAACCATACCTTACTTTAAATTTGGGGCCTTTATTCAAGTGCTCTCTAAAGAAGGTTTCTGTGCTCCACTCAAAGGACTTTGGCCAGTTAACCCTATATGGTATTTTATTCCTGCTCAAACTGGGCACCATCTGTGGCCACAGGATTAGCAGTAATGGTTTCTGCAAACAGAAACATTAGTGATGATGCCATCTACCAACAGAAACATTAGTGGTAATGCCATCTACAAACAGAAACCGTTTTACTTCTTTCTTTCTGATTTGGGTGCCTTTTATTTATTATTCTTGCCTAATTACTCTGGCTAAGACTTTCAATACCATATTGAATAGGAGTGCCATGGACATCTTTGCCCTGTTCCTGATCTTAGAGGCAAAGCTTTTAGTCTTTCTCTTGAGTTTGATGTTATCTCTGGGCTTTTCATAAATACCCTTTATTATGTTGAAGTAGTTCCTTTCTATTACTAGTTTGTTGAATATTTTTATCATGAAAGAGTGTTAAATCTTGTCAAGTGCTTTTTCTACATGTATTGAGATGATCATGTGGCTTTTGTCCTTCATTCCGTTAGTGTTGTATTTGACATTGATTGATTTTCATATGTTGAAACATCCTTGCATTCCAGAAATAAATTCCATTTGGTCATAGTGTATAATCTACTAAATGTGCTGTTGAATTCAGTTTTCTACTGTTTTAAAAGGATTTTTGCATGAGTAGTCATCAGTGATATTGACTCAATAGGTTTTTATTTTCCTTAGAGTGTCTTTGCCTGGCTTTAGTATCAGGGTAATGCTGTCTTGACAATGTGCTTGGAATTCTCTATGAAGCCATCCAGTCCTGGGCTTTTCTTTGTTGAGAGGTCTTTGAATACTGACTCAATCTCCTTATTCATCATTGGTCTGTTCAGATTTTCTATTTCTTCATGATTCAGTCATGGTAGGTTGTATATTTCTAGGAATTTATCCATTTATCATAGGCTATTCAATTTGTTGGTTTATATTTGTGCATAGTATTTTCTTATAATCCTTTTTATTTCTGTGCTATCAGTTGTAATGTTTTCTCTTTCCATTATTGAAAGGAGTGTATTAAAGTCTTCAACTATTATGTTGCTATCTCTCCCTTCAATTCTCTCAAAGTTAGCACTATATATTTACTAGCTCTAAGGTTTGGTACATAAACATTTATAATTGTCATATTGTCTCAGTGAATTGGCCCTTTTATCATACAATATCTTGGTTTCTTTTGTGAAATTTTAAAATTTGAAATCTATTTTTTTATTTATTTCAAGCATTGCTTTATTTTTTTCTTTTTTTAAAAAATTTCTTCTTAAAAAAATAAAAACAGGATACATGTGCAGAATGTTCAGGTTTGTTACATAGGTATGTGTGTGGCATGGTGGTTTGCTGCACCTAATGACCCATCCTCTAAGTTCCCTCCCCTCACCCCCCAACCCATCAACAGGCCCCAGTGTGTGTTGTTCCCCTCTCTGTGTCCATGTGTTCTTATTGTTCAACTCCTACATATAAGTGAGAACATGCAGTGTTGGGTTTTCTGTTCCTGTGTTAGGTTTGCTGAGGATGATGGGTTACAGCTTCATCCATGTCCCTGCAAAGGACATGATCTCATTACTTTTTATGGCATCATAGTATTCCATGGTGTATATTTACCACATTTTCTTTATCCAGTCTATCATTGATGGGCATTTGTGTTGGTTCCATGTCTCTGCTATTGTAAATAGTGTTGCAGTAAACATATGTGTGCATGTGTCTTTATAGTAGAATGATGTACATTCCTTTGGGTTTATACCCAGTAATGGTATTGCTAGATCAAATATTATTTCTGGTTCTAGCTCCTTGAGGAATTGGCATACTGTCTTCCACAATAACTGAACTAATTTACATTCCCACCAACAGTGTAAACACATTCCTATTTCTCTATAGCCTCACCAGCATCTATGGTTTCCTGACTTTTTAAATAATCTCCATTCTGACTGTCACAAGATGGTATCTCATTGTGGTTTTGATTTGCATTTCTCTGATGATCAGTGATGTTGAGCTTTTTATCATATATTTGTTGGCCACATAAATGTCTTCTTTTGAGAAGTGTCTGTTCATATCCTTTGCCAACTTTTTGATGGGGTTGTTTGTTTTTATTCTCGTAAATTTGTTTAAGTTCCTTGTAAATTCTGGATATTAGACCTTTGTCAGATGGGTAGATTGCAAAAATTTTCTCCCATTCTGTAGGTTGCCTTTTCACTCTGATGATAGTTTTATTTGCTGTGCAGAAGCTCTTTAGTTTAATTAGCTAACATTTGTCTATTTTGGCTTTTGTTGCAATTGCTTTTGGCATTTTTGTCATGAAGTCTTTGCCCATGCCTATGTCCTGAGTGGTATTGCCTTGCCTAGGTTTTCTTCTAGAGTTTTTATGGTTTTGGGTTTTACACTTAAGTCTTTAATCCATCTTGAGTTAATTTTTGTATAAGGTGTAAGGAAGCGGCCCAGTTTCAGTTCTCTGCATGTGGCTAGCCAGTTTTCCCAGCACCATTTACTGAAGAGGAGATCCTTTCCCCATTTCTTGTTTTTGTCAGGTTTGTCTAAGATCAGATGGTTGTAGATATGTGGTGTTATTTCTGAGGTCTCTGTTCTGCTCTATTGGTCTATATATCTGTTTTGTACCAGTACCAGGCTGTTTTGGTTACAGTACCCTTATAATATAGTTTGAAATCAGGTAGCCTGATGCCTCCAGCTTTGCTATTTTTGCTTAGGATTGTCTTGGCTATCTGGGGTCTTCTTTGATTCCATATGAAATTTAAAATAGTTTTTTTCTAATTCTGTGAAGAATGTCTATGGTAGTTTGATGGGAATAGCATTTAATGTATAAATTACTTCGGGCAGTGTGGCCATTTTCACGATATTGATTCTTCCTATCCATGAGTGTGGAATATTTTTCCATTTGTTTGTGTCCTCTCTTATTTCCTGGAGCAGTAGTTTGCAGTTCTCTTTGAAGAGGTCCTTCACATCCCTTGTTAGCTGTATTCCTAGGTATTTTATTCTCTTTGTGGTGACTGAATGGGAGTTCATTCATGATTTGGCTCTCTGCTTGTCTATTGTTGGCATAAAGGGATGCTTGTGATTTTTGCACGTTGATTTTGTATCCTGAGACTTTGCTGAAGTAGCTTGTCAGTTTAAGGAGTTTTTGGCCTGAGATGGTGAGGTTTTCTAAATATAAAATCATGTCATCTGCAAACAGAGACTATTTGACTTCCTCTCTTCCTATTTGAATTCCCTTTATTTCTTTCTCTTGCCTGATTGCCCTGGCCAAAACTTCCAATACTATGTTGACTAGCAGTGGTGAGAGAGGGAATCCTAGTCTCGTACCAGTTTTCAAAGGAAATGCTTCCAGCTTTTGCCCATTCAATATGATATTGGCTGTGGGTTTATCATTAATAGTTCTTATTAATTTGAGATATGTTCCATCAATACCTAGTTTACTGAGAGTTTTAACATGAAGGGATGTTGAATTTTGTCAAAGGCCTTTTATGCATCTATTGAGATAATCATGTAGTTTTTGTCTTTGGTTCTGTTTATGTGATGGATTACATTTATCGATTTGCATTTGTTGAACCAGCCTTGCATCCCAGGAATGAAGTCAAGTTGATCATGTTGAATAAATTTTTTGATGTGCTGCTGGATTTGGTTTGCCAGTATTTTATTGAGGATTTTCACACCAATGTTCATCAGGAATATTGGCCTGAAGTTTTCTTTTTTTAATTATGTTTCTTCCTGGTTTTGGTATCAGGATGATGTTGTCTTCATAAAATGAGTTAGGGAGGAGTCCTTCCTTTTTTATTGTTTTGAATAGTTTCAGAAGGAATTGTACCAGCTCCTTTTTGTGTTTCTGGTAGAATTCAGCTGTGAATCCATCTGGTCCTGGGCTTTTATTGGTTGGTGGGCTATTAATTAGTGCCTCAATTTCAGAACTTGCTATTGTTCTGTTCAGGGATTCAACTTCTTCCTGATTCAGTCTTGGGAGCCTGTATGTGTCCAAGAATTTATCTATTTTTTCTGTATTTTCTAGTGTATTTGTGAAGAGGTGTTTTTAGTATTCTCTAACAGTATTTTGTATTTCTATGGGGTCACTGTGATATCCCCTTTATAATTTTTTATTGTGTCTAATGGGTTATTCTCTCTTTTCTTCCTTATTAGTCTAGCTAGTGGTCTATTTTGTTAATTTTTTCAAAAAAAAACAGCTCCTGGATTCATTGATTTTTTTTCAAGGGTTTTTCATGTCTCTATCTCCTTTAATTCTTCTCTGGTCTCAGTGTCTCAGTTATTTCTTGTCTTCTGCTGGCTTTTGGATTCATTTTCTCTTGCCTTTCTAGCTCTTTTAATTGTGATGTTAGAATGTCAATTTGAGATCTTTCTAGCTTTCCGATGTGGGCATTTAGTGCTATAAATTTCTTTCTTACACTGCTTTAGCTGTGTCCCAGAAATTCTGGTATGTTGTGTCTTTGTTCTCCTTGGTTTCAAATAACTTCTTGATTTCTGTCTCAATTTCCTTATTTACCCAGGAATCATTCAGGAGCAGATTGTTTAATTTTCATGTAATTGTGTGGTTTTGAGTGAGTTTCTTAATCTTCAGTTCTAATTTGATTGAGCTGTGTGGTCTGAGAGACTGTTTGTTATTATTTCCATTCTTTTGCATTTGCTGAGGAGTGTTTTACTTCCAATTATGTGGTCAATTTTAGAATACGTGCCATGTGGCACTGAGAAGAATGTATATTCTGTTGATTTGGGGTAGAGAGTTTTGTAGATGTCTACCAGGTCCACTTGATCTGGAGCTGAGTTCAAGTTGTGAATATCCTTGTCAATTTTCTGTCTCATTGATCTGTCTAATACTGACAGTGGAGTATTAAAGTCTCCTCCTATTGTGTGTGGGAGTCTAAGTCTCTTTGTAGGTCTCTAAGAACTAGTTTTATGAATCTGGGTGCTCCTGCATTGGGTGCATATATATTTAGAATAGTTAGCTCTTCTTGTTGAATTGTTCCCTGTACCATTATGTAATGCCCTTGTTTGCCATTTTCGAACTTTGTTGGTTTAAAGTCTGTTTTGTCAGGGCTAGGATTGCAACCCCTGCTTTTTTTTTTGCTTTCCGTTTGCTTGGTAAAATTTCCTCCATCCTTTTATTTTGAGCCTATATGTGTCTTCGCAGGTGAGATAGGTCTCCTGAATACAGCACACCAATGGGTCTTTACTCTTTATCTAATTTGCCAGTCTGTGTCTTTTAATTGGGGCATTTAGCCCATTTACATTTAAGTTTAGTATTGTTATGTGTGAATTTGATCCTGTCATCATGCTGCTATTTGGTTATTTTGCACACTAGTTGATGCAGTTTTTTCATAGTGTCATTGGTCTTTATATTTTATATTTTGGTGTGTTTCTTCAGTGGCTGGTACAGGTTTTTGTTTTCCATATTTAGTGCTTCATTTAGGAGTTCTTGCAGGGCAAGCTTGGTGGTAATGAAATCCCTTGGCATTTGCTTGTCTGAAAAGGATTTTATTTCTCCTTTGCTTATGAAGCTTAGTTTGGCTGGATATGAAATTCTAGGTTGAAAATTTTTTTCTTTAAGAATGTTGAATATTGGCCCCCAATCTCTTCTGGCTTGTAGAGTTTCTGCTGAGAGGTCCACTGTTAGTCTGATGGGCTTCCCTCTGTAGGTGACCTGGCCTTTCTCTCTGGCTGCCCTTAACAATTTTTCTTTCATTTCAACCTTGGAGAATCTGATGATTATGTGTCTTGGGGTTGATTTTCTCGTGGAGTATCTTAGTGGTGTTCTCTGCATTTCTTGAATTTGCATGTTTGCTTGTCTTTCTAGGTTGGGGAATTCTCCTGGATAATATCCTAAAGTGTGTTTTCCAGCTTGTTTCCATTCTCCTTGTCTCCTTCTGGTACTCCAATCAATTGTAGGTTCAGTCTTTTTATGAAGTCCCATATTTCTTGAAGACTTTATTCATTCCTTTTCATTATTTTTTCTCTAGTCTTGAATTGCATGACTTATTTTAGCAAGGTGGTCTTCAAAGTCTGATATCCTTTCTTCTGCTTGGTCGATTTGGCTACTGATACTTGTGTATGCTTCACGAAGTTCTCATGCTGTGTTTTTCAGCTCCATCAGGTCATTTATGTGTCTCTCTAAACTGGTTATTCTAGTTAGCAATTCTTCTAACTTTTATCAAGGTTCTTAGCTTCTTTGCATTGGGTTAGAACATGCTCCTTTAGCTTAGCATAGTTTTTTATTACCCATCTTCTGAAGCCTACTTCTGTCAATTCACCCACCTGATCCTTCATCCTGTTCTGTGCGTTTGATGGAGAGATGTTGCAATCATTTGGAGGAGAAGAGGCATCCTGGCCTTTTGGGTTTTCAGCATTTTTTCCTTGATTCTTTCTCATCTTCATGAGTTTGTCCAGTTTTGGCCTTCGAGGCTGCTGATCCTTGGATGGAGGTTTTGTGGGGGCTTTGTTGTTGTTGTTGATGCTATTGTTGTTTTCCACTTGTTTGTTTTTCTTTCAATGGTCAGGTCCCTCTTTTTTGGGCTGCTGCAGTTTGCTGGGAGTTCACTTCAGGCCCTATTCATCTGATTCGCTCCCGTGTGTGGAGATATCACTCAAGGAGGCTGGAGAACAGCAAAGATGGGTGCCTGCTCCTTCTTCTGGGACTTCTGACCTTGAGGGTTACCAACCTGATGTCAGTAAGATTGTGCCTGTGTAGGGTCTCTGACAACCCCTGTTGGAAGGTCTCACCCAGTTGGGTGGCACAGGGAATAGGACCAATTTAATGAAGCACATTGTCCCTTGGTGGTGGCAATGTGCCTTGCTAGGGGAAAACCCACTCCTCTGGGCTACCTGGAATCCTCAGAACTACCAGGAGGAAAGGCTAAGTCTGCTAGGCTGCTGAGACTGAGGCCACCCTTCCCCATAGGGGCTCAGGCCCAGGGAGATCTGGGTTCTGTCCCTGAGCCTCTGGCTGGAGTTTCTGGAGTTCCTGCAGGGAAGAACCACCCAATGAGGAAGGATGGGTCAGGGTCAGGCCTGAAGAGGCACTCTGGCTGCAGACTGCCACAGCTGGTATGTTGGGCTGTGGGGGACAAGTCTTGGGACCAAGCAGTCCAGCCTCCCTGCATACAGCAGGGGAAATGCATAGCTTGAATCTATAGAGATGGATAACACCTTTTCCCCACCCAGGGAGCTTAGCATGTTAGGCAGTTGTGAGTCCCAGTGCTGTAAAAAGCACAGTTTCCCTGGCTGGGTAGCACACTCATGGCCTTCCTTGGCTGGGGAGAGGGGGTCCCCTGCCTCATGTGGCTCTCAGGTGGAGAGCTGCACCACACTGCACCACACTGTTCTTCCTTTTCTCCATGGAGTCATGCCAGCCTCCTAGTGAGTTCTGATGAGAGAACCTGAATACCTTGATTGCCAGTGAAGGTTTCACATGCTTATTATGTTTTTTTGTGATAGATCCTCCAAACACACTGTTTTTAGTCAGCCATCTTGGCCCTGCCCCCTTGAAGTCTATTTTATCTTATATTTGTGTAGTCACAAATGTGACTATCTTTTATTATCCTTTCACTTTCATCCTGTGTGTCTTTAGATCTAAAGTGAGTCCCTTGTAGATAGCATAAAAGTGGAATTTTTTTTGTTTTTATTCACTCAGCCAATCTATCTTTTTTTTTTTTTTTTAATAGACAGGGTCAGGGTCTTGCTGAGTCACCCAGGCTGGAGTGCAGTGGTACAAACATAATTCATTACAGCCTCAAACTCCTAGGCTCAAGTGATTCTCCTGCCTTAGCTACCCAAATATCTGGGACTACAGGTGCATGCCATCATGCCAGCTAAGTTTGAGAAAATTTTTTAGAGACTGGGTTTCAGGCTGGTCTTGATCTCCTGGCCTAAAGTGATCCTTGCATCTCGATCTTCCAAAGTGTGGGGATTATAGGTGGAAGCCACTGTGCTTGGTCCAATCTATGCCTTTTAATAGGGAAGTGTAATCCATTTGTACTTAAGGTAATTGCTGATAGGAAAAGGCTTATTATTGCCATTTTGTTCATTGTTTTCTGTTATTCCATGGGATTTTGTCCCTTCTTTTCTCTATTGCTGCCTTCCTTTGTGTCTTATTGATTTTTCTATAGTGATTTTTATTTCCTTTCCATTTCCATTTAAGTTTGGCTATGATTGCAATTACATAAAACACTTTAAATTATAGCATTCCATCTTAAACTTATAACAAATTAACTTTAATTACATACAAAACTTCTATCTCTTTACAGCTCCGCTCTTCCAATTTATGTTACCATTTTTACAAATTACATTTCTATATACTGTGTACCCATTAACATACAATTGTAGTTTTTAAAATGCTTTTGTCATTTAAATTATTTGTATCAAAATTGCAATAGTACAGGTTACTATATTTGTTCATGATTTTATCTTTATGGGAGAACCTTATATTTTCCTACAGCTTTGTGTTATTGTCTACCGTTTTTTGTTTGTTTGTTTGTTTCAACTTGATTTAGTTGCTTCACCATTTCTTGCAGAGCATGTCTAGTGGTAATATCTGTCAGGTTTTGTTTCTCTGCAGAAAATCTTGATTTATCTTTCAATTTTGAAGGATTATTTAGCTGGATACAGTAATCTTGGTCAACAATTGTTGTTTGCCCCAGTACTTTAAAAATATCATCCCACTGTCTTTTAGCCTGCAAAGTTTCTGCTGAGAAATCCACAGAGAGTCGTATTGAGATTCCCTTGTATGTGACAAATCATTTTTCTCTTGCTGTTTTCAAGATTCTCTCTTTTGCCTTTGATTTTAGACTGTTTTATTTCACTGACAGTTCATTTCTTTCCTCAGATTTGGGAAGTTTTTAGTCATTGTTTCTTTAAATACTGTATCTCACCCTTTACTCCCTCTTCTAATTCTAGGATTCCCGTAATGTGTATATTGGCCCCGTTGATAGTAACTCATAAGTCCCAAGGCTCTTTTTTCTTTTCTTCATTCTTTTTTCTTTATGTGCCTCTAATTTGATGATTTCAAATGACCTATTTTCAAGTTAACTGATTCTTCTGCTTTATCAAATCTGCTGCTGAAATTTTCTAATAAATTTTTCAGTTCAATTTCTGTATTTTTCAGCTCCAGAATATTTGCTTGGAGCTTTGTAATAGCTTCTGTCTCTTTGTTGATATTCTCATTTTGTTCATGCAGTTTTCCTGTTTCCATTTAGTTGTCTATCTGTGATCTTCTTTTTTAAAGTTCATTGAATGTCTTGAATATCTCTATGATGACTATTTCAAATTCTTTATGAGGCAGCTCATAGATCTGTATTTCTTAGGGTTGGTTTCTTAGGTTTTATTTTGTTCCTTTGTGTGGTCAAATTTCTTCTTTCTTTGTATGTATTGTAATTTTTTCCTGGGATTTGCTCATTTGAAAAATGACCACCAGTCCCAGTCTTTGCATACTGACCTTGTGCAAAGAAAGATTTTCACCAGTTGGGCTAACTGGAGGTTCTAATCCTCTCAAACTTTTTATGATTTTTTGCTCACCCTGGCATTTGCCTGCAGAACTGCAGCATGTTACTTACTTCTGTTTTCAGTGGCTTTTATACTCTGACACTGGTTGCATCTGAGTCAGGTGAGATAGAAACCAGTCTCTTGGCTAGAGATATGGTTTGGATTTGTGTTCCTGCCCAAATCTCATGTCCAATTGTAGTCCCCAGTGTTGGAGGTGGGGCCTGGTGGGAGGTGATTGAATTATGGGTGGATTTCCACCTTTGATCCTGTTCTCAGGATAGAGTTCTCATGAGATCTGATTGTTTAAAAGCATGTGGCACTTCCTACCTCTATCTCTTCTTCCTGCCCCAGGCATGTGAATTGGTCACTCCCCCGTCACCTCTAACCATGTTTGTAAAGTTCCTGAGACCTCCCAAGGAGCTGAGCAGATACCAGCATTATGTTCCCTGTATAGCCTGTGTAGCCATGAGCCAATTAAACTTTTCTTTATTAATTACCTGGACTCAGGTATTTCTTTATAGCAGTGTGAGAATGGACTAATACAGGCAGTCCCCAATAAGCCAGAGCATTAGATTCAAGGTGCACCCTTTTGTTTCCATTCTAAGAAAGGACCATGGTATAAGAGGTTTTCTTCTAATTGTTTTTGCACTAGCTATGCAGAGAAAGGGGCATAAATGGGCATGACAAATGCTACAAATTTTTTAACCCTTTCACTGGATTTCATCTTGATTTTACAGTGGCCTGGGCACTGTAGCCTTTTGACTGACCTCTAGAATTCTTATGGAGGTATTCTGGTTCATCTATTGTTGTTACTCAGTGTCTCTGTGAGGAAAAGAGAGCGTAACTTCCTAGTCTTTCATCTTGCTGACATTACTCTGAATTTGTTCTTAAAATAATATTTTTAAATTATTCATCATAATCCATTTGTAGATATAAAAATTAGTGGGTAGTTACCAATGATTTTTAATGAAAGAATAGATATGATTAGAATAAAAATATCAGAGAGGATTTCCTGTTGTAAGGCTAAGTACATTATTATTTTGTAATATTCTTAATAGGTGTGTATATGTGTGTGTTTACATGCACATGCACATAGTTTGTACTGGATTAAAATGTTTCTAATGGTAGATCACAAATGAGAAATTTAAAACCCACTATCTTCCAATATAAACTAGTTGGTTTATCTGAAATTCAAACTTAACTTCACATTTCATATGAAGGGTATTTTCTACCTTTGTTAATGCAGGCTCTCCTCTTTTGTTCACATGACTAACTGAAACTAACTGCTTTCACCCTTAATCTTCTCCAATCTTTCCTAAACACTACTGTCAATATGCTTTTTCTGGAATATGATTTTGGTTTTTTGATCCCCTGATTGAAATACATTAATATCCACAGCATTTTCTTCAATGTGTTCTATGAATTTGACAAGTAGCATCATCATTCCTTCTTTGCTGTTCCCTCTCTCTGGTGACCTTATTGAACTTCTGTTTCTCCAACATTCTTTTGTTCATTGTGCTCCAGTGCCCACTCCTTCTCTGTTTGTGGAGCAGGCCAATCTCTTACCTGCTGTAAGGACTTTGCACTTACTGTTTCCTGCAGTATCCTAGCTTTTCTTATGGTCATTCTCATCCTTCATATCTCACGTCAGGCTTTCTACCCTCAGTGAGATAGCCTAGACTTACGATTGACAGAGGTATTAGGCTGATTCAAAAGTAATTTGGTAATTGCTTTTAATGGCAAAAACTGCAATTACTTTTGCAGCAACCTAATAACAAATAAAAATACAAAACACGAAGTTAAGTTTGAATTTCAAATGAACTAGGTATTTGACATTTGCACAGCTTTCATATTCCCCATCCCCACATCTCCCCAGTCTTGGTTGGGTATTGACTCCATGAGTGTTAACATATGTATAGATTCAATGCTCCTTTTATTTAAAAATAAATTATAAGTCACTTCTCTTTTATGATTATAGGTGTGCTTCATTAATATAATGTTTTTTAAATTTATTGAGATGTGTTGTTTGATCTTTAACACTTAAAATATTAATAATGTTTAATATTTAATTGTAATAGTTCAAAATATACCAACTAATAGCACACTACAATTCTTAAAAATGTATATATGTTTCATAAAATGTGTAACATATTAAATGTATACTTGTGAGTAGAATTTCTACTCATTACTCCAATAATTGCTTTCTGCAAGCACTTTGTATCACATACACCACACTGCATTAAAAGTTTCATTTCTATCTCTGTTACCAGTGTAAAGAAAGAATTTTTTCTTATTCATCTTTCTTTACTTAACTTAGTACTTAACATATCTGACCTACAGTAGATTCTCAGTTAAAAAGCTGAATTGAATTACTCTATTTTACTAGCCTTCACAATAAGTAAAAGGAATACATTAGTATAACAGTGGAAATAAACAAAATATATGTAGGAAAATTTTGCAAAAAAAATCAAAACAAAAATAGAATATGGTGGAGAAAAATTTTTTAAGTCAAAATGACATAAAATTTTGCTATAGGTTGTTTATTATAATATTATAAACAAGTTAAATGGAATTATAATCAGCTACACATGTAATTTGAGAAATGGTGTAGATAATATTTCTATGTTTTAAATGAAACAAAGCAGTTGATAAAATGATATACATATTCAATATACAAATACATATACCGTATGTACCTGGAGGATATACATCAAAATATCACCTCAGGTTGGTGAAATTTTAGGAGTTTCTTTATAGTCTTTTTTTATTAGTCCTATTTTATGAATTTTATATCATGAAACATATATTGCTATGTAATAAGAAAAATTATCAATTTTCAAAAATTGAAGCTGAAATATCAACTTTTGCAGCACAAAAGATGGTAGAACTCCCAAAGGAAAAAGAAAAGTCAGGAAAAAATGTAGATATAAATGGAAAGTTAATGAGTTCTTATTTTTGCTTTTTCTCCCTCTTTCTATTATGAAATATTTTTAGCATACAGAAATAATGTTTCCATCTCAACAGCCAAAGAAAGATTTTCTTATTTAAAAATAAACTCAAATCAGGGATGTTCAACAGCAATTTAGACCTTTAATACTTTTTTTGTTTTTAAAAAAAGGAGGGGTGGGGGAGAGCAATTTAAAATGGAGAACAACCTGAGAATCACCCTCATGTGATAGGTCAAAACAAGAAGCAAATGTAGAAAAAGAAATAGATTATTTTCAGGCTAAGCAGTTTGCTTAGTCACTTTTTATATATTGACTCATCTGGTCTTCAAGCTAATCCTATGAAGTAGATATTACATCTAATTCACCGGTGTTGAGACAGGTTCACCGTGGTTAAGGGGCAGCAGCTCCTGTGATTGTTTATAGTAGTAGAAGAAATATCAGAGGGAGAAATATTATCTACTACCATCCAGTGAACAATAATATGTGCAAAGACAGTGCCAGAGCTTTGAATGTATTTGCTTTAATACATTTAATGAAATTAATAAAATGTTTAAATAAAAGCCTGTAGTGGAAGAAGAGAATTGAAAATAGGATCTTAAGGAACAGCCCATTTTGGGGGATAGGAAAAAGAGGAGTCCGAAAAGTAAAGGACCTGATGGTTGAAAAGTAAAAGACAAACCAAACAAATGCCAGAGTTTTCATGAAAAAGGAACTGATGTAAACTGCAATAAGATTGAGGAAGATGCAGCTGAAATTGTTAATGATTAAATCTTGGACTTTCCCAAACTACAGTGTTGGTTGTCTCCACCCTCTATCTTGATCATTCTTATAAACTTCTGGGTCCTGGCTAAAAATGATTCTCTCATTCATTTGGGCTCAAAATGTTTATTTATACTCAGCAATGTCTTTTTTCTCATGACATATCTGGCAAAGTAAGAATAACTCTTTTCTACTTTGCAACATCCAGTTATAACTTTTATATAGATGAAATATGATACTTTAGGTAACTGGTCATCATATTATTGTACCTACTTATACAGCCTTATCAAATCGTTCTGAAATGTAGCTACAAAACTGCATACTTTGCTTCACTGAAGAGCTTAGTTGTGACTATGTCATCCTTATCCAAATCATTATAACAACTATAAAATTAGACATGTTCGGTACCAATCCAATGAAATCTCACTGGCAATATTTAACCAGCAAAGAAATATTATTCATGTTTTACATACCCAATGTTTAACATTACATTTCCTCTAATCCATACTGAATCTGTTAAAAGAAGTACAATATTGGGTGTTGATATGGTTTGGCTGTGTCCCCATTCAAATCTCAACTTCAATTGTATCTCCCAGAATTTCCACGTGTTGTGGGAGGGACTCAAGAGGAGGTAGTTGAATCATGAGGGCTGGTCTTTCCCGTGCTATTCTTGTGATAGTGAGTAAGTCTCACTAGATCTGATGGGTTTATCAGAGACTTCCGCTTTTGCTTCTTACTCATTCTCTCTTGCTGCCGCCATGTAAGAAGTGTCTTTTGCCCTCCACCATAATTATGAGACCCCCCCAGCCATGTGGAAGTGTAAGTCAAATTAAACCTCCTTTTCTTTCCAGTCTCAGTTATGTCTTTATCAGCAACATAAAAATGGACTAACACAGGCGTGATCTGGAAAAAGCTTTTCAAAAGTATAAATAATTTTCACATAACAATTGAAAGAAAATTGGTAAGTTCTTACCTATTGCACATTGGACATGGTAACTAAGAGACATTTCCTTTTTAGTTTTTCTCAATGGTCCTTGCTGATTGAGATATCTAATAATCCTATCCTTTATTATCATTGTCTCATGCTTTGTTCATGACTGCTTTTCAGAGATTTCCATGGAATGATATCATTCTTTATGTTGATTAAATGGCAGCCCATGTAACTTGATTCTCCTAGCCTGCCTCACTCCAGAGGATTTCCAAAGTTAATGCTTTCAGAGTTACTTAGAGTTTAAAGCCTTTTCTTCCCTCTGGGGCCTCAAACTGTTGTCAGAGTATGCAAACTACAGCTAAACTATCTCAACAATTTTCAAACCTATCAGGTCTTTTCCAATTTGGGAGATAACTTCTTGGTAATTAACTCACCTTCCACCAGACTTCCTATCTCTTGTAGTTCCTGATTCTATGCCTCTTGTGTATGAATCAAGTAACATGTTCTTGGATTCTTATCAAAGACAGCCCCATCACCCTCAAGGACTTGCTGAACTACTCTCCAGCATTGCTAGTAAGCTCCTGAAAACCAAGGTCCCTCAATGCTAAGCTTCAGTTTCCTCACAGACCATTTTCCACAATCTCCCTCAAGAGCCAGATCATTGTTTCCTCTTTTAAAACTCTCAAAGATACACAAAGCTGGACGTTAGTTAAAGTGTTGAAAATATTGTATTCTCTAACTACTGACAGTAAGGAAAAGAGCTAAGCTTCATTCCAATTTGCTGAAAGATGATATGGAATTTTAAAGGGAGAATGGGGTGTAGGGAGGGAGAAGAAGAGGGGACTCAATTGAAAAATTACAAAGTGTTGGTCAGTACAAATGTGATTAGGGAAGCTCTGTCTGCTAGTTGTCAATTATGGAAGTTAGGATTCTATCCTCCCCCAGAGACTGTGAGACAGAGGCCCTGTCTTTCCCAATGATTATATTTCAAAGGAATGGCTTTCGGATCCTTAGAAAGACACTCTTGAGTTGTAGGAGATACATATACATCTCAAAAGGACAGTGGAAAATTCAATATTGTAAGCCCCTTTCAGCAAATGCTAAGAAAGAGAGGTCAGGGACCTATGGTCAGGTATTGCCTAAAACAAACACTAACTTCTTTTGACAGCCTTGAGATTTTCAGACAGACTGAAACTTGAAATGGGGGCTAGGTTGTTCCAGCAAAGTGGCCTTAAGCTACCGGAAGTTGTGTTAAAATTTGGTCAAGTCTCTTAGTGTAGGGGTTCAAATGGGATATTCATGCAGAGAGTTTTTGCAGTTGTCAAAGCAAGCCATTCAAGGAATATCTATCCCTAGAAAGTGCTGTCCTTCATTTGTCTCTGCATTCACAAGTTGGAGAACAGTGAGAATGGTCTTCAAAGCCTATTGTTCTAGGAAAGCATATTTCTGAAGGAGCAGAGAATCCTGCTATCCTTTAGAATGTACACCCAGATTTTGAAACAGCTGATTTCATATTCTTTTATAAAAACTTAAAATTAATTATCAGTAATATTTTATCTGGGAATAGTGAGAAAGCATTACCGAACCAACCAGTAGAGAAAGGAAATCCAATGCAGAGGGCTTATAGATGACCAAAGTGACAGAAGATGCTTTGATTTGTATCTGTAGTTGCCAGGATAATAAATCTTAACATTTATCTTAACAACCCTAACATTTTGGTTGATTTCTTTTCAAGAAGCCATTTATCATTTGTACCTGTTATCTACCAAATTTTCTTTTAGCACATGCTTGCCAACAGTTTAGTGTAATGTCTAATTCTGAAGTGTTGGGATTCAGCTGGTGTCATCTGAGTCCCACACACTACCTTGGCCATAATATAACATGGGCGATCTATTAACCATTCGTATTCAGAGTTAGGGGTCATAGGAAATATGTGGTAGGCTATGACTCTTTTAATACTCTATAATGCAAGAAATTAAACTTGTCCTTTTTCATTTCTTCAAAGGCTGGGTTTAAATTAAATCTTAACCAGAAAATTAATATAAAGCTGATAAAATGTGGAACAGTTCTGGCAAAAATTGAAGGAGATATCCAGATCCTACTTACTCATCAACAGAGAACACCCCTCTCCCTATGGAAATCCATCATACAATTCTGTAAACATATAAGATTCTGTAGAAAACTTTGCAAACTACTGGTTAGGTGAGAACCACTAAGTTTCACTGTGTGTAAAGGCACACGGGGCTGATACCCAGCAAGGGCAGAGACCTTCAAGCCTGGTATCCTTCCAAGGCTATGTTTTCCCAGAGAAATGCCTCCCAGGCTGCAGACCCAACATCTTTGAGGCTCTATGCCCTGAAAAGGAGCCCTGAAGTCATCTAAGGTTTCCCAGCTCTAAAAGTTTTCCTCTTTGGATTAGGCCCTTCACCTAAATTTAGTGCTGGACCATTCATAAACTTTCTCTCTATTATATTCTCTACTTGTAAATTCCTCAGTATGCAGTCATTTGTTGATTAAATAAATGTTTAAATAATGTTATAACACTGTGATAGACTCTGAATGTTTACCTTTCATATGAACATTGGAGCCTCATTTAAATATACCTGATGGCTATAATTTAATGTATTTCATACTTCAGGAACTTGGTGAACAGACTGTTCAATAGATCTTCTTTTTTGTTATTTAGTTTTTGTTTCAGAATTATAAACTTAATTCTGCAATCCAGCTAAGCATGGAAGGGAATAAGGAAAATATGGAAGCCAAAGGGACTGCAGTGAGAGCACAAAGATTCTAGGACCCTGCGAGCAAATGAGGTGGAGGGGCGCTCTCCTGAGTTGTAGAAATAATGATTTGGTGGTTAAGATAAAACACAAGTCAAATTTATTAGAGTTGTCCACAGTCAGCAATGGCGATCTTCTTGCTGGTCTTGCCATTCCTAGACTCAGAGCGCTCCATGGCCTCCACAATATTCATGCAATCTTTCACCTTGCTAACGACCACATGCTTGCCATCCAACCACTCTGTCTTGGCAGTGCAGATGAAGAACTGGGAATCATTTGTGTTGGGTACAGAATTTGCTGTGGACAAGATGCTAGACCTGTATGCGTCAAGTTGAAGTCCTCATCAAATATCTCCCCATAGATGGACCTGCCACCAGTGCTATTATGGCATGTGAACTCACTACCCTGACACATAAACCCTGGAATAATTCTTCAAAAGCAGGAACCCTTATAACAAATCCTTTCTCTCCAGTGCTCAGAGCACTACATATTTCTGCTGTCTTTGGAATTATTTCTGCAAACAGCCCGAAGGAGTTGGGGCCCAAGGGCTCACCAGGGATGGCAATGTAGAAGAATACGGTGGGGTTGACCATGGCTGGTAACAGGGGACTCTGGTTGGCCAGTGGCATCGGTAAAGCCTAGATTCTTCAATAAATCTTACATTTTAAACACAATACTACTATTTTAGAAGTACAGATGGTCACTGACTTACAATAGTTACTATTTTTCAACTTTATAATGGTGAAAAAGCAAAATGCTTTCAGCAGAAACTGTATGTTGAGTACTTATACAACCATTCTGTTTTTCACTTTCAGTATAGCATTCAATAAATTACATGAGATATCCAACAGTTTATTATAAAATAGGCTTTGTGTTAGATAATTTTGTCTAACTACAGGTTAATGTAAGTTTTCTGAGCTCATTTAAGCTAGGCTAGGCTAAGTTATGATGCTCAGTAGGTTTGGTGTATTAAGTGCATTTTTGGCTTAAAGATAGAGACTTAACCCCATCAAGTAAAGGGGCATCTGTATACAAAATCAATTTTATAAAAAGTATCATGAAAGAGTAATATAGCAAAGACATAGCTTATTTTTTTTTTCAGAAAATGAAGAGATTCTATTTTAACAGTCCTGAAGATCTAATTGTTAAAGTATTCTTCATAGCTTCCCCTTACTGAATCAGAACACCAATATTCATCGCTGTTTAAAAGAGTCAAATCTGTTTTAAACAAGTTAACAAGTATTAAAGGAAACATGCATATTATTTTATATTATTTTATACAATTTGCAAGTATACAGATATTCTTATGTGGGAAATACAGCTACCACATGCCCTGCTTGTATATCAGATAGAGCTCAGAATAGTTAAAAATTCTGGTAAGTTCACTACAGTTCAAATGAAAAGGTCTAAGAGTCTTATCCAAGCAGCTGTGGTTCCTATTTGAATTTTAGCCTAGATTATTAAAACCTCAAACCACAAAATCCCCCTAGGAAATCTTGCATAAGCATTGTTCTTATTGAAAAAGCCTGGGATCAGAAAGGAAACAAGAGGTTTATGCTTTAGTTGGCTTTAAAACATCAAAAAACAAGTGGTCAATTCTCCTTCAGATGTGTGTTCATAACCCCTTTTAGAGGCAATGAAAATTATATGTGTGGATTTGGGGAGAATACCCCCAAGTAAGCAAATTAAGAAATGCCAAGAACAACCAAAGATTTTGCTTCAAAAAAATTGGCTTAAACCACAGTTATTTAAAAAAATAATTTTATGCAATATGTCAAGTAAATATATTCATCTGTGATAGAATTTCTGTGACCAATTTGCAGGAAATATTTTTAAAATACCTTAACCATATTTCTTTTCTGATTTTGACTAGAAAAAATACAGTTGCTAACCTATTTTTTCAAAAGCCATTGTTTATGTTTCTCTGAATGAAGCAAATATCTCATAATTCAAAAACTGGTTATTTTTCTACCAGGGCCTGATGGGTACATTTTCAATTTGCTGCTAATGACAGAGCATGTAAAATAGCCTTTTTGTGGAAAGAGCTTCTGAAACGGTAATGTTTTAGATATAGATTTTTATCACCATGAGAGGAGGTAATATTCTTGAATATCACTAAGAATGCATCTGATAGACAGTATTAATTTAGCAGAGGACGTAAGGAAGGGAGGAATGGACAGGGGAGTCATTATTTTTGAGGAAGTGGGTAGGGAGTTCTGCCGAAAATACTCCTCACTGTATCCAAACCACAAAGGTTTACTAAACAGAAATTTAAATCAAAAGGCAAACAGGATGTTCATCTGGGACACATATTTGGACACATACTTTTAATACCACATAAAAGCTGCACCAGCCAGATGTGAAAGCAATGAAATTTAAACAAAAAAGCAAACAATAAAGTAAGAAGTGAAATTGGATGATAGCCCTCAACATAGAGCACTTCCTCAGTGAAGTGACTGGATCACAGACGGTGCAATTGACTCTGAGGAAGAGGTGGGGCAGGTTCTGCAGGCCTGTGTTTTCTCACAATGGAAGAAGTAAAATAGCAATCTGGTTTCAGGAAACAGTGAGCTTTGGCAGCCTCTGCTTTCTGGTTTCTTACATTATCTATTTTAGACTGAAGTGGAAACTTATTAAAGCCAGCACTTTAATATCAGATCAGCTGCAGGAAGGAAAACAGAGAAAAAAGTGTTGGTACATATTGTACCCTGAACATCATGAAGCAAGAAATGAATAACAATTTCTATGAGCTATCTAAGGCTAGTCATTCTATCACAAATACAGAATGATAATGTCATGACTACTCAGAACACTTAAGAATTTGGAACTAGCAAAGTCTTGTTAAGACAAGAAAAATAGGAGAGGTGATAGTAACATGAAACTGTTGTATTTTTCACACAGTTGGAAGAGAAATTTTTAGGGTATCATTTATTTATTTCCAATATTCTTAATTTTAATATTTTAAAACTACAAATGAGAGGTAGTTAGGCAGCTATAAAAGTCATTACTTCAGTTTCATGTGTCCTAAAATAGCAAATTTTGAGCATTTAAATTCTCCATACTTTTTTTAAGTAAATAAAATTCTCATAGTCCCAAGCCCAATGTAACAGTCTCTGGGTCTCTTCTCCAAGTTGTGATCAACCCTGACAGATTCTATCTACCAAATTTCCAAATAAGGTGTCTGTTACATCTGAATTTTTATATTGAACATAACAGTCTAAAATATGTATAGGCCATTTTTAATTTTTCCCTCTGATAAGTTTTGGAAATCAGGAATTAAAACTACTAAGTGTTTGATTGCTTCAACATTTCTTTTCTTTAAGCTTTATTCTGCTATATTCTTAAACTTAAGTTGAAAAATTCTTAAAGTAAATGTTAGAAGTTATTTTTTTATATTGACCCAATCAGATGTTTAATATCCTGTGAAAGGAAGAAATATGTTTGGGAAAGGATCAATATAAGACATAATTATTTTAGAGAAGCTGATTATTGATATTCAGTGTTAAATAATATTAGAAGTAATTGAAGTTTGCATTATTTCTCTAAAAATTATTGCTTGTTTTGTATAACTTTTATTTATTTTTGACATATTTTTGCTTTTCTAAATAAAATAGAGATTGAGCTGCCATGGTTTGTAAAACAACCATAACCATAAAGTACTTTAAAACAGAGCAGTGAATGAATACTGATTTAAACCCAAGATAAACATGGTTGCATTTTCCTTTATTTTCCATTTCATTAAAATGAATATATAACATTGCTATTCATTTTCATTCATTCAGTTGATTTATCATGTATTTTTCTCATAACAATTTGTTGGTCATTTTTTGGAACCCAAATTATTTAAGATATCATAGGTTTTATTTTCCTTTAATGCTTTTAAGCTTTGCCTTTCAAAAGTTAATGTATTTATTTGTTCTCAAAATTCAGAAGTTTATAGCAAGTCTTGTCATATTAAACAGGTTGAAGAGGCACCTGCAGTCATTTTATACTGATGCATAACATATTGCCACAAACTTAGCAAGTTTTAAAACATCACGTATTATCTTAAAGTCACTGTGGATCATTAAGTACAGGCTCACTTTTACTGTATCATTGGCTCAAACTCACAAGGATGAGAAAATTAAGGTGAGTGCCAGGCTACATTCCTTTCTGAAGCTAAGGGTCTATTCCAAGCTCACATGAGTACTGGAAGAAATCAACTCCTTGTGGTTGTACGACTGACTTCACCATTTTCTTGCTGGCTAGAAACTGGGGCTACTCTCAGCTTCCAGACCACCAAGGTTCCCTGTCAGGTGATGCTCTCACAGGCCCTCTCATAACATGGCATATTAGTTTTTCAAAGCCAGCAAGGGAGACACTCTGGCTCTAGTCTGCTAAAAGAAGTCTTATAAAGCATAGTACAAACATGGGAGTGATATCCTATCACCTTTGCCATATTCTTTTGACAAAAAAACAAATCATAGGCCCTTCCCTCACTCAAAGGGAAGAAATTACATGAGGCATAACACCAGGATGGAGATCATCAGGGCATGTTTTCAAATCCTGTCTATGTCATATAGTAATCTCCATAGGTTTACTAATTTTAAAAGACATGCTTATGAGAAAATATTTTAGACATTCAAAATATTACTATAAATCTGGGAGATGTTTACTTTCCTTTACACATGGAAGTTATTTGTATCTTAATTTTAATTTGATATTATTCAATATAATTAACTACATGGCACATTTAAAGAATGAAAAACACAGATACAATTTGGCTCCCTATAAAATCAAAATGCCACACTCAAAAATTTGCTTCAAATCATTTATTACATTTCATAATAAGATACTTTTGCTATAAAATAATATATTATAGCTTTCCTCCTTTGTACTATTTTGAAATTCACTTCTTTGTAGCATTTTGTTTAAAAAGATTGAGACTTTTCTAATTTCTTTTTCCATTTCTCCTTTCAACAAATATATATTGAGTCTCCTCTACATTTTATGCTTTTTATTAAGTCCTGAGAATGTAAACTAAAGAACAGTGAAGAGTTGTTACACGTCTGCTAATTACTAGCAGTTTAACATTCAACAAATTGCTTAACCCCTCGGAACCTTAGTTTACTCAACTTTCAAATAAATATATATATCTCTCTCTGATGTCATTTAATTTGGTAAAATAATATTTAGTTTCTACAATAGTCCAGTCATCATGGAAGTCCTGAATATCCTGAGATAAAAGATATAGCAAATGCCTTTTGAAAGTCTGTTTAGTGAGTAAGACAGAGTTAACACTGTTACCACTAGGAAGAACACAAAAAAAGACATGGGAAGAGGTAAAATCTGAGATGAATTTTGATGGATCAGTTAAAGTAAGCCAATGGTGTTAGATGAATTTAATAGTAAACACAAACAGGTGCATGAGATAGCATGTGTATTAGGGGAACTGCAAATAAATAAGTTAGATGAAATGTGGTATGTAGACACAGAGTTGTATGGTAATAAAGTATCTAGATAAGCACAGGCCAGATCACACAGGTCTGGCTGAGAAGCTCACACTGAACCCTGAAAGTAATGAGACACATAAAGATGTTAAGCGAGGAGTAAAACAATTACCTTTATGCTTTGGAAAGCTTACTGTGCATGATGTAGGAAACGTAGAAAGGAAACCCCATGCAGATGAATTAGGAAGGCTATTGCAGGAAGCAGGACAAAGGGATAAAAACAGGGCTGGTAGAGATGGTAAGGATGGGATAGCCGTGAGACATGAAAGCCAGAGTGTATCTAGGACTTCATGGCTAACTGGAGAAGTGACTTGAGGAAAACAAAATTAATCAGTATTATCTAATAATAGAAATGGAGGGGCAAGAGAAGTTTGGAGAAAAAAGGGAAGATGAGCTTAATGTGGGGAATATTAGTTTGAACTTGAGATACCTTTGGAACATATTTCCAGCAGATAATACGATATGTGATTCTAGATCTTAGGAGAAATCTGTACAATAAGGTATAAATTAGGGGTTTATCAATGTTTCTGTATCTAGAATATTTATAGGTTTATCCAGGGAAAGTAAAAAATGTAAAAGGAAAATGAGACTGTGAATTTTAAAAGGTCTCTAAGGTGTGTCAGAGGAAATAGAATAAATAAAGGACCCTAAGAAACACTGGACAGAGTTGTGGGTAAAAAGCAGGACACAAAAATATCGCAGAAACTGCACAGCTAAAGAGAATCAAGAAAGAAGTAAGGAATCACATACCAAATGCATAGGAGATAGAGTCAGAATAAAGACCAGAAAAGAGACTATTGATAACACCTGTGGTGACTTTGACAAGAAGCAGTTACAGGGAACATTAGGAAAGGAAGCCATAGATCAGTGGAGTGGGAAGTGGAAGATAGGGGATGGAATGGGAAAGCAAAAGTAAGCCGTGCTTTCAACATGTCTAGCAATGGCAAGAAGGATAGGAAATAGCATAGTTTTTTATGCAGAAATGAGATAGGTGGAAAGCATTCTCAATGTATGTTCATGGGGTTTGTGATTTACTTATGCACTATAAAAACAGGCAACAAAAGGGGAGGTATGAAATATTAACGTATGAGCTTTGAGGCTGGAATGCCTGGGTTTTAATCCCAGGTCTACCACTTACTGGTTAATATTGGGCAAATTACTGAATCTCCATATACCTCAGTTTCCTCACCTGTAAAATGTAGGTAATAATGGTATCTATTTTATTAATATTGCCAATGTTAATTATTTGCAGTAAATAATACATGTGATGTGCTTAAACCAGTGTATAGTACATAGTAAGCATTGGATACATTTGACTCTTACTAGCTATAGTTCCTAGCTACCTAAGATGAGCTTAAATGGAAAAGGAATTTTTAAAACATTCTAGGTGGCTCCTAAAATATGGTTACTTCAACAACAACACTCTGCCATGACTACTCAGCATTAGTAATGATAATGAAGTCTGCACTGATGTTAGAGACCCACACACAGTTCATGCCAACAAAAGCAGGGCCTGATGTCAGAAGCTCTGTCACAACTGCCTCCAAAAAACCAGATGCTACTGCTGCTGTGTTTGTGGCACTTTGCTCACTTTTGTGTTTGAGCACATCTGAGAAGAATCTGCACCTCAGTAACAAGGAAACCTGGCAGAATCAACTCTGGCTTCCTTAGGCTGTGCTAGAAATGTGACAAGCACTCCAAATACAAGACGGGTATTCCACAGATATTTAATATCCAAAAATATTTGATAAATACCCAGTGTCTCACCCCATGGGTTAATGGAGGCAAAAGTTTAACTGAAACTTGCCACATTAACCTCAGTCTTAGGTAACCTAAACAGTTTCTTTTTATATAAAGTAGTCTTATGGATAAAGAAAGTTGTTTCCCATCAACACTGTTTTCTACTTCCCTTCATTCTTCTGAAGATAGCATTTAGGCTGGGAGAAAACATATCCCTCATGCAGTTGGGCAAAAGCATCCCTCTGGCCTCCTGCTGGCTACTAACATGCTGATTACCAATAGAGAGAGCCTGGGCTGGTCTTTGATATGGCAGGAACCTGCATATGGAACCTGCATATGCATCTCCTCCCAGATTCTAAACAGGAAGTGATATCAACCTTGCCCTTTTCTGTGCATTTTTTTCCTACTTAGTAACATGGGTCATGTTTGGAACTGTGGCCTACAGAGGGGCAACCAGGATGTGCAGGTCTCACCATAAACTTCGTCCACCCCTGACCTGGTAATAGGACTGGAAAGATTTCCCACCTCCCCTTATGACACACCTACTTCATGACATCCCTTGACTTTTCATCCCTGGTAATTAGAAAATACCTACAACGTAGGGTGGTAAGGCAAATACTTAATACATCAGTGGGAGGTAAATTGTTTTAGGGTTTTTTTTTCCCTCCCAGCCAAGCCTGGCTTTCAAAACTTTTGGTCATGCTGTAGACTCAAATATTTTATTCTGAAGTCAAAAGCCGAACAGTGATGGCCTCTGACTCAATCAGGTCCAGAGTCAACAATTCCAATTCTCCCAAAGTCAAACAGTTGACTCTGGCAGGATGAGGGGAAAGTCCTCCTCAGGAAATGCAAAAAAGAACACTCATCTCTTTTTAAAATATTGCTATGGTTGTACATGGAAGAAACTTAGCATGTTTATATATCAAGAGTAAAAGACAAGTAGATAGAAGGAGCTTAAGTCATACCAGAGGAAGCCAATTTGTAGGTTGTAGTGACCATGGTGGAGGGTCGAGTATCAAAGCACAGTTAAAAGGATCTGTCTTCAAAGAAGAGAGAGCTCCTCCACTGAAACAGAAGAGAAAGGCGAGAGGTTTTGAATCATAAACCATTGCTAGACTCCCTCCCGCTCTCAAAATTTTCTGATTCTGTTTTTTTAAATTTATTTTGTAATGGTTAAATGACTCTAACAATGAGTGAATTATAATGTTAAAAATGTGAATGCTGTGTAAGATGATTTGAAACAGCTAAAGATGGGAAGAATGAGGAGCTATAATATACAACAGAGTTACTTTAAATGGAATGCTATTGCTGTAAGGAAACTTCTCATCCTTCTGTGATCCTCCCTTCAAACAAATTTAACTCATTTTATTAGAAAAATAATAAGCCTGTCCATTTGCGGCACCAGTACAAGTGTCTTATTGTTTTTGTTCCAGATGAGAACATTAGCCAGACCCAAAGTCACCAAGTGGCCTATTCTCTGCATTAACTGGTTTGGGTTTTAACCAGGACAGATGCCTTGTCTTGTATAATATTTTCTTTCACTGTTTCCTTTTATTATGTTTCCTCTAATGCATTTTATTATTCAACTTTAGAGATGGAATATGGCAACCAGATTTTAGAGTATTAGCTCATTCAATAGGAAATGTATATTCCTGTTTCAAAACGAGCATCTGTCTGTTCTCAGGAATTTTAAATAATAACAATAGAACAACTACAGAGCAGCTTAAGATAGGAAATGAAAACCACCACTGTGTTCTGGAATACTTGGAAGGACACTCTAGGCAGAATGTAATTAAGTAGTTGGAATTTGTGGTTTAGGCCACCAGGGTTAAAACTATGCCTCCTGAACAAAGTGCTTTAGATTTTTCAAAGATCAGAAAGTTTGGTGCCATGTAGAATAATCAGAGGATCCTCCCTCCAGGCATCTCTACCATAAATACTGATACTTTGTGTCTTACTGTAGACCGTTCGCTCAGCTAAAGCCAAAAAGGAGAAAATATGTCTTCCTCGGACAAGAGAGAAGACTGAAGAGAGTCCTCTTTGTCTCTCATTCCAGGACAGATACTGCAGTTCCTAGGACAGCCATCTCTCCATCTCATCTGCTTAGCTGAGAAAAACAAGCTCACCATATTGTACATATCTCTGGTGGGAAGATATAAAAGTGAGAATAGCAACATGGAAAGAAACCTTGCTGGAGAACCATTTTCCCAATGCAACTATATTTCCTGCTTATCCCAGGGCCACATCACCAAAAATATACATTGTGAGATGGATCATATAAAAGTATTATAAAATAAAACAAGGGTTATCTCTCAAATACCCAAGGGAAAAATTAATGCTAATATTGTGGTATTACTATATATTTTAGGCTGAATAGTGGCCTCCAAAGTAACCAGATCCTAATCCCTGAAAACGGTGAATGTGACTTTATTTAACTAAAGAGATTTGTAGATGTAATTAAGTTAAGGATCTTGAAATGGGAAATTATCCTGGATTATCCAGATGGGCCATAAATGGCATTACAAGTATCTTTATAAAGGTAGATAGAAAGAGATTTGACTACAGACAAAAGAGAAGGAGGCTATATAATTGAAGCCAAAGGAAGCAGAGTCAGAGACTGAAAAATCTTTGCCACTGGCTTTGCAGATCTGAGGAGAGGCTACAATCCAAGGAATGCAGGGAGCCTGTAGAAACTGGAAAAAGCAGACAAATGAATTCTCTCCCAGAGCTTCCAGAGGGAATGTGGTGCTGGTGACACCTTGAGTTCAGAAATTCAGTGACCTTCAGAACTGTAAGAGAATAAGTTTATGATGGTTTAAGCTGTACAATTTGTGGTAATTTATTACAGCAATCACCAGAAACCAGTATACTCTTTATGACAGTGATCTCTAAGTACAGTAGAATAAATATGTTGGCAGCTCCATAAATCACTTAACCCAAGTTTGAATATTATCACTGTATTCCATAAAATGATGTCCCTGCTTATGCCATAGGATGCTTCAGAATAGAGAAGAAAATTTATATGACAGTGTTATTTAATATAAAATATTATTACCTTCAGAATAGCTTAATCTGAATTTTAAACAAAAACATCCCTGATTGAAATTGCCTTTCAGGAAATTGAGAAGAAAAATCCTCAAGATGGTAAAAACAAAGTCAAAACAAATGAATTTTAAAATCCTGTGTATTCCAAACTAATGCTATGGAAACTTCTCTTTCACCTGCCTTGACTTCTCTCTCTGCTCCCCACCCTCCTCTTCCCCCTCTTCCCCTCCCCTCAAGGTGCCCCACATCTTCCCCTTAGCCAATTCATTGCCAGTCCCACCTCCTTTCCTCTGCCTTTCTTCCCCCTCAGCCCCTTGATCAGCCTTCCTCCTTTGGCTCACCCATCTGTTGCCTTCCTTGTGCTTCTCTCCCTTTCTCCTCCTCCTTTCTTCACCCTCTTTTCTTCTACACCATTCTGTAATCCTCTGCCACCCTCCTCCTTTCCCAGCCTTTCCCCAAACGCTTCCACTTAAACACCTACTCTCTTTTTATTTAGCAAATTCCCCTAGGTTATTAATTCTCTAAACATTCTGAGTACTTGGCTTCCTATCTGACTAAAGCCTGTGACTTCTTTGGGGTTACCTTACCTTCTCTCTAGTTCTCTCATGTGGACACTAATGGTCATCTATGTGCCGATTATTCCAATCTCTATGCCCAGCTCAGTTCAGTACTTCAAACCTCCAGACTTGTATATCCAACTACCTATGCAGCATCTCTATTTGGATGATTAACAGATATCTTAAAATTACCACGCCTCAAACTTACCATGTTAAAGACATAAGTTTTGATCCTCCCTACCCCCTTGTCCCCCTCTTAAACATAACCTCTATCTTCCTTGTGTCAGTAAGTGATACTAGTATTTATCCATTTGCTCATGGTGGATCACTGAATCCCCTCTTTCCGTCATCTCCGACCCAATTTACTTGCCAGCCTGTGAGACTACCTCCAAAATATATCCTAAACCCTTCAAGCTCTTACTTTCTTTCCTCTACAATCCTGGTCCAAACCACTGTTATCTCTCACTAGACTTCTGCACAAGCCTTCTAATTCATTTCATTCTCACCAACCGACCACCATGACCTACATCCTTTTCAAACCATTTTCTAGACAGGAGCCAGAAAGGTCACTTAAAACTATAAATTTTATCATATTACTCCACTCCATATAACCCTCCAAACATTTCACATTTAGAATGAATCTAAGTTCTATATGTTGCATAAAAAGTCCTATGTGAACTGAGCCTGCCTTTCCACCTTTCACTCTGATATCCATACCACTCACTTTCTTACTCATAATTCTCAACCACCTTGACCTTCTTTCATGTACTTACATATCTAATTATTTCAAGCAATTACAATTTTATTTCCTTTAAGACACATAACATTTTCTGAAATCATCATATTTATATAATTATTTAGTTTATGTTCTCACTTTTTTACTGAGAGCAGGGACTTTTCCCATACCTACTATAGCCACAGCAACTATGGGGGTGTTGACAAGGAGTAGACACTCAGCAAAATATTTAAGGAATAAATAATCATTATTTCTTTACTTTGATTTATGTTGCAACCTAAACTCATGTGCTAGGTCAGGAAAAATAGCATTTTAATTTTTTTGTTACAATTTTCTAAACTCAACAGAAATAGCATTAATATCTTTGGTAGCCAAAGAAAATATGGTAACATTGAAAATCTTAAATATAAGTCAAAACATAAATATTTCGCTCAATCATAGGCAGATCATATTCTAAATGCTATCTACCTGATGCCAACATATTTGATGGGCAGTAAAAATAGCCATAACTTATTCTTTTCCTCAGTGATATCAAATAATGATCAAATTGATATTTTTATTCATATAGGTTTGGTCTAACAGATGTGAACATAAACATAGAGACATTTAATCAACTTCAATTGATTTAGTCAGTAGAAAACAATCTAACTTGCTTTAGTTTTTCTCTTTATCAATGCACAAATATATAATCCATGTTTTCATTATTGTTCTTACTCTTTATATTTTACTTGCTTGTTTGCTTTTTAAGTTTTATTGATCACTCAATTGTATTGGATCAAGTAAAACTTCCAAAATTCATCAGTTTGACATATTTTATTGTATATTTTTCAAATATGTACATACACTTAATATATTTCTCTGATCATATTCCCAAATATGATTTTCAGGAACTCTACTAAATTTATTTCAATGTGAAAGAAATTCACTTCACATCAACTGAATCACTATACTAACTGCATAAAACATTCTTTAATACATTTATTTAATGAACATTTCTCTCTATTTGAGACTTCTTTTTTCTCTCTAATTATTTTATTTCAGACTTCCACAAACTCTTACTTAGGTTAAAAAAATTCCCAACTGGTCATTCTCCACTGCCTTTTCTTCAATCAATTTCTATCCCACTTTCAGAGTAATCTCTCTAATCACATTTCTATGATTGGTAACCTTCAATCACTCTGTGTTGTACTCCAGATTAAATCACATCTTTTAATACGTCTTATAAGGACCTCCACGAATAATATCTGTCCTGTCTCTCAAAATTTATCTTTTTGCCTTTCTTCAGTTTAACTCAAAATGAAACAGTCTTATGTCCTCTAAATTCACAGTTGCCTATGGTCTCTGCACAGTTTTTCTGCCTGGAAGTACTTCTTTAAAATAAAATATCTAGTTGTGGTTGGATATACACATCTCCAAAGTCTCCAGGAGATGAACCTGAGCTGGAGTCTTCTGGGTAAGTGGACAGATGACACTGCAATGTAATGGATACAGATGACATTACTCATACAAAGTATTTAAAGTAAGAAGAGGTTGAGGATAAAAATCTAAGAAACACTGTTGCCAGTGGCTGTAAGAAGAGAAGAATGAGGAATTTTCCTTCAATGGGTATAAAGTTTTTGCCATACAAGACGAATAAGTTCTACAGATCCATTGTACAACATAGTATCTATAGTTAATAATACAATATTGTGCACTTTAAACATTTTTAAGAGGATAGAATTCATGTTAAATGTTCTTACCAAAACAAACAAAACTACATGCAAAATGACACAAGAAAATTTATTTTTGAAGGTGATGGGTATGTTTAGTACCTTGGCTGTGGTGATGGCATCATAGGTGTATGCATATGTTCAAACTGATTAAAATATCTACTTTAATGTTTGCAATTTTTATCTATCAATTATGCCCCAATAAATCTTTTTAAAAAAGAATAGTGGGGAACATATGCTCATGAAGGGAATGAAACAATGAGCTATCAGAAAGGTGAAAGAAAAAAAAATCCACAATAGTATGGTGTCATAGAAGCTGATGGAAAAGAATGTTCCAAAGATGAAGAAGTTATCAAACCAATTAAGAAGAACCTAATAATTTCAACTGGTTTAATGATAAAGGTATTGTTACACTTACAAAGGAATAATAAAGTTGGAAAATTGGAGTATGAGGCTGGGAATTGGGAGCTGTGAGTCCAGATTACAAGATTGGAATGCAAGAGATAAAGACAATGAAAAGTTAAAATATAAGTTTATACCATAAATTTTGAAGCCATCTTGATAAGTCAAATTTGGGATGAAGAGGAAAGCCATGCTAAACCTTTCACTTAATGGGAAAGACTGACAGGGAGTCAGTAAATTATAGATCTAAGAAGAATGAGAGAATAATGTAGCTGATATGTGAGCCTACACAGAACAGAGGGATTTACATATTCATAAAAGCCAATAACTTGACCTTGTAAATCATGAAGAAGGAGGATATCAATCCTGTTTTCTGACCTAGGGAAGAGGGACCAATAAACATTCATGAGCTCATCTCTACTGTCTTAGTCCATTTTTGGTTGCTATAAAAATACCTGAGACTGGGTCATTTATTTAAAAAGGAAAATAAAAGTTTTATGTTAGGTCATGGTTTTGCAGGCTGAGAAGTTCAAGGGCATGCCCCTTGCTTCCAGTGAGGGCCTTTGTACCACATCACAACATGGCAGAGAAGGTCAAAAGGGAAGCAGATATGTGTGAAGAGGGGAAAACCTGAGAGGTGTTCTGGCTTTATAACAACTCACTCTCATGGGAACTAGTCCATTCCTATGATAAATAATCCAGTCTCACTACAACAAGAACTCAACTCATTATCATGTAAACAGCACCAAGTTATTCATAGCAGATTTGATCCATAAGCAAAATACCTCCCACGAGACTCCACCTCCCAACACCACCACATCGGGAACAAAATTTCAACCTGAGTTTTGACAGGGACAAGCAGATCATATCCAAATTATAACACCTCTCCTTGAATTTTATTTAAGAATTCCTTTCTGGAATGTAAATTGATATAGCCATTATGGAAAACAGTATGGTGATTCCTCAAAAACTTGAAAATAGAACTACTATATAATCCAGTAATCTCATTTCTGGGTATATACCAAAGGAAATAAAATCACTACCTAACAAAGACATCTGAATTTCCATGTTCATTGTGGCATTATTCTCAAAACCAACATATGGAAACAAACTAAGTGTTATTGACAGATGAATGGATAAAGAAAATGTGATCTATATATACAATGAAATATTACTCAACCTTAACAAAGAAAGAAATATTGCAGTTTGTGACAACATAGATGAACCTGGAGGACATTATGCTAAGTAAAATAAACCAGAGACAGAAATGAAAATACTGCTTTATTTCACAAATATGGGGAATTTTTTTTAAAGTCAATTACATAAAAACAGAGAGTAGGACAGTAGTTATTGGGGCAGAAAGAGAATGAAAATGGGGAGAAGTGGTCAAAGGGTACAAACCTGCAATTACGTAGCATGAATAAGTCTAGAGAATGAATGTACAATATGAGGACTATAGTTAATAATATCATATTGTATACTGAAAATTTGCTGAGAGTAGATTTTAAGTTCTCATACTGAATAAACACACTAAAAGTAAATACAGGAAGTGATGGATAGGTTAATTTGCTTTATTGTACTATTAATTTTACTATATATATGCATATCCAAACATCATATTGTATACCTTGCATACATACAATAATTTTTTAAAAAAGAATTTCCCACTTTGGGAGGCTGAGGCGGGCAGATCACGAGGTCAGGAGACCAAGACCGTCCTGGCCAATATGGTGAAACCCTGTGTCTACTAAAATACAAAAAAATATTAGCTGGGCATGGTGGTAGGCACCTGTAATCCCAGCTACTTGGGAGGCTGAGGCAGGGGAGTCGCTTAGACCCAGGAGGTGGAGATTGCAGTGAGCTGAGATCATGCCACTGCACTCCAGCCTGATGACAGGGCGAGACTCCATCTCAAGAAAAAGAAAAAAAGTATTTCCTTCTGGCATAGAGTATGTTTCATTTTAGAGTTCAATTTGAAACAAAATGCACTCAAATTTTGACTAATATATTCATGGCAGTTATCAATTATCTTTCATATTCTCAAGGAGACACTTGAAAGTAATGCTTGCCTGCAGGTGAAGAGTTTACTGCTTGACAGTTTTTCTTCTGTCATGTATACAGAGCAAAAGTACAGAGATGGTGCGTTGTTCTGTGGCATTCAGAAGTGTTTTCTACCATACTCCTCCTTATAGGCTAAGTATTTCTGAAAAAAAGGTGTTTCCAAATCGTACAAGAAGACTGTATAGCAGGTCCATTGGAAGCCAGACTTAGAAGTTGGTCTGGATTTGAAGGTACAAAGTATATTAGATAAGCCGTTCAACTTTTCAGAATCTTAGCTTTTCTCAATAAAATGAAGCTAATAAATTTTATAGTTGTAAAAATGTGCAATGTTTTTAAATGAAGCAGTGTTTTTAAAATGCTTAGCACAATGTGTGACATGTAAATATAACTTTTGTCTTATAAACTTAATCATACCTACTTTTAATTTTTAATTATTCAAAACTAAGAAAATACTAATCAAGAAATGTCAGGGAGTTTCATCTATGACATGTGTTCATGAGGATATTGCCTAGAGAACAAACATGTTAAAACAAATTTTTTCAGTGGGTGAAAACTGCTCCCATGCTATTATTCCTGCACACTACCATATGCACTGCTTCTTTCTTTGCCAGAAAATAAAAGTTGCTCTTACATAGACACAGTCATTTACTTTTATTCAAATTTCTGTTGACATGTTCACTTTTAAGGACACTTTATTTTGTGATTGGTCAACACAGATCTGTTTTTTTATGTTGTTGGTGTTTGCTTGTTTTTGCCATGGGTTTCCAGAAGTCATTGTCATGCCACGCTGCACTTAAACATTAACAGTCTTTCTTTTGTTTATATGTGCCTATCTGCCTTTTCATCTATGTTTCTTGGACTCTAATGTTCCTTCAGTTTTCTCAATCTAGTGAATTCCTACATTATTCTCAAGACTCAGAATAAAAGATGTCCCAGAACAAATGTTGTCTCCCAGCTTGAGTTAAAATTTCCATCCTTTTAATGCCAGAATCATTTTTATATGACTAGGAGATGAGTATGTCAGACTCAAAGTAAAATCTTTTAAAACTCATATCCATGAGAGTCACGCAGTCAATCATGTATGTTTTAAGAAACATTGATGAAATAAACTTTCATATATTTCTGTTGCACAGCCCTGGGTAGGAATCACTCCTCTAATATAATATCTGTAAATATAAACTGTTTATTAAGTCTTTCTTTTCCACCATACAGTTAGGTCACAGAAGTGAAAGACCTGCTTCTGCTTTTATTTATTCCTCAAACCCAGCACAATGATCTATTTTATTTAGTAAATGAATAAATAGAAGCTAATTTCAACTCAATAAAGCAATCGTTTGGATATAAAGTTATCATTACATAATTAAGAAGAAAATCAGCAAGGCCAAGATAACTGACTAGAAACAGCAGTGGTTGGAGAGTCTCACCGATAATGAAAATGGTAAGTAAATCCTGCACTGGCAACTGAAGTATCCAATTTCTCTCAATAGGATTGACTAGGCGGTTGGTGCAATCCACAGAGAATGAGGAAAAGCAGGGTGGAGCAATGGCTCACTTGGGAGCCACACGGGGGAGAGGGGAGCTACTACCCCCAGCCAAGGGAGGCAGTGAGTGATTGTGCTACCCTGCCGGGGAAACCATGCTTTTTCCATGGATCTGTGCAACCCACAGATCAGGAGATCCCCCTCATGAGGTCATGCCACCAAGGCCTTGGGCCCCAAGCACAGAGCTGTGCAGATTCTCAGTGGCCGCTCAGCTGGAGTCTGCCTAAGATAACCAAGTTCCCAGAGGGAAAGGTGGCCATCATCATTGTGGCTTCCTGCTGCCTAAGACAACTGAGCTTCCTAGGGAAGTGGCAGCTGCCATCACTGTGACTGCCTACTGCCTAAGACTACTGAGCTCCTGAAGGGAGGGGTGGCAGCCATCACTGCAGCTCCAATCTGCTGTTTTTCCCTTGCCAGTGCTGAAGAGACTCGACAGTTTGGACACAGGTGGAATTTCCCACTGTGCAGCACAGTGGCTGTGGCAGATCATGGCCAGACTGCCTCTTTAGGCTGGACCCCAACCCATCTCTCCTCACTGGCTGGGGTCTCCCTGCCTGAATTTCAGAAACTCCAGCCAAGCGTTTAGGGATACAACTCTGATCTCCCCGGGACTGAGCCCCTGGGGGAAAGGGTGGCCACAGTCTCCATGAATCAGCAGACTTAGTCTTTCTCCGGGCTGGCTCTGAGGAATCTGAGCAGTCCAGAAGAGTGAGATTCCTGCCAACACAACACACCCCCTCTGCCAAGGGGCAGCTAGAGTGCTTCATTACACAGGTCTGGGATCCCGTGCCTCCTGCCTGGGTGAGAGCCCCCCAGCAGGGGTCACCAGACACTTTATACAGGAATGTTCCCACGGGCATCAGGTCAGTGCCCCTATGAAACAGAGATCACAGAGGAAGGAGTAGGCAGCCATCTTTGCTATTCTGTAGCCTCCACTGGTGACACCTCCAGGTGCAGGAGGGACCCAGGCAAGTAGGGTCTGGAGTGGACACACAGTAAATCACAGTAGCCCTGTGGAAGAGGCCCTGACTATTAAAAAGAAAAACAAAGAAACAGAAAGCAACAACAACACCAGCATTAACAAACAAGACCCCACAAAAACCCCATCCAAAGATCAGCAGCCTCAAAGATCAAAGCTAGATAAACTCACAAAGATGAGAAAGAATCAATGAAAAAACTCTGAAAACTCAAAAAGCCAGGGTGCCTTTTTTCCACTAAATGATTGCAAAACCTTTCCAGCAAGGGCACAGAATTGGGTGGAGGCTAAGATGGATGAAGTGACAGAAGTAGGCTTCAGAAGGAGCTGTTAACCAGAATAACCAGCTTAGAGAGGAATATAAATGACCTGATGGAGCTGAAAAACACAACAGGAGAACCTCACAATGCAACCAAAAGTATCAATAACCAAATAGACCAAGCAGAGGAAAGAATTTCAGAGCCTGAAGACTATCTTGCTGAAATAAAACAGGCAGACAAGATTAGAGGAAAAAAAGAATGAAAAGGAATGAACAAAACCTCCAAGAACTATGTGATTATGTAAAAAGACAAAACCTGTGACTGATTGGGGTACCTGAAAAAAACAGGGAGAAAGGAACCAAGTTGGAAAACATACTTCAAGATATCATCCAAGAGAACTTCCCCAACCTAACAAGACGGCCAACATTCAAATTCAGGAAATCAGAAAACCCCAGTAAGATACTTCTTGAGAAGATCAGCCTCAAGACAAATAATCATCAGATTCCCCAAGGTCAAAATGAATGAAAAAAAAAATGTTAACAGCAACCAGAGAGAAAGGCCAGGTCACCTACAAAGGAAAGCCTATCAGACTAACAGTGACCTTCTCAACAGAAACCCTACAAGCCAGAAGAGACTGGGGGACAATAGTCAACATTCTTGAAGAAAAGAATTTCCAACCCAGAAATTCATATCTGGCCAAACTAATAAATGAAAAGGAATGAAGGATAAATAAAATCCTTTTCAGACAAGCAAATGCTGAGGCACCAGGCCTGCCTTGCAAGAGCTCCTGAAGGACAAACTAAATATGGAAAGGAAAAACCATTAGCAACCACTGCAAAAACATACTGAAGTACAAAAACCAATGATGCTATAAACATCAATAAGTTTGCAAAATAACCAGCTAGCATTATCATGACAGGATCAAATTCACACATAACAATACTAACCTTAAATGCAAATGGAGTAAATGCCCTAATTAAAAAATACAGAATGGCAAGCCAGATAAAGAGTCAAGACGAATCATTGTGCCGTATTCAAGAGACGCATCTCACATGCAAAGACACACATAAGCTCAAAATAAAGGGATGGAGGAAAATCTACCAAGCAAATGGAAAGCAGAAAAAAAGCAGGGGTGACAAACCCAGTTTCTGACAAAACAGAGTTTAAACAAAGATCAAAAAGACAAAAGAAAAATGCATTCCATAATAGTACAGGGATCAATTCAACAAGAAGAGCTAAATATCCTAAATAGATATGCACCCAATAAAGGAGCACCCAAGTACATACAAGTTCTCAGAGACCTAAAAAGAGAATTAGATTCCCACACAATAATAGTGGGAGACTTTAACACCCCATTGTCAATATTAGGTCATCAAGACAGAAGATTAACAAGCATATTCAGGACTTGAACTCAGCTCTGGATCAAGTGGATCTGATAAATATTTACAGAACTCTTCACGCAAAAACAACAGAATATACATTCTTCTCAGTGCCACATGGCACTTACTCTAAAATAAATCACACAACTGGAAGTAAAAAACTCCTCAGCAAATGCAAAATAACCGAAATCATAACAAACAATTTCTCAGACCACAGAATAACCAAATTAGAACCCAAGATTAAGAAACTCACTCAAAAACTTCACAACTTCATGGAAATTGAACAACCTGCTCCTGAATGATTCTTGGGTAAATAAACAAATTAAGGTAGAAATCAAGAAGTTCTTTGAAACCAATGAGAACAAAGAGACAACAGACCAGAATCTCTGGGACACAGCTAAGGCAGTGTTAAGAGGAAAATTTATGGCAACAAATGCCCACATCAAAAAGGTAGAAAGATCTTAAATTGATACCCTAACATCACAAATACAAGAACTAGAGAACTAAGAGCAAAACAACCACAAAACTAACAGAAGACAAGAAATAACCAAGATAAGAGCAGAACTGAAAGAGATAGAGACATGAAAAACCCTTCAATAATTCGGGAGCTGGTTTTTGAAAATATTAATAAAATAGATAGACCACTAGCTAGACTAATAAAGGAGAAAAGAGAGAAGAATCAAATAGACACAATACAAAATGATAAAGGGTACATCACCACTGACCCCACAGAAACACAAATAACAATCAGAGAATACTATAAAAAATCTATGCAAATAAACTAGAAAATCTAGAAGAAATGGATAAATTCCTGGACATATACACCCTCCCAAGACTGAACCAGAAAGAAGTTGAATCCCTGAATAGATCAATAACAAGTTCTGAAATTGAGGCAGTAATAAATAGCCTACCAACCAAAAAAGCCCAGGACCAGACGGATATACAGCTGAATTCTACCAGAGGTACAAAGAGGAGTTGGTATCATTTCTTCTGCAACTATTCTGAACTATTGAAATGGAAGGACTTTTCCCTAACTCATTTTATGAGGCCAGCATAATCCTGATACCAAAACCTGGCAGGATTTGTATCCTGGCAGGATACCAAAAAAAAGAAAACTTCAGATCAATATTCCTGATGAAAATCTGTGCCAAAATCTTCAATAAGTTGCTGGCAAACCAAATCCAGCAGCACATCAAAAAGCTTATCTACCATGATCAAGTTGGCTTCATACCCAGGATGCAACACTGGTTCAACATACACAAATCAATAAACGTAATTCATCACATAAACAGAACTAAAGACAAAAACCACATGATTACCTCAATAGACACAGAGAAGGCCTTCGATAAAGTTCAACATCATTTCATGTTAAAAAAAACTCTCAATAAACTAGGTATTGAAGGAACATGCCTAAAAATCATAAGAACCATTTATGAAAAACCCACAGCCAATAGCATACTGAATGGGCAAAAGCTCAAAGCATTCCCCTTGAAAACCAGCACAAGGCAAGGATGCACTCTGTCACCATTCCTACCCAACACGGTATTGGAAGTTCTGGCCAGGGCAATCAGGCAAGAGAAAGAAAGAAAGTGTATCCGGATAGTAAGAGAGAAAGTCAAACTGTCTCTGTTTGCAGATGACATAATCCTATATCTAGAAAACTCCATCGTCTCAGCCCAAAAGCTTCTAACGCTGATAAGCAACTTCAGCAGTCTCTGGATACAAAATCTATGTGCAAAAGTCACAAGCATTCCTATACACCAATAATAGGCAAGCAGAGAGCCAAATCATGAACTCCCATTCACAATTGCTATAAAGAGAATAAAATGCCTAGGAATACAGGTAACAAGGGAAGTGAAGGACCTCTTCAAGGAGAAATACTGCTGAAGGAAATTATAGAGGACACAAACAAATGGAAACACATTCCACGCTCATGGATAGGAAGATTCAATATCGCGAAAATGGCCATACTGCCCAAAGTAAATTATAAATTTATAAATGCAATGCTATTCCCATTAAACTACCATGGACATGCTTCAAAAGTTAGAAAAAAACTAACTACTTTAAAATTCATATGGTACCATAAAACAGCCCACATAGCCAAGGCAATCCTAAACAAAAAGAAGGGGGCATCACACTACCTGACTTCAAGGCTCCAGTAACGAAAACAGCGTGGTACTGGTACAAAAACCGACACATAGACCTATGGAACAGAATAGAGATCTCAGAAATGAGACTGTGCATCTACAACCATCTGATCTTTGACAAACCTGACAAAAACAAACAGTTGGGAAAGGATTACCTATTTAATAACTGGCACTGGGAAAGCTGGCTAGCCATATGCAGACATTTGAAACTGGAGCTCTTCTGTAGTACAAAAATTAATTCAAGATGGATTAAAGACTTAAATGTAATATCCAAAACTATAAAAACCCTAGAAGAAAATCTAGGCAATACCATTCAGGACATAGGCACAGGAAAAGAGTTCATGATGAAAATGTCAAAAGCAAATGCAACAAAAGCAAAAATTGACAAATGGGATCTGATTAAACTGAAGAGCTTCTGCACAGCAAAAGAAACTATCATCAGAGTGAACAGACAACCTAAGAATGGGAGAATACTTTTGCAATCTATCCCATCTGACAAAGATCTAATATCCAGAATCTACAAGGAACTTAAACAAATTTTCAAGAAAAAAACAAACAACCCCATTAAAAAGTGGGCAAAGGACACGAACAGACTCTTCTTAAAAGAGACATTTATGTGGCCAGCAAACATAAGAAAAAAGGTTTAACATTACTGATCATTAGAGAAATGCAAATGAAAACCACAATGAGATACTATATCATGCCAGTCAGAATGGTGATTATTAAAAAGTCAAGAAACAACAGATGCTGGCAAGGCTCTGAAGAAATAGGAACCCTTTACGCTGTTGGTGGGAATGTAAATTAGTTCAACCATTGTGGAAGACAGTGTGGCAATTTCTCAAAGACCTAGAACCAGACGTGCTATTTGACCCAGCAATCTCATTACTGAATGTATACACAAAGGAATATAGATCATTCTTTTATAAAGATACATGCACATGTATGGTCATTGCAGCACTATTCACAATAGCCAAGACATGGAATCAATCCAAATGCCCACTAATGATAGACTGCATAAAGAAAATGTGGTACATACACACCATGGAATACTATGCAGCCATAAAAAGTAATGAGATCATGTCCTTTGCAGGGACACGGATGGAGCTGGAAGCCGTTATCCTCAGCAAACTAACACAGGAACAGAAAACGAAACACCACATCTTCTCACTTTTAAGTAGGAACTAAACAATAAGAACACGTGGACACATGGAGGGGAACAACACACACTGGGGCCTGTCTGGGGTCAGGCGGAGGGAGAGCATCAGGATAAACAGCTGATGGATGCATGTGGGGCTTAATACCTAGGTGATGGGTTGACAGGTGCAGCAAACCACCATGGCGCGTGTCTACCTGTGTAACAAGCCTGCATGTCCTGCACATGTATCCTGGAACTTAAAATAAAATTAAATAAAATTTAAAAAAAGAAGAAGAAAATCTGTAGTCTTTCCAATATTACATACTCAGTTCAAAATACATAAATGGAGACTTTTATCCCAATATGACAAATAAAATTTGAAATTTGCAAATTACTTTGCAAAAGTTAATTTGGCTTTAATTAACATAAAAGATCATTAACTGCCAAGTCCTGTATTCAAGGCTACTATTGACAGATATTATTGTTGGCCCTGTCTAATGACTATAGCATGGCAGAGAGTAAGACCACACAGGCTGACAATAAAAATAGATGTCATTGTCCAAGAAGTCATCACAAAATGAGGTCCTCTGAATAGATTTTTACTTTCTGAAACTTTTTAAATATCACAAGCCAATGAATTTGATGGCTTTCCCTTTTTCTCCTCTTTTTCTTGACTCCTGAGAGGAGTTGTATCAGCTCTTCTGTAGTATTGGCTGTATTCAGTGTGTAAAGAAGAAATAGCAACATAAATGAGTATATTTTGTGTTATCTCTTTATCTTAAAGACTGAAATTTGAGCAACTGGTAAGTTTCTTATTTATCAATTGGTATTCATTTATGAAAGTAACCAGCTCCGCATGGATCAGCATGGAATTCCAGAAACCAAAGGAGAATCAGAGATATCAAAGAATAAGGAGAAAAGAGAATCAAATTACCTAGGCAAAACCAACGTAAAATCAGTTCTGCTAAAGAGATCTGATAAAAGATTTTAGCAATACTCTAGTAATGGAATAATTGATAATAAATACCTGTACTATTTTGTAGCTTTGTCTAGTATGTATGAGAAGCATATTATGAAAAGTAGAGTTGTGACAGGGCTTTGATTTTTTTTTAAGAATCAAGAAAAATATTACATTTCTTCTTTTAAAAATAAAGACATAAATTTCCTTTTAGGACATTGTTTGTTTGTTTGTTTGTTTGATTGTTTGTTTTGCTTGAGGAATTAAATGACTTATCTATATTCAGGCTTGTGGTAGAATGATATGGGAATATCAAAGCTTCCTGGAGAAGTTATTCCATGGCCAGAAGAAAGGTCTCCGGTAGAGACATTACTTGGATTCATAAAACATGTAACCATTCCAGAAAATAATCTGAACACATACACACACACACACACACACACCCCAAATGACTTCCCAATATCTATAGAATGGTGCCTCAAATCACGATTTGAAAAAGTATGAAGGAGCGACCCATACAAGCTGCACAAATCTGGGTTAAATATTATTTATGCTTATTAATTATGTGGTAAGCCACAAACATTTTATTCCACAAGGTACATACACACATGGTCAACTAAGTCTTTGGTTGTTTTTATAAAGTCTTGATTTAATAGTTCTTCTTTCATAAGATTAAGTGAACTGAACTGAAATTGCTATCATTTTTTCCTAGTGACTAGAGTAGGTAGTCCAGTTAGGCAGAAACACCAAATAAAATCTAAAAATGCTCGTGGCAACTAAGGTGTGACACATGGAGGGCTATCATTCTAGGTTAATATGAACAACCTCAGGAGATGGAAAAAGTGTAAGGCATTTTCTAATCACATAACACGACAGAACCACATCACCCAGAGATGGCATATTCCAGCTAATCCACAACATCCTTGGATGTATCACTGAAGACAATGAAGCAAAATGAGGAGTTGAATAACCAACCAGTAAAGCCTTAATTTTAGGTAACTTTTTTTTAACCCAATGATGAAAATGAAACAAACAATATCAAAATAATTTCCTTTGCTTTGTTTTCCTACTCTTTGATTATACACACTTGTAATGAATTCTTCCTGTATTACTATTAAGTTTTATCATCATAACAAATTATGAGTTCTTCAAAGTCAACAATCGTGTATTTTACTTCTCATGCATCACAGCAACACCATTCCTCTATCAGTCACAGTTTAATTATTTGGCAATAATTTCTGATTTTTAGAAGTATATGTATTTTTGTAAGTCACAAAAATCAACAGAAAGAGAAATAAATCAAGAAGGCCACTTTCTGTTTCTGCTGGAAAGAAATAAATTGCCTTGTGAATTGGGTCTCAAAATAAATGTGCTTTTAAAGTAACTTGTATCCTTTCCTAAAGGCATAAATTTGTTTGGATGTACTAAAAAGTTTTAAGAATGATTTGTTCTCTTATTCCAATTATGTTGATATGTACAGTGAAAGCTCAAGTCATGTGGCATAACTGAGCTTAGACATGCAAGGGATGGCCTCAAGCCTTCCCACTTGCCAAATTGTATTTCACTCTAAGATGTTGCTTAATATTTCAAGGTAATTGGCTTCATTTTATTTTTGTTTGATTTGAAAAGCTAAACACTGGTTATTAACAATTTAGTAACTTATTTGTCCAAAGTTTTTAAAGCAAATAAATGAATACATAAACACACATGTGCAATGCTAAAACTCACTTAAGAAATTTTCTCTGGTGATAACATAGTAAACAGAAAATCAATAGGCATGCATTGCAGATGGTAAGGTTAAGGTAGATGGGCTTCTAGAGGATACGGGACATGACATTGAATGGCAGTTCAGTATGGAAAGGAGACATCATAGAAAAAGAGAGAAAGAAAATGGTAACCAGAAAGGGAAAACCTCTTTACCCTGTGATGAGATTGGCAAGGTTTTGGCAGGGCTTTCAGAGTTGTCAATAAAAATGAAGTATTTGACCCCATGGGAAAACAATAAGTCATTTAGGGAGAGATATGTTACAAAAGCCCGAAGAGAACTACTTCCTTCTACAAGCTGCAACAGAACTATCAACCAACCCTTCCAGCCATCATAAAGGTAAAAGAATATGATGGTTAATTTTATATGTCAGCTTGATTGTGGTAAGGGAGGACCAGATAAATGGTGAAACATTATTTCTAAGTGTTTCTGTAACAATATTTCCAGAAGAGACAACATTAGGATCAGTAGACTGAGTAAAGACCTACCCTCACCCATGTGGGTGAGCACTATTCAATCCATGGAGGGGCCAAATAGAACAAAAAGACAGAGGAAGGGTAAATTTCCTCTCTCTCTTCTTTAGCTGAGACATTCATCTTTTCATACCCCCCAGCATTGGATCTCTGATATAGGAACCCCTCAAAGCAAAGAAAGGGCAAATGTGACAATTCCTTAAAATGAACAGCTTGAGGAAAATCAGGCTATTATATATTTTCATGGTTGTAAAATAGTGCAGCCACTATGGAATACAGTATGGGGGTTCCTCAAAAAATTAAAAATAGAGCTACCATATTATCCGGCAATATCACTTCTGTGTGTATATTCAAAGGATTGAAATCAAGATCTGTAAGAGATACCCATATTTCCATGGTCATTCTATTTAGAAATTGCATTGTTGTAATTTGCTGTACAAGTTAGCCAATTCAGAAATAATGTCAAACAAAAAGAATCCTATAGACTACACATATTTCAAAGAGAGATTTAATAGACATGACAAAGATTGGCTTTTAGTCTGATTCATAAAAGAATTTATTAGAAGTTATCCTTTCCAAGGTTATTCTGAAAGTGACATTTTAAAATTATTAAATCGAATAATTTAATACAAACTCAAAATTTAAAGTTCAATAAGCTGCTAACCAGCCCTTCATCTCAAACATAGTGTTGTAGCAGTATTTTATCTCTATATTTTATTGAGAAAACAATAAATATTAAGATAGTATTCTGTATATACACAAACAATTATTATTGTTCCTTCTTACTTGAAGTCTAGAAAATAATACATCTGTTTAACATCATGGCTCATCTGGAATTCTCATTGAAAATTTATTTAACAGAGTATTCCAAGAACATCTTTTGTGTCCGCTTACTGTGTAATTTTAAATCCACTGTAAACAATGGAAGGTTAGTGTTTTCCTCCCCTAGTTGTTATTCTTTCTAATAAATCAAGAAGCAGAAACATCTTAAATGATATGTTTGTATATCAGACATTTAGTTTATCAATTATGTCTTCCCCTAGTCATTTCCAGAAATAAACTGGATATTGACACAGACATGATACATTTTTTGTCAGCAATTTTACTGTTAATTTGCACATGTGCTTAATTGTACAGGATGTACTGAGTGTTGCTGCTATTTTTGTCATGGTTTCTTTGTTGAAAATAGGATCTGTTTTTTGTGAGGTCTAACCACTCATACCAATTAACTAAAGAAACTTGTTTGCTTGAATTTTGCCTAATATTTCAGTACTTTTACATTGCCTTAATTATTCACAGTTTTTCTCAATTGTCCTACCAACTGGTTGCTCCTTTTAAAAGATTAGATCAGGCCAGGAGCTGTGGCTCATGCCTGTAATCCCAGCACTTTGGGAGGCTGAAGAGGGTGGATCACAAGGTCAGGAGTTTGAGACCAGCCTGGCCAATATGGAGAAACCCTGTCTCTACTAAAAATACAAAAATTAGCCAGGCATGGTGGTGAGCGCCTGTACTCCCAGCTACTCGGGAGGCTGAGGCAGGGCAGTTGCTTGAACCTGGGAGGCGGAGGTTGCAGTGAGCCAAGATTGTGCCACTGCACTCCAGCCTGGATGACAGAGTGAGACTCTGTCTCAAAAAAAAAACAAAAAAAATTACATCAAAATATAGTAGACAACCTTTTAGCATGGTCTTACCAGAATCAAGATGGTCTACAAACTAATATTCACTCATATAATTTATATAGCATCCAAAGTGAAAGAAATAAAATATGATTTTCTTCTAACCTTTCTTGTAAGATTTCACAGTTGTTCACAGCTTTCTTTCCCTGAAGGTTTAGTGTATCCTTTTTTATTCTCTAAGAAAATTCTATGTGTTTTGACTATTATATGACTTGTATATATTCATATGTAATCACTCTTTAGATTTTAGCACTACCTAATTTAACACAATTCTGATAAAAGTCCTCTTCAAAATTATTAAACTGTTAAATGATGTATAAAGCTACATTTATAAACTCATGCAAATTGGTAACAGTGTAGCTTTATGCCAGTGACATTCATATTGTATTTTATGCACAACCTTCCCAGTAATGATGGATATACAATTAATCAAACATATTTTGAATAAATTGTTGCATACCAAAAGTAAGGGTACTGATGTATAAGCTTGGTGATTAACCATGGGATGACTGAAAGCCCGTGCACTTCATTGTACCTCCTGCTTTCCAGGTTGTTTTATGAGAAGCTACCTGGACACCACACAACATTTACTTGAAAAGCCATTTCCAGTACAGTGACATTAGAGGTGGCCTATACACTAAAAGATAGAACAGCAATGCAGTGAGTGTCTTGTTGAGTTGTAGGATACACTTTCTCCAATTGCAAATCAGATTCTGGCACCAGTGGTTTCTCTCAATGCCTATAAGAGAGGCAATTATATTCTTCTTTGAAAAATAAAATTTTATCTTTCCACTTTAAAAAAATCGCATCATAGAAATTTAAAATGTCTACAAGTAAATGCTACCCTGAAGGAATGAGAAGATTAAAACCAAAATACCAAATATGAGTGTATGTGGAAGGGAAAACTCATAAATGCTTCAGAGCAAACCACCATTTAAGGAGACACCGAGAGTGCTAATTCCTCTTCAAAGGGAAGAAATTTCCAGACAGTTAGAATCATGGAAATAAAGGCTAACCCTAAAAATCTCTTCATTTAACTCATTGTGAAAATAAAATTAGGATGTTTAATTTAGCTATTAACCAAAGAAATCTGATTTGAAAATCAGACTTAGAACCAAAGTATCTGTCTTCTAAACAGCAACAACAAAGAGACATAAAATAACTACAATTTTAAATATTTTGAATATGTTTTTTCCAAATGTTTTATGGAATATCACCAGGTTTTTGTTGCATTGAAGCAAAGAAAATTTACTTATTGTTAACATAAAAACGTGCCTGTGTTGGAAATTTAAATATGCATTATACATTATTTGCATTACAACCTTATTGACAGGTATATCTTTCAATTTAATTATTGTTGCATTAAGATCATAATATAACATTTTAGTTAACTTCTTGTACGATTTTAAATACATAATTTTTTAAAAAACATTTTTATCTTTTTTATTCAGTGATCATGAAAATATAACATAAAACAACCAAAAAGAAGAAGAATAACATGCAGAATGCACACAGTGTGAACATTGTAAGCAAACTTTGGCTTATTTGAAGTACAATTTTATTGTACAAACACAAAACAATAAAGACAATTGATTTTATAAGATATTTTAAACAAGCATTTTGAGTTCTTTACTATACGTAGCGGTTATTGCAAAGCAATTCACAGAATTGACTTTTTTCCTTTAAATAACCTCACAATTAGGTACGACTGCCACGCCTGTTTTGTTTAAAGTCCTATAAGGACAACCAGACTCAATCTGCATGGAGCTAGATATATAATGTTATTTGTTAAATCAATGCTACGAGTGTAAAATTTGCTTGGCTAATATGATGGTTAACAATTATTAGATAGAAGTGGTGTAATTTAAAGGCTTTCCAGTGAGCAAAACAGTATTTATTATTCACCATAATGTGTTCTGTTTTCTCTTCTAGCTTCTTTGTTCTGATTTTTTATGCTTTCTCCTTTAGACCTTATAATAAATATATTCTGAGATCACAGATAATTATTTAATTGAACATTTCTGCTCTGACTCATACTCTACCAAGAGTGGAAGCAAAGGATGAAGATAGGGTTGACTGACTTTCCTCCAAAAAGAAAAAAGAAGGGAAATGAAATATAAACATAGCCATTCAAAACATTGTGGATTTATGTACTTTTGAAATCCAGGGAAGAGATGAATTCCATACAGCATCCCTGGACAGTGTTTGCCAGTGATTTGTACAAGGCTCATATATGAAATACTTCTCTTTAGGTGGCAGGACTTGACTAGAAACATTATATCTGCCAACTCTCAATTATCCATAGACTATTATTAAATTTGAAAATTAAACAGGCCTGTATCTTTCCCTTCTTTTTGCTTCCTTTTGTTTTTCTTAATGCTTTGGCAATTTCACTGCCCCAAGTTTTCCACTAAAAGATCTACCTGGAAAAGTACAAAGAAAAAATTAATCACTTCGAATCCTGTTAATGGACCATGTAAAAATATTTCATTAGAGAAAAAAATTAACTCATATAACACCCACAGATTTCCTAGGAAAATCTTGTCATATTCTGAGGAGCACAGTTTATTTAAAAAATCTTCCGTTTAGGAGCCCTGAAATTTTTTTTAAACTCAAAATGCCAGCCAATATTAAGTAAGTGAGAGTGCATAATATTTACTGCCTGGTGGAAGTTAAATGCAGTCTTGCAAGTGTAGAACATATATGTTATAATCTAGCAGACATTTTACTTGCAATATTTTATTTTTTCCCAGTTCAACAGGAGAATTTGGCAGCAATAAAGAGTTTTATGTGTATGTTACTTTCCAGAAGTTTGGCAAAGTTACTATCACAATGAAATTTCCATTGCATAGAAACTTTACAGCATGTTTTCCAAAAGAACACGATGTTTAGAAACAAAATATATAGTTCAGTATTTTATTAAAGTGACTCAAGTGAAACTGTTTTCTTCTATTGCCTGAAGGGCTGTATATGAAGAAACTAGATTATAACTTCATGCTTTATTTTTCTAACTAAAAAAATACTCTTCTTTCCTCTTCTCACAAAGGTTCAAGAGGGCCCACTCTAACAGTGTGTTTTCATAAGAAGCCCCTCCAATTCCTACCATTCCCATGGTATTTTTAGGTTAGCTGTAACCTGAGGCCTGTCATATAAAGAGGGAAAAAAGTCTAGTCCATGATAGTTTACCCAAATGAACAATCAAGAAACCTGTGCCATTTCTCATTTCAATCCAAATGTTTGGCACCATAAAAACACAGACATAATCTTAGAATAGGTGACATAACTATCCCCCAAAAAACCCTTTCCAATCTCTGTTAATGAAGAGTAAATGAAAAAAGATGCTTAGGAAATTTTTACTGTTTCTCTGTGTCTGACTTTCTCTGACAAATATTTATAATGTGCTCAGTTTTAAGACAATAACCAAAATATTGCTAATTTTGACTCAACACTATAGATATGTTTCTATGATGTAGAAATTGTTTCATTTCCTTCTTGTTTAAACTTTTTATATAAACCTATTTTTAACGAATTTTTCTCTAGTTGATACTGTTTTTTTAAAAAAATCTCCTATGTGCCTCAAAATATGTTAAGCATTGTGATGACATTAAAATCTAGTTGTGGGTCAAATAAGCTACATCCTAAATAAAAATCACCTGAAAATAGTATAAAATACACATAATCTAGTCAGAATACACAGGAACTTGAAAAGGGAAAGATCTTGCTAGAAGTTAAAAAGAACACTTTTTATTGAATAATCCTAATAAGTCTCATTATTATGTTCCCCACACAGCATGTGACACTTGGTAAGTGTTCAAAAAATATTTATTGAATGAGTAAAGCAGTTTGGGGATGGGATAATATGATCTACATAATATATCATATATACTGGAACTTGAATATAAGGATTATATGATAAGGCATTTTATCACCCACAGATATATGGGGATTGCTTTCTGCTGATAAAGACAATAGATTCCAGACCAATATCAGAGACATTTTCTAGGACCATTCTGATGACAAATCCTGGCCAATCAGAAGGACTAATGAGCATGAGCACAGGATTTCAGAAGTTCAAACAATGTCTCAGATTAATGTCCTGTCTTAGGATCCCTGAAGAATTTTAAGGGTGACACAGATGGACTGATTCAAGAGCAGAAAAAAAGCAGCATGTCTGTCATTCAGTATATAAAGTTCCGTGACATTACAACAATATATATTTCTCAACTTTTTTTTTCTTTTTAACACATTCTTCTCTCTTTTTCTTTCCTATCCTGTTGTCATATTTTTCCCCACCACCCCCCATTTCACTTACACAGGTAAAACCAGTATTCAAAATTCTAGAATTTGAAAACAACTTCTCTGACAGTAAAGTGAATGCTACTTAGAAAAGTATAATCAAGGCTTTTTTGTTCTGGCCTAACTGAAGATAAGAAAAACATTCCATGCAGTAAAACTAGTTTTGTCGGCTCAAAGTTTGGGGAATGACATTTATCCAAAGGCCAAATGTCCCATCTTCAGAGCAGAGGCATCATACAGCTATGGCCTCATCACAGAACGCAGACCATCTGGAAAAGTGGCCACTCACCACACCCTTTAGGCCTTCCCTGACAGAGAGAGAGCACGTGTAATGCTGGATTGCTGTTTCACAGCTGCTGGCTCCAGATATTCCCCAATGGAATTCTTTAATTAGTTAGCTCTCTCTAGCCTATTCCCCATGGAGGATGAAACAAACAAACAAAAAAGATGCAAAAGGCTAGCACCTGCAGCCTTCCTGTGCTAAGACTGAATAGAACATAGGCACTGAGAGAGTCCTCTAAGCAAATGAGGGTGAAATAATGCAGCCAGGAAGCTTAACAGAGTCTGCCAATAGGAAGAGTTTCCAGTGGCTTAAGTGTTTGGACAGTTAAATTATGACTGAGGAAATATTAGAATAAAATGTGTATTTAATTCCCACTGCAGGGTTGACCTGACACACCAAAAACTGTCTTGTGTTGAGGAGAGCAGAGTAGAAGTAATTCTATCAGGTCAGTTTGGGTAATTTTCATTTTCTCTTTGAACAATTATCTTCAGAGAAGTGACTTGCTCTACCATAATTAAACTGAACTTAAATTCCCTATAATCCCAGCACTTTGAGAGGCCAAGGTAGGCAGATCACCTGAGGTCAGGAGTTCAAGACCAGCCTGGCCAACATGGCAAAACCCCGTCTCTACTAAATACACAAAATCAGCCAGGTGTGGTGGCACACACCTGTAATCCCAGCTACTTGGGAGGCTGAGGCAGGAGAATCGCTTGAACCAGGAAGGCAGAGGTTGCGGTGAGCCGAGATCACACCACTGCACTCTGCCCTGGGTGACAGAGGAAGACTCCGTCTCAAAAAAAAAAAAAATTGTGATTGAACATTAGATTTATCTTTATTTTCAACAAATTATCCACTTGAGGCCAGGAGTTTGAGACCAGCCTGGGCAACATAGCGAGACCCATCCTTGCAAAAAATTTAAAAATTATCCAAACATCCTGATGTTCACTGTGGTTCCAGCTACTCAGGAGGCTGAGGTGGGAGGATCACTTGAGCCTGAGAGGTTGGGGCTGCAGTGAGCTGAGGTCATGCTACTGCACTCCAGCCTGGGTGACACAGTGAGACCCTGTTTAAAAAAATACACACACACACACAAACACATATACATATATATACCTAATCTCCATTAGTAGTAGTAGTAGTAGTAGTAGTAGAAAATTTTTAAAATTTCTGTTATAGGATGTCAGAAAATATTCATTATGACATTAATTTCATTATTTAACAATATAGGTTTATAGCCAACTATGTTTAATAAATAGCACAATTTTTTAAATGAGAAATATTTAAAGAGTATAAAAATAATTTCATAGAATATTAAAATATACATATACACAAAGATTCTAAGATTGTAATTTTTGAGAAGCCCCCAAATGTTTGGAGCCTTTTAAATTTTTGTAGTATGTTCTATTTTTGTCTCACATGTACTTCTTGTTCAAATTATACAAAAATTTGTTCTTTGTTTTTACAAATACTGGTTGGTGAATCATATGGTGATATACTGGGATTTGAATATTACCTTATTTTTTTCTGTTCTTCTGATAAGTACTCTAACAAGGAGCAAAGTGATCAAATGTAAAACACTTAGACAAAGAAGAAAATTCTGGAAAAGGAACACCCTGGGTCATTTATTTCTGAATAACTGAGGGTTGGTACATGTTCATTACATTTTCTGAATGGTCTACAGGGACTCTTTTGTCTTTGGGTACACTAAGCCCACTGTTTGAAATGCTCTCTAGTTTTAGGGAAACTCTGCTGGTTAAATAAAAATACAAGCTGATTTCTCAGTTTATATAACAAAAATAATGTGTGCTGTCCCAGGTTCAGGTGTTCTGGGTTTTTAAAAAATATGCAGTAAATTTGATAATTAACTTTTGGATTAAGAAAGCATGCAGGATATAGAACACACTTCAGGAAGAAAAAAAGGACGTGTGGTGTTAGCTGAATGGGAAGGCTGCCCAGAACATGTCCCCTGCTATAAGATTAGTTTGGGAATTAGGGATTTACAGTGCTTACCCCCATCTAGAGGAGACTTGGCAATATTCCCTAGGACTGCAAAGATAAATTGGCGGGAGTGAAAGAAATAAGTAAAGGCCAGGAGCTGCTGGAAAGCAAGCTTTCCTGTCACTAAGCCGTGATGTTGTAAAGAGTTCTGAAGTCAACTTTGAGATCCTAGCCTGGGGCAGAGAAAGACAGTTTCTACATGGTAACAGCAACAGCAACTGGCCAGTTCTGTCTCCACATGGTCAGCCTGAGAAACATACTATAAAGCTCCACTACCGAAGAGGAAGTGGATCGTACCTAAGTGATGGTGGGGTCATCCACTCAGCTTCTTGCCCAAGATCTCCATGGCGTATCATCTCACATAGTGTCCTGCATCTGGCGGAGTCTTGAGAATAAGGCTGGATGATGGTGATAACGAGAATGAATGAAGATGGTGAAATCTGGAATGGTCTAGTTGTCAATATTTTAATGTAGCCAACATAGGTAATTTATTGTTGCTCACCTTTCTTTCTTCCTTCTTCCACTATTTTCAGTTCTCTCCATTCATGCCTTCTTTCTTTTCCTCCTCTTCTCTTTTTCCTTCCTGCTCTCCCTAATCTATCTTCTTTCCCTCTCCCACTTCCTATATCCTAGAAAAGGTCCAGCCAGGCAAAACAGCCTGGATTTCCTCAAGCCAAAGACATTCTTTTTGTAGTGCTTCTCTTGGAAATACAAGAAAAGGAAAAGAAAACAAAAATACAGACTCAAACTCCCATAGTTGCCAATTTGATCCCGGCTCTCCTGACTGCCAGCCTCCTCAGTTTGCTGTTTCTCACCTCTCAGAAACATAGATTTCAGGCTTCTGGGATTTTTCTTCTTCTTCTTCATTCTTTTCTAATATCATAGCTGAAGTGTAAAGGAAATTTGTGTATTGTCAAGCAATAAATGCAGGAATCATATCTGCTTATACTGAAAAGTACACCATGCTACTGAAGGAAAAATCCATTAAATGCTTTTTAAATGTTCAGTGCAAAGATTTCTATGATTTTTTTTAATTTTCCAGGTAACATCATTTGTATGGAAGTAGCTTATATTGAAGTCATTGTTGATCATAATAGGCTTTTTTAAATCACAATAGACTTTTAAAAGTATTATCTTTGGTATATTTAAGTCAGGTGTTTCTCTGGCTCAAGAATTAAACTGCCTTGTAACAAAATGTATATAATGTCAGCCTGGGATTGAGTCCTGGACTCTGGTCATCTTCCTTCAATCAACTCAGTATGTAATTTCAGTGAGTTTTGAACCCCATAACCTCTCAGTACTAAATGTCAGAGAAGGCACAGACGGTCCTCATACACTGACACCTGGAATAGACCCAATGGCCCAATGACAAATAGGACTGGATTTGTGTGACTATGGCACAGCATGAATTTCCTTAGATGCAAGCAAGAGGAAATTATGAGAGCTGATGTGCACTCCCCCAACTCCGACCACTAAAAACAGGTTAAAAGGCAGATCTGTGTTAAAATATCTCATCTTCAGCTCTTCACCCCATGTAGGGTTGCCAGATAAAATATGGGCTCTCCAGATATATTTGAATTTTATATAAACAATTATGGATTTTTAGTATACTTTGTCCCATGCAATATTTGGGCCATACTTATGCTAAAAAATGTTATTTATTGGAAAATCAAATCTAACTTTACATCTTGAATTTTTTTCTTTACTAAATCTGGCTATCTTACAACTCTCTCAATTATTCCCTTATCCTACTTTGCCTTCTTTGCACTTATCATACTGTCTGGTAATACTGTTTATTCAGTTTTTACTAGGTTATTGTCTGTGTTCCAGCACTGAAATATTAGCTCTGTGGAAGTGAAAATGTTTCCATTTTATCTCTTGCTGGAACTCTAGCACCTAGAACAATGCTCAGCACATAGTAGCTGCTCAATAAATGTTGAATGAATTTATTGAATGAATGAATGAATGAAACATCTATATCAAAACCATGTTGCTTGTCCATTAATTCTGCAAAAAGTTCATATGGATAATTAAATCTACAATATTTACTGTTTATCTTTACTTTTTATTTCTTTTTTTCTAGTCAGATTGCAACATTTTCAAAGATATGAATGATGCTAATATTTACATATTGTGTACTTACTATGTGCCACCATTCTGAGTCATGCACACTTAATACTCACAAAAACCTTATGAAATAAGTACAATTTTTACTCCCACTTTGGCAATTAGAAAAATGAAGCTGAGCATATAATTGTGTTAAAAATAAGCCTATTATGAAGCAAGTCTTGAGACCTCATTTAAAACTGTTTATGTGTTAAAATATTTTCTGAATGTGTATTTTATGTTGTTATGTCTTATAGTAATGGTAACTTAGCAAACACATAAACAATATTCTTGTTTTTTATGAGAATGTGTTTTTTACAAATCCTGCCAAAAAATAAGAAAGGAAAATTACCAGCAAGCAACTAACTTAATTAATCTTTGCTAAAATATTAAAAGCAATTTATTATTACATTTTTCAGAGATGAAATTGTATGGATTTTAAAATTAATTTTTATGCACAAGTTTTAAATAATTAACATAGTATTAAAGAATACGCTTTCCCGAGAGTTTTCATTCTTGGTTTCACTAGTGCAATTCTACATACATTCAGAGAGAATGAGAAGAGAGGGCGGCAGTATGTTTTCTTATGTTATTCAATCTCTTATAGGCTTCCGTCCAAACGAAGCAACTAAAATGAAACACAGCTTCCCTTCCCAAGAGGGTTTCACTTGTTCCTTTTCTTGCCTCATTCCCTCTACCTCTCGTCTTTCCTCATGTGCTTTTTTGACTTTCCTCCTCTTTCCTTCCACCCACAGGCACTTTTGAAGTGGCCTCCGATGCGAAGGTGAGATCAGAAATACGCCTGTGGAACCCTCTACATGCGGATCTGGCAAGCATTCAACACAAACGCAATTAGAGGGCTTACCCTTGCATGAAATATTTGCTTTCCTGATAGTCACTAACTTTAAACTTTAGGAATGCCAGGGCATAGTGTTTCTGTATCAGAACTAGAATCCTCTACTTCACTTTCTTCAGCTATTATTTTTGAAGTTTGCATATCGTATTAAAGTCCCACCAAACAATAAATAGGAAAGCATGATTTTATTAAAATCCTCTTGAGACAACCGCATCTGCCCTGGCTATTCTTTGATCAGGGTCTGAGAGGTTGCAGCATGCACACTCACCCAGAGGTACTTGAGAGCATTGTTCACGTATTCAATGAATATTGAATGCTAGAGTGAATCTACACTGGGCTTAGATCAGCATAAATCTCCACAACTCACCTTCAATGGTGGACACAGGCAACTAACCAGGAAATTACAAAATCATTCATAAAAGAACCTGATCTTCCATATCCCTCCCTCTTGCAAAATTGCCACAAATAAAGGAAGGCTAAATAGGAATATTTGTTTTACTTTGAGCAAGATGAAAATATTTCAAAGGCACACATTTGCTCAACTCATTGATTCTTACAAAGAAATATCTATATATACCACATATTATATAGTTAAGTATTCAAGTTCTGAAACCTGAAAAAAAAAGTAACTGTTTTTTTTTTCTTTCACCCTGAATAAATTAAAAATGACTGTAGTGTTACATAGTCATTGAGGTCAGTCAACATTTTTTATTCTGTTTGGAACCTAATTGTTTTAGTCTATTCCTGCTGCTATAACAAAATACCACAGACCGGGTACTTTCTAAACAGTAGAAATGTATTTCTCACAGTTAAGAAGGCTGAGAAGTCCAAGATCAAGGTGCCAACAGATTTGGTTTCTGGTGAGGGCTGCTATCTCTGTTTCAAGGTGGTGCTTTGTTGCTGTGTCCACACATGGTGGAAGAGCAAAAGTGAATGCACCCATTTTCTGATGCCCTTTAATGAAGGCCCTAATCCCATCTCAGGATCTGCTCTCATGACTTTATCACTTCCTACAGGCTCTACCTCTTAACACTATTACATTAGCAATTAAATTTTAACATATAAATGCTGGAAAATACATTCAGATTATAGCACTAGTCTGTAAGTAGATAAGTAGATGGTGCACAATAAATAATAACTTTTTTTCAAGATGGAATCTCTCTCTGTCTCCCAGGTTGGAATGCAGTGGCATGATACTGTAACATCCGCCTCCCAGGTTCAAGCAGTTCTCCTGCCTCAGCCTCCTGAGTAGCTGAAATTACAGGCACCTGCCACCATGCCCAGCTAACTTTTTTGTATTTTTAGTAGAGATGGGGTTTCACATGTTGGCCAGGCTGGTCTTGAACCCCCAACCTTCAGTGATCTGCCCATCTTGGCCTCCTAAAATGTTGGGATTACAGACATGAACCACTGCACCTGGCCCACAATAAATAATTGTTAAATTGAAATTCTAATCATAAAGTATGTAATGGCCAGTGATGATGAGCATTTCTTCATGTGTTTTTTGGCTGCATAAATGTCTTCTTTTGAGAAGTGTCTGTTCATTTCCTTCGCCCACTTTTTGATGGGGTTGTTTGTTTTTTTCTTGTAAATTTGTTTGAGTTCATTGTAGATTCTGGATATTAGCCCTTTGTCAGATGAGTAGGTTGCGAAAATTTTCTCCCATGTTGTAGGTTGCCTGTTCACTCTGATGGTAGTTTCTTTTGCTGTGCAGAAGCTCTTTAGTTTAATTAGATCCCATTTGTCAATTTTGGCTTTTGTTGCCATTGCTTTTGGTGTTTTGGACATGAAGTCCTTGCCCACGCCTATGTCCTGAATGGTAATGCCTAGGTTTTCTTCTAGGGTTTTTATGGTTTTAGGTCTAACGTTTAAATCTTTAATCCATCTTGAATTGATTTTTGTATAAGGCGTAAGGAAGGGATCCAGTTTCAGCTTTCTACATATGGCTAGCCAGTTTTCCCAGCACCATTTATTAAATAGGGAATCCTTTCCCCATTGCTTGTTTTTCTCAGGTTTGTCAAAGATCAGATAGTTGTAGATATGTGGCATTATTTCTGAGGGCTCTGTTCTGTTCCATTGATCTATATCTCTGTTTTGGTACCAGTACCATGCTGTTTTGGTTACTGTAGCCTTGTAGTATAGTTTGAAGTCAGGTAGTGTGATGCCTCCAGCTTTGTTCTTTTGGCTTAGGATTGACTTGGCGATGCGGGCTCTTTTTTGGTTCCATATGAACTTTAAAGTAGTTTTTTCCAATTCTGTGAAGAAAGTCATTGGTAGCTTGATGGGGATGGCATTGAATCTGTAAATTACCTTGCTCATCATCACTGGCCATCAGAGAAATGCAAATCAAAACCACTATGAGATATCATCTCACACCAGTTAGAATGGCAATCATTAAAAAGTCAGGAAACAACAGGTGCTGGAGAGGATGTGGAGAAATAGGAACACTTTTACACTGTTGGTGGGACTGTAAACTAGTTCAACCCTTGTGGAAGTCAGTGTGGCGATTCCTCAGGGATCTAGAACTAGAAATACCATTTGACCCAGCCATCCCATTACTGGGTATATACCCAAAGGACTATAAATCATGCTGCTATAAAGACACATGCACACGTATGTTTATTGCGGCACTATTCACAATAGCAAAGACTTGGAACCAACCCAAATGTCCAACAATGATAGACTGGATTAAGAAAATGTGGCACATATACACCATGGAATACTATGCAGCCATAAAAAATGATGAGTTCATGTCCTTTGTAGGGACATGGATGAAATTGGAAACCATCATTCTCAGTAAACTATCGCAAGAACAAAAAACCAAACACCGCATATTCTCACTCATAGGTGGGAATTGAACAATGAGATCACTTGGACACAGGAAGGGGAATATCACACTCTGGGGACTGTGGTGGGGTCGGGGGAGGGGGGAGGGATAGCATTGGGAGATATACCTAATGCTAGATGACATGTTAGTGGGTGCAGCGCACCAGCATGGCACATGTATACATATGTAACTAACCTGCACAATGTGCACATGTACACTAAAACTTAGAGTATAATAAAAAAAATAATAATAATAAAAAAAAAATAAAGTATGTAATGCAAAGATATCTTACGCAGTATTAAAGTATATGCAGAAGTCATTGATCTTCTTCAAAATAAAGAATAAAGTAACTTTTATTGAATGTTCAGGATGTGCCAAACATATTCTAAGGATTCTGCAAACATTAAGTCTTTAGATAATGCTGTGAGATAAGGAAACACTTTACGGATGAAAAAACTGAGGCTTGGAGAGATTAATATAATTGCCCCAGATTACACCTAGTAAGGAGTCTATATTAATTACTTGTAGCTGCTGTAATAAAGTAACACAAACTTGGTGGATTACAAAAACAGAAATTTATTTTCTTTAATTATTGGAGGCCCAGAGTCTGAAAACACTATCGCTGTGCCAAAATCAAGGGGTGACAGGGCCGCCCTGTCTCCAGAGGCTCTAGGAGAGATTCCGATGCCTGCCTCTTCCAGTTTTTGATGGTTGCTAGTATTTTTTGGTTTGTGGACACATTACTCTCATCTTCAAGGCCAGCATCTTTGAATTTCTCATTACTTAATTGAAAGGGTTTGGCTGTGTCCCCAACCAAATCTCATTTTGAACTGTAGTTCCCATAATCCCCAGATGTCATGGGAGGGACCTGGTGGGAGGTAATTAGATCATGGAGGCAGTTTCCGCATGCTGTTCTCACGATAGTGAGTGAGTTCTCAGAAGACCTGATGGTTTTATAAGGGGCTTCCCCCTTGGCTTGGCACTCATTCTTCTTCTCCTTTCTGCCACCATGTGAAGAAGAACATATTTGCTTTCCTTTCCGCCATGATTGAAAGTTTTCTGAGGCCTCCTCAGCCATGCTGAACTGTGAGTCAATTAAACTTCTTTCTTTATAAATTGCCCAGTCTCCAGTATCTCTTCATTAGCAGCATGAGAACAGACTAATACATTTATCTTCATAGCACCTTCTCTGAGATGTGTGTGTCTAATCTCTCTGTGTCTGTCTTATAAAGACACTCTTGATGGCCTACGTTAGTTTGTTAAGGTAGCCATAACAAAATACCAAACTTGGTAGTTTAGACAACTGACATTTATTTTCTCAGTTCTGGAGGCTGGAAGTCCAAGCTCAAGATGTGGAAAGGTTTGGTTTCTTCTGAGGCCTCTCTTCTTGGCTTGCAGAAGGCTGTCTTCTTGCTGTATCCTCACAAGATCTTTCCTCTGCCTAAACCCATCCCTGGTGTCTCTTTATGTGTGCTAATCTTCTCTTCTTATGAGGACACTAGTTATATTAGGTTAGGTGCCAACCCAACAGCCTCATTTAAACTTAGTTATCTTCTTAAAGGCCTTCTGTCCCAATACAGTCATAATCTGAAGGACGAAGATTAGGATTTTACCATATGAATCTGGGGGAACGCAATTCAGCCTATAAAAGCACCTGATAGGATAATCCAGAATAATCCCCTCATCTCAACAGCCTTCATTTAATCACCTCTGTGAAAACTTTATAAGGTAACTCACTGGTTTCCAGAGATTACGACCTTCTGTCTTTTGAGGGCCATCACTCAACTCAACACAGGGTAAACCTAGGATTAAACAGGCAGTCTGTGTCTCGGGCCTCTGACATTTACCGCAATAATATACCTCATCTGCAATATGTAACTTTTGTCTAGCTACAAAGAAAACACTATGGATAAAAATGTTAACAAAATGCTAGACTATGATAAAATGCAGATTAGACTAAAATAAAAATACATATATATGTATATGTATACATATATATTTTGTGTGTGTGTGTGTGTGTGTGTGTGTATGCTGGACATTTTAAGGAAGGGAGAGAGAAAATGAAACTGGTATTTTTGGAGGGTTAGTTGTCCTGTGGTTTGGAGTCTGGTGTAAATAGACACCTGAGATTGGAGTCTAGGACGGCGAGTAGGAAACTATTACAGTAGTTTATTCACAAAATGGTAAGGGCCTGAGCCAGGGTAATGGTGAGAGGAGAGGAAAGCTTGGGCAGGAGAAATGAAAGAAATGCCAAAACCTGTGACTGAGTGGGTCAGAAGGACAACAGAGACAGAAAAATGTTCACCCCTTCAACAACATTTATAAGCACCATCTGGATGCCATCCATTGTTTGGATCCAAATATGGAGAGTTAAATCACATTTCTTAACTTCAAAAAGTACATAGTGTAATGAAAAATGAGAGCAAATAAACAAATGCTTAAAATAGGGTGTGATGAGAACTCCATGCAGGAACACAGTATAAAAGCACTGCATGGAATGGGTGTGTACATCAGGAAAGGGGTTTTATGTTAGGTTCTTCCAGAAGCCAACTCAAAGATTTCATTTCAAGCAAAAGGTGAGATGAATAAATACAACTGGAGTAATAGGGAATTGAGTAGTGGGAGAGAGGGAAGCCAATGAAGGATTAATTTTCAAGCAAGTTATCAGTGTGGGTAACTGGAGCTCAGTCAGTCCTGCCGGGGAGCTCTGTGGGGAGCCAGTGCAGAACATATTCAGCATTATCTCACCCAGGGGTGAGGGAGCTAGGAGATTTCTATATGAGAGTCACAATGAAAAACTAGAAAACGTAGTGGTAATTGTCATAGAGATGCCATAGGATCTGGCTAAAGAACAAAACTCATCTTTCACATTTAAGTCTTAATTTAGTAGCCCTAATTAAGATTTCAGTCATGGGGAAATGTTTCTGTTTTATATCACCAGAGAAGAAAAAGATTTGGTTAATACTTAGAATGCATCAGAAACATTCAACCGAATAATTACATATTGATGTAATAACAGAGTATCCACCTCTCAGCATGAAGCGTGTATGTGTTTTTTTCTGGTTCCTTAAGATGCTCCATACACAGGATCTGCATTTGCCACCTTCTATAGTTCAGGATTCTAATTCTTACAAATGAGTTGACTGTGCAAATAAGGCAGCATATCTCTGTGTTAACATTCATTTCTCTTTTACTTCATTTCTTTAAAGGTTTCATAGAAATCTTTTTTTTTAACAAAGGACTATTCCACAATATGACAATAAACTGGATTTCTATAGTCACAGGAATAAAAGAAAATCCACTGAGCTTATAGAGACAGCTCTTGATTTCCACCTGAGCTTGTTTTCCTTGCAGCAGCCTAGATTATAAATCACTCAGAACTTCCCTGCATAAGCGCCTCCCTTCACCGTGACTTCCCACTCCCTTATACTGCGTGCACTCAGTGCCTTATCAAACTCTTAGAGTGCTAACCCATCAGGGATCTTATCACCTGCAGTTTTTATGGACTGTTCAATAATGAAAATAGAGAGGAGTTTGAACTCCTTGACATGGAAACCTTCAAGAAGCTATGGAATGTGGTCACTGGTATTTCTGGTATCTTTTAAATGTCAAGAGAGCAGAATTTCTCTTGTCAGTTGTCACAGCAAGGCTAACAATTAAAGCCATCTGCTCTTCATTTCACTCCCCAAGGGCTTCTTTCATTTTTCATCAACTTCCTGTTGTTGACAGCACAGTTCCTCCCAGTTTCTCTCTGAAACTGTGAGGTCACCACCAGGCTCAGGCCATTCCGTGAACTGCTGATTTGGTTCCAAACTCCAGAATGCCCTTTGGCCCAGGAGCTCCAGCCTCCAGTAACTGGAACCCCAGGCATATCCAGATCTGGAAGAATGTCAGCCTTTCCCTAAGCAATACAATGAGGGCAGTGGGGATGCCAATGCCAGAACCTGCATCATGGCAGATCCGGCTTGGCTTGGGACCTTTTTCTTTAAGAAAAAAACAGAAAGAAAGGAAAAGAAGAAATAGGGAAAGAATAAAGGAAGAAAGGGAAAGAGGAAGGGAAGGAGGAAGAAAGGAAAGGAGGGAGGGAGGAAGAAGGAAAAAATGCACAGGAAGAAAACAGAAAAAAAAAGGAAGAAAACAGGGAAGGAAATGGAAAGGAAAGAGGGAAGGGAAAAAAAGGAAAGGGAAGGGAAGAGGTAAGAAACGAAAGAGGGAAGGAAAGACGTAAGGGAAGTAAAGAAGGAAGAGAAGGGAAGGAAAGGGGAGGGGAAGAGAGGAGAGGGGAGGGGAGTGGAGGGGAGGGGAGGGGAAGGGAGGGAAGGGAAGGGAAGGGAAGGGAAGGGGAGGGGAGGGGAGGGGAGGGAAGGGAAGGGGAGGGGAGGGGAGGGGAGGGGAGGGGAGGGGAGGGAAGGGAAGGGAAGGGAAGGGAAGGGGAGGGGAGGGGAGGGGAGGGGAGGGAAGGGAAGGGAAGGGAAGGGAAGGGAAGGGAAGGGAAAGGAAGGGAAGGGAACTAAGAAATCTCAAAGGTGAACTAACTATAATGATTCAGACCAATGATTTTGCTTATTAATGTACTCAAATGAGATCTTTGTTGTTACTGTGTTGTTACTTTGTTGTTACTGTGAAAGTGCCACAAAATGATAAGAAAAGTAATCCCATTACTGAGAAGGAAAGCGTGTTACAGTTCTGGGGATAGAGTTGTTTTTCTGCCTGATATCTAAGGTCATTATATATAATTGATATGCTTATAAAACTTGTGAATTCATAATATAACATTTAAATAAACTCATTTTTCAACCCAATCCAGAAAAAAAAACACAAAGTTTCTAGAAATTCTATTGGAATAAAGATCATGTATAGCTAGGGAAATAGTCTTTATTTCAAACAGAAATTCTAAAATACCTTATCACAGTTGTTAATAAAATTTTCAGTTTTATTTTTACATTTCTAACCAAAGCTAACAAATACATATTAATGAATAATTCTCTAGCTCTGTAGATAGCAGAATCAAACAAGTCATTTCAGGGCCCCACACATGTAGTATTTGCCTGGTACGGGTGGAGTTTCATTTATTTTGGAGTAGCAAATTAGTCACTAGAGAGATGCACGAACTTAGGTCTCTAATGTACTGTTTAGTAAATTGCTGCTGTAGTCTTTCATAATGTAATGCCTCATGTGAAGCACTGAGTAGTTAGCCTGCTTGGCTCATTAAGAATAGAGTTGTAGTAAATATCCTTCATGTAATTGTCCCTGGATACCCGTGAGCTTATAAAGCCACAGTGCCAACACCATGTGTGAGTTTTAAGTTCATGTCAAATCGCGTCTGCTGTATACATTTTTTTGGAAAGCACAGAGTGTCTAAAATCACAAACGTCAATGAGGCTTCCAAACAGCTTCTGTCCTACGGGGACATTCAGAATGGTGAGAGGCTTGGACAATGTTGTTTCCTAAGAATCATCACGCTGTAATTCCTTTGAATGTTCTCTTTCAGAAGCTAGATCAAAGTTATTAAAATTTGTTTTCTAGATCCTTCTTCAGCACATATCAAATAAATATCAGTCTAATAAGGAATAAAATTTTCTTCAGCATGTCTGGAGACACACTTTTGAGTAAACTACTTCACTGGGGACACAGCACTATAGCAACCTTGGGCTCAAACTTAAGCTACGTAGCTATTTATGTTGATACATCTGTTTTTCTCACCTTCTGTTTCTGACAAAATGACAAAATAGTATGGCCTCTTCCCTAAGATCTAACCTTAGGAAAGTGAGAAATGCAAGCCAGAGGTTAATGAATTATGAAAATAAATGAAAAAAGAAAAGAAAAAAAACAACTCTGGTGGGTGCCAGCAGTGTGGCATAAAATGGGAGCAGGCATTTGCATAAAGGAGAAAACAACACTCACATATCAATAATACCAAAAAATAAAATCTAAAAGGCCTTGCATGGAAAATGATGATAGCTGGCCTTGAAATGATGAGTGTGATTAACTTACCTCTCTGCACTTAAGGGCCAAAGAAAGTAAAAATAAAAATAAGAAAGAGTCCAAGGTGAACGACGGAGCCCAAGTTTACCTAAGTTTACTCCTAGTATCAAGTGAAAATAGAAAAATAAGAGTAAAATAATATTAGTGTTAGAAAACAGGAAGGGATTTTTAGTGAAATTTATGGAAGTTATGAATCAAATGGAATCAAATTAATAATTAAAAAAACAACACCTGGAATAAAGATCTTCTGATCAACAGAAACTTCAAGAGAGAGAGAGCATCATAATTTTTTCTATTTCAGTCCTGTAAGGAAAATCCAAATGCAAACAAGCAGAGGCTGGAAATGGGTGAAGGCCATGGGACTGTTGGTTCCATAATATAATGATTTCTCTACCAACATCAACAAATGTGAAACATCCAGCCACAGTGTCAACTTCAAGAAAAGAAAGATTTCAAAGTAGAGTGGGAGAACCACCATGAAGATTCTCAGCATAAGGCCAGAGAGAAAAGTAGCAATATTATCTAGGCTACTGTTATGGATTAAGTGTTTTTTTAAAAAAATAAAAACAGGAAAAATCTCTGCAGAGCAGTAAAATTCTCTGAACCTGTTTTATCTCCAGGATAAACCTTTTTCTATTTCTCAATTGAAAGGGTCATCGCACAGTCATCTTGTTTCCTGCTTGTGCAATGCAAACTCAGGTTCACCTGTCCATACATCCTTACCTCCACTCAATAGCTGGGGGAAATCCACATGGGGATTCATGTACCTAGAGCAAGAGGGCTGCCACCACACCCTGATATGGTCAAAGTCAAGGCATCAACCAATCTATCAATTTATGTCTTTAGAATGTCACAAGACACAATCTATCTGGCAGGAGAACATTAATGAGTTTTAACACACTAAGCAACAACTGATAATAATATGTAAGAATGGTTAGATTCATGGAAAACAAAACTTATCAATGGATGCTGAAATGACAGTAAAATGTAGTATTTATTCCTCATCACAGACCCATAGTAAGCTAACATGAAAAAGACTTTTAGCAGGTCAATTTTCTGTTTTTTTTTCACAGTATTTCTATGTTTATTATGATATAGAGTAGTATTTTACATATTAGTTCATTTTATAGTGAAACATTTATGTACAACTCTAGAGAAACCACTGCACAGATAGCTCCAAAATAAATTAGAAAATATTTTCTCTATAGAAAATAATAAAAATCATAACATTTACCAAGCTAGCCCAACAAGTTCATTTAACTTTCAATGAGTAGTTATCAAAAACTGGCATAAAATATTATACTTAAGAGTGAAATGGTAAGGACACTTATTTTACTGTGTTAGTCTGGTTTTACTGACTAAATGAAGGCACATATTATGTCTTCTTGTTAATTAATCATTGTATTTCTACTGTATTCCCACTAGCAGTACATCTCTAATACATAGTAGGTGTGCTAAATATATTTGTTAAATGAATGAGAAAATAGAAAAATTTGTGAATGAATAAATTTGCTACTTATTGTTGCTTCCAGAAGGAAATTTAAATATCACATGAATGCTGATCTAAGCTAGTTAATGTAAAAACTGAGCAAAAACTGCTGGATATGCATAGCTTTCTTTTTGTATACTTTTTTCTACTTATGGCCAGAGAGGTGAGTTCACCATATTGCCAAAATCATTTTTCCTTTATGCTCAAGTTAGTTTGCTGATTAAGAATGAAGAAAACAAAGAGGAGCTGGAAGAAGCTTAATCCTCTCAACTCTCCCACTGCCTCCTGATGCCTGATGGGCCTGATCCTAGATCCTCAGACTAATTATGATAATCATCGCACCACAGTAAAACTCCTAAATTTCCATATTCCCAAGAGTTGCTGGGGCTGCAAGCAATGGAGCCTCCATAAGACCGCGCTTTCCAGGGCCAATCTGGGGACTCAAAACACTTCCTCGAGAATCAAGATGGGCTGCAGCATTTCGTAAATTATTATTATCCTTTCACACTGCCTATATTTGAAATACCTACTTCTCCCTGCCTTCATTGCAAACATTTTTTCTTCTCATGTGATATTTTTCACTCAGCAAAATTTTCTCTAGCTGGTTTTTCTGTGGCAGAGGCTCATCACCAAGACAGATTTTAGAAAGAGGAGGAGAACGCTCCAAGGTGGCCAAATAGGAACAGCTCTGGTCTGCAGCTCCCAGTCTGATCGACTCAGAAAATGGGTGATTTCTGCATTTCCAACTGAGGTACTGGTTCATCTCATTGAGACTGGTTAGACAGTGGGTGCAGCCCACGGAGGGTGAGCCAAAGCAGGGTGGGGTGTCAACTCACCAGGGAAGCACAAGGGGACAGGGGATTTCCCTTTCCTAGCAAAGGGAAGCTGTGACTGACTGTACCTGGAAAAACAGGACACTCCTGCCCAAATACTGCTCTTTTCCCAAGGTCTTAGCAACTGGCAGACAAGGAGATTCTCTCCCATGCCTGGCTCGGTGGGTCACAGGCCCACAGAGCCTTGCTCACTGCCAGCACAGCAGTCTGAGATCAAACTGAGAAGTGGCAGCCTGGCTAGGGGAGGGGTGTCCACCATTGATGAGGCTTGAGTAGGTAAACAAAGTGGCTGGGAAGCTTGAACTGGGCAGAGCCCACCACAGCTCAGCAAGGCCTATTGCCTCTATAGACTCTACCTCTGTGGGCAGGGCATAGCTGAACAAAAGGCAGCAAACAACTTCTGCAGACTTAAACGTCCCTGTCTGACAGCTCTGAAGAGAGCAGTGGTTCTCCCAGCGCGGCATTTGAGCTCTGAGAACGGACAGACTGCCTCCTCAAGTGGGTCCCTGACCCCCATGTAGCCTAACTGGGAGACACCTCCCAGTAAGAACTGACAGATACCTCATATAGGCGGGTGCCCCTCTGGGAAGAAGCTTCCAGAGGAAGGATCAGGCAGCAATATTTGCTGTTCTGCAATATTTGCTGTTCTGCAGCCTCTGCTGGTGATACCCAAGCAAACGGTCTGGAGTGGACCTCCAGCAAACTCCAACAGACCTGCAGCTGAGGGACCTGACTGTTAGGAGGAAAACTAACAAACAGAAAGGAATAGCATCAACATCAACAAAAAGGACGTCTACATCAAAACCCCATCTGTAGGTCACCAACATCAAAGACCAAAGGTAGATAAAACCACAAAGATGGGGAGAAACCAGGGCAGAAAAGCTGAAAATTCTAAAAACCAGAGTGCCTCTTCTCCTCGAAAGGATCACAGCTCCTCGCCAGCAGTGGATCAAAGCTGGATGGAGAAGGGCTTTCAGAAGTTGATAGAAGTAGGCTTCAGAAGGTCTGTAATAAACTTCTCAGAGCTAAAGGAGCATGTTCTAACCCATTGCAAGGAACCTTGAAAAAAGGTTAGATGAATGGCTAGCTAGAATAAACAGTGTAGAGAAAACCTTAAATGACCTGATAGAGCAGAAAACCATGGCACAAGAACTTCGTGACACATGCACAAGCTTCAGTAGCCAATTTGATCAAGTGGAAGAAAGGATATCGGTGATTGAAGATCAAATTAATGAAATAAAGTGAGAAGACAAAGTTAGAGAAAAAAGAGTAAAAAGAAAAGAAAAAACCTCCAAGAAATATGGGACTATGTCAAAAGATTAAATCTATGTTTGATTGGTGTACCCGAAAGTGATGGGGAGAATGGAACAAATTTGGAAAACACTCTTCAGGATATTATCCAGGAGGACTTCCCCAACCTAGCAAAGCAGGCTAACATTCAAATTCAGGAAACACAGAGAACACCACAAAGATACTCCTCTTAGAAGAGCAACCCCAAGACACATAGTTGTCAGATTCACCAAGGTTGAAATGAAGGAAAAAATGTTAAGGGCAGCCAGAGAGACAGGTCAGGTAACCCACAAAGGGAAGCCTATCAGACTAACAGCAGATCTCTTGGCAGAAACCCTACAAGCCAGAAGAGAGTGGGGGCCAATATTCAACATTCTTAAAGAAAAGAATTTTCAACTGATAATTTCATGTCCAGCCAAACTAAGCTTCATAAGTGAAGGAAAAATAAAATCCTCTACAGACAAGCAAATGCTAAGAGATTCTGTCACCACCAGGCCTGCCCTAAAAGAGCTCCTGAAGGAAGCACTAAACATGGAAAGGAACAACTGGTACCAGCCACTGCAAAAACATGCCAAATTGTAAAGACCATCGATGCTAGGAAGAAACTGCTCAACTAATGGGCAAAATAACCAGCTAACATCATAATGACAGGATCAAATTCAAACATAACAATATTAACCTTAACTATAAATGGGCTAAATGCCCCAATTAAAAGACACAGACTGGCAAATTGGATAGAGTCAAGACCCATCAGTGTGCTGTGTTCAGGAGACCAATCTCATGTGCAGAGACACACATAGGCTCAAAATAAAGGATGGAGGAAGATCTACCAAGCAAATGGAAAGGAAAAAAAAGCAGGGGTTGCAATCCTAGTCTCTGATAAAACAGACTTTAAACCAACAAAGATCAAAAGAGACAAAGAACGCCATGACATAATGGTAAAGGGATCAATTCAACAAGAAGAGCTAACTATCCTAAATATATATGCACCCAATACAGGAGCACCCAGATTCATAAAGCAAGTCCTAAGGGACCTCCAAAGAGACTTAGACTCCCGCACAATAATAGTGGGAGACATTAACACCCCACTGTCAATATCAGACAGATCAATGAGACAGAAAGTTAACAAGGATATCCAGTACTTGAACTCAGCTCTGCACCACGCAGACCTAATAGACATCTACAGAACTCTCCACCCACCACAAATCAACAGAATATACACTCTTCCCAGCACCACATCACACTTATTCTAAAATTGACCACATAGTTGGAAGTAAAGCACTCCTCAGCAAATGTAAAAGAACAGAAAATCAAAACAAACTGTCTTTCAGACCACAGTGCAATCAAATTAGAACCCAGGATTAAGAAACTCATTCAAAACTGCACAACTACATGGAAACTGAACAACCTGCTCCTGAATGACTACTGGGTAAATAATAAAATGAAGGCAGAAATAAAGACGTTCTTTGAAACCAACAAGAACAAAGACACAACATACTAGAATCTCTGGGACACATTTAAAGCAGTGTGTAGAGGAAATTTTATAGGACTAAATGCCCACAAGAGAAAGCAGGAAAGATCTAAAATTGACACCCTGACATCACAATTAAAAGAACTAGAGAAGCCATAGCAAACACATTCAAAAGCTAGCAGAAGGCAAGAAATAACTAAGATCAGAGTAGAACTGAAGGAGATAGAGACACAAAAAAACCCTTCAAAAAATCAATGAATCCAGGAGCTGGTTTTTTGAAAAGATCAACAAAATGGGTAGACTGCTAGCAAGACTAATAAAGAAGAAAAGAGAGAAGAATGAAATAGACGCAATAAAAAATGATAAAGGGGATATCACCACCAATCTCACAGAAATACAAACTACCATCAGAGAATACTATAATCACTTCTATGCAAATAAACTAGAAAATCTAGAAGAAATAAATAAATTCCTGCACACATACACCCTCCCAAGACTAAACCAGGAAGAAGTTGAATCTCTGAAGAGACCAATAACAGACTCTGAAATTGAGGCAAAAATTAATAGCCTACCAACCAAAAAAAGTCCAGGACCAGACGGATTCACAGCCGAATTGTACCAGAGGTACGAAGAGGAGCTGATACCATTTCTTCTGAAACTATTCCAATTAATATAAATAGAGTGAATCCTGCCTAACTCATTTTATGAGGCCAGCATCATCCTGATACCAAAGCCTGGCAGAGACACAACAAAAAAGAGAATTTTAGACCAGTATCCCTGATGAACATTGATATGAAAATCCTCAGTAAAATACTGGCAAACAAAATCCAGCAGCACATCAAAAAGCTTATCCACCATGATCAAGTGGGCTTCATCCCTGGGATGCAAGGCTGGTTCAACATACCCAAATCAATAAACATAAATCATCACATAAACCAAACCAACAACAAAAAACACATGATTATCTCAATAGATGCATAAAAGGCCTTTGACAAAATTCAACGGCCCTTCATGCTAAAAACTCTCAATAAAATAGATATTGATGGAACATATCTCAAAATAATAAGAGCTATTTATGACAAACCCACAGCCAATATCATACTGAATGGGCAATACCTGGAATCATTCCCTTTGAAAACTAGCACAAGGCAGGGATGCCCTCTCTCACCACTCTTATTCAACATAGTATTGGAAGTTCTGACCAGGGCAATCAGGCAAGAGAAAAAAATAAAGGGTACTCAATTAGGAAAAGAGGAAGTCAAATTGTCTCTGTTTGCAAATGACATGATTGTATATTTAGAAAACCCCATCATCTCAGCCCAAAATCGCCTTAAGCTGATAAGCAACTTCAGCAAAGTCTCAGGATACAAAATCAATGTGCAAAAATCACAAGCATTCCTATACACCAATAACAGATAAACAGAGAGCCAAATCATGAGGGAACTCGCATTCACAATTGCTACAAAGAGAAGAAAATACTTAGGAATCCAACTGACAAGGGATGTGAAGGACATCTTCAAGGAGAAGTACAAACCACCGCTCAATGAAATAAAAGAGGATACAAACAAATGGAAGAAAATTCCATGCTCATGGATAGGAAGAATCAATATTGTGAAAATGGCCATACTGCCCAAGGTAATTTATAGATTCAATGCCATCCCCATCAAGCTACTGATGACTTTCTTCACAGAATTGGAAAAAACTACTTTAAAGTTCATATAAAACCAAAAAAAACTTGCATTGCCAAGACAATCCTAAGCAAAAAAACAAAAAACAAAGCTGGGGGCATCATGCTACCTGTCTTCAAACTACAATACAAGGCTACACCAACCAAAACAGCATGGTACTAGTACCAAAACAGAGATATAGACCAATGGAACAGAACAGAGCCCTCAGAAATAACACCACACATCTACAACCACCTGATCTTTGACAAACCTCAGAGAAACAAGAAATGGGGAAAGGATTCCCTATTTAATAGGTGGTGCTGGGAAAACTGGCTAGCCATATGTAGAAAGCTGAAACTGGATCCCTTCCTTAAACCTTATACAAAAATTAATTCACGATGGATTAAAGACTTAAATTTTAGACTTAAAACCATAAAAACTCTAGAAGAAAACCTAGGTAATACCATTTAGGACATAGGCATGGGCAAGGACTTCATGACTAAAACACCAAAAGCAATGGCAACAAAAGCCAAAATAGACAAATGGGATCTAATTAAACTAAAGAGCTTCTGCACAGCAAAAGAAACTACCATCAGAGTGAACAGGCAACCCACAAAATGGGAGAAAATTTTTGCAATCTACCCATCTGACAAAGGGCTAATATCCAGAATCTACAAAGAACTTAAACAAATTTACAAGAAAAAAACAACCCCATCAAAAAGTGGGCAAAGGATATGAACAGACACTTCTCAAAAGAAGACATTTATGCAGCCAACCGACACATGAGAAAAATGCTCATCATCACTGGCCATCAGAGAAATGCAAATCAAAACCACAATGAGATACCATCTCACACCAGTTAGAATGGCAATCATTAAAAAGTCAGGAAATAACAGATGCTGGAGAGGATATGGAGAAATAGGAACGCTTTTACACTGTTGGTGGGAGTGTAAATTAGTTCAACCATTGTGGAATGCGGTGCGGCGATTCTTCCAGGATCTAGAACCAGAAATACCATTTGACACAGCCATCCCATTATTGGGTATATACCCAAAGGATTATAAATCATGCTACTATAAAGACACATGCACACCTATATTTATTGCGGCACTATTCATAATAGCAAAGACTTGGAACCAACCCAAATGTCCATCAATGATAGACTGGATTAAGAAAATGTGGCACATATACACCATGGAATACTAGGAAGCCATAAAAAAGGATGAGTTCATGTCCTTTGCAGGGACATGGATGAAGCTGGAAACTATCATTTTCAGCAAACTATCACAAGGACAGAAAACCAAACACCACATATTCTTACTCATAGGTGGGAATTGAACAATGAGAACACTTGGACACAGGGCATGGAACATCACACATCAGGGCCTGTCTGGGGGTGGGGATCTGGGGGAGGGATAGCATTAGGAGAAATACCTAATGTAAATGATGAGTTGATGGGTTCAGCAAACCAACATGGCACATGTATACATATGTAACAAACCTGCATGTTGTGCACATGTACCCTAGAACTTAAAATATAATAACAAAAAAAAAGAAAGGAAAAAAAAAAGAAAGAGGAGGGGCCCAAGAGTGAAAAAGAAAAATGGAAAGAAAATAAATGGTCTTCCCTTTAATATTAAGCTCTAACTCTCATTAGAGTCATCTTTTAAAATTTATTTTAGTCCCTGGAAACATAGATCAGCAGTTATTTTAATAGATTATCTAAATCATACCACTGCCTCCAAGAAGAATAAAATCTAAATCACACAGATTTAGATTTATTTAGAATAAAATCTAAATCTAATAGCTCAGCCTATTCTTAAAATTGTCCAAAGAAAGATATTCCACAATTTTCTTCTCCAAATTCATATAAATAATTTTTTGCTATTATGTTACATTCTATTCTTTCTTTATTTCTTTCTTTTTTTGCTATTTTTTTTCTTTTTCTCCACTTGTGCTAGTCTGCTCAGGCTGTCATAACAAAATCCCACAGACGAAGTGGCTTAAAGAACAGAAATTGATCTTCCTATTGGATTAGGACTACACCCTTAATTACCTCTTCAGTCTGTCCATCTCCAAATATAGTCATATTGTGGGGGGGCAGGAATTCAACTCAGGAATTTTGGGGAGCACAATTTAGTTCTTAACACCTCTGTAGTCAGACAAATCTGGATTCAAATTCCTACTAGCTAAGTGACTTCAGGCAAGTTATTAAATTCCATCAGTTGTAGTTTTCTAATCTACAAAATAGAAACAACGAAACTGAACTTTTAGAGGTCCTTGTAACAATTAAATAAGATAAATTATAGCACCCCAAAATTTAGCTAGAAATATATTGAATATCTCAAAATTATAATGACTTCCTTCAGTCTTTTTCAGTCAATATAACAAAAATTCCTTTCCCATTTCTTGAAAAAGATGCTTGTCTAATAGGTTCATGTTTTCTTTCATTGATTCAACAGTTGTTAGTTGCTTCCTTACTATATGCCAGGCACTATGCTAGGTACAGTCTATACAGTGCTATGTGAAAAATTTCTGCGCTCATGCAGCTTACAGATTAAATGGGGGAATTGACATGCAACTAATGAACAAGCCGATCACATGCAATTTGTTGCCGGATAGGAGCAATTTTAGAAAAGGTTGGTTTATTATGTCTGAAAGGACATTAATATATGAGGAATGGAGGAGAGGGAAAGCCTCATTTTTAATTGCCCTTATTTTTCCTCCCTAGACTTTCTTAGATTCTTTGTAATTCATCCAGGTTTTAGAAAATAAAATCCATACCAAAGGTTAAAATACTTCAGGTATCAGTTATAATAAGTAAAATGAAAAATTCTAAAGTCCCAGGATTTTTATAACTCATACATCTGAACTAAAGAAGGAGAGCTCTTGTTGCCCACTGAGTAATCGACTCACAGACAGACCAGATTTTCAAACAGATTATTATTCAATGGTTTAAATCAAAGAACACTAAGCCTAAAATAGGTACTTACTTGAAGAATCTTCTCATGTCAGAGAAAAGACTACAATGGCCTAATAATACAAATAATATGATGGCCAAGAGTACAAATATTTAAACCATAATACGTAATTTTAATTTCAAAAATTCTGTGTGCATTGCAGAAGTATCCATCTCTAAGTAAGTGATACATAAAACGTTTGTTTAAGAATATCTGTTAAAGTCCATACAAACACAAGAATTCCTTATTTTATTGTGCTTTGATTTATGAAGTTTTAGATATGTTTTTTACAAAGGTTTGTGACAACCCTGGATCAAGCAAGTCTGTTGGTACCATTGTCCAACAGCATGTGCTCACTTTCTGTCTCTGTCACATTTTGATAAGTCTCGCAATATTTTAAATCTTTTCATTATTATTATAACTTTTATGGTAATCTGTGATCAGTAATCTTTGATGTTACTATTGTAATTGTATTGGGGTACCACAAACAATCATACATATAAGATGGCAAACTTGATTGATCAATGTTATGGGTGCCCTGACTGCTCCTTTAACCGGCCATTACCCCATCTCTCTCCCTCTCTTTGGGCCTCCCTATTCCCTGAGACACAACATTATTGAAATTAGGCCAGGGAATGTGCCTACAAAGGCCTCTAAGTATTCAAGTGAAAAGAAGAGCTGCTCATCTCCCACTTTAGACTGAAAGCTAGAAATGGTTAAGCTTGGTGAGGAAGGTATGTTGAAAGGTGAGAAGGGGTAAAAGCTAGGCCTCTTGCACCAAACAGTTAGCCAAGTTATGAATGCAAAGGGAAAGATCTTGAAGGAAATTAAAATTGCTATTGCCATGAGCATACAAATAAGAAAGCAAAACAGGCTTATTGCTGACACAAAGTATAAGCAGCCTGGATAGAAGATCAAACCAGCCACAACTTTCCCTTAAACCAAGACCTAATCCAGAGCAAGGCCGTAACTCTCTTCAGTTCTATGAAGGCAGAGAGAGATGAAAAATCTGCAGAAGAAAAGTTGAAAGGTAGCAGAGTTTGGTTCATGAGGTTTAATGAAAGAAGCCATCTCCATAACATAAAGATGCAAGGTGAAGCAAGTGCTGATGTAGAAACTGCAGCAAGTTATCCAGAAGATCTAGGCTGATCTCACTGGTGAAGGTGGCTACAGTAAACAACAGATTTTCAGTGTAGACAAAACAGCATTCTATTGGAAGAAGATGACATCTAGGACTTTCATAGCTAGAGAGGAGAAGTCAGTGACGGGCTTCAAAGCTTCTAATGACAGACTGACTCTCTTCTTAGGGGTTAATGCAACTGGCCACTTTATGTTGAAACTAATGCTCATTTACCATTTGGAAAATCCTAGGGCCCTTAAGAATTATATTTAATCTACTCTGCCTGTGCTCTATATATAGAATAACAAAGCCTGGCTGACAGCACATCTGTTTACAGTGTAGTTAGCTGAATATTTTAAGCCCGCTATTGAAAACCACTGTTCAGAAATATTCCTTTTAAAATATCACTGCTCATTGATCATGTACCTGGCCACCCAAGATCTCCAATGGAAATGTTCAAGGAGAATTAATGTTGTTTTTATGCTTACTAATAACATTTATTTTGCAGCCTATAAATCAAGGAACAATTTCAAGTTTGATGATTGAAGAAATATATTTTGTAAGACTATAGCTGCCATAGATAGGTATTCCTCTGATGTATTTGGGCAATGTAAATAGAAAACCTTGTGGAAAAGATTCACAATTCTAGCTTCCAATTAAGTACACTCATGATTTATGGGAGGAGGTCAAAATATACACATTCACAGGAGCTTAGAAGAAGTTTTTTCCAACCCTCATGCATGACTTTGAGGGATTCAAGACTTCAGTGGAGGAAGTAACTGAAGAAGAGATGGAAATAGAAAGAGAACTAGGATTAGAAGTGGAGCCTGAAGGTATAACTGAATTGCTATAATGTAATAAACTTGAACAGATGAAGGGTTGCTTCTTATGGATGAGGAAATAACATAGTTTCTTGAGATGGAATCCACTACTGGTGAAGATGCAGTGAACTTTGTTGAAATGACAACAAAGGATTTAGACTATTACATCAACTTAATTGATAAAGCAGTGGTGGGGTTTGAGAGGATTGACTCCAATTTTGAAAGAACTTTTACTGTGGGTAAAATGTTATCAAACAGTGTCACATGATGCAGAGAAATGTTTCATGAAAGGAAGAGTCAATCAATGCAGCAAACTTCATTGTTGTCTTATTTTAAGAAATGGCCACAGCCACCCAAACTTCAGCAACCACCACCTTACCTTAATCAGTCAGCAGCCATCAACATGGAGGCAAAACCCTCCACCAGCAAAAATCTTGCTGAAGGCTAAGATTACTGTTAGCATTTTTTAGTAACAAAGTATCTTTAAATTAAGTCCTGTACATTATTTTTTAGACATAATGCTATTACACACTTAAGAGACTACAGTGTAGTGTAAACATAACTTTTATATGCCCTGTGAAACCAAAAAGTTCATGTGATTGTTTTATTGTGATATTTGCTTTTGTGCAATGGTCTGGAGCCATATCCACATTATGCCTGTATTCTTAGCACAGAACACTTGCTATCTTCTGGATGACCTAACTTAAAAGTAGTCCAAAGTCAAGATAGGATGTTTCCAAAAAAAGAAGGAAAAGAGAAAAATCACATTAAAAGATGTAATTGCAACGGCACATTCAATATAATAAGGCTATTTTCAACTGCCTTGTAATATCCATAGTAACCATGCATATTGATGAAGAGTAAGCTAACATAATTGTTGTGAAGATGATATGTTACTGTTTTTATCCCTTCAATTTTCAATCTATATATGAAAGTGTTGGAGAGTTTGAGGAGATACGGATGTTACAGATTATTTAATATGGCTCCTCTCGATTTAGAGTTAAGAATGTTGAGTCCTAGAAACGTAAGGGACCCCCATGCCTTGGAACTTAGACCTTCACATGCCAGAAAAAGTTCCTTCCTCCCTCTGTTCAAAAATCCTCTCATTTTCCACCCAAGGATTAGACATGTGCTGTGATAATTCCCACTGAAATATTTATCATTTTGCCCAGCGGTTCTTACTGAAATTCAAATAATGTATCATTGAATATTAATAAGTACAATTTTCCGAGGTCTAGGCATGTATTATCCTTATGTTTATTGTATAGCAGTATAGATGAACACGATTTATGCTAATAAAATCTTACACGTGTGATAATACAAGTACATTTTGACCAGTTGCTGGAGAGTTTGAAGTAAGCAGAAAGATAACTCTTTCAGAGAAAAACAAGAAAAATATTTGAGGTTAATACAAAGTTATATTGTGAAAATCTTAAAAATCACTGAAAGTAAAATATTCATACATCTTCTGGATAATGCATGCAATTTAAGATAATAACAGATTGCTTGAAAATAAAATTAAAATTATGAAATATTTATAATGATGTATTCATCATTTTTCACTCAAGAGTATTATTATCACTTAGTTATTAACATTTTAATGATTGAACAGGTTTAATAAAATTATATCAAAATGTATTAAATAATTTCTCTATTACTGGACTTTAAGATTTTTTCCAATGTTTTTCTACACTTAGACAAATTTCCATACTTAAGTAAAATCGCAAAAATATTATAGCTTTTTTGGTATTTTTTTAAATTATAGAAGAAAAATTTCAACTGAAGGAAAAACTTAAGACATTAATGAAAATATTTAAATTGTATATATCCCCGGAATCCAAAGTAATTACTATTACTATCTTGGCATATGACCTTCAAATATTGTATGCATGTACATATGCATATACATATAGTGTACATGTATACATATATGTCTATGCACACATATATAACATATGATTATAAGAATTTTTTAGATTTTTTGATGGTTTGTACCATAAAACAATGTCTCTAAGTTAAACGGAATTCTAAGAAATAAATTTTGCACTTCTTAATCATTTCCAATGCAACACTTCTGTCACAAACACAGGATTTTTAAAATTACAAATTAAAATATTTGTATTATTAAATCATTGTAGCCTATTCTACAATCTTTGAAAAGACTCTTACAAAAGATGCATATTTAGCTGATAGACTTTTTAAATTTAAACTGACAAACAAAAATGCATTCAAACATCTGTATATAATAACGTTTTTAATACTATATTATACACACTGTTTTGTCCTATGCTCTTCTTACTTAGTTCTTTATGCTCAGTATTTTGCATATAATTTCTACAAATTATATTACTAGAATTCAATGGCCATGTGATAATCTGTTCAACCAGAATCCTAAATTAGATCTCCAAGCATTATTTACTATTATGAATACTTCTGGATGAGTGTCCTTCAATTTAAATATTGTCCATATTCTTGATGGAATTATCAATATCTGATTAAGTTTTTTGCATGTACATGAATATTCTTGACTACCTTCCTTATTTAATACATTTATATTGTTAATGAAACATTAACATTTGTTTATCATTAAACAAGTAGCATTCCTCTAAATAGCCACAATACTTATGCAATTATCAAATAAAAAATTATGGATATAACAAGTTAGATTTTCCTATTGTTTGCAAAACTACTTAATCAAATTCTTGAAAAGTGTAATGGCAGGATCTCAACTCACTGCAACATCCACCTCCTGGATTCAAGCAATTCTCCTGCCTCAGCCTCCAAAGTAGCTGGTATTACAGGTGTGTGCCACCACGCTCAGCTAATTTTGTATTTTTTTTTAGTAGAGATGGGGTTTCTCCATGTTCATGAGGCTGGTCTCGAACTCTTGACCTCAAGTGATCCATCCGCTTCCCAATGTGCTAGGATTACAGGTGTGAGCCACCGCTCCCAACCAGCATCTTGTTTTATATGTAAGTCTCCAGTGCTACCTCATGGGATTTCTAAGTCCATGTCTTTAAAATAAATTTTAATTTTATGAAGCTTGAGATTCCCACAGTGTTTCTAGAACTTCTAATTTTTGTATGGCCGGCATCAACTAACTCATCGTTCTGCCCTTATACTATTTTGGCCTGATCTGTTAACATTATTGCAAATTTATTCATGCCCTAACAGTATCTCATCATCATTTTCCACAATTAACTGTGATACTAGCTATAGGATTTTTATAGACACTCTTTGTCAAATCGAGAAGGCTGCCTTTTAATGTTGGATTTCTGAGAGTTTCTATTATAAATGAATAATGAGTTGTATCAGATTATTTAGTCATTTAATAAGATTGCTATGTGGTTTTTCTAATTCTGTTAATATATTATATTGTTCAATTTTCAATGTTATATAAATCTTTTATTCATAAGATAAAACCAATGTCATGCTGGAGTCACCTTGTACCAATTCATGAAAGCTGATTATTAAGTTTTCCGGAATTCTGCTAGCCAGTTTTTAAATACAGACATTATTAAATTTTAAATTATGTAAACTTATAATTAAAGAGATCATACTAAAAATGAAATAATTAAATACTCAAAACCCATCATTTCCTAAATATCTTATTACATTTTACTATTACCTCTGCTCTTGAGCATATCACCTGTGCTCTACCTCTATTTTATCTGTCTTATGGAAATACTGTGCAATAGCATACTGTCCATTTCTTCCCTATTCTAGCTTAATGATGTAACATTGATAGCTTAAACTCTTATGCTGGAAGTATTTGCACCATGAAAATAAGCAAATGCTACAAATCAAGGCCAGATTTATTGTTTTGTTGATTGTCTATACTTAAGAAAGTGAGGAAGAAAAAGCTGATAATGTAGTGTAAACATAAATGTGTTTTGCCCATTGTCATTACATTGTGAATACTACAAAAATTGGTTAAATAATCTTAAAGTTATATATTAAATTATAGTTACATTATTAAATTATAAATTATATAAATTTATAATTAAAGATATTGAAAAAGAACTAAATCTTCAAAATTCACTTTCTAATTATCAGCAAAGTATTACTACACTATACTAACTTCAAAATTGTGTTTTATTTAATAATTACATCAATCCTCTGAATTACATTTATTGTTTTCCTCCATTTTATTGATTAATAAGAAAATTGAGGATTAGAAAACAAGATAATTGATTTGCCCAAGCAGTACTAGCTACTAATCAAATGACCTAGTAAGTGATAGAAGTCCTTACAGCATAATTTGATTAATAGTCCACTGCTATAAACCTACTAACAATATTGGGATAAGGATTACTTAAGATGCGGTATGTAAAGCAGAGTGTCTGATACAAAGCTTGCACCAAAATACATGGTTGCTTTTGTTTTGTTGATAGTAACTCTGCTTTTAGCATTTATAAAACATAATTTTTTTCTCAGAAAATTATGGAGATAAAGACTTACCTTAATTTATCACACAATTATGAACAGAATTTTTATCTACAGGAATGTAAGATGATACATTTTGAAGTGGTGCAGGATACGAAACAATTTTTTATTTTGTATGACTAATATATTCATTTTAAGAAAGCATCCCTAACCTCTACCCACGAAATGCCACAAACATTTAGTTTAGCCTTTTACTTAAATCAGTATGTTTCAACCCTGTCATGCCCAATGCTTCTACTTTTTATAAAAAATAGTTTATAATACTTTTTTATCCTGAGATTAACTTTCTAGATAACATAATCTATCTTCACAAATACATTTCAATGTAATCTATAATGTAAAGATGAAAGTCTGTATTATGGATTTCCATATGATCATGACTACACTGTAAGACATAATGAAACAGTCAAATACTTATTTCTATGCTTAGAATATCATGAAAGTGACAGAAATACAGACTAAAGAAGTACCAGCAAGTTAAATATACAAGGATCATTAATATCAGTGATGTGATTTTCTGACATGATAACCTACTCTTGGTAAAGACCCAAACCCAATCATCTCTTAATGTACATGGTAGTTGCACTTTTGGATAACACAATGCATATTAAAACCATGCAAAAATATTTGAAATTATTTTTAACCCAGGGTTAGATATTAGGCTCAGATAATTTTAAACAGGTTTTTCATACACATGAATATAGGAGGAAACATTTCAAAAGTCATGAGGAATATGGGACAATCTTTTGTTGTGCAGGATGGCCCTGTGCATTACAGGACATCTAGCAATCCTGATTAATAACTTGTAATGGCTATTCATTGACTTCATGATAAATTCTGTGGGCCAAGCTAAAAATCAGAGGAGAGGATGATGAGAATGGATCTGGTGGCATAAAACTAATATTCTTTGACATAGTTGCCTCTTTGGCTACCCAGACAGACATTCATATTTTACCCATTCATGGAACATATCCACTCCATGCCCAAGATGCAACCCTGAAGTCTATCCAATACTGTGTCCAGCTCCAATTCTAGGATCTCTGGAGCTGCTTCTAATGGTTTGATGATTTATAAACTAAAATGCAAGGTATTTTCCTTCAATGTACCCAATACAAAACAGTAGAGAAAAAACGAAATGATGTTAATAAAGCTACTTCCTCAATTCGATAAAGAAATAAATATCACTTTGGTGCAAGCAGTTTTGCCTAATAGAAAGCATACAATAGTCTCTGATCCATAGCAATTATCAAATTTTGCTAAGCAGGAAAAGCAAAGACTGCACACCCTAATGGTGAAGGAAACATCTTAGACCATCTGAAAGCCCTGTTACTTTCTGTGGAAAGGCTGTCTATGGCAGATAGGCTGTAAAGCTGTCCCAGTGATCCCTGCCTCTTAGTGGTCACACCATTTTATGATCCTCTTCCTTTGAATGTGGGAAGGATCTGCGACTTGCTTCTAGCCAAAAGGATAGGTATAGCAAATGTGATGGAATAATGTCACTTCTGTGATTACACTACATTTTATAAGCTCCACTTTTGTTAGCAAAAGTGTCCTCTCTCTCTGTTGCAAGCTGTCATGAAATGGCCATGTTGAAGAAACCCATATGTCAAGGAATTGTAAGCAGCCTCTAGGAGATGAAGGCAGACCCTAGCAATAACTAAAACTGTCAGTCCTGCAGCCATAGAGAAATAAATTCTGCCAACAACCTGAGGGAGATCAGAAACAGATTCATTCCAAGTCAAATCTATAGATGAGAATGCAGCCCAGCCTACACCTTGATTGTGGCCCAGTTAAGCCATCCATGGTCTCCTGACCCAAAGAAAATGTGTGCTAATGAATGTTTGTTGCTTAAGCCATTAAGTTTTCAGTATTTTGTTAAACAGCACTGAAAACTAATATACTCTCGTTTTCGATTGTCCCTGAGACCGAGCCTCCTGGCTCTGCCCTAAGGAAGATTCTTGCTTGTCCACATCTGAGGCATGCATTAAGTAACCCGGGCATATGACTGCCGCTCATTTCTTGAAGCCTAACTGCTGCAGCTGTAAATTCAAGCCCAGCTACTCCTCATCAGGCTCCAGGCTTGTTTTTATTTTATTATTATTATTATATTTTTTCTGAATGATTTGTTTGGGGGGTTGTTTTTGAGAGGGACACTAAAATTGTCTCCAAAATGCAGTACATTTCTTGTTCAATTGCTTCAAGTCAGTTTCATGTTTAAATACTCACAGCCAAGGATCTTTCTAGAAATAGATTTAAACCATGAAGACACTTGTCTTTTACTTAATGGACTCTGTTCTCTCATTCTGCCAGCTGCTCAGTGTACTGACTGCTGACTTAAGACTTCCTGAAACAATGGTTTTGAGTGGGGAGGCAACACAGTTAATTTCATCTCTCCCCATAAATTGCTTACTGCCTACTTTTATTTCTTCAGTTTTATAGTCATCCTTTGTAATTGCTTCAGCTTAGGGTGCAAAAACAGCTGGATTTTTCAACCTCATAAGAATTCAAATTATAGGACACTTGGGCAATTTAGATATCAGGCCAGAGTCAGATAGTGCCCCAGCAAAATCACATTTCCTGCTACTTAAGAGTCAATTAAAAGTTAAATGAGGTCATAAGGGTGGTGTCTTAATCCTGTGACTGTTGTTCTTATAAAAAGAGGAAGAGACACAAGGGATGTACATGCATAGAGGAAAGGCCATGGGAGGACACAGTGAGATGGTGGCCACTTGCAAGTCAAGGAGCAAGACCTCAAAAGAAACCAAACCTGCCGACCCCTTGATCTTGGACTTCCACCCTCTAAAACTGTGAAAAAATATATTTCCATTGTTTAAGCCACCTAGTCTGTGGTATTTTGTTGTGGCAACCTCAGCAAACTAAGACATCCACCAAAATAAAAAATAAAAAATAAATTTGGATTTAGTAAGAAAAAATTGGTTGGTAGGGTAAACTTCTTGAAAAATGGGCTCCCAGTTTTAGGGTTTAGATTCTCTGTCTTGTCATCACTCTTTACTTTGGATAAAAGTTTTGACACTTATCATTACACAGATGACCTATGGCATAAAAATGTGGTTACCAGGAAATTATTTGTGTCTAATTAAAATAATTAACTTAGATTAAACTAGCCTTCATCACATTTTCTCATAATTTTTAAAGCCTTGGCCATTATTGAAAGCAAGGCTGTGCCACCATTTAAACTGCTGTAACAAAGGGAGAGCAGTTGGGTAGAAAATGTTTTTTCTGGTTGCCAGTGGCAATGGGAAACTGTCCGGCTGTGCCCTGTGTGTCCTGCCCAGCAGGTGGCCTGCCTAAGGCCTCTTGTCTTCCAGACATTCTGTTTTCAAAGAGAGCAATCCTGTTTTGCAAAAGGCCCCAAACTAGCAGAATTAGTCTCCTTTGATGCACCTATTTCGTCTAGGTTATATTTACCTAAGAAATTTTATGCACAGAAAGAAAAGAATGAAAAGGATATTCAGCTAGAGATGGGAATGAGATTTGTGTTGTCACTTCCTTTTAAGTACCTTGAAAACAAGGCTGAATGAAGAAGGATTATAGGGCAGTGAAATACTGTTTAAAATATTCCATGTCTGAATAGCATGAGACATTTATCTTGAAAGTAACAGTGAAACACTCCTTCACTGAATGCAGCTTTACCCACCCTTAATTCCTCATCAGATATATTGCTGTGAACAGTCTTCTAATAAATGATGTTGTCATGGTCATAAACCTTTTTACCATTGCTGACTTGGACGTTCTGTGCATTAGTGTAAAAATTATTTGTCACTAGAATTTTATTGTTAACATTTTTAGTAATTTTTTAGAAATAAGTCATTGCAGTTTAGTCATCTATTTTGAATTTCTATTATGGTCAATTTAGTTTTTACAGTCTAAACTCTGAACATGTTGATTTTATTCATTAGGTCCAGAAAAAAATACTATTTTTGTTATAATATTCTAACTTGCAGAGTCATGTCTGCAAGTTAGGATAAGGTATGGGTATTATTTGGATTAATTAGATTATTAGTCAACAGAAAAAAAGAGGAAAGAAGCAGTGTGGTTTGTAATTCTTCTTTTTTTTTTTTAAGTGAGATCTAGAGTTAAAAAAATTAAATTCTAGTCCCAATACAATTAGTACCAATTATATGCCATTAGAGACGTCACTTTACCTCTTTGAATGTTCTTCACTGTCCATTGACAAGCTTCTAAGATTGTAGTGTGAATCTGTAAAAACTTATTTTTAGTGTTTTCCACATAGGAGAAAGACCCAATAAAATGCTTGTTGGTGGAATGAGGTCTATGCTGTCAAGGAGCAGGTGGGAGAGGCCTCCACCTTGGTTCAAGAAGATGAGCCTGCCTGAGAATTTGGTGAGGCAAAGCCACTAAAATGCTTCTGCATGCACAACCAAGGAATCTTTCCAGAAAGAATTCCTCCTACGAGAGGGGAGAATGAGGCATCTGACCCAGGGTGAATCATCTCTCATTTGTCAGAGGAGGCAGGTTCTAAGTATATCCTGACTCTCCCATGACCTTACATCTAAATCCTAACAAAACAATGGGCTACGTGTGAAAAACTGATCAAAAAACAAACAGAAAAAAACATAAGAAATTCTTGTAAAATGTTTGGAGATTAAATGGTGGTTTCAGTGAAATAGGTACAACATATTTTCAATTATGGAGAAGGAGGCATTTTCCCCAACTCTGCATAGAAAGTATCACAGTGTCAATGCATGGAAGGCTCTGGCAATAAGTGGGGGCTTAGTGCACCCAAGGTTCTTCTTCCCCAGTAGCAGCAATGGAGGTGAGCCTCAGCCCCATGAGAACACAGTTCCCTCAGCACAGACATCAAGTTCTCATGGTGGACCCTGACAGCATTGACACCCTCAGACCAGTTTAGACTCACAAACAAAACACTTCAGGCAAGTGGACATAGAAATAGCATTGGTAATAGAATATGCTATATAATGTAGTTTCTCAAGTGTTTATTAATTCAGAGTATCAGAGAATCAGGCCAGGCAGGGGGTTTGGTGAGGCGTATTCTACCTCAATGGAGCAAGCATGTTTGATATTTCTGTTTCTCAACTTTATTCTATGGAGCATTAATTTCCCACAAGATATTATTAGGTGCTCTATAAGGAAAATAAAAGCTCTGAATTCACAATACACATTAGCATATGTCAACTCTAAGATGTTTGAGGTAAAGAAACTTGTTCAAGTCAGTTTGCCACAGTGATTACTAAAATTACTTCTCAATGGACTGCTCCCTTCCCCGCCTTTTAAAACCTGTTTTATTATCATCTTACAGAAGAAGAATGTTTTGGGGGAAAACAAAGCTTGGGAACCATTCCTCAGGAATAATTCCTTCTGGAGGGAGGGCTGAGCTAGCACTGCATCTCTGAAGAAAACAGAATGATTTCCCAAATTGACAGAGAGAAATGGGTGCAATTCATTCATTGCCCACTAGCAAGCATCAAGTATGGCTTATCTGGCAGGTATGGATTTTGCCATGTTTGAAGTGAATAAGGAAGAAAGTACTCATCAAGAACTTACAAATAAAACTGAAAGAAAGGAAAAGGAAATCATCTTGAGATAAGTAAGAAGAATAAATAATTATTTACTTCGGGATAAGGAAAGTATTCTAAGAAAATGGCATTTGAGCCAGCAACCTCCGTAAAATAAGAATACTAACCTTTAGAGAATACTAACAGGGTGGGTTTAACAGGAGTATACATTAAATAAGAAAGGACTTAAGAAAATAAAAATAAAATAGGAGAATTACAATACACAGTGAAGGTAGTGAAGAGCAAAATGAATACAACTGAAAATAAAATCATTGAATTTGAAGGCAAGTTTGAGAAACTTCCCCAGCATGTTAGGAAAGATGAGGTGGAAAAGGTTGAAATAGATGATAAACCTAAATGGCAAAAGAATGGAGAGAAAACTGAGAATTATAGCTATTCCTGAGTGGAGAAATGAGAATAATTTGAACAGAAGAAATAAAAAATAATGAAGGAAAGCTTATCTGAATGAAAAAACATAGCCTTTTAATATGTGCTCTTACCAGGCATCCTGAATTATCTCATTTAATTTCTTAAATAATCCTCTGAGCTAGTATGTATTAGTCTCATTTAGAGAGGAGAAAACTGAGCCTTAGAATGGTTAAGTACTTGTTAAACTGTTCCTAGGACTGTATGACAGAAAACAATATGTCCTTAATGACTATATACTATTTTATGCATGTATATTGAAAGAGCTTTCCATGGACTCTAGAAATAAATATTTACACCTAGAAATAGGCCAAATTTTTGTATTATTACACATAAAAGTATTAAAAGCATCCAGCAGAGCTAGTTAATTGATTATAAAGTAAAAATATCAAGCTGTCTAAGACATCTTCTATAAAACACAAAATACTGACCAGGCACAGTGGCTCACACCTGTAATCCCAGCATTTTGGGAGGCCAAGGCAGGCGGATCACCTGAGGTTGGGAGTTCAAGACCAGCCTGACCAACATGGAGAAACCCAGTCTCTACTAAAAATACAAAATTTGCCGGGCATGGTGGCACATGCCTGTAATACCAGCTATTCGGGAGGCTGAGGCGGGAGAATTCCTTGGACCCAGTAGGTGGAGGTTGCGGTGAGCCAAGATCATGCCATTGCACTCCAGCCTGGGCAATAAGAGTGAAACTCCATCCCCCGCTCCCCCAAAAAAACCACACACACAATACTGAAAAACAGATGGATGGAGCAATGACTGCCTAGTCATAAAACATATAGCACAGGTGGTCTTTCAAAATATGAGGACCTAGAGATGAATAAAAATTAAGAACTGAAGGATGTGGATGACATAATTTAATTGAAAACAGTTAACCATACTGTTAAAACTAAACAACTGTAAATCTAGCTACAAAACTAAAGGCAAAGTTTTTAAAAAGTTGAAGAAAATACGTAATTCCAAATTTAATAGTTTAGTGTATTCATCTGAATTTAAAATAGTAATATTTTTCATGTTACATGAAAGAAAGTCTAACATTAATTTTTTACAACACAGGTTCCTCAAAGGTTATAGAGCGTGGTTAAAAATGCAAGCTAGAGAGAGATTTATTAAGCAAAGGCAAAGGTTATAATAGCAATTCAGACAAAAGTGATTTCAAGGTAAAAAAACTCATTAAAAAGAAAAAAGTTATCTAATATTGATAAGAAATAACAGCTATGAAACTTTATTAGCAGGATAATATTTTATAGAGACATACAAAGTCAAAACTGTTAAAACATGAATATATCTACTAATATTGTCATGGGAACTTTGACATATATTTAAATACTTTTATGACCTACATAGGCCCAAAATAAATGAAAATATAGATCTCTTTATAATCTAATTAAGATAGCTTAATAACAGATATGCATAGGATTTAGTACATTCCAAATTGAGTAAACTATTTACTGAGGTCCTATGGTATATTTACAAATGTTATTTTGTCATAAAAGATCTCAATTAATGCTTAAATGTTGAAAATATATATACTACATTTTCAAGTAATACTGAAAAAAATCAAAAAGTTAAACATAAAATATCCACAACAACAACATAAGAGCCAACATACATAGACTGGAAAATAGTCCCTAACTTACTTTTGTGTCAGTGAGGTACATAAAATTGCAGCTAAAGAACATTTACACACTCAGGTTAGAGTGCTACATATCAAACCTATGGGTTGCCCTGAAGCCATGGGCAGAGAAGAAATCATAACTGTAAATGTGTTGGCCATTAAAGAAGCCTTTGAGCAGGCAACTATAATCCTATTTTTGAACTGCTCTTACTCCCTCCTCCTACTTGACTAGGTCATTTTTCATCGTTATAACTAATTCCTTAGCATCGGTTAGATTTCTGCTCAAAAGTCATTTTCACAAGGAAGCCTGTCCTACTGAAATGTGATAGTTCCCTTGACCCCTGCAAAGGAGTTGACTCATGTACTCAGCTCAAAGCTCTCAACCTCTTGTGGGAGGGGGAGCATGCAGGTGAGCAGGTACAGAGGCCAGAATGAGCACTTCTGGCAGAAGAACTCTGTGCAGGCCCATGGCAGCATCTTGGGGTTGTCAGGGACCCCTGGAACCCCAGAGGGTATGTGTTAAAGTGTGTTCTTTTAGCTTTGCCATCCATGGATGGCTTAAGTGTTAACTCAGTGGAGGGTCACTGTGACAACCTCTTGAACCCACACTCAGGTCTTCATCTGGCATCCAGGATGAATCAGGTCATGCAAAGAAGTTGAAGGATGGTAAATGTGGAAGATTTTATTGAGTGGTGGAAGTGGCTCTCAGTGGGATGGGGAGCTGGAAAGGGGATGGAGTGAGAAGGTGGTCTTCCATGGATTTTGGCCATCCCTGGCCAAACTCTTCTCCAAGGTCCCACCATCAAGCCATCCCTCTGAATTCAACCTGCTTCTCTCCAATATCCAGCTGCTTCTTCTCTCCTTCTTGACTGTTCTGCCACTCTGCTGGTGGGGACTGGGGTTTTTATGGGTACAGGATCGGGGGTGAGGCGGGCCAGGGGTGGTTTTGGAAAAGGCAACTTTTGAGCAGGACAAAAAGAATGTACGTTCTCACTTTGGGCCATGAGTCCAGGCTTGACCATGTGGCCCTCGCCAGGGACCTCTCTCTTCTACACAGTATTTCCCTGCCTCCTGTCCATATCATTACCTCCCAGACCATATCAATTCCTAATTTTATATATTTTCATACTATTATTTGTAATATATTTTATTTATTTTGATTCCTGATATATTAAGTAAAAGTAGGTTGCTATTTAAAAAGGAGCAGGGAAAAAGGAATTGATGGAAATTAAAACTACACTTGCCAAGCCTTAAAAGTAAAAACAAGAGCTAGAAGATATCATTTGAGAAACTCCCTTCCAACAAAGACAAAAAGACAAGACAGAAACACAAACATAAGACAATTCAACTCAGAAGACCCAAAACCTAACAATTATGTCTCCCTCAAAGAGGGAAAAGAAAAAAATTGGGAAGAAGTGGCTTGACAGAAGAAAAAATATAATGAAATTTTCCAAAACTGAAAAGGATAACCAGTCTTACACTAAAACTTTTAGATGTTAACCTCTGAGGAAGGAAGCTTGAGTGAGGGGAAAATATTAGTTTTTACTTGTATCCTTTTATACAGTTTGATATTTTTAGTCCACAAACAGGATTAAATTTTAAAGTTGATTTTATATAAATTTGAAAACAATATGAATGGGAACATTAAAGATGAGATGAAGAATTATGTACACGTTTTCTTTTCTTTTTTCTTTTTACCTTTTATCTTTCCAAAGATAGTGCTTGGAAACGTCTGCCCTGTTCTCCTGCCTCCAATCCAAACCCTAGTTATTCCCCTGAGTTAGGAGAGTCCCCAGAGTGGCCACAGCAGGAAGGATCTGGAGGAAAGGGCTGGGACAAGGATGAGGCAAGTGGGGAACTCCCCTTGGATACAAAAGTTAAGTGGTGCCACAAATCTCAGTAAGTAGGATAAACAATATTTTAATGCAATATTTAAAAAAATCAAAATTAATGAAAAATCCATGATGAACAAAATAATAAAATTTTGAGATGAAGGAATGATCACCATTATTGAATATTATTGCCTCAGTTTCCAGGATGGTTCAGTACACTCCAGCTAATGCACATGAGCAAATTTCAGAATCCATTGTATTCGTTCCCCTTCTTGGGAGCAACCAAAGCAGACTTGAGGTGAGGATCAGAACAGAGTGTATCCTGCAAAAAGATGCTCTGAGGGGAACTATGTTCCTATGAAAAGAAGAGGGCATGCTGTTTCTCATGAGAGTTTTTTTTTTTTTAAAGAATCGGCCCTTATCTCTGCCTCCACAGATTCTTTCACTAGGGGTCTGGGTAGGTTGATTGAGGCCAGGAGAGTGCTAGCACTTGAAGTTGTGGTGAACAAAGAACACAGAGACATCCTCAAGGGACCTCAACAGGATACTGACTACTTCTTGACCAATACATCACCTTCCCCAATAGAAAAGACTGACACCTTTACCACTATCCACAAGGTGGCTGCCTCTTCTGCTTCCAGGACTAAGCCCAATGAATAGGTACAGAATAACTGTAATGACCCTAAAGGGACAAAGTACTTAGCAAAAGGAAGAACAAGCACCAGACCCAGAATAGGCGTCTCACAGTGAAACAGCACTGTTAGAGGAAAGAGAAGACAAGGGGCCCATGAAATAATAACAAAAATACAGAAGTTCATGATAGTGCATGCATACACACACACATACACGTTACAACTTTTCTAAACTTAAAAAAATAAGATTCTTTTTAAATTAAAAAGAAATCATGGTGTATCGAAGAGGAAGGAATTACAATGAAACTGAATGATCAGGTAGTTCAAAGGTCTGGTAATATAGAATAAGAAATATAAATAAATGGCAAACATACCAAAAACATATTAGAATTGTAGGACAGATTCAGGAGGGCATGGAGACTATTGATAAATACTCACAACTGGTACAATTGACAGAAAGATAAAGCACAGAAGCCAAAACTGCTTGGGTAAATCAAACAAGTTGTTTCCATCTAAAGTGTTCAGAAAAAAGGCAGAAGAATTCAAATACGCAGCAGCAAGATCAATTACACTCTCCAAGGGAGGTGCAAATATTCTGGCCTCTAAGGTCTACAGAGTTGCAGTTAATAGCCCCCAAGTAAATCACATTCATTGTCCAAGATCATACCTGTCCCCTTTTAAGTCGGCCTTATGTGTACATAAGCCTAGATCATTCCAGGATGGTATCTTGTCTGGAAAACTGCTGGGGAACTCTCACCTAGGCCAAGTGTATGTCATCAGTCTTGAGGTATGCAATGCACAGTATGATTGCTGGGGCACAATAAAGAGCTTGTCATGCATCAGGTGCGAGCTCCACAGCCTAACACAGCTTGATTCAATTACCTTCTTGCTATAGGGCCTATCTTGCAAGGAGAACTAAAATAGGAATATAGGAGTTCCAGAAGAAGGAAAAATGACAGATGTTGGAGAGGAAATCATTGAAAATATAACGTTTTAAAATTCCTTTGAGTAGCCTCTTAAAATAAAAACTTTAGACAAATTAAATTTAAGAATTTACTTGAGCAAAGAACAATTCATGATTCAAGCACTGCTTAGAACCAAGAGAGCTTCAGAGAGCTCCACCAAAGAACATGGGCAGGCAGTATTTATAGACAGACAAAGGAAGTGATGTAAAGAAACAGACTGATTGGTTATAGCTCCGTGTTTGTCTTACTTGGGCATGGTGTGATGAGGCATTTGTCTGATATGGACATGATCTAACCAGCTGGTAGCCTATGATTGGCTGAAGCTCAGCTGCTGTGATTGGCTGGGACTAAACTATTTGTTATAAGAATATATTCAAGTTAGGTTGCAGTTTGTTTGCATACTAGGTTAGGTTGCAAGTCACATTACAAAAGCAGCTTTAGGCCAAATTTAGTTATTTAACAAGAGGGATGACTTGAATTTTCAAATTAGAAAGGCTCACTGAGTTCCAGGAAGGTCTCTGAAAAAAAAGACACATGTTAATATTGCATATATCCTGATAAAACCCTGAATTCCAAGGAAACATCGTAATACGCCTCCAAACATAAAGAAGTGGTTATTTACAAAGGAATACAGAAAATAATATTTCACATTGACCTTATCTGCAATACAGGAAATGAGAAGAGAATTGAACATTTGGCAGCATGAAAAAAAAAAAGATATGTATCAATATCCAAGGATTCAAAAATGTTTTTAAAACAGTATACTCCATTGGAGATAATTGCTAGATAAAGGATTCTAATCAAACAAAAATAATAATAAGTAGAACAGAAACCTCAATAAAGGAGAAAATAAGAGGAGAAATTATTGAGGGCACAGATTTTGAAATTAGGGACGACCCCATTTAACTAATTTGGGGCCACTGGGATATAAACAAATGAAATGTGTTCAACTTTTCTCTTAACTCTTTTTAGAGAAATGTGTTTGCCCTGGGCTTCATCTTTCATTCTGCTAGATGGCTATAAAATGGAAAAATTAGAGAAACTTTGAAAGTCTTATGTTGAGGATAAGAGAGTTGCTTCATAAGCCATGAGCTAATCATATCTGGACTATTACTTGAAAGATAACTAAACTATACTGTTTGATTCTCTGTATTTAATGTCTCCTTGAAACAGCAGCTTAGCTCAACTAATATACTATGCTGAAGCATATAAAATTGCTGATGTTCAATGTGTTAACCTTGGCAAAATGGCAATTTAAATTTCTGTATGTTAAACTTGAAAAGCTCCTGTATCTGTTCTGGTCTCACTGTTTTCTTCAAAGAGACTTTGAATGAGGCCCTACAGCATGAGGCCCTACATTATTCTTTCAATACAGGAGGATTTCTTTGTAAACAAGAAGTGAGTAAACAAAAATAATGGTGGAAAGGAGAAATAACACAGTCGATTATATTCCGTCAGAGGGTATAAGGAGGGTCGGGCTTTGAATATTCAGAGGACTTTGTTTTCTCATATTTGCTTCAAAAATAGGAGAAATTTTTTGCAGGTATCTTTGTGTTGTCTGTTCTTCCTTCTTGTTCTGCTCTTGTGGTTTTTTTCCCCTTTGTATGCTTTGATTATTTTTTCAAGGTGTTGGGGGTTACTTATTTGTAACCAATTTTGAAGCCTAAGGTTAAGGCAGATGCCTCCAAAAAACATTCACGTTTGTTTCTGCCAGGTACCTGGAAACACTACCAATCATTTAAATAATTAAAGAATTGCTGAAAATTAAATCACAGTTTACACTGCATGATAAATACAGATAGTGTTAATTGTTGTTATAAATCCATGAGACAGCTGGCAGTCATTACAACATCTCAGGAAGTTGTTTTTTCCTCTAGCTTGGCTCAGGGTTGAGGCCAATTTCTTTGCACTCTTCTGGGGTGAGACGGATGGGGATAGTTTAATTCCTGTTCACCTTTATCCTGAGGATATAGCTTTTTGCTACTTCAGCTTTCAGGGAAGAGCTGCTACTTGACTCCTCGCCCTGGGCAGACCCTGAGCCTTGACTTCAGAACTTTATGTTCTAGTGGAGACCTCAAAACTGAAGGTCAAGTTTACCGAGTTCAACAAAGGCTTTCAGGATAAAAATGGCTTCAGTAATTGCCTTACTGCTCCAGGTTCCCGCTTTTTGTTAGAAGTTGTCCTGTGAAGCCTTTTAATGTTCCCACTTATTTGGTGCTTTCAATAATTTTTTGAAAACTTTTACCCAGTATTTCTTATTTGTTTCCAATGGGAATGTTGATTCAGATCACCTAATCAGCTATATTACCAGAAATAAAAGTCATCAGTAAATGTAAAATAATTATTTTCAACTATTACATTTGCAAAAGTATTGTGGAAGTTAGAGATGGATGTCTCTGGCACATTGATGTTTACACCACTTCACCTGACCATGCCCCTCATTATTTTATTTATATCATCTGATTCACATGGAGACTCATGAGCCAACTTGAACATGTCCACAAGGTTCAAATAGTATTTTTGAAATTAAAATTCTTGGGTAAGCACTCAATGGCTCTTGATTTCCAGACATTTTATTGGATACTTGAACTCCTCTACTCTACATCAAGACATTTCTTTATTTCATATCAAACCAAACCTCCAAAATTTGTCTCAAATACTTTTTGATTGATGACTGAAATCTTTCAAAGACAGGAATTTGAAAAAACGCACAAAGTAATTATAACAGGAAGAACAATAAAATGAGAACACATCTCAAACTATAAGTACAAAGGAATGTAGATCCTGGTCTCAAAAATATGTAGTACAAAGTTAAAATATTAGTCAAAGATCAGGAATGCAAAACAGTCTTGTTGTTTCTGTGAGTACAATGTGAAAGTTATAGTCTTTGCACAGCCTTTTTCTTTCCTTTTTCATTAGTTCTTACTTTGAGAGAATGTACAAAAGAAATTCTTTGCTCATGATGTCTACTTCATGGACTGTTAAGAGCATTGGCATCACAGAGGCAAAACGTACTATAAAACATTCCTTTGTATTTTACATAGTTCCATGGGAAGGAACTTATGCAAATTATAGTCACAGACAAAACATATCCTGGTGACATCATGATTTCACTGAAAACTTTCCAACACTAAAAAAAAAACATTGTTTTTTTTCCATCATTACCATCCCCACCAGTGGCAACAGGCACATCCAGCTGTTGTTTGTACAGAGAGAAGGCTGTTGAAGCCCCGCCCTATTTTTGCTGGTCTCATCCTTCAGCATATTTTCAGAATGCTAAAATTATTTCCTCATGTTATGACCAAGGCTGGAGTTCTTTGTTCTATAACTTCTTTCTGATTAAGATTTTTCAAGAAGTTATTAAGAATAATAAACAAATAATTCAGAGCAAATATTAAGGAATACACATATCCTTGCTTGCCATCCTGACAAAATACTAATCAGCTGCAAGCTGTTATAAAAATGAATACATAATTAAAATCATAAGCCAAATAAATTAAAGCCAATAAGAATTTCATCATAATAACCTATATCAAATTCAAAACAAGATTTTTAACTGATTTTGGTAGGAAAACCAAAAATGTCACACTTCCTAGCTTCATCATTGTGGTTTTAAGCAGAAATTATTTTGGCCAGGCAGGTTAAATATAGTGAATGCAATTATTATTTTCTTCTTAGAGGAAAATATTGGCACCAGTGCCATCATTATTATAGTGCCTAGTAACAAAATCTTCACCACTTCTGCCAAAAACACTGAAGAAAGGTAATGGAAATGCAGAAAAGTGTTTTCTGAATATATATAGGGCTGGTATTTGGCACTATACCCTCCAGGCACAGAAAGTTTCTGCGATCCCTAAAGCAGGAGACACAAGTGCCTAATATAGTGTTGGGTAATATTGTTTTACCATATATCTTGTCACATGGATAAATCATTCACCCTTAATTTGAATATGTAGGATTATTGGAGAAAAAGATTGCTATGTTATCTCATAGTCATCTTTTTGCATAGTCAAAATCTCTATCTGAAAATAACCATGAGTCTGATGCCAAAATATATTTTTCACTAGACATGTATTATATAGCAATTAATTGGGCTAAAATTCAGAAGGTGAATTTCTATTCCAAGCCTCTTAATTTGCTAATTTCTTTAAATAACCATCACAGTGATAACTTAGTAACAATGTGTTGAAGCTGAGTTAGAAGACTCAGCTTCAGGCGGAAATACTAAAATATAAAATAAATAAAAGCAGGGCTTAATCCCTGGTGTTCCTTTGGGCCTTGGGTCAATTTTCTTAACTTCTATTTGGCTTCTTTTTCTGTAAAATTAGAGAATTAGACTTAATATGGTGGCTTTCCAATTCTTTTGGAGCAACCACCCTTCGAAGTGCCCTGACAGAAATGCTCCAACAGCAGAGCTGCTGTGTTTGAAGGGGAGTGGCTATCAAAGCCCCGCTGTGGGCCCTGCTTCCCTGCAGCAGCTGCTGATGATGCTCCTGAGCACAGTTTGATAAACAATGTGCTAGGCAACGAAAAGACTCTGGACCCATTTATAATTTTACAAGCAGAAAAGAAGTAAGGAAGGGAGGGGGGAGGTAGAGAAATAAAAAAAAAAAAAAAGATGTCAAATTTGTGCTTATCTCAAAGTTTAAAATACTTTCTTAAATTTACTCATTCCAATATTTTGAAACAATGGTTGAAATTTTTTCACTGCCATTTTTTCCAAGTTATTTTCTCATAAAATAGAGCTGGAAAGCTTTTATTTTCTCTGTGCTGTAAGTATTTTCATTATATCTATCCCAGGGAGGCAGTTGTGGTAACACTACTTGGTGCAAGCCAACATCTTTTTCTCCCTCTTTCTTTCTAGCAAAGCTGATTTTTTTCAGCATGGTTATGTGCCCAGTTCAAACTAATCACTTCCCCAGGTACTTCAGCACGTTGAGATAGTCTCGAGGCAGATTTATGGCCAATCAGATGAAAGCAGAAGACTACTAGATGAAGTCTCTGGAAAGCTATTGTTTGCTTAATTTTTGAAAAGATTCATTTTTGTTGTTGTTGTTAATTTGTTGAGTGAATTGTTGGCATAAATCCTTTGCCCTTCATCCTTCCTACTTATTTCTGGATGGACTATGGGCATGATTCCAGAAGCAGAAGAAAATATTTATTTGCATATACAACATACATACCTACATATTTGCATATACAACATACTCAATGATGAGTAACTTAGAAGGATGGTTAGAATTAGGGGTTTATGTACCTAACCTAGTAGGAAAAAGGAGGGGGGAAAGGCTTCTATGGTTTCTTTAGTTAAGACAAATGGGTTTTTTATATTTTACTGATTTAGATTTGCTTCCTGGCATCACTATTCTTTTTATATACACCATCATTATAACACATACAATATTGCTTTTGAGCCAAAAAAAAAAAAGTTGGAATTTAGCAGCTTTGAAAAACTGGGTAAGAAAATGGAAGAGTTAGGGAAAGAGACAGGGTGTTATCTCTCTCTTATCCACTTGACATTGGCTTCCTTGGAAAGAAAGTATAGATATAGAAAGTCAATAACTGACTCTGTAAAGCAACCATTGGATTTCTGGACAATGCTTTTACAAACTTGGGCAGTGAGTTCCTAGCTAGGAATCATAATCATCTCATAAGACCTATGAAGATCATGTTGGACTGAGGAAACTTCAACCTACCTGAACTCAAAGCTTTAAATTAAATTTAAAAAGAAAGAAGTTAACTTATAGGTGTGAAATAAAGTGAATAAAGTGAAGGACATATAATAATTCTCAAAAGAAAATAATATGAAATAATACAAAATAACTATATGTGTTTTTGGTTGATATACCAATGTAAAGTGTATTGATAAGAAGAAAAAAAACCTTGATATTTTAATGTAAAGTATTAAATACAATGAATTTGGTGATAACAATCAGATCATATTTCTCTAAAATATTTAGAGACTAGAATATTTTTCTGAAAGACTATACTTTTTTTAAATAAACAAATTGGATTGAAAGAGTAGGAAGAAGTACTCTATGTCTAGAAAACATACAATTGAGTGGATATCCACACCATAGAAAACATTTGGGTGATAATTTTTAAAAGTGAAATTTTTATTAGCATATATCCTGTCCAATCAGATTGACAACTATGGATAATGCAGAATTTTCACAGAGACAAGATAATTTAGGAACTTAAATACTGAAACCTCTGCCAAAAGTCTCATTCTGCTCTCAGGAAAGCATGAGATATACTTAATGTTGTTGATGTTTTCAGTATAAAGATACTCAGAAACTCGTGTGATACCAAGTCAACCATAAGAAAATCTGGTGAATTATTTCCAGTTTTTTAATATTACTGATACAGACAGGAGGCAAGGAAACACTAGGTAGAGAGGGCGGTTCCCCAGCAAAGCCCCCACCCTCAAGCCTGGAAACTGTGGCCCTAAATGAGAACAGTTATTCCTGTTTTCGTGCCCAAATGTTGCTTTTTTCATAATCACCCTGGCCCATCACGCCCCTGCATCCTGTACCCTCAGAAACCCCAAAGTCCACTGGCAGAGGAGCAGAGTTGTGCAGTAGAGGAGAGAAGGGAAGAAACATCTGAATGTTGAAGAGGCAGCTGGACTGCTGGAGAGGAGTTTGACTGGGGACAGCTGAACTACAGGGGAGGATAATCTTCCCACTCCATCCCTTTTCCAGCTCCCCACCCTGCTGAGAGCCACCTCCACACTCAATAAAACGTCCACATTCACCATCCTTCAAGTCCATGTCACCTGATTCTTCCCGGATGCCAGACAGGGACCCCAGTACCAAGAGGGATGAGTGTGAAAGACTGTCACCCTGACTCTCCACTGAGCTGGTTAACACTTAGCCATCTGCAGATGGCAACTGCTAAAAGAGCATTAATTGTAACTCATGTCCTCTGCTGTAATCATGGAATATATATATATATTGTAATACATATTCTATATATATACTATATATCACAATATATATTCATACTCTGCTATTTCATGTAATTTGCTACATGTTTTACCTAGTAAATAGAAACAGTGAATAGATGTGTACATAGTAATATGGGTAAATATTTAAACAATGTGTAATGAAAAAGAAACAGATATTTAATATGCTATTTATAAAATGTAGATAAAATATAACAACCCATTTACATAAATTAAAAATACTCAGAAAGGAGCACACATTTTATAAAAATACATAGAATCAAAAATGTACATTACATAAAATTGAATGTTAAGACAAATGGTTTTTATATTTGTAGTGCATGTAGTGGGGATACTATGAAAATGGGAGTGGAATATAGGAATAAAAAGGAATAAACTTTCAGTAAAGTGAGAAAATCAATGATAGTATGGAATAAACAGGGTGATTAACTTAACCCTTTGTGTCTAAGATCCAAGAACACTCTGTTAATGATTTTTAATAAATACAGTTTAACAAATCATGATTTTAATAATCTTGATTTTTATAATACTGTTTTTAAGGTGGTATAATATTAAACTAAATGGATGTGACATAAATTCTTTAACCTTTTTCTACTGCTGAATATATATACTTGCTTTACTGTTTTTATCTATATAAGTTGCGCTACTCTGAACACTTTTTTATGAACATATATTTTTCCCATATTTTGGATGGTTACTTTTTGATATATTATCCACAATAAAACTAACTTGTTGAAAGCATATGATATCATTACCACTCTTTGTATAAATTCAAAAAGATTGCTTGAATTTACAATGCCAAAAGCAACCAACAGAAATGCCAATTTCTACATACCCTAAGGAGCAGTAGGTCATGTTGCCTCTATCTGTCTGGCTACCTTTATATACTTTATCTATCCATATTTCTGCCCATTTGAAAGGCAAAAAATGTTGTCTCATTGTTGTTCTGCTTCTTTGTTAATCTAATAAATGTCTGTGGACTATCTACTAGTTTCCAAAGTTATTCTTAGTATTAAGCTGCATTTATTTGAGTATAAGATTATACATGGTCTGCATTTTTTTTTACTAACTTCATTTCCTCCTTTGAATCAAACAACATTTTTACTTTTTTTATTGACAGTTACTATGAATGTGGGTTTATTCTGACTAATGAAATAAAGTCATGGTCATCTTGAAGGAAAACTCATTATGTGATCTTATGTGATCTTAGCATCAATAAGTAAGAAAGGAAATGGAAATTCAGCATGGTTCCATGCATCTTATTGCTATCTGTACCCACAAGGATTACAGCAGCTCTGAATATAAAATACATCCTCAACATATATGTCATTTGCTTTAGTTGTAACCCTCTTTGATCCACTTTTTCCTTGTTCTGAGCCTCATTTTCTTATTCATATAATGTGGATAAAAATAATGCCTGTCTCAAAAGGAAGCATCAAGGACAAAATGGGAATGTTCATTTTATCACCTAAACTGCATTTCAGGAATGCGAGGGATGAATAGCAGGAAGTTGTGTTCATATTTTTATTCTCAGTGCCTGAATACATGATGGTATCTGAAAGACTTGCCAGTTTTCTCGCTGGATTTTTTTATTGAATAAAATAGTCTACATGATGGAGGAGTAGGCATTTCCTGGACTGAATTTAAAAAAATGAATTTGGTAAACATTTTTATTTTCCCAGAATTTGGTCTCATACAAAAAACAGATGTCCTACATTGGATCAAAAGGGATAAAAAGAACAACAGGTAACACCATGAATTACTGGAAATGACAGATAAGTCTGTAGCAGGCACCTGACAATGGTAATTTGAAACAGTAAAAGACTAAGCATTAATTTAAACTGTTTCCATGAAGTAAGTCTTCCATAAGCCTAAATAATTCATATTGATCCTGCTTGATCATTTTGTATTATGCTTTTATTGTGGGATTTGACACGCTACTATTTTGTTAGGAATTTTATGAAATAAATCAGTCTACAATTTTCCTTTCTTGCAATGTTTTTGTCAAGTATCACAGTTATACTGCCTTCACAAGATGAGTTGGAAAGTGTGATTCCCTTTTCCATTTTTTTGAAAAAAAAATTGTATGATTCGTATAATATCTTCTTAGACTTGAGGTAATTTACTATGAAAAAGATGTAGGCCTAGAATTTTCTTGGTGTTAAGGTTTCTGAAAGAAATTCAACATTTCTTTTTTCTTTTCTTTTTTTGAGACAAAGTTTCGCTCTTGTCGCCCAAGCTGGAGTGCAATGGCATGATCTCAGCTCACTGCAACCTCCACCTCCTGGGTTCGGGCAATACTCCTGCCTCACCCTCCTGAGTAGTTGGGATTACAGGCGTGCACCACCACGCCCAGCTAATTTTTTGTATTTTTAGTAGAGATGGGGTTTCACCAGTTTGGCCAGGATGGTCTCAAACTCCTGACCTCAGGTGACCTGTCCACCTCAGCCTCCCAAAATGCTGAGATTACAGGCGTGAGCCACCGCGCCTGGCTGAAATTCAACATTTCTGATACATAAGGCATTTGAATTTTGTGTTTCACCAGGTATCAGATTTGGTAAGTTGTGTGTTTCAAGGAATTTGATCATTTCATCTATGTTGGCAGAGTCATACACATAAAACTGTTCAAAATATCTCTTCAAAATCCTTTTGATTTTTCTAAGATCTAGAGTAATATCCCATCTTTCAACCCTGATATTAGATTTTTGTGATTTCTTTCTTCTTATCTTCATCTGTCTTGCTAGAGTTTATAAATTTTATTAACCTTTTCAAAAGTCACCTCTTGGTTTTGCAAACATTTTCAATCATGTCTGTTTTCTACTTCTTTTATTTCTGCTGTTATCATTATTACTTCTATCTATTAGGTTTAACTTTCTCACCTTTTGCTAATTTCTTAAAAATTCTTATGATTATCTTAGTGTAATTACAATGGCTTATTACAGTAGAAAATTAGATCATTAATCTTAAGGCTTCCTTTGCTTCTGATAAAATCATTTAAAGCTATAAATGTCATTCTAGGTACCATATTAGCTGCATACCACAAATTTTGATATGCTGTTTTTTTATCAGCCTTCAGTTCAAAATTCTTTCTAATTTCTTAGTGATTTCTTCATTTATTCATTGGTTATTCAGAAGCTGATTTGTTAATTTTCAAATGTTAGAACTTTTCTACATATCTTATTGATGTAAAACTTAATTTTTTATGGTCACAGAGGGTAATTACTAGTACTATCTAGTCCTTTGAAATTCACTGAGACTTGTTTTATGGTCCAGCATAATTTATCCTGGTTCATAGTTCATGTGCACTTCAAAACAATGCATAGTCTGCACTTGTATGGGGGGCTCAATAAGTGTCTGTGAGGTAAAAAATGGTTGACAGTATTATTTATATTTTCACTTCTCTTGCTTTATTCTTAATTTTACTATCCATTACTTGGAGAAGTGTGTTAATAGCTCAAAATATGATTATGGATTTTTCTATGTCTTCTTTTTTAATCTATCAGTTGTTGTTTTATCTATCAGTTGTTTCACATATCTTAAAACTGTTTTAGGCACATTCACATTTAAATGAAGTCTTTTTAATGCAGTCACTATTGTTACTTATAGCATATAGCTATTTAGTTTTATTATAAATAGTATTTGCAAAGTATAGCATTTTTTATCCTTTTTACTTTCAAGCCGTTTGTGCCTTTTTAGTTAAAATGTATCCTTTGGAGACAGCATATTTACCTTGCTCTTACTGTTTTATACAGATTAACACTGTTTGCCTTTTTATTGAAAAATTTTGTCCATTTACATTTAATGAACTGATTGCTGTGGTTGAATTTAGGCCTGCCATTTTTTCTTTCTTTTTTCTTTTTTTTTAAATCTGTTATTGTTGTTGCTTATTCATTTCTCCTTTCCTGACTTCTTTTGGGTTAATCAATTACTTTTTGAATTCTATTTTGATTTCTTTGTTGACTTTTCAATATATCTCTGCATTTTTGGCAGATGCTGTAAAAATTACAATACCTATTTTTAAGTACTAACAATATATGTAGAGTACTACTTTATATAAAATATATAGGAATCTTTAACAATGTAATTCAGTTTACTACCCCATATTCTCTATGCTTTCTTGATATATACATGCATATGTAGATAATATATTATATATGTGTGTGCGTGTGTGTGTGTGCATGTGTATGTGTATAAGACCCAGCCTACTGGGTTTTAATTTTTTTTAATATGATCACATTTTTTATTAAAAGTTGTTCCCTAGCATAAATAGTATATATTTTAATGTTTCTATGTATTCATTGTTTACTTGATGTGCAGTGGATAACATCCATTATCAATAGCTTTATTTGGGGTTACAATTATGTAAGAAATTGTCACTTTTTACTTTATATGCTTATATTGTTTGAATACTTACTAAAAACCATCACAGGTCCTTAAAAAGTACATAAATAAATAAACAGTTGTTCTCAACCAAGGCCAATTTTGCCCTCTGGGAGAAATTTGGCATTATTTAGAGACATTTTTGATTGGAGGGGGTGGGGTGCTGCTGACAACAAATGGGTAGAGGCCAAGAGTGCTGCCAAAAATCTTACGATGTATAGGAGAGTCCCCCAAACAAAGAATTATCTTCTGCAAAATGTCTGTATTGACAAAACAATGAAATTTAAACATATAGGTCTAAGTCCAGTTTACTTACTTACAGCTAATTAAGGACATTTGTTAAAAAAGTTCAAAGTTCCAAAGTCCCTCCAGATACAACATTTGTATTCAAACCTAAAGAGCTACACTCTCTAAGCTCATTTGAAGTACTTATTAGCTGATGATGAGTCATTGAGTTTGTTAAGTGAATTAATCATGTTGTGTGATTCCACGTGAGCGATTTAAAGGCCACTGGAAAAAAAGTCAGAGCTTCAAACAAGGGAGTCTCCACTACCAGCTGTTTTCTTTTCCCTTTGTTTCTCCTGGCATGCAAATACCATCAAAGTAATCATTGCTGGGTTTTCTTTGTTTAGAAGTATGAGAGAAAGAGGTTAAAAAATAATTCCAGTACAATTATATTTGCCTATTAAATAAATCCTAATAATTCAAATCCCTTCAGATAAAATTACCACACATTTCTTAAAGTACAATGTCTGGTTTCCATTTTCAAAGGATCTTTTCAAGCTTTATAAAACACACTGTTAAAATGATAATAAAGCCAACTTTGGCAAAGAACACAGGATTTCAAGCTACACTTGGGTGTGAATCTCAGTATTCACCACTTCCTAAATTTGTGATTACTGTCCTCCCAGACCTCCTTCAAGTCTCATTACTATAGTTTTTTAATCCATAAAATATAGGTAATACTGATCTCAGGTGGTTGAGAAACACTTTGCACGAAATCAAACACAAACAAGGTGTTTAGCTAATCCAAAGCTTTATTCTATCTTGAGAAACTGATGTGTCAACTCTGTGACAGCCTCTGTGGATGAGGAATATATCCCCAGTAAATTGGCATCTGTGCTGAGCTATCTACTACAGGTGACAACATTTGTGCCCCTGGAGACACAGATGCAGTTTGTCACAGATCACTCATTTTAATTATGCCTACAGTGAGTAAGGGAAATAAACGGTGGCTGCAACACTCTTATTATCTTCCCAAGGAAATGCAGTGAATTCATCTTGGAAAAGACTGGTTTAGTAACCTTCAGTGAGTGAACTCTTTATCCAGAAGTCTTTGAGGCCTGCAGCTCACAGACCTGATTTGCTCAAGAAAGTCCTGGCTTACTGGGTATTCTGAAACCCATGAAAAAAGAAGGGTCCAGACAATAAACCCACTATTTTACAGGACAGCCTCAAAATTGCCAGCAATACTAAAGTCACTTTCATACCACCCTCAAAGATTTACTAGAGAGGCCTCCTCCAGTCCTCCAAGAACAATCAAATCAAAACACACTCATGCGTGCGCACACACGCAGACACACACACACACACACACACAGAGAGATACTCTAACAAATGGCATATCTTCCACCTTATGCATTGACTGCCACAGCTGCTCCCCCGACAGGGTATTCAATCATGCAAATGTCTTGTGTTTGAAGGCTGTTTCCACTTCCAGTCAGGCACGTTGTTTTCAGCACATCTGACAAAATAGGCCAGATCTGCACAGCAACTTTTGAGAGGAAGTGCAACAAAAGACATCCAGCTGTGCTGAATTAAAAGGTCGTCATTCATCACCTTCCATCAGTCAAAAAGCAAAAGGAGGCTGACGTTATTTGTAAGAAATTTAAGGGTGTTATTATTCACCTGTAATTAAAAAGAATGGTTTGATTTGGCTTGTAGCCTAGAGAAGTATGAATGCTTTTATTTTGCCAGGTTATGAATTTTTCCAAGTACTGAATAGGTCTGAGAATGAGGCAATAAGATGGAGGGACTTTGTAAAGTAGAATTTTCCTCAACCTGTATTCACTTGCATTTTGTTTGTTTTTTAATTGACTGTTTCTTTATCTTTGCTTTTCTGCTTTAGAGAAGTACTGCCAGAAAATAAAAATCAAATGGAATTTTGAGTCTATCAACATGAAAAAGTCCATGCTAAAGGTTTTAGATTTCCCCAAAAGAGAAAATCTGAGAAAATGTATTACAGATGAAGTTGCTTTTTCCGGATATGCTACATATTCAGAAACAGTAGAGAGATCATGGCTTTTGTGGTATAAAGTAAAAAAATATATATGCATGGCAGGCATAGTAGAGATAGATAATTTTTAAATATTTTTATGTATCTGAAGTTCTGGAAGATGAATATAAGAATTTGTCAAGAGATTTTTAAAATGAATTCTCTTTCAGCCCTTCTTTTTATTCCAGGAAGAGTTTAGGGCAACTTGAAGACACATTAAAACACAATGTTAATATTAATTGCATGAGAAAAACAGAACAAAAGGAAAAGCAAAGAAGAAAACATAAGATGAAGCTAAGATTGAGGCATACAAACCAAACATATATCAATGTATTTACTAGAGCTAAGCTACACATGTGGCCCTGAGTTTTCTAGCAGCCAATTCAAAGAGGGAGCTGAGATTAGTTATGTGATGTGTAATGCCCACAAAATTAAAACAGAAGAGGCATATGTATTATTTGGGTATGTAAATGAGCATGGTGTCATAGGTCTGGAATTTGTTAGTAAACATGTTTTCTAAAAATATGTCCTGGGAAAGTTATCAATTTTCTGTAACAATTATAAGCATTTATGTGTTTTTCTGACACCAATAAGAATAAAAACAAAAAAATTCCTTCAGCGTTGCCTAAATTGTTATTGCAGGCTAATAGAGAGTATGTGCACTCCATGCAGGTCTTGGTCAATGTCTTCATCTGTTTGGGCTGCTATGCTAATACCATGGACTAAGTGGCTCATAAACAACAAAAAATTTATTTTTCACAGTTTTGGAGGCTGCCAAGTCCAAGATCAAACCACCAGCAGTTTCAGTGTCTGGTGAGAGATCACTCCTGGTTCATAGATGGATGGCCATCTTTTCACTGTGTCCTCACATGGTGGAAGGAGCCAGGGAGCTGTCTTCACTAATTTCATATAAAGGCACTAGCTCTATTCATAGAGGCTTTGCCCTCATGACCTAAGCACATCCAAAGACCTCATTTCCTCATACCATCACATTGCGAATTAAGATTTAACATATGAATTGGGGTAGGGGGCAGGGACACAAACATTCAGTGGATAGCAGCCAGTAGGAGCAGCACAAAAGAGCAGTTTCAGGTAAAGGGCTAGGAGCCCTGAGATCTTGGTTTTATTATATCTCATTGCATTCAGTAGTAGACTGAAGTACAGGAAGGGAAGGAATGGAGGGCACTGAAATTTAAGCTGCTTGGATGCCCTATATAATATTTGGTATTCTGAAAACACTTTACACTTGCCAGTAAGTGAATCCAGATGGTATTCAAATAAGTTTAGCCAACATGATTATCTTGACTTGCTGATGTGGAAAGCCAGGACCTGATTGATTTGCCCAAGGCCTTTCAATTCCTAAGGAGACACCATACAGCTTTTACCACTTCCTGTACATCCAGTAGGCCAAAGAGAGTCGAGTCCTGGAAGAAAACACAGACTTTCATATTTCTTGTTCTTGGCTTGGCTCAGCAGATCACAGACCCTTCTAAACAAAGGGGAAAATGTCTATCATCATAACTTGGCTGGTCCCTTTTTCAATGATTTCCTACAAAGCAACCCATAGCCAATTTTTCAGATCTACTGCTTAATTCGTTTAGGTCCATTTTTATTAGTACTCAAGTTATTTTCCTGAATAATTACAAAGAAAACCTTTTCCCCCTTACTCATCAGAAATAGAGCTATATAAGAATAGCTGGAACCCAGAAAAGAAAATATACAATTTCAAGTTTGCATGGATGTATTCTCATTTCTAAACAATACAAAAAAAAATTGTTAAATTTTGCTATTTTCAGGATGGACATTGTACATTTATTCTCTGGGGCAATTTTTCCAAACTTTCCTGCTGAAGAAAATTACCTCATCTTCCCTATTTCTTTCAAAAAGTAGTTTCCCCAGCCCCACTCAGACTTGCTGAATCAGAATCTTTCAAGAAGGTAAAGGTCTGTTCAGGGAAATTATGTCAACAAAGACTCTGGACCCTGGTCAAGATTCAATTCAAATCTCACTTCTGCCACCTATGAGCTGTGTGAATTTGGCCAAGTGGCTTACCCTCCCTGTATCTCTATTTCTTCATATGTGAAATGAAAATCTAGCCCCTTGAGGAGCCCAAATTTAAAGACAGATTAGTAAATGAAAGTTCAGCAAAGGAAATCAAAGAGGAGTCAAAGACAATCTTTGAATCAGTCTATTTCTTTTTTATATATATATACTTTAAGTTATAGGGTACATGTGCACAACCTGCAGGTTTGTTACATATGTATACATGTGCCATGTTGGTGTGCTGCACCCATTAACTCTTCATTTACATTAGGTATATCTCCTAATGCTATCCCTCCCCCATTCTCCCACTCCACAACAGGCCCCAGTGTGTGATGTTCCCCTTCCTGTGTCCAAGTGTGGAAAGACTGCCTCTTCAAGTGGGTCCCTGACCCCTGAGTAGCATAACTGGGAGGCACCCCCCAGTAGGGACAGACTGACAGCCCACACGGCTGGGTACACCTCTGAGACGAAGCTTCCAGAGGAACGATCAGGCAGCAACATTTGCTGTTCAGCAATATTTGCTGCTCTGCAGCCTCCGCTGCTGATACCCAGGCAAACAGGGTCTGGAGTGGACCTCCAGCAAACTCCAACAGACCTGCAGCTAAGGGTCCTAACTGTTAGAAGGAAAACTAACAAACAGAAAGGACATCCACACCAAAACCCCATCTGTACTTAACCATCACCAAAGACCAAAGGCAGATAAAACCACAAAGATGGGGAAAAAACAGAGCAGAAAAGCTGAAAATTCTAAAAATCAGAGTGCCTCTTTCCCCTCCAAAGGAACGCAGCTCCTCACCAACAATGGAACAAACCTGGATGGAGAATGACTTTGATGAGTTGACAGAAGAAGGCCTCAGACGATCAAACTTCTCCAAGCTAAAGGAGGAAGTTCAAACCCATTGCAAAGAAGCTAAAAACCTTGAAAAAAGATTAGACGAATGGCTAACTAGAATAATCAGTGTAGAGAAGTCCTTAAATGACCTGATGGAGCTGAAAACCATGGCACGAGAATCAGTCTATTTCTTAAGAACTGAATGATGTTGAGAAAAGTCACCTGACTTCCCAAGGTTCTATTTTCTGTTAGATTCATTCAAGCTCTACAATTGGTGAGAATGAGAATAATTTTCAGAACAAGGATGCATTCTCATGCTTTTAGATATTAGATGAAAGTGAACATTAATCCAAATCACCTTAAAATTTGAGTACAATTTAGAAAGAATAAATTACAAATATGTCATTTTATTATTATACACTATTCATGCTTCCAAATATTTCTGATTTAAAATCCAAACATATACCTAACAATGAGACTTTATAAAATGTTTTAAGTAATGCATCTTTAAATAGCTTACCAAATTGCAGAAAAGGCATCCATTCGTTTCTTATGAAAAGAATTTTCTACTCAAATTAACTGCAAAATTATCTTAAGAAAAACCTTCTCAGAAATGACGTGCTCAAGAAGACACAGGCAGGATCTTGATCTTGACTAATCAGTGGAAACATTGGGAAATATATATTAGAATGAATAACAGATTCTAACAGATAGTCAAAATGCATAAATAATGACTACATTTCTTAATTACTCCACTGAAACTGGTTGCTGACAAGCCAGATGGCACAGGTCATTAGTGCCTTTTGGCTCTGGCATCCCCGCCAAAGAAACCCAGGACTGGAATAGCACTGCTATTGTTAGAGCCCCTCAAAGCACAATACACTAAAAAGCCCTCCTCATTGCTGGGGAACAATGCCTTAAAATTCTTTTGTTATTCTGCAATGCTTCAAAATTTGTTAAGTCTTGTCCTCTTTTTCCCTAAGGGACTTTGGAGACTTAATTAAGTTATTGTTTGCAGACATGGGATAAATTCAGTCACATCACAAAAGAAACAACACAGTTCCAAATGTTAATACACACTTTCCTCTAAACTGTAAATCAAGACTCAAGCCATAATTGGAAAGAGCAATGTAACTGTGGGTCTCTTTCTAAATAAAGGGGACACAGTAATAATATTAAAAGAACAAGGATAGGAAGAATCAATATTGTGAAAATGGCCATACTGCCCAAGGTAATTTATAGATTCAATGCCATCCCCATCAAGCTACCAATGACTTTCTTCACAGAGTTGGAAAAAACTACTTTAAAGTTCATATGGAACCAGAAAAGAGCCCACATTGCCAAGTCAATCCTAAGCCAAAGGAACAAAGCTGGAGGCATCACGCTACCTGACTTCAAACTATACTACAAGGCTACAGTAACCAAAATAGCATGGTACTGGTATGAAAACAGACACATGGGCCAATGGAACAGAATAGAGCCCTCAGAAATAATGCCACACATCTACAACTATCTGATCTTTGGCAAATCTGACAAAAACAAGAAATGGGGAAAGGATTTCCTATTTAATAAATGGTGCTGGGAAAACTGGCTAGCCATAGGTAGAAAGCTGAAACTGGATCCCTTCCTTACACCTTATACAAAAATTAATTCAAGATGGATTAAAGACTTAAATGTTAGACCTAAAACCATAAAAACCCTAGAAGAAAACCTAGGCAATGCCATTCAGGACATAGGCATGGGCAAGGACTTCATGACTAAAACACCAAAAGCAATGGCAACAAAAGCCAAAATTGACAAATGGGATCTAATTAAACTAAAGAGCTTCTGCACAGCAAAAGAAACTACCATCAGAGTGAACAGGCAACCTAGAGAATGGCCGCTTTGCAATCTACTCATCTGACAAAGGGTTAATATCCAGAATCTACAAAGAACTCAAACAAATTTACAAGAAAAAAACAAACAACCCCATCAAAAAGTAGGTGAAGGCTATGATCAGACACTTCTCAAAATAAAACATTTATGCAGCCAACCGACACATGAGAAAAATGCTCATCATCACTGGCCATCAGAGAAATGCAAATCAAAACCACAATGAGATACCATCTCACACCAGTTAGAATGGCGATCATTAAAATCAGAAAACAACAGGTGCTGGAGAGAATGTGGAGAAATAGGAACCTTTTTACACTGTTGGTGGGAGAGTAAACTAGTTCAACCATTGCGGAAGTCAGTGTGGTGATTCCTCAGGGATCTAGAACTAGAAATACCATTTGATCCAGTGATCCCATTGCTGGGTATATGCCCAAAGGATTATAAATCATGCTATTATAAAGACACATGCACGAATATGTTTATTGTGGCACTATTCACGATAGCAAAGACTTGGAACTGACCCAAATGTCCAACAATGATAGATTGGATTAAGAAAATGTGGCACATATACACCATGGAATACTATGCAGCCATAAAAAATGATGAGTTCATGTCCTTTGTAGGGACATGGATGAAGCTGGAAACCATCATTCTCAGCAAACTATCACAAGGACAAAAAACCAAACACCGCATGTTCTCACTCATAGGTGGGAATTGAACAATGAGAACACTTGGACACAAGAAGGGGAACATCACACCCTGGGGCCTGTTGTGGGGTGCGGGGAGAGGGAGGGATAGCATTAGGAGATATACCTAATGTAAATGACGAGTTAATGGGTGCAGCACACCAACATGGCACATGTATACATATGTAACTAACCTGCATATTGTGCACATGTACCCCAGAACTTAAAGTATAACAAAAAAAAGAAAAGAAAAAAATTACAATAAAAAAGATGTAAATGAAAAAAAAAGAACAAGGATTTATAAGCTGTTAATTGTATTATGCAGTGTGTTCACCAAACTCTGATGCTTTTGTTTAAAGTATAAAAACAGCCGATGCTTTTACATAATTATTAATAAACTATAAGAAAGTTAAAGACTAAGGGTAAATCTTGAGAGTAGGGCATTCCATCTTTCTGAAGCCTCTCCCTAATGTCCAGCCCTATTCCTTCGGATGTCCTCCAGAACCTCTGATGGCTGGTAAAGATGTTGCTGCTAAGAAGCTCTAAAATTGATCAAATCACTTCAGTAACGAAATCATAGTCAAGATTTTATTAACAATCAATGAAAGAAACAGGAGCCTTGACTGTATTAGTCAAAAAAGATATTAATAAAGTTTTAATAACTTATTAATCAAGTTTACCAGTTTTATTTGAAGGAAGTCATAATTTGTGTCATGAAATATCTCATGTCATGGTTAAAGTTTATGTCATGAACCAATCTGGGGCAACGTGGAACCTTACAGTAGGAAGTGATACATGGATCAGCAAAGGCCTCATAAATTCCAGGGTATGCTTTTCCCATTTTCTTTCTTGGCTCCAAAGAACAGAGAAGGCAATGCTAAACAGTGTTTCCTTCCTGGAGTTGACACTAAGAGTGTCCTGAAGATGTGCCCAAAAACATGGCAAACACAGCCAATGGTGGCTCTGTCCCCTAATGTCTGTGCATAACAATTCTCTTTATGAAGCCCATGACCGCTCATGGACAGCCACACAGGTAGCATCTGAAAGCAAGCTTACATCTTGGCTAAGGTCTATTAGCTCTTTGCCCACTTCCTAAGGCTCTCCTAGCCCTCTCAGTTTTAGCTGCTGAAGCTTTTAAGACCCACCTTTAATAAGGCTTGCTTCTTTGCTTAAGACTCACTGCCTCTACAGAAATTGATACTTGCCTGTAATCATTACCATAAACTGCAATGATCTGTCTAGGTGAAAATCCCACAAGGCTTATGCCTAAATCCTAAAGCCACATGCAAACCCAGCCACATTCCACCACATAGGTCATAACACACTGTCCAAGTTAAAGGTACGAATCCACCTACTAAAATCCATGGTTGAAAGCCCTGACCCTACCCCCAAGTTTCTTCATGCATATTTTTCTCTAAAATTATATGCTGTGTCTTCTAATTAACAAGGTTCTCAATAAATGAACCAAATATCTCAAGATGAGCATGAAGGGACCTAATAAACATTACCCTTCTCAATGACATAGGTTCTGTACCAATTGGAAAATAAGACAAGAATCAGCAAATGGAGACTCAAACTAATATTTTATAAATGTTAAGTTGGAAAAGATGGGGTTTTGAGGTAGAACTAGCTCCCAACTTTTTGCTTTGGTCTTGAAAAAGTTACCCAAAGAAGATTTTGAATTTGCAAACACTTACCCAGGTCATTGACTCTCTCTGGACCTGGTGGAGAGAGGAGAAACAAGAGACCCAATCCCCATTCATGAGAATCTGATAGATTAGTCCAATCCAACTGAGAAGCAATATTACAATGTCAGATGCACCTAATGGCAGATTACTAAAGACAGGCAATTCCTTTTACCTCCCTTGCAGTAAAGGATTGAGTGCGCTTCACCAATGTGTGTCCCTCCAAACAGATAGAAACATTAGGCATCAGAGTTAAGCATTTCGATCCAAACACTTAAGACCTATAAAAAAGTATTTCTTTGCTTCTTATAAGGAATTAGTCATGTAAATATTATACTTTTTGTTTTTTCCAGAACTTTGGAAAAGCTTGAAGCTAAGTATATTTATTCAACTATAATAGTTTTCTCTGCTATAGCTATTTGCACTTAAATACAAAGAACGTATCAAATAAAATAGCAATTCCTTTGTTTTATAAAATTTAAGCTTTCCACATTTCAATGAATTCTAAGACTTGCTTTACTCTAAGTCATCAATTTAGTGTGATTTACCATGATGACACATTTCAGAACAACACTTTAGTGGCATAGGTATCCCAGCAATACAAAAACAGCCCACTGATTTTACAAAACTACTGTTGTCAAATCCTAAAAATAGATAGATGCATACGTTTTTTAAAGTTTAGACTTCGTATTGTCATAAATCAGGGCTATAAGTAAAGGGAAAGTTGGAAGAAATGATCAATAGTTTTGAGTTAAAAGCTAAATCAGTTTCACAAGTGTTTTTCTCAGTAAAGTTTCTTTGGAGATTACAAGAAAATCACAGGTGAATTAAAGATATAAAACTCCTTCCTCTTTCATTGCAGGACTAGTTTTTTTTTTCACATCATTAAGTTCATTCCTTTCCAAAAATGGCTCAAAATTATTTTTTAAAAATCACTGATTTTTCCAAACAGAGGGGATGGACAGGAAATTATCTTTAAATAAGTATACTCTATTTAGTGCTCTGTGTTGGTTAAATGTCAGTGTGGGGAACAATATTTAGTCTTTCCAAAATTCTTCACAGTTTGATCCACTGACACGATAGTTTTCTTAATTTCCTGACCAATGGCATTGTATGCAATTTTTGTACATGGCCAACAGCTGGTGCCTTTAACCCAGCAGATGTTTTTGTGTCTGAATTGTAATCACTGTACAGGCAGAGTCCAGAATTTTGTTTTCTTTCACACTCTTCTCCCATATGCAGAAACTTCATTTAGAAGACAAAAGGAATGTGCATAAAAACACACCACAGGGTGTGGACGGGTTTAATAGATGCAGTCCCCAGTGTATAAAGAGCCTAAATCTTTCCCAGTACAGTGGGATTACACAACATCCACTGAGGTCATTTAAAATGGTTCCTAAAAGACCAAAGCCCACAGCCAATGGAATCACAAAATCATAGAACCCCGAACTTAGATGGGACCAGTACAGTGTGTATCAAAGCTGAGTAATGGGTGTTTTTAAAGGAAAAAAATGACTTAAGCTTAGCCTCCCTCCATGTTGATTTAAACTGCTTTTGTCATAGTGTTACTTAAATATGTACAACCATAAAACAAGATGCAAGCTTCTCATACCTCTAGTTTTCATCTTCCTGGTGATGTCAGAGACTCTGGTGTCATGATACCTTGGTGTGGTCCCACCTCCACTGCTCACTAGCCATGTCAAGTCAGACAGGTTACTAAGTTTTCAAATGCTTCATTGATAATAGCAGAACCCCACCTTACACACCGTGCAAGTATATGAAATATATATATAATAATACATATCACATAACACTTAGTAAATGATAGCTATTGTTCTCCTTATTATTTGTTTTCAAAACCAAATAACCACCAAAATTCAAAGCTTACTTACTTTAATGTGATGCACGTGATTTAAATGAAACTATAGGTATGGAGCTTTTTTGAATGGAATAACCAGCCCTCATATGTAATTGAAACTCCTCCTGTTAGCAGTTTTAAAACCAATTTTAATAAAAGTGTGTGTTTTTTTTTTTTAGACGAAGTCTCACTCTTGTACCCCAGGCTGGAGTGCAATGGCACAATCTCGGTTCACTGCAACCTCCGCCTCCCAGGTTCAAGCTATTCTCCTACCTCAGCCTCCTGAGTAGCTGGGATTACAGGTGCCCACCACCACGCCCAGCTACCTTTTGTATTTTTAGTAGAGACAGGGTTTCACCATGTTGGCCAGGCTGGTCTTGAACTCCAGACCTCAGGTGATCTGCCCGCCTCGGCCTCCCAAAGTGCTGGGATTACAGGCATGAGCCACCACACCTGGCCAAAAGTGACATTCTTAAGTTGTCTTAATCACTTCAAGATAAGGTAAATATTGTAACATTATTGAAATCCGTAAGTCCATAGCTAGCTTAACCACTTCTGCATTGATGAGGAAAATTATACTCTGCCTATTTAGTGTTACTATCACAACCAAAGAAAATTGAAGTTGGTATCAACAACAAAAAGGAATCCACTCAAGATTCACCCATGCTAATAGCACAACTGCTATGAAACAGACGTTTCTGAGACAGTGGGCCTGAATTACCTGCTATAGACTTAAGTTTTCCACCTTTTTACTCTATTTGAACTACTTTAAAATATTAATTTCCAATGAAGAATATGTCTTTCCACCTTTACTTGGAAGCTAAAATTTTTTTTAGTATTTGGATGAACAAGAATACATTTGTATTCATTTTTAAGTGAATGCTCTTAAATGAAAAAGCAAACTGTAGAAATTCCTAGAGAAAGTCTTCAGACTCCTGATAATATATCCATAAACCAGTCTGAAAATCTCTATACACTTACCTTTATATATCCATATAGATATAGTTTCTGCCTTATTTATACATATTATGCTCAGTATTTATTTTCATTTACAGCCTAAAGAAAATTTCAGCACAGTAAACTTTAATTTTGCATGCAGTATTTTTTAAATATTGTATATTTCATCACACAATGTATTTTTATGATCTGCACTTATGTGTTCTCGGCCAGTTTAGTTGGCTGATGGTGACAATGGTTACTGTTTTCTAATTTCCTGCTCCATAAATTTTACCCAAAATTGGGCATCTCAGTTTTAATGGTGGTAGCTGGAGAAAAGGTGTTGGTGAAAGGTGATGCACAAAAAACAAACAAAGAGAGAAGTGAATAATGGAAAGGGATGGGAGAAATTATTAGTAAGCCATCATTCCCAGAGGTTAGAACTTCTAGTTAGAACAAACCATTTTTGTGAATGGAACATTCACTTCATTTTGTATGAAAAAGCCCTGAAAAGAAAGTTTAATAAAATATTTTTAAAAGGAACACGATGCAACAATATTTTCCCTAAAAAAGTCATCAAATATTCTGAGGTTTTTGAAAGAGTAGTCTAAAGAAAGAAAACTATTTTACAAAGAGAACTCACAGAGAATAGAATTGTTAAAGCTCATCTCCCTTTTCCATTCAAAAGGAAAACTCAGTGCTCTGAAGTTGGGAAGGTTCAACCTGATGACACAACTTTCCTCTCTCAATAATACTGATATTAAGAGCTAACTAAATTTTTAAAATATATCTTTTGTTTTCATTTTGAGCAATTTACAGCAATCATAACTCAATCATAATTGTGCAATTATGGATATTACTCTCCATAATTCTTATTGATATTTTGTTTAAAAGACTGCCTTTAATAGATTTGTCAATAAGATTTTAATAGTATGAGACTATCTATCAATGAGTTCAATATCTGTGACCTTAAAAAATCACAAAGAAGTTTCAGAGCATCTGATACTCAGTTCCCTTTCTAAATGTAAAGTGCTTGTATTGTGTGAAAGGCTGAAAAATCTGCACATCACAAAAAGAAATAGCAGTTTGATAACTCTGTGATGTGTCCTAAAATAACCAGGTTAGCTTTCTATGGATGATAAAGAAAACGTTTCTACCTACCACAAAAGTGATAACTGTATATTTTTAAATAAATACCCATATCTATGTCTAATATTTCTTTGGCTAAATTTTATTGGATAGTAAACTATTCACTTATCCTAATCATAGCAACTGACTGATATGATCCTAGATCTACAAGAAATAGATTTCAGAAGACCAAATTTTCTCTTTTATTTCTATGTGATCTAAAATTAACTTAATATAAACACAAAGCCTTTTCTTGAATTCAGATAAATAAAGCATCCCTTACATTTTCAGAAGTTTCCATCATGTGAAGTAGTTGTATTACAATGTTCACATTTACAAGTGAATGTTTTTCATAACAACAGTGGATCATTTGCATCAAGGATCCTCACATCAAATCTTTTCCACAATGAAATCTTTCCCTAGCTACTTAAATACATTTCAAATGCATTTTCCAAATTCCCAATCACTAATATTTACATCGTTTATTTAATGCTCTCTAAGAATACAAAAAAAAACCCCTGTATTTATGACAATAAATTGCAACACGTAAAAGGTGAATTTGAAAATAAACCTTTGAAAGGAAAGCTTCTTAGGCTAAAGGAATTGATGTTTATAAAATGGACTGTTAACTAGATAGAGTTAAATGTGAATTATTTAAACAGCGATGAGAGGAGACAGAGCTTATACTTTGAGGCTCTTCATGTAATGTGAGCATATATATGTGTGTGTGTGTGTGTGTGTGTGTATACACATTTAAGTATCAATCATATTTATTTCATAGACTTCTCTCTCTTTCACTCATGGTATCAGTTAGCATTTGCTGAGTAACAAACCACTCCACAATATAATGTAGTTAGGCGACAACCATTTACTTAGCTCAAAATGCAGGAGGTCAGCAGTTTGGGCTGTTTTCAGCCTGGCAGGCCTACTGATATGGTCTGTGATGGCTGTTCTCAGCAAAGCTCTTTCAGGGGTCTTGGCTAGCATAGCTGTACCAGTGAAAGCTTTTCTCCACATGGTTTCTCATTCTCCAGCAGGCCAGCCTGGTTGTTCACAGAGTGCTGTTTTAAGCTCAGTGAGAGAGATCCCCAGTGTGCAAATGCTTTTCAGGCCTCAATCTTCTGCTGTCCCGTTGACCAAAGCTGGTCACAAGGCCAGACCCCAATCAATAGGGCAATGAAAGGCTTCACCTCTAACTCAGAGGACCTGCAAATATTGTCACCATTTTGACATCCACCACATCCACAGTATTTTCCCCTCTATGTTCTTACCATTTTCTGCCTAAACGTCTATCAGATTCATCCACTTCTCCCTCCAGGGTGACTTCCTAGAAGAAGCTTTCATGGTCTCCCATGGTGCTACTGCAACAGTCTTCTAACAGGATTTCCCCCAACCATGCTTACTGCCTTACAAGAAGGCAACCAGGCAATTTTTTAAAAACATAGATAGTATTAAAACCTTTCCATTGGCTTTCGGTTATTTAAAGATAAAAACCCAAGTCCTTACTATGACCTATAAGGCTCTCCATGATCTAGAGTATACACTTCAAACATAGCTTGTGGCATCCCATAATGATGAGTGAGAACATGTACAATAACACAAGGGTGCATGGCCAGAGACCTGGCCTAGTCTGAAGGTATTCTAAGAAAGGAGATTTGGTCTGAGGTTTAAAAGATCTGTAAGTGGTACCTGCAATGAGTTGGAGAAAGGGAATGAGTATTTACAAATCAACATTTGTAATTTCATAATTATTTTTATGATTATATCAGTTTTCCTCACCACAAAATCCTTTGTGCCTATCAAAGTGACTGAAAAGTGGCTTCCTCCAATAAGAAATTTTAAGACAACAAGAAACTTGGATACTTAAGCAGACTAAAATTTTAGACTTATATGAACCCTCCCACATTTCAGAATCAAACTTCATTAATGTTTGAAACCATTGTATTTAATACATATGGTATGTTTCTGGACTTCATGTAAATAATAAGGAAATCTGGATTCTAGGACTAATTCAGGCATTACCTGTCTGTTAAACATTCTTGGTCTCAGTTTTCTCATTGGAAAAGTGAGAAAGTCTGTGGACATGGTATTTAAAGTTCTTTCTAATTTTTTTAAATATTATGTGATTCCACAATTCCAAGACTCAAAAGCAGCAGAAAGTTTTAGCACAGCGATAGCCTCCTGTTGTAAGTGAACACACTCTCCATTTATTTTTCTTAATTTGATTTACATATACAATGTGTCTTCAGTTTAAATAGCCAAAGGATATAATTATATATAAAAATTAAATTGCTTAAAATGTTAAAATGTAGTGACTTTTAATAATTCAGACAAATGAAAAAACAAAGCATAGAATAGGAAATGGATTAAACAAGTAATATGTAAACAATGGAATATAATAGAATTAATCGTCTTATCCCAGTAATAGACTAATTGCCTTAAATTTGTGAACTACTTAGATGCCTCACATTGAGAAACATGCTGAATTTCCACAAGTTTTAACACATGGGACCTACTTAGGAAGCATCTGGAAAATCCCAAAATCAAAACATGCATTTCAACAGGACAATTTCAAAAGAGTATAACCTAGAGGCTATGTCCTCCAAGCTGAGTATAGCAGGAAACAGTTGGGCCCCCACATGTCAGGACAAAATTTTTGCAGCATTTCTCAAAAGGGCATTTAAAAAGAGAAAAGCAAATAGACAACACAGCAGTAGGTATGTTTTAATATGAGACAGGTTTTGCTTAAACAACATATGAGATTCTGAAGTAATTCTATAGTGAATCAAATATGGGATTTTGAGCTTCTTAATATACAAAGTAATGCATTTTATTTTCCTAATTTTCTGAGGCTTCTGAGGTAAGTTCCAGTTTATTTAGGAACGTACCTGATGTAGGGTATTAGAAAAGTAGTGTTCAACTTCACTTATATGATGCGACCTTAATTTCTCAATCTGCAATGAAAATGGAAACAGGTGTTAAAAGAATAAACTCTGGAGGTTTACCATCTAGGCTTTAATTCTAAATCCCCTTCAGAAAAATGTCTTAAATAACTTTGGGTTTGATAAATTAAGTGTCATGTATTTCGTAGCATACCTACTAAAGAATAAAAAGTTATGAATTTCAACTAGAGGATAGAAGAATACGCAATGACAAGAATTAACACAAACACAAAAAAGGGCAGACGAAAACAAGAAAAAAGCAATATAGAACAGGTCATACAAATAGGGCAAAAATGTTAGTAGAATTTAAGCCAAAATATATCAAAAATTACATTAAACATAAATGGGAGATATGTTGTAATTAAAAGGCACAGGTAGATGAAAATGCAAACACCCAACAAACACTTTTTATTAATAATGCATATAAAAATAAGAATACAGAGATTATAAATTTTAAAATTGGAAATATATTTACCTCATAAATATTAACACTTTCTCCTTAAAAATAGAGTTTTAGTTATAGCAATATCAAAGAAAGAGAGATGTTACAGCAGAAAGTATTATTGTATTTCAACAGGGTCATTTCATAATGAATAAAGATGAAATAGACAACTGATCACCAGTTACTTTTATTTTTTCATTTTTAATGTATTTAGTAAAATAGCAAATATTGATAAAACCAGAAGGATAAAAATATACATAAAACATCAGAGTCAGAGATTTTTCTCTATAAGGATATAATGGAAGAAAAAACAATAAAGATGTAAAAAACTTGAATAGCACAATTTAAAAATTGACCTAGCAGACTTCTATAAACTATTCCATTCAACAACTACAGAATTCATGTTCTTTTACAATGTGCATATTTATAAAAACTCACTATATCCTGGGCTAAAAAGTAAATTTAACAATTTTTAAAGAAGTTAAATCACATAGACCATTTTCTATGACTAGAAATTAGAAATCAATTTAAGAAACTGGAAATATTCTGTAAGTTTGAAAATTAAGAAATGTCTCTAATGATCAGTAAGATTAAGCATTTTTTCATATGTTTGTTGGCCACATAAATTTCTTACTTAAAGAAATGTCTGTTCATGTCCTTTGCCTACTTTTTAATGGAGTTGTTTGTCTTTTCTTGAAAATTTGTTTAAGTTTCTTGTAGATCCCAGATATTAGATCTTTGTCAGATGAATAGATTGCAAAAATCTTCTCCTTTTCTTAGGTTGTCTGTTCACTCTGATGATAGTTTTCTTTTGCTGTGCAGAAACTCTTCAGTTTAATTAGATCCCATTTGTCAATTTTTGCTTTTGTCGCATTTGCTTTTGACGTTTTCGTCATGAAATCCATTCCCGTGCCTAGGTCCTGAATGGTATTGCCTAGATTTTCTTCTGGGGTTTTTATAGTTTTGGGTTTTACATTTAAGTTTTTAATCCATCTTGAGTTAATTTTTGTGTAAGGTTTAAGGGAGGGACCCAGTTTCAATTTTCTGCATATGGCTAGCCAGTTCTCCCAGCACCATTTATTAAATAGGGAATCCTTTCCCCATTGCTTGTTTTTGTCAGGTTTGTCAAAGATCAGATGGTTGTAGATGTGTAGCCTTATTTCTGAGATCTCTATTCTGTTCCATTGGCCCATGTGTCTGTTTTTGTACCAGTACCATGGTGTTTTGGTTACTGAAGACTTGTAGTACAGTTTGAAGTCAGGCAGCGTGATGCCTTCAGCTTTGTTCTTTTTGTTTAGGATTGCCTTGGCTATATGACCTCTATTTTGGTTCCATATGAATTTTTTTTTTTTTTTTGAGACAAAGTCTCACTCTGTCACCCAGGATGGAGTGCAATGGTGTAATCTCGGCTCACTGCAAACTCCACCTCCCTGCAAACTCCACCTCCCAGGTTCAAGCTATTCTCCTGCCTCAGCACCCTGAGTAGCTGGGATTACAGGTGCCCACCACCACGCCCAGCTAATTTTTGTATTTTTAGTAGAGGCAGGGTTTCACCATGTTGGCCAGGCTGGTCTCAAACTCCTGACCTCAGGTGATCCTCCCGCCTTGGCCTCCCAAAGTGCTGGGATTACAGGTGTGAGCCACTGTGCCTGGCCCCATATTAATTTTAAAGTAATTTTTTTCTAATTTGTGAAGAATGTCAATGGTAGTTTAATGGGAATAGCACTGAATCTATAAAGTACCTTGGGCAGTATGGCCATTATCACGATATTGATTCTTCCTATCCATGGTCATGGAATGTGTTTCCATTTGTTTGTGTTCTCCCTGATTTCCTTCAGCAGTGGTTTGTAGTTCTCCTCAAAGAGGTCCTTCACTTCCCTTGTTAGGTGTAGTTATTTTATTCTCTTTGTAGCAATTGTGAATAGAAGTTGATTCATGATTTCACTCTCTGCTTGTCTATTGTTGGTGTATATGAATGGTTGTGATTTTTGCACACTGATTTTATATCCTGAGACTTTGCTGCAGATGCTTATCAGCTTAAGAAGCTTTCGGCTGAGACAATGGGGTTTTCTAGGTATAGGGTCATGTCACCTACAAACAGAAACAGTTTGACTTTCTTTCTTCCTATTTGAATACGATTTCTTTCTTTCTCTTGACTGATTGCCCTGGCCAGAACTTCCAACACTATGTTGAACAGGAGTGGTGCTAGATTTCAAGAGGAATGCTTCCAGCTTTTGTTCATTTAGCATGATATTGGCTGTGGGTTTGTCATAAATGGCTCTTACTGTTTTGAGGTATGTTCCATCAATACCGAGTTTATTGAGAGTTTTTAACACGAAGGGATGTTGAATTTTATTGAAGGCCTTTTCTCCACCTATTGAGATAATCATGTAGTTTTTGTCTTTAGTTCTGTTTATGTAATGAATTATTTTCATTGATTTGCGTATGTTGAACCAGCCTTGCATCCCAGGATTGAAGCCAACTTGATCATGGTGGATAAGCTTTTTGAGGTGCTGCTGGATTTGGTTTCCCAGTTTTTTATTGAGGATTTTTGCATCAATGTTCATCAGGGATATTGGTCTGAAGTTTTCTTTTTTTGATGTATCTCTGCCAGGTTTTGGTATCAGATGATGCTAGCTTCATAAAATGAGCTAGGGAGAAGTCCCTTCTTTTCAATTGTTTGGAATAGTCGCAGAAGAAATGGTACCAACTCCTCTTTGTACCTTTGATAGAATTCAGCTGTAAATCCATCTGGTCCTGGGCTTTTTTTGGTTGGTAGGCTATTTATTACTGCCTCAATTTCAGAACTTGTTATTGATCTATTCAGGGATTCAACTTCTTTCTGTTTCAGTCTTGGGAGGGTGTATATGTCCAGGAATTTATCCATTTCTTGTAGATTTTTTAGTTCATTTGCATAGAGTTTTTTATAGCAGTCTCTGATGGTTGTTTGTATTTCTGTGGGGTCAGTGGTGATATTTCCTTTAACATGCTGTATTGTGTCTATTTGATTCTTCTCTCTTTTCTTCTTTATTCGTCTAGCTAACGGTCATTTTATTTTATTTTATTTTATTTTTTTAAAAAAAAGCCTGGATTCATTGATTTTTTTTGAAAGGGGTTTTTGTGTCTCTATCTCCTTCAATTTCATTCTGATCTTTGTTATTTCTTGTCTTCTACTAGCTTTATTGTTTGCTTGCTTTTGGTTCTCTAGTTCTTTTAGTTGTGATGTGTAGGGTGCTGATTTGAGATATTTCTAGCTTTTCGATGTAGGCATTTAGTACTCCTAATTTCCCTCTTAACACAGCTTTAGCTGTGTCTCAGAGATTCTGGTACTTTGTCTCTTTGTTCTCATTGGTTTCCAAGAACTTCTTGATTTCAATTAGTGAAATTCACTATATTAATATATTTAAGAGAAAATATTATACTATCATCTCATGAATGCAGAAAATATATTTGATAATATTTAACATTCACTTTTAGAAATTTAACATAATACATAGTATTTGTGAGAAACATAAAGATAATTTACTTTAATGAGGAAAAATTGAAGTGTTGCTTTTGTGATCAGAAAGATGACTGAAACAAAAATGTATGTTTTATCCAAGATTTTACATGTGCATTACATAATAAATGATGAAAAAATATACCAGCCATAGACTAGATGAAAGTATTTGTGGCCAGTGCAGTGACTCATGCCTGTAATCCCAGCACTTAGGGAGGCTGGGGCAGGCGGCTTACGAGGTCAGGAGATCAAGACCATCCTGGATAATATGGTGAAACCCCGTCTCTACTAAAAATACAAAAAAATTAGCCGAACATGGTGGCACGCCCCTGTAGTCCCAGCTACTCGGGAGGCTGAGGCAGGAGAATCACTTGAACCTGGGAGGTGGAGGTTGCAGTGAGCCAAGATTGTGCCACTGCACTCCAGACTGGGCGACAGACAGAGTGAGACGCCATCTAAAAAAAAAAAAAAAAAAAAAAGAGTATTTGCAACGACTATAACAAACAAATGAATATTAACTAGAATATAGAGAGCTCTTGTACATGAGTAAGGAAATGACAATCAATAGAAAAATAGGCTGAGAACATAAACAGACAAGTCACAAAATAGGTAAAACAAATGGTTAAAAACATGTAAAGATTTTCAACCTCAGCAATAATCTAAGAAATTCCAAGTAAACATAATGACAGCATAGTATTCCCATTTCCATCAAATGAGAAAAAATTTATCTTATTTTCTAAAGGCAAAAAAGAAAAAAAAAACCAGTGACCTATAGCAAACATGGTAAAAAGTTAATATCTTTTAAACTTGGAGGTCTATGTTGAATGCTTACATATTTCGAGGTATATATGTTGGATGCTTTTATATTTTGTCTTATTTCCTGGGTTTGAAATGATTCCTAGTCTGAAATTTAAAACTATTTCAATATAACCTTACAAAATGTTTTGTTATTTGAGGTGAGAGAGACTTAATTGTGACTCTATATTCACTATATGTGTAAACTTTTATAAATTTTATAACTTCTCTAAACCTTCATGTTCTCATTTATTGAATTGGATACATATCTGCCTTATATGATTATTTGTAAGCATTAAAAAGAAATTAAAATGCTAACAGTGGCAGGCCCCAAGAGGAATAGCTGTCAAAAAGTGACATTCTACAAATATTTTCCTTTATTTTTCATAAGAAATTATTGAAAGCGGATTATTTTGCAGCCCCCTCAATTTTCAGCATCTCTTCATTTCTTCATCCACAAAATGGAGTGATAATATTCTATTCACCTACACTAGGTAGCTGTGTGAACCTGCTATGAGACTGCCTTTGGCTGCTCATTTCATTCAGAGTAGAAGTGATACAGGATTTTTCTCAGCCCCTTTTCTGGACTCCCAGCAAGGGTGCGCTGCCTACTTAGCCCATCATACTCAGCCTCTTCAAGAGGAAGCACATGAATGAGTGAGTGTGGGATTCGGCCGGCCACTCAGCTGACACAGGAGCAAACTCCAAGCAGGGCCTATAGCCAGACCAGGCATTTCGTCTTGAGGGGAACACAGTGGCACTCAGGCAAGGGTGCCCGTGACCCCAAAGCCCCAGAGGTGGTGTTAGTCTGCTGATTAGCTCTTTTAGTTCCACTGTCCACAGCCCAATGAACAGCGGCATGTTAGCAGCTCAGTCAGCCCCGACCCTGTTGCGTGAGGTGGCTGCCCTCCACCAGCAAAGGCAAAGGGCCAGTGTGACAGCCTTTCTGAGTACTCATACTTGGTGGGTCCCAAGCTCTTGTCCAGCATCCAAGAAGAATGAGGTCACACTTGATTACTGAAGAATGGTGAGGGCAGATAATTTTGTTGAGCAATGAAAACAGCTCTCAGCAGAGAGGGGAGCTGTAGAGGGGATGGGAAAGGCAGGTCATCTTCCCCTGAAGTCAGGAGGTCTCTTCCCTGACGTCAGGCCATCTCCTTCCCATGAGACCATCACCACTCTACCAACGGAGTCTGGGTCTTTACAGGCACAGGGTGGGGGCAGCGTGGGCCATAGGTAGTATTGGAAAAGGCAACATTCAACTGGTTAAAAGGTGTTATTCAGAAAGAACCAATCGGGAGAGAGCAAGTAAACAGGAATAGAAGTTCTCACTCTGGTCTGCAGGTTTCAGGATGTTTTGGGCTTGAAAGTGGGGTTTCACCAGGGACCTGCCCCTGTTTGCCTAGGATTTCTCTGCCTTCTGCCTCTATTAGAAGTGGGTCCTCACAATGGCTGACAAGTCCCTCCCTCTCCCTGAGCTGCCCTCTCCTCCACACTGTTAATCTGTCAACCTCTTCTCCTCCTCCTCCTCCCTGCCCTTGGTCCCAGCCACACTGGCCTTCTTGCTGCCCTTTGTACATTTCAGGCAAGTTGTTACTTAAAACTATTTCACTGCTGTTATCTCTGCCTACAACACTTCTCAAACTATCCACATGGCCAACCCTCTCACCTCTTTCAAGTCTTTGCTGAAATGCCAACTTTTCAAGTACACTTATCCAAATCAGCCTATTCAAATTACAACACTGCCCACCCAGCTATTCACTGTTTTGATTCCGCTTATATGCTCCGCTTAATGTTTTTTCCACAGCACCTATCACCCTCTAACAGACTGTATGACTTGCTTATTTATTATGTTTATTGTATATAGTCATCCTTTCCATGCTACTACATAACCTCAATAAAAGCTGAGGCTTTTGTTTTCCCAATAATGTACTTCATGTAACCTGAATACTTCCCGACACTTGATAAATATTTGTTGAATGAATAAATATATGTGAAAAGCATATTCTTTGGGGGAAAAAAAAACATGACCTTAGAGCTTTAAGCAATTTGAACTTTTATTGGACAAATAAATATCTCTTGTCTGTCTTTATGATTTATGGAATTGCAGATAATTTTGTAAATAGAAATACAAAAAAAATTCACAGAAAGTTCCTACAAATGCACACCATCAACATATACAATTCTTTAATGTGAATCTAACTACAAAAATACCACTTGTGGAAGAAGATGAAGTATTCTTAAGGAACTGTGATATTTGCCAGTAAGTAGTCTTGTCAGAATCTTATGCTATCAAGAACAGAGAAAGGTGGTTTGGGTGTGTATAAGAAAAGATGTAAATAACATGTCAAGTGACAAATCCTCAAAATACTGTCCCAAGTTTCCAAAAATAATTGTTACCTGATAAGTCATAGATTTGTAGTTGATGAATAATTGACTCCATCTGTCGGAGGCATTTGAACCAGAGCAACTCCATCTTGAATAGGTGCTGAGTAAAATAAGACTGAGACTTACTGGACTGCATTTCCAGGAGGTTAGACATTCTAAGTCACAGGATGAGATTGGAAGTCAACACAAAATACAGATTGTAAAAACCTTGCTGATAAGACAGATTGCAGTAAAGAAGACGGCCAAAACCCACCAAAACCAAGATGGTGGCAAAAGTGACCTCCGGTCGTTCTCACTGTTCATTATGTGCTAATTACAAAGCATTAGCATGCTAAAAGACACTCCCAGCAGTGTCACGACAGTTTACAAATGCCATGGCAATGTCAGGAAGTTACCCTGTGTGGTCTAAAAAGGGGAGAAACCCTCAGTTCTGGGAACTGCCCACCCCTTTCCCAGAACACCCATGAATAATCCACCCTTTGTTTAGCATGTAATCAAGAAATAACTATAAGTATCCTTTGTCCAGGAGCCCAAGCTGCTGCTCTGCCTATGGAGTAGCCATTCTTTTATACCTTCACTTTCTTAATAAACTTACTTTCACTTTACTCTATGGACTCTTCGATTCTTTCTTGCAGGAGATTCAAGAACCCTCTCTTGGGGTCTGAAATGGGACCCCTTTCTGGTAACATCTTAAAATTATATTTCCAAAAGATTTTCTGGATAATTGCTGCAACAAGTAATTGGAATTGTGTTCTATAACCATCCAGTGGGAAAAATGCACTCACAGATGTTTATTTGTTTGCCAGAGTGTTGTACCCTTTTTTGTTTGTTCAATTGACTTAAAATATATATAGCTACTTTGCATGTCAAATTACATTATAAAATGTCAATATAAAAATAAATTTAAATAGGACAGTCTACTATAATTTTAAACAAGTGTTTGAATCCCATGCCAAGTTTGAAGTGAGGACAAAGCTGTAAACGATTACTTGGTGACATCACTTGCAGTGTGGCAGGGAGTGCCCAAGCCATCCCCAGCACACATGTGGTCACTCAGGCACCAGTCTGCTGTGTCCTCATTTTTCTGTGATCCAGCAAAAAATCCAAGCATCTTGATCTTATTCATTTATTCTGCTTCTACCCGCTGTGACAATTAGAGATGCCCTCGTGGTTGAATCAGAAGATTTTCCAGCCAACAAAGTACACATCATTGCTGCAATTTGTCCAGAAAACTTTTTTGTCTGAGGTATGTGTTTTCTAGGTTCAGGCATCTGAGAAGGACACTGATAATGTGGAATCAAAGCAAACTATAACACAGTGGGCATGAATTTAGAAAGAATTGACTGACTATAAGGCTGTAATTTGTCTATGGCTTTCCATTCCACATGGTTCTCTGTAAATAGACTTAACGAAAATTAAGTATCCCACTAACTGATATAGAGAGATAACAAGGAAGCAAAAGATGTTTCTTTCTACCTTCAGTGCATTTACAATCTTGTTTGAGAGAAATTACATGAGCACTTATATTTTTAAGAAGACAACATCTGATTAATAATTTCTAAGTAAATCACAGAGGTAGTCCACAGAAAGATACACCAAAATGGACGAGCACGCTTTGTGAAGGAGCTAGATTGGAAAGGAGGTAGCAGAAAACAAGCTATTCCACTGCTGGTGTTGGAGGGAAGACAAGCATGCATTTTTAGCCGTACCTCAACATAAAGGAATGTAGCATCCTGCCAGCAGTTCTTTGTTTTATATTGTGTATGCACATATATGCAAATTTCAGGTGGCTCTTCTCCATAGTAAAGTGACCTCATCTTGCCTATCTCTCATCAAATGGCTTTAATGTCTGCTACTCAACTATCTCATGATTAGCACCTCCCAGTCCTGCATCCTCACCACACCTTTTAAGCCCTATCTAGGCTCCACAATTAGAAATATTAGTGCACTCTACTACTCATGAGAACCAGTTTAGCATACTGGTTTTTCTCATAAAATAGAAAACATAAAGTCACTATAACAATGGGTTTCATCTTACCAGCTTATCAAGGAGCCAAGGAAGAGACAGCTGGTGTGGTGGTTAACTCCCTGGTTGCTTAACCCAGTAAGTCATACTCCCTGGGTTCAGAATGCTGGGTGTGCCCTTTCCTGGAGCTCTGACACTGAGCAAATTTCCAAAGCTCAATGTGCTCATTTATAAAATGGAGGTAATAATGGTACCTCACAAGGTAATTGTGAAGATTTAATTGGTTAATACCTCTAAAATGCTTTGAGCAGGGCCCTATCTAAGCAGTTGCACTATTTCTATTAATAATTTTATTACTGAGTGAACTGAGAAAAGAGTCATATGGCTTACTTAAAACATCAACCTCCTTCCATAGAAACATTTTCAGTTTTTAAAATTTATAATGTCAGTTTAATTTGTCAAAACTAAGTACTTTAACATAAATCTTCAGCCCATGCCAGCCAAGGGCGAATTCGGGGATACCTTAAGGCCACTGAAAAACCAGACAGCACCCTCAAACTATAGGTCTGCCATACTGCCATACTTGAAGGCCGGAACTCTGGTCACTGCCTCCAGGCCTGGCCAATGCTGAAGGCAGAATGTGCTCAGAGGTTATAGGGATCTCCAAAGCCATTAGACTGTTGGGAATTTGAAGATTTTCTTTTCACTGTCCCTAAAACACTGGGAGTTAACAAAATGTTTTTGGACCTCTCCTTGCTGCCTGAAATGGAAAGCCCACTGAAGATTGGAGACTTATTTCCATGGCAGTTTATCATTCAGACACACATGTCATAAGCAACTGTAGCTCCAGCAAAGTGTTATGCAGAGGCTGCAACAGAAATTGCTAGCTGGCCACCAAATTTCTCTACTTTTCTTTCCCAGTGTGCATTAGTTGCTGAGAAGCAGCCTCTTCCCCTCCCCCAGGAAGGAACATTTTCCAAGACCACTTACATCTGGGTAGAGACATGAGGCTAAATCCTGGAAAATGGAAAGTGGGCAGAAGTGATATTTTGAAAATATTTTCCCATGAGATTTCCACTCTTTCTCTATTCCCATCGGCAGGCTGGATTTTGAGGCTGAGTGATTTTGGACACTGAGTGTTTCATAAAACTGGGTCCCTGTGAGCTGCAGAGAGTAGAGCCCCAGCTGCCACTTCAGCTTGATATGAGTGAGAAATAAATTTACATTATGTTAAGCCACAAGGAATTTGGGGTTTATTTGTTTCAGCATCTAGCATTACATTGTTGTTAATGAAGGGGTATAACTTAGAGAACAGACTTTGCCCAGTAGCAATGATGGCCAAAGCACAGGCATAACTCGACATTCACCACAGCCTTAAAAAACAATAGACATGTAGATATCTCATTAGACAGTACAATGAGAAAATCTCAGACTACTATAAAATGTTACCAAGAAGTCTGGTTTCATTGTCTTCCGAAGCTACAAATTTTGCAACTGTTCATGAATTTAAGCATTTTCCAGACCATTGAGGTTCAGATATGTTTTGAATAAACATTCAATTGCCTGGGTGCTTATTTAAAAACAAAATAAATCTCCATCCTTTTAAAGGCCTTTATATGACGAATAACTATTATCATAGTGGTTATTGGATGAAATAATCTATAACTAGAGGAGTATGAAGTAGTAGCTATACAATTTCTTAGCAGAGGGTGAAGTTTTTTGGGTCTTCCCTAGGCCAATTTCTCATTGTAATTATTTCTAAATCATTACCTTATGGCAGCTTTCACCACAATAGAAACCCAATTCTGTATGACGTTTAAAAGAGATATAGAAGAGTACCTGTCAAAAATAATTATTATGGCCAAGAAAGAGTGAATGTCTGACTTTAGTCAAAGAAAATGTTTATGTAAACGAAAAATGTCTGTAAGAACTTAATAGATTTAGTGCCATTATAAAGAATTATTATACAAGATTGATGTCTGTAAATTCTAGTAAAAACTATGCAGTCCACCTTCCTTAGTAGATCCTGTCTCCAAATAAATGCTTAGTAAAAAGGCAAATCCCTTGAAAGGAAGGATTTTACTATCCTCCTGCTAAATCAGTTTTATGAGCCATTTGCTTAACTTGTCCTGTGTCTTGTCAGGTGTGTCTTATGTTTACCATACTTGTCAGCATTTGTTCTCACCTTTCACTCAGTTGTACCTTTAAATGCATTGACAGATTCCTTCATCAAATTTAATGGGCTCTTTCAGACAAAGGAATAATTAACTAATCAGATCTTATTTGCAATAATCCTAAGAAACCAATTTCCCTGGGGGTTCTCCAGACTGTTAAAAGCGTGCTCCAGGCCTATAAATGAGGGTGGTGCCTACATCAAGGGGTATTTGTCATGCCCATGAAGTGGAGGCTTTCACACAGGGATGAACTTTCATTGAAAATTTTCACTTCAAGTTCTTCCTCTCCTTGTCTTTTCCTTGTTGTTTTTAACTAATACAAATTGCTTGGTGTAAATACTCAAAAATTTAATTTTAATGTAAAGTTAGGAAAAAGGTAGCATTCTTACAATTATTTTGTCAATGTATGCATTGAGAAACATTTCAAACATAAAGCTCTGTGATATTTTATTTCTAGAGCATGAGAAGAGCTCCAATTTTCTGACAATAAAATACAGAATCAGACCTTCACCACTGTGTTGAGTGACCATTTGTTTGAAACTCCTTCACTCTGCTAACAACCTACCAAATGCATTTTAGAGCAATTACACCCTTTCACTGACTCTCCATTCGTAGAATTCACATATAATTGATATCAGCCAATTTCAAGGATGACCAATCAAAGTACTGTATCTCTCTAGTGATAAAAATTGGTTAAGACAGTATTTCCCAATCTTATCCTTAGCATGGTCCACATAAAAATTGATATTAATTAGAATGTCACATGAAGCTGCTGATGGCCAGAGGTGGCTAGTCAGGGGACTCTGGCTACCTCAGGCTCTGCTTGCCCACTCCGAAGGCTGAAGATATTCTATACTCAGCACAGATACAACTCATTTAAGCCACTTCAGTATTACTGCAATACTCCAGTGTGCTTGGTCACAGCAATAAAAGTAGTAGGTTAAGGCAGATATTAACAAGACAAATAAGACTGATTCAAGATGATCAGATTCAATTCCAGTTTGGATTAGAGAGAAAGCTAGAATCCATTTTCTTAAACATTTGCTGGGCTAACAATGTGAGCCTGGCAAAGCCAGGGCTCCTCTGTGGGGCCTGAAGATAGTGACTTTATGTGAATGCATTAGTGCCTCACAGAAAAGGAGGCATACCCCTGAATGTTTCATTTATATGAGCCAATAAATGCCATTTTTTACTTAAGCCACTTTCTGTGATACACAATTGTAGTTGTAACTGATAAATGTCTACATGGATCACATTATTCTGAAATATCTGTTCGGCTGTTTTCTCCCCACCTGCACTATAAATTTACTAAGGATAGGAGCTACATAATTAGCCAAATTTATATGCCCAGCAAAGTACATAGGCCATATGATGAGGTGGTACTCCATGAAGATATATGATTGTAAAACTGAATTTACAAATGTGTATTTTAATTAAGAACTATGAATGTAATAAAATCAAATTTTGGCCTGTTTATCCCATAGATTTCTGAGCAACTTTACAAACAAAGCCTTAAGTATTTGGACATCTTAGAATATAGCACATGAGAGGAAAAGATAAACAGTTAAATGACTTCACTTAAAAATTATATTACTGAATTTATTATTTGGTCATTCAAAGCTGCAAACTTCCTCACCCAAATCAAATGGCCTTAAGGTTAAAGTAAACAAACAACATCAACAAAAATGCTAAAACTCCTGCTTTTCAATTCTGCTCTCTGGTATTTTTTTATTCTATCCTCTCTCCATAAATCACGCAATCTAATTGCTCTTCCTCTTCTTTTTTCTTCCCTCTCCCATAAGAGCAGTCAATTATTAATTCTAAAACTTGAAAATGGTGGGCATATGGTCTGATGACCAAAACCAACCAACACGCAAACAAGCTGGGTGTATTGATTTTCAGATCTTCCTTTTAGCTAATTTCTATTATTGATTAACAGTAAAATTATAGTTAAGTTTGCTCTGGCTACTTTAAAGTTTATTCAAAGGGAAATTTGGATAAATTAGTGTTGACTTTCTTTCACAAATGATATATTAAAGCTCAAGTAAGAATGTGGGAACTGGAGTTACACTGGAAGATTCACAGTGTTTTGAGCAAAACAGGATTTTACTTAAAGTGATTTCACTATACTGGTTGAACAGCAGACTAAAGGTGAAAAGGAGAAAGAGAAATGATAATTTTTTAACACTTCTCTCTACATGGCCCATAAACCAAGCCCCATGACTTTCCCCTTAGAACTATATGAGACACTCCCTGAATTATCTTGGGGTGGTATCCACTGGAAAACTGTTTAAAACCCTTAGGCTTCAGCTTTTTAGTAAAGGGATCTAAGATTGTAGTGGGCACAGAGGGGAGGCAACCCAGTTTAAACAGGACAATCTTTAAAATGCTCAGGATGCAGTTGCACTGGGAAATTTAGAATTGGAGTGAAGGATGTCATGCTACAGTAAAGTGAAAGATGAAGAGAAGATGTTTAAGGAATCATTAGATCCTTAAGGCCCTAGATGCCTTCTCCTGCTTCATGACTTTAGGTGGCTACTTTTTTCTGCATCCTTGAAGAAATCCTAATGTCTGAAGAAGGTAAAAGGGATATTGTCTGGACAAAAGGATTCCAGGCACAGTTAAACAACTGAGTACCTAATGAAAATAGGAAATTACGTGACAGGTATGCCATCATTAGCCCTTCCTGATCACCCTGAAATGAAGTCAAGGTCGTCAATCTCATCCACATGTCAATGCTTGCAATCACTTGTTACTCCCCCATCCTTAATCATTAGCAGAGATCCCAGAATTGTCATCTGAGAAAAGCTTCTTCCATATAAGATAGAGACTAAACAAACCAAAAAGAATAAAAGAAATTTGGAAGAAATAGAAACTATGCAGAGACATTTTTTAAAGGTAGTTATTAAAAAAAAGATATCAACAGAAGATAAGAAAACAAATTGCAGCCCTGAAGCCAGATGGGCATCCTCCAAGAAAAGAAATATGTCGAGAACAAAAAGTAGCTCTTAAAATGTAAAAAAAAAGAAAGAAAAAAATTAAATATTTAAAAATAAGATATTTAAAGGAAACAAAATAAATACAATAAAATAAAACATGTTTTAAAATGTAAAAGTAAATTTAAAAGCATATAAAACATAAAGTTATGGAAATTATCCTAGAATATAGAACAAAAGAACACATAGATTAAGAGAGAAAGGTAAGAAACTTGGAAGTCCATTCTAGGAGGTTCACCATCAGAATAATAGGAATTTCAAAGAGGAAAAAGAAATATAGAAAATGAGGTGATAGGAGGGAGAAAATTATTAATAAAATAATTCAAGATAGTATCACAAGATTGAAGGACATGAGTTTCTAAAACGGAAGGGTATACTTAGTTCCCAACACAATGTCAAGAGTAGATCCACAGCAAAGCACATTAATGTAAAATTTCATAAACATGCAAAGAGGGGATTTTAATAGCTTCTAGAGAAAAATGAAAAAACAAACTAACCAACAAAGAGAAAAGTTGGTTACATGCAAATTGCTGGGAATCAGAATTGCTTTCATTCACTAACATCACCACAAGAAATTAACAAAATGATATAAAAATGCCTTCAAAACACAGAAGGAAACTTATTTCCAACCTAGATTCCTATACTCACACAAAATGCCAGTCAAATAGAAGATTAGAATAAACACATTTTAGATATAAATTATCTTTGAAAAGTTAATCTCTCACCTCTCTCTCTCCAGAAGCACCTGTGGGGTGCTCTAACAAAACAAGGAGCTTGACCACAAAATAGAATAGATGAGAGATAGAAAATATGGGTCTAACACAAGAAGAGAGAGAAAGGAAGGGAATTCCCTTGACTGTGAAGGGAGCAATAAGTCTGGATTGCAAGGCAAGGCCTCTTTCCTTTTCATACGTGCCAACATTCAGGAACAGTGAGAGTAGATGGAGACCTCATTGTTATTGATGCAATTAACATTGGTGATAGCTTATGACTGAGACTACAAAGTAGAAGAATAAAAAAGAATGTTCCTAACATGAATGATTGCAGCGATGTTTGATATCTTTCTGACAACTTGACAAAACACTTTGATCATAGACTGCAACAGAGAATACACAAATCTTCCCATCGAAAGAAATTCCCTTATATAGCGTATGTCATCAAAGGTAAGAGCTTTTCATTTTTATTTGCAATTTATATTTGCAATTTATTCCAAGGATAAACTTGGGAATCTAATTAATTGCCCATACATACAGCTGAGTCACCAAATGGCTACATTCTCAAAAAAGGGCAAATGAAAACCAAACCCATCATGCAGAGAGATAGCAGGAAAACTGGCTGGTCTCAAACTTGACATTGACACTACTTGGAGAGAAAAAGAATCTCCCTCAAGAATTTGAAGCACAAACCATTACTCACATGGGTTTGTGGCATGAATTTACCTTATCAATGAGGCTCAAAAAAACAACAGATTTTTAACCTAGATAATTTAATTTAGAGAGTGCTCAAGCAGATAATTTAATTAAGAATAATCTCAGGTTGGTAGTATTTCTAGTGACTGACAAAAGCAAATGCAAATCCCCTCAAGGAGAAATCAAGTCTAAGAACTCTTGATTGTAAGGTGCATCCAAATTTCACAGCTGTTGAAAAAGGAAAAAATAAGCTCTCTAGAATCCATGATACATGATATGTAAGTCTTTGTAAAGGCATAGAATATATCTGAAAGCAGGCATAGAAAACTGGTGAACGGCTACATCTGGTGAGAGACATCAGTTTACTTTGGCAAGGGGTATATGGAGATCTACTCTTCCCTATTCCTCCCTTTATTCATTGTGTAAGCTGCTGTAACAAATTACCACAAACTTTGGGGTTCAAAGCAACACAGGCTTATTACCTTAAATTTCTGGAGGTCAGAAGTCTGACAAGGGTCTCCCTGAGCTAGATCAAGGTGTCAGGAGGGCTGCATATCTTCCTGAAGGCTTTAAGGGAAAATCCGTCTCCTTGCCTTTTGCAGCTTCTAAAGACCACCCATATACCTCGGCTTGTGGCCCCTTTCCTTCATCTTTAAAACCAGAAGATCACATCTCTCTGGCTTTGCATCTATTCTCACATCTCTCTGTAACTGCAGCCAGGAAGTGTTCTCCAATTTAAGGATTCGTGTGATTAGATCAGTCCACCAAATAATCCGGGATAATCTCTCCATTCCAGGGATCTTAACCTTAATAAGCATCTGCCAAGTACGTGCAAGGTCCTTTTTCCATGTAATGTGACATACTCACAAGTTCTAGGAATTAGAATATTGACAGCTTTGGTTGAGATGGGGGAAAGGGGCATTAGTCTGCCCCTACTCTATTGTCTTCTTTGATTTTTATAATATGCGGTGCGTTATCTTTTCAAGAACTGAAAAAATTAAAATACATTCTCTAAAAAGGAAATTACAAATGCCCCTGATCTTGCATCTCCAGTTCTAAGATTTTATAGATATATTAAAAATGTGAAAAATGAATGGGGTATGCATAAGATTATTCACTGAAAAATTTTAATATCAGAAGATTGAAAAGATCCTAACCATACATCAAGAGAATAATGAAATAAACTGAGTCCACATGCAAAATGGAATCCTATGCAGCCATTTAAAAAGAAGAAACACATTATGTGCTCATATGGAACAATCTTTATGGTTAATTGTTAAGAAAAAAAAGCAAGATGCAGGAACTCTTTGGGTGTGTGTGTGTGCAAGCATGAACACATGCACACACATAAAATGCGTGTATTTATTCACTCAATTATATAGCCATAAATTACTGCTGAAAGGATACACAGGAAATTGATAACAGTAGTTTCTTCCAGAAGGGAAAAACGGATCCAGGAGAAAGTTATATGAAAAAGGTTCTTTACTATATGCCATTTTGTATCTTTCAGATTTTAAGCCACGTATTCAAATTTCTTATTTAAAATATTAAGTCAAATTTTTTAAAAACACATAACACTCAGGTTAGTGTTTAAAACAAAATCCAACTATTAATTACTTAAAATACTCAGACCTTAAAAATATACACAAATAGTTACAAATAAAAGTATAGTATTGTATTTATGAGGTAAAAAGTAAGGAAATCAAGGAGTAGTAAATTAAACAAGGTAAAAATTCAAGGCCAAGTTTAATAATCAAGAATAAAAGACAGTTATTTCACATTGTTAAATTGTATAATCCTCAAGGAAACTATGAATGGAGAAACAATGTATGAGTAACAAAACATTATATGTGTGAACTTTTGGATTGTATAGGTCTTTATCCATGAAACAAAAAGGGTTTGAAAATAAGAAAAAATTGACATTAAGACCATGGTTGATACAGGTTTAAAGACTTAAAGCACTGTGTAGCAAGTAAATAAGTTGAATATGAACTTGTTTTTGTAATAAATTGATAAGATCTGTTACACATACAAACACAATTCCAAGAATATTTTCATTCTCTAAACTTGGAAAAAACCTGTCTAATATAATTTACTTGACCAACTACAATATTGCATAACTGAGAATATTTTGTAACTCTTAACAATTACGGAGAATTGTGGTGGACCTGACATCCCTGAGATAGCCACCAACTATATTGAAGTAGGAATATTCAATGGACAACTAGATCTATTGACTTGCTAATTATCCCTTTCTTGTTCTCTAGTTTTATAACACATTAACTTCCAGTTTGGACCTCAGAAAAATGGAAAAATATTATATGTAGGTAACTTCAGGGTAACTTATAAATGTTAATACCATCAATATTAAATATGAGTATGCCAAGAATCTGATGAATAATAAAAATGTTATGCAACAGAGAGCAAATAAATGTATAGGACAAAAAAGAACCCTCAAATAAATGACCTAAAATGAAATATGTCCAGGCTTCCTCCTCTTGACACAATGGCTTAAAAGATAAAACCAAACTAAAACATAAGGAAAGTAAAAACACTTGTATAAAATTTAAGTGGGCAGGGCTTAGCTAATCTTAGATACAAAGTCACAGTTTTAAAATGTTTCATGATTAAATGAGAAAGAATGGCCGTAAGTAAATTAGCATTAACTTTAGAATTTTTTTTTTTTTTGAGCTGGAGTCTTTGCTCTGTGGCCCAGGCAGGAGTGCAGTGGTGCGATCTCGGCTCACTGCAACCTGCACCTCCCGGGTTCACACCATTCTCCTGCCTCAGCCTCCCGAGTAGCTGGGACTACAGGCGCCTGCCACCAAGCCCGGCTAATTTTTTGTATTTTTAGTAGAGACAGGGTTTCACTGTGTTAGCCAGGATGGTCTCGATCTCCTGACTTTGTGATCCACCCGCTTTGGCCTCCCAAAGTGCTGGGATTACAGGCATGAGCCACCGCGCCTGGCCCAACTTTAGGAATTTTATAAGCAACAATGAGCAATCTTCAGAGAAGAACAGAAATAATAAAATTAAAGGAAATATTGACAAATTAGAAAGCAGAAATACATAAAAATCCAAAATGTTAATTCTTAAAACTAAGCTAATAAAATGCATATGCTGACAAATCGAGTGAAAAAAGGAAAAACCAAATAAATCTGAAAATAAGAAATATGTACATATATTTATATTATCAAGTTAGAATGAATAGACTATGCATATAATATTTATATTTTTACACTATAATATACAGAATACTGACACAAGATTCTTTCCATGCCGCTTCACCTGCCAGAAATCTCCACAGCCAGCAGTACCCTGCCTGAGCCTCGCTGGGCTCCAGGCTCACCATGGGGCTCACTCTACCCACTCGGGCCAGTAGGCTGCACTCCACTGGCACTACCACCTTGGATTCCACACCTGCCATGGCTCTGTGCTGATCTGGGCATGCTGGAACTGTCCTCTGCCTTTGGCACCAGCATCTGGACAAGGAGAATGTGGTGGCATCCAACCCAGAGATGCCAGCAACCATGGAGCCCCAAGGGGTGTTACAGCTTCTGCCCAGGGAGTCCCGAGACCTGAGCCCCCAAGGACTGTTATAGCTCTCTCCCCTTTGTGCTGCCTTCATTGCAGGAAAAAGGGCAGGGACAGCGTGTTACAGCTCATTTGTGTTACATCTTACATTTGCTTCCACCACCTACAGAGCAGCAAATGGGGGTGGGGGCGGGGGCATGTTAAAGCTTCTTCATTCCTGCAGGCTTTGGCAAATGGGGGACATGTCACAGCTTATTTGTTCCTGCCACCCTCTCTGGCCAGCAGCTCCTGGACAGACCTGGCTCTGCCCTCCGCTGCTTCCCATGATGTGAGAGGGCAGCCCAGTGCTGGCAGAGGGTGGGAGGGCTATAGTGTTACAGCTCCTTTCACACCTGCCATTTGGCAGGTCCCGGGTTCTCGTCCCATGTCAAAGAAGAACGAGGTTATGCGGACACCAGAGAGTGAGCAAGGCGAAGAACGGCTTTATTGAGCAATAGAGCAACTCTCAACATGAGACAAGACCCAAAGTGGGCAGTCCTCTATGTGAGAGGGGGCCCAAAGGCAGGTAGTCTCCACGTGTGTCTGAGTCCAGCGTTTTTATGGGTTCAGAATGGGGGAGTGCATGCTGATTGGTCCATGGGTGGACCTGGAAAAAGCACCATTCAATTGGCTAACAAGCATTGAGTAAATCCTCACTGTGGTCATGAACTCTACCTGGAACTGGCAGCCCGGTTTTCAGGCCTCAGGTTGTCTTTGGCTTGAAGGTGGGGTTTCACTAAGGACTCGCCCTTGTCTGCCTAGGAATTTGTCTGTCTCCTGCCACTATCAATACTGTGATAGTCACCATGTAGATACAGGCTGGGAAGATATCTTTCTGCTCATTTAGGAAAATAATTTGCATACATATGAAACATAATACTTCAAGTTATTATTAAAGCAATATGTATGTATTGCAGTAGTCAATAGTATCTAAGTTAGGAAAAGACAGAGAAATGTCCCTTGGTGTGATCAGGGAAAGTATCACAGTTTACAGCCAGAAATGAACTGGAACTTGAAGTAAAGGGAAAGTGAGGAGGTACCAAAATACCAAGGATTCTAAACCTTTTATTCTTCCCCCTCTGACTCGGCTCAAGGGTCAAGAGTTAAAGGAAAGACATAAAAGTTTCACCCCTTCCTTAGCCAGCCTCTGTTTGAGGTTTCAGACAAGGATTCTTTTGAATTTCTCCTCCTGCCTCTCTTTTGCACTCTGAATCATGCATGGAATACAGATCATTGTCAAGAAGAGAAAATAGCTGGTATTCCCACCCACTCCCTCATGTCACATGACATAAACATTCAAACACTGGATTAGAAAAACTGATTGGGGAAAGAAGTTGAGAAAGTTATTGGTGTATCTGAATTTAGAAGTATGAACTTAATCCAAACCTAATAATTCAGGAATTGTATTAAGTGTTCTTAAAAGTCTATTGTGTGTCCAATCATGTGGACAAAAGCTTACTAGAAGTCCTGAGATTCATGCCAAAAGTAATGCAGGCAAGACATCTATCAAATATTGAGTACCTCTTATAGTGCAGACAAAATCCTAATAGCTTTTCATATATTATCTCATTTAATTTTCAAGAAAATGTTTGAGTTCATTTGATAATTGAGAAAATGTATATGGGGATACATTGAAACAATTTACCTGAATTTACAAAAGAAAACAGAGCTAGAGATTTTAACCCAGTTCTGTTTAAGTCCAAATACCACATTTTTCCTTCTTGAATCAATCTCATATTTATTGTCATTTTTAATGTGTGTTGTTTTTCCATCTGTCTTCTCTTTCTCCTTTTTTATCTAGAGGAGCTTCTAATTTTCTTATTTATTTTTTTAATTCTATAGACCTTAATTTGGGTGCCTGGTCTCAAGATCACGATTTTATCTCTCAGCTGTCACCAAGGTTTATCTCGAATCAGAAAAGCAGAGACAGATGTTGGAAGGCTTCTGTGCATTGCATACCAGCTATTTTCTCAGGGAAATAATTATTGAGTACCTTTGTAATGCATTTCACATCTGTTTATAAATGTAAAATTGCAATTATTTTTGTTTTTAAATGACTTTCTTCCAACAAAGGATGTGTTTTATTCTGTTTTTCCTTTCCTGAGTTTGAATGACCACTTCCTTCAAGAAACCAATGTAGAATTATGCCTCAACCTTCATTTCCAAGTTTAAGACCAACCTCTATGCCTTTTCTTCAACACTACAGAAAAGGTATTGTGTTCTCCACAAATCCTCAAACCACCTCTACATAGAGAGTATCCAGAATACAGGACAGATGGATGGATGGATGGATGGATGGATGGATGGATGGATGGATGGATGGATGGATAGACTGAAAAACAGATGGATGGATGGATTCAGTATGCATTCACAAACTAATTTTGACTATTATCAAAAATGAGGTTATTCATAATAATTTGGCAACTTCACATATTGAGTTTCAATACAGAAAATATTATAAATTTTCTTCTCATTTAAGTCTGGAAAATATATGGACTTATTAATATAGTGTAATAACACAGAAACAAGATATATGATATATTGAACCATAGGTTCAATTTTCAGTGTGGCATGCCCATGAAAAATTTTTACTATAGTAAGTAACCTTAGTAACAAAGTAAAATTAAATATTTAGATGCGACTACAAGTAATTTTGGCTTTACAACAATCTCTCTCCTATTTGGAAGAAATGTTTCCTCCTTTAAGCTAGAGACAAGAATCTCATTTTCAAGGATTGCTTTGAAACTATTTCCTCAACAGCTTGGTACAGGTGTTAACAGGAAAAAAGAACACTGGCGGGAGCAATTCTCTGCTGAACAAGGGAGGATGTAACAGGACTCCTGGTAAAATATGGTCTTGATCCAGAGGCAGGAAAGGACAGATGAATCATCAAAACCATGGGAGAGAAAACTCATTAAGTTGCTGAAAGTGACATCATCATATAGCCCAGTCTGTAGTGCTAAAGTATTCACAGCTATCTCATTGTAAAATATTTAGTTTTTTAAAGAGTATTATTGGTAGTTTAATTCCAGCTAAAGTCAGCAAGTGATGTTATGCATTTCCATTCATTTGGGGCAACAACTGAAAGTAATTGAAGTTTTAGAAAAAACATATGCAATTGTGAAATGGTACATCAGGGAATTAGACATCTAAAACAATATTAATTATATTTAGGGTGGTGTTCTCAGGAAGCTGGGATGAGGAAGATTCTATTTGTTTCAAAATAGATGTTTATATTTTTGTAGTGTATTGAAGTAAAAACAATGGAAATCAATATAACATGTCTAACAAATGCAGGAGTGACATTATAATTAATGAACCTCCTGAAACTGGCAGTATTTGACTATTTTTACCTACAAAATGACAATTTTGATAGTATCCTAATATATCCTGCAGTAGATTTTACAAATTTAGAAAATGACATGCATACCCACTTCTAAAATTATACATCTTGTTATTTCAGTTTTTGGTGGAAATTGTGTATCATCACTCCCATACCCAGTAACCAGGGAGGCACTAGATAGGGATAAATCTGTCATTCTAAGATAAGATATGATAAAAGTTACAGTCATTTTACTAACTTAGAAATAAAAAAGTTTTAAAGGGGAGAAGGAAGCAAGAAAATCAGAGGAAATAATGCTCTGAAAAATAACTGCATCTTAAATATATATATATTTTTATAAATATAGGCAAGGAAGCACTCATGAGTGATACCGATTTTAAAGGAAACCAAAAGGAAGCCAAAAACTTTGAAACAGTTGAGGACACAGGATGAAACCTAAATGTTGTGTGCAGTGATTCCTTTCAAACTGTTCTCTGCCTGTTCTTAGAGGAGATTGGGGCTTGTTATTTTTATAAGCCCCATGAAGTTCAAATAAAGTAGAGTTCAAGAAATAGCCTGAAAGACAGACATAGGTACTTATTTCCCAGTTTTGTTCAGGTAGAAGAGCACCTGGATGCTGTGAGCCATTTTATAGAGCACCATGAAATGTGGAATTATTAAACCAAATAATTATTAAACTCAAATAAACTAAATGTATGTCTGTGCCAAACCAAATACTGCATTATATTTGCATGTAGGAAAATGTTTTTAAGTTATTTAAAAAAAGAAAAATTGAAAAAAAAAGGTCCATTTTATATATTTTCTCTTCAAAAATTGCCATCATTTGACTTTCATGGTAAAATAACTTGACCTGGTTTATGAAACACTTGAGTTTTATGGCAACTGAATTTCAAAATAACTATTCCAAACTATTCCACCTCTTTCAAAGGATTGTATGAAAATATAAAATAATAATTTGCTTAAAGAAAACAAAAAAATTGATGTCCTATCTTTAATTTCCTGTCAAAGTTTTATTTAGGATTTTGCAAATTTTGTTTTAATTGGAAAGAAAGAGCCCTATCCAAAAATATTCCCCTTTCAACAAGAATTGAGTTCTAAACAAATATTAGTCATCGTAGAGTTAGTTTGATAGCTAACTCTAAGACATAAAAAAGGGGTCCTTCGGATGTATCTCTCCCCTTTATAAACTTTAAATTGGATAGGAAGGTTTATTTTAACTTAGAAGTTCCATATCATTTTCTCCTTTCTTCTTTTCCTAATTTATAACCCTACTCTGTAAAGCTGGCTGCTCAACTGGCTATTTTTAATTTGAAAGAAACTAAACAAAAGCCCTTACAGTGCTGCTCAAATATCTAATATATTAAACAAAAGTCTACTGACACAGAAAAATAACCAAACAGCTACTAATGATTTTCCTATAATTTCCATATTTTTATCCAATTTTCCTAAAGTCCCGCCAAATTCCAGGGGATGTTTTGGTTTTCTCACTCTGGACATTAGAGCTGCTCCTAGCGTGCAGCTGCAGCTCATCTGCAGCAGGGGTGTCCGTAAAGCCTAGCAGACCCTGCGCATGGGCACTCCTCCTCTCTGAATTTTCTTGAACTGGTTTAATCTGTATATGAAAAAGAAGCCCTCCTAAGGTGGTTTTGATTGAACAGAATGGTTGCAGCTTAAAATGGAAATGAAACAGTGTTCAAGTGGGAAATTATATGAGACATGTATAGATAACACTTAATGAAAATTCTCTCCTTACTTCTGTCCAACAGAGGCTTGCTATTAGCTGACAAAGAGAACAGCCTGCCCCACGAGTCTAATCTAATATATAGCAAATGAAAATAATATTCTCGTATTTAAGGTCAGAAAACAATCATACTGCAAAGGTCAGAAAACAATCATACTGCAAAGTCTTGAAATGAACACCAAGGTATCTTGATTTGGAAGATATAAATATCACTCACCTTTCTAATTAAGAACTTTCAGGATTATCAAAGCTCTTGCCTTGAAGCTAACCCTGATTTTTCCTTACTTCAAATCTCTTATGTGCCATGCCTACATGTTTGCTATTCTGCTATTCTAATTTAGAACATTAAATGCTTCTCTGTATAGATAAGGGTCTGGATTTAAATGTGCCATACAGAAAAAACAATCCTCTTATTGTTACCTGAGTATGGACTGACACTCCCTGTACATTGTTTTGACTATATTGCCGTTAGGCTAAATCACTATTTTCAATACATTGGACTATAATGGAGAAGAGATAGTGCAGACAAATCAAGACTGTAGGCATAATACTGCTTCCTAGCTGAGTCTGCCCTCCCTCCAGCCCCCAGCCTCTGCCCCAGCCCTTGTAATTCAGCAGTTAACACAGAATCACATTAATAGTGTCTTGGGCTATGGCAGCTAAGGCTTTTATGACCTATGTTTGCAAGTCTGTGGATTGTAGTCATGTTAATGGTAAACACGTGGTGCCCTCAGAGTAATTTCTCATTAATAAAACCTACAAAGCACAGTACTGTTTCTTTGAAGTTGCTGCTAAACATGTAATATTAGCTTCTGAAGCATTAGATGAGGAAATGAGCTTGATAAGGGCTCCTGCAGTAATAGCTCTAAATTGATTATTTCCTTCCCAAAATAAACTTGCCAGGCAGCCCTGTGGGCTTACTTCCGAAGACTTGCTCTGCCCAGGAATTTTATCACAAGGAAATGAATAGCAAAAACCCAGACAAATATGATAAGGCACATTCACAAGATATTAATACAGTTATGAGATTCAACCTTTTCTTAATGAAACTAAGATCTCTTGAGAATGGTCATGAGTTAGATATTCATTAATTGCATCCCAAACATGAGGGAAGAAAGAACAGTGTCTTTTAATGTTATTATATTACATAGTCAAGCACAGAAAATTCCAAGTTAAGTAGAAAAGAAAGCAAATGCAAACCTGTGTGCATTGTGATGTGAACATTTTCACATTTATAAGTCCTATATAAAAACTTATGTAAAGAACAATTTTTCAAAAGATGTCCAAAGAACACACCCTTGAATTTAGTAATACTTTATTTGTGTGTCATTCATCTGCATCTTCTGTTTGAAACTAGAGGCAAAAAAATTGCTTTTTCTGTGGATAATCAGTTTTTAAAACTCTTTATTAAGATCTTTTGGCAATGTGTCTACATCAGAAAATATTTCTTTAAAATAAAAAAGAAGCTGATTCAGGAAAAGCATTTTCAGAATTCCTTGGACTTCTTCAATCTGTATTAGCCACACACAAAAAAGAAAGAATTTGGAACTTGGAATTCTTGTGGTTTGGATTTCAATGAAGAAGAGACCCCTTTTTACCTAGAATGACTATGTGACAAGGATAGCTCTGTTTAAACACATTGTTGCTGCAATTGTTTTCAGATTGATTTATAAATATTGACTTTTATAATTTGGAATGGTCAATTTTGCACCTAAATTTGTAGTTCTTCCCACATTCATTCAGGTCCAAAATTGAATCCAATTTTTTCTTAGGACATTTAAAGAAAATTTTTAACCTAATGAAAGAACAGAGTTAAGACCACAGGAATTATTATCACTCTCTTTTCTTTTCAGAAAATACAATTATAAGAGTCTGGAAACATAATTTTTATTGTAGAAAGCATGTTTAAATAAGTAAACCTTGATCTCAAATGCCACAATTCCCATTTACAAGACTAACAATTGCCATGGCTTTCCCCTCACATACTTCATACCATGAAGAAGAAATAAGAAGTCAAAGCCATGATTTTGTTGCACTGTATATTTTTTTAATTCCTTCTGTAGACCTTAAAACATATAGGTGGCCAAGGTGGTAGATATAAAATACTTTTATTCAATTAGTATGTACTTCAATAAATGTATATGCAAAGAATCTTTTTGCCTTCTTACTTTCTAGTGCCATGGTTATACATAAATGAACAACTAAAAAGAAAAAAACACTGCTCTTCAAAGAGTTTCCTGTTTCTGAAGCAAGTTAGATAAACTAGACAGGTAGATACATACATACCTACATACATACACACACATTCACAGTACATACATACATACATACACAGGTGATAAATAGAGAGATACATAGATGAGTTACATTGGCAATAGATAAAGGACAATACTAAGGAGATACATTTAAGCACAGAAGAGATTAAGTAGAAAATTTAAACAAATCACTTGGGAATGCTATGGACTAAATTTTTTGTTTCCCACCCCCAAAATCAAATGTTGAAGCCAAATCCCCAGTGTGATGATATTTGGAGGCAAGGCCTTTGGTCATGAGGATGGAGCCATCATGAATGGGATTAGTGTCCTTATAAGAAGAGACGTGAGAGAGCTTGCTTCCTCCCTCTCTGCTCTCCACCAGGTGAGATACAATGAGAAGATAGCTGTCTCTAAACTGAGAATCCAACCAGGCTGGTACCCTGATCTCAGACTTCTCAGCCTCTAGAACTGTGGGAAATAAATTTCTGCTGTTTAAGCCACTCAGTCTATAGTATTTTTATTAGAGAAGCCCAAACTGAATAAGACAAGGAAGTTCTCACTGAGAAAATGACATTTTTTAAACAAGATGAAAGAGTTGAGGGAGGTAGGATGAAGACACCCAGGGGAAGAGCATTTCAGGAAGGAAAGGAGAAGTGCAAAGACTCCACAGAGAGCACGTGCCTGTATGTGTCAGGAGTGAGGAGGCTGGAAATGCTGGAGCAGCCCATGGGTGAAATGAGGCACCTGATCTCTTAAGAGCTTCTTCTCTGGCTGAGGTGTAATGCCATTGGATGCCTTTGAATAAAGAAGTGACATGGTCAGAATTGTACTGTTAGAGGCCATCCCCTAATGGTACTTGGTACCACATGCAGACAATCATAAACAAGGCCAAAAATCACCATGATCATTGTTTCAAGACAGAAAGAAAAATCGTCATTATCATATGTTGCTCCTGCAACATATGTGTCTCTTCTTTACCTTCCAAATTATCCTCAGTAGGAAGATAAGGGGCAGAGAAAAAGAAAAACACCCAGTGGCTGTTAGAAAAAGTTGGGGGTTAGAATGACATTCATGCACAGCTGCAATGCATTTTTCAAGTGTGAAAATTGCATAGAAGCAAAAATGACTATGTCAAATGTAATTGCTTTGCATTCTCTTTCCTAGGTTTAAAGAACCTATAAATTCGTATTCAGAACTTAAGCTTACATTTGGAAAGTGACTAGAAAGTTTGGCTTTACAGAAATTTGGTAGCCTTTTAAACTGATACAGAATGTGATTAACAAGGCTATTTCAGATCAAAATCCTTTACCCAATAGGCCATGTGTCATGGCCATATTCAGCTATTCTGTTCACTACAATATTAACTATTAAGTGATGAGCTACCCAAATCTCAAGAAATGATATTTGAATGTCTATTATTAAAGCTTACAATGATCTTATCACTCTTGCTGAGGTTTATTCAAGTTAAATATGAGAATTTGTGACTGAAAATTCCACAGTACTTTCTCTTATTGTGAAGCCTTTCCCAACCATTGCCTTGGTCCTGCAGTGTATGAAATTATTTCTTCAAGTACTGAACCCCGTTCTCCACATACAAATTCCCAATGTTTGGCCCTACAAATATCCAGCATCTTCAAAGAATAAGGTAGACAATACCACTGTGTAGGAACAGGGATCTCTCAAGGGGGTGAAAACGGGCCACTTGCGCAGGTGCCCTGGAACTTTGGGCAGATGGCAATGGGCACTAAAACATTGCATTAATGAGCAATTGCTTCTTTCAGAAAGACATCCCTAGTTACTCTGTCTGCCCAATGGGCAAACCTTTGACAGCCTTGTTATGCAATCAGTGTATTGTACCTAATGTGGCCTGAGTGTTAACTTGTTAGCAATATTCTGTTGACCCTTCCAAAGATAGAAGAGGGGATAGAAAGGGAGAAAGAAAGAGAAAGAGAGAAAAACAGAGAGGGAATGAAAGAGGGAGAGGGACATACTAAAAAGTTTTTTTTTTAATTTGGGGGAAAATAGCCTTTTAATAATCCCAGTCAATTAGCATTGGTATACAAATTATTGGTTTAGTTTCAGAATAAATTGGTTATCTTAAGAAAGTCAATAAATAAAACATTTCATGCTGCAGAATTAGTCTTTTTATAATTAGGGTCACCCTAAGCCAAGAGTGAAGTCCATGACTGTGTCTTTTACAAGTCCTCCATATCTGCTGGCAACTCCCACATTGGGTATCCACTTTCCTGGTTCCTTGATCTTGTTTGAGTGAGAAGCCCATAGCTGACAGATAACTCATAAGTTCTCTTGCTTTGCTAACCTAGTTGTGTATAGTTTCTTCTCTAGCCTGTTTCACAATTTAGCTATTTTATTTAATTCATTCAAGTTCAGGCCTCCCATGCTTTCAAATTAATCTGATAAATTAGTCTGTGCTAATGGGTTGGGATTATGGCTAAAAGATTCTCAGTTTCTTTATGTAAAAAAGAAAGGCAGAATTTTTGAATTTTTATTTTTATTTTTCCGTAAGTTATTGGGGTACAGGTGGTATTTGTAAGTTCTTTAGTGGTGATTTGTGAGATTTTGATGCACCCATCACCTGAGCGGTATAGACTGCACCATATTTGTAGTCTCTTATCCCTCGCCCCCCTCCCCCCAACCTTCCCCCAGAGTCTCCCAAGTCCATTGTATCATTCTTATGCCTTTGTGTCCTCATAGCTTAGCTCCCACTTATGGGTGAGAACATAAACAATGTTTGGTTTTCCATTCCTGAGTTACTTCACTTAGAATAATAATTTCCAATCTCATTTAAGTCACTGCTAATGCTGTTAATTCATTCCTTCTTATGGCTGAGTAGTAGTCCATCGTATATATATACCAGTTTCTTATCCACTCATTGATTGATGGGCATTTGGGTTAGTTCCATGATTTTGCAATTGTGAATTGTGCTTCTATAAACATGCGTGTGCAAGTATCTTTTTTGTATAATGACTTCTTTTCCTCTGGGTAGATACCCCGTAGTAGGATTGCTGGATCGAGTGGTAGTTCTACTTTAAGTTCTTTAAAGAATCTCCACACTGTTTTCTATAGTGGCTGTACTAGTTTACATTCCTAACAGCAGTGTAGAGGTGTTCCCTGATCACCGCATCCACACCATCATCTACTGTTTTTTGATTTTTCGATTATGGCCATTCTTACGGTAGTAAGATGGTATCACATTGTGGTTTTGATTTGCATTTCCCTGATCATTAACGATGTTGAGCATTTTTTCATATGTTGGTTGGCCACTTGCATATTTTATTTTGAGAATTGTCTATTCATGTCCTTAGCCCACTCTATCTACCTATCATAATGGTTTCAACCCAACTAGACCAACAGATATTTTATAATTCTGCATTTATTGTTTGGAAATTAAATCCATAGGTAACATAAACTACCTATGCATGTGATTTCAAGTGCAATGTATTAACTATAATATAAAGAAAATAAGAAGAGTCATTTATATAAAATTAAACTTTTCTCTATGTAAAGCTCTGTACTCTAGAAGACATAGTGAAGTAGTCAGATGTTTGCACTTCTATGTGGAATCATGGTGACTAGAATATCTGTAAGTGTAGACTATTATGAGAAGTGCTGCTGGTAAACTCATTCTTCAAAATGGTGAACAACCTAAGTAGAGTTCATACAAAGCAGAATTCAATGTTTCCTTGATTTATGCAATGGTTGTTACTGCAGGCACACTCAAGTGTGACTCCCAATTAGTTATAGCTCTTTACAATCCCCTCCCCTTGAGTGTAGATGAAGCCTGTGGCTTGCTTCTAACCAATAGACTATGACAAACTTGATGAGATATCAATCCAGTGATTATTGCACACCAGGTGCCAAAAATGAAGGGATTTAATACATGTCATTAGGGTTTCTCAAAGTTGATTTTGAGTTCATTAAGAAAGATGCGATCTTGACTTGACCTGGCCTCATCAGGCCAGCCCTTTAAATGAGAGTCTAGAGATCAGAGAGACTGGAAGCAGCAGAGTTATCTCTATTGCTGGCCTTGAAGAAGCAAGTTGCTATGAGTTCTACAGCTGCAAGGATATGAATTCCACCACCAACCACGTGAACTCAGAAGAGAACCTAACCTTTAGATGAGGCCATATCTCTGGTCAATATCTTAACAGCAGCTATGTGAGACCTTGAGCAGAGGACTCAGCTAAGTGTGTCCAAACTAGTGGCCTATGACTCATAAACTGTGAGATAATAAATAATATTTTTTAAGCTGCTAAGTGCATAGTGATTTGTTACACAACAATAGAAAATAAGCAGTTACATTTTTCAAATAGTGAAAAAATAAAGCATACAAAACTCACTTCATGTATACATATGTAAAACACAGGTTGAGGTTCACAAGATTCCAATGTTTTCACCTGTAATAATATCCAGTGTTAGTCAGAACATGTGAGAATTCTTCCTTGTACAGACTATCCCTCTCACTGCAAGATGTCTGGCATTTCTGGACCCTAACCACTAACTGCCTGTAGCATCCCACCAATCACTATGTCAAAAGGAAAAAAAAAGATTCTAAAACATTTCAAATTCCCACTTTGGAGGCTTTATTTCGTTAGGTAAGACTCAATGGCAGATAAAGATATTGAAAAGTCTTTATTACTGGAGCCAAAGTTCTGATTCTAAGATTTAAGCAAAGTTCTTCAATTTTGGGATGAGGGGAGATTAATAACAACTTTCAGAAACTGATAAACAGCATGAGATCCATTTCCCTAGAAGGTAAAATGCTCAGAAAAAACAACATCAAAGTTTTAGGTAAAATTGTAGGGTGTACTGGATTTCCTGAAGGACGTTATGGTTCCTTATGAATGCGTACTTCTTACTCTGAGGATGACAACATCAGAGATGACTGAAGAAGGTAAGGCAATTTTTCCAAATGGTAAGCAATTTGGGAAAGTTTTTTTTTTTTTTTAAGTGAAGGACTTTAGAGTTTGTGTTCTTCAAACACTGTCTCCTAGGTTATTAAATCAGCAAGCCAGACACCAGATAATAAGACGTCCTCTTTCTTGTTCATTTGTTGCCCAAGAATGATTTGAGAAACTGAGGAAGCTTGAGTAGATTCTTGAAGATAACAAAAGAGTAATTACAATCATTTCAGTTTACCAAACATTTAATTAAAAACAGTTATAGAAAAACATGTGTTTCTTATCCTTCAGTTGTTTTATAATCAGCAAGGAAAATGAGAAAGTAGCAACTCAGAAAATTAAGAGAGCAAGGACATTTTAAAGAAAGCATTCTAAGGTGCAAGGGAAAATCTTGGTTGCATAAAATGGAAAACAAAGGGTAAAACAATAAAAATCAACATTATTAACATTTTTAGGGACTTTCTGTTTCCATGGTCTATGACTGTTTTGTTGAATGTATATCCCTAATTTTTTCCTCATTTAAATGATCTGATTTTGACTGCCATGATATTGTTTGACCTTTTTATGAATCAGGACATTTTCTGCCAGAAGTATTGCACTTTTTCCCAAAAAAAATATCAGTTGTGTTTACTTGGTTGATGATTCTTTTCACCAGACAGAAGTTTATTTTGTTTGGATGGATGGTTTGCTTTGGTTCTCATAGACACTTTCTCAATTCTGAGTTTAGGTCACTTAAGAAGTCCTCTCTTGGTCTAAAATAATAAATAAAGTTATTATTATTTTTTCCTAGAATTTATGTGGGGTTTTTTAATGTTTAAATATTTGGTGTAAGGAGCGAGATAAAGACCCAAGTTTACTTAATTTTGTTCTAAATATTTAGTCACTCTGTTATAAATTAAATTTTCCTGTGTTTGGGACTGTTCCTAGATTGTGTTCCGTTGCTGTCTATTTATTCATAAGGACTAAAGAATTTTAATTTTTGTTGCTTTATTACATATATTTTCAGAAACACTAAGGCTAGTTCCCCATTATTAATTTTCTTTTTCAGGATTCCTCAGAAGATTATTTTATGTTAATTCATCCAGATGAGTTTTATATTATATTGTTAGTAGAAATAAGTTAATATCAAATTAATAATTGATATCATATTGGATTTCCAGATCAATTTAGGTACGTTGATATCTTTACAATACTGATTCTTCTTTTCCAAGAATGTAGAGTATCTTTGTATTTTCTTCAGTCATCCTTTATGTTCCTCAGAAATGTTTTTATTCTTTCTTTATGTAGGTATTACACACCTTTTATGAAGTATATTTCTAGATATTTTGTGTTTGGAATTGGAATTGTAAAGAAAAAATTCTTTTCATTTATGTTTTCTAATAAGCTATTGTTTATATATGGAAAAAAATTTTCCTTATTAAAATTTTTAAAAAGAGCTGTGACTCTGAATTTTCCCAGCATCTAATTTTTTTCTAACTTTTTTTTTTTTTTAAGTTTCAGGAGTACATATGCAGGTTGGCTCTATAGATAAATTGCATGTTGTACAGGTTTGGTGTACATATTATTTTGTAAACCAGGTGATACTGATAGTATCCAACAGGTAGTGTTTTGATCCTCAGCCTCCTCTCACCCTCCACACTCAAGTCTCTTTGTAGTCTCTAAGAACTTGTTTTATAAATCCAGGTGCTCGTGTATTGGATGCATATATATTTAGGATAGTTAAATCTTGTTGAATTGAAACATTTACCATCATGTAATGCCCTTCTTTGTCTTTTTTTATTGTTGTTGGTTTAAAGTCTGTTTTGTCTAAAATTAAAATAGCAACTCCTGCTTTTTGTTTTGTTTTGTTTTCTGTTTGCTTGTTAGATTTTTCTTCATTTCTTTACTTTGAACCTATGGGTGTCACTGCATGTGAGATGGGTGTCTTGAAGACTGCATAGCATTGGGTCATGTTTCTTTACCCAACTTGCTACTCTGTGCCATTTATTTGCAGCATTTAGCCCATTTACCTTCAAGGTTAATATTGATAGTGCAGATTTGATTCTGTCATCATCATGTTACCTGGTTATTATGCAGACTTGATTGTGCAGTTGCTTTATAATGTCAACGGTATAGGTACCTAACTGTGTTTTTGTGGAGGCCAATAATGGTCTTTCATTTCCATGTTTAGCACTCCATTAAGGATCTCTTGTAAAATAGGTCTGGTGGTAATGAATTCCTTAGCATTTGCTTGTCTGAAAATAATTTTACTTCTCTTTCTCTTATAAAGCTTAGTTTGGCTGGATATGAATTATTAGTTGGAGTTTCTTTTGTTTAAGCATGCTAAATATAGGCTGTAATCTCTTTTGGCTTGTATGGTTTATGCTAAAAGGTCCATTGTTAGTCTGATAGGCTTCCCTTTGTAGGTGACCTGCCCCTTCTCTCTAGCTGCCTTTAACATTTCTTCTTTCATTTTGACCTTGGAGAATCTGATGACTGTGTGTCTTGGGGTTGGTCATCTTGTATAGTATCTCACAGGGGTTCTCTGCACTTCCTGTATTTGAATGTTGGCCCCTCTAGTGAGGTTGGGGAAATTTTCATTGATATCCTCAAATATGTTTTTCAAGTTGCTTGCTTTCTCTCCATCTTTCAGGGATACCAGTGAGTCTTAGATTTGCTTTTCTACATAGTCTCATATTTCTCAGAGATGTTGTTCATTCTTTTTTATTTTTTCTTAATTTTTGTCTGACTGATTTAGTTCAGAGAAGCAGGCTTTGAGCTCTGAGAATCATTCCTGAGCTTGGTGTGTTCTGCTGTTAATATTTGCAAATTGTATTAGAAATTCTTGTAGTGTGTTTCCAGCTCTATTACATCAGTTTGATTCTTTCTTAAAATGGCTATTTTGTCTTTCAGCTCCTATATCATTTTATTGTAGTCCTTAGATTCTTTGGATTGGGTTTCAACTTTCTTCTAAGTCTTAATGACTTCTTTCACTTAGCATGATGTTTTTGAGGTTTATCTATGATATGGATAAACCATGTCTTATTGCCAAATAATATTCCACATATAGATATACCACATTTGTTAATTCCTTTACCAATTGATGGGCATTAAACTGTTTTCACTTTTTGGCTATTATTAAAAAGGCTGCTATGAAGATTGGTGCACAGGTCTTTGAATGGACATATGTTTTCATTTATTCTTGCATAAATACCTCGTAGTGAAATTGCTGTGTCAGATGGTAAATTCATGGTTAACTTTTTAATAAACTACCTTGTTTTTAAAATAATAAACAAATCATAATAATAAAATGTTACATCAGGGCTATGACCCAGTTGCCTAAATTTTAGCCTTTATAGACATTTTGCTTCCCTTATAATTCATTTATTAATTACCAATTATATAGATGACTTATTATATCAGACTGTAACCAAAAGTTCAAAGTTTCAATTGCTATGTAGCTATCAAAATTATTGAATTAATTGTACTTTGTTCTCTTTATACCATTCTAATTACTTTATTTATTTTTCCTTCTATTTTTTCTTTTTTCATTCTTGTTTTATTTATTTTTGTTTTAATTGGTTTGTTTTAAATTTGTTTTATATTTCTAAGCTATATGATTATATGTATAAAGCATAATTTAAAAATCTATCCATTACTATTATTTATTTCATTTTATGAAATTTACTAAAATAATTTTCTAGAATAAAGGGAAGATATTTAAAAATGATTTACTTCAGGTGTCAAATGCATTAGGTATACCAATAAAATTTGATAACTATAAGAAACCAACAGCCCTTTAAGTAACTATTTGGTGATCAAAAGTAATTTGTCTCATGGTGCCTCTTCTACTCTGCACAGACAATGAGCACTGCCAATTTCTTTTAATAAAAGAAAAAAAAAAATAGAGAACTGTTAGGAGTCATACCAAACATTTTCATGGAGGAAAAAACAGCATATTATTAAAAAATGGGAGAAAAAAACTAGTGTGTGAGAGGAAATGTAAGATTAACTAGAATTTGGCAGAAGTCACTGCCCAGTCACTAGGAGTATGGTCAGTCAGCATATAGCTCCCCAAGTTGGTCCCAAATGGCCATCTTCAACTGTAGAGATCTAGTTAAGATCACATCCATGTGGGAGTGACCACTGTGGTGACTGAGCAAGGCGGGAATATCAAGAACCGATTTTCAGCCCTGCAGAGGATAAAAACTCAGCCATTTGGGCCCAAAATGGGACCCTGGCTCTGTATGTCAGTATTCACTCCAGAGCACCCTGCCATTTTGGTGCATCACGGTTGTACTTCCTTTGCTCCATCCTACTTCTGCCACCTTCCTTTCACAGTAATTGATCCAGAGACACTGGAATCTGAACTAAACAGGGTGTGTAAGTGGGAGGAGCACTACATAAAAATGACTGGACACTGTCTTGCTGTAGCAGCTAGCAGAAAATGGAGATATTTAGGTTAAATTCAAAGATGGTTAAGTTGAAAGACCTAACATACAATCTGATTTAATAGTAAAGGTGAGTGATACTTTTTGCCGTAGTCTAGATCTCTCTGAATTTGATCTTTACAAGTATAGTTACTTTGTTTAACTGAAGAATCTTACAAAATCTCTGCTTTTTCAATAATTGTTAAAGTTGATTGCGTACTGCAGTGGGTCAGATGCAATCCTTGGTTATTGGACTTTCTCCATTTTCTTTAGCCTCTGTTGGAAAGTTGGTAATTGTTCATAGGAAGTTTTTATGAGCCAGATCTGGAAATAACAATATCACTTCTATTCACATTATATTCCTAAGAAATCAATCACATGGCCACAGGCAGAGGAAACAAAAATATAGGTTAGCTGAATATCTAAGAGGGAGATGAAGTGAGATTTGTGAGCAGCTGGCTAGTCTCTTTCAAGGATAGCAAGCAAATAAAATACCTTGAACCATGCTGAAAATTTTCCCCCAAAGCAGCAGATATCTTCTTTAGAAGAGCAGGAAGCAGGACAAGTAGTAAGCCAGTCAGAATTGGGACATTTGCTTTTGAAGGGTTCAAGGCACAAAACAAAACCCCAAAGAATCTCTTCTTTGAAAACATGAACAGCTGGCACAGGAAGATATTGTCACACTGGATCTGCTTACCTGCAGGGCAAGTTTGCCAAATAAGCAAAATGAACCATGCAGGGATGAAGCTCCGATTTGGGTCTTGCTCACTCCACACTCCCATCAGGTTGCTGGGCTTCTGAGAAAGCACCTAATCTTCTCACCTGTGATCTTCAAAGAGGAAGCCTCATCGCTATTTTGACAGATGAATTAGAAAAAAAAAAAAAAACAATGAATCTTTTTTCAGTGAGGAATTCAAGGCAAAAAAGAATAAAGTTTTAAAAGTAAGATTTACAAAAAAAATTTATTAAGCAAGAAGCACAGAAAGAATTACTTTTGAAAATGACTTACCAGAGAAAATATTTTAAAACGTATTGTATTGGTTACTTATTGCTACATAACAAATCACTCCAATAAGTGTAAACTTTTCTTACTGCTCATGCATCTGTGAATCTACTAGAATCTGATTGACATAGGCTTGGCTCAACTGGGAAGCTCTTTTTGTCACTGCATGTCTATTAATTACCTAGGGTGGCTCTGCTGACCAGCAGGCTACCCATGGTTATGTTATTTCCATGATCGGCCAGAAAGAAAAGAAAACAAGCAAGAACATGTGAGGTCTTCCAGGCTTGCACTTAGAATACAAACTGTGACTTTTGCTCATGTGTCATCAGCCAAAGCAAGTCATATAGCCAAGCCCAGAGACAAGATGAAATGAGTACATGCCATCTGTGATGACGAGGCCATAGCAAGGGAACAGACGCAAGAAGAGGTGAAGAAATGAGGAAAATAATGCAATAAACCACAATTTATTTTAACAAAATTTAAGTAACAACTTCAAAACAAAAGACAGACATGATAAAGAGATTGTCTTCTTTCTTTTTTCATCAGGGTACAACCAGATGTAGGTGTTTTACAATTTATATGTAACCTCTTTAAATCTTTGGACTCAGTTCAGAAATTCGTTTCTATCAATGCGTCTTTTCTGTGTGAGATCAGTATGTTCAAAGTGATAAGAAAAAAGAAGAATGGGCAAACAGGAAAAAATTTAAATGGAGCTGAACATGAAAAAAATCCTATAATTATAAATTTCACAAAATCAATTTAAAATTAATTTTAACAATACAGAGAAAACCTATTAATATAGAAGATTGAGTCAGACATCTGGTGACCCACCTTGACGCACTTTGCCAGGTTCCAGAAGAAAGAAAATAAAACAGCAACACAGAAAGTATTAAATTGGAGGACAGCACACAGAGATCCAAATTTGATCAATAATTCTGAAAAATAGAACAGAAAATATACTGAAAAAAAGTATTAATAGAAAAAAATTTGAATTGAATCTAAAGATTTAAAGAGGTTACATCTGAAGAGTAAAAATCAACCCAGATATACCCTGTTGAGACGTGAAAGACAACCAGCCTAAAGGTGGGAAAAAAATGTAACCTAGCACGGCAGAACAATTACACTGAGGCAGGACCTCTTCTGCACCACACCAAATGCCAGAACATGGGAAAAACAGCTACAAATGCATCAGGGGAACAAATTTTAAGCCAGATGCTCTATGTTCACTGAAGTTTTGTTTCATGTGTAACAGTAACTGAAAGAATATTATCTATTTATTTGTCCTGAAAAAAAAATCAAGAAAGTATTCTATTAAGGTTTATCTGTACATATAAAAGGGGAAATTACAGCATAAGAACAGTAGAAGTGAGTCTCAGAAAATATGTAAATATAGCATTGAGTATAAGGAAATTGTTTAACAATATTTTATCAGAAAGTACATTTTAACACTATTTGAAAGAAAAGTAAATTAATCCTCACATAGTAATAAACTAATACTTTAAGAAGCTGGGTAAGAAATTGTAGATTGTATATTTTTAAAATAATATGATGGGAAAGAACAAAATAAGTTTGTGACACAAAATTGTAACTTATGAATCTTCAAGCTGAATAATAATAAAATACAGGATCATGTAATCAAAAACTAGTTTTTTCAAAAAAAAGAAAACAACAGTAGGAGGATACTTTCATAGCTCTCTGTCCCTGTTATATCAAGCAAAACAAAAATGAAGAAAGATATGGGTAGTGAATCAGTTAGAATGCCTTGGCCAATAATAGAAAACAGAATTCAGAAGTTTAAAAATTGGGAAAAATATTTATTTCCTTTTTCCTTTTTTTATTTTTAATGTTTTTGGTCTTTAATAAGAGGAAGTTGGATGAAAGGCTGTGCCTTTGTGATATCAGAAAAGACCTACATATCTTTAATCATCTGTTCTGTAATTTCCCTATGACTAACTCCCTTCCTGGTTATAAGATTAAAATCACACTCTTCATCCACACATGCAGACATGGCAAAGTCCTGGGGAAGGAAGTGGATAATTAACTCCTTATTTCTCTCCCTGTGTGTCTCTGTCTCTGTCTCTCTCTCTCTGAATGAAAAAATATTTTATACTCAATATCTCTCCAGCAGATTTCCCCTGGATTTATGTTGGTCACTCCATCAGCAGAAACAATTTACTATTAAACAATAATCAATTAGGTAAGCATTCTGCTAATGAAGATTGAAAAATAAGCTTAAGGAAAGCTAAAAACGAATAAGTATGAAATAAGAAAATATTAATTTTTGAAACAATAGAATTAATAAATAATTTTCATAGATATTTTGCTAGAAATTAAACCAATAACAGACAAACTTTTAGTGTAATAAATAATGTATAAATATACAAAATTAGAAATAAAGGTGGAGATATTACCACGGTTTTAGAGCATTTTTTAAAACAATAAGATACTTAGCAAAATACATAAAATGAACATACAGGAAAAAAAATACAGCTTTCTATTTTATTAACAATTGCCAGTTAAAAAGCACAAGGGCAAATGTTCCAGAGCAACGAGAACTCTCAGAAACTGCGGTGAAAAGTGGAAAAGGATGCAGTCACTTTGGAAATCTGGGAATCTATACTGAAACTAAGCATATGCGTCCCCAGCAATTCCACTCCTATATATAGGTTTTCTATATATAAGAAAACCCTAAAGACTCCACCAAAAAACTGCTAGAATTAAAAAATGAATTCAGTAAATCTTTACTACTTATCAGAGAAATACAAATTAAAACCATAATGAGATATTACCTTACACTTGTTAGAATGGCTATTATCAAAAAGAGGAAAGATAACAAGAGTTGGTGAGGATGTGGGGAAAAGGAAACATTTTCACACTGTTGATAGGAATATGAATTAAGATAGTCATTACATAAAACAGTATGGAGATTCCTCAAAAAATTACTTGATCCAGCAATTTTATATATATACTTATGTATGTGTGTGTATGTATATGTGTATATATGCATATACACATATATATACACATATATACACATATACATACACATATACATACACATATATACACATATATACACATATATATACATATATATATACACATATATATATACACACATATATATATATCTCCAAAGGAAATGAAATTAGTATTTCAAAGACATATCTACACTCCCATATTCACTGCAGCATTATCACAATAGCCAAGATATGGAATCAACCGAAGTGTCCATCAACAGATAATTAGATAAGGGAAATATAGTATATATACACAGTGGAATACCATTAAGTCTAAAAAAAAAAAGACGAAGAAGAAGAAAGTCCTGTCATTTCAACAACGTGGATGAACCTGGAAGACATTATGCCAAGTGAAATAAGCCAGGCACAGAAAGACAAATACACATGATCTCACTTATCTGTATGCTACGGTTTGAATATGTCCTCCAAAAAACATGTGCTGGAAGCTTAATCCCCCAGTGCAACAACGTTTGGCAGTGGGGCCTAATAAGAAGTGTTTAGATAATGAAGGCTACATTCTCATGAATGGATTAAAACCAATTATAAAAGGGCTTGGGGCTGTAAATTTAATCTCTGGCTGTCTCTCTCTCACTCTCTTTGTCTTTCTGCCATGGCTGATGCAGCAAGAAG